>NC_000003.12:147455574-148705574 GCF_000001405.40 Homo sapiens | reverse complement strand
TACTCAAGAAATCATTACCCAAGAATCACATCTTTTTCATTCATGATAAAGTGGCAGCAATTAACTGTGTAACTGAGGGCTGGGAGACATCATGATAAAATGTGTTTTATATGAAGTGACATCATTTGAATGGGAGAGTTAGATTATTAAAGCTGGGTTAATGGAAAATTCTCATTCTAAGGGCAGGAGCATTTGAATTGATGGCAAGAAGAATTTGAGTCAAAAAGTAAAGTATATGTGTTGATGAAATTGTAAGTGTGAAGGAAAATATATGTGCTGATAAAGTTGTTAAGTATATGAAATTTACTAGAAAAAAATGCTATGCTACGAGAATTTTTCCAACTGTTAAAAAGAAAAAAATGCTATGCTATGAGATTTTTTCCAACTGTTAAAAAGAAAACCTTGTGCAGATTGCATTCAGCCACAGCCACAAATATTGGGGCTTAGTGAAACCAGGGGACTCTTAGGGGCTATAGAGGGTGATCACTGGTACTTTATTTTTTATTAGTACTAAGAAACTCTGCCTGCTATGTGTAAGATATCTTTTGGGTATTTCTCCTTCTTTCAAACTTCCACTACTTGTCATGATGGCAGCCCTGGATTGATTTTGCCCTAACCCATAACTTACAAATTAGATGTTGTAATGTCAGTGCTACCTGAATATCTACAGTTCTAGATTCAAGGAGCTGGTGAAATTTTATCTCCTACAAATTTTCTCAATACCATTGAAAAAGTGGCTGCTCAGTCCTGTTGGCACAGGTTTCCCCTCAAACATGATCCCAGGGAACCCATACACACCTGTCTTTTGACCAACATCAATAAGCCCCTGTCAAAACAGGAGATATTCGGACAGATCCAACTGATGGCTGTCAGAGAATCTACCTGCACTGGGTGAAACAGCTCAGGGACTGAATCATTTGGGGAGTCACTGGCTTGAGCATTGACTGGTTAGTAACTATATTTTACTACATTTTTGTAAACCATGCTTGTAGTAAATAAGCATTTATATTAAAAGCTGAAAAAGTAATATGTAATTTGAGTTGGAATGCTGAACAGTCTATGTGTATGTAGAAAACAGAAAATAACTTGTCCAATCCAAGGGAGAATTTACTTTATAGCATGAGAGCACCAAAAAGTAAACAGAAAATTTTGGATTTTTATGGGAAAAAATAGAGATATCAAAAGTTGTTATTATTATTATTATTATTCGAGACAGGGTCTTTCTCTGTTGCTCAGGCTGGAGTGCAGTGGTGTGATCATGGCTCACTGCAGCCTTCACCTCCCAGACTCAAGCAATCCTCCCAACTCAGTCTCCTGAGTAGTTGGGACTACAGGTCCCAACTACTACATGGTGTGCGCCACCATGCTCTGGCAATTTTTTATTTTTTGTAGAGATGGGGGTCTCAGTTTGTTGCCTCAGCTGGTCTCAAACTCCTGGCCTCAAGTGATCCTCCCAAAGTGCTGGGATTACAGGTCTGAGCCACCATACCTGGGCTCCAAAGTTAATTTTTAAAAGTATGTCATCTACTATTTTTTTAAAAAGCTTTATTGAAGTATAATTGATATACAAAAAGCATGCATATAAAAATATATTTTAGTGGATTTGGACAGGCTGTCATAGTTTTGGTATTTTTTCAAACAGTTAAAGAAGGAATTTCTAGAATTTCCCATTATTGCACTTAAAGGTAAGGTGACAGGAAAACATTAGATCAAAATGGAATAGATCTTGTTTGCTTTTTTTAAAAAAAATTTATGAGGGAAACAGATTTTGATCTCAAATTAAAACTTTAAATAAATTTTCAAATAATTAGTTGGCCTTAAAAAGTAGGTAGCCCAGTATAGAGCAGACACTGTAGGTAACAGCTAAGAGAACAGGCAATGAAATTAGAATTCTTATGTTTACATCTCGACTGTATCAGTTACAGCTTTTGGGTAAACTACTTATCTCATTATTACTTGGTATCCCAATCTATAAAATAAGGATAAAACAGAAACTATCTCACAGGGTTGTTGTGAGGATTAAATAAAAAAAATTTAAAGAAAGACTGAACGTTGTGTTTGGCACATTTATGTACTCAATAAATATTAGCTTTATTAAAAACGTTAGTTAAGAGCCAAGAAAACACCTCTTCATAATTATTCTAAACAAGCCACAGGTACGGTACACTGTGTTTCTTTTCCCTTAATGTGCATTTGAATCACCTGAGGATTTTGCTAAAATGCAGATTCTTATGCAATCAATGGGTCTGGACAGGGTCTGAGATTCTGCAGTTCCAACAAACTCTCAGGTGATACTCATGATGCTAATATGGGAACTGGGATACGTGAGATAATTTTAGATGGTTTCCTCCTAATTTGTAATACAATGTGTCTCAACAGGGGGAATGAGGACAGGGGGAGAAAAGAAGGTGTGGATGAAATGTACAGATTTCATATGCCCCCTGGGTGATTCCAGTATTCTTGTCTCACCTGCCTCTGTCATCTTAAGAACCACCGATTTGATATTTCAACCTTTTATTCTTTTTAATTTTTTCTTTCCTTACTCTTTTCTCCACTTTACCCTTGTCATTGCTGCTGTAGACTGAAAAACTGTATTCATGCTTAGCTCTTCAATTAGCAAGACAAAAGCATCAAATTTGTCATTGTGTGTAATAGGACAGTGTATCTAAATGAGATTAGAAAAATTATTTATTTCTTAACATTTCTTTTTTAAAATATAAAGGTCTGAAAATGTATTTAACATTTTCTGTAGTTTTAGCCAAAAACAAACAAATAAGCAACAAACAGGCAAGCAAGTGACTCCGTGGAACATTTAGTAAAAGAAAACAAGGATGCGTTAGGTGCCATCCATACTGTCAAAGGAGTTATAATCTCACGAGGAGGGGAAAGGAGCAGTGGTTATTACAGAAGTGGCCAGAACCAAACAGTGTGACCACTTTAGACACACCATCTGGTCTGAAAGGCAGGACAGAAGGAGGGGCCATTTTTAAATGGCTTCCCACCCTACTAGCATTAGGCTATTAGAGACCCATGCCAAAATATGTGCTTAGCTTGACTACTATCTCTCTACGGCAAAGACCATTTTTATACTTTGGCTTGTATCCTCAGGGCCTAATATCACTCAGATCCACAGTATTTCCTCTGTAAGTACCTGCAGCTGTTGTTGATATATTTTATAGACATAATTCTTCATTTTCCAAAGTAGATAAGAGGAGCTTTGACTAATATAGAATCAGAAAATATCTAAATAAACTTAGCAAATTAGCAACAACAAATTCTCTTTAAAAGTACAAAATCAGGCCAGGTGAGGTGGCTCATGTCTGTAATCCCAGCACTTTGGGAGGCCGAGGCAGGGAGATCACTTGAGGTCAGAAGTTTGAGACCAGCCTGGCCAACATGGCGAACCTCTTCTCTACTAAAAATACAAAAATTAGCTGGGCGTGGCGGCATGCACCTGTAATCCCAGCTACTAAGGAGGCTGAGGCAGGAAAATCATTTGAACCTGGGAGGCAGAGGTTGCAGTGAGCCGAGATCATGCCACTGCACGCCAGCCTGGGCAACAGAGCAAGACTCTGTCTCAAAAAAAAAAAAAAAAAAGGTACACAATCATATGTGTATTTCTCAATATTCTTATTTTGTACTTAAGCATACAGAGTACTTAAATCCATTGAACTAAATAAAATTTCTACATTATTTGGTGAAGATGAAGGCATCTATGTGTGTATAAGTGGACAAGAAATCACACAAAAGTTGACTTAAACTGAAAGATTATTAATTCTATGATTTTAAGTTTTAAGGAAATCTAGAATTGGGACTTGAAATAGGAAGGCACATTGTAATAATAGGAAACAAGGCACACTCATTTTTTACCCATTTTCCAAACTTTTAAATGTTAAAAAAATTACATGTGAGATTAACAACACAATAAAAACATTCTTGGTAATAGGAAGGAGACTGATAATCACTGAGAGATTCTAGACATTTGTTTCTACTTAAGACAGTTAGAGAATGCACCTATCGAAGAAACAAACACAAACAAAACAAAAACAAATTCAAACCCTTCTAAATTAACTATAAGAATAATGTAATCATACAGCATTTATACTACATAATGAATTTTTTGTTACTTAAATATTTTGGAAGACAATTTTGATTTTCATATGCAAGAAAGTTTTTCCTCATCTGAGCATCTGCTTTGATAAGAAGAAAAATCCCATAGCAAATATTTTAATGTTAATACAACCACAGCTAGCAGCAATAGTCACTAGTCCTTTTATGACTGTTCCAAACATATACTCTGTTTTCTATTTCCAGTTGTCTAATTTGTCACTAACGTAATAACTAGGGAAACATCTGGCAATTTATAGTTCTTTAAATTATAAGATTTTTTTTCTGTGATTGAAATATTGCATTTTAGAGCTTTAATAGGATAATGGTAGTCACTTGCCAATTTAGTTGAATATTACCTTAAGTCCCTATAGATATTCCTTGATTTAAGATGGCTTTATATATTAAGCTATTAAAAAGTTGATTTTTAGAAGCTAAAGTTCATATTATGAATAAAACAAAATGTAAAGTGATAGCTAAATTTAGGATACAAATCGATCAAATTTACTGTTGCTTATCAGAGATTGAGTATACTGCTTTAACAAGCAGCTACAGTGAAAAGAAACACAAACCACATAATCCAATGATCTTAGGCAATTTTGAAAAAGAAACATTAGGAGAATTTTGAAGGAAACTAATAGCATTTTCCAATCATCACGTGTTGGAAAGCTGATTTGTCAGTTTGCTAGATAACATGGGAGAAAAGTGTTCCTAAGCTGGGCTTGGACACTTGGTCACATTGTGTTGCTCTGGCTCCATATTTGTTTATTGACACAGCATATCTTCAAAACAACGTTTTAATCTTTACAACACTTGGACTGACTTCAAACTTCTAAACACAATTCTTAATTTGGTAGCCTACTTGGGAGACTCTTTGGCATTCTCCAGTCATGACTGACCAGAAAAAGGGCTAGGTAAACTAATAAGCATGCGGCTAGAGGGCAGGAGCTCGCATTAAGCAGCCAAAACACCTAAATGTGAGGGGTCACTATTTTTGTCCCTGTAACAAATTCGAAAGCAAAATACAGCAACTCTCAGTTATCTGCTTGAAAGGACACTGTGGCAGCACAGATAAAATGACAGCAGACATGCATCATGCATTTAAACTATGAGTTTTAAATTCCTTCTCAGCTAAGCATTTTACCTGGGCTTTGGGTAAGTAGCAGAGTAAACTTTTCTTCCTTATTTTCCCTCTAGCATAGGGGAAAATTAGTCATTAGTATTAATTAGTCATAATTGAAATAATAACAGCAGTCGTAAGTAGCAGCAGGAACAAAAAACCAAAACAAAATTATATACACAAATACTCACACAACTCTGATCCCAAACTAGAAAGAAGAAAAAGAAAAGTGAGAAACCTGAACAACCCACAAATCTGCCCTTTTCTGAATACTGACCCACGATAAGAGAGAGAAAGACTGAAGCTTAGAATGCTGTGGGACAGCAGCATTGCCGCAGCACCTGTGACTGAAAGACATTTTGCAAATCGCAAGGAAGACAAGTCTTCCATTGGCATCAGTGGAACCGGTGGAAGAAAACCAATTTTATTCTGAGTTGGATGATGGAAGAGTTGATTCAGTTTAAGGTCAAAGAAGAGCAGAACCAGAAATCAAGGCCTCAGGATGGGAACAAAGAACAATGAAGTCAGGGGGAAAAAAGGTGGCGGGGAGAGAGAGTGGGTAACAGACTTGAAACTAAGAATCACAAAACTTAAGCAAATGTTGAGACCTAGCAATTATGATGGGCAGTTTCTATAACCTAGCCTTAAGCTTAGACTTTTATTTTAAAGCAATAACCAAAACAAAAGAAATTAAGGAATTATATCACTGGAGGGAACCTTATGGGCAGAGACTTGAGGTTCAGAGTTGTGAAATAATGCTCTTACTATCACACAGCAAGTTAAGTGGGAGTCTCCATTTCCCTTCTCCCCATGCTTTCCTGCCCCTGCACTGTCAGGAAGGGTGGTGGAGAGGAAGGAGAAGGTACCAGGGCACCCGGGAATACATCACAGCCTGAGGACAGGTTATGCAGGTGGGGCCTTTATAGCTAGGGAAACACCGGAGAAGACAAGGGAAGTATGGCAGTTTCTTCCTTAGAGAAGACTTATAAGGGGGTTAAAGCATATGCTATGTGAAATAAACACCTGGAGATCCAAAACCCTCAGGTGGTAACTAATAATAAGAGAATCATGTTGGGATGCAGCATCTTCAGCGGGAAGCACAAGTTGCTCAACAAAGTAATAAAATAGATCAATAGGGTGCCAAATTTCTTGCCTCTATTACTTTCTCTTCTCAGAATGACACAGGAAATAAATGTAGCCAAGTCCCAAATCTGATCCCAGTACCCAAACTTTCATTAAAAGAGGGCTCCTGAAGGGGGGGAGTAGGTTTTTAATACTTAACGAGGCTATCAGCAAACAAAGAGAAGAGGCCCAGGTGGGCTCAATAGCCAGGTCACAAATGGTTGCCCAAAGAAAAAAACGGTGCAGAAGGAGACGCTTTGGGGAAGAATTGCTGAGGTCTTCGGGAGACTATAGCAGGCTGGCACTATGGAGATGTTTACCTGGACATTTAAGAAAATTGGAGGATGGAGTTGGGTGTCGGGCAGTGGCCTGCCAGAGGCTCTGTTTAGTCCTGGAAGCAGGAGACCTTTTGCTAAAATTCTGTCTCAGTTACACACATGCATTGGCTAAGGCTGTAGGGATTGGGGTGTGGAGACATCTTGCTTCTCCTTCCTCAGTTTGATTATTCAAAGGACATCTGGGAACCCTGAGGGTGGGAGAGTTTGGCCAAGGTTGGAGCGATGTCCCGTGTCTAGGACCCACCGCTATGGTTTGCAGGGAGAGAGCTAAAGGGACGTGAGCAGTGCAGGGACATTGACTGGGAAGCAGAGGGCGTGGATGGAGACACTCTTAACTTCACCTCAAAAGTAGCACAACTTTTAAACGAACGCCTTGCAGAGTCATACCGGCTTCCCGCTCAGATGATGGCTAAAATACAAGAGTTAACTAAAAGCCTCAGGAAGAAAGTTTATTGAATTGCATCTTATTTCTGTAGATTTCTTCCTTGCACTCGGAAGAGTTTGGTTAAAATGGATTGAGAATTTCGAGGCACGTGGCAAACAAACCTACCTTGTTCCCTCCCATTCCAGAAGCCCCTCACCTGATTTGGGAAAGTGTGGCCAGCTCCAGGGGCAGGCGCTGACCAGAACTACGGTCGCTCTTTCCTTGGTCCCCGAGAGCTTCCCAGTATAGAGCCAGCAGTTAGGACACCGTGACATGAAACTTAGCACCCCGCCCTTGAAGTCCCCCAAGCATGCCTGGCGGTCCGCGCGGACTCACCCGCGCCCCGGGCGCTGCGTCACGTCCCGCCGAGGGCCGGCTGCGCTGGTGCGGGTCTCCCGCCCGCCGCCTCGGCGTCCCGGCTGTGCGCCCTCACTCGCTGGGTCCGCTCCAGCCGCTCCCCATCGATCACCGCCGCGGCCCGGCAGAGCTGCTAGCGGCGCGCCGGTCCAGACGTCCTGTCACTCGCTGCTGCCTGGGGTCCTGGCTGTCAGGCGCTGGAATCATTGGCGAGGAGGCAGCTCCGAATTTATAGTGAGGGGCGTTGCTGCTTCTTGGGTTCCGGGGACGAGGCTCTGTTTTGCATTCCCTCCTCCTCCGCCCCGCCCCGGGAGACCCTCCCGGCCCAACCTCCTCCCTCTCGGGATATTGACGGCAGCAAGGATGATGCCACAGTCGTCCCGTGTCAACTATCAGATCAGCGTTCACCTGGTCCCGAACCCCGCCTAGCGAGGGGTCGTGAGGGAGAGCGAGCTGGGGGTACAGGAGTATCATTTCCTGCGGAGATTCGTGTTCTTCAACATTTTTTTTTTCTGAACTTGGAAAACTTTTAAGGACGAATTAGAGAACTTCTTTCTCTTTCCTATGAGTAACTCGAACTTTGGTAATACAGTTGTGGATCATAGATTACATGGATTAATTCCAGGGTTATGAAATTCAAGGGTGGACACTCATTTGTTCCTATTGGACATGCTACCCAAGTTGCATTTTAAAAATGTATTTTAAAAACCCAATAAATATTTAAAGAAGAAATAATATCAATTCTTCACAAACTCTTCCAAAAAATAGAAGAGTAAGGATGATCTCCCAACTCATGCTATGAGGCCAGTATCACCCTGATAACAAAACCAGATAAAGACATCACGAGACTACAGATCAATATTTCTTAAGAGTATAGATAAAAATTCTCAACAAAATGTAGGCAAATTGAATCCAATAACATATGAAAGGGACTATACACCATGGTCAAGTGAGGTTGATGCCAGAAAGCAAGATTAGATTAGTTTACCAAAAATCAATTAATGTTAGATAGGTGAGTAGGGTGACTGTAGTTTACAGTAA
Source organism: Homo sapiens (assembly GCF_000001405.40). NCBI lineage: Eukaryota > Metazoa > Chordata > Mammalia > Primates > Hominidae > Homo > Homo sapiens. The sequence continues at coordinate 148,697,065 of NC_000003.12, read as the reverse complement.
TCTATTGTATATTTCAGAGTAGCTAGGAGAAAATAACTTGAATGTTTCTAGCATGAAGAAAAGACAAATATTTAAGGTGATGGATATGCCAATTGCACTGATTTGATCTTTATATGAATGCATTAAATTATTGCATGTACCTAAAAAGTCCTGTCACTCGCTGCTGCCTGGGGTCCTGGCTGTCAGGCGCTGGAATCATCGGCGAGGAGGCAGCTCCGAATTTATAGTGAGGGGCATTAAATTATTGCATGTACCTAAAAAGTGTACATCTATTGTGTATCAATAAAAATAAATTTAAAGAAGTAAAAAATGGACAAAGCCTACATGATTGTCTAAAAAAATTTTTAAAAACTATTGGACAAAATTCAACACTTTTTCATGCTAACACTCAACAAACTAGGAATAGGAACTTCCTCAAACTGTGAAGTTTATTTATGAAAAACTTAACTAATATCACACATAATAACGGAAGACAACGTTTTTATGTCTAAGATCAGGAACAAGACAAAATGTCTAGTCTTCCCATTTCTATTTAACTTTGTACTAAAGGTTCTAGTGAGGGCAATTGGACAAGAAAAAAAGATAAATGGCATCCAGATTAGAAAGAAAGTAAAACAATTTCTATTTGTAGATGACATGATCTTGTATTAAAAAGCCCTAAGGAATCAATTAATTAACTATTAGAACTAAGAAACAAGTTGAGCAAGTTTTTAGAATACAAGATCAATATACAAAAATCAGTTGTATTTCTATACACTAGCAATAAACAATCAACAAATGGAATTAAGAAAACAATTCCACTGTTGGCTTCTCACCACTTGCTGTGTGGGTCTGTGTCCTCTCCCTGCCTCACATGCTGCCATGCCTCAAAAAGTTAAGGAGATCAAGGACTTTCTGCTTACAGCCAGGTGAAAAGATGCCAGATCTGTCAAGGTCAAGAGAAATAAGGATAATGTGAAGTTTAAAGTTTGATGCAGCAGATACCTTCATACATTAGTCATCATAGACAAAGAGAAGGCAGAGAAACTGAAGCAGTTCTGGCACCCTGGTTTGTTAGAGAAGGAGATGAAATCAGACACACTGATTTGAACTGTGTTAAAAATTTAAAAATTCAAAGATAAAAACAATTTTACTTACTATAGATCAAAAGAGTAAAAATACTAAGAAATGACCTGGTGTAGTGGCTCACTCCTGTAATCTCAGCACTTTGGGAGGCCGAGGTGGGTGAATCACAAGGTCAGGGATTCGAGACCAGGCTGGCCAACATCGTGAAACCCTGTCTCTACTAAAAATGCAAAAGAAAAAAAAAAAAAAAAAGCCAGGCGTGGTGGTGCATGCCTGTAGTTCCAGCTACTCAGGAGGAGGAGGCTGAGGCAGAAGAATCGCTTGAACCCAGGAGGTAGAGGTTGCTGTGAGCTGAGATTGTGCCACTGCACTCCAGCCTGGGTGACAGAGTGAGACTCCATCTCAAAACAAACCAACCAACCAACAAAACAAAACAAAACAAAAAAAACCCTAAGAAATAAATTTAACAAAAGGATCTAAAACTTGTAGTCTGAAAACAAACAAAAAGAATTGTTGAAATAAGGTAGACCTAAATAAATGGAATGACATTCCATGTTCTTGGATTGAAAGATTTAATATCGTTACAATGGCATTAATCTTCAAATGATCTACAGGTTAAACAAAATCTCTATCAAAACCCAGCAAGCTTTTATTGCAGAAATGAATGGAGTTATCCTAAAAACATGTAGCAGTGCGAGGGGCCCAGAATAGTCAAGACAATTCTGAAAAAGAACAAACTTACCAATTTCAAAATTTACTGCAAAATTACAATAAACAAGACAATGTGGTACTGGCATAGCAATAGATAGAAAGATCAATGGAACAGAATTGTGTCCACAAACTAAACCCTTACATTTATGAGCCACTAGATTTTGAAAAGGGTTGAAAAAATGCAGAATGAGTAATCTTTATTACAAATGGTACTGGAATAATTGGATATCTGCATGCAGAAGAATGAAGTTGGACTCCTTATAATACCACATGTAAAAATTAAGTCAAAATGGATCATAGACCCAAGCTTAAGAGAAAAATTATAAAACTAAATAGAAAACGTAGGAGTAAACCTTTGTTACCTTGGGTTATGCAAAGCCATCTTAGATACAACTCCAAAAGCATAAGAAATACAAGAAAAAGTAGGTAAATTAATTTGATTTCATCAATATTAACAGCATCTATACTTCCAAGGGTATCAAGAAAGTGAAAAGAAAAAGCCAAGAATGTGCAAAGATATTTGCAAATTATATACCTGATAAGGACTTGTGTATAGAACATATAAAGATAATAAAGCACACACAAAGATAATAAAAACACCATTAAAAATGGTCAAAGGATCTTAATATACATTTCTCTAAAGAAGGTAGACAAACACATAAAAAAACTCAACATTATTAGCCAGCAGGAAAATGCAACTCAAAGGAACAATTAGTTATGATTTTAGGCCTACTAGGATAGCTATAATCAAAAAGTCAGATAGTAACAAGTGTTGTCCAGAATGTGGAGAAATTGGATCCCTCATATATTGTTGGTGGGAATATAAAATAGTGCAGCCATTTTGGAAAACAGTGGCAATTCTTCAAAATGCTAAGCATAGATAGAGTTACCATATGGCTCAGCAATTCCATTCCTAGGTATATACTCATTAGAAATGAAAACATATGTCCACACAAAAATGTAGACGTGAAAATTCATAGCAGCATTATTCATAATAGCCCCAAAGCAGAAATAAGTCAAATATCTATCAACTGATGAATAGATAAAATGTGATATCTCCATACCATAGGATATTGTTTGGCAATAAAAGGGAATAAAGTACATGTTACACATGGAAGTGCCTTGAAAACCTTGTGCTAATTGAAAGAAGCCAGTCACAGAAGAAGACATATTATATGATTTCATTTATATGAAATATTCAGGAGTGACATAACTGTAGAGAATTTTGATTGCCTAGGCTGAGAGTGGAGGGGTAGGAGGGAATGGTAGTGTCTGCTAATTGGACGATGATAAAAAATTGTACATTTGATTATGGTGATCATTACACAACTTTTGTATGTTTGAAAACATACAAAAAACATTGAACTGTACATCTTTGTTAAAAGACAAACCTAGTCAAATTAAATTTAACAGTGCTTAATTGAGCAAAGAGTGATGTGCAAATCGGGCAGCCACTGAACTGCAATAGGTTCAGAGAGACTCCAGCACTGCCTCGTGGTTGAAAAAGATTTATGGGCAGAAAAAGGAAAGTGATGTAAAGAAGACAAAAATGAGGTACAGAAATAGAATTGGTTATAATTTGGCATTTGCCTTATTTGAACACAGTTTGAACAACTGACCACCTTAGATATGCTGAAACTCTGTGATTGGCACAAGAGTAGGTTTCAGTCTTTTCAGCATCCAGTTAGGTTACAGTTCACTACATGCTGAGAAACTTTTAGGCCAAATTTAAAATACGTAAGGAAGCAGCTTTAGGATAAACTTAATTCTTTAAATGGGTGAACTGTATAGTATGTAGAGTATATATAAGTAAAGCTATTTTAAAAAGGTAAAATATGAAATTTGTGTAGATGAGTAAAGACATGAATGTCTGACTTTTGTTTCTTGCTTCCAAGTTTCTGAAGAGAGAAGAGGGGCTCAGTTCCTATCTTTCATGCAATGGCTAACACCTCTGTGCTAGACCACATTGTGGATCAGGAAAGTAATATAAATTATTAATAATTAAAACCTATTTTTAAAATAAAGGTTTTTATTTAGCAACATACCATATGTTGAAATGACTTACATGTTTTGAATTTTCATTAAATTAAAAATGGCAAATTTACTTAAATATAATCAAGCATGTAGTAAGCATAGGTTTCTGCAGGAGAACTTTCTCAGAATGCAAACCTGAGGAAGACATGGTTCCTGAGTCCTGAGTATGGTGACCCAGGAGGGTTAGCATTCCCTTCTCCACTGGATTGTGCCTCTGCGACAGGGCTCTGTCTTATCAGTTCACTGTATTCCTGGGTTAAGAAGTTCTTTGAAACCAATGAGAACAAAGACACAACATAACAGAATCTCTGGGACACATTCAAAGCAGTGTGTAGAGGGAAATTTATAGCACTCAATGCCCACAAGAGAAAGCAGGGAAGATCCAAAATTGACACCCTACCATCACAATTAAAAGAACTAGAAAAGCAAGAGCAAACACATTCAAAAGCTAGCAGAAGGCAAGAAATAACTAAAATCAGAGCAGAACTGAAGGAAATAGAGACACAAAAAACCCTTCAAAGAATTAATGAATCCAGGAGCTGCTTTTTGAAAGGATCAACAAAATTGATAGACCGCTAGCAAGACTAATAAAGAAGAAAAGAGAGAAGAATCAAATAGACGCAATAAAAAATGATAAAGGGGATATCACCACCGATCCTACAGAAATACAAACTACCATCAGAGAATACTACAAACACCTCTATGCAAATAAACTAGAAAATCTGGAAGAAATGTATAAATTCCTCGACACATACACCCTCCCAAGACTAAACCAGGAAGAAATTGACTCTCTGAATAGACGAATAACAGGCTCTGAAATTGTGGCAATAATCAATAGCTTACCAACAAAAAAGAGTCCAGGACCAGATGGATTCACAGCCGAATTCAACCAGAGGTACAAGGAGGAACTGGTACCATTCCTTCTGAAACTACTCCAATCAATAGAAAAAGAGGGAACCCTCCGTAACTCATTTTATGAGGCCAGCATCATCCTGATACCAAAGCCAGGCAGAGACTCAACCAAAAAAGAGAATTTTAGACCAATATCCTTGATGAGCATTGATGCAAAAATCCTCAATAAAATACTGGCAAACCGAATCCAGCAGCACATCAAAAAGCTTATCCACCATGATCAAGTGGGCTTCATCCCTGGGATGCAAGGCTGATTCAATATACACAAATCAAAAAATGTAGTCCAGCATATAAACAGAACCAAAGACAAAAACCACATGATTATCTCAATAGATGCAGAAAAGGCCTTCGACAAAATTCAACAACCCTTCATGCTAAAAACTGTCAATAAATTAGGTATTGATGGGACGTATCTCAAAATAATAAGAGCTATCTATGACAAACCCACAGCCAATATCATACTGAATGGGCAAAAACTGGAAGCATCCCCTTTGAAAAGTGGCACAAGACGGATGCCCTCTCTCACCACTCCTATTCAACATAGTGTTGGAAGTTCTGGCCAGGGCAATTAGGCAGGAGAAGGAAATAAAGGGTATTCAATTAGGAAAAGAGGAAGTCAAATTGTCCCTGTTTGCAGATGACATGACTGTATATCTAGAAAACCCCATTGTCTCAGCCCAAAATCTCCTTAAGCTGATAAGCAACTTCAGCAAGTCTCAGGATACAAAATCAATGTACAAAAATCACAAGCATTCTTATACACCAAGAACAGACAAACAGAGAGCCAAATCATGAGTGAACTCCCATTCACAGTTGCTTCAAAGACAATAAAATACCTAGGAATCCAACTTACAAGGGATGTGAAGGACCTCTTCAAGGAGAACTACAAACCACTGCTGAATGAAATAAAAGAGGATACAAACAAATGGAAGAACATTCCATGCTCAAGGGTAGGAAGAATCAATATCGTGAAAATGGCCATACTGCCCAAGGGAATTTATAGACTCAATGCCATCCCCATCAAGCTACCAATGACTTTCTTCACAGAATTGGAAAAAACTACTTTAAAGTTCATATGGAACCAAAAAGGAGCCCACATCACCAAGTCAATTCTAAGCCAAAAGAACAAAGCTGGAGGCATCATGCTACCTGACTTCAAACTATACTACAAGGCTACAGTAACCAAAACAGCATGGTACTGGTACTAAACAGAGATATAGATCAATGGAACAGAACAGAGCCCTCAGAAATAATGTCGCATATCTACAACTCTCTGATCTTTGACAAACCTGAGAAAAACAAGCAATGGGGAAAGGATTCCCTATTTAATAAATCGTGCCAGGAAAACTGGCTAGCCATATGTAGAAAGCTGAAACTGGATCCCTTCCTTACACCTTATACAAAAATCAATTCCAGATGGATTAAAGACTTAAACGTTAGACGTAAAACCATAAAAACCCTAGAAGAATACCTAGGCATTACCATTCAGGACATAGGCATGGGCAAGGACTTCACGTCTAAAACACCAAAAGCAATAAAGCAATGGCAACAAAAGCCAAAATTGACAAATGGGATCTAATTAAACTGAAGAGCTTCTGCACAGCAAAAGAAACTACCAACAGAATGAACAGGCAACCTACAAAATGGGAGAAAATTTTCGCAACCTACTCATCTGACAAAGGGCTAATATCCAGAATCTACGATGAACTCAAACAAATTTATAAGAAAAAAAAACCCCATCAAAAAGTGGGTGAAGGACATGAACAGACACTTCTCAAAATAAGACATTTATGCAGCCAAAAAACACATGAAAAAATGCTCACCATCACTGGCCATCAGAGAAATGCAAATCAAAACCACAATGAGATACCATCTCACACCAGTTAGAATGGCAATCATTAAAAAGTCAGGAAACAACAGGTGCTGGAGAGGATGTGGAGAAATAGGAACACTTTTACACTGTTGGTGGGACTGTAAACTAGTTCAACCCTTGTGGAAGTCAGTGTGGCGATTCCTCAGGGATCTAGAACTAGAAATACCATTTGACCCAGCCATCTTATTACTGGGTATATACCCAAAGGACTATAAATCATGCTGCTATAAAGACACATGCACACGTATGTTTATTGCAGCACTATTCACAATAGCAAAGACTTGGAACCAACCCAAATGTCCAACAATGATAGACTGGATTAAGAAAATGTGGCACATATACACCACGGAATACTATGCAGCCATAAAAAATGATGAGTTCGTGTCCTTTGTAGGGACATGGATGAAACTGGAAATCATCATTCTCAGTAAACTATCGCAAAAACAAAAAACCAAACACCGCATATTCTCACTCATAGGTGGGAATTGAACAATGAGAACACATGGACACAGGAGGGGAACATCACACTCTGGGGACTGTTGTGGGGTGGGGGAAGGGGGAAGGGATAGCTTTAGGAGATATACCTAATGCTAAATGATGAGTTAATGGGTGCAGCACACCAGCATGGCACATGTATACATATGTAACTAACCTGCACATTGTGCACATGTACCCTAAAACTTAAAGTATAAAAAAATAAAATCAGGTAAGTAGATTTTAGAACTGGGAGAGTAAGTTAAATAGGGCGTAAGAAAATAACTATTTATTTATGTACATACGTATATGATGGCTGTACAACTCTATAAATTTACTAAAAATCATTGGTTTGTACACATAAAATGAGTGACTTTTATGGCATGTGGAATATATTTCAATGAACCTGTTCTTTTTTTAAAGAAGAAGAAGAAAAAAAAGAATTCCCACAAATGCAAACAAATTGCTCCGATGTAAGACTGACTTTTAGTTCATATGTGAACTCTATCTTGGAGGAAATGTTGTTTGAAATGGGTCCTGAAGAATAAATAGCATTATTTGAACTAGGAACAAGGAAACAGCCATGTAAAAGTACCATGGCAACGAAGTGTCATTTGTGTGGGAACAGATTGTTACTGAATTTTTCTGGAGTACATAATTAATAATGAGTTATTATTTACTGGATGCTTGCTATATACATCAGGCATCTTATTAAGCCCTTCATATCTATTAACCTAATTAATCATTATAGCAAATCTGTATATAAAAGTTACAGATTTTACAGATGAGGAAGGTAAGGTACAGAAATTAAGCAAGTTACCCAAGGTTACATGACTTGTAAGAGGCAGAGACAAGAGTCCAGGTTCTCTGGCATAAAAGGCCATATATTTGCTATAAGAGGGAGTGGTAGAAAGAGCTAGAAAGATGGATTATCATGAATGTGGAGCTCAGAAGTTTGTAGAGAGGTTTGAACTTAATTTGGTTCTTGAGGAATGGCTGAGGCTTATGAATGAGGAGAGGCGTGATGTGTAAGGTGCATTAGGGTGTGGAGATGTTAGAAATAGGGATAACAGTGGACTAGGCTAGGGTTAACACACACACAAAAACCCACACCAGTGAAATTAGGATGAGAGACAGTGTCAAGACAGAATACAGAGAACTTACGAAAATAACTGGGGATTTGGGGTGGGGGTTCATCGAGCTTTTAAGAGGCAGCTGATCGGCTTCATCTACTGAAGAACCTTACGCAGATGTCACACTAGCCATTATAATTGGAAGAGAGATGGGCCTCCTTTGGAGAGCTTCAAGGTATTTACTTTGTTGTTGATTTTTTTCTTGGTGAGAATGCTTGGTTTTTAGTTTAAATGGCTAGAAAAGATATACACAGGTTTTGATGGCTTTTAAAGATTTGCATTTATATTCAAGACCAGGGTAACCAGGAATTAGATGTGAAAGTCTCCTGATAAGGGAAAGAGCACTGGAATCAGGAGATGAGTGGCATGGTAGGGAACTGACAAGGAGGCAGGGGTGGCTGCAGGAATGAACCTTCCAAGAAGCTTGACAGTGAAGAGAGGGCATGATGGAATCAGGAAATAGAGAAAGGATGAAGCTACAGCGAGATTTTATGAACTTTTTATAGGATTCTGGGCATTTTTCTCACCTTTCAGCATTGATGTCCAAGCCTTGGAGTATTCCATTTTAAATAGACAACACTTTCTTGGATGTGACATCCCCCTTCGTAACATGCCTGCTAGCAGTCAAGAACCCACAGTGGTACTGTTTCTTTTTGTTTTATGTAACATCTTCCTGTGTATAAAGTTTTCAGTTTTCTCTCCTGGGTTATTTACTTAGCAGATGTTTACTGATCTTCTCTGTATTTCATGCTATGCTAAATGATGAGGGAACGGAGATAAAAGTCACTGCTGGTCTGCACTGAGACGAGACTCAGAACATCCAACTCTCCTACATGGTGTAAAGCTTGTCCTAGGCATTCATTTATTTCTCTGATCAGTTTTGAAATTGGACTCTTTGTGAGACTTACCTCATACCGTCACAGATATTTGGAGCCATTATCACAAGTCCTTTGTAGAAAAGCCAGAAGTGAGTGACAACCAAAATCTAGAATCTGTGATTGAAAATAGAAAATACTCCTCTGAGTATTAAGATTCAGGGGATCTTTATATTTTTGAATCTATTTACTGCTGAAAATCACTAACCATAGTCACTTCTGTACTAAATTCCAGCTTGGTTTTAGAAATAACCATAGTAGGCCAGGCATGGTGCCTCATGCCTGTGATCCCAGCACTTTGGGAGGCTGAGGCAGGCGGATCATGAGGTGAGGAGATCAAGACCATCTTGACCAACATGGTGAAACTCTGTCTCTACTAAAATACAAAAAAAATTAGCTGGGCATGGTGGCACACACCTGTAGTCTCAGCTACTCAGGAGGCTGAGGCAGGAGAATCACTTGAACCTGAGAGGCAGAGGTTGCAGTGAGCCGAAATCGTGCCACTGCACTCCAGCCTGGGCGACAGAGTGAGATTCCACCTCAACTCATTAAAAAAAAAAAAATTACCACAGTATAGTTTTTAAGACTGTAAATTTCTTAGAGAGTCAACTGTGTTGGTAAAACTTCTTGAAAGGGTGGGGTTTGATCTCAGGGATATTATATCATCAGAAACAAGCAGATGAGAAGAAAATGATGGTATCATTACTATTGTAATGAATTGGCTGAGTAATGGTATGTTTTAAACCCTGGGGTTTTCTACTGTGGTTACACGTTGGTCCTACACAAAAGGGTGTGCCTTAGAATTGTGACTAGAGGCAGGGATTTGAAGTTCAACTTTGCTATTGTTCACCCAGTACACTTAGACAAGTTACCCCTCTGATATGGATTTTAATATAAAGGGCAATAATGTTCCCTAAACATTTGTCAGGGCTAAGGAAAAGAGTATATGTGAAAGCTTCAGACACTGTCTGGCACATAGTAAGTGCTTAATGGATACTAGCCAGTTTCATTGAGAAGCAGGCAATTTTGCAGCCAGAACAGGAATATACTGGCTTTTTGATACTTTTTAAAAAGGGATAAAACATCTTGATATCTTTCTGATTAATTTGTTTCTCGTATCAAAATTTTGAAATTTTGATATAATTGCAGTCCTGATGGTATGGACTCAAGTACAGTCTTTTTCTTACTCTCTCTCCTCTCTTTATGTGCCACGTGAGGCAGGATTGGGTGGTGCTGTCACCGTGTAGCTGGAAGTGTGAACACACAGCTCAAGGGAAGCCAGGCTGTTGAAATGCTAGATGAGGAAAGACAGTACCCCAGAACCCCACTTCTGCTGAGGCCAGGGCTTGGCTGGTATCAGATTCTAGATCACCTACCAAAGGCCCAACTCAAAATATCATTCTGGAGAAAAAACTCGACAGGACATGCAAAAGAAATGCAGTGTATAATAAACATGAAAAAAGTTTACTCTTTTTAATAATGAAAACGTAATTTAAAGTAACAAGGTACAATTATGCATCTATAAAATTGACAAAGATTAAAAAGAAAAGATGATCATACCAGAATTCAGTTTTTGCTGAATGTGGAGAATGTGGGGAAGTTCGTACTCTCATGCACACACATACACACACATGTATATATATGTATACATATGTGTGTATATATACACACGTATACCCCCACACACATATATGTGTGTGTGTATTTGTAGGATTGTTGCATATCCTCATCAACCAGGAACTTATTCTAAATAGTAATAATGGATATGAGCCAAGATTTATATACAAGGATGTTATTTACATTGCTATGTATAATAGCACATAATTGGAAACGAACTTAATATCTCTCAAGTAGAGGGTTGGTTATGATACATCTAGAATAGAACTTAAACATTAAAAGTAATGCAACGGATATTTAATTATATGGGAAGTCTTCATGATATGATAATTAGTGAAAAATCAGTTTATAGAACAATATGTAAACTGTTATCTAAATTATGTAAAACATCACAAACACACATACACATAGAAAAAGATTGGATATATATTTCCTAAAATCCTTACAGTGGTTACTTCTGAATATAGGGATTATAGGTAATTTGAAATTACATTTTCTTTTTCTGCTTGGTTACATTGTCTAAATTTTATCTAGCAGTTATATCACTATAAAACATAAGCAGAATGAACAAGAGGGCAGGGAACTTAACACAGGATCTGTTTGGAAAGCAAGGACCATTGAGGGGAATTTTCGTTGACAGCTTTTGCTGACACTAAACTTGAAGGCCCAATGGCTTTAATCCTGTAAGTGTGCCTGTATCTGTATTTTAGGGCATTCCTCTGGTTTTGAGTATGCAACTGGTTCTCCCAAATTTTATGTCATTTCATAAAATTTCAGCTAGTGTTTAACGTGAGAAAGGGTGTTATATACATATGTAAATATTCATCATGTTCAAGTTTCTTTCTAAGTGGAGTCCATCATAGTCAAGAGATGCTGAGAGAATTGAGCCAGGCTTTTGAGATGGATACTGTGGCAGACAGCAAAGTTAACCTAGCCTATCACTGTGTGTTTTATGGCTTTTTTTTTTTGTCTCAGAGAAAGCAGAGGGTTAGACTGATCATATTATATTATTGTATGCAATATTGTATTATAAGCTACTATGTAGCTTACAAATTAATTCATTACACAGCCATGGGAGATTATAAATGGGAACGCATGCAAATGTCTACTTATATTACTTACGATGAAAAAAGAACATTTTCTATATTTCCTTTAATTTTTTTCTAAGAATATCATTAAGCTTTATGAATTTTAAATTTACAAGGAGAGCTTTATTTTTGATTCCAATTTCCATCACTCTTCCCTGCTTTTAAAATTTTTACCCATATTACTAAATTCTCTCAGAGATACCTTTCACATCTCTTCAATTTTTTGCTTTCATCCTTTTGCCCAGGCTGACCCATTGTTTAGATTATCTTCCAGCCTTTGCTGTTTGAAAAACTTGCCTGTCCTCAAAGACTCAGATCAAATGCCAGTTTCCTAATTTTCCTGATCACATCTGCCAGAAGCCACTACTTTCTCCTTTGAACTTACGTCTTGTTTTTGAAAATAAAAATGTAGCATGATTTTATGGGAAGAAATGTTAACAAGGAGTTCAGAGACCTAGGGTCCTTTTTCCTTTCTCTGAAGAGGCATCAATGGAGCTTGGTCAAGATATGAAAATTGTCCAGGATACGAAAATATCTTTACATCTAGATATCTCCTGGCACTTAAAATAAGAGATTTCCAATATCCTGTTTTCTAGTTGTGTGAACTAACATCTCTGTGCTTCAGTTTAATCATCAGTAAAATGTGGATAGTAATAGCACCTAACTCAATGTGAATGAGGATTAAATGAGGTAAAGCAAATAGAACTGTCACTAAGAAATCCTTTTGATAAGATAGGAATCTATCTTACTCAATACACTTTATCAAAATTTATATCCCTGCTTTAAGTAGTTTTACAAGGATATAGAGAAAGAGATGAATACAACAAAAACAAACCAACCAACAAACAAAAACCAACAAACAAAATAAACAGTATTGTTGAACATTCTTTACTGGGGCATGTTTATAATGTTTATAGCCTCACTAGTATAACTGTGTTTTACAGTTCTGTGTATTATAATGAAAGCCTACTTCTCGAGTGATTTATTTCAATTGTCCATATAATAAACTGTTAGAAATGAATATGTAGAGTGAGTAAACAACTACTTTATCCCTCTTATTTTCTACCTCTTACAGATATAACCTCTTAAAAAACTAAGTTATAAACTTCACAGATCATTAATCAGGCAGGATTTCTACTATTTCTTATTACCTTTATTTATAGAAATAGAGAATAAACATTAGCAAGGCTCTGTAAACTTATTAGGGCAGAAGGCTATTTTAAATATTATCCAAAAGCTGGTAAATGTGATAAAATTTGTAGAGGATTAGAATAATCTAAAAGGGTAAAATGTATTATTCTAAATTATGTTTTGCTTTAACTATGAGTTAAAAATTTTAAAAATTACATAAATGTTCATAAGAAAAGAGGAGAAAACTAACAGAAAAAAGCTATTTTTAACATTAGAGATGAAGACAGATATAGTAAAGATGTATCACTTTTGTATTAAATTAATTTCACTTTCTAAAAAAAACAAGGTTACTATATTCACCAATAAAAATGTTGATACATGATAGGAAAAGCATTACAAAATAAAATTCTCAACAGGGCAGTTTTTATATGTGAGTATTTTAAATTTATGAACATCATTGTTGATAACCATCAAATACATGTGTCATACTCTGTATAAAGGAACTAATGTACCTAAGAGTTGTATCAATTAGTTAAATATTTAACTTTAAGAGAAGAAAGCTTTATATAATAAATGAAGGTGCTGAATAATGAAGTATCAGAGAAGAAAAAGGGAGATATTTAAGATGATAAAGAGTATATATTTTGGCCCATATAAAGAATCAACAGACCTTGAAATTAAACATTTTAGAAAAATGGGTGGCATTTGAAAAATTGTGTTTGAGTTTAACTGACTGAGGAACAATAAGGAGGGCAGGCTGTCCCAACTGTAGTTATATTTCCATGGTGTCATTACAATAAAACCCAAATATTTTCCACCATATTTCTTATTTTGCTTCAGTTTTGCGGGGAGGACCCTTCTTTACTGTCAAACAAATTAGTCACACAACTATGCTGGCTGTCTTTACCCACTATAGAGGTCACGATAGCAGACTGTCCACTTGGCCAACACTTCTTTGGCACCTGGCCACCTTGAGAATGCCCGTGTTGGCCAAGGCACACTCCTGCCTCTGCTGATTGAGCTGCATGATTCCTGATCCAAGCAGAAGGTTCCTCTCTCATAAATAAGTGATAGGCATGTCTTTCTAGAGGGGAGATGCTTATAGGTGACCTGAGCTCCATTATGTTAGAGACAGCCCTTAATGAGTGAAGCTTCCTCTGGCCCATTTAGACAATCTTTAACTTCACTTTGTAGTCCAAATACTTTTAAAGACTTTGCTTTGAGTTCTTACACATAATCAAATTATCTTTAGAAAAGTAAAACTTGCTGCACCACCTATAGCTCCTGGATTGCTAATAGCTGTCATCTTTTTAGGACTTCATTTATACTAGTTTTCATGCTGGAGGCACTCACCAAGACTGCCATATCTGGCTGGCTTGAAAAGCACATATTAGCAAGATTTATGCAACTATTTTTTGGGAGGTGGGCTAAGATAATTTAAGTACTATCAGTTGCACTCATATGCACCACTCAGAGTCCAGTGGTGGAAGCATCATTGGATTGGAAGATATCTTCTGAATAGGAGGGTTTTTAAATAAAATAATGCCTTTTGTAGTATATAAGCCAAAAGTTAATTTTATATAAATGAACCTCACAGGATTATTTTAATTTATGATGCTTTTTCACATGGCTATCGATATAATTTAAAATAGACAAATTCAGGTTCCTTGGGCTGACTCTGCTTGTTCTCACACTTTCTGTCTGGTTTGTATTCCGTAATCTTTCTACATGAACTCATGCTGCTAGTTGCTCATTAAATTGTTCTTGCCTAAGTACTTCCTGATCAGTTCTATTATTATTTGTTCTTTTTCTTTCTTAGTATTGATGTTAACTGCTTGGTAATTTCCTGGATCTCCCCTTTGGCACATCTTATAAATTAGGCTACTTATTATTACAATTATTTTCTTGACTCTGCAGCCCATTCATCATTCTCTATTTCTGCATTGTCTGTGACTTGAATATCTACAAAATGTAAACATATTATTTATACAAAACAAATATCTTATTGTGAGGATAATATTCTCTAATATTTTTTAGCAAAGAGATTTATTTATAGTTTGCTAAAATATACTTTGAACATACTAAAATAAGAAACAAAATTAGTGGATAAAAATTAAGCATTAACAGCTAATATGCCTTTTTTGGGAAATCATTTGGCTTTTTCTGAATGAAATAAATGTAAAAGTCATGTTATTAAAATTAATTACTTAAAAATTTAAAAAGTGCTACTTTTTATTCATCTATGAGCAACGTATGTTATCTCTTTAAGTATTTTTTATTATTTTATCAAATATTGCTTTTTATTAATTACAGCATAGATCTAACCTGGTTTCTGACCTTTAATCACAGAAGAGACATAATTCATTAATTAAATAAACTATAATGATTACTGAGTTAACATGGGACATCAATAAGACATAGTCCATGAGTATAAGAAGTTCACAACCCAGTGAAGTAAGAGCAGTAAGAATGTATAATATTGTGTTTAAATAATTAAGATATTCTTACGGAATACAAAGAAGGCCAGAATTAACTCTGACAGCCACAAGTTGGGAAAAGTTTCCATACCAGAGGAGTAAATATTTGAGTCTTGCTTTGAAGGTTAGGGTATTCTAGACAGAGGTCACTGCACATGCAGATGACACTATAAAAGTATACCTTTTCCATACGGGTAGATGGAAAATGCAATGATTCTTTGTTTAATATTGGTCTCTTCTGCAGGACTGGAATCTCCCTGTAAGCAGATACCATGCTGATTTTGTTCACTGCCCTATCCACAGTCTGGCATAGAGCTTGGCATGTAGTAAATAATAAATATTTGTTGAATGAATGAATGCATTGTGAAAGGCTAGGCTCAAGTGTTTGGACTATATTATTTCTGTAGGCAGTGTGAGTCACAGAGATGATTAAGCATTGAGTCCTGTGATCCCGTTTGTTATATAGGAAGATGAAAGGCAATTCTATTGAAAATATAGAGGATAGATACAAGTAGGACCAGATTATTGGCAGATAGATGAGTTAGTCATTCCAGAAGCAAAATGAAGTAAACTTAAAGTGGTGAATTTGTGGATGATGGGACAAGCTTCTAAAATGTGGTAGAAAGGATTCATGGACTGGTTGGATGTGGGGGGTGAAAAAGAGACAGAAAGGAAGAGGTCTTTGCGTTGAGTTTGGGAGGATAGCAGTACTAAAAATTGAAAACAGGGATTGTTTTTTGAGAAGCAAATTTTATGGGGAAGGATGGGTTTAAATTTGAATGCACTTAGTTTGTTTTCTCAAAAAGACATCCAGGTAAGGCAAAATCTGGATTGAATATGTAGCTGTGGAATTCATCAGCATGGAGATGATGCTTGAGGTTACGGGAGGAAATAAGGTTAATAAGAAGAGTGTAAGGAATAAAGAAAGAACAAAAAAATGAAATGGAACCTTTGGGGGAACACAGACATAGGAAGAGGAGAAGGAGTCAACAGACAAAAGAGCTAATATGGATTCAAACATAAGCTTTGGGACAATACTGTCTTAGGTACTTTGTATATGTTAGACTATTTAATCTTTACAACATCTCAGGGAGGACTTATCAGAGAAGTAGGAACTTTTCCAGGAAATGCATCCTGAAACCTTGGCTGGAGGGAGTTTAAGTTTACAGTGGCAAACTTAATCTGTAAAAGACCAGGTAGTAAATGTTTAAGGCTATCCTGTCTCTACAGCAACTAGAGTGCAACTAGGCAACTCTGCTTCTGTAGTACAGAAGCAGCTGTAGACAAGTAAATAGGTATGTCAGTGTTCCAAAAAAACTTAATTTGTGGACACTGAAATTTCAATATCATATACTTTTTACATGTCACAAAATACTATTCTTTTCAGTTTTTAAACGATTTAAAATTGTGAAAACTGTTCTAAGAGCACGGGCCATACATAAACAAGGAGTGAGCTGTGGTTTGCTCATCCGTGGATTAAAGAAAAAGAAAGGTGTAAACTGTTAAATGCAAGCATTTGAGTCCGAATAATATCACTTGAATGTTGCAAGTAGGAAGTAGTTGATAACCTAGCAGAAGTGGTTTCAGTAGATTGAAGGGGCAGAAATGCCTTTGTATTATTAGGTTTGGGAATAATTAGGAAGTTGATAGAATAAGTGTAGGGATTTTTAAAAGTTTAACAGGAGAGAAAAAGACAAATGTGACAGTTTAAGGGAAAAGCAATGCTTAGGAAGGTTTTCTTGTTTCATTTGTTTCAGCATGTAGGTAATTTGGCCTTTTATTTTTTATTTTTTTTATTTTTATTTTTGTAGATAAAAGAGCCATGTGAAAAAGAAGAGAGATTACAGGTTTAGGAGACAAGAGATCGTTGGCAGAACAAGATCCTGTGGAAGTTAGGAGGACATAGGGTTCTGTATTCAGCTGGACAGATTACCTTTGGTTCTCCTTGTCTTT
Source organism: Homo sapiens (assembly GCF_000001405.40). Taxonomy (NCBI): domain Eukaryota; kingdom Metazoa; phylum Chordata; class Mammalia; order Primates; family Hominidae; genus Homo; species Homo sapiens. Next base: position 148,679,722 of record NC_000003.12, on the reverse strand, counting down.
TGATTGAGGTTGGACTAAGCCATCTTGTTCTCTCCTGTGGTCTCTATTCTGAATTGTGCTTCTAAGACAGCGTCTAAGATGGCTGAAAGGAACTCAGTTTCATCCTTGAAATAATTCAGTTTGACGGATAAGTCTGATGTTACTACCAACAATTTACAGATAAAAAAATGAGGATGAAGAATTCAATGTATTCAAAGACATCTAGTTAACAGACGGTAGATTAGTAACCCAGGTACTCTAATTCTAGCTTAAATTCCCCTTTTATTGTATTCTGCTTTTTTCCCTACTTCTAAGTAAGTTTGTAACATGCAAGAGAGTTTAGTGGTAATATTTTAAATAAGATTTGCATTAAATATTCATCTATTTACTTGTATTTAGAGATCTTTTGATTTAAAGGCTATGTTACAGTGAGTCATATCCCTGTAGTTTTTTATTTCTGAAGTTTGACATAAATGTTTATTGATTTTTTTTATAATTAGATGGGCTTTTTGGCTTCTAATGGTTAAGATCTCAGGAAAATTGAATTGCAACTCTTGCTACATCACTGTATTTAGGTAATTCCTCCTCATGTGCACAGAGACCTGCTCAAATGATGTCATTTGTAGGATAATTGTCTTGTCATGATCAGCCCTTTCTAGCCACTAGCCATTAGGGGAGTAGGCAAATAGAATATTCCAAGGCTGAAAAAAAACTTGCCGAAAACCTAGAGATGTTTGTAAATAGTTGAAACATAATGGAGAGGGTTTATTTAATCCACGCTGAAGAAATTTTAATATTAACCATATCTAAGTTCCATCTCTTTTCCCCTCTATTTTCAAAACATTGAAGACTGTTGTAGAGATGTAATCTAAAAATAATAATGGAGTACAAGTAGTGGTGTTTCAAAACTAAATTCTACCTGCAGTTTGAATTTTAGTAGGGCTTCCATCTATCCAGAGGGGTTTGGAGACAACGGTACCCAACCTGATGGAGGAGAAGTAAGTGTTTCCTTTGTGTCTTGGCCACTCTATCCACCTAATGCAACAATTACTAAAGGCCTTAAGGCTAGAGCGTTTACTGTGTGCTAACAAGGAAAGGCAAGGGGGCTCTAGGGAAAGTCATTTTAAAAAAAAACATAAACGTGTTCTCATGGTTCAATTCCCACCTATGAGTGAGAACATGCGGTGTTTGATTTTTTGTCCTTGCAATAGTTTACTGAGAATGATGATTTCCAGTTTCATCCATGAGAACACACGGACACAGGAAGGGGAACATCACACTCTGGGGACTGTTGTGGGGTTGGGGGAGGGGGGAGGGATAGCATTAGGAGATATATACCTAATGCTAAATGACCAGTTAATGGGTGCAGCACACCAGCATGGCACAGGTATACATATGTAACTAACCTGCACATTGTGCACATGTACCCTAAAACTTAAAGTATAATAATAATAAAATTAAAAAAAAACATAAACGAGGATGCAAGCATAACTAATGCTTACAGAAACATTTTAGGTTATGAGAAAAATATGTTGGGAAAAGGAATTTGACAGGAGAAGGAAGCCATAGCACAGTTCCAGAACACACTTTATATAAAAATAGAAAGCAACTTAGAATAAATTGGTAGAAAAGGATAGTATTCAACACCCCAAATTATTAAATATTTCTTACTACCTGTAAGTCACATCTCCAACATGCTTGCTTATTAAAGAAAAAGCAAAGCCAAGATATGACAGAACTTTTCTAAATTTCAAGGAATAGGAGTCAAAATGTTATATGAAGATGAAATTATTCTGTGAATAAATCATTTCAGAGCTCTAATTAAGACCCTAACTTAATTTCCATTTAATTTCAGTTGGTTTTTTCCCTCCTGCCCTAGATTCACTTTCTGTCCACAGAGATCCCTGGGGATATCAGTCTCTCATCACTAACTTGACCCCTTACCCTTACATCCCTGAGTCCAAAGTCACCCAGAAGCCAATTATATATGTGTATTTTTGGCACACTGATGCTATTTTAATTGTTATTTAATGATTTTTCTGTACTATAATTCTTTGCTTCTGAGATAAAGCCATGCAATTATATTTTCTATGCTGTTTCTTCTTCTGAAAACAAATGCATGGCACATGTGTTTCTGGAACAAATTGTCTTCCTCAATGGAGATACACCTAAGATGTCGTTTCCAAAGGGATTACAGAAACAAAATGTTTTGGACTTTCCTTGTAATTTATTGTATCTGGTGAGTGCTATAATTAAAGATTAGAAACCACAGGAAATTATTTCAAAGCATAAAGTTCCCTGGAAAGAGATTATCTATTTAATTACCAAGAAGGCTCCTTATTGTAAAATTCAAATCTTTCAAATAACAGAAACTCAAGCAATAATTTTAAAAACATTTTCATTGTGAAATATGACACAGATATAGAAGAGTACACAAAATAAGCATACATTATATTGAATAATTATAAAGCAAACATCCATGTAAAGACCATCCAAGTAAGAAAAAAAATTAATATTGCCAGAATCTCAGAAGCCCCCATGTGTCAGTTTTCTGTCAAATTCCCCTCCATTCCCCTTAGAAGTTACCATTATTCTAACTTGTATGGTAATCATTTCCTTGTTTTACTTTATAGTTTTTCTGCATATGAATATATTCCAAACAAGTTTTTAAACTTCATATAGAGAGAGCCATACTGTTATGTATTTGCTTCCATATTACTTCTTTTGGTCAATGTAATGTTGGTAATGATTTTCCATATTGTTGTGTATAGTTCTAGGCTGTTCATTTTTATTATGATAGGTTATTTTACTGAATGAGCATACCTACCTCATGCATTTATTCCACTGTGGAGAAACATTTGGGTTGGAAGGCAGCTATGCTCACCACTATACAACCAATGCTGCATGACATTTGGGTTGACATTTTGGATATTACAAATGTTATTGGAATGAATATCCTTGTATATGTGTCCACTTTATACACACTTTTAAAGTGATATTAGGAGCATAGGCTTTAAATTGACCAACTCAGTAGCAGTCACTCTTTTAAGGAATAAATGCTTTATCTTTCCATTCTGTTGCCACTCAATGAACTCCAAAAAACACTCCGTTTACATTCTCAATTTCTATCTTAAATTTAATGGGTGCTTAGGTATACTGGTATGCTGATTAACCACCATTCGTACCCCGACACCTCCCAAACTATTGTCTATCCTTCCCCGTTCTGCTTTATTTATTCCTTGGCAGGTTAACGCCTACTGAGGGTTGTCCTCTGGTTGCGTTTGGCCAATGGGAGATTGGGTTTGGCTTCTAGTTCTAGTGCATTTGGCTAATAGGATGCACAGGGAGGATATCTGACCGGAGAGCAGTTGGGGTATTTTTCAATGACTTCCTCCCTGGTTTTGTACTGAGGCACTGACAGTAGATCCATTACTTCATGGCTCTAGTTCCTTCTGGGAAGCCCATTCTCCATGGATTCAGTTTTTGCTGGATTCCAGGACCACTATTTTTTCCCCTTGTCCCTTCAATTCCAAGAGTGGCAATGGCTTTCCACTATTGCTAGTCTCTAAGTACTTACTGTCACTTATTTGTTTCCCTTTTAAAGTCTTCTTTAATTCATTTGGAGTAAATTCTGTTTCTTGATGAGACCCTGACTGATACCTGGTTTTTGAATTTTCTTTAAATAGAAGTTGCAGATGTTTTTTCAAGCACAATAACTGTTCAAATTTTCAGAATGGTTGTCAGATTTGATTTTAGGTTTAAGTAAAAAAGCATTGCTAAAAATGAAGACATCCATCCAAATATAAAAAGAGGTACAAAAGACTGGTCAGTGTAATTGAATATTAGGTGATATGCATGAAAGTGAATTGAAAGTATGCATTATATGAATTAATCTAGGATCATAAAATTGAGCCCATATTCCTGGTATGCAAGCTGGTGACTAGTCAAATTATTCATGGTTTTCTGAATCTTGAATATTCCAGAGTTTTTTAGTTTACTCCACTTTTATAAATATGTTTAAAGGGCTTTTCTTCAAGGCCAGTGAAACTTCCCTGCATTTTATCTGACTTTCTCTTGTTCCAGTTTCTGCAGAGAGTACACCAGACCAATAAGTGTAATAGCAAGGCCAAATACAGTCTTAATATCTGAAATAGCTAGAACTTTCAGCATTTCAATTGGCCACAGGTTCTACCCTTATTTTCAAATTTTTAAGCTTTGAGAGAAAAATATACACAACGTCTCAGATTTCCTGCTCTACTGAGCTCAGAAAAGTGTGTAATTCTAGCTTAGCTTTTATAAGCATTGTTTTTGGTGACCGTAAGCTTGGTGTGAACTCGTAAATCTACATTGAGGAAACACCTATTTTTGGTAACCTATTTTTGTCTTGGGTATTTTGATTTTGTCATATTCCAGCCCAGATGACTAAAGGATAATTAACAAAGACAGTTTTAGTTTAATCTGATAATAATATAGCAAAGTCTCTCCCTGCGACCATTTGTATTACTTCTAAATGTACATAAGCATCAAATATTTAAGCATGAGCATAAACAACCTAAAGTTCACCTATTCAGGGAAGAAAAAAACTATCTGTATATTGAATTGACCTTAGAGATACTACTCTTGGATAGACATAGGTAGTGAAGATTTTGTCAAAGTATTTATTTGGCTTTCTTTGAAAATGTAAACCTTAATATATATCTAGGATGATATAACAAATTTTGGTCTTGCCATGTTATTTCTAAGGTAAAGGGCATTGTGATAGTCACATTTCTCAGAACAATGCCTGGCACATAGTAGGTACTCAATAAAAACCACATATTATTGTTGAGTAAGCCAAATGGTATTCATTCATTGAAGAGATCCATTATAATTCTTCATAATGACCAAGTATTTATTATCATATAAACTTTGTTTAATATTCTAACAATTCTATTGCTTTTGGCTTTAGTGTTTTTCAATCAGTATGAAACAGATTGTAAAGATGGAATCCTATGGAATATGCTGTGTTTGGTGCTAATTCCCAATCAAGATGTGTATATTGCTTAATAGCCTCTGAAATCTGTATGAAACTAATGTACACTTAACAATTTTACAACTGTCCTCTCTTAACACAAAACATAAGGCTTTCAAATAAAGGAAGCAGATTTAAATACAATTTGTATCAACACATTGCAGTAACATTTTTACCTAGGGAAATGAAAAAGAATGTAATGGATTTTAATGCATACCACAGTACAGATAGATGCTCAGCATTACTTTGACATTGCAGTATCTTTTACATTTTCAAAAATAATTATTTTTGTCTTTTCTAGTTCTACTAACATTTAGTTGCTTAAAGTTTTTAAATCTGAAATTTCTGACAATTTGAAATGAGTCTACTGTGTGTACATACATGTATACACACTATTACATATATACATATTTAATTTATACACTTAATTTTTAAAAAGTTACATAATTGCTGACTCTGGCATCTTTGCTACCACTCTCTCTTCTGAGCTTTGGTTATATTTTAATTGAATGTGTTCAGTACTTGGAAAAATACAAGTTGGAAACCGTTAACATCATGGAAAAAAACAGTGCTAAGATGCAATGCCAAAGGCAAAATGGAGTATAAGTAAGGTTGGCAATATAAGGAACAGGTTTAGCAGTACCCAATATACATTTCCAGATAAATTTATTAATGTTCTTGGGGTATCTTTGAGCTGTGTAACAAGAAAGTGTGCATACAAAAACATTTTGCACAGAATCTGGCACGTGGAAAGAGCTCAATGCATTATTAGCAACATGCATCTCCCTCTTTTGGGGGAGGCAAATGCCCCTCATCTATGTGACAGTTTGTAATTCATCAGTACATTATTCAAAGCTTCTTTGTTCTATAAAAATTTGTATAGTTTTCTCTCTTTACTTGTCACAGACTCAGTGAAGCACATGATTACTGTCCTAGACTATGGGGCTGTAACTTGGAGGTCCCTCTTATTGTACACCTGAGGAAATTGAAGACCAGAGCAGTTAAATGACTCACTCGGTTCACCTGTTACTGACAAAACAGGACCAGAAGTCAAGTCACCTTACTCCTCATCCTGGGCTCCCTTACTCAGCTCATATTCAAATGATGAACTACGTTGACAAAGAATTATGATAAATTGGAAAAATATACACTATTTTTTATAATATACATTATAATTTCCAAACTGATATTCATATGTATTATTAAAGTACAGATATCTTTCATACACAAAGATAAGCTGAATATAACCAATAAATTCTGGATACTTTAAAGGAAACTGTGATTTGACAAAAACAGAAGAATTTTTATTATTGCCATACACTTCACAGGTTGATCTTTTAACATTTTATAGGAATCAAAGTATACAAAAGAAAGAATACAGGTTAGGAGAAAACTGGGGTTCTTGTCCTGTATTTATCATGTCTCAGCTGTTTGACTTTGGCAAGATTATTTAAGTTATTTGAGTCTTACTACTTAGGTTTGAAAATGGATATATTTGTTTCTTAGTTTTGGTGTGAAGATCATATGATAGTGTTTTGTAAACTGTAAAGCAGTATATATTGCAAAGTGTTATCATTACATAGTAGAACACAGTAGTTAAGAACAACTCTTGAATTATCCTGTCTGTGTTGTAACATTGTTTCTGCTTCTTATTGGCAAGTTACTTTTTAGGCCTCAATTTCCTCATTTATAAAATGGATAAATTAACAGCACTTTCCTCGGAGTTTTAAATTCATTTAAATTGATTAATTTAAATAAATAGCACCACTATATTTTTAACACTACTGATAACATTGAAGTATTTTATGTTATAAAATCAATATGTTTTACATTGCATAATTAATAATATGATGTAATAAGGATAATCATTAAAAAAAAGAAAAAATGTCAAATCATTCTTGAATATCCCATTCATTAAAATGTATAAAAGACTGGTAAAAGTAAGTGAGGAGGAAGTGTATTAAACAAATTCACAAGGAATGACCTGAGAATGAACACAGCTAATTAAAAAAGCAGGCTAAGAACTATCTTTACTTAGAATTCTTCTCATCTCTTGGCTCAACTGACCATTATAACCTTATTTGTCTTAATGATAATTCCTCATTTTGTTCCCAGCTGTGCACCATGTCCAGAATCAGAGAAAAAAATTGACGTATTTTGGCCTGAGTTCAGTGTTCAGAGAGTGCAGTTATACATATCAAGATTAATAGAATAGTTTTACTTTTGAATGTGAAAGAGAAGGAAATAAGAATCAATAACAAACAGATAAATAGGATTTTAAAACATGAGTAAAATTTTGGATCCCTTGGTAAATCTCTCTCTAAAGTGTAACACTGTAAGTTAAGTCTTTTTTTTTTTTTTTTTTTGCAAAAAGCATACTTGAATAGGAAGAAAGAAATTCAGTTTGTAGAAAAAGGAAAATCTCAGGTTTTTGAATTACAAACAGTCTTTCAGTTGATAGAAACATAGATTAATTTGGGGGAAATTATATAATTGCTGGGCTATTTTCAGCAATCAGTCATGTAAAATGCTGTCCTAAACACAATGTTAGGAATTTTTTTTAATTAAATTCATACTTGACTTATTATGATTCGTTAATTTTTAAATACTACATTGTTGAGCAAACAAGAAGTGAGCTGCAGCATACACAATCAGCCCTTATAGAAGAGTATTTATTTGAGAAAATTCACAGTGATAGGACTCTTGCAGAGGTGTTGCCCCGACACTCTGGGGCAGCACACAGCAATATAGCAGTATCATATGCCAATGCAGACTCTTAAGAGAGAGAACCTTTGGGCTGGGACTTTTAAGCTGAATGATTAGGGAAAGACTAGTTCTTACCCTGCGATGATCAGGAGATGAATGAACATTCCTCAAAGATGGAAAAGGAACTTTACATACTCTTTTCAGTTGCACATAAGATGGTCATATCACTTTAGAAAGAAACATGACTTGGCCAGGCACAGTGGCTCACGTCTGTAATCCCACCACTTTGGGACGCCGAGGCGGGCGGATCACCTGTGGTCAGGAGTTCGAGACCAGCCTGACTAACATGGTGAAACCGTGTCTCTACTAAAAATACAAAAATTTAGCTGGGCGTGGTGGCAGGCACCTTTAATCCCAGCCACTTGGGAGGCTGAGGCAGAAGAATCACTTGAACCCGAGAGGTCGAGATTGCAGTGAGCCAAGATCATGACATTGCACTCCAGCCTGGGCTACAGAGCAAGACTCCGTCTTAAAAAAAGAAAGAAAGAAAGAAAGAAGCATGACTTTACCTTCTTTATTTGGAAATTAATTTTGGTTTAAAGATGTGTATTGGCGCCGTGTTGACAAGGGGTGGACTTGGTGGTTTTTATGATATGCTAACTTGGCTAGGCTCAAGTTCATTTAGTAGAATTATCTTCACTGTAAGTTTCCAGTTGGTTGGGCTGCAAGAGATTTTTTTTTTTCTTTTATTTGAGATTCGGGGGGTGGAAAGAAGCAGCCATCATATTGTTTTTACGTGCAGAAGGCCAGCGCAGGTGCTATTGACGAATTAGCATTTTGTTAGATGCTGGTGTGAGACAGCAGCCAGGCCAGCAGCTTCTCTACCTTCCTATGAACCCTCTTTTAGCTTCCTCCACTCCTTGGCCAGGTGTGCAGGTGTGTGTTTATTTCCATGATGAAGAGCACCAGCTTTTTTTTGCAAGGCACTCACATCACTGAAGTCAGAAGTAGTAAGAGCCTGATTGAGTTCCAGTCTGTCCTTGTGGGTTCCAGTTTGACCGTGTGAGTTACAGCTTATCCTTTCTCTTCCACATTTTATACTCTTTGTCCCTTCTTGATCTCTTGCCCTGTAGACTTTAAGCTCCAACATCAGATATGAAGATAACAGCTTTCCAGAAAATTTTATACCAAACCCTGCAATTACATAAGGTCAAATTATGTAATAAATTATATATGTCTCCTAGTGCTTCTGCTTCTGTTATTGAACTCTGATCGTTACAGAATTTGGTACCAAGAGTGAGGGATTCTTTGGAAGAATTATGGTCTAAATAGGGGGCAGAGAAATGGTTTGATGGTTGCGGGAGTGAGATGCGGCATAATAACTCAGCAAGAATGTTAAGGAGAGTGAGTGATTAGTTTGGGTGAGTACCAGACAAAGCTTATTGAAAAGGGCAATACTAAAGTTGTTTCTGAACAATTTATACCTAGATATGTAAGACCAGGGGAGTATAACATTCCAAAAGAGAACATAATATTAGTAAAAACACAGTATAGTTTCTTTTTTTTTTTTTTTTTTGAGACGGAGTCTCGCTCCATCGCCCGGGCTGGAGTGCAGTGGTGCGATCTCGGCTCACTGCAACTTCTGCCTCCCGGGTTCAAGCGATTCTCCTGCCTCAGCCTGCTGAGCAGCACTTTGGGAGGCCGAGGCAGGTGGATCACGCGTTCAGGAGATCGAGACCATTCTGGCTAACACGGTGAAACCCCATCTCTACTAAAAACACAGGGTTTCTACTTTTTCTCTTATGTTTTTGCTATTTACCTAGTTCTGCAAACCAGTGGAAGTTATCTTTGATTATTTCTCCTCCCTTATTCTTCATGTGTCAATTGTCTATTGCTGCGTGACAAACTATCCCATTAAGCATTTATTTTTCATGAGTTTATGCATCAGTTGGGAGGTACTTCTGATTGTGGCTGAGGTCATTCAAACATCTGTCAGCTTTGGGTCAGCTGATCTTAGCTGGGCTCTCTTAGACGTTTGTAGATTGGTTTGCTATAAGTTGGTCTGGGATAGTTTCAGATGGGAAAAGCAGGCTCTGTTTTGTGTGTGCTCTCTCATCCTCCAGCAGGCTAGTGTGGGCTTACTCTCATGGAGGTGGCAGGGTTCCAGAAGAGGAAATGGAAACATTACAAAGTCTTTAAAAGTCTCTGCTTATGCCAAACCTTCTAAAGCCCTATTGGCCAAAGGAAGCTGCATGATCTATATCAGGGGAAAATAAACCAATAAAATTATAGGTCAAAGGGAGTGGGTATAGGACGACCAATAATTGGAGCCATCAGTGCAACTAGTTGCTATGCTACATATCCAGTAAGTCCTTAAACCCAATTGATTACACTTTTTCAAATTATTTTGAGTTAATTTGTTTCCCCTGTCACTATCTCAGTTTTATTCCATTCTCATCTTCTGACTAGGCTATCACAATAGCTCCTGAACAGGATGGAATTATGTCCCTACCAAATTCATACTCACCTAGAACCTCAGAATATAGCCTTATATGGAAATAAGACCTTTGTAGATGTAATCAAGTTAATTATACTAGATTAGGGTGTACCTTAATCCAATGGCTTATAAGAGAGAAATTTGAACACAGATGTAGGTAGGAGAATGCCAAATGAAGATGGAAATACATGGGAAGAATGCCGTATGAAGAGGAGGCAGAGATTGGAATCATGCATCTGCAAACCAAGGAAAGCCAAAGATTGTTGGCAACCACCACAAGCTAGGAAGAGGCAAAAAGATTTTCTCCTAGAGCATTTATAGAGAGCATAGCACTGATAATTGACTTTGGGCTTCTACCATCCAGAATGGCGAGATAATAAATTTCTGTTACTTTAAGCCACCTAGTTTGTGGTAATTTGTTATGGCAGCCCTAGGAAATGAATACAGCTCTGGAGCTACCTTCGTTCCCTCAAATTAAATTCCTAGAGCGGATGAAGATCTGTTCTCTGCACTACCCCAAATGGAGCTTTCTACAACGTAAACCTTTTCATGGGACTTTTCTACTTTAATATTTCCTGAGAGACTTCAGGGTTAACTCTAATATCCTCAGCAGGGAATAGGGAGATAACATAACTTAATCCTCTGTGAACTTCTCAGCTGCAGCTCTCTCCACTCCCATGAAAACATCCTAAGGCCCAGCCATATCTATAATTATTAACAATTTATCACATGCTCTCACCTCCTAATCAATTTTAATACCCAGCTCAGGAATCCCTTGTTGATTTTCTTTGATTGTTTAAGATTGGCCAGGATCTTTATGCCTTTCTTGTGGAACATTTCATATTGTACTTTAAATATCCAGCTATTTTTCTGGTTCCCACACAAGATACTAGGCTTTTTGGCAAGTAATATTCCTTGGACATAGTATGAGTTCAATAAGTAATTTTTGTTTGAAGATACATAAATAGATGGATGGGATTACATAGAAATGAGGCACAGCTTGGCTTGGCTAAGGAATCAGAAAGTCGTTTTTGGGAATGATCTTTCTAAGTTGTCTCTTTTTTTTTGCTGTAAGATAAAATTAGTACATAAATTCCCCAATTTTTCTATAAGTCTCTAAGAAACTTCAATTTATGCTTGTTTCTTAAAGAAATTCCTTTTCCCCTTTTGAAACTTTAAAAAATGTTGGAACAAAAGTTTTGTAACAGAGTTATACAGTGTTTTTGTTTGTTTGTTTGTTTGTTTGTTTTTTCATAATGCTTAGGAGTTAGCCAGGCAACAGATAAACATTTTCTTTTACTAGAATATAAGCTTCATGGCAAGGATTTTACTTGTTTGCTCATTGATGTGTTCCCAGCATATAGAACTGTATCTGACACATGATGGTGGTAATGTACACTCAATAACTACTTGTGAAATATCTTTGCTTGTGAGACTTTTTTACTATCTTAATGTGATTGACCTGTCGGTTTTTTTAAAAAGAGAGATTCAATTCTACTTGTAATATTTTAGGGTTCTTAAAAACACTTAGTCTACTTTTTATATGTTTAATAGCTTTTTGTGGACTTTTAACACATTGCCTTGTTTTGACTGCTTTTACTAAATAAACACCTGCCTGCCATTGGTAGAAATGGACTCACTCTCTTTTCTCTGATAACATATTTTAAATAATAATATCAGTATATTATTTTAGAAAGTGGAATCTGTGTTTCAGTAATTTTTTTCTTTCATTCCTCAAGTGTGGGCATGTGCATGAGTATGTGCATGTGTATCTGCATGTGTGTGTGTGTGTGTGTGTGTGTGTGGTAGGGAAGGAGAGACTAGTAAAGTGTAGCATCTGAATGTGGCAATAATTATTTTATAGTTAACTCAATTTTTTCCTAAGTCATCCTGTCACCTTGCTTTGCTGTGTTTAAATTTACTATTTAATCATGTATACCTGGTTAGCACTTAAAATTTAATGACAAAACAATTGCAAAACTTCTTTACAGAAATAAGAGTGTTAATATGGCCATCAGTGAAATATGGAGTTTCTTTTTTTTTTAATTACTTAACACATTTTTGTATTTTTGATATGTTCTGCTTGAAACTAATTCGTGCCATTTATTCTCTCCGTGTACTTGCAATATATATTTGGAAACTGGATAAGTGCTGTTTTCTTAGAACTAGGCTATCAGTGTAAATAAGTTATCAGTAAAATTAAGCCACCTATAATGCTAGTAATTTGCTTAATTTATTCATAACATGCATAAGGTCTTTGAGTTTATGTGTAAAGTTTCAGAGATTTAAATGATGGAAAATTCTCCAGTATACAAATCATTCCTTGTTCTGCAGTAATAAAGCCTGCTGTCATCAGGCAAAATAAATAGAAAAAAATCCAGAAATAAAGGCCATTTATTAAAAATTTCTCCTTTGTTGGTTTCTTAGGATTCTCTGCTACAGTGCCATCACTCCAGTCATGTAAATCATGTGTCACTTCATAAAGGAAAAGAGTGGCTGAAGATACCCAAACTCTTTGTTTTCCTTCATCCATCCAACTATCCATCCATCCATCTTGCCTACTATCTGTCTGTACGTATTTAATAGGTACCTGCTATATGCTAGGCACTGTCCTGGATGTTTCACTACCTTTATCTTATTTAATCTTTACAAAAAACTTATTACCCACCCATTTTACAGACAAGAAAGCTGAAGCTCAGAGTGGTCAAATAATTTACCCAAGGTCCTAGTCTTTAGGTAGTTGATCTGGGATAAAATTCAGAGGCTTGACTCCAGACACTACATATGGTTGCCTCTCTTGGTAGTTTTCTTCTGGAATGGAAGGGGTAGAGGAAGGGGAAAAGAAAAGGAAGTCAGCAGGTGATTTAACTGGATCAGTTTGGCTTAAATACGTTTGAATTAGAGGTTCAGAATTAGAGAGCATGGGAAAGAAGTGCTTGTAGTTTACATTATGCTTTTGCAGGTATTAGAAAAACTTTCTTCCTCTAAGCCAGAGCACACAGCTTAGTGAGCACAAAATGCACACTCAATGTAAGCCCCTTCTCACTCCCTTGCCAGGTGCCATTTTGTAGGGTGCAATCCACATCAACATTTGGCGTGGCCCTAAATGGGCGCATCTATCATGAAGGCTTCGCAGGAGTGAGTGTAGGGAAACAATGCAGAAAACTTCCCGTGCAGCTGACTCCCACCCAATCCTTGCATTTTCCTGCTTCATTTATAAAAGATTATGAATGTATAGTTAAAAATCTGCTACTTTCCCACATGTTGAGAGCAAGGGAAGTACATAGCTCAGAATCCTCAGCCAGACTTGCAGTCTGGCTATGAACTATCATACTTGTCTGACATCCCAGCAAGACTTCTTCTCTACACCACATTTTCAAGTATCCCATCATATTTTACATCAAATAGGGCTAAGAAAATTCTAACACATAATAAATAGGTAAAATAACCTAAAAATTAATAAAATATCAACTCTTAGCAGATTAAAAAATAACACATAAGATTAACATGCCATGTTATATCCCAAATTAAATATTGGAATTAAATAGTAAAAACAAAGTTCATTTTTTGCTCCATAGATGTTACGGAAAGAGAATGTTCAAAAGACTTGAGAATATTGGCAAGTGATTACAGAAGAGCTGAAATATTGATGGTAATCTTGAGAGGGAATGATGAAGTTAGGAGGGATTGGTAGCTCGGAATGAAGTGGAGGGGTGTGGCACTGGAGGACCCAGAAGTTTAAGGAACAGAAAAAGAAGTAATTGCAGCAGAAAGCTGGCAAGAGACAAGGCTGTGGTGACAATGTGGGACACTCGAATTTAATTTTTGGAGGTGCATATTTAGAGTCCAGGGGTGGCTGAAAGTGAACTGACATATGCATCCCTGACAATGAGAAGACCAAGGAGGGAGGTCAGGGTGTTGGACAGTTTGGGTGGATGTTGATATCCCCCAGGATGATATCAGATCTTGAGGTAGAGAGGAAATGCAATGAGAATGTACTGCTGTTTTCCAAGAGAAATGGCAATGTGGGGGATATTGACAAGAGAGTGAAAACTTCAAAGAGGCAGATGCTTGCTACACAAGTTAGAGGGATGCAGAGGTCTTGAAGTGGCACTGGGAAGTGATCTGACACTATCTCCCCTGGGAAGACAGGGAACGAGGTGTACCATGAGAAAATCCAGTTTCCACATGAGAACATGAGAAATATTCAGTCAAGATGCAAGATGCTGAGGACACGGGAAAATTTATTTAATGTGGATTCCACAGAGGTTCCAGAGGGCACAGCGGAGAGATCTGAGAGGAAGAGTAAATCTGTAGGGGTGTAGATGAGGAGGTGTAAGTCCAGAGAAGCGTGGGGATTAGCATAGGAAAGATGTAAGATATAAAGGCTTTCGCTGATCATACTTTCCCATACAAGTATTCCAAGCAGTCTCCTGCTGTCTGGTGAGAGGGGAGAAGGACCAAGCTTCTCAGGAGAAGTCAGCTGCTCCTGTGATTAACCGTGTTTCCTAGAAACTCTTGGTAGAGGGGATCAAGCTGGTCCCTGTTAATTGCTGCTCTTATATCTAGCGACTAAAGTGTTTTAAGTTTTGTACTAAGATTTGCACTTTTTACTTGAGAATGCTGTGGAAGATAAAGCAAGTTACATGAAAGACAAAGTAGCTAATGCCAGGCCTTTTCATTTGTAAGAATGAATTTCAACTATGTGTGTTATTTCTTAGAAAGGCAAATCAACTTTTTAGATTAATAGTGCACTAGAGATAAATCCTATGAATTAAAAAAAAAACATGGGCATTGAGAGAGGAGTAATTTTCTCCCCTGAGCACTTCTAATTCCAGGGTGGAGGAATTGAACATGTGTGAGTCAGAGATGATGGGAAGGAAGGGTAGGCATGTGAAGCTGGTATTAAAACTTAGACAAGAGGAGTGAGTACCTCTGGATGGGCAGGGATAAATGAAGTGTTTGCCTGAGAGTTTCTTCCCGAGTTGTCTGAAATGAGGATGAGTTGTGGAGGAGCTGTACTGCCAGTTCTGTTGATTGGATGTAGACTATATGGGAATGAAAAGTTTTCTGAAACACCAATCTCTTGCCCACAAATAACTTTGTAACTCAGACCATAAGAGACAAGGGATGTGGGCATTCCATTATTGTCCTAGGTCACTCAGTGGAGAAGAAGGACAAATGCATTGCATAAGGAAAATGGTGTGTGGTAATACTCAGGTGGAGGTCATGTGGAGGATATAAGGCAAGTGAGATGGTTGGCAACCAGATTGTGAGCCTAGTCAAAGGGTCGGAACTTCTTTGTTGAACTTCATGCCTGTGCTTTATATATGCCTTCTTTATAAAGGTGGCAAAACAGCATGGTTGCTTATACACCTATCGAGCTGGTGTATTGCCTATTAGGTCTGATTAACATGATTCATTAATATAGTGGATCAAAGTGATATTCTGCAGGATGATTCAATCAAACAAGTCCCTTTGGACTATATTATGACAGAGAGCAGGATAATTAACATATATCTAGGGCAAAACCATGAATTTGCACTGCTGTCCATTCCAAACGAATGCAAATTACTTCTAATTCTCTTCTCCAACAGCTGTGGAAAAATGCATTTGCCATATCAGTAGCTAGATATCATGTACCTGAGGCTGTGTTTGAAGTTACTATTTGGTTAGGTTTATGGTAGTCCACTGTCATTTGTCACAAAATATCTACTTTTCTCAAAACCAAATGGGTGAATTAAATGGTGATATGGGAAATGCAATCCCTGTATCTTTTAAATCCTTGAAGTTGATACTAATCTCTGCCATTCTTCTGAATTGCAATGTTGTTTTTGATTAATTATGTTGGTGGAGTAGAAAGGTAGTCTCAGAGGCTTCCACTTGCTGTACCTTACTATAATAACTCTTATTTTATTTATCAAAGCATCAGAGTGAGGACTCTACCAATGCTTAGTATATCCATTACAACTATTTATTTGAAAAGTGAGGAAATGATCACAAGATGAATCCTAGGGCTGTCTGTGAGGTAGACATGAGCTAGAAACCTAATTGCTACTTGACACATATATATCTCTGCTTTAACAGAGGGACCATAATAGTGTTTTAGGTGCCTGAGTTAGCATTAACTGGTGCCCCATATCCAACAGTGTACTCCCCTTTCCTTCATGTAAGTTTGCCTGAGTAAATGGCTATAAGTTCCTTTGGGGGAGAACTTAGAGAATCACTGTTACATACATTTGTCATGGCATTGCAGGGTCCTTTCTTCTGGAATATCTTAGCTTCTCTTTTAATAAACAGGTTCTATGTTTGAGAATTTGCAAATATATGTATTAATCATCTAATTAATGCTAATGCTCTAAATGTTGTTTTCCAAGTTAAAAAAAAATGGACAGTAACCAGCATGTGCTGACAAATACAAAAACTGGAAATATGGATTTTTCTAGAGGAAAACTCAGTTTTCTGAGGTGGTATGAGACCAGTAGTTCTTGCCCTCAAGGAGATCACAACTCAATTATGGAATCAATATCTATATATATGGCAAGTTTACTGAAGTTTGTTAAATATACTGCCAATTACAGTTCATTATAAAATAATTTTCTGTACATTTTTGAACTCACCCAACATTTTTATGGCCAGAGAAATGAGATTTTAGAAGTGCTTGTATGAGATCAATGCTGTTTCTAGCATTGTATTCCACCTATAAAACTAGAATCCTCTGCAGATTCAACTTTTCTGATAAAATGTAAATTATTTACTCCTTCAATTTAAGAGGCTCCAATTAGAAGAGAAACATATAATCACTTTTAAGGAATTGGAATAAATGCCAAATGCATGTAACTCCTGAAATTCAATGGATTAAAAATGAAGAAATAGAGGATAAACTTCTTCTGTTATCAAGTAAATATTATATAATCAGAAAGCAAAACTCCATGGAAATATAAACTACATATTCTCTAAAGATTATGGATATGCTTCCCCAATATTAGTCATATCTTTTTTGGTTCCTAGGAGATGCTATTTCCAGAGAAATATCTAGAGGAATCTATAGGAGGTAATTTTCATTTGGCTCAAATGATGCACCAGGGATTTCTTAAATCTAAGATTAAATAGACTAAATTTACTTTTATTTACAGTCTCTTCAAATAACTTTCTTTAAAGACATCACTCTCTTAAATAAAGATTCTTGTCTCACCTAAAGTACTCTCTTAATTACAAAAGGCCAAGCAAAATGCTTCCAAGGAAAAAAGTTTTCTTAGCTTTTATGATCAATTTGTAAAAAAGAAACCTGATATTTTTCAACTGTGTTCCTTTTTCTTTTATAGATTTTACAATTGATTAGATACCTCATTAGTATTTATGTAACAAATACAAATAAGCATGTATAGAGGTAGTAAGTTGCCTTTTGAAACAAGGGACATTCATGTTTTCATCCTTAAACTTACATGTATTAAAAAAATCATGGTTTAGCTAAATAAAACTTTAGCTAAAGAATTAATACTTAAAAATATGTAATTCCTAAAATAATTTCTTTAAATGATAGCAAGAATAGGGTGTTAAAAAATGTTCAGTAATATAGAAAGAGCTGTAATATTCCTTGCACATTATGCTCTGTCGCACCTGAGAAATGCTCATGTTAATGTTTTTCCCTCTGCCGGATCCTTTTCCTTATGCCTCTTTTTGCTCATTAATTCCTATAAATGCCTACATTCTTTAAACCCAATTCAGTTACCATATCATCCACGAAGGCTTCCCTGATGTCCACAGTGGGTGGACTTCCCTCCATTGTGTCCCTAACATGAGGACTTATGTCTTTTTCCATCACATCATGAGCTCTGGACCCTCAGGGACCATATGCCTAGTTAAGTGCCCTTCACAGGGTTCTGCCAACAAGAGAGGAATTTTAAACTTTATTGCATGTTGTTTAATGACATTTATGTTTTAAATAGCTCTTAAGGATTATTTTTGAAGCTGTGCAAATATTGCTCATCACATGATAGAGGCATTTGGAATATAAATATGACTTAAAATATACTGAGCACCAATCATAAAAGATATAGAAGCTAAAGAAAATACCACAAGCCTCCTCATGATTTGTTTTTCCCTTTGAGAATTATTCTCTGTGAAATTTAGTAAGCTAAGAGCTCTGTTTGTTTTTTCCTAAGCTGTGTTTATGAAATGCTGTGTTTAACAGATATTTTTCTAAGTTTGATAAATTCTGTACAAGTTCATGAATTTACACGCAAAACATTTGGCCCTCATTTCATTTCAGTCTTCTTCTAATCAACTTAAATGTACCATCAGCCTCCATCTCACATATTTCAATATTCATTCCACTCCTTCAACCACCTCTTCCCCTCAAATAACCTTCAGAGAAATAGCAATTATTTGAGAAAATGAAATCAAGTAAATAAGCTGTATTAAACTAGAAACCAAGTAGCCAGCCGTATTAAAGATATCCAAGGTTTGTATGTCTGGGTGAAACAACAATAAATATTTATTTTGATGCTTCTTTTTATGAGCATTTCAAGGCCCAGCTGTGGTATTAATGGCTTATCAAGCAAACCTATGCATTAAGAGAAACTGTTTTCATTTAGATAAATGGAAGCAGAGGCAAAGGAAAATGATGCAAGGCTCACCTTGTGAAAGTCACAAATTAGATACAAAGCACTGCCACAGGCAAATTTGAATTCAATAGAATAAAGCTAGCAGCCATGAACATCAGGTAATAGGCTTATCAAATGAGGTTTGTATTTTTTATAATGTACATTTTATGGGGACCAGTGTAAAACCAGTAGGCAGAATAAAATATAATTTTAAATATAATATAATAAAATATAATATATATTTTATATAATATATATTTTAAATATAATAAAATATAATTTTAAAAGAAAAATTCAATGAGCGATTCTTTTTCTAAGTTGAAAAACAACCTGTCTCAAATTTGCACCAAATGAAAGGCCCAGAGAAGTTTGTAAATGAGCTCCCTCACCTCCTAAAACCTTATGATTCTACCCACAGAATCTCATCTTCTACTCCCACGTACCATACCAGCCTCCAAGCCTGCCTCAAGACAGGAATATTTGGCATAAAGTACAGTATTAAAAAAAATAAAGGAATAAAGGATGAAAAACCTGGGTCAGCACTTATGATACAAAACCACATAGATTCAGTTTAAAAAAATACTTATCGTTTTGGTCATGAACATCATTTTATAAGTGCATTTATCCAACATTTATTCAATACTCATTATGTGCCAGTGTCTATTAACTCATTTAATCTTCCCAAATTTCTGAAAAACAATAGACCATGTCCTTTAAAACAAAATTCATTTATATTAAAATATAAATACTACATGCAATAAAGGTCTTATGTTGAGCCATATGTTGAACCAAAGTCTTATGTTGAAATGTTGAAACTTAAAATTGGGCTCGTCCCCTACATCAGGATCTCTGTTTCCTTTGAACTTCTGCCGAAATTGTTAACCTATAGAAGTGCACGTGTTTTCCTTGCTTTATTTGCAAGCTTGCATTGCTGTTATTCTAGAGTAATTAGCAGCACACACCAGGATTCCTCTCTTTCATTGCTGTCACCATCTTCCAACGGCTAACAGACTCTTAGTTTCTAATCCTCCATGGATCAGATTAATTTAAAATAAAATCCTAATGAGATAGGAACCTAGCATACAGTCATAAATCATCTTTTATGTATCACCACTCTGTTGGAAGCTTTACAGGGTAGAAATATGACAAATGTGTATGTTGTAAGGTTGACATATTTATAAACCGAGAATCCTAAAATATTGTGACATATGCAAAAGTGGAATTATGTACAGACTAGGAAAGTACATGGCAGGAATGGAGCCTGTTGGCAGAGTAATGCTTCACAGAAGCCTAGGAGCTGAGTTTTTAAGGATTAGTAAGAGTCAGTGAAGGAAAAAGTGCCAGAAAGGAGAGAAAATAGGTAGAGAAAATTAAGAATTATGAAGGATCAGCATGTGCAAACACATGAAGGCATGAAACTGCCTGGTGGAGCCGGGAAATTGCACGTAGGTTGTTATTACTGGAGCATCAAGTAAATAGGTGGAGAAATGTACTCATTAGTGTAATTGTTGCTACTATCATAAATACATCCTCAAATTTCAGTGACTTAACAGAACACAAATTTATTTCTTATTCATGTAAAAGACCAGTGGTAGTGTTCCTGACTGGTGAGTGCCAGTCTTCTACACCATGTAGTGACTCAAGGATCCAGATTTCTTCCACTTTGTGGTTCCGTTATTCTCTAAGACTTTGTCTCCCTGGTATTCAGCTGGCAAAAGAGGAGAGCGGGGGTGAGGAGAAGGCTCTTCTGTTTAAACTCTATTAGCACAGGAGCAACACATCTCACTTCTGTTGATAGTCCACCGGCAAGAACTAGTCACATCGACCATTCTTAAATGCAAGAAAAGTCAGGAAACGTAGACCCTAACTGACAGTAACTTTTCAATAACCACTTATATTATGGAAGGGAGGAGCACCAAGTTTAAGGATCAGCTAGCTGTCTCAGCCATGGGGAACTACTTATTCCTTTACTCATGCTGACTTCTCACTAATCAGTTTAACTAAAGTCTGAAATTAGGGCTGAGGAAGTGAATGGAACTCTTGGCTGATAGAGGGAGCATGGATAGTAGAAAGATCGTTATCCTTTCCACCCTTCCTGAAGCTCCTGATTTTTCCAGAGCAAGTATGGGTCCATCAAAGAAATGATGGCTTGAGAAGGTACACAAATGCGGCCTCTTGGAGAGGGGAGATATGGCTATTGGGGGAACAAGGTTAGGATGTCTGAATAAATTGAGTCCTCATTTAGTTAAGCCTTCGAATAGTTAATGTTCATTTTACTATTTCACTGATAGAGATCTCATGTTATTTTGTTTAGGATCAGTGTTTATTGTGAAATCATCTGTTCCACAATGATGACTTCAGGAATTTTAGACTGTAAAGCAAATGTTTAAACTTTCAGATTATGTGAAAACTTTCAATTATTTATGCATTGACTTACTTGTTTATTTAACAGTAGTTTCTAAGCACTTATATGCCAGGTGCTTGAAGAGAAACAAAGCTGTAAGCATATCTCTGGGTGGTTGGGTGGGATTTAGAAGAGTAGTTCTCAACATTTTTTTGATACCAACACTTCTAAGGATTGACACATATTCGCAGTGGAATTAATTTTCAACCTGCAAGATGTGCTGTTCGCTCCCATCCACCCTTGCCACGGGGATCAATGCCAAACCTCCAGTGAGGATCCTCTATATTTGCAACTTGACAAAGTACTATAAGTGATACAATATGATGTTCTTTGGCAGGTCATGTCTCCATCTTGTGTCCCACTGATAATTACTGATTCTGACATTCAGCTACCACCTCAATAAGGCTGAATGCATTCCACATGAGTAAGCCAGAGATTTCAGTAGATAGAATACAGGGGCTCTAGAAAGGAGAAAATGCAATAGGATATATTCAGAGTGTTGTAAGAGAGACAGCCATATCTCATTAAAAAATTGTTTTAAAAATATCATATACTGATTCTAGCTAAACCATCCAACTGTGTAGTAGCTACCTAATTACTAACGGTAGATTTTTGACAGGTATATCTATGTGGACATTTTTGTACCTGAAATCAAGAAGAAAAAAAAGATAATCATATGTGAATTCAAGATAAAAAAATACAAGGAGAAAGTTTCGGAACTTAATGTTTTTATGCAGTTTGACAATGTTAACGTGCTTGAGCTACTGTTGAATAAAAAGGCTGAATTACAATAGGTGTTGAAAGTGTTCAATGAAATAAATCCTGTTGAGTCTCAGGTCCTTTGAAGTGTGTATTATGCAATCACTAAGAACCGTTTGCTTGAAATCAAGTACTTGCCCTGCTTGTACTTTGCTATATACAATTTCACATTAGTTAGACGAATTAATAACCATTACAATTTCCAACTTCATTAGAGGTGGGGATTCTGTCTTGAATTTCTGTAGAAGGAAATAATTTGCTGCTATTGTGGATAGGTATCAATTGTCAACTCTAGTTCCATAGACCTGGTATAGTTGTTTTTTTTTTTTGTACCTTCTGTCAGTTTGAGGTCAGTTTCTTCTTATGAATGAGAAGCCGCCTTTGCCCTTCAAGAAAATGAAATAAAGCCAGAATAACCTTCCTGCTTCCCCTGCCTGCCTTCCCAGTCTAGTATTTCAGCATCTGAAGAGTTTATTTTTGGATGTCATTAAATATAGCTAGTGATCCTTTAAATGAAATGGATTAAATGGCAAATGGCTTAGCATCTTCTACCCTTCAGTCTAGTCACCTGAAAAAATTCACAATTCAAAATATGATTTATAACATAACCCTTCTTCATCTCTATTTCTATTATTTCTTGGGAAAAAAGTTTCCTTGCTGATAATGTTGAAGTGTATGCTGACGTTACTACCTTTCATCAATATCTTCTTATGGTAGTAAAGTGGCTACTTTTTAGTTTTCTCACCTGTTGTTTGGAATTTTCCATGGCTTCAAAGATTTTACAGGGGAAGAAAAAAACCATAATTTCCCCAAGACATATTTTGCCAATGGAGAGTTTTCTCCCTTTAGGAATTTTCATATGTGTATGATATTTTGAGCCATTTGTTTGTTAATTCTCACAATTTCTTACAAGTAGTCCTGTCTTCCAAAGCTAAAAATATACTGCAGCTACATATCCTAAGTGATAATGCATATATATACATATATATACTATATGCTATCATATCGTATACACATATATCTGATAAAATGATTTGAACACATTAATTATTAACAACTTTAATTTTTTTAAACTGAAGAACATTATCTCAAACACATCTTTTCTTTTGACAGTACAAAACTGAGGTCTTTTCTTGAATAATGAGATTCTGAATTGATTGGACACATGAGCAGGTATAGACCCAAATGTCATTGAGGGGAAATTTGGGTAAAATACAAGAAAAGTTTTCACTTTTAAGAGAACTGGTTTCTAATCTAATTTATTAGATTCAACAAATGCATATTGAGCACCATCTATAAGTCTAGGTGAGTATGAGAAGTGAAATTAAACATTAAAATATCTCTGGGCTCCTAGTCCCTCGGAAGTGACAATTTAGCAGCCACAAAAAGAATAAAATATCTGGGAATAGAGCTAAATAGGTAGGTGAAAGATCTCCATGGCACGAATTATAAAACACTGCTGAAAGAAAGTAGAGATGACACAAACAAATGGAAAAGCATTTCATGCTCATGGATAGGAAGAATCAATATTGTTATAAGGCCATTCTGCCCAAAGCAATTTGCAAATTCTATACTATTCCTAAAAAACTACCAATGTCATTTTTCACAGAATTAGAAAAAAAATTCTAAAATTCATATCAAACCAAAAAAGAGCCAAGTAGCCAAAGCAATCTAACCAAACAGAACAACACCAGAGGAATCACACTACCTCACCTCAAACTATACTACAAGGCTACAGTAACTAAAACAGCATGGTACTGGTACAAAAAACAGACACATAGACCAATGGAACAGGTTAGAGGACCCAGAAATAAAGCCACATACCTACAACCATCTGATCTTTGAGAAAATTCATAATAAGCAGTGGGGAAATAACATGCTATTCAATAAATGGTTCTGAGATAACTGGCTAGGCATATGCAGAAGATTGAAACTGGGCCCCTTCCTTTCACCATATACAAAAATCAGCTAGTAGTGGGTTAAAGACTTAAATCTAAGACTTAAAACTATAAAAGCCCTAGAAAACAACCTAGGAAATACCATTTTGGACACAGGCCTTGACAAATACTTCATGACAAGAAGTCTTCAGAAGCAATTGCCAACAAAAACAAAACTAGACAAATTAATTATTTGTCTATTTAGAAACCTAAATTGTTTGTCTATTTAGAAACCTAAAACTAAAGCATACTGTGCAGCAAGGGAAACTAACAACAGAGTAAACAGACAACCTACAGAATGGGAGAAAATATTTGCAAATTCTGCATCTGACAAGTTCTAATATGCAGAATCTATAAGAAATCTAAACAAATCAAAAAGCCAAAAACCCCAAACAGCCCATTAAAAAACGGGCAAAGAACATGAGCAGACAATTCTCAAAAGAAGACACATATGTGGCCAACAACCACATAAAAGAATGCTCGGCTGGGGTTGGTGGCTCAGGCCTGGCATGGTGGCTCACACCTGTAATCCCAGCACTTTGGGAGGCTGAGGTGGGAAGATCATGAGGTCAAGAGATTGAGACCATCCTGGCCAATATGGTGAAACCCCATCTCTGCTAAAAATACAAAAATTAGCTGGGCATGATGGTGCACACCTGTAGTCCCAGCTATTCAGGAGGCTGAGGCAGGAGAATTGCTTGAACCTGGGAGACGGAGGTTGCAGTGAGCTGAGACTGTACCACTGCACTCCAGCCTGTGACAGAGTGAGACTCCATCTCAAAAAAAAAAAAAAAAATGCTCAACATCACTAATCATGAAAGAAATGCAATCAAAACCACCGTGAGATACCACCTCACACCAGTCAGAACTGTTATTATTAAAAATTCAAAAAACAACAGATGCTGGCGAGGTTCCAGAAAAAAGGGACTCCTTATACGCTGTTAGTGAGGGTGTAAATTAGTTCAGCCACTGTGGAAAGCAGTTTGGAAATTTCTCAAAGGAAAAACAGAACTACCATTTGTCCCAGCAAACTCATTACTGGGTAAATATTAAAAAGAAAACAAATTATTCTACCAGAAAGTCACATGCATTTGCATGTTTATCACACCCCTATTCATAATAACAAAGACATGGAATCAATATAGGTGCCCATCAACAGCAGACTGGATAAAGAAAATATGGTACGTATACACAATGGAATACTATGCAGCCATAAAAAGGATGACATTTTGTTCTTTGCAGCAACGTGGATGCAGCTGGAGACCATTAACTCAAGGGAATTAATGTAGAAACAGAAAACCAAATACCACATGTTCTCACTTATAAGTGGGAGCTTAACATTACGTATACATGGCAACAGTGGACACCGGGGCCTCTTTGACAGGGGAGGGTGGTAGGAGGTTGAGGGTTGAAAAACTATCTATTACTGGGTACTATGCCCAGTAGGTGGATGATGAAATAATTTGCACACCAAATCTTTGCAACGTGCAATTTACCCACGTAGCAAATGTGCACATGTACCCCCAAATCTACAATAAAATTTGACAAAAAAAAGAAGCGACAATTCAGAATTGGACTTAATTATGGGCTTCCCATAAATTATATTAAGACGTCAGAATCTAATGGTTACAACCCTTTTCCTTCACTAGCTTCTCTCCTATTGCCAGGCTATTTCAATAGCTTAGGATATGTAGACATCAGCGCAACCCGCAGAATTAGTAATTATTCCCTCAAAGGACAAAAATGTGTAAACTGGATTTTTAGATAAACAGTTGAAGAGGTTTTTGGTGACATTTTCCTTCACAATATGATTTAAGTTAAGGGATTAAAATGGTAAAATATGCTCAGCTTATCCTTTTTCATTAACTTTTCTCAGTTATATGAAAAGATTAATGAAACAGAAGTGCAGGCACAAAATTTGTGGCATAGTTTTGTGTTATTATTAATAAAAAATGAATGGGCTGAAAATTCTACCCCTAACAATGTTTTGGAAAATATAATCTAATGGAGGTGAGGCATGTAAATACGTATAATGCACGCAATCTGCCAGAGAAGTACTGACTTATGCAAGCGTAGTATATTCTGTCTCTGCCACACACTTGCCAACAATGAGTATTATCACTTAAAACATTTTTTCTAGATCAATAAAACATAAGTTGAATTAGCACAGCTCACAAGGACAAGAGGGAGGAGGGCTAGCAGGTGCCAATAAATGCTCACAGGCTCTGATGGGAGGAGCATACAAATATTAACGCATTTGGATAGAAATCTTATGATATGAATCAAAAGACTTAAAATACTGTTTGAACCTCCAATGACACTCCTAAGAACTTATTGTAAGGAGAAAAACAAATCAGAAGAACATGCAAAGATAAATGTATACAAATGGCTATTCATCATAAGGCTTTTGTAATAGTGAAAAATTCTCCAAAACAGGGAATTATTTAACCAAAGGTAATGAATCAAATGAAAGGTAATCGAAATTAGTTAAGTAGGCTGCGTGTGGGACAAAAGAGATGGTGGCAAGTAGGAGGTGAGGCAAACTGTGCAGGCAGGTCTAGCAGGTGATTGCTACCTGGAGATGTTGCTAGAGTTTTTGATTCATCGAAAGATACTGCAAGCCCATTTTTTGTAAGGTAATTTGTCAAGTTTTAAAATTATGTGTAGGAAAAACCAGATGCATTTGTGGGCTCTGAGACATGGGCTGCCAGTATACAACATTAAAAAAAAATAAATCATATGAATAGTTATAGTGGAACAAAATGCCATTACTAAAAGTGATGCTATAGTTGTGTGTTTGTTGATGTTTCAAAATGGAATACGTAATATGCTCCCAATTTTTGAAAATAATGCTAACATATATTGTTGTATTTGTACCCAAAAGGAAGAGACTTGCGTTATATTCACTAAAATATTAATCATGACTAGCTCTGGGTGAGGATTTCAGGGACATTTTGATTTTGTATTTTCTAATTTTTCCACTTTAAGCATATATCACATAATAAAGTTTAATTAAAATAGCAAAATATATTTGATTTTTACAATGGAGAATGTGACAGGAGATCAGAATTAGAAGAACCTGCAGGTAGCAATGAATTTGACAGAAAATTAGAAATGCACTAAAACTGTTGCAGAAAAATATTAATGCATTCGAAAGCCAATTTGACAAATATGTTATATATTAGTAGCAGGACTATTTTCCAAAAGCATACCAGAGTTACAAAGACAAATAAGACAAGAGTCTCTTCCCTCTAGGAGTCCACAGTCTAATGAGGATCTCCCAGTGTTACCTTTTAATTATAGAACATAGGAATGTAATCATGAAATAAAATGAGGACAAAAGAACAATGAAAATTAGAAATGGGAAAATCTGTAATTTTGTTTTTGTGGCCTGGTTTAGAATGTCAGGATGGTAAGTCTCAGAAATCAATATCATTATGGAATTATACTTGATTGAAACCAGGAAAATGGCAAAACATAATTTATAACTATTTTAAAATACAGAAGAAAAATTGAATACCAATAATCTTGTAAGAAAATTTTACACAAAAATGTTACAAATGATTATGGAATTTATTTTCTTGGGATTCCCAACATACTTAGATAATAAATGCCATGTTCCAAATACAATGGTTATTCTTTTTGCCAGTGGCAAATTCTATATAAAGCACTGTGTCTTGGACAAAAATCCAAGAGAGTTATTTACCAAAAATGCTCTCATCATTAAAAGGGGTTAAAAGAGTCACAGGCCCCAAAGATAACACATTTCAGAAGACATTTTTGTATTTTTTTTGCCAAAATAGAAAATATTGAAGAGATAAAAAAATTCAGCTAAAATTTTAATTTGTGCTTTATCAAAGCATCTTGTAGAACCTCACAAGAAGCATTAAAGATTATTAAAATATATAAATAGAGCAGTTGCTTGTAAAATGAAACATGAATTGATGTGATAAAACGTACAAATTGCATATTATAAAATGGTGGTGGGGCACGCTAGGCATAAAGGACGCAATAAAACTGAGGGAACTGGCTGACCAGAAAGCGCATATGTAAATAAGTTGTATATGCAATTCACTATAAATAGAGATGTTAGGTAATGATCCTAGAAACTAAATTCAAAAGGAATGCTCTGTCTGTAGCCACATGCTGCAAAACATTTAACAAGAAAAAATCTCTGGGTCTTGGTACAGTGGCACATCAAAGTTTCTGCATAGGTTTTCGTAGCAGTAAGGCCCCTGAAGAATTCCAAGAGACGTTAATAAAAGCATCAAGTTTAAGTAGAGGGAATTATGAACAACATTTTAACAAATGTCACTGGGATTACATATACAAAGTCAAGAAATGTGTGTTTGTCCACTTCACAAGTAGATAGAAGATAAAGCTTAGAAAAAGAGTGCAGTATCATAATGGTAAGCATTTAAGACTTACTGAAAATAGAAACAGAGATAAAAAAAGAGCACCAGTCACAATCAAGACACAAAGAAAAAGTTTAGGTCATAAATCTGTACTTGCTAGGGATACCTCTTTTTAGAAATCACCTTTGCAAAACTTTCATAATTTTTATAAATACTCTTTATTCAATGTTTTTATTATACTAATTTGAACATTGCACTTTCTCCAAAGAAAGCTAAACTGGTCCTATGTAAAGAGATTCTTAAACCTTTCTTCTTAAAGACTATACCTGGTGGTGCTGAATGTATATGTTTATCATCCAGTTGACTGATGTTCCCATTAACTTCCTTATATGATCCAAGTTTCTGGGCACGTTGGACTTGCAGTAGTAAGTCAGCCTCAGCTTTAGCCCACTGGGCAGAGGCCTGGGTGAGAGCATTTGCTGAAACCGCATCAGACTTCAGAGCCCAAACATTTTTCTTCTTCTGACCAACCCTTTCCCCATAGGAAGTCAAATGTGTAACCCACATTTCTCAGGCCATACCATGGGGATTAGAATAGGGTACTTGCTCTGTGAGGACTCCTGGAATTTGAATTATGATACAATTTAAAATGTTCTGACTTAAAAAAATTAATGAAATCTTACTGCCATGTCAAATTGGAAATCAAGTGACATCCCTGTAGAAACTTTTCTGCCACCTCTTTCTTACAACCAAAAGGCACCTGAAGCCCTGCTTTCATGGTCTGTATTTATGCTGGAAATAGAGATCAGTAGTTTTTTTTCCTATGCTCCAAATTAAAACCCAAACCAAAAAACAACAGAATCCGGACTTGTACAATTTCATTGCTTGCAGGCCCAGCGAATTGCAAACTATACGATTTCTGTTCCTATAGCTGGTAAACAAAAATGGCTGCCAATCAGAGTCTCACATAGATGGGCACTGCTTAGGGGGAGGGGTCTAGTCAGTATCTTACTGTTCTTTTAGCTTCATAATTACCATACTTTGAAATTTTAAAAAATATCCTCTAGCAATATCATGAGCATGCACTAAGTGGTGAAGCTAGAACTAGTGCTAGACAATTCACCTGAAAGTCAATAACTTTGGAACCAAAGTTAGATGTCATAAAACACTACATAGAAGGCCAGACTACTGCTGTGACAATTTAGGAGACAGCACTCCGTAAAATATCAGAGGCAATGTTGAGAAAACAAAGCAACATTAAGCAAAAATACACTCTAAATATTGTGTATTTATGTAGATTTATGCAGGCCAGATGCATTCCCTATAGTTTTCACTTATTCCATTAGGAAAATTAATCTTGAATAATGCCAATTTGAATTATGAGGGACACTTTCAGGAATTCATGAATCCATTGCATAAAACACAACTACCTTGCAACCCCAATATTGTCAGGAATGGGTAGCTTTAACTAAAACCCTTCTTCTCCCACTGTTCCCTGATTCCTCTGCAGGCCAGGGGCAGCCTGGCAGGCTGACATTTCAGCTTCTTTGAAATATACGTGCTCCAATAACTAAGACAACACAAACCTTGGAAAACCCACAGCACCTAAATATCTGCCTGCAGCTCTACTTGTTTCACTACTATGTGGGTGTCATGCAAACAAGCTTAGATCAATTTTTATAATGACAGAAGATTATTACAAATAATCAATATACTTAATTGTACATGTTTAGAGACTTTCTTTTTCTTCAGTTTGAATTATCTTCCCAGAACTTTTGTTTTTTGTTTGGTCATTCATATAGATGACTGTTGAAAAGCCTGGATATTCTTGTTATAAATTCTATGCTTCTTGCGGTGAGGGGCCTTATCTATTATATTAACATCCTGTTTATTAGATTGTGCCTGATTGGTGCTTGATAAACATATGTCAAAGTGATGGACAATATGAAATCAGTTTTGTGGTCTTGTTTAGCTGCCTCAACAACCTTCATAACATTTTGTCTACAGTAAAATATGTCTGAGCTCCCAAGAACTCAGTTACGAATGCATTGTTGGAACTTATTCTGTTGATTTAAATTAAGAATGGTTTATAAACAATAAATTGAGAACCACTACTACAAATTATTTGTGTTTACCATTTAACTGCAGCAAACAAAAAATGCCATATCTCTTAGGCAGCAGATCCTTTTTGAAATTCAAGTTATGACAACTGTGTTTTAACTTCTTCATCTTCAAGAAATGAATCCATTCTTTCCAGCTGTAATCATCTTGGCCAAGAGACCTCAGCATTTTTTTTTCTGCAAAGGCCCATGATTCATCATAAAAAAATCAGAAACTGGCCAAAATAAATGGTACAAATATTCGTCAGGGAAAACAGCTATGTAACTAATTGTAGATTCAATTTTTCAATTGGTGTTCTTTCTATAAATTGTGTCCTTCCAAAAATTACCCCCAACCAAAAAAAAACCCACTTTTCACTTAAGACATTTTGTTCATGATATCTTGTATCTTTAATAAAAATGCACATGTATTCACATCAATGCTGAATGACTAATACCCAGAGTCTACGAAATTGCGCCTCTAAAAGGACATATGTATCACTGTCATCCTGTTTCTTGTCCTCACATTGGCTTAGAAAGATAAATACATCTGATGATTATTGTACTGCTTAATGACTTTCTAGGTTCATAAGAAATTTCATAGATTAGGTAAAAAAATTGAATACTAAGTCAAGATCTTCTAGTTTTAACAAAAGAAGACTAAAGATGAAGGGCAATTTGCAAGCTGGTGAATGTTTGTGGCTCATAAATTTAACCCCCAAATTGTCGTGTTGTTTTTTTCTTTTCTTTCTTTCTTTCTTTTTGCATAGAAAACCCATATAGAACTTAACAAATTTACAAAAAGACCTCATATATAGAGTGTGAGCTAACATGGAAGATGTTAATAGTGCCGTTAGGCAGTGTGATTTCTATCATTATCAGCCATTATTCTAAGAATAGTAAGTGGCAGATAAAGAGCTCTGACTAAATTTCCATCTTTTTTTGTAGTCAGCATGTAAAATGCATATACTTTGCTTCTAAATTGTCACCCCTTTCTTACAAATTGCTCATTATATTTGCTTAGACTTGTAAAATGGAAACTATTTTATTTAAAGGAAATAAAGGCAGGAAACATTGAATAAGGTACCTGTGACTGTTTTTAGATGTGTATTTTAAAACCTTTAGCAGTGGTCCTGGACTTTGACTGAGTCAATAGAAAGTAGAAATTCTCCTGGCAATTAAAGAAAAGAAGAAAAGAAAGAAGGAAAAGAGGAAAACAAGAAAACAAAAAGTTGAACTGTGACTAATGAGACCTGGAAAGGAGCTCTGTTTTTTTTTTTTTTTTTTTTTTAATTAAAAGTAATTTTGAAAGCCTCACTTGAAATACAAAAAATTAGCCGGGCGTGGTGCCAGGCGCCTGTAATCCCAGCTACTCGGGAGGCTGAGGCAGGAGAATGGCATGAACCTGGGACCTGGGAGGCGGGGCTTGCAGTGAGCAGAGATCGCACCACTGCACTCCAGCCTGGGTGACAGAGCGAGACTCCGTCTCAAGAACAAAAAAAAAAAAAAAAGGAAAGAAAGAGGTCTCAATGAACCAGATTAGGAAGGCTTTGAAATCAGGTGTAAGTGGCTTACTTTGTTTAGGAGTTTTGCTGGTTCACATACAGTGATTTTATGTGCATATATGTGTGAATATCATACCATATATAAAGTTGACATGCCACATTCAAAGATTAAAATGCAGACAGAATATACTAGAATTTTGGTCCTCTTCTGAGGACCAGAAGAAAGAAAAGGAAGCAAAAAAAAAAAAAAAAAAAAAAAAAAAAAAAGGATAGGGATTGTATTGTTCTCTTTAGAAGAGAATGTGGCAATATTAATTTAGTTCCAGGATAATATATTAGTCTTTGACATTTAGCTTTTGTTCTTCTTGTGGAGATGTTTCTTACATGCCTTATGTTGCAACAATGGTTTGATGTCTGAAAGGCCGAAGACAGCTTTTTCAGTTGTGTTGAATTTGAATTCGTGTTAAATTTTCCTTAATGCAAAATTCAAACAGTTCATACTTCGTTAATGCCCAGTAGGTAGAATGTAAACACATATATTGTACAATGGGAATGGCTGTGTGTAGCAATAACCGACATACTACCAGACCTTCAAATGAATTTTGAAGCATCATCATAAAAGGATTAAATGTTGTTTCATAGAGTAAAATGTATTTTGACTGGAATTGAATTGTATAAAATTTTCTAGTATGTATATAATAGGTATGAAATCACTCAACTAATCAAAAAATTATCTCCTGCCATTTTGAATGCATTAGAATTTACTGCATCATATTATAATCTTTAAAATGCCATTTTAAAGCAAAATGTTTCATGAATGGGTAAACTTTCATAATATAGAGGGCATTATTATAAACATTATTGTAAATTTTTATTTACTAGAAGTACCACAGAAGAATAGTTGATATCCACCATTTCAAGCCAGCACACTAAAGCATTACATCCATAGTGTGTGCAGTTTCTAATATATGCTTTTTAATCATTCTTTTTGCTTCCTCAAGCAAAAACAACAACTTACACTCATTGGCATTAAATGACAGAAATCACAGTTAGTAATTCTGGTTGGAGTCTTTTGTTAATACCTCATATTTATCAAAAAATTCCCTGTTCTATGTTATAATGTATACTGCAGTTGAAAAACACAAATGGTACCAGAGAGCATACGGTTTTTTAATTTCCTTAAAAATAAAAAGCTAGGGAATTAAATGCTTGCTAATGAAGTGTTACATTTCTTAGTTTCTCCAACTCATTTTAATTGAAAAAAATCCCTTAAAGTGTCTCCCATTTTCCTATTCTCAGAAGAGAAATAAGAATGATCTATAAAAGAACATGCAGTACAATGACTAAAAAACTGAAACAAAAACGGCATTCTTTAGAAAAAAATCTTGCATTCCTTTTGTGTATGTGAGAAGTGGCGCAGAGTTCAGATGTTCAAGGATTCATTCTTAACAGATTTTTCAAACATTCAGATAGATATTTCAGTGGAATAATCTCAGTAGTTTATGCGGGTGATAAATGAACATTTTAGGCTCACCTGACCCCAGGCAACACTGAGCTAAATTACCTTTTCTCCAAATGGAGCCCTCTATACATCTCTCTCTTCCTTGAAATGCTGATTAAAACAGCAAGAGGTGATGAAAAAGATGTTGTGTTGACTCAGGGATAAAGCAATAATGGAAATGTGTGAAATCATAGCCTGGCTCCGGAACCAGGTATAACTTGGACTGTAAAATGCAACACTTCCCGAGGCTCCATGCTGTCCACAGGGAAGGCAATTACCTTTGGGTTGGGGAAAGCTTGAGATGCACAGCTTAAGGGAGGCAGGTGAGCTAGTGTCTGGGGGAGACTGGGAGGCCCTGGGGGAGCCAGGACACCTAATTTCTTCTCCATGTTCTACCTTTGACTCAAGGTGATAATACTGCTATTCCAACACCATCCTAAGTTTCAAGATAAATTTTTATTAGCCATAGAATGAATGTAAGATGCCCAGAGACTGTTTCCACATATTCAGGATGTTGCCTTTACAGGCCCCTAAGAAGCTAAAGAGGGAGACGGTGATAAGGGAATGTGGAAGAAGGGGAAATGGGAGGCATGCCTGAAGGGAAAGCAAGGGACAGGGAAGGGAAAAGTAGGGAAGGAAGAGGAAGAGTGAGTCAAAAGAGCATGTGGAAGGGAAGGTAGAGGAAGAAAAGAAACAGAGGGAGAAGGCCAATGTCTCTGTCTTTTCAAGTGAAACACGCTCATTTAGATTCATATGCGTGAAAGCATATAATGGTAATATTATGGTAAAATGCTATGAGTGTGAGCATGTATGTGTACATGAGGCTACACTTGGGATGCCATGCAAGTGTATGTGCAGCCTTTGCTCAGTTATTCCAGGCCCTCAACTTCTTCTCCAAAATGGAAGGGTGTCAAGGGACTCAATAGCAAATGGATTGGGCTCTATGTTCTCTGTCAGACCTGTGTGGCTTTGCTACATATCCAGGCTGAGAAGATATCCTTTTCCATATTCCCCCAAACCCTCTGTTATTTGACTGTCCTGTTGCCAAAATTCTGAGGGTATCTGCAATGTATTTCCAACTTTGTTATAAAGGAATTTCAGTCCCTGAGATATCCTGGTAGCTAACCATTTGACACAGCTATTTTATTAACCTAGTCCTTGCAGCTTCCTGGAGGGATGCCGGAACAGGGAAAATGATGGTATCTGCTTGAAAAACATGAAAATTAATGGGGACTATATCCGAATGAACTTATCTTTTTCATAGGAATGTACTCTTCTAGAAAACATGAAACAATTACAGTGTACAATTTTTATACATTTCTCCAGGGTACAAATCTTTCTTTTATCATATGCATAGCTATTTTTGCCTACTTGGGATTCAAAGATGCAGTGGGGACCATATACATGAGGCTGATCATTTTAGAAAATGAATCATAAAATAGTTGCACATGAAATAAAGTAGGGAGTGAAGAGTCCTACAAGTCCTGTAGTAATTATTAAAGAGCAATTAGTCTCTTTATAAATCAGTTCATCAAGGAAGTCTTTTAAAAGTCAAGCTGCTTGAATATAATGATCACTTATTTAATTGACGTAAATAAAGGAAGGAATGAAATTTAAATTTAAAATGTAGATACCTTAGGTGGTGAAGAGTAAGAGAGGGGGAAGATTATTGATTGTCAGAATTTCAATTCATATACATTGTCCCCTTCCAACCACCACAACTGAATTCTGAGACATTTTGGGGAATATATTAGAAATTAGTGGGGCAAGTTCACCAGAAACCTTTTGGCATAGGGTCTTAGGATTGTACTTGGAAGGCACTTACCCTGAAAATAAAAGATACCTGAACCAATATATTAAATGATTAAGAAATTATTTTAAAATAGAACACAGTAACTGACTCTCAGCTTTAACTTTTGTTTCAGGCATCCTTACTCCTGAACCATAGGTGAATCCTATATAGATCTGAGCATCTATAAGAGAGACCTGTTGACCTGGAAGCTTTGTAAATCATTGGGACACAAATAGCACAGCTTTGTGTTAGAGATGTCTCTACCATAGTGGGGCAGGAGTGGGGTGGGAACAGGCACACATTTCTAAGTACCCTGATCACAGAGCTGAGGGATCCTGTGAACACTTGAGTACCTGGGGATGATACTTACTTGAACAATGGGGTGTCAGTTGTCAAGTTTAGTTCTTGGAGAAAAACAGAAGAATAGTATCATGGCTTGTTAGAGACTGTGGCACCCCATAGGAGTATTCATATTTCTGAGGCACCTCTTGGAGGTCTCCACAAATAATTGATAGGGAATTTTATAGGGTGCCAAAGGTTTTGAACCTTCTGTTAGAGTCCAGAGCCAGTGAAATGTGTTATATTTTTTGCTGTGATTCCATTCTTTCATGAAGCCCAGGAATACTGAGTTTAAACAACAATCTCACTTTTGGGTAAGATGAGCTGAAAATTTTCGTCTGACCTGAAGACTTGTGAGCTTACAACAATGATATGGGTTTGCAGACATTTTTGACGATCTTCCTGGTGGGAAGGGATGCCTTATTTTAACCTCAGAAACTGTCAGAGTGACTCAGCACTTTAGGGAACCAGGACTTAGGGTTACGTTCTTGCCAACAGAAACTGGGATAAAGCAGCTGTAGGCCCACAGCTAAAGAAGTTTAAACCATGAGCAATATTCTAGGAGCTTTCCTAGAGTGTGTCTGGAGGGTGTTTCTGCATGAGCTGGTTGCCACACCATCCGCACTGACCTGGCATGGCAGTAATCTCAGTAATCTGGTATCCTTTGTAAAACCCCTTGTTAGTAAATCTCCATCATGTTTATATATGGTAATGTCCTACTTGACCAGAGGTCAGGCTCCCAGCACCCTCTGTTCCCTGGAATGCAAACTCAGAAATAAGCAGAAAAGGCCGTGTGGTACTCAAAATAGCTCCTGTGTCCCCAGACTAAAGCCATGGACTTTCCTTCTTACAGGCTTATATGCTCTCACTTAGAAATTGTTTATTTTTATTTAACAGAGGTCATAATAATTGTGGGTTTCTTGGTTTCCCAGCTCAAAGTAGATTAAAAGTAACACATTAGGAAGTCAGAGAAAATGTTAGAAGCAAGCAAACTGGCAGCTATGAAGTAACAGTTCATAGATAAGGAAGGAGGAAGCAGAAAATTAAAAAACAGATTCAGAACTGCATGTATTTCATATAATAATGCAGTGCTAGTGATTCATAATGATAGTGTAGTTATCAAAAAGACCAAATTATGTTCAGTGGTTGCTATTTTAAAAAGGCAAGGAAGAATTTAATATAGTTTTCAAAAATTTACATAAAATGATATAAAAAATAGGTTTGCACATCCATCGGTGTAAGTTTGAGCTATCTAGATGAAATGCATGGCCTGCCTCTTTGCCAAAGATGATTACTATATTTGAATTCTCGGAGGACTTTATTTGTACCTTCTAATGGCACTTGCTGTTCTCATCATTGTATTACAGTCATTTGAGTTCACAGTAATGCCATTTAACTCACTCAGAGGCAAGGAGGAAGCTGGATTTCTATCATGTCATGATGTATGTGACTTTGATGAGTCAGACTCTCTGTGTATTAGCTTTCTTAATTGCAAGACATGAGATTTGGAACAAATGAACTTGAGGTCTTTCCAGTTTGTGAATTTTATGTATTTATGTAGTAATTGATAAGAATTTTGTAGTGAATGTGCAGATACATATATATATATGGATTCCAGCTTTAAACATTAAGGGCATCTGTAGTCACAAACCAATGACATGGGTCTATTGCCAGATAAATGCCCATTCCTTGCAACATAAATAAAGGCTTTTTTTTTTTTTTGCAAAGTTATGTTGTGTATCTCTTGCTCAACAACCATTTTCTATTCTAATATACTTTGGAAAAAAATGCCTTTGCTATTATCTCAGTCTATGGTTCTACTGAAGTGACTTCATCCATTGGCTCTGGAGTGGTCAAATGACTCAGGCCCAACCAATCAACATAGCCACTCCTTAGAGCAGAGTGATTGGTTCAGGGATGAATATGTGATGCAAGCTGATTGAATAAAAGTTAATCCTAGGACTTTTTCTGGAACTATTCACACATTCAGGAAATGTATAAAAGTTGCACCTTGTTAATGTTTTATATTTTCTAGAAGGGTATATTAACATAAAAAGATAAGTGCTTTGAGATATACCTCCCATTAATTAATTATAAATCAACAGATGTCAATAATTAAAAACACATTTCTTTTATCCTCTAAGGAAATTATTTATTTAGTAGCACAAATTGTTCATGAATCTTCCTAATGAGTTCTAAAATTTTGTTGATTTTTAGATATTATTGGTGTGATTTTTTTTGTTGCATGCATCTTCCCTTGCTAAATAGTGCCCGAATCTAGGCCATGATTTAAAAGAGGAAGTGACATTGAACCCTTCCAACAACTTCCCCAATTATTAGGTTGGTGCAAAAGTAATTGTGGCTTTTGCCATTAGAAGTAATGGCAAATTACTTTTGCACCAACCTAATAAATTGAAACTCATTAGGTAGGCAGGTAATATGTGGATGCCAATGATTCTCATATGGGTGATATCAGCCCTTCCGCCCCCAAGCAATGCTGTCAGCAGTGCCACCAACCTTGATGTCTGCTTGTTACCCTAGTCAGTGCTGGGCAGCTATAGGTTGCAGAACGGCATTGTATTATCCTTCCTGCTACCTCTCTATTGATATCTCAGTCTACTAGTCCTACTTCTAGGCCCAATTAATCCACTGTGGCTGTCACTGGATAAGAGTAATGACATTAAGAATTATAGGGTCAGTAACTTCTGCTATTTACTGGCTGGTACAGAATGACTAAATATTTTAGCAACCAGCCTTAACAAGACTTACCCCATGGAGATTGTCCACTTCTTATCCTTAACAGGCCCAATGTTACTTGTCCCTTTCTCTGTGCTTGTTAGAGATGCCTGCTGTCTTACAAGTAGTTTGCTTATCTTTAATGGTCATAAATTATATCTGGCAAGGGTTTAAAATCAGAACATTTGTATCTGTTCAAGCACTAGAGGACCCTCTGTGGTATAGTGGAAGGAGAACTGGGTTTTGTGGGTTCTTTCCCTTGTTCTGTTCACTAGTCATGACAATAATAACTCCTGAACTGCCCCGTAGTCTTCTCTAAAGGGACACTGCCATGGCCACACCTCTATTCAAAAACAGTTATGGGTGGTCACCGTTGGGAGTACATGAGAATCAACCTTCTCCTGGCCACAGCTTATTGGGTTAGCACTGGGCAACTTGTCCAAGGATGTTTGAGAGCCAAGGACACAGAACATTATTTGATATAAAGAGATGAGTTGGGCAAGCCAGACTTTTTTTTTTTTTTTTTTTTTTTGCGGGGGGAGAATTAAATTTAAAAATAGAAGAAAAATGTCCATAATGTGTATTGAAAGTGAAGAGAGATTACTAGAGTCCCAACAAGCCTAATTTATGTGAAAGCACAAATTACCAGTTAGCAAAGGCTAAAAGGCTGTAAGACAAACAGAGGAGAGGTGAGAATTTGGCATTAGGCAAAGAGAAGCAGACACTGAGAATAATGTATACTGCTGGGATACTAAAGTTCCAGGAACTCCTGCTGCTAGAGTTCTTGGCTCTCTCTGGTCCCAGCCCCTCTTCAGTGCTGTGTCTCTGAGGTCCAGACATGTGACAGTTTCTTCCATCATGACACATGTTCCATTGATAACCCTGTTTCTTAAGCTTGTCCAAGTGAGAGGTTGTTCTTTGCAACATAAAGAAGCGGACTAAAATATGAACTGGCCACTAACCAGATGTGTAAGCTGTCTCAGTCTCAGATGTTTCCTCTCTAAAATAAAGAGGTAAATTAGGTCCTTGGGGATTGGTCTCCAAGTCTCATCTAGCTCTATGTCTTATAAATGAATTGATGACGCTATATATAGTTATCTTCATTTGACTGTTTTGAGAATTCATTATTATTCATTATACTCACATGCCCAGTTATATTGTGTATTGCCAAAATAAACTAATTTTGCTTGCAGTAAGGAAAATTTCAGGTAACCAAATTTAAAATTAAATGTAATTTATCATCACTTGGGCCAATCAATACAATTGCAGTTTGGCATTAGTCACTGTTCTCACTGGAATTGTAAACAGAATAATATAATTAAATAAAAATAATAGTCTATTTTACTCGCACTGATTAATTTTTTCCTAAAGTATCAACCAAATGTGGTGTACTGTTTGTACTTGTCAGATAATAGAATTATTCTACCAAATATAGGCTTCTATTTCATGTGATTCTATTCTATTCCTACCAGGAACACTAATTTGACACTCTTAGGAATTCAAACCTAATATGAAATACAAGATAATGTGGCAAGGATAAGCTCCCAAAGAAAGGCCATGTTAAAGTTGTGTTTCCTGGGCTGAATGTCACTGGATAAAAGTATCAGAAATGTGAGCAATTATTTTAAAATGGCTTTGGAGAAGGAAACAATATGAGGACAAGAAAACAAATTTCAGAGATGATGAAGAACATAAAATAAATGGAACTCATCTACTGGGAAACAATAGCTTGTAAATTAACCAACCAAGTGTCCAGGGAGTTCTTACCCTCTGTGCTGAATTTTTGGGAGAAAGAAGACACCCTCGCTGCCCTCGTAGATGCAGTTAGTTCATTCAGTCATTCACTGTAAATTTATTGATCATTTATTATCTGCCAAGCTCTGTAACTGAGTCTCAGGATACTATGAATTCCTGTTCTAAAGAGTTCCCTGTTTAAGTCAGTGATTATTGCAGTTGTCCCCTGATACTGAAATTTGTTTCTCTTTTTGTTAAAATCTTCATTTTTTAGCCATGCATATGGCCAGTATGCCATGGCTAAAAACAAAACAAAACAAAACAAAACACTTATATTTTACAGCTTCACTCTTTAGCTGGATGGGGCTATGCAAGTAAGAGATGGCTGATAGGATATAAGTGGAAGTGGTGGTGAAACCTTGGCGCACCTTTAATATAAGACATCTGACCCTGCCTTTGGACCCTGTCTCCACCCTTCCTCCATCTAGCTGCTTGAAAGGCAGCTGTGATGGCTGGAGCTCCTTGGGCCGTGAGGATACATCCTTCATCTAGGGATGGTGGAGTGGAAAGCCAGGTTTTGGACAACTGTGGAGTTCCTGCAACACCTTTGGACTCTGCACTTTTTACATATGAAAGAAAAACTTCTCCACATTGTCCCACTTACTATTTTTCTATTTTCTATTGCCTGTAGTCAAATCTAATCTTAATGCACTGGTGTATTTTTTCCTCTCTGTTTTTAGGTATTATTTAAATATAATAAAGTCCATGAATTTAAAGTGTACAGTTTGATTAGTTTTGACAAATGTATACACTTTTGTAACCACTACCATAGGCAAGATGTAGAACATTATTATTACTTTACTCTGAAAAGTTTTCTTATGCCCATTCCTGGTGAATGATGCCTCCTACCTCCATCCACAGATGACCATTGATCCGCTTTCTATCAGTAAAGATGAGTTGTGTCTTTCCTAGTTTTATATACAGGTGTTCCCTGGTATCTGGGGGGACTGGCTCCAACTCCATTCGCCCTCTTCCACCCCAAGAATACCAAAATCTGTGAATGTTCAAGTCCCTTATGCAAAATAGAGTAGTATTTGCACACAGCCTGTGCATATCCTTTCCTATACTTAAAATCGTCTCTAGATTACTTATAATACCTAACACAAAAAAAGCTATGTAAATAGTTGTTATATTGTATTTTGAAATTTGCATTACTTTTTATTGTTGTATTGTTATTTTTATTTTAAGCACTTTTTGAATATTTTCTTTTTATTATTTTTATTTTTCCATAAGTTATTGGGGTACAGGTGGAATTTGGGTACATGAGTAAGTTCTTTAGTGGTGATTTGT
This sequence comes from Homo sapiens, assembly GCF_000001405.40. NCBI lineage: Eukaryota > Metazoa > Chordata > Mammalia > Primates > Hominidae > Homo > Homo sapiens. Next base: position 148,638,412 of record NC_000003.12, on the reverse strand, counting down.
GAGATTTTGGTGCACCATCACTGGAGCAGTATACACTGCGTCTTATTCGTAGTCTTTTATCCCTCATCCCCCTCCCACTATTCCCAAGTCCCCAAAGTCCATTGTATCATTCTTATGCCTTTGTGTCCTCATAGCTTAGCTCCCACATATCAGTGAATGTTTCCCATTCCTGAGTTATTTCTCTTAGAATGGTAGTCTCTAACCTTATCCAGGTCACTGCAAATGCTGTTCATCCATCCATTTTTATTGCTGAGTAGTATTCCGTCATACATATATGCCACAGTTTCTTTATCCACTCATTCATTGATGGGGATTTGGGTAGGTTCTATGATTTTGCAATTGTGAATCATGCTGCTATAAACATGCATGTGCAAGTATCTTTTTTGAATAATGGCTTCTTTTCCTCTGGGTAGATACCCAGTAGTAGGATTGCTGGATCAAATAGTAGTTCTACTTTTAGTTCTTTAAGGAATCTCCACACTGTTTTCCATAGTGGCTGTACTAGTTTTGAATATTTTCAATCTACAGTTGGTTGAATTTGCAGATGCAGAACCTATGGATGTGGAGGGCCAGCTGTCAATGGAATTATACAATAAGTTCCCTTTTGTACGCTTCTTTAACTCAGCATAATGTTTTTGAGAGAAAAAACTTTGTATGTTTCTGTGGTCCATCCTTTTAAATTGCTGAAGTGTATCCTGTATTAGTTAGGGTTCTCCAGAGAAACAGAACAAATTTATCTGTCCATTCATTCATTCATCCATCCATCCATCCATCCATCCATCCATCCATCCATCCATCCATCCATCCATCTATCCATCCATCCACCCATCCATCACCCCTGTCTATCTAGAGGAAGAAGTTTATTTTAAGGAATTTTTTTATATGATCGTGGAGGCTGCCAAGTCCACAATCTGCAGAGTAGGCAGGCAGGCTGAAGGAAGAGTTGATGCTGAAGGGAGTCTGCTGCCAGAATTCTCTTTTCAGGGGAGGTCAGTGTTTCTCTTTTTTTTATTTTTGGTTTTTAATGGGTACATAGTAGGCATACATATTTATGAGGTACTTGAGATATTTTGATACAGGTTATAACATGTAATAATCACATCAGGATAAAGGAAATATCCATCACCTCAAACATTCATTATTTCTTTGTGTTACAAACATTCCAGTTGTACTCCCTTAGTTATTCTAAAACATACAACAGATTATTGCTAACTGCAGTCACCCTGTTGTGCTATCAAATACTAGATCTTATTTATTTTATCTAACTATATTTTGTATGCATCAACCTTCCCATTTGCTCCCCCCGCCCACCTTCCCACTACATTTCCCAGCCTCTGGTAACCATCATTTCACTCTCTATCTCCATGAGTTCATTTGTTCTAATTTTTAGCTCTTACAAATGAGTGAGAAGAAATGAAGTTTGTCTTTCTGTGCCTGGCTTATTTGGCTTAACATAATGTCCTCCAGTTCCATCCATGTTGTTGCAAATGACAGGATCTCATTGTTTTTTTATTGATGAATAATACCCCATTGTGTATATTTCCCATATTTTCTTTATCTGTTCATCTGTTGATGGACACTTAAGTTGATTCCAAATCTTGGTTATTGTGAATAGTGCTGAAATAAACATGGGAATGTAGGTATCCCTTCAATATACTGATTTCCTTTCTTTTGATTATATACCTAGCCATGGAATTTGTGGATCATATGGTAGTTCTATTTTTAGTTTTCTGAGGAACCTCCGTACTGTTCTTCATAATGGCTGTACGAATTTACATTCCCACCAACATTGTATAAAGGTTCTCCTTTCTCCACACCCCTGCCAGCTTCATTATTGCCTGTCTTTTGGATAAAAGCCATTTTAACTAGGGTGAGATGATATCTCATTGCAGTTTTGATTTGCATTTCTCTGATGATCAGTGATGTTGAGCACATTTTTATGTGTCTAATTGTCATTTGTATGTCTTCTTTTGAGAAATGTCTGCTTAGATCTTTTGCCCATTTTTAAATTGGATTGTTAGATTTTTTTCCTATAGAGTTGCTTGAGCTCCTTATATATTCCGGTTATTAATCCTTTTTCAGATGGATGGTTTGCAAATATTTTCTCCCATTCTGTGGGTTGTCTCTTCACTTTATTGATTGTTTCATTTGCTGACCAGAAGCTTTTTAGTTTGATGTGATCCCATTTGTCCATTTTTGCTTTGGTTGCCTTAGTTTATTTTGTTTTGATTTTTGTATATGGTGAGAGATAGGGGTCTAGTTGCATTCTTCTGCATGTGGATATCCAGTTTCCCCAGCACTGTTTATTGAAGGGGCTGTCTGTTTCCCTGTGTATGTTCTTGGGATCTTTGTGGAAAATGAGTTCACCGTAGATGTACAGATTTATTCCTGTGTTCTCTATTCTGTTCCATTGGTCTACGTGTCCATGTTTATGCCAGTACAACACTGCTTTGGTTACAGTAGCTCTGTAGAATAATTTAAAGTTAGGTAATGTGATTCCTCCACTTTTGTTCTTTTTGCTCAGGGTGGCTTTGGATATTTTGGGTCTTCTGTAGCTCCACATAAATTTTAGGATTATGTTTTCTATTTCTGCAAATAGTATCATTGGTATTTTGATAGGGATTGCACTGAATCTATGTATTGCTTTGGGTGATATGGACATTTTAACAATATTGATTCTTCCAATCCATGAACATGAAATATTTTTCAATGTTTTTGTGTGATCTTCAACTTATTTTATCAGTGTTTTATAGTTTTCACTGTAGAGAACTTTCACTTCTTTGGTTAAGTTTATTAGTAGATATTTTATTTTGTTTGTAGCTTTTATAAATGAAATTACCTTCTTGATTTCTCTTTCAGATTATTAGCTGTTGGCATATAGAAATGATGCTGGTTTTTATATGTTGATTTTGTATCCTGTGATTTTACTGAATTTATCAGTTCTAACAGTGTTTTGATGGAGGGTTTAGGTTTTTCCAAACATAAGATTATATCTGCACACATCTAAATTTGACTTCTTCCTTTCCAATTTACTTGCCTTTTATTTCTTTCTTCTGTCTGATTGCTCTAAGAAGGACTTCCAGTACTATGTTGAATAACAATGGTGAAACTGGGCATACTTATCTTGTTCCGGATCTTAGAGGAAAGGCTTTCAGTTTTTCTGTGTTCAGTACAATACTAGCTGTGGGTTTGCCATATATGCCTCTCATTGTGTTAAGGTATGTTTCTTCTGTACCCAGTTTTTTGAGGGTTTTTATCATGAAGGGATGTGGAATTTTATCAAATGCTTTTTCAGCATCAATTGAGATGATCATATGGATTTGCCTTTCATTCTGTTGATATGACGTATCATGTTGATTGATTTGCATGTTGATTGATTTGCATATATTGAACCATCCTTCTATCTCTGGGATGAATCCTAGTTGGTCATGGTGGACGATCTTTGCAATGTGTTATTGAATTCAGTTTGCTAGTATTTTGTTGGGTATTTTTGCAATGTTCTTCAGAGATATTGGCCTGTAGATTTCTTGTTTTGATGTATCTTTGCCAGGTTTTGGTATCAGGGTAATACTGGCCTTACAGAATGAGTTAGGAAATATTCCCTCTTCTTCTATTTTTTTGAATACTTTGAGTAGTTGATACTAGTTTTTCTTTAAATGTTTGGTAGAATTCAGCAGAGAAGCCCATTGGGTCTGGGCTTTCCTTTGCTGGGAGTCTTTTTACTATAGCTTTATCTTGTTACTTGTTATTAGTCTGTTCAAGTCTTGAATTTCTTCATGGTTCAATCTTGGTAGCTTGTATGTGTCTAGAAATTTATCCATTTTTTCTAGGTTTTCCGATTTATTGGCACATAGTTGCTCATAGTAGTCTCTAATGATCTTTTGAAGTTCTGCAGTATTGGTGTAATGCCTCTTTTTCATCTCGCATTTTATTTATTTGGGTCTTCTCTCTTTTTTTTTCTTTGTCTGGCTAAAGGTTTGTCAATGTCATTTACCTTTTCAATAAAGCAACTTTTTATTGATCTTCTGTATTTGTTTTTTCATTTCAATTTTATATATTTTTGCTCTGATCTTTATAATTTATCTTCTACTAATTTTGGGTTTGTTTGCTCTTGCTTTTCTAGTTCTTTAAGATGCATTATTGGGTTGTTTATTTGCAGTTTTTCTACTTTTTTGATGTTGGTGCTTGTTTTTATAACCTTTTCTCTTGGTACTGCTTTTGCTGTATTCCATAGGTTTTGATATGTTGTGTTTCCATTTTCATTTGTTCCAAGAAATTTTTTAATTTTCTTGTTAATTTCTTCATTGATCCACTGGTCATTCAGGACCATATTGTTTAATTTCCATGTGTTTGTTGTTTTCATAGTTTCCAAAATTCCTGTGTTATTGATTTTTAGTTTTATTCCACTGTGGTCAGAGAAAATGCTTGATAATATTTCAACTGTTTTTTGAATATTTTAAGATTTGTTTTGTTACCTAACATATGCTCCATCCTTGAGAATGACCAATGTGCTGAGGAGAAGAATGTGTATTTTGTAGCCATTGGGTGAAATGTTCTGTAAATATCTATTAGATCCATTTGGTCTATAATGCAGATCAGGTCCAATGTTTCTTTGTTGGATTTCCATCTGGATGATCTGTCCAACACTGGAAGTGGGGGTGTTGAAGTCTGCAACTATCATTATATTGGGACATAGTCTGTCTATCTCTAATAATATATGCTTTACATATATGAGTGTTCCAGTGTTGTGTGCACATATGTTTACAATTGTTATATTCTATTGCCGAATACCCTCTTGACTACTTTATCATCATATAGTGACCTTTTTTTTCAAAATCTATTTTATCTATATACATATAGCTGCTCCTGCTCCTTTTTGGTCTCCACTTACATGGAATATCTTTTCCCATCCCTTTATTTTCAGTATATGTGTGTCTTTATAGGTAAAATGTGTTTCTTGTAGGCAAAAGGTTATTGTGTCTTTTTTTTAATCCATTCAGCCACTCTATCTCTTTTGATTGGAGAGTTTAGTCCATTTACGTTCGCTATTATTATTGACAACTAATGACTTACTACTGCTATTTTGTTATGTGTGTTTTAGTTTTTTTGCGGTCTTCTCTTTCTCTCTTCCTTCCTGTCTTCCTTTTTGTGAAAGTGATTTTGTCTAGCATATTTTAATTTCTTGTTTTATATATTTTTGTGTATCTGTTGTAGGTTTTTAGATTTGAGGTTACCATCAGTCTTGCATATAACATATTACCTATTATTTTAAACTCATGACAACTATGATTGCAAAAACAAACAAACTAATAAACAAACAAGGAGAAAACTAACTCTCCTTTAGAGAGAAAACTAACTAAACTCTATACTTTAACTTCATCTCCCCTGCCTTTAACTTTTTGTTGTTTCTATTGATATCTTATTACACTGTCTGTGTCTTAAAAACTTGTTGTAGCTATTATTTTTGATAGGTTTGTCTTTTAGTCTTTCTACTCAATATGAGTAGTTTACACAAGACAATTACAGTGTTATAATCATCTGTATTTGTCTGCATATTTACAGTTATCAGTGAGTTTTATACCTTCAGATGATTGCTCATTCACAGCCTTTCTTTTCTAATGGAAAAACTTACTTTAGCATTTCTTGTAGGATAGGTCTGGTTTTGGTGAAATCTCTTAGCTTTTGTTTGTCTGGATAAGTCTTTATTGCTCTTTCATGTTTGAAGGATATTGTTGCTGGATATAATATTCTAGGATACAAGTTTTTTCCTTCAGCACTTTAAATATATCATGCTACTCTCTCCCAGCCTATAAGGTTTTTACTGAGAAATCTGCTCTGCTGGAAAATCTATTTGAGCTCCTTTTTATGTTGTTTCTTTTCTCTTGCTGCTTTTCAGATCTTTTCTTCATTCTTCTCCTTTGGGAATTTGATTATTAAGTGTCTTGAGGTAGCCTTATTTGGGTTCAATCTGCTTGGTGTTCTATAACCTTCTTGTACTTGAATATTGGTATCTTTCTCTAGGTTTGGAAAGTTCTCTATTATCATCCCTTTGAATAAACTTTCTACCTTGACCTCTCTCTCTACCTCCTCTTTAAGGACAATAACTCTTAGACTTTCCCTTTGAGACTATTTTCTATGCCCTGTAGGTGTGCTTCATTCTTTTTTATTCTTTTTTTCTTTTTTCTTCTCTGTGTATTTTTAAACAGCCTTTCTTCAAGCTCACTGATTCTTTTTTCTGCTTGACCAATTCTGCTATTAAGAGACTCTGATGCATTCTTCAGTATGTCAACTGCATTTGTCAAGTCCAGAATTCATGCTTGACTTTTAAAAATTATTTTAATCTCTTTGCTAAATTTATTTGATAGGATTCTGAATTCCTTTTCTGTGTTATTTTGGCTTTCATCAAGCTTTCTCAAAACAGAAACAGAATTCTCTCTCTGAAAAGGCACATATTCCTGTCTCTCCTGTATCAGTAACTGGTGCCTTATGTAGTTCATTTGGTGGCGTCATTTTCCTGGATTATCTTGATGCTTGTGGATGTTCATCAATGTCTGGGCATTGAAGAGTTAGATATTTATTCTAATCTTTGCAACCTGGGCTTGTTTTACCCATCTTTCTTGTGAAGTATTAAAAGGGAATTTAGTGTTGTGATCTAAGTCTTTGGTCACTGCAGCCATACATGCATTAGGGGGCACTCCAAGCCTAGTAACGCTGTGACTTTTGCAGACTCATAAAGGTACCACCCTGGTGGTCTTGTATAAGACTGGAGAGAATTGCCTGGATTATCAAGCAAAGTCTCATGTTCTCTTCCATTACTTTCCCCCCAAAAAAACAATCTCTCTTTCCATACTGAGCTGCCTGGAGTTGAGGGAGGGGAGTTCCAAGCACTCCCATGACCACCACTGCTGGGACTATACTGGGTTACACTGGAACCTAGCAAAGTACTGAGTATCGCCCAAGGCCTTTAATGACTATTTACTGGCTACTGCTGATGTTTATTCGAAGCCCAAGGGCTAGTCAGCAGGTGACGAATCCTGCCAGGACTGGGTCTTTCCTTTCAGTGCAGCAAGTTCCCTCTGGCCCAGAGTGAGTATAAACGTGCCATGTAGGAGCTAGGGTCTGCAATTGGGATCTTTAGGAATTTGCTTGGTGCTTTATTTGACTGTGGCTGTGCTGGTTCTCGGACTACAAGACAAAGTCCCCTATAATTTTTTCTCTCCTTTCCTTAAGCAGAAGGAGTCTCTGTCTGTGGTCACCATTGCCCCAGTTCCATGGCAACTAAGGGCTGCCTACTGCTGATGTTTATTAAAGGTCCATGTGCTCTTTAGTCAGCAGGTGATGAGTCCTGCCAGGCCTGGGTCTCTCCCCTCAGGGCAGCAAGTTCCTTTCTAGCCTCAGGTGGGTCTAGAAATGACCTCAAGTAGTTAAGTCCTGGAATTGGGTACTTTAGGAGTCTACTGGGCACTTTACTGTGGCTGAGCTTGTACTCAAGTTGTAAGACAAAGTCCTTTTTACTCTTTCCTCTGCAAAAGCAGAAGGAGTCTTTTCCTGTGGCCACCACAGCTGGGAATGTGCTAGGTTACATCGGAAGCCAACACAGTACTGGGTCTTGCTCAAGGCCCGAGGAGACAGCTGCCTGGCTACCACTGTTGTTTATTCAAGGCTCAAGGGCTCTTTAGTCAGCAGGTGGTAAATTCTGGCAGGACTGGGTCCCTCCCTTCAGGTGGGGTGAAATCCCTTCTGGCCCAAAGTGGGTGTAGAAATTTCCAGGAGCCGGCCAGGCACGGTGGCTCACGCCTGTAATCCCAGCATTTTGGGAGGCCAAGTCGGGCGGATCACGAGGTCAGGAGTTTGAGACCAGCCTGATCAATATGGTGAAACCCCGTCTCTATAAAAAATACAAAAATTAGCCAGGTGTGGTGGTGCATGCCTGTAATCCTAGCTACTCAGGAGGCTGAGGCAGGAGAATCACTTGAACCCAGGAGGCAGAGGTTGCAGTGAGCTGAGATGGTGCCACTGCACTCCAGCCTGGGTGACAGAGCGGGACTCTGTCTCAAAAAAAAAAAAAAAAAGAAAGGGTTGATGCAGGCACTCCCTTGGTTACCCCAGCTGGTCTCACTGGGTCATGCACATCCCAAGTGCACTGGCTCTAAGCCCAGCACAGCACCAGGACTTGTGCAGGAATTATAGTCCTTATGGCCTAGATGGCTTTTCAAGTTTATTTAGGACCCAGAGTATTTCAGCCATAGTGGTGGGGCTAGATGAACTCAGGGTTTTGACCGCTGGGGTAAATGATTCCCCTCTGGTTAGGGCTGGTCTAAATGCTCACTCCATGGGCACCAGCTGAATTTTGCCCTTTGTTGCTTTCTGCTATGACAGTTTGCACTGAATTCCATTGCAAAGTCCCATAATCACTTTGCTTTTCCTCCCCCAAGCACACAGATTCTCTCTCCATACCATGTGGCACTGCCAGGAGACGAAGGAGGATTGGTGTAGTTGATTAAAGACTGTCTTTCCTACCTTCTTCAGCACCTTTTTCCTTGCTATGATGTTAAAACCACGTACTGTGATTGCTCACCTGATTTTTGGTTCTTATGAAGGTGTTTTCTTGTGTGGAGAGATGTTTAATTTGGTGTTCCTGCAGGGGTAGGAGATGGTGATTGTTGGAGGTTCTATTTGGGCATCTTGCTGCACCTCCTTCCTCCAGTCCTTTTCTATTAAGGCCTTTTACTGATTGGATGAGGCCCATCCACATTATGGAATGTAATCTGCTTTACTCAAAGTGTACTGATTTAAATGTTAACTTCATCTAAAAAATACCTTCACAGAAACATCTAGAATAATGTTTTTCCAAATATCTAGCAAAAGTGACACATAAACTCAACCATTTCATATTCCATTGTATGGATATACCACCATTTGTTTATCCATCTATCTGGTGATGGAATTTGAGGTGTTTTTGGTTTTTGGCTACTACAAATAAAATTTACGTGAACATTTGTGTACAAGTCCTTATATGAACATGTACCATCATTTGTATCATGAAAATACCTAGAAGTGGGATTGTTGGGTCATATGGTAAAAGAGTAAGTTTATAACAAACCACCACACAATTTTCCAAAGTGACTGTACAATTTTACATCTTGAATACAATATATGAAATACCAGTTGCTCCACATCCTTGCCAACACTTGGTATTATCAGTCTGTTATAATTTTAGCCATTGTAGTAAAGTTTCAGTGGCATCACATGATGGTTTTAATTTGCATTTCTTGAATGACTAGTGTCAAGCTCATTTCATATACCCACTTTCTACTTGAGTTGTTTTCTTCCTTTTGAGTTTCAAGAGTTCTCTATAAATTGTGAATACTAAGTATTTGTCAGATATATGTATTACGAATATTTTCTTGCAGTTTGGGCTTACCTTTTAGTTTTCTTGATGGTGCCTTTGGAAGTGCTAAAGTTTTTAATTTTGGTAAAGTCCAATTTACTGTTTTAAAAAATGGCTTGTGCTTTTTATTTTCTAAGATTTACTTGCTTAACTCAAAGTCATGGAGATTTTCTCATTTTTTCTTCTAAAAGTTTTATAACTTTTGGCTTTTAAATTTAGTTACATAATCCATTTTGAGTTTTTAAAAATGTATGTTTCGAGGTAAGGGTCAAAGTTCATTTTTTCCTTGTGGATATCCAGTTCTTCCAGTGTCATTTTTTGAACAGACTATCATTCTTTATTGAATTACCTTGGCATCTCTGTTCAAAGTCAATTAATCATATATGTGTATATGTCCACTTCTGGACTCTTTTGTGTTCCATTAATCTATATGTCCTTCATTATGGTAATACTATACTCTCAATTACATTTATCTATATATTTTTAAACTGTATGGGCACATGTGTCTGATTTGCACCCTAATACAAGTTTCTATGTGTTTTATATTATTTTATATTATCTAATACATTCTACTTCTTAGTACAATTTATCTTGGCTTCCTAGATAAGAAGAAACATGATCCTTTATGATTTAATGAATGCAAACCCTATTACTACCTCTGAGAAACTGAGAATACCTCTATCACACTTAAACAGAAAATTGAGTTCCTGAACAATTTGAATAAAAGTAGGAAGGCAGAAATACACAGAAGGAAAGATAAAGAAATTATTGGGCCAGGCGCGGTGGCTCATGCCTGTAATACCAGCACTTTGGGAGGCTAAGGCAGGAGGATGACTTCAGGTCAAGAGTTCGAGACCAGCCTGGCCAACCTGGTGAAACCCAGTCTCTATTAAAAATAAAAAAAATTAGCTGGGCACGATGGCAGGCACCTGTAATCCCAGCTACTTGGGAGGCTGAGGCATGATAATTGCTTGAACCAGGAGGCAGAGGTTACAGTGAGCTGAGATTGTACCATTGCACTCCAGCCTGGGTGACCGAGCAAAACTATGTCTCAAAAAAAAAAAAAAAGAAAGAAAAGAAGAAAATTATTGAACATGTACTCCATGCCATGTGTCTTTCCAGACACTGCTTCACAGTACCCCTGTGAAGTAAGTAGTATTATTTTTATTTTTCAGAGGGGAAAACAGAGTTCTAGAGGTTAAGTAACTTGCCCAAAGTCATTCAGTGTTTTTAAAATAGCTTTACTGAAATATAAATCACATCATAAAATTCATTCATTTACGTTGTTCAACTCAATGGTTTTGAGTATATTGGCAAGGTTGTACCAACACCACACTCTAATTTTAGAACATTTTCATCATCTCCCAAAGAAACTCCACACTTATTAGCAGGTATGCTCATTCTTCCCCCATCTAAACTGTTCACCCCTCCATCTCCCTTGTTGTACCTCCCCCGCCACCCCACTAAGCAGCTAAGCTACTTTCTGTCTCTATCAGTTTACCTATTCTGGACATTTTGTATAAATGGGATCATACAACATGTAGTGTTTTTGACTTATTTTACTTAGGGTATGTTTTCAAAGTTCATCTATGTTGTAGTATGCATAAGTATTTCATTCCTTTTTATTGCTGAATAATATTCCATTATATGGACATATTACATTTTGTTTATTCATTCATCAGTGAATGGAAATTTGGTTGTCTCCATTTTGGGGGTATTATGAATAATGCTGTCATAAACATTTGTGCACAAGTTTTTATGTAGACATGTTTTATTTCCTTTGGGTATATACGTGGGAGTGGAATTGGTGGATCATATGGACTTAGAGATTAAACCCTGGTTTGCCTGACTTCTCATTACTGAAGACTGCTTTTCCTTATGATTTATTTATGTGAAAGGACTACCTACTGAGATTTTAAGTTCTACTTTGTCTTGCTTCTATTAGAAATTGAATGAATAAAAAGTAATTATTTCCCTTCTGACCTTCACATTACCCAACATATCACCTTTAGAATACAGCCTTGACAATTTGTTCCTGGACCCCTTGTCCCAAGGGAAATTAAAGCTGCTTTATATTTTAAAGCCAATGAACAAGCTCAAAGCAGGACTTCTGAGGAAAAGATGAGGTGAAGGGAAAGAGATTGGAGAATGGAGAGTTTGGGGTGGGTGGTTTTTATGAGATAATGGAGATGTATTTTCTAAATGGAGGAAACAGTTGTGTGTATTCGTTGGGAGGATACTGAGGAGCAGTGGGTGAGAGTTCACCATGGCGGTGGAGAGGTGTCAAGGGCATCTCTGTGATCTGTCTGGAGATACAGTGAGGGACCAGCAAGTAACAATGCTATTGAATTGTAAATGAGGTTGCAGTGAAGGTGATGACCAGCAAGGATTAGGTCCATTGCCTGGTCTCCCGGAACGACATAAATTCCCAGGGTCCACATATAATTTTGGAGATGACATCCTCAGTAATGACAATGACTGGACCAATCCTGTCAAACCCTGATGGGCGCAGCCATATTGATTTAGGACAAAAAGACTTGACTAAAGTGTAAAAAGGGCCTGTTTTATATCTACTTTAGTTTATCAAGGATGCCAAGTTATGTATCTAAGATACATAAACCATCATTAGATTTCTAAAGAGGATAAATAACACTATTTTTTGACCATATAATTGTCCTTATTTTTAATAAGTGACAATTAAGAAGGGAATTTCCCTGAGCCTTAAAGAAAATGGTTATCAATATAAGGTCCATCTGATATTCCATGATGTCTGGATGAGAAAATTGGCGGCCATAGTCATTACTCTTTCTCCTGTGTCACCGGAAAGCTGATTTTAAAACAGGAAATGCTTATGAAACTTGGTCAGCAGTAGACATGTAACAAGTTATAACAAGATGATCACAACTTTGAATGACTTTTTCCCTCTTTAAAAGTTCATTTTGGCCTCTATGTTTTCCACACATCTGATTATAGCTATATGTGTGTGTATATAAATGTTTGAGAAGAAATCATAGCCATTTATTGATTGCCTACTAGTTCTTGGTACTTACTGGATGCATCACATAAACTATTTCTTCTGATCTTCATAATGAAAGTTTTTGGTGGATATTGTCTTCATGTTTTTATTGATGAAAAACAGTGGCTCAGAAGATCAAGGTTATATATTATATACAGCATGTAATAATATATAATGTAATATATAATAATATATGTCCCCCAAACTACCTTTTGATCTTAGTCTTGCCACCATGGTTTGCTCTGAGAATTATTAACAAATTTCAAATTATACTACTGAATACCTGCTATGTGCCAGGCACTAGGGTTAGTGTGTCAGGGATAGAGCAATTCTGAGCTGACTTCTTTTATGTTATCATATAAATTTTAACTGTCATCTAATATTTTCCTCTTGGCTACTTGTTTCTTCCTTCTCATCTCCCTGTTTATATCCTGTCAATACCACCACGTTTTTAATAGTGTCCTGACAGTCCACTTCCTGTTCAAGATGTTCTAGTAAAACAAGTTATATATGACATAAAGCAAATAAAGAAAAACATCAAAGAGGTAGTGAAAATTTAGCATTGCATTCACCAGCCTCCCTGGGAACAGCTGAGTGTGAACATGGACCACAGTTTAAGGTTTAAGAAGATTTAGGGAGGAAAAAGTGGTTTAAAGAGAAAAATAATTCACCACATTAAGCACCATGTGGACATATGGACATTTTATGCCAAAACAAATAGAAACTTATAAGAGCTTTAAAACAAGGCCTTAACATAATAAAATGAAGTTGTGTAAATATTTGCAAAGCAGCTTGATGCTAGATTTAATAGTTTGAAAGTTCCGGAATTTTTTAGGAAATTAACCCCAAGCTTAGTCTACTCGAAATCACGTAGATTTATCACCTTTCTTCCAAACATGGGAATGGATGATACTTATTACTTATTTAGATTTTGGTAAAAGATATAAGCAACTCGGAGGAATAAACCAAAAACGTGAAAATGGGACACCAGTTCTCAGCAGGCTGAACTTCATTTCTAAACTGTATAAACACAAAAAATAAATTAAAAAAAGGCAAGTCAAAACAAAAAGTCTCAAGTGCAAAAAATAAATAAATAAATAAAAATAAAACAAAACCAGACACCATGTAAGGTATTTTTTCCTTCCATTCTAAATATTTCTGTGGGGTAAATCAGCTTGAAGGAATTCAAGTTCTGTTTTCATTTTTTTTTTTAACCACTTACATTGCCTGACCTAGGGATTCATACCTTGCCTGACTTAGCATCAAAATCTTGAACATAGAATGGGCACTTGATGACTATATCCCTATTTGAAGAGTACTGTAAATATTAAATGCAGACTGAGACCAAATGCTCTGAATGGGGTTGCAGATAAAGAATAATTATATCTGAACTTGTTTATTTTTTGTGGTGGGTGTAATTAAATTTTAACTCATGTATCATTGTGTATCAGGAATGAAGGAATATATTAGTGCTGACTGCTTCAAAAGAAATGCTTAAATCCTGATGTTCAAACTGCTCTGTTTTCAGCAATTCTCATATTGTCATTCTTTTTCATGTTTCTTTTTCATTAGTAGATACGTTTTATAGAAATTTAAATGTAAATACCTCATTTTCATATAGCATTGCTTTAATCCCTCATTTGAATGTACAACTCTTTTTCATTTTATAATTTCTTATACACATTTTCTTTATGGTTTCTTTCTTAAGTAAAAAAAATGTATTGAAATAATCCAGGTCTAGATTGTTAATACATGAGTTTTCCTACCTATGTAGAGTGTATCACATATGTATTTTTTCCCAGCAAGTTAATACAGTAAAGTGTTTTGGGAATAATCAACCAAGGCTGAGGTCTACTATGTAAGTTTGTTATTTTATTTACTAATATTTTAATATACATTGGATTTTATTTCTTTTCCACTGTTGACCTGTTCTAACCATTGTAAGTTAACATTGAACATGTAACTAGTATTTATTTTTAAATTATGATGAACTTCAGAAAGCATAGACTCTAGATTGCTTTGGAACAGTTGTTGAAGAAATATTTAAAAATATCATTTAAAAATTGTAAGTATTTTTTAAAATAAACTTTTTCACTGAAGTATAACATACTTCTGCATATAAAAAGTGCACATATAAACATATGTTTCAATCACAAAGTGAACTCACCCACATAAGTACCACCCAATCCAAGAAATACAGCACTATCAACACCCTAGAAGCTCTCATGTCCCCATTCAATAATACATCTTCCCTTCTCCCAAAAGTGATACTATTCTGGCATCTAACTCCAAAATAATTTTGAATGTTTGACAAATTTACTTGCTAGCATAATAGTGTTTGGGCCTGGCTGCTTTCAGTCAACATATGCTTGTGGAATCTTCATGTTCTTGGTAGAAGTTGCCCATTTGTACTTTGTATTGTATCCATTATATGGCCTTGAAGTGAATTATTATTATTTTTTAAATCACTGTTACTGTTGATAGGATTTGGAATTGTTTCCAGTTTTTGATTATTGAATTAATGCTGCTATGAACATTATTTTACATGTTTTCTGATGAATATATGCACCTTTTTCTGTTGGGCTTATACCTAGAGTGAAATTTTTGGAAAAAAAGTTGTGCATATTTTAATTCAGCTTCACTTGATATTATCAGTTTTTCAAAATGGCGTCACTTTCAACTTTTACTAGGAGAATGTTATAATTCCAGTTGTTCTACATTTTCAACATCATTTGGTATTGTTAGTCTTTTTTCTCCCATTCTGTGTGTAGAGTGATACCATATTTTGTATTTGGATTTTGTTGAAAACTTATGAAGCTGAGCACCTTTTAACTCCTTTTAATCTCCCTACATATATGTATATATAGGGGGATATATATATGTTATGATATATATCCCTATATATCATATATATCATATCTATATATCATATATATCATATATATCTGATATATATCATATATATCTGATATATATCATATATATCAGATATATATCAGATATATCAGATATATCTCAGATATATCAGATATATATCAGATATATCTCAGATATATCAGATATATCATATATATCATAAATATATCATAACATATATATGTTAACATGTATATGCACAACATATACATATATTTGATATATATGTTATATATATATCTCTCTCTCCCTATATATATGTTTTTTTATATATATATATGGAGCGAGAGAGAGAGATGGAGTCTTGCATTGTTGCCCAGGCTGGAGTGCAGTAGTGCGATCTTGGCTCACTGCAAGATTTGCCTCTCAGTTCAAGCGAGTCTCCTGCCTTGGCCTCCCACGTAGCTGGGACTACAGGCATGCGCCACCACACCCAGCTAATTTTTGTATTTTTAGTAGAGATGGGGTTTCACTATGTTGGCCAGGTTAATATATTTATTGACCACTTAGATATCCTCCTGTGAAGTATCTGTTCAGTAGTTTGACCACTTTTCTATTTTATTATATTTTTCTTATAATTTATAGGACTTATTATTCAAGATATAAGTCCTTTGTCAATTGTATATACTATTATCTTTTCTATCTTTGTGGCATGCTTGTTCACACATTTAATAAGACATTTTGTTGAAAAGAAGTTTTTAATTTTCCTGTAGTTCAGTTGATCAGTTTTGTTTTGTTTTTGCAACCTCTACCTCTCAGGTTCAAATGATTCTCCTGTCTCAGCCTCTCGAGTAGCAGAGATTACAGGTGCATGCCATCATGCCTGGCTAATTTTTGTATTTTTAGTAGAGACAGGATTTCACCATGTTGGTCAGGCTGGTCTCGAACTCCTGACCTCGTGATCCGCCCGCCTCGGCCTCCCAAAGTGCTGGGATTACAGGTGTGAGCCACTGTGCCTGGCCAACTTTTTTTTTAATGTCCTGTTAAAGTAATCTTTACTGCCCTAAGGTCATAGCTATATTCTCCAATGCTACCTTCGTGAAGGTCATTGTTAACCTTTCATCTTTAGATCTATTATTCACTTGAAACTGATTTTTCTGTGTGGTGTGAGAAGGGCTCTAGTTTCATTGTTTTCCACATGGATAACTAATTCTTCCAGCATCATTTATTGTAAGAAGGTCTTTGCCCACTATTCTACACTGCCACCTTTGTCATAAGTCAAATTTCCCCAAATGTGTTAGGTCTGCTTCTAATATTTATTCTGCTCCATTGGTCTATATTTTCTGTTTTTGCACAAATGAAAAATGTCTTAATTACTATAGCTTAATGATAAGTCCTGATGTTGGGTGAAATAAGTCAGAATAGTCCTTCGACTGTCTTTTCTTCAAGATAATTTTTGGCTATTCTTGGCCATTTAAAGTCATATACATTTGTAAATCAGATTGGCAAGAAAAATATCTACTGAAATTTTGATTTGGATTGCACTGAATCTACAAATTAATTTGGAAAGACCTCACATTTCTACAATCTTGAGCTTTCCAGTTCAGGAACTTAGTATCCATATATTTTTCTATTTATTTAAGTATTCTTTATTTCCTTTCAGTAATGTTTTATTTTTATTTTTGGTGGAGAGCTCTTTATTATTTCTAGGTATTTGAAGCCCTTTGATCCTACTGCAAATAATTATTTTTTGAACTTTCTAATTATTGTGGCTGATAAATAAAATTGATCTTATATTGATTTTGTATTTAGTGTCCTGTCTGAATTCACTTAACTCTATACTTTACTTGTATATTCTTTTGAATTACCTACATAGAGAATGATGCCAATCATGTGCCCTTTTATTATTTTCTGGAAACTTTCTGCATAAAATTAGTGTCATTTCTTTCTTAAATGTTTGATGGAGCTCATAGGTAAAGCAAATCTGGTCCTGGAATTGACTTGGTGTGAATGATTTTAATAATCATTTACAGTTTATTTTTAGATATAGGAATATTCAGGCTTTCTTTTTCTTCTTATATCAGGCTTACTAAGTGGACTTTATTTTTGTTTAGTTAGTTTTTAATATAATTTTGTCTATTGTATACATTTTAACATTTCTTGATATAAAGTTGTTCATAGTTCTCCTATTATGACCTTTGTGATGTCTCCATGCTCTGTAGTGGCTTATCCTTCTTCATTCCTAATGCTGGTCTTTGTGCTTTTGCTCCTTTTTTAAAAAATCAATTTTATTCATCTGT
Source organism: Homo sapiens (assembly GCF_000001405.40). Classification (NCBI taxonomy): domain Eukaryota; kingdom Metazoa; phylum Chordata; class Mammalia; order Primates; family Hominidae; genus Homo; species Homo sapiens. Next base: position 148,620,849 of record NC_000003.12, on the reverse strand, counting down.
AAAGAACCAACTGTTCGATTTTTTTATTTGATCTGTTGTAAGCTTTTTAATTTCACTTATTTCTGCTCTCATCTATCTTGTATCTTTTATTCTACTTGCTTTAGGTTTGATTGCTTTCTTTTTAAGGTCATTATTTTTAGGCTTTTTCTATTTCAATATATAGATTTCAGGCAATACATTTCTCTTTAAGCATAATTCTGGCTGCATCTCACACATTAGATTAAAAATATTTTGTAATTTCATTGTAATTCTTCTTTGACCCAAGGGTTATTTAGAACTACAGACAAACATAAAAGGATTTTTTAGTTTCTTTTTGTTATCTATTTCTAGCTTAATTTTTTATTGTCAGAAAATATCCTTTGTATGATTTCCATCTTTTAAAATTTGCTGATACACTTTATTCACTAGTGTATGGTTAATTTTGGTAAATGTTCTGTGTACACTTGAAAATAATGTGTAGTCTAGTCTGCATTTATTTGGTGCAGTGTTCTCTACATTTCAAGTACATAGTTTTGAGTTGAAATTTTTAATTTGGAACAGTTTTTTCCTGAGGCAAAAAAATGAAGCATTTACTTGAGTTTTTAAATTTAAGTATATTTAAGGCAAGCACTCAATCATGGGACTTGGGGACATACCACGAAAATGGTTTAAATACAAATACATCACATGAAAAAGTGGTATTTTTTGATTCTATACATTGGCTCCTTTCTTTTCTTTTCTTTCTTTTCCTTCTCCTTTTCCTTCCCCCTTCCCTCCCCTTCCCTCCCCTTCCCTTCCTTTCTTTCATTTGGGATGGAGTCTCACTCTGTCGCCCAGGCTGCAGTGGAGTGCAGTGCCGCATCTCTGCTCCCTGCAAGCTCCGCCTCCCAGGTTCAAGCGATTCTCCTACCTCAGCCTCCCGAATAGCTGGGACTACAGGCGCCCGCCATAACGCCCGGCTAATTTTTTTGTATTTTTAGTAGAGACAGGGTTTCACCGTGTTAGCCAGGATGGTCTCGATCTCCTGACCTCGTGATCTGCCTGCCTCAGCTTCCCAAAGTGCTGGGATTACAGGCGTGAGCCACTGCGCCCGGGCCATTTTCTTTTACCATCTATGTTTTTGTGAATTTTGGTTCTTATAGAACAAATACTGAGGAAAAAAAATTATAAGCAAGGCTTTCTTCAGAATTCTGCTTGGTGTTCTTTGATCAGCTGACTGTAGGGTATGGAAAGCTGTGTAAACACTTTAGGAAGACTAGGCATTTCCTGGACTTTGGCTTCTATTTAATATGCAATAACCCAGACTTAAGGAAATACAATAATGTTGGACTACAATGCTCTAATGTCTTGATGGAGAGTGGGAGGTAAAGGACAAGACCATGAACAAGACCGTAATTTGGAAGATGTTCCCTGGAAAGGAGTCAATATTATCTTTTTGTCAGTCCTATAGTATGAAATAAGCACTTGGAAGGTGAATCTAAGGCAAGTAAAAATAATTCTTTCCTCTCTAAAGCATAAGGCAGATATTCGTGGGGTTTTATTTTGGCTGGTGAGAATTCATTGTCTTTATTTTCTTCCTTTTTTTTTTTTTAAACAAACCCTACAGTTCTCTGCTAAGAATCATCTCTTCCCCACAATTTGCAGTATTAAAGAGCACCTGGAGTTAATACAGGGACCTTTCCCTCCCTTATTGAGGGAAGGGCCCCTGACCAAGCTCAACTAATCGGGCACTCCTTCCCAGGACACAAAAATGAAAATGGTGAGTGTTCATTAATTTCCAGGAGAGACATTGTCCTTTGACTGCTTCTGCTACAGGCTGGTCCCTGCCCTTTTTGATTTCTTGAATTACTGGGTTCCGTCCTAAGCCCAGTTGCCTTGGCCTTCTCACAAATTCTCTAAATTCCTAATAATTTCCCCTCTGAATAGATATCTTTTTTTTTTTACCTATGATTGATTGTATTTTTCTCCCTAGCTCCCATTTCTGCTAAGCACAGAAAAAAAATTAACTCAAACTGGAACAACTAGAACCTTGTGGTTCCAGTATCACATTAAAAGTGAGCATTCACTACGGACTTTCAGTTTTCCTCAGCCACACTTTAAGGTGAAGAGAAAGTACTCCCTTGCCCACCTTAGGATGCACACAGTAGGATGTTTTGTCACCTCCTTTCTTCCTGCCAAGGCTTATTTTTAAAATCCCAAGAGTGAGGTCTAGTCCCTCACAGTTGACTTCCCTCTTCTCTGCTTCCTTCTCTCTTATCCTTATTTCCAAGGCTTGTGGGCTTCCTGCCAAGGGGGAACTTCTTTCCTATAATAGGTATTAGGTTAATGAACCTCAAAGATTAAACAAAATAAAACCTCATTTTTTACTCATGCAAAGTCCAATGGAGGTTAGTGGGGTACAGGAGTCTAGGATCTATGTGTCTCCCCTCTAAGAGTTAACTTGAGGAGCTAAAGTGCTTCCGTGTCCTCAATTGGTTCCTTCCTGTGGGTTCTTTGTCTCACTAACTTCAAGAATGAAGCCGTGGACTCTCGCGGTGAGTGTTACAGTTCTCAAAAGCTGCGTCTCCGGAGTTTTTTCCTTCAGATGTTCAGGTGTGTCCGGAGTTTCTTCCTTCCGGTGGGTTCATGGTCTTGCTGACTGCAGGAGTGAAACTGCAGACCTTCGCAGTGAGTGTTATAGCTCTTAAAGGTAGTCCGGACCAAAAGATTGAGCAGCAACAAGATTTATTGTGAAGAACGAAAGAACAAAGCTTCCACAGCATGGAAGGGGACCCTAGTGGGTTTCTGCTGCTGGCTTGGGTGGCCAGCTTTTATTCCTTTATATGGCCCCACCCACGTTCTGCTGCTTGGTCCATTTTACAGAGTGCTGATTGGTCCGTCTTTACAGAGTGCTGATTGGTGTGTTTACAAACCTTTAGCTAGACACAGAGCGCTGATTGGTGCATTTTTACAGAGTGCTGCTTGGTGCGTTTACAAATCTTAAGCTAGACACAGAGCACTGATTGGTGTGTTTACAATCCTTTAGCTAGACAGAAAAGTTCTCTAAGTCCCCACCTGACCCAGAAGCCCAGCCAGCTTCACCTCTCACTGCCACCGTGTGTCTTCCCTACCTTGGCATCTTTCACATCTAGCAATGTGGAGAGTAAAGAGGGTGTGTGGAAGATCTAACAGGGAAGTTGATAAGTATTTAATAGCAAGGACTGGAATTGCCATCCCTCACTGGCCACATCTCAAATACAAGGTTCCATCTAGATTCAAGTGTGTGAGAACTAGGAAATATAGTTTTGTTGTATGCACAGGAGAAAAATGAAACAGTTTCATGAACATTGTTTCCATTGCATCATATGCTCCTTCTTCCCAATTCTGTGGTAATTGTTTCCCCTTTTCCTAAGTCAATAATGATGGAATGTGTAAGAGGAAAGAAACCATTTAATAATGAAGGAAAAAAAATATATCAGGAGATATTTCAAAAGTATTACTCCTATTACCTTTCTAAAGGCCCCTTGTGGTACTCAGTTGCTAATGCTGACCTCTTCATATTTGAGGTTTGAATTTTGACTAATGAAGGCTGGTTTAATTTTGTTCTAAATCTCCTAACTTGTACAATGGGACCCTCTTGACCTGCTAGGTATGTAATTGAGCATAATAAAGTGATGGCTAAATTTTCAGAAAAGTAGTTAAGAGAAATTACTTTCTTAATACATTTGGATTTCCAAATACAACACTTTTCCGGCAAAAGTTGAACAAATGTTAGAGCTGATTATAATAAATATAATTCACAAATACTTTCAAAAGTAAGGTGTGTAATAGCTGGAAATATATATTATTCCATATATACATTAAGAATGATAGTTATAAATGAGAACACATGGAGACAGGGAAGGGAACAACACACACTGGGACCTGTTGGAGGAGGGCGGGTCAGGGGAGAGATTTAGGGAAAGAAAACAGCTGATGCGTGGTGGGCTTAATACCTAGGTGATGGGTTGATAGGTGCAGCAAACCACCATGGCACACACAAGTTTACCTATCTAACAAACCTACACAACCTGCACATGTATCTCAGAACTTAAAAAAATAAAATAATTAAAAAAAGAATGATAGTTACAGATGGATTTTTCCCTGGCTTGAATTATGCTGTAGACTTGAAACATCAACATGCAATAACTACAAAAATAATCATTAAACTTGTAACAATTTGAAATAACAACATGTAATAATTACTAAATTGAAAAGCATTAATTTTTGGAAATGATATTTAGGGTCATCGTGTAATGCAGAAATACCAGTTGAAATTATGATTATATAATTATAAAACCAGCTTGTTTTTCTGGAAACATTTTACATTTATATTTGATGTTGATTCTTCTCTCTTCTAAAAAACAAAGTAGATTAACTTTCATCCTTAAATGATTGACCTATAACCTTTCATTATTAATATTTTACCAGAAGATTCACATATATTTACAAAAATGTTTCTATATCTCATCATCATAAACATATGGGGGAAGGATACTGGGAAGATTGTTAATAACTTTTGGTTCAGAATGTAAGTTATTATTGATAGTAAAGTTCAAAGTAATGGAAACTGGTGCCTTCCTGCATTGATGACTTAATTTTTATGCCTGCTTTCATATCATTTAAAAATTTTCTAAATATTTCCCAATTCAAGGTGGTACATTAAAAAATTCACTAGCTAAGAATGATAACAGTGAATGTAATCGACTATAAGTTTTAATGGCTTAAGAGCAACAGTTAGTGTTCTCAGTCCCTTCTTTTTTGAAATGACTGATTTCATTTGTCTCACATATTGTTTCTGGAATATTTCAACAATCATTTCTTAGAATCCTGTTATTGCTTCATGAAAAGCTGAAACACATTAGCGATTATCATTGGTGACAGAGACATCACAGTTCTGGAAAGGAACATATGGTCCCTTTATGTCAGAGATTGAAAAAAATATTCAAGGCAAGCAATGAGTTTCTGCTGTACAATAAACTTTTCATTTTATACGTGGGAATAATTTCTGGACTTCTGCTATTTTATGACTAGGAAAAATATACATTAAAAATCAGAGCTGCTGACATAATTTACATAATGTAATGACTCATGTTTAGTTTACGTTGGTTTTAGTGGCTCTTAAAATACAGAAAATTTTAGAATGGCCTTGAAAATAGAAAACAATATAAATAATCTCAAATGGAAATTTTGAGGTTATTGTAAAACAAAGTACTGAATACTTTTCTCACTTTATACATACCCAAGTTCTTCTAGTCATAAATTCTGCCCAGTCATCGCATTCTTGATGCTGTATAGGATCCAAGATACAGCATTTCTAGAGGCGATTCCTAGTTCTCTGTTGTAAACAGGGAGTCCTAGGAATTTTTCCTAAAATTAAGTTTAATCATATACTGATAATAAATGACAACAAAATTTATCCTTTAATAATTACTTAGTTTCATCAAATATAGATTTTTTATTAGTGGTCTATTGACATACAAAGTCAGCAACTGTTTCTATCTTTTCTAGAATGCTACATTCTTATTTGTGAAGAGGAATGTCACAGACAGAACATATAATTGGCAATTAAATGATTTGAATGTTATTACTAGTTCTGTTTTAACTATCTGTGTCACTAAGGGTAAGATATTTAACCTTTAGAGAACTTAGTTTCCTCTTTTGTAAAAAAGAGCAACAAACTAAACCATTTCTCTAGGTCCTTCTAATTCTAAAGTTCTAAGAGTCTATGATACTATTATTCTAGCATAGCCAGCCCAGCCTCAAAGTCCTCATGCTAGTGAAAAAAAAAAAAAAAAAAAAAAAAGGCTGCAGTAAACGTTGTTGAATTTCTCCCTGGCATCCTTCCTGTATCCTAAAATAGTCTAATTTTGTTTTGGTATCTCCCTCCCCTTTCTCTCTCTCTCTCTCTCTCTCTCTCTCTCTCTCTCTCTCTCTCACACACACACACACACACACACCACACACGTGCACACACACACACACATCCTGAGTTGAGCTCTGAGTATTTAATACAAATCAGAGCAATCACACCCCTGGGCCAGTGATCAATAAAGGAATAGACATGTGCTACCATTTGCAGATATGAGGGATTTCTGGGACAATTTTTCCTTCATTATCTGGGAGACCTTTTAAGAGAGGGATTATTCAACTGGAGGCATAAAAGGAAGGATTCAACCCCAGGCTAATGGGCAGCTGTCCTCCAAGGAAAGCAGCTGTTATGATGTTAACGCTGTGGAAAACAGAGTGAAGGACCAGGATCCCTGATGACATTAGTAAGTTGACACAATAGTCGAGATAGAAAAGTCTTCATGTTTTGAGAGACTTTGAGTTTTATTATTATTTAGCCAGTTTGAATTAGGTTTTCACTTAATGACAGTTGAAACATCTAATATGATGCCATTGCATCCCATTAGAAAATACACATGAAAGCCCTTTAGGAAGTCAAATGTGTTATAAAAAATTTAAGGGCTAAATTGTTTGATTGAACCACTTCTCTGAAACGAATCTGCTTTTATAAATTTAATTGTCCCATAAATATTTATTGAGAACCTGTCATAGGCTGGGCAGTACATTCAGAGTACATAACTTTAGGACACATACTAATTAGTGGACTTCCTTAAGGCCATGCAGGGGGACTGAAGCAGAAGTAGAGAAAAGATTAGAAATCTTGATTTCTAATTCAACCAAAAGACTTTTTTATATGCCTTTTAGCATCTTGATAAAATGTTCACTTCTGGGAAAGACATTTCTACTTAGGATATGCTGCTTATAAGGCAATGTTAGGACATTCTGATCATAAGGCAATATTAGGACATTCTCTGCTACAAACAAGCCATTTTACAATTCTCTGACACTGTTCCAGAGGGGAAATTGGGTGATAGAAGGAGCAAACTAACAAAAGTTCATCACTGCTACAGGAAAATCAGATTTGGGGGCAAGTAGTGTCTGTTGCCTTTCAGTACATCATGTCTAAAATGCACACGATTGATGACTATCTCATTTTCATTACCACTTTCTCACTCTAATGCAGATTCTTTCAACCTCATGACTTGGTTAATGCCAAACTTCCTTCATTCATTCAACAAATATGGAGTTCTTACTGTGTATGGCAGACATGGTGCTGTTAGGATCTGAAAGTTCTTGCTTTACATCTTTCATGCCTCCCAATAGTTTTCAATAAAACTGGCAAAAACCTTCAACTGTCTTTCAAGATTTTCTCATCCTACCTACCTTTTGACCTTATCTTCTGCTACTATCTTATAGGACTTTTTTTTTTATGTTGAAACTTCTTGGTCCCCAAATGCTCTTTGCAATTAACCACTCACTAGTTTTACTTTTAGAACTTTTTTTATTCTTGCTTTTCTTAGTCAACTTCTTTTTAATCCAAATACAGATTAGCTGTCATCTGTTTTAAGAAAAATTATTATAAATCTAGCCTTTTGCACCCAAAGTATTAAGTGTAAAGGCAAAATAAGAACAGTTTTGGAAAACAAGGACTCAGAAAATTTGCCTACCACACTGCCTTCCTAAAATTATTGTTTGAGGATATAATTTCGTAAAATAAAAAAATACAAGAAATAGGACAACATGAAAAACAAAAAAAATGTGAGTGACATTTGGTTCTTCAGATATAATTAGATACTTAATACATTAAAGCAATCAATTTGTTTTTTTGGTGTGATTAGGGTGTTTTTAATTTTTTTCAATTTTATTTACATTTTCTAATTTTTTAACTATGAACAAGCACTATTTTGACTGTCAAAAGAAAACAAAAAATACAATTTAAAAACATTTAACTGTTACTTTAGAATATAGATAAAGAAAGTTTTTCTTCTTGAAAATGGCTTCATGGTACAATCATAAAGATACTTAGAGTCTTAGTAGTCAATTTTTAAGACAGTGCTTTTACAAAATGCTTTACTTCTATTGGAAATATCAAAAATACCTAACCATAGAACCTTGTTTATATTAATTTCCCTCTGCTTTATTAAGGTATAATTGACAAGTAAAAAAGTATATATTTAAGATGTACAGTGAGATGTTTTGATTTATACATATATTGTGAAATGATTATGACAATCAAGCTAATTAACATATCTATCATCTCACATAATTACCATTTGTGTGTGTGTAGTGAGAATACTTAACGTCTACTGGCTTAGTAAATTTCAAGTATCCAATACATTATTATTTACTATAGTCACCATGCTGTACTTTAGGTCTCCAGAACTTATTCTTCTTGAAATTGGACGTTTGTATCTTTTCAACAACATCTCCTCATTTCTCCCACTACCCTGACCCTTGGTAATCATCCTTATACTCTCTGTTTTTGTAAGTTTGAAATTTTTTAGATTCCACATATAAGTGAGATGATGCAATATTTGTCTTTGTGTATCTGGGTTATTTCATTTATGATAATATCCTCCAGATTCATCTATATTGTCACAGATGGCAGGATTTTCTTCTTTTTAAAGGCTGAATAATATTCCATTATTATAAAGCTGTATATATACCTATAGATGTATAAGATTAGCATTTTCTTTATCCATTCATCTATTGATGTACACTTACATTGTTTCTTTTTCTTGGCTAATGTGAATAATGCTGCAATTAACATGGAAGTGCAGATATCTCTTTGAAACAGTAATTTTATTTCTTTTGGATATATACTGAATTGGGGATTGCTGGATCATATGGTAGCTCTATTTTAATTTTTTGAGACTCTTCCATACTGTTTTCCATAATGACTGTACCAATTTACGTGCCAACCAACGATGTATAAAGTTTCCCTTTTCTCCACATCCTTGCTGAAAATTATCTTTTGACTTTTTGATAATAGCTACCCTAATAGGTATGAGGTGAAATTTCATTGTGGTTTGATTTACATTTCCCAGATTAATAGTGTTGAACATTTTAAAAATATTCTGTTGGCCATTTGTAAGTAGGTCCTTTGCCCAGTTTTAATTGGGTTATATGTGGGTTTCCTTTTTGTTGTTGTTGTTGTTATTGAGTTATATGAGTTTCTTATATAGTTTGGATGTCAATACCTTATCAGATATGGTTTGCAAATATTTTTCCCATTCTACAGGTTGCCTTTGTATTATATTACTTTTGATATATCCATATAATAGAGAACTATGCAGTAGTAAAAGCTGATGTTGTAAAGGCATGTTTCTTGGCATGGAAGGATATAAATTTTAGCATTAAGTGAAAAGAAGTGTTGTCTTACATTTCTAAGAAAAACACAGGACAGACACAATAAAATAACTAATTTTTTTCTAAGTGATTAAATTATGGTTAATTTTTGATTTCTGCTTTCTACTTTCTATATTTTATATAATAACTATGTATTTCATATATTATAAAGCACTTTAAAGTATATACTAGTGAGTTTCTTGGAGTATAAGAGAAATTACTTGAGTTGGTAGAAATTACCTGCAATTACACACAGGGGCATAAGGGATCCAGGAACTCCCAGCACCTTTTTCGCTGGGACCTAGATCCTCCAAAACTATGATGTACAACAGACTTTAAAAGGTCAGTCAGTCTAAGTACATCAGCCTGAGTTTGGGGAACCAGGTTTCCCTCTGTTTCCTTGACATCTATATTACCAAAAAGAAGTTATTACCGTCTATATTACTAAAAACACTGGTTAAGCTTGCCATAATGTGATGTAGATTGCTATTCAGCAATGGCTAGGTCAAATCTCCTTAGAGGCACAAGCCAGCTCCATGCTTACTTTCAACTAAGGCACCCAATTTTTAATCAAATTATTAATGAAATGTGCGAGCAACAAGAAATATGCTTAGAGAAAGCAAGAATTCCTCAAGAGAACACCACAGACTGTTCTACAAGTTCATATAGGTGAGGTGGGAGTTTGCTCAGTGCAGTGAAAAGTAAGCATAAACAGGTTACCAGTCCTAACCGAGAGAAAAGATTTCTCTAATAAGGCATATCCTTCCTCTGTTTTTATGCTATCTATATTTATATCTATGTCTACATCTAATTTGTCTATATCTATGTCCATATGTATACCTATAAGTATCTCTAAATCCATATCTGTAATTTCCCACCAAAACCTTGAAGCCACTGTTCCATTTTTTTCAGGGACCCAGTACTGTTGATTAGAATTCTGATGTCATTCTGATTCCCATTTCTTTGTTGATATCAAATTTTAACATTCTGGAAGTTTTCAGAATGCTTTCCCTCTTCACTGAATTCAGTAAATGTCTAGATGTCCAGAATGGCTAATTAGTGTAGATGTAGTATAAACATTTATTAAATATCCTGATGATGATTGTCTTGTAGCCCACCCCTATTCTGATTGCAGTAGCTCCATTGAGTTGTTTGCTTTCAGGAATTCCACCTCCGATTTTTTTTTTTTCTTGCTTGTGCCTTGGTGGGCTCTTTCAATATAAAGACTCATGTCTTTTAAGCTTTGGAAGTTTTCTTCTACTAGTGTTACTTTATTATTATTATCCTTATCTTCTTGAGTTCTATTTAGTCTATCTGGAGCTTACCATTTCTCTTATATTTTCCATTTCTATGTTTTTGTTTTTGTTTTTTCCCTAAAAGATTTATTCAATCTTATCTTGCATGGCACTAATTTGGTCTTTAGCAATGTTCATTCGTGATTCTTCTTCACTGAAATTTTTATGTAGAAAAAACCTTATGAGCTCCTTTCCAAGAACATTTTCTTTTTCTTTGACTGCTTCATATATTTATATATATATATATATATATATGAATATATATGTATGTGTGTGTGTATATATATATGAATGTAGATGTATATATATAGCAGTCTATTCCAGTTTTATGGATGCAGGTGCTATTTTCTCTGAAATTAATTTAGAATTATTTAAAATTGTCCTTCTGCAGGCCGGGCATGGTGGCTCATGCCTGTAATCCCAGCACTTTGGGAGGCTGAGGCAGGAAGATCACCTGAGGTCAGGAGTTCAAGACCAGGCTGGCCAACATGGCGAAACCCCATTTCTACTAAAAATACAAAAATTAGCTGGATGTAGTGGTGTGTGTCTGTAACCCCAGCTACTCAGGAGGCTGAGGCAGGAGAATTTCTTGAACCCGGGAGGCAGAGATTGCAGTGAGCCGAGATCATGCCACTGCACCCCAGCCTGAATAACAGAGCAAGACTCTGTCTCAAAAAAATAAAATAAAATAAAATAAAAAATAAAATTTTCAATCTGCAAAAACTACAAAACACTGTTTAAAGAAATCATACATGACACAAACAAATGGAAACACATCCCACGCTCATGGGTGGATAGAATCAATATTGTGAAAATGACCATACTGCCAAAAGCAATCTACGAATTCAATGCAATCCCCATGAAAATATCACCATCATTCTTCACAGAATTAGAAAAAAAAATTCTAAAATTCATATGGAACCAAAAAAGAGCCCACATAGGCAAAGCAAGACTAACAAAAAGAACAAATATGAAGCCATCTTACTACCTTATTTCAAACTATACTATAAGGCCATAGTCACCAAAACAGCATAGTACTTATATAAAAATGGGTACATAGACCAATGCAACAGAACAGAGAACCCATAAATAAACCCAAATACTTACAGACAACTGATCTTCAACAAAGAAAACAAAAACATAGAATGGGGAAAGGACAACCTTTTCAACAAATGGTGCTGGGATAATTGGCTACCCACATGTAGGAGAACAAAACTGGATTCTCATCTCTCACCTTACACAAAAATCAACTCAAGATGGATCAAGAACTTAAGCCTAAGACCTGAAACTATAAAAATTCTAGAAGATAACATTGGAAAAACTCTTCTAGACATTGGCTTAGGCAAGAATTTCAGGACCAAGAACCCAAAAGCAAATGCAATAAAAACAAAGATAAATACCTGGGACTTAATTAAACTAAAGAGCTTTGGCACAGGAAAAGGAACAGTCAGCAGAGTAAACAGACAACCCACAGAGTGGGAGAAAAACTTCGCAATCTATACATCTGACAAAGGACTAATATTCAGAATCTATAACGAACTTAAACACGTCAGCAAGAAAATAAAAAAAACAAGCAATCCTACCAAAAAGTAGGCTAAGGACATGAATAGACAATTCTCAAAAGAAGATAAACAAATGACTAACAAACATATGAAAAAATGCACAATATCACAAATGATCAGGGAAATGCAAATCAAAACCACAATACATTACCGCCTTACTCCTGCAAGAATGGCCATAATAAAAAAATTAAAAAACAGTAGATGTTGGCGTCGATGTGGTGAACAGGGAACACTTCTACACTGCTGGTGGGAATGTAAGCTAGTACAACCACTATGGAAAACAGTGTGGAGATTCCTTACAGAACTAAAAGTAGAACAACCATTTGATCCAGCAATCCCATTACTGGTTATCTACCCAGATGAAAAGAAGTCATTATATGAAAAAGATACTTGCACATGCAAGTTTATAGCAGCATAATTCACAATTGCAAAATCGTGGAACCAATCCAAATGCCTATCAATAAATGAGTGGATAAAGAATCTGTGGTATCTATCTATCCGTATATAGATATAGATATATATGATGGAATACTACTTAGCCATATAAAGGAACGAACTAACGGCAATCACAGTGATCTGGATGCAATCAGAGACTATTATTATAAATGAAGTAACTCAGGAAATGAAAAACAAACATCGTATGTTCTCACTGATATGTGGGAACTAAGCTATGAGGACTCAGAGGCATAAGAATGATACGATGGACTTTGGGGTCTTTGGGGGAAGAATGGGAGGGAGGCAAGGGATAAAAGACTACAAATAGGGTGCAGTGTATAATGCTTTGCTGATGGGTGCACCAAAATCTCACAAATCACTACTAAAGAACTTACTCCTGTAATCAAACACCACCTGTACCCCAATAACCTATGGAAAAATGAAAAACAAGACAAAACAAAAAAAACTTTATGCTAAGAGAAAGAAGCCAGTCACAAAATGTACATCTGTGTGTTTCCATTCATATGAAATGTCCAGAATAGGAAAATCCACAGAGACAAAGTAGATTAGTGGTTGTCATGGGCTGGAAGTAGTGGTGGAATGGGGGGTGACTGCTAATGGGTACAGTATTTCTTTTTGGAATAAGGAAAATGTTCTGAGATTAGGTTGTGATGATTGAGAACATCTGTGAATACACTGAAAACTACTGAACTATACACTTTAAAAGGGTGAGTTCTATAATATGTACATTAATAAAATTTTCCTTCTGCAGTATCATTGTTTCCTCTAGGGTTAGGGGTTCTGTTTATTTATCACGATCCTTCTCTTCTAAACTGCTCATTTTTCCCAGTCTTAAGGTCAGCTGTAAGGCTCAGAAAGTCAGATATTTTCTGACTCTCAGTTGTCTCTTCATATTTGTGAAGGAATAACTAGTTTGATAATTCTGGACAACTAATATTGGGGTTCCTCTGCAGTTATGTGGGCCAGTTTACACTGAAGTTGTCTTCTTGGAATGAAGGAGGCTAAGGTCTTCCTTTTTGAGTACAGGTGAGCTTAGTCCCCCATGACTGATGATGTTAGGAATCCAGGGTTATGTCAGGCTCTGTTCTGTTTATCTCTGGCCCTAACACCCATGCTGGGATTGCTTGCCAGGAAGGCCTTTTTACTTTATTTAGCAACATCCTTGCTGGTCTGGAGCCTGTGTGCTCAGAATCATTCCTTGCCCTTGCTCTGCTCTGTATCATAGGAAGACTGACTGCAGCAGGCTACATTTCCTGGGTTTCACCCAAGATGGTTCTGGCTGGATTTGGCCAATGGGACACAGAGGCAGCAGATTGAGATATGGGAAAGGATGATGAAAACACCTTTTCCTCCTCCCTCTTTACCTGTTTATCTTGGATGGTATCTCCAGAAATAGCATCAATTTTCCCTGGACAGGTTGCCTTTAAATTGCTGCTGAGTGACCCGACCCCTTGTCTTCAGGGATACCAACTCCATCCTGCTTCCTGTTTCTGCCTTCTATCCCCAGTGTGGCTTCTCAGCAGCACCAGCCCCTGGGTAATTGGTTCTGTGTATTAAATTCTGCCTGTGGTAAATACTTCATTTCCATTTCCTGGTTGGACCCTGGCTAATATAGTAGGCTGCTTTAGGGTTAGGAAAAATTCTGCAGCTGCATTGTATTTTTGGGGGCATGATGATGGCTAGTTAGTCTAAGTGTATTGTAGATATTTCTTAGATTAAATATTCCATAGCTCTCTCCTCCTGATATGATTGTATTTTCTCCAATCTGTTTGCTGTCTCCCAGAAATTCTCCAAAATTTTCATCAACTGAAGGGGCCACTCTTACTTTCATTACATGTAATGATTTCTTCTCTTTTTTCATATCTTAACTGGCAGTGCAGCATAGGGGCTCACTTCATAAGCCCGGATTCAAGCTCTGGCTCCTCCAATTACTGTTTTACCACTCCACACAAGTTCCTTAACTATTTTATGCCTCTACTTTTATATCTGTAAAATGGGAGATCCTGAGAATTCAATGCTATACACGCAGAAGAGTGCCTGGCATAGTTGGTACTCAACAGAAATTAGCTATCGTTGTTTTAGTTGCTATTATTATTTAAAATTTTATTTTAATCAAATTTTGGTATGGAAGAGAGATAAATGCCCATACTAGTCAACTATCTTGAACTGGAAGCATGAGCCTGACTTTGAACTATTAAAATGCTAATCAGCATGTGATTAAACAGCACATGCAAAAGAAAAAAATGAAAAGAAAAATGGTAAAATCTGCTTGTGATAAAGACAAGAAGGTAGGTAGTAATTACAAAAAGCAGCCTGACAGCACACATTTGCAAGAGGACTCCACATCAAATGGCACTTCAGATTATATTGAATCTTTTTTCTTAACAGGATAAAATAAGTAAAGATTTCCTTCCCCAAATATAGCTTTAAATGCCTGGAGCAATAATTCATATTGGCACTACCCTTGCTTTATAATAGTTTTTGTAATCTTTTGGAATAAGTCTTCTTTTCAACAGCAGATAAATAATGTAAAACAAAATGTTCTATCTTCTACCAGCCCTGAAAAATTATTTTCTCATATTTGTAAAAAATGGCATTGCAAAACCTCACAATAACATAGGTTGAGCCAATTCCAGTCCTTTGGGATTTTCTTTCATTTTAACTAGTATTTCAACTTGCAATTTGATTTTAATTTTATAGCAAGATTTAAGAGCAAAAGTTTCTTGGAAGATATCTGGATGCCAAGTTAATTCCATTACATCTCTTTCTAGAAAATCTGTCTTCAGATATAAGGGCCTCAAACTATTGGCTGCTGACATGGCCTTGAGGACCATCTTTGTCTGTTTATTTAATTTATTTCCATTGTTATCTTAATGCCAAGAGAAAGTGACAGGCTTTGACAGTATTCAGCTTTATTTTAATGTCTATATGATTCTGACTTTATTACAAAATTTCTCTTTTATTTAAAAAGTACTTTCTTATTCAGCAGTTTTGTTAGTTACTCCAAAAATGATATTTCTTTGTTCCTTAAAATATTTGTGAATCTTAAGTTGCAAAATGATCTGAAAAACAAAAATAGGTTATGATAGCTGCATATAGAAAAACTGGATTTTAAAATAAATGCAAAAATTTACATTGTAAGTTGTAAAAAGAGGCATTTAATTTGTTAAAAAGAAGCATTTAATTTGTTCTTTAATAGACTGTCATAAAAGTTATACTTTAATATAATATTTAAAAATTTAATTGAAAAAGTTATATTTTACAGGTAAAGAATTCTCTGAATGATATGCTTTTGCCATGTCAATTGTCCTTTAAGTGAAAAAAAAATGTCTGTGGAGACAAAAAAAATACATGATTGCCATACTATTTTGTTGTTGTTGCTGAGTATTTGCTTAAAAATATCTACATGATGAGTAACAAGTAATTCCTGGTCCCAGGATATTACAGCTGTAACATTCAAAACACAGATTCAATATCAAAACACATTTATTATGCCTAAAAAAAGTGCCTTGCAAAATGTGCTTTGTACCAAAGCATGAAAAGTTTGAACATGAGAATAAACTTGACCAACTTCTTTTGTCTTTATAAGATTCAATGCTTGCCAAAGTGTACATCTGTTTATTCTACGCGATTACTAATCTTTCTTTTTTTTTTTTTTTTTTGAGACGGAGTCTCACTGTGTCACCCAGGTTGGAGTGCAGTGGCATGATCTCAGATCCCTGCAACCTCTGCCTCCTGGGTTCGAGTGATTCTTGTGCCTCAGCCTCCCAGGTAGCTGGGATTATAGGCACGTGCCACCACGCCCTGCTAATTTTTGTATTTTTAAAAGAGACAGGGATTCACCATGTTGGCCAGACTGGTCCCGAGCTCCAGACCTTAAGTGATCCGCCCACCTCAGCCTCCCAAAGCACTGGGATTACAGGCATGAGCCACTGCGCCCTGCTGATTACTAATGATTTCCTCAGAGTTTACAGCATCCCTTCTGGGCTTATGCACATGTGGCAAAACTATCCTCTTTTTTTTTTTAATGATAATGAGTGAAAACTGAAATTACTTTCAATAATCCAAAAGCAACTCTAGAAGGTATCTATTTACACAGTAACTTGTGTTCAAATGCCACAACAATTTTATCTCCAATTCAAGAATCCATGGAAGGAAAAAAATATGTTGTGCCTTAGGAAATATCTGCATTTAGTAACCTAGTGAGAACATTTCCAGTGGAAAATGTGTCAGTAATTGCTGGGAGATGCAATGGAATGTCAGAAAGTGAAAAATTAGCAAAGTGATAATCCTTAGAAAAAATTATACTTTACTATTACAGTTTTCAACACTGAAAAAGAAATGTTTGATTCTACATAAGTATAAATGCCCCATCTTTATCTGTCTACATAGTTGTTTTATGTAAAATTAACAAATAATATAATTTGCATGACTGCATAAGAAATATAAATAATTTGCAGCAAAATATAATTTTTAGCCATTAATCTCAGCTGAATAAGACTACTGAGTTTAATGAAGGCTCTTCTATTCCTACACACAAAATCCTAATTACCTCTATTCTTCCTGAAGAACAAAATCTCCAGACACATTTACTTCAATAAAATGAGTTTATTAAGCCTAAAATTCTAAGTAGAAGGCAATCTAGAGGGTGAATAAACAGAAACAGTCAAGGACATAATGTTCATGAAACTGTATAATACATTTAATTGAAAGAACTGACAGATATTTCAGAATGAACTTTCAGGATTAAATATGATTGTAAATAGTAAGAAAAAAAAAGATGTATATATTAGGCACAAACACATCCAGTTTTAAAAAACAGAATTTAGCAATGTAGAGAGCCGGTGCTACCAAACATCTCTGAAATATGTGCAGGTATGTGTTTTTGTATGTGTATATATTCATATAATGTGTGCATATATATTTGCACAGAGGAAAATGTGACAATAACATAGTCTTTTCAGCATGTGGAAATGGGAAACAGAAAGTTCAAAACTTCCAGCTCCCCTCCTATATACACATACATCCATATACACACACAGCCCATACACAAACCCTCACCGATATTGAGTGAATTCTAACTTCAGGACTAAGTTGTTATTAAATCTTTCTTTTTCTCTAACAGTGTTTTCAAAATTTCTTTATTTGTATTCACATTTTGAGATTTTTACTGTATTCATGTATCACTTGTACTATTATTTACTTAACATTTTTTTCTTAAAACAACTTACTTTTAAAATTTATCAAAGAGAAATCTCATTATCACTACTATACCATCAGTATCAATTGCCATAAAGAGATAATGAAAAAATAATAACGTTGGTAAGTTCTAGCTAGATGTTGTTGACTACCAAATGTTCTAAGCCTGAAGCTTGCTTTCTCTCTGTTAAAACATTAGATATTAAAGGCTAGCCCCCAAATGAGACTTTCTTTACTGAAGAAATTAAAGGATTGAAGCAAATTAGAAAAGAAAATAATTTTCTCATTATAGGTTTCTGATACCATTATTTGCCTGATTAGAGTACCACCTGATATTGTCTGGCATACCATCGAGAGTTGTCTCAAATACCAATAGTATCCCAGGCTGTGGGAGGCCTTGCTGTTTTCCAGTTGCCACTGCTATTTTGGTCTCTGCTTCTTTTGTTTTAGATAGTAGAATGAGAAAGAGTGGGGTACCTTAGTAATATGTGTTTTTCTACTTTCTTCAATGGGTAAGAAATATAAATAATGAGGAGTCTGAGATATCTAATCCATCAAAAGTGAAAATAATTTAGTAAACAATCTGTACCACTGGTGTAAACTGGCAACTCCACGTAAAAAATGTCACCAGTAATTGAACATCTCTTTCCTGTACTGCTCAATAATGTCCCAGAACTGAAAGACAAACATGAACTTAGGATTGGAAGCTAATAAATGAGACACTTTTCCTGGGAGGCTGAGGGTAGCAGGGTTAATGAATTACAGATGAGATTGTTTACATGAGTGGGTGCTGTTTGCTTTCCTTGACATCAGTGCTATCCTTTCCAGTCAGAGTAAGTTCACTGACAATAGAAGTGGGGAAGAGGAAACCAACCTAGCTCTAAAACAATGTTTAATTCCTTTTTAAATCTGTAATTCCAAAAGAATGTTTATGTTGCCTTTTTCTACTGCTGGGGAAAGGTTAATTTCTAGTTGGCTTTTAGTGCTACAAACTTGCTATTCAATAAGAAATATTTCCAAAACAACACGTTCTAGTTCAAGGCCAAGGCTGGTGTGGGCTTCTGTGTATGTGTAGTGGTGTGTGTATACTGCACTTTTCATAAATCCAAGAGAAATTTTAGAAGCCATTGTACGATCTGGATGAGTTAGGGGCTTAAAAGTAAGGAAAACAGGACTCTGCCTCCTCCTGTCTCACACTATTAGAATTCTCATGATCCAGAAGGGTAGTTCAGAACTACTGAACTAAAGACCCACTCAGAGTTGGCCCTGAAAAATAGTGGTGAAAGGAACTCACCACAATGTGTAGAGCTTTGGGTGGTCCATGTGGCTGAACTCTTATTCTGGAAGGAAAGATGGCTTAATGTATGAATGTACTTGATTCATAAACTGTGGCTAATGAACTGGTCGACTGGTCATGAATTTGAAATGAACACTTTTGGTGACAAAGGAGGTCTAGGGAACAGGTATATAGATGGATCTATTATAATGGGCACAGAGGGCAACACATTTGTGATTCATGTAAATGCTTACCCAAGGGCTTCATCTGTGAGGGCTTTTAATCATTAGGTAGATAATTGATCCCATCATGGATGTCAGACAGCTTCTTATTCCAGCACACTAGTGCCTGTTGGATGGGTCCACTACAAAGTGGCCCTGACATCAAGAATGGAGATTATGTGTGAGCTCAACAACAGAATCTTGCTCTCATCAAGGCTGATCTGGCTTCTAGACACTCAACTGAGTGTGCAATTTGACTGCAGAGAGGACAGCAATGAGTTCCTGCATCACATATTAAGGGAACGGCTGGCAACCTGCTCATCATGGAGGAGGCAGCAGTTGTCCACACAGGGACAAATGTGTATTCAGGAACAGATCTGCCTTTCCTGCTGGCTTCTGCCAGCATCTTGATTCATGGATTACAGATTGCTGTATCCATGGCAATCCACAAAACATTACCTTTGACCAGGAGATTTGTTTTAAAGCAAAGGAAGTGAGACATTGGACTGATGCCAGTGGAATTCACTTTGATCTTATTTGCGTTAAGGCCAAAACACTTACCTTGATAGAAGAGTACAATGTCCTGAGGAAGCTCAGCTACAGTGCGAGCTAAAAACATACTCTGTGAGATTTGGTACCATTTTACAAGATGCAGCTAATACCCCTTAAGCCAGCAGCTAATATTTGACTCTATCTACACAGTCAGAATATAACATCTAGGGACAAAGGAATGGAGATGAGATTGGCTGCTCTCACTATTTTACCTAATAGCCTACTGGTAGAATTTTTGATTCCTGTCCCCATAACTTTGTGTCTATGGAATTTAAGGTTCTAGGGAGCATTGCTTCTAAAAGGGGACACAATCATAATTTTGATAAATTAAATGCTGAGACTCCTCATTGTTTATTTTGGGTTTTAAATGCTTCTGAACCATCCATTCTAGAGCTTCTGATTGGGTTTAGTTAATGAATAGCTCTAGTGAGAGACTGGAGGGAGGAAGAAATGTGAAGTCAGGGTATTTATTTTCCCAACCATGTCCTTGTAGTTAGAAGAGTTGGGGACCATCTGGTCTTCACTCCTCTTCTTGTAGGTGAGGAACGTGAACTGAGAGGTACATGAACTGAGAGGCAAAGCTGTGATTTATATACAAAGAAACAATTTAAAAAGATTTTATTAGGTCAAAGCCTCAGGTAGGGTCTGGATAGGCCAGGGGCTGTAAAATCAAGTGATATCTTATGCCATCAAATGTCAAACAGGTGGGGAGAAGTGGTTTGGTAAGTACAAGTGTATCACACAAATTATTGGGAACTGGAGAGGGCATCATCCCCCTCAGCACTTTCTACTTAGCCTCAGCTGATTGCCACCAAGTTGGAAATGCAGTGCCCAGTGCTGTCAGACTGAGTTTTCTAGAGAAGCCAGAAATATGGATATTTGTGTCAAATGTCTGATTTTAAAGAACAGTTCACTTTAGCTTTAAACACTGAAAACCCTGGCAAAATAAACAGATGATCAGTGAACCACATAAGCTGGTATAAGCTACCACTGAAGAATTTTACTAAGGATCTGTGTGATTAGATCTGCAGTGAGAGATACCCCACCAATAGCCCTAGGGAACAGACTGGGCAGGAGCGGGGAAGACAGGACAAGGAGGCTAGTGGAGAATCTACTGGCATCCTCTAAATTAGAAATAATAACGTCCTGAAGAGCAGCAGGACTTAGGAGGAAGGCTTGGAATATAGAGATCATAAGAAAGAAAAATGATATCTGGGTGATAAGAAACAAGGAGCTCACTAATATAATTCTCAGGGTTTTGTCATGTATAAACATGAAGATTTTGGTGCCATTGACCAAAGTGTGGAAAGCATGAGGAAAAGAAACTAGGTGTGCAGACGAGGTCGGGCATCTAGAGAGGGAGTTAGCGTGTTCAATTGGAAATATGAACTTTGAGGTGTGCAGGCTGTAAGGCAGCTAGAAAGTTGGGTGTGGCGTTTTGAAGTTAGGTCAGCTGGAGAAACAACTGAGCTTTGAGATCCTGCTGATCAGAGAGGTGAGCGCTAAAGATAGCTAAGTGTAATACCCCAGGAGCATCAACTTTTAAGGTGGCATTAATTTGATTTATTAGCCCACAGAAAACTTTTTAATGATAATGCATCAACAGAATGCATACAAGAGCTCATCATTTATAATATGTGCTGGGAGGAATGTAGAAAACAATATATGATTTTTCTGGTAAATTAATTGCTGCAATATGTGAAAAAATGGTCTTCATATGCATGTTTTTATTTTGTAACAAAACCAAAAATTACCAAAATAATAATTTAGAGGAATCTTTTTTTTGACAAGAAAATGTGTCAGATTTTGAAAAAATGCAACATCTATCGGATGATTTTAATAATACTATCACTCCGTGTGCATTATTTTGCTTTTTTGCTTAAGTCACATCCTCATATTTCATTAGAAACCATATTGTTGCACTGGACCTCTATATTGAGTGGTCCTTGGAGACTACTTATGGGCTTTCACAGTGGTGCAGTCTGAACATGCTGTTTCATGCAGATATGTTGTGGAAAAGGTAAGCGTATACACATTTGGCAACCCCAGCTACTACTTAATTAGGCTGATCAAGAATTACCAATTGCTCCTTTTTGGAAAGTTCACTTTCCCTGCTTTATAATTTTTTTCCTAACTAAACCAAGAGTTGCAATTGTGTATCTTTATTTTTACTTATTAAGAAATGTTTGAAAACTAAGATGTCTCTTTTCGTTTACACGTTTCTTATGTCAGGTCCCCAGTAGCATGCAGTGACTGTATAGTGGTTAGCACTCTGTGTTGTGGCCACAGCAACCATGGTTCAAATCTGAGTCATGACATTGTGGGAACATGTTCCTTATTTCAGCCACAAATCAATGAGGTCTGAGTTTGTGTAGTATAAACATTTAATGTACAGTAAATATTTTATGACATGAATTTGTATAATATAAATATTTAATATACAATAAAGAATAAGTAATCATTCAATAAATATTTATTGCATGCTTCCTCTGCACAAATTTTCTTCTAGGTATTTGAAATCCATCCATGAATAAAATAGAGAGAAATCCCTACTCTTATGACTTTTGCATTTTGATGAGAATAAAAATATACACACAAAATGTATGTGTGTGGACATATTAAATTTCTGATTGTCTGGATTTTGTGGTCTTCCTTTAAAGAGTGCTTCTGGATCAAGTTTATTCTTTCCAGGATTATTTTTTTTTCTGATTTATAGAGACAGGGTTTCACTATGTTCTCAGGCTGGTCTTAAACTCCTGAGCTCAAGCAATCTGCCCACCTTGGCCTGCCAAAGTGCTGGGATTACAAGAGTGAGCCACCATGCCTGGCCTCAAGGCTTATTTATTTATTTATTTTAAGTTTTCTTAGAGCAAGTGTAAAACAGCCTTTATTCTAGGGCTAGGTAAGTCCCACTACTAAAGTGTGCCGCCTTTAGGGTGTGTAACAAGTGCCCTGGGTTTTCACTTGGGACTCCCCTGACTGTCAGAACTAAAATGGCTCCTGGACCTCTGCAAGTTCTGGAAAGTGTTCACTTTAAACTGCCCAGTCATCCTTTGCCTGTCCTTGTGGAGATTCACCCTACGACGGCACACCTTAGTAAGCAAAGACTCAAGAAGACTCCTAAGTAAGTTTCTGGATCTCTTTCTTTGCATGGATTTCTCCTCTGCAGGTTCCTGACTTGTCATCTCAACAAGACTGCACTTTGCTTGAGGACCCTTCTCTGATCCACAATCATGAAAGTACCTCTGAGCAGAAAACCAGGGCTACTGGAGGCCTCACCTCATTTGATTCCATTCTCTGAGGAGACACAATCTTGAGCTTTCCGTTATCAAATGTCATGTCTACTTACCTAGTTTTTTTATGAAGGGAGGGCAAATCTGGAGCTGATCACCCTGTTATAGACAGAAGCAGAAGTCTGATTTGGTCCTTGGAATGTTGCTTTTCCGCACCAGAGTGCAATAGGTTTTTTTTTTTTTTTAATTAAAAAAGAAGAAACCCAACAAAATAAAATCTAAAAACAATCTCAACAAAATTTCTGTATCTCAAAAAGACAAGGCAACACTTAAATTATCATAAGAGCAATACGGGCTCAGTTCAGAAAGGAAGATAACAAGGGCCTAGAGTGGTCCAGGAAGAGTCAACAGAAGAGAATTGTGCAAAGCTCAGAGAGATAAATTTGATAAAAAATACTTAAAAATAATAAAGCCAAATTTGTGTGTGTGTTTGTGTGTTTGAGAGAGAGTATGTTCCAATTTTGCTGAAGCATAATGGTCTTACAGGAAAATAGATGGTGATCCAGCTAGAATTATAAGCTGGGGCAATAGTAAAGGGTTTTAAAGATTAAATGTGGAGAAAAGGACATTCTGAGTATTTGCAGAAGCTGCCATTTCTAACTGGAAATCAAGTCCTTCTGTCTGCTTGAGCCATTGAGTCAATTCTGGAGCACAAGGAGAGGTGTCAGTTCCCGAAAACACTTTTTTGTTGACGGTGCCATCTTCATCCTTCAGTCTGTTTTACCCTGGCAATGTCAAGTAGTAATAAGCATATCTTAAAATAACAATAACCTTTCAATACAAAAGGTTCTTAATGTACCCTTTGCTCATTGCTTAAATAAGTATTGTACCAGCACTCACTCCATAATGTGCTGAAAGGCAGCTATTTAGGGAAAGCAAGAAAAACCCAACAACTATTTACTGACTCCAAGTAATAGCAAGAGTAGAAAAGGTATCTCTTTTGGAACACATGGACACATAGAGGGGAAGAACACAAACTGGGTCTTTCGGAGGGTGGAGGGTGAGAAGAGAAGAAGGATCATGAAAAATAACTAATGGATACTAGGCTTAATACCCGGGTGATGGAATAATCTGTACAACAAACCCCATGATACAAGTTTACCTATGTAACAAACCTGCACTTGTACCCCTGAACTTAAAATAAAAGTTAAAAACAAAAAGAAAATGTATCTCTTGGGATCCTTCTTAGTTTGTGGCTCTCCTTCCTCCACCATTGCCTGTTGTGTGGTGTTTCTCAATCTTTGTCTTTCTCTCTCTCTTTCGTTCTCTCTCTCACACACACACACATATACGCACATGCATATGCATATACCTATAAGCTTTTAGTAGACTGGAATAGTAGGAGACAACATAAGCCTATTTTTCCCACCTCTAACCATTCCTGTCATGTCCGCCTCTGTTCAAGTAAAAACTAGAATATAAGGAAAGCCATGACAATTAGCTCAAAAATTCATCCACTTCAGTGTTTCTTCTCTGACAGAGACAATCCAGTTTGTCTTCTGTCAGTTAATATTAAAATATATAAGGTACATTTCTAAATATCTCAGAGTACTTGAATGACATGTCATGAGCTATCAACACTAAATTTACTAAGCTTTTTAAATAACTATTTTGTAATTAATGACATATTGATATTTAAATAGGTTATATGTATACAGTATACAATCCAAAATGTTAAAATGGTATGTCCCTCTCTCATGGGCACTTAGTTTTCATTTCTGGAGGCAATCACTCTTACTTGTGTGTAATTTTGCAGAGATTATAAGTACACACACATACACACACACACACACACACACACACACACAGTCAGCCCTCTGCATCTGTGGATTTGACCAACTACGCATTGAAAATATTTGGAGGAAAAAATTGTATTTGCACTGAACATGTACAGACATATTTCCTTGTCATTATTCCTTAAATAATACACTATAACAATTGTTTACATCACTTTTAACTGTATTAGGTATTATAAGAAATCTAGAGATGGTTTAAGGTATACAGGGATATTTGTGTAGGTTATACATAAACACTATGCCATTTTAGATCAGGGATTTGAGCATCCACAGATTTTGGAATCTGTGGGAGGTCCTGGAACCAATCCCCCACAGACACTGAGCGATGACTATACCTATCGGTATAGCTCATCTACTTTTTTCTTGAATGAGATTTGGTAGTGTTGTCTTTCAAGCCACTCTCAAATTATCAAATTACTTAGCACAAAGTTTTTCATAATGTTATTTTATTATCCTTTTGAGATCTGTAAGATCTCTGTAGTGATGGTTCTCTTCCATTTCTAATGTTGGAAATCTGCAGTCTCCCTTATTATACATGCTTGTAAAAATAAACATATTATTTTATAACATAACATAACATTTATAATGTAACATTTATTATACATGCATGTAAAAATAAACATATATGTGTATTATATATACAATTTTACATCTTGCTTTACTTCTTAAAATATATTAATATACTCATTTTAACAAACACACATATATGTATAGCATCTACATAGTATTCTGTTGTATGAACATATCTTAATTGATTTAACTGGTCCATAATTGGTGGACTGAGTTTACTTCAATTCTTTTGCTATTACAAATATTGGTGCAATAATTACTCATGTACAATAATCAGTTTTGAAATGTGTTTATCTGTAAGATAAATTTCCAAAAGTATAATTATATTGTTTCAAATGGCATATGCATTTTCAATTATGATGGATATACTGAATTGCCATCCACAGACATTACATCAATTTGCATGCCCACCGAAATGTATGAGAGTGCTTGTTTTCTCATGTCCTTGTAACACACAGTACATGTTTTTTGATCTTTGGCAATCAGCTCAGGAAAAAGTGAGTTATCTCTTTTTAGTTTTAATTGGCTTGCCTTATTTTTACAAGTGAACTTGAGCAAATGTTTAAGAACTATTCAATTTTCTCTTTTCTAAATAGTTTATCCATTGCTCCCTTTGATATTAGGTTGTTGATTTATTTGTAGGAGCTTCTAATTTAGTAAACTACTTCTTTTCTGTGATGTGTATTGCAAATATTTTACCTGTTATTTCATGTCTTTCACTATTGATAATGTTATTTTTGCCATGTAGTAATTCCTAACTTTTAAATAGTTGAAATTATCAACTTTTGATGGCTTCTAGGTTTGGTATCATACTTAACCCTTCTATACTCTAGGTTTATAAACAAATCCTCTCATGTTTTCTTTTATTCCTAGTTGCTGACGGCTTTTATCATAATGGATGTTGAGTTTTGTTAAGTGCTTTTCCTATGTCTACTGGGATAATCATATAATTTTTTTCTTTTTTATCTATGAAAATGGTGAATTACATTGATTGGTTTTTGAATGTTAAGCCAACAGTACATTCCTAAGATAAAACTCAATTTAACAGAATGTACTGTCCTTTTCACATATTTCTGAATTCTAGTTCTTTCAACTTTTCAGAGAATTGCTGTGTCTGTGTTTAGTTTTCTTCTCTTGTAATGTCTATCTGAATAGTATTAGGTTAATATGGCCCCATAAAATAAGTAGTGTTCACCCCTCTTCCATTTTCTGGAGGATTTAGTGTAGGCTTGTCATCACTCTTATTTAAATGTTTGGTAGAATTCATCAGTGCACCCTCTCAGCCCAGATTTATCTTTGTGGAAAGTATATAAAATTTGAATTCAATTTATTTAATAGATATAGACTTATTATTTATCTATTTCTCAAATCGGTATAGGTCATCCATTTTTTCTTGAATGAGATTTGGTAGTTTTTGTCTTTCAAGCCACTCTCAAATTATCAAATTACTTAGCATAAAGTTTTTTATAATGTTATTTTATCATCTTTTTGAGATCTGTACGATCTCTGCAGTGACGTTTCTCTTCCATTTCTAATGTTAGAAATCTGTCTTCTCTATTATTAATCAGTCTGGCTAGAAGTTTATAAATTTTATTAATCTCTTTAAAGATCTGACTTTAGGTGTCATTGTTTTCCTCTATTGTTTCCTTTTTTCCATTTTATTGCTTTCTCTTATATTATTATTATTTTCTTCTTCTTTGACTTGAGTTATTTGGATGTGCCTTGTTTAATTTCCCAATCTTTGGGGGTTTTCCAAATATGTTTCCACTATCATTTTAGTTTAATTTAATTCAATTTTATCATTTAGCTTAATTCAAAGACATATTTTGCATGATTCATGTGCTTTTAAAGTAATTAGTATACTTATAAGTATATATTAATTATTATATTTGTTGTTATTGTATTTAAGAAACACAAATTTTACTTGTAAAGTTTTCATATGCACTTGATAAATATGTGTGTTCTGCAGTTTTGGGTTGAGTGTTCTTAAGTTGGTTGACAGTAATGTTCGGGTCTTCTGTATTCTTATTAATTTTTGTTTGTTTGTTTGTTTGTTTTGAGACAGGGTCTCACTCTGTCGCCTAGGCTGGAGTACACTGGTACAATCTCTGCTCACTGCAACCTCAGCCTCCCTGGTTCAAGCGATTCTTGTGCCTCAGCCTCCCTAGTAGCTGGAACTACAGGCGTGTGCCACCACACCCAGATAATTTTTGTATTTTTAGTAGAGACGGGGTTTCACCAGGTTGGCCAGACTGTTCTTGAACCTTATTGATTTTCCATCTGCTTATTATACCAATTACTAAGAGAGGAATGTTAAAATCTCCATTTTTTTTAGTTCAGTTTTTCTTAAGAGGTTAGTTGGATTCAGATGTCTTCAAGACTTGGTTTTTAAAGATGAGACTTTATTTTTTAGAGCAGTTTTAGGTTCACAGCAAAATCGAGAGGAAGGTACAGAGATTTCCCATGTACTTTCTACCACCACACATGCATAGCTTCCCCCATTATCAATGTCCCCAGCCAGGGTGATATATTTGTTAAATTTTAACAACCTACACTGACACATCACTATCCCTCAAAAACCATAGTTTACATTACAGCTCACTCCTGGTGTTGCGCATTTTATGGATTTGAACAAATGTATAATATGTATCCCCAATTATAGTATTATACCAAATAGTTTAATTAACTTAAAAATCCTCTGTGCTCCACCTATTCGTCTTCTCTCCCCTAACTCCTGGTAATCACTGATCTTTTTACTGTATCCATAGTTTTGCATTTTCCAGAATGTTATATAGTTGGAAGCATATCGTATGTAGCCTTTCAGACTGAGTTCTCTCACTTGGTAATATGCATTTAAGATACATCATCTTTTCATAGTTTGATAGCTCCTTTATTTTTAATGCTGAATAATATTCCATTGTCTGGAAGTACCACAATTCATTTGTTCATTCACCTACTGAAGAGCGTTTGTTGGTTCCAAGTCTTAGCAATAATAAATAAAGCTGCTATAAACATTTGCATATAGATTTTTGTGTGAGCATGATTACTGGATTGTATAGTAAGAGTATATTTAGTTTTGTAAAAACCAATCAAACCAAAAAAAAAAGTCCAACCCTCAAACCTGTTAAATCATCTTCCTAAGTAGCTATACCATTTTTCTTTTCCATAGCAGTAAAAGAGAACTCTGTTCATCCCACATCCTTGTCAGCATTTGATGTTGTCAGTGTTCTTCATTTTCACCATTCTAATAGGTATGTAGTGATGTCTCATTGTTTTAATGTGCATTTCCTTCATGACATATGATATGGATGATTTTTTCACATGCTTCTTTGCTATCTGCTATGGTTTGAATATTTGTATTTCCCTAGAATTTTGAAACCTATTCACCAATATGTTGGTAATAGAATGTGGGGCATTTGGGAGATGATTAGGTCATAAGGGCAGGGACATCACAAATGGGGTTAATGCCCCTATTAAAGAGGTCCCAGAAAGCAGCCTTGTTTCTTCCACCATGTTAGGACACGGTGAGAAGTCAACATGAAAAACCAGAAATCGGGCCCTCACCAGACCCTGAATCTACTGGAGCCTTGATCTTGAACTTCCCAGCCCCCAGAACTGTGAGACATAAATTAACTAACAGTTGTTTATAACCCACCCAGTTTACAGTATTTTTGTTATAGCGGCTGAAACAAACTAAGACACCATCTATATGTCTTCTTTGGTGAGATGTATTTTAAGGTCTTTGGCCCATTTTCTAATTGGGTTGTTATTATTGTTGAGATTTAAGGGTTCTTTGTACATTTTGGATAGCAGTCCTTTGTCAGACAGACATGTCTTTTGCAAATATTTTATCCCAGTCTGTAGCTTGTTTTTAATTTTCTTGACATTATCTTTCACAGAACAGAAATTTTTAATTTTAATGAAATCCACTTTGTCAACTTTCTTATTCATGAATTGTGTCTTTTGGTTTCATTATCTAAAATGTCATTGCCAAATCCAAGGTCATTTAGACTTTCTACTGTGTTAACTTCTATGAGTTTTACAGTTTCGCATGTTACATTTAGGCATGTGATCCAATTTCAGTTAATTTTTGTGAAGGGTGTAAAGTCTGTATACAGATTCATTTCTTTGCACATGGGTGTCTAGTTTTCCCAGAACTATTCATTAAAACAAATGACCTTTTCTTTATTGTATTGCAGTTTCCCCTTTGTCAAAGATCAGTTGACTATATTTATGTGGGTCTATATCTGGGCTCTCTATTCTGTTCCATTGATATATTTGTCTATTTACTCTCCAATACCACACTGTCTTATTATTGTAGCTTTATACCATCTTAAAATCGAGTAGTGTCAATCAGGCTTGTTTTTTAAGCTTTGTTAGGGTGGGTCTAAATCAGTCTTAACCTATGGCAAATTTAATCCTACTACTAAGCCTATGTACCTCTTACTACTCTACTGATAGAGTAGTAAGATTAGTAGTGATTTTAATGAATTTTACTACTTACCGCTCTACCTGATAGAGTAGTAAGAGGTATATAGGCATGTATATATATATATATATATATATATATATATATATATATATATATATATATGGTATATAGGCTTAGTAGTGATTTTAATGAATTTTACTACTTACTGCTCTGATAGAGTAGTAAGAGGTCTATAGTCATATATATACATATATATATATGTGTGTGTGTATATAGGCTTAGTAGTACCTATGTACTACTGATGTATTAACAGGCCTTCTCACACTGGCTGGTGGAACACCATTTATTTCCAGCTATTTCCAGCTATAGACTTGAGGAGAACCTATAGACTTGAGGAGAACCTTTTGCAAATCTCCATTGTTCTCTCTGTATGCAAATCCTACTTTTTGATACTCTACTTTGAAAATTGCTGGGACCTCAGCCTCCTCAAATCTTATTTTTGTCTCTTTGACTAAGTGAAATGACCAGGGTCTGTTTGGGTTGTCCCTTTTTGCACTGCAGTCTGGAAGATACCTGGGATTACAGGCATGAGCCACCATGCCCAACTAATTTTTTTTTTTTTTTTTGTATTTTTAGTAGAGACGGGGATTCTGCATGTTGGTCAGGCTGGTCTTGAACTCCTGACCTTGTAATCCACCCATCTTGGCCTCCCAAAGTGCTGGGATTAGAGGTGTGAGCCACCACACCTGGCTTACTTTTATTTTTCTTTCTATTTTTACACTTTTCTTTTCTTCTAATTGCATTGGATAACACTTCCAGAACAATAATACTAATAGCGATGATAGTGGGTTATCCTAGTCTTTCCATTTGTTTATATATCTAATTAGTGTCACATATTTTGGACATGAGTTCTGAATATACACAATCTACTAAGTAAAATGGTACTTTCTTAAAATTACATTTAACTTTTAAGATAAATTATAAAATATTTGATAATAATACTTTTATAATACTTTGTGCCACATCCCCAGCACCGCTGCCCCTCTTGTTAAAAAAAAAGTTTTATTTTTTTCTTTCCAAATGGTTACTAACCACAGTCTATAAAACAGTCATTCTTTAACCTTGTTCTGGTATTTTTTTCCTCTCTCTCTCTCTCTGTGTGTATATATAAATTTAGCATTAGAGATGTAAATACACCAAATTGTTTTATAAGATTTTCTAATAATGCATAACTTATTGTTGTTGTTAAAGATATTTTAAGAAAATGATGTATAATAAATAGCATCCATGTCCTTTTGTGGGCTGCAATTGATAGTTCAATGGTCAGGTAACGCTTCTCCTGGATCAGTTGGGCCCAGGGAATCTTTCTGACATATTCTGTAACTTCAGGTAGCCTCCTAAGTGACCTTTTTACTTGATGTCCTGGATTAGCTTCAAATATCTTAGATCTAGAATAATTACCATTACAATGTTGTAAATATTTATCTTGGTTTGAAATTTAGCTTCATATTGATAACTCATTTTATTTAAATTTTTAAAATATGATTTATTTTGTTCATTTTGAAAAAAGTCACTAATTCTATTACAAAGAAGTAAAAGACAAAATCTTAATAAATGAAAAATTTAGTTTTGGAAAAAAACCTTAAAAATGTAGTTTTATTATTTTTAAGTGCATGTAGTAATCTCAATAGTAACAAAAAATGGATTAAAACTTGCAGTCTTTCAGGCAACTATTTAATAAGGAGATACAAATAATTCAACTGCTTTTTTGTAAGTAGGTTCTACGAAACTGACAAATATTTTTCCTTCCTAAGTAGTTTATAGTTACTTAAAATTTTGTTTTTTACCCTTTCATTTAGCAAAGTGATAGTTTTATAGCATAAAAATAAACTTTAAAACAAGTCTAATCTTATAAACAGTGAGAAATCTGACCTTTACAAATGATATTTCTGCAAAAAGAAAAAGAATGGAATTTAATGGTATAAATCTACAACTTTATATATATATATATTTTATATATTATATATACAACATTTTATATATTATATATATATACACATAACTATATATAGCAACACATTCTATCTGTTGCCATTAAGTTGGTATATCAGTAAAGATTATTAAAAGAGTTTAACCCCAACAAGTTCTGACAATAGTATAATCATTCAATAAATACCCACTGTGGTGGACTGAGTTATTGGCCTCAATTCTTTCCTCATCTCGGAGTCCATGTTCTTTTTTTTATAGCTTTTTGGTGTCCCTTCACTTGAACTCTGGGCTCAGCAATGTTACTTCCTTTGGCCAATAGAGTGTTAGAAGAATTCATATAGCAGGTGGTTGAACGGAACATCCTAATTTTCATTCTTTGGCCATTGCTATAAGAAAACACTAAGCTAGTCTTACGGAGGATGAAACATATGGAATAGAGCCAACCCATAGATAAGTAAGTAAGCTAGCTAGACTTCAGACACATGATTGGGCATAGACAAGGCCAACCTAGATCAGCTGGAAACCAGCCAGCCCTCAGATGAATAAGTGAGCTATTTAAGATCAGCAGAGCCATCTAATTATTGCCTCTGATGTATGAGCAATAAGTTCTTGTTTTATGTCACTGAGGTTTCTTGCTGCTTGTTATGCAGCATTATTGTGGTGATAGGTAACTGATATATACCCATTAAGTGAAGAAATCTTATTTGAATTATCTCATTGTTTCACACATATACATTTATTGACTTCCTAAATAGAATAGAGGGAACTTGAGGTCAAGATGTCTGCTTCTTGATATCTTACAGCTCATCATGCCTTAATCATCCTACTCCATGCTCTGGTGAATTTTCAGCATAACTGTCAAACTTTTAAATATGTTTATTTCAAACACTTCAAATGTATTAATTATTATTATTATTATTTTGAGATGGGGTCTTGCACTGTTGCCCGGGCTGGAGTGCAATAGTGCTATCTTGGCTCACTGCAACCTCTGTCTCCCAGGTTCACGCGATTCTCCTGCCTCAGTCTCCGGAGTAGCTGGGATTATAGGTGCACACCACCATACGCCACTAATTTTTTTATTTTTAGTAGAGATGGGGTTTCGCTATGTTGGCCAGACTGACCTCGAACTCCTGACCTCTTGATCCACCGGCCTCAGCCTCACAAAGTGCTGGGATTACAGGCCTGAGCCACCGTGCCTGGCCCAAATTTATTAAATGTTATCTGTTTCTAAGTTTCTATCTGGAGCTATGGGTTCTTACTGCTTCATTGTATCTTTTTGAATAACTGTTTTCAATGAAAAATGAAATGGTATCTTAACATTTCCATCTATTCAACAGAAATAAATTGCTTTAAAATTATTCAAGTAAGCACCTTTACAACTGAAACTGGATTGATACAGGAAATATATTATGCCCACACAAGCACACAGCGCATATGTATGTAAATAAGGGCACCTGTATGTGTGTATACACACACACACAAATGTTAAACTGAACTTATATGTTTTTGCTTTCAAAAAAATTGCCACTTTTATCATTTAAATTATTTTATATGAATCTTTCAACCGACAGACAAAATTGACCTTTGGTGAGGAAATCTAACCTTTTATTTTCTTTATTTTCCCCCTCAATTCCAAATATGAAGTCTCAAAATTATATTAATATAGATTTTGCATTTAATATGCAATAAAACAACTTGGTAAGCATTAAATGGTAACAGTGATAAGCTTTTAATGTAGTTAAATATGGCAAAACAAATCAATACGTGGTTCTTAATTGATTTTGATTGTATTGTGTAGACAATCTCATTGGATTACATGCTCATTATGGAAAAGAAAGCAAAATCAAAATAAACAAACCAGTCCTCCAGCATTTCTAGCTGTCCTATCCACCTGCATGCATCTTCTTGTGTGAATATTAAAGGAAATTAATTTTGCACGATTGATATTAATTTATGTCATTTTCTTAAGAAGTTGTTCAGTTATCCTGAAATGTAGAAATAATTGGAAACAGTTCTAATGTAGATCAACTAATTATAAAAGACTAATCATGAAAGACTTGTGTTTTCAAAATTATGATTCAAAGACAGGTAGTTCAGTACACTAAGACTGTTGAAACACATTTTATAACTGTGCCATATACAGCCATATTTATATTTCCCCTTCATATATTTTGTATAACATAAAAAGTGTAAGCATCAAGCAGGAAGGGAAATTTTAAGATATTAGTTCAAAATAATGTAGTAACTTTGTTGGGCTCTAAGACATATTTTCATTCCAAATAAAAGAGTTTTTCTTCCCCTGAAAAAACAGAAATACAATCAACAAATACTATCTGACTAATTTGATATCAGTGATTCTCAGAAGTACATAAGACAACATTTCATTGCAGCAAAAGTGAAATTATAAAAAAATTAGAAATTACCTGAGTCATTTTTTAATTCATGATATTTATGCTAAAATATCGAGTAGGTTGATTATTGTTAGGTCAGTTTCCCTACTGCAGAGCCTGAATTGAGGATTCCTTGCAAATGATTTTTTTTTTTTGAGGGAATGTTCTCAGAAGGAAACTGTTAGGAAATGACAGAAGCCAAATAAGGTAGGTGGAAAACCTAGGAAAGGATATGCTTTTAACAGAAGTCTAGACTCATCCTGATCCCATGTGGAGCTCTAGAGAGTTTGAATGGCTCCTAGGAGTTGTTCCACTGAGACAAATTATATTTTGTACTTCTGTGTTGGTCAATTATTGGCTAAGGGCCGCCTCTCTACTCCCTACAGGCACCCCTGAGTGGGTAGGAGCTTCCATAACCACAAACACAGACATCTCTGGGAGAGGTGTCTTCCTCTTGTTCTAGCCAAAACTCACAGCAGCTGGGGAACGATTAATCTGGCAGGTAAAGATTCTGGGAAGGGCATTAATTGTATCTACTGCAGTTGTAATGTTGGTCCAAACACTTGGTCAAATAAATTATTTTCTACATTTTAATGTTTATTTAGCCCTCTCCATTTCTCATATTTCTTACTGCTTGACACATTTTTCTATTATGTTTGTTTTGTTTGTGTTTTGTTTGTGTTGTTATTGTTTCTGTAGAGATGGAATCTCACTGTTGCCTGGGGTGGTTTTGAACTCCTCGCCTCAAGGGATTCTTCCCGCCATGACCTCTCAAAGTGTTGGGATTACAGGTGTGAGCCACCACACCTGGCCTGTATTATCTGTTTATTATTGTTTCAAACGGGTTCTTATCTCTTTTAGAAGATGTCTACATCTTGAGATAAGTATAACATGTTTTTAAATATTCAGTTCAATACAATATTTAGTTCTTGATTCAATAGCCATCTACTATAGTTTAATGCAAAGTAAATTTAAGCTTTACCAATGACATTCATTAGTTTATCAAAGACATATGATGAGAGAATCCTTAGTTGTTTCTAAGAAAACTTTTTTTTAGTCTAGCTTTATCTGTGAGATCAGAAGTTCTCTTAAAAGAAGCAATTTGGAATAAGTGCAGAGGTGATTTTTTTTTTTTTTTTTTTTTTTTTTACAGAGGATACATACAGGGCTATATTTGCTAGGCAAACTGGCATATTGTGTAACTTATCATTTTTTAAATCCTTATGTAACAAATCAATTATTTGAAAACTACTGTGAAGTGGTGGTCACTCTGAAATTTTATGAAAACAAACATTCTTCGTAAAACTTTTTTCCTTTTCCTAATTTATATTCATTCTAGAATATTTAGAAAAACAGTCTGTTCTTTAGAGCTTGGATACTGTCAGCAAAAATGAACTTTATCTGGACAGCTTTATTGGTTCATTTCCTTCTGTGGATGTATTTGGAACCCCTGAAAGTATCAAAGTGGTATTAAATTCTCCATATTTAATTAAATGGTTGTGTGAAGTCCCACTATCATCTGATGACTCAAATTCACAATGTCAACGCTGGGAGTTGGGCCCATTGGGCCTTCTGATAAAAGCTCAGAACAAAGTTATGCTTGCATTCATCACTGTTAAACACTCACGTTTCCTTCCTACCTTCCTTCTTAATTTCTGTGTAAGAAAAAGAAACTTTAGCCAAGAAAGGGGGAAAATAATGCATTTCGATAGAATTGTACAATTTCCTGATGAATTCAATTATAAAATAATGAGTCATATTTTATGGATAAAAATCTGATGACATTACAAAATCAAATATCTCCAGACTGTTGGATGGTAACTCAAATACTTCATGATGAATTCTGCTTTAACACCAAAAGAAAGCCTCACTGTGCTGCTGCTGGGAGAGCCAGCACTGCACCCCAGCCCCTGCTATGGGATGTCATTGTCAGGTGTGGGGACCAGGAACAGTGTTTCCTAGCCTGCCTGGTTGACTGATGGAATGGGAAAAGGGGCCTTATCAAGGCTCCTAGGATGGGTTTCTTGACACTTTAATGCATATCTTTTTGCCCCATGGATAGGAATCTCATTGCTCTGAAGAAAAATACAGTTTCATTACTATTGCATACACATATTTTATTGCCAAGCAACCATTAGGAATTCAAAGCCCATGTTCTGCTACATTTATTTTGCTCATTGTGCATTCACTCTCACCTTCAAGTACTGTGGGGAGACTTTGTCTAATCACATTTCATTTACGATGAAAGTGAAAATAAGCAGCATTGGGCACACAGCAATTCACCATGTAAAGCTTTTTGTCGTCTGGCAGTTACAGATGAACTTTGTTGGCATGTGACAAAAAAATGCATGAAGTTTCTGAGATAATCTAAATTTAATTTTATAAATATTGTGCACATTACCCTGAATGCAAATTAACTTAATTTTTGTAAAATAAAATTAATAATTTCTCTTTCTGATATTTGTGTGTTTGACTATTTGGAAATTTGTTCTTTAGGGATGGCCATGAAAATGAGTTTGAGATGAAATTCAAACCAAGGTCTTTAACAATGCAGCAATTCCATGGCTTAGCAGTTCCTGTTTTGGAGGATGGGGTCTCTCTCTATTGACCAGGCTGGACTACAGTGGCACAATCATAGCTCATTGCGGCCTTGAACTCATAAGCTCAAGTGATTCTCCTACTTCATCTTCCCAAATAGCTGGGACTACAGGCATTCACCACCACTCCCAGCTAATTTGTAAAAATGTATTTTTAGAGATGGAGACCAACTCTTTAGCTCAGACTGGTGGTCTCTAACTCCTGGCATCAAGCAATTCTCTTGCCTCAGCTTCCTGAGTAGTCCCTTATTTTGACTGTCAATTCAAAAACCTGTAAACTTTTCAAGATAAGGGCCAGATCTTTTTTTTCCTTTGTCTTTACTCTGTAATCTAGCATTTTGTTAGCTATATTCACATGAGTTTTTGGTTGAACTGCACTGATTTTGGGAGAAATGTGCTTTCTCACTATATTATAGCATTTACATACTTGGAACTTTGGAATAACTTGGTTGACATGTGTTGTGTTCAAAGTCAGAGCCTAAAGGGCCAAAAAGTTCAAACACTCTTGTTAAAGCTGATGGAAGGTGTGCTGATTATAAATACACCCTCTACCATAGTGGTTCCTGGCAAGGCACTCAGACTATGGCATTTTGTAACAAGTGACTTTTTCTGATATATTAATTTATATTAGCATATTGATGTTGATAATTTATATTAATGTTAATATATTAATATATATTAGTTATGGTGGCTCCTCTCTCAGTCTCATAACTTATATATAGATGCAGAAATGGAAATGCCACCTGATGTGTAAACACCAACATACAAACTTTAAATGGCATTGAATTAAAACACTTCAAAGAAACTTTTTGAAAACTGATGTGGATTATAGTTAGCAGTTCTTGCCAACACAGAGTTTTATTGCAATTGCAGAAAAGACTGGCAATTTTCATAACACCAGTCAAATAAAGAATTAGAAGTCAAGTCATGAATTTAATTTTGTCCTCCTGAGGTTAACATATCATTTTGTTGATCAGTTCCTGACATTTTGGCATTTCTACACTCCTTTTGTAGAAAGAAAAGGAAATAATGAATAGCTTAATTCCTAGATATTATCTCTCTTAAACAAAACAGATTTTAATGCATTTTTTTTTTCAAATGCATGTCCCAACCAGTTACTTCTGAGGAGTAAGAACACATTCTACATCTCTGGAAATTCTACTAAAACCAGTAGGTTACCAGTTTGAGAATACAGTCTTTTATTAACATAAGCTAGTTGGCCTAGCAATAGTTTCTTAAGTAATATTTGTTTTTATTGAAATTGAAGTTGGTCTTCAACATTTAAATTTTTTATATAACAGTTTTTTTCATGACTTTAGCTATCATAGTAACAACACATTTGAATGAATGATAAACTTTAAGACATCAGACCTTTCGATTTAAGAACATTTGCTATTTTGATTATGTTAAGTGGTGATATCAGAGTTTGACCTGGAAATTATGAATGCATAATTGTGTGATTGGATCAGTTTAAAATTAGTACAAACCTTTTGAAGTTAGAGAAGAGTTCCTCCGGTAGGCTAGGATGATAGCTGCCAAAGGAATTGAATCAAAATAATGAGTTATATGCTCATGTTCTGGTTAGGAGTTTACTCAGTCCCTCTGTGCTGGTGGTTGTTGATGATGTTTTATCCTTGGCTGGTGATGGTGTTTTATTCTTGGCTTGGCACACTGGACTTTAACTGTAGAGGTCTGTGCAATCATAACATGACCCATTTATTTAGCTATTCACAAACTCTGAGCACTTTTTTCCTTTCAGATGTGTTTTACTTGGTCTCTATTTTGAGGTCATATATTGGGCTCAGTTTTTTTTTTTTTTAGGCTATTTCACAACAATTATAGATTCACAGGAAGAGGCAAAAATGTACAGGGAGGTCCCATGTATTTTTCACTCAATTTCCTTCAATTATAATAACATATTGCACAACTATAGTATAATACCAAAACCAGTAAATTAACATGGCTTATAACCCACAGAGCTTATTCAGGTTTCATCAGTTTGACATGCACCCATTTGTGTGTGTGTGTGGTTCTATGCAATTTTATCACTTGTGTAGATTTGTGCAAACACTATGACAATCAAAATACAGAGATGTTCCATCACCACAAGGCTGTCTCATGCCACTTTATAAGTACACCCATCCCCATTTTCTCCACCCCTAACATTTGGCAACCACAAATCCAGTCTAAGTTTCCATAATTATGTTATTCCAAGAACAATATAAATAGAATCATACAGAATGTAATTTTGTGAAATTGGCTTTTCCATTCAGTGTAATTCTCTTGAGATAAATCCAAGTTGTTGGTGTATCAATAGTATTTTTTTTTTTTTTGAGACCAGCTTGAGCATCATAGGGAGACCACATCTCTACTAAAAATAATAATAATAAAAATTAGCCAGGCATGGTGTTACATGCTGTAGTTCCAGCAACTCTGGAGGCTGAGGTGGGAGGATCCCTTGAGCCTAGGAGGTTGAGACTGCAGCAGTGGGCTACGATCATGCCACTTCATTCCAGCATGGACAAGAGAGTGAGATCTTATCTTTTAAAAATAGAAAAAAACAGTTTGTTCCTTTTCATTGTCGAGTAGCAATACATGTTATGAATGTACCATAATCTGTTTGGCCATTAACTCATTGAAGGATATCTGGGTTGTTTCCAGTTTTGGGCTATTACAAATAGAGCTGCTATGAACATTTACATATAGTTTTTTGTATGAACATTAATTTCCATTTTTGTGGCATAAATATTTGATAACACAATCGCTAGGTTATACAGTAAATTCATGTGTAGTTTTGGAAAATCTTCCAAACCATTTTTTGGAATGGCTCTACCATTTTACATTTCTACAAGCAATGTATAAGTTATCTAGTTTCTCTGCATCCTCACTTATATTTGGTATTGTTATATTTTTTTTATTTTAGCCATTCTGAAGTTGTATAGTGATATCTCATTGTGGCTTAAATTTGCACTACCTTAATGGCTACTGATGTTGAACATCTTTTTTGCACTTATTTTCTATCTGTATATCCTCTTTCGTGAAGTGTCTTTTGCCTATTTTATAATTGAATTGTTGATTTTTAAAAAAATATTGAGTTTTGAAAGTTCTTTATGTATTCTGGTTACAAGTCCTTTGTCAGATAGGTTAGCTCTCAGTTTATAGCTTCTTTTTTTAATTTAATTTAATTTTATTATTATTATACTTTAAGT
Organism: Homo sapiens; assembly: GCF_000001405.40. Taxonomy (NCBI): domain Eukaryota; kingdom Metazoa; phylum Chordata; class Mammalia; order Primates; family Hominidae; genus Homo; species Homo sapiens. The sequence continues at coordinate 148,580,817 of NC_000003.12, read as the reverse complement.
TTTAGGGTACATGTGCACAATGTGCAGATTAGTTACATATGTATACATGTGCCATCTTGGTGTGCTGCACCCATTAACTCGTCATTTAGCATTAGGTATATCTCCTAATGCTATCCCTCCCCCCTCCCCCCACCCCACCACAGTCCCCAGAGTGTGATGTTCCCCTTCCTGTGTCCATGCGTTCTCATTGTTCAGTTCCCACCTATGAGTGGGAATATGCGGTGTTTGGTTTTTTGTTCTTGCAGTAGTTTACTGAGAATGATGATTTCCAGTTTCATCCATGTCCCTACAAAGGACATGAACTCATCATTTTTTATGGCTGCATAGTATTCCATGGTGTATATGTGCCACATTTTCTTAATCCAGTCTATCATTATTGGACATTTGGGTTGGTTCCAAGTCTTTGCTATTGTGAATAGTGCCGCAATAAACATACGTGTGCATGTGTCTTTATGGCAGCATGATTTATAGTCCTTTGGGTATATACCCAGTAATGAGATGGCTGGGTCAAATGGTATTTCTAGTTCTAGATCCCTGAGGAATCGCCACACTGACTTCCACAAGGGTTGAACTAGTTTACAGTCCCACCAACAGTGTAAAAGTGTTCCTATTTCTCCACATCCTCTCCAGCACCTGTTGTTTCCTGACTTTTTAATGATTGCCATTCTAACTGGTGTGAGATGGTATCTCACTGTGGTTTTGATTTGCATTTCTCTGATGGCCAATGATGGTGAGCATTTTTTCATGTGTTTTTTGGCTGCATAAATGTCTTCTTTTGAGAAGTATCTGTTCATGTCCTTCGCCCACTTTTTGATGGGGTTGTTTGTTTTTTTCTTGTAAATTTGTTTGAGTTCATTGTAGATTCTGGATATTAGCCCTTTGTCAGCTGAGTAGGTTGTGAAAATTTTCTCCCATTTTGTAGGTTGCCTGTTCACTCTGATGGTAGTTTCTTTTGCTGTGCAGAAGCTCTTTAGTTTAATTAGATCCCATTTGTCAATTTTGGCTTTTGTTGCCATTGCTTTTGGTGTTTTAGACATGAAGTCCTTGCCCATGCCTATGTCCTGAATGGTAATGCCTAGGTTTTCTTCTAGCTTCTTTTATGTGTCTTCTTAACATAGTCTTTCACAGAGCACTGTCTTTAGTTTGATGAACTATAGTTTATTAATTTTTCCTCTTATGATCCTGTTTTTGGTGTCAAGTCTAAGAATTTTGCCTACTCTTCATATCTGAAGATTTTGTCCTTTGTTTTCTTCTAAAAGCTTTAGAGTTTCAAATTTACATTTAAGGTCATGATCTATTTTTTTTTTTTTTTTATATAAGGTGTGAGGTTTAGGTCAAGGTACTTTGTGGTTTTTTGTTTATTTGTTTTATTTATTTTTGTTTTGTTTTGCTTATGCATATCTAATTTCTCCAGCACCAATTGCTGAAAAGATAACAATGCCTTCATTGAATTGGTTTTTAGTTTTGTCAAAAACCACTTGGGCATATTTGTGTGAACTATTTCTAGCTTTTCTATTCTGTTCCACTAATCTATTCCTCAGCAAATATCAGGCTTGAGTCCTATGGCTCTATAGTCAGCCTCAATGTTGAGTAGAGTGATTCCTTGTAATTTATTGTTTTTTTAAATGGTTTTAGCTAATGTAAGCCCTTTACCCTTTCATATATATTCTAGAATAAGATTAACTATGTTTATGAAAACCTTTGCTAGGAGTTTGATAGGAATTACATTAAACCTATAGCTCAATTTCAGGAGAATGAACACCTTTTCTATGTTGTGTCTTCCAATCCATGTACACAATGTCTCTCTATGTAGGTCTTTGATTTTTTTTCAACAGCATTTTGTATTCAGCATGCAGATACTGTATATGTTTTGTTGGTTTCTACCTAAGTATTTAATTTTCTTTGAAGTTAATATAAATGACACTGTGTTTTTAATTTTGATTTCCATGTGTTTGTTGTTGGCATATAGAGATCAGATTCATAGTTTGTGTTGCTCTTGTACTCTACAACCTTGACCAATTAACTTTATAGTTCTAGGAAGTTTTTCTTAGTAGATTCCTTGAGATTTCCTATGTGAAAAATCATGTTGTCTGCAAATAGGATAAGCTTAGTTTTGGAGCTTACATACCTAGTGCTGTTTACATTTATGGCAACTATTTGTTCTTCTTGAAATGATTTTATGTGTTGTTTTCTATGACTTTGAGTGTATCAATGATTTTCTAAAATAACTCTTAGGTTGGTAGTTTTCAAAGTGTGGCTGGGCACTCTGAGGAGTCCTTGAGACATTTTCAGTTGGTCCACAGGATCAAAACTTTTCTCAAAATTATACTGAAATATTATTGGCCATTTTCACTCTTATTCTGTCATGAGCATGTGGTAGTTTCCCAGAGGCTACACTGTGTCTGTCTGGAATTGATTCCTTCCAGTGGGCTCTTGGTCTCACTGACTTCAAGAATGAAGCCACAGACCCTCACGGTGAGTGTTACAGTTCTTAAAGATGGTGTGTCCAGAGTTTGTTCCTTCAGATGTTCAGATGTGTCTGGAGTTTCCTCCTTCCGGTGGGTTCGTGGTCTCTCTTGACTTCAGGAGTGAAGCCACAGACCTTTGCAGTGAGTGTTACAGCTCTTAAAGGTGGTGTATCTGGAGTTGTTTGCTCCTCCTGGTGGATTTGTGGTCTCGCTGACTTCAGGTGTGAAGCCGTAGACCTTCACAGTGAGTGTTAGAGCTTTTAAAGGTAGTGTGGACCCAAAGAGTGAGCAGCAGCAAGATTTATTGTGAAGAGCAAAAGAGCAAATCTTCCACAGTGTGGAAGGGGACCCCAGCAGGTTGCTGCTGCTGGCTTGGGTGGCCAACTTTTATTCCCTTATTTGGCCCCACCCACGTCCTGCTGATAGATCCATTTTACAGGGTGCTGATTGGTCCATTTTTACAGAGTGTTGATTCATGCATTTACAAACCTTTAGCTAGACACAAAGTGCTGATTGGTGCATTTTTACAGAGTGCTGATTGGTGCGTTTACAAACCTTTAGCTAGACACAGAGTGCTGATTGGTGCATTTTTACAGAGTGCTGATTGGCACGTTTACAAACCTTTAGCTAGACACAGAGTGCTGATTGGTGCATTTTTACAGAGTGCTGATTGGTGCATTTACAAACCTTTAGCTAGACAGAAAAGTTCTCCAAGTCCCCACTTGACCCAGGAAGTCCAGCTGGCTTCACCTGTCAATCCCCCCTCTAAACAGGACAGCCCAACTGCTGATAGGAATTGGGGGATGACTGCTCTAGCTACTTCCTGCTGGATAGGGGTGAAGAAGGGGCCCTGCAGTTGTAGTGTCCTCCAGAGGGGAATTCTTTAGGCCAGTTAAAGGGCCAGCCCGTCGGTCCAGTGGTCCTCGGTAGAAGTTGTTAGTTGAGCTCATTTGGGGTTCCATTTGTAAGACCATCTGTAGCTTGATGGCCTTGATACTAGAGGAAACAAATTTGACAAGGAGGTTAAAAATACAGGGCCCGAAGATGAGTAATAGCAAGATGGCTGTCACAGGACCTAGAAAGGGGAGAAGCCATGTTGCCCAACTCCAGAGGTTGGTATAAGAGTTTGAAAGGCATTGTCTGATTTCAGAAGCCTTTTCCCGTAAATGCTGGGCAGCATCTCTTACTATCCCTGACTGGTTAGTGTAAAAGCAATACTTTTCCCCTAAGAAGGTGCAGAGTCCTCCTTTCTCAGCAGTGAGGAGGTCTAGGCCTCGGTGGTTTTGGAGAGTCACTGCTGCCAAAGAGTCTATTTGGGATTGTAGAGTAAGGATAGATTTCGTTATTTCTTGCAAACTGTCTGAGAAATTCTTTGAGGGTGTGTGGTAGTAGGATAATACATGCTACACTGAACTTTTGGCAAACTGCACTTTTGTTGAAAACCTTGTAAATTTGGGATTTCAATTATTCTTTGCTATTAATAAGACCTTGTTCAGTCCATATTAACTAGAATTGGTATAGATGGCTCCTTCCTGATTCTGTAAGTACTTTTAAGGTTTGGCTAAGTGCAAACAGCTCACACATTTGAGCAGAACAATTATTAGGCAATTTTCCTAACTCTGCTTCTACAAGAGTTTCCTTATCACTTACTGAATACCCATTGTGTCTTTTTCCCTTAATCACCTGAGAGGAACCATCTATCCGTCCTGTCCTGAAGTGAGTTCCTCCTAGATCTGGTAGGACCTTGGTATGGTAATTAATTAAGATTTAGATCCACTGTTAGGAAACCTGCTGGGTTAAGGATTTTTGATGGGAAGGCTGCGGGCTGTCAGTGGCCTCAGTGCTTTTGGGCTGTGCCCTTGTTTGCGCTGACAACAAGGTGGTATTGGAGTGTTATAGGGTCATGGAGAAGACCTTCAATTATCAATTATAGGTTTTAAACTTACCCTGGCTTTTAAAGGAATAGAGTATGCTGTTTTTTCTTTACTAATTCCATCTCTTTTTCTTTCTCTTTGACTCCTTTATCTCTGTCTTTCTGACTTCCTCTTTGTCTGTCTCTTCCTCTCTCTCTCCTTTCTGCTGGTCTTTCCCTGCCTCTGCCAGCTGCTTATGCTGCTGTTCTCCCCTCTCCTTCCCCTTTTTGATGGCTTCAGCAGTGTAAGACTGCCACCTCCTTGGGTTTTTGCACTGTATGCAATAATTCCATGATTTCCTTGTGATATTTAATGGGGGCTCCCCCAGAGGTTAGAAACTCTCCTTTTTTCCATATTGCAGCATGAGCGTATAAGATTAGATAAGCCTACTTGCTCTCTGTATATGCATTTATTCTTCTTCCCTTTCCTAGTTCTAAGGCTCAGGTAAATGCCACTAGTTCTGCTAACTGGGTGCTGGTCCCTGGGGGAAGAGGCTTACTTTCAAGTATGGTTACATCACTAACTATGGTTACATCACATAACCTGCCCTTCATATCCCATTCTCCACAAATGAACTTCCATCAGTATATAGGTTAAGGCCAGGATTAGCTAAGGGGACTTCTAAGAGATCATCTTGGGTGACATAAGTCTGGACTATGATTTGTTGGCAGTTATACTCGATTGGTTCCCATCCTCTGGGAGAAAAGTGGCAATGTTAAGGGCCACACACGTGCGTATTTTAAGCACCAGTCCCTCAGGGAGTAGTGCCTGGTATCTAAGCAGGCAGTTGTCTGATAGCCATAAACTTCCTTTGGCACCTAGTATGCCATTTACATCATGAGTAGTCCAGACAGTGAGATCCTTTCCTTGTATTATTTTGATAACCTCTGACACTAAGACGGCCACCACCGCAACTACCTGTAAACAGTGAGGCCAGCCTTTTGCTACTACATCAATTTCCTTACTTAGGTGTGACACTGGTTGTTGGGTTGTCCTGCAAGTCTGACTAAGGACTCCAAGAACTATCCCTGCTCTCTCTGTGATGTATAAAGAGAAGTTTTGTCCTGTGGGAAGGCTTAAAGCTGGAGCTTCTACTAGGACATGCTTTAAGGTTTTGAAGGCTATTTCTGTTCCTGGTTTCCCATTCTACTAGATGAGTATTTGCCCTCTGGGTGTCCTTGATTAGAATATAGAGGGACCTCACTATCTTGCTGTATCCAGGGATCCATAGTCGGCAAAAGCCAGTGATTCCAAGGAACCCCTGAAACTGTTTTAATGTTTTAGGGTGAGGATAAGCCCATATAGGCTGTATTCATTCCTTGCTGAGGGCATCTCTGGCTAAGATTAGGCCTAGATATTTGACCTGCTCTAGGCAAAGCTGGGTCTTTGACCTAGACACCTTGTACCCTTGATTAGCTAGTAAGTTCAAGAGATCTAGAGTAGCCTGCTGGCATGAGGCTTTTGAACTGATAGCCAAAAGTAAATCATCCACATACTGAAGGACCAGAGTGCCTGGACTGGAGAAGTGGCCTAGATCTTGGGCCAGTACCTGACCAAACAGATGAAGGCTATCCCTAAACCCTTGGGGCAAGACCGTCCGTGTAAGTTGGGACATGTGGGATCCTCAAAGGCAAAGAGAAACTGGGAGTCAGAATGCAGGGGAATACAAAAGAAGGCATCCTTGAGGTCCAGAACAGTGAACCATTCTGCTTCCTCTGGTATTTGAGACAGCAGGGTATAGGGGTTGGGTACAATTGGATATAAAGGAATTACTGCCTGCTTGATGAGTCTAAGATCTTGCACTAGTTTCCACTGACCATTTGGTTTTTGTATCCTAGAATTGGGGTGTGGCAGGGACTGCTGCATTTCCTTACTAAACCTTGAGCTTTTAAATGTTTAACAATATCCAGTAATCCTTCATGAGCTTCAGGCCTTAAGGGATATTGCCTTTGATAAGGAAAAGTGGTGGAGTCTTTTAGCCTGATTTGGACTAGGCAGGCATTTTTTGCCCTTCCAAAGTGTCCTTCCAATGCCCAGACTTCAGGGTTGATTCCCTCCTCAAGTAGGGGACAACAAATGGGTAACTTGTTCCCCATATTCATGTAGATAATAGCTCCATCTTTGGCTAATATGTCCCTCCCTAATAAGGGTGTGGGACTTTCAGGTATAACAAGAAAAGCATGTGAAAACAGCAAAGTCCCCCAATTACAATGGAGGAGGTGGGAGAAATAACTGGTTACAGGCTGTCCCAGAATTCCTTGGATGGTAATGGATCTTGAGGACAGCTGTCTGGGACAGGAGATTAACACTGAGAAAGCCCCGCCATTGTCCAGGAGGAAGTCAATTTCCTGGCCCTCAATGATTAAACATACCTGGGGCTCAGTGAGTGTGATGACATGAGCTGGCACTTGCCCCGGGCACCCTCAGTCCTGTTGTTGGATCATTTGGTTGGGGGCTTCTGGCCCAGAGAACCAGTGCACTCTGGGGCAGTGCACCTTCCAGTGATTGCCTTGGCATAGCGGGCATGGACGAGGGGGTGGCTTCTCACTGGACAATCTTTTTTAAAGTGTCCTTGTAAACCACACTAATAACAAGCCCTACTGGGTGATTGGCCTGCTCCATTTTCTGTCCTCTCTGAACCACTAAGGTTTGTTTGTCTTAGCGCCATGATTAAGGCTGCAGACTTTCTCTGATCTCACTTTTCCTTTTGAGCCTGTTCCTCTTGATCCCTATTATAGAACACCAAGGTTGCCGGGTTTAATAATGCATCTAGATTTTGTTCAGGACCCAGGGCTCACTTTTGGAGCTTTCTCCTGATATCTGTGGCTGATTGGGTAATAAACTTATCTTTTAGGATCAATTGACCCTCTAATGAGTCAGGTGACAGGGGAATATATTTTCTTAAGGCCTCCTATAGCCACTCGTGGAAGGTAGAAGGATTTTCTTCCTTTCCCTGAGTTATGGTGGACATCATTGAATAATTCATGGGATTTTTCCTAATTCTCCTTAGTCCTTCTAGAACACAGGTCAACAGATGTTTACAACTCCAGTCCCCATGATCTGAGTTGAGGTCCCAGTGAGGAATCCATACTAGGGATGGCTTGCTGACCAGTAGGGAATTTGTCCCTTTCTTCAGCTGTCATTCTATCATTTATTGACTAAGATACCAGGTATCTCCAAACTCTTGGGCTGCAGCTAAAGCTGCATTCTTTTCATTAAAGGCCAGGGTTTGATCTAACAATAGCATGACATCTCTCCAAGTAAGATCAAAGGTTTGCCCTAGACCCTGTAGGACATCTATATACCTATCAGGATCATCTGTAAGCTTCCCCAGGTCTGCCTTGATCTGTTTTAAATCAGAGAGGGAGAAGGGGACATGTGCCCGGGTTGGGCCAAATTCCCCTCCCCCTACAGCTTGAAGGGGACATAATTGATAGCCCGGGGTGGGGGGGTTGTGGTCCTTTGGAGATTTCTTTGCTCATTTCCTTTTGGACAGGGGAGATTAGAGGAGGCTTATCATTAATAGGAAGGGGAGCTAGGATATGGGGGTAAGCTGAGAGGTCCTCCTGTGGGATGTAAATTGTAAGCTTTGCATAGTTGTGGATTCCCCTTCAATGAAAAGAAAGCTTGGACATAAGGTATTTCACTCCATTTGCCTTCCCTGTTACGGAAAAGGTCAAGCTGCAGGATAGTATTGTAATTTATACCTCCCTCAGGTGGCCATTTTTCCCCATCAGAGAGAGAATATTGGGGCCAAGCCATAGTGCAGAAAAATATGAGCCACCTCTTTTTCAGGGTTTTGCAGGTCAAATTGGTCCCAGTGGCTTAGAATGCATTTCAAGGGTGATGCCTGAGTGTTTTCCATCTGAAAGACAAAACCGCCCATGGTTTTGGTTTGTTTGTTTCTCCCCCTGCCCAAGAACCTGCAATGGTCCCTGGACCCTGCTGATTGGAATAGTTGTGCTCACTGACACAGCAGAGGAAACACCTCTTCCCCAAGAACCCACAATGGTCCCTGGACCCTGCTGATTGGAATAGTTGCACTCATTGATGCAGCAGCAGAAACACTAGTTTTCCTCCTAGACCACAAGGAGGACCAAGGAAGGTTGGTTTTAGTGGCCCTTACCATCACATTCTCAAAAACCTGCACCCTTGCCTGTCCTCCTAGACCACAAAGAGGACTGAGAAAAATCAGATTTAGTGGCCCTTACTGATGCATTGTTGAAAACCTGTTGAGAGTCCTAAGCATTCTCCTGTTAGTATTGGGATTTTACCCCTGTCCTATAAAGATGTTATGCCCCAAAAATGAAGAGGAGGACCATACACTGAGGGAGGGAAGGGATCTCCAGGGTTGGAAGAGTAATGCCTTTTGTTCTCACTTGTATAGGAAGGATATCATTTCTGAGGTTCCCCATATCCTAACTTCAGGAATAGCTTTTGTTAGGCCTGCTAGTCTGAGGAGGGATCCTAAAATTCCAGATAGTCCCCCCACCTACCTATGGGGCTTTGGGCAAAAATTATGTGTTTCTGATTGGTGAGCCTGGGTGCCTAAAGAAGGTAACAGAGTCCTGAAGTTCATACTAGAAATCATTGCTATAGGAGAAACTAGAAAAACACCAGAGACAGGGAGTGGTTTTTAGAAGCAAGACTAGCCTCAGATAAGAGAGGCGAGAGGAAGTTCGTCTGACAAGTGTTAGGACCCAGGAGGCAAGGGTCAGGATAGATAGGATAGATGGGTGAGTCTCGCTTGGGCAACATGACTTTGAGAATTCTGCTCATGGCCGCAGGGTCAACCAACTTGTCAGGACCCTGGAGCAGAATGGCTTTCTTCTCTGTCGACCCTTGGCTCAGCCTGGAAGTATAGGAAAAACAGAAGCTGGTTCCAGGCAAACCAACGCTCCCAACTCTGAAGAGCCGGGGGTTGTTAGAGAGCCCTTTCCCAGAAAGCCAGACACCCGTGTCTTTAGTCCAGCGGCTGCGCTAGTCGCTTTTAACTTGCCGACAGGTGCCCGGTATTTACCCCCAAATTCTAAGGAAAAATAGGACAGAACAGCAAGCAAAAGGGGTCCGATGGTACTCACTGCTTGGTGATAGTCCCATCTGGGTCACCAAAATGTGTCCAGAATTTGTTCCTTCAGGTGGGTTCTTGGTCTCGCTGACTTCAAGAACGAAGCCACAGACCCTTGCAGTGAGTGTTACAGTTCTTAAAGATGGTGTGTCTGGAGTTTGTTCCTTCAGATGTTCAGATGTGTCTGGAGTTTCTTCCTTCCAGTGGGTTTGTGGTCTCGCTTCACTTCAGGAGTGAAGCCACAGACCTTCGCAGTGAGTGTTACAGTCTTAAAGGTGGTGCGTCTGGAGTTGTTTGTTCCTCCCAGTGGGTTCGTGGTCTCGCTGACTTCAGGAGTGAAGCCATAGACCTTCACAGTGAGTGTTACAGCTCTTAAAGGTAGTGTGGACCCAAAGAGTGAGCAGCAGCAAGATTTATTGTGAAGAGCAAAAGAACAAAGCTTCCACAGCATGGAAGGGGACCCCAGCAGGTTGCTGCTGCTGGCTCAGGTGGCCAACTTTTATTCCCTTACTTGGCCCCACCCATGTCCTGCTGATAGGTCCATTTTACAGAGCGCCGATTGGTCCATTTTACAGAGTGCTGATTGGTCCATTTTTACAGAGTGCTGATTGGTGCGTTTACAAACCTTTAGCTAGACACAGAGTGCTGATTGGTGCATTTTTACAGAATGCTGATTGGTGCGTTTACAAACCTTTACCTAGACAGAAAAGTTCTCCAGGTCCCCATTTGACCCTGGAAGTCCAACTGGCTTCACCTCTCAACATGACATGTGATACTGCAACAGATTTAGGAATTTAGCACTCTTCTGTTGTGTCATATGTTGAAGAGATTTGCAAAAATAGAAAATCACGCCATTCACTAATTTTTTGTTTTGAAAATATATTTATTTTTCATAGAAATTGCTTATGAATGTTAATATGAAATTCATGTATTGTCTTAAAAATAAATTATTAAATATTTTAAAGTTTTTTCAGAAATTAAAATATCTAATAAGATAAACATTGATAGATAATAATTCTCCATTTTAAAAGACCCCTTTTGGCTCCTTAACAATTTTAAGAGTTGTAAAGGGTGCTGTGATAAAAACACTTAAGAATCTCTAATTTAGGTCAATCCTGTTAAATTCTCTGGGTTAGCAAAATTTATCATCTAGCACATTGGCTAATGTTAAATAAATATAGGTTGATTTGGGGAAAGTATCTTTTTTTCTTGCTAGTTTGTTTATGGCAGAAGAGGAGGTTTTTCTGTCAGCTTTACAATTCTTTCTTTGAATGAAATCTTACATAAAAGTCCAATATTTAAAAGTAAGGACAGCAACCAAGACAGGGCTCAGAATTTAAGCTATTTGAATTTCTGTCCTCACACCACAGGTGACACAGTAGGATATATCTTAAAAATTCTTTGAGCATAATTTGAAAATGATGATTGTAGGGAATTAATTGCATAATGATATAAACAAGGCATGACCACTATGGGTTATCAGCACCAGGCACAGAAATCCAGAATATTGCTTTGTGGTTGGCACAGAGTAGGGCTCAATAAATACATTACAGTGAATAATTGACTACTGGGATATGGGAATACCATCAGATCATTTTTGGAATAGTAGCCACTGAAATCATCATTCTGAGCAAACTATCACAAGGACAGAAAACCAGACACCACATGTTCTCACTCATTGGTGGGAAATGAACAATGAGAACACTTGGACACAGGGCAGGGAACATCACACACCAGGGCCTGTTGCGGGGTGGGGGCTTGGGGGAGGGATAGCATTAGGAGAAATACCTAATGTAAATGACGAGTTAATGGGTGCAGCAAACCACCACAACACATCTATACATATGTAACAAACCTGCACATTGTGCGCGTGTACCCTAGAACTTAAAGTGTAATAAAAAAAGAAAAGTTAAAAAAAAACAAGAAATAGTAGCCACTGAAATGAATCTTTATCAACAGAAAAAATTAATAAGCTGTATTTCTATGGGGCCACAATCACTTAATGCATTTCATTCACATCTAAGTATATTCAGACAAATATCTGGGTTCTACATCATTGGAAAAAGAATATATGAAAAATTTACTTAGTCAAGAAGTCACTCTCAATGCTGTGTTTCTGAAGAAAAGAGAAATATCTGAAAGGTAAGAGGACTGCTTTAATTGTGGAGTTAAGGAAAATGACCAGTCAAGAGCAGTTTTTCACAACATTCTCTTTATTGCATAAATTATGCCAAATGACTATCACTTTAAATGTTCTCACTCACATAATTAAGCACATCCAAATGCTTAGTGACAATATTTACAGAGTAGGGAAATGTTATAAACATGAGAATCATCCACCAGACTAGATTATCACTGAAGGAAACAATATGTATTTTTCCTGAGGTTATTCCAGAAATTAAAAGTATATGATTATACTAATGAATGCACAAAATTAACAACAACAACAACAACAACTTCTTAATGAGGTATTTTAAGGCAGTTGTTTATTAAGCCAGGGGACCTTCTGCACACTCTGGCTTGCCACATTGCCTATTCTTGCTGGGTTTCAGGTGCCATGACATTGGCTGTGGTTGACTGTGGCAGGAATGATTTCCAGCATCTTTCCTTATCTTGGAACAAGGCTAAATGCAAACAAGTTAAGGCCAGCATGCCACCTAGGACCCTGTTTCTCACAGCAGCAGGAAACACATTCTTCATAAGATTGCTATTTTTGTTTATAAAAAAAATGTGGGGCTGTTTGCTGTATCATCATTAAAAATAGTCAGAGGATAAGGAAAAGTTGATGGATAACTTCCTGATGCAAATGAATGTCTTTTTTCGTTTTTAACTCCCTTAGGAGTAGAGGTCAGTTACATGTTCTAGTGCAATAATACACATTTTAGTACACTTATACATGTACTAAACAATACACTTGTTAGAAGGAACCTTGACAATAATGTTCAAACTTGGTAAGCATTCCATACAAGGCAAAGCAAAGAAAAAAGGATTGAGGAAAAATAGAGAAGGAAAGCACTTTGACCCAGAAATAGGTGACACATTCTCCCGAATATTTGTAGTCTATAAGTAGAAGTATGATTTATCCCTGCCTTTAATTCCAGAAGAAGGTTTCCATGCCTTGACTTCTTACTCCCTGAGCAAGACAGAACTCAACTAGCCATGAATTTCTTCTTTAAAGAAATGTCTATTTTATTTTTATATGTTTTTTAAAAATTAAAAAAATAGAAATGGGGGGTCTTGCTATGTTTCCCAGACTGGCCTCAAACACCTGGCCTCAAGTGATCCCCCTGCTTCAGTCTCTGCAAGTGCTGGGATTATGAGTGTGAGCCAGTATGCCTGGCCTGGCTATGAATTTCTATGTCTACTTTCCCTTCAGTGCATGGTATATTATTATTTATTTATTTTCATTTTCCTGCAACTAGAAGACAAGCTCCATGAAAGCAAGCATTTGTCTGTTTTCATTACTACTATAAATCTAGTACACAAAACAGGCATTCAATATTTGTTTAATGTATGTTTGGTTATATAAAGTTTCTAAAAGTAAATCTTTTTTTCTGGTTGTGTTGCCCTTTTATTACCTGGAAGGGAAGATTCATAGTCAACAACACAATTTTTCAAGATAAGGTTAATAAGAAGTACACAGAAAATACCCTGATACAGTATTCAGTCAAATATTTATAAAACTATTTGCTGGAACATATTTATATGTCTCCAGCAACATACCTACATGCAGGACTGTAGGGGTGGGTTGCCCCTACATCTGGTGCCCAACGTGGAGGCTTTTCTCTAGGGTGAAGGTACGCTCAAGCGTGGTCATTGAGGACAAGTCGACGAGAGATCCCGAGTACATCTACAGTCAGCCTTACGGTAAGCTTGTGCGCTCGGAAGAAGCTAGGGTGATAATGGGGCAAACTAAAAGTAAAATTAAAAGTAAATATGCCTCTTATCTCAGCTTTATTAAAATTCTTTTAAAAAGAGGGGGAGTTAAAGTATCTACAAAAAATCTAATCAAGCTATTTCAAATAATAGAACAATTTTGCCCATGGTTTCCAGAACAAGGAACTTTAGATCTAAAAGATTGGAAAAGAATTGGTAAGGAACTAAAACAAGCAGGTAGGAAGGGTAATATCATTCCACTTACAGTATGGAATGATTGGGCCATTATTAAAGCAGCTTTAGAACCATTTCAAACAGAAGAAGATAGCATTTCAGTTTCTGATGCCCCTGGAAGCTGTTTAATAGATTGTAATGAAAAGACAAGGAAAAAATCCCAGAAAGAAACGGAAAGTTTACATTGCGAATATGTAGCAGAGCCGGTAATGGCTCAGTCAACGCAAAATGTTGACTATAATCAATTACAGGAGGTGATATATCCTGAAACGTTAAAATTAGAAGGAAAAGGTCCAGAATTAGTGGGGCCATCAGAGTCTAAACCACGAGGGCCAAGTCCTCTTCCAGCAGGTCAGGTGCCCGTAACATTACAACCTCAAAAGCAGATTAAAGAAAATAAGACCCAACCGCCAGTAGCTTATCAATACTGGCCGCCGGCTGAACTTCAGTATCGGCCACCCCCAGAAAGTCAGTATGGATATCCAGGAATGCCCCCAGCACCACAGGGCAGGGCGCCATACCCTCAGCCGCCCACTAGGAGACTTAATCCTACGGCACCACCTAGTAGACAGGGTAGTGAATTACATGAAATTATTGATAAATCAAGAAAGGAAGGAGATACTGAGGCATGGCAATTCCCAGTAACGTTAGAACCGATGCCACCTGGAGAAGGAGCCCAAGAGGGAGAGCCTCCCACAGTTGAGGCCAGATACAAGTCTTTTTCGATAAAAATACTAAAAGATATGAAAGAGGGAGTAAAACAGTATGGACCCAACTCCCCTTATATGAGGACATTATTAGATTCCATTGCTCATGGACATAGACTCATTCCTTATGATTGGGAGATTCTGGCAAAATCGTCTCTCTCACCCTCTCAATTTTTACAATTTAAGACTTGGTGGATTGATGGGGTACAAGAACAGGTCTGAAGAAATAGGGCTGCCAATCCTCCAGTTAACATAGATGCAGATCAACTATTAGGAATAGGTCAAAATTGGAGTACTATTAGTCAACAAGCATTAATGCAAAATGAGGCCATTGAGCAAGTTAGAGCTATCTGCCTTAGAGCCTGGGAAAAAATCCAAGACCCAGGAAGTACCTGCCCCTCATTTAATACAGTAAGACAAGGTTCAAAAGAGCCCTATCCTGATTTTGTGGCAAGGCTCCAAGATGTTGCTCAAAAGTCAATTGCCGATGAAAAAGCCCGTAAGGTCATAGTGGAGTTGATGGCATATGAAAACGCCAATCCTGAGTGTCAATCAGCCATTAAGCCATTAAAAGGAAAGGTTCCTGCAGGATCAGATGTAATCTCAGAATATGTAAAAGCCTGTGATGGAATCGGAGGAGCTATGCATAAAGCTATGCTTATGGCTCAAGCAATAACAGGAGTTGTTTTAGGAGGACAAGTTAGAACATTTGGAGGAAAATGTTATAATTGTGGTCAAATTGGTCACTTAAAAAAGAATTGCCCAGTCTTAAATAAACAGAATATAACTATTCAAGCAACTACAACAGGTAGAGAGCCACCTGACTTATGTCCAAGATGTAAAAAAGGAAAACATTGGGCTAGTCAATGTCGTTCTAAATTTGATAAAAATGGGCAACCATTGTCGGGAAACGAGCAAAGGGGCCAGCCTCAGGCCCCACAACAAACTGGGGCATTCCCAATTCAGCCATTTGTTCCTCAGGGTTTTCAGGGACAACAACCCCCACTGTCCCAAGTGTTTCAGGGAATAAGCCAGTTACCACAATACAACAATTGTCCCTCACCACAAGCGGCAGTGCAGCAGTAGATTTATGTACTATACAAGCAGTCTCTCTGCTTCCAGGGGAACCCCCACAAAAAATCCCTACAGGGGTATATGGCCCCCTGCCTGAGGGGACTGTAGGACTAATCTTGGGAAGATCAAGTCTAAATCTAAAAGGAGTTCAAATTCATACTAGTGTGGTTGATTCAGACTATAAAGGCGAAATTCAGTTGGTTATTAGCTCTTCAATTCCTTGGAGTGCCAGTCCAGGAGACAGGATTGCTCAATTATTACTCCTGCCATATATTAAGGGTGAAAATAGTGAAATAAAAAGAATAGGAGGGCTTGGAAGCACTGATCCGACAGGAAAGGCTGCATATTGGGCAAGTCAGGTCTCAGAGAACAGACCTGTGTGTAAGGCCATTATTCAAGGAAAACAGTTTGAAGGGTTGGTAGACACTGGAGCAGATGTCTCTATCATTGCTTTAAATCAGTGGCCAAAAAATTGGCCTAAACAAAAGGCTGTTACAGGACTTGTCGGCATAGGCACAGCCTCAGAAGTGTATCAAAGTACGGAGATTTTACATTGCTTAGGGCCAGATAATCAAGAAAGTACTGTTCAGCCAATGATTACTTCAATTCCTCTTAATCTGTGGGGTCGAGATTTATTACAACAATGGGGTGCGGAAATCACCATGCCCGCTCCATTATATAGCCCCACGAGTCAAAAAATCATGACCAAGAGGGGATATATACCAGGAAAGGGACTAGGGAAAAATGAAGATGGCATTAAAGTTCCAGTTGAGGCTAAAATAAATCAAGAAAGAGAAGGAATTAGGGTATCCTTTTTAGGGGCGGCCACTGTAGAGCCTCCTAAACCCATACCATTAACTTGGAAAACAGAAAAACCGGTGTGGGTAAATCAGTGGCCGCTACCAAAACAAAAACTGGAGGCTTTACATTTATTAGCAAATGAACAGTTAGAAAAGGGTCATATTGAGCCTTCGTTCTCACCTTGGAATTCTCCTGTGTTTGTAATTCAGAAGAAATCAGGCAAATGGCGTATGTTAACTGACTTAAGGGCTGTAAACGCCGTAATTCAACCCATGGGGCCTCTCCAACCTGGGTTGCCCTCTCCAGCCATGATCCCAAAAGATTGGCCTTTAATTATAATTGATCTAAAGGATTGCTTTTTTACCATCCCTCTGGCAGAGCAGGATTGTGAAAAATTTGCCTTTACTATACCAGCCATAAATAATAAAGAACCAGCCACCAGGTTTCAGTGGAAAGTGTTACCTCAGGGAATGCTTAATAGTCCAACTATTTGTCAGACTTTTGTAGGTCGAGCTCTTCAACCAGTTAGAGAAAAGTTTTCAGACTGTTATATTATTCATTATATTGATGATATTTTATGTGCTGCAGAAACGAAAGATAAATTAATTGACTGTTATACATTTCTGCAAGCAGAGGTTGCCAATGCTGGACTGGCAATAGCATCTGATAAGATCCAAACCTCTACTCCTTTTCATTATTTAGGGATGCAGATAGAAAATAGAAAAATTAAGCCACAAAAAATAGAAATAAGAAAAGACACATTAAAAACACTAAATGATTTTCAAAAATTACTAGGAGATATTAATTGGATTCGGCCAACTCTAGGCATTCCTACTTATGCCATGTCAAATTTGTTCTCTATCTTAAGAGGAGACTCAGACTTAAATAGTAAAAGAATGTTAACCCCAGAGGCAACAAAAGAAATTAAATTAGTGGAAGAAAAAATTCAGTCAGCGCAAATAAATAGAATAGATCCCTTAGCCCCACGTTGGGCGCCAGATGTAGGGGCAACCCACCCCTACACAGGACAAATATCAGAAATTAAATATCAACTTTAGTAAATTTTAAAGACTCTGATAGCCTAAAGAAATGACTCACAAGCTTTTTGGAAGACCCATTAACTGATGTGGTGCTGAGAAAAATGTATATTCTGCTGATTTGGGGTAGAGAGTTCTGTAGATGTCTATTAGGTCTGCTTGGTGCAGAGCTGAGTTCAATTCCTGGATATCCTTGTTACCTTTCTGTCTCGTTGATCTGTCTAATGTTGACAGTGGGGTGTTAAAGTCTCCCATTATTATTGTGTGGGAGTCTAAGTCTCTTTTTAGGTCTCTAAGGAATAGCTTTATGAATCTGCATCCTCCTGTATTGGGTGCACATATATTTAGAATAGCTAGCTCTTCTTGTTGAATTGATCCCTTTACCATTATGTAATGGCCTTCTTTGTCTCTTTTGATCTTTGTTGGTTTAAAGTCTGTTTTATCAGAGACTAGGAGTGCAACCCCTGCTTTTTTTTGTTTTCCATTTGCTTGGTAGATCTTCCTCCATCCCTTTATTTTGAGCCTATGTGTGTCTCTGCACATGAGATGGGTCTCCTGAATACAGCACACTGATGGGTCCTGACTCTTTATCCAATTTTCCAGGCTGTGTCTTTTAATTGGAGCATTTAGCCCATTTACATTTAAGGTTAATATTGTTATGTGTGAATTTGATCCTGTCATTATGATGTTAGCTGGTTATTTTGCTCGTTAGTTGATGCAGTTTCTTCCTAACCTTGATGGTCTTTATAATTTGGCATGTTTTGCAGTGGCTGGTACCAGTTGTTCCTTTCCATGTTTAGTGCTTCCTTCAGGAGCTCTTGTAAGGCAGGCCTGGTGGTGACAAAATCTCTCAGCATTTGTTTGTCTGTAAAGTATTTTATTTCTCCTTCACTTATGAAGCTTAGTTTGGCTGGATATGAAATTCTGGGTTGAAAATTCTTTTCTTTAAGAATGTTGAATATTGGCCCCTACTCTCTTCTCGCTTGTACAGTTTCTGCTGAGAGATCCACTGTTAGTCTGATGGGCTTCCCTTTGTGGGTAACCCAACCTTTCTCTCTGGCTGCTCTTTACACTTTTTCCTTCATTTCAACTTTGGTGAATCTGGCAATTATGTGTCTTGGAGTTGCTCTTCTCAAGGAGTATCTTTGTGGTGTTCTCTGTATTTCCTGAATTTGAATGTTGGCCTGCCTCGCTAGGTTGAGGAAGTTCTCCTGGATAATACCGTGAAGAGTGTTTTCCATCTTAGTTCCATTCTCCCTGTCATTTTCAGGTACATCACACTTATTCCAAAATTGACCACATAGTTGGAAGTAAAGCACTCCTCAGCAAATATAAAAGAGCAGAAATTATAACAAACTGTCTCTCAGACCACAGTGCAACCAAACTAGAACTCAGGATTAAGAAACTCACTCAAAACCACTCAACTACATGGAAACTGAACAACCTACTCCTGAACGACTACTGGGTACATAATGAAATGAAGGAAGAAATAAAGATGTTCTTTGAAACCAATGAGAACAAAGACACAACATACCAGAATCTCTGGGACACATTTAAAGCAGTGTGTAGAGAGAAATTTATAACAACAAATTCCCACAAGAGAAAGCAGGAAAGATCTAAAATTGACACCCTAACATCACAATTAAAAGAACTAGAGAAGCAAGAGCAAACACATTCAAAAGCTAGCGGAAGGCAAGAAATAACTAAGATCAGAGAAGGACTGAAAGAGAGAGAAACAAAAAACCCTTCACAAAATCAATGAATCCAGGAGCTGGTTTTTTGAAAAGATCAACAAAATCGATAGACTGCTAGCAAGGCTAATGAAGAAAAGAGAGAAGAATCAAATAGATGCAATAAAAAATGATAAAGGGGATATCACCACTGATCCCACAGAAATACAAACTACCATCAGAGAATACTATAAACAGCTCTGTGCAAATAAACTAGAAAATCTGGAAGAAATGGATAGATTCCTGGACAAATACACCCTCCCAAGACTAAACCAGGAAGAAGTTGGATCCCTGAATAGACCAATAACAGGTTCTGAAATTGAGGCAATAATGAATAGCCTACCAACAAAAAAGTCCAGGACCAGATGGATTCACAGCTGAATTCTACCAGAGGTACAAAGAGGAGCTGGTACCATTCCTTCTGAAACTATTCCAATCAATAGAAAAAGAAGGAATCCTCCCTAATTCATTTTATGAGGCCACCATCATCCTGATACCAAAGCCTGGCAGAGACACAACAAGAAAAAAAAAAAAGAGATTTTTAGACCAATATCCCTGATGAACATTGATGCAAAAATCCTCAATAAAATACTGGCAAACCAAATCCCTCAGCACATCAAAAAGATTATCCACCACAATCAAGTTGGCTTCATCCCTGGGATGCAAGGTTGGTTCAACATACTCGCTAATCAATAAATGTAATCCATCATATAAACAGAACCAAAGACAAAAACCACATGATAATCTCAATAGATGCAGAAAAGGCCTTTGACAAAATTCAGCAGCCTTCATGCTAAAAACTCTCAATAAACTAGGCATTGATGGGACGTATCTCAAAATAATAAGAGCTATTTATGACAAACCCACAACCAAAATCATACTAAATGGGCAAAAACTGGAAGCATTCCCTTTGAAAACTGGCACAAGGCAGGGATGCCCTCTCTCACCACTCCTATTCAATATAGTGTTGGAAGTTCTGGCCAGGGCAATCAGGCAAGAGAAAGAAATAAAGTGTATTCAATTAGGAAAAGAGGAAGTCAAATTATCCCTGTGTGCAGATGACATGATTGTATATTTAGAAAACCCCATCGTCTCAGCCCACAGTCTCCTTAAGCTGATAAGCAACTTCAGCAAGTCTCAGGATACAAAATCAATGTGCAAAAATCACAAGCATTCCTACACACCAATAACACACAGAGAGCCAAATCATGAGTGAACTCCCATTCACAATTGCTTCAAAGGGAATAAAATACATAGGAATCCAACTTACAAGGGATGTGAAGGACCTCTTCAAGGAGAACTACAAACCACTGCTCAATGAAATAAAAGAGCACACAAACAAATGCAAGAACATTCCATTCTCATGGATAGGAAGAATCAATATTGTGAAAAAGGCCATACTGCCCAAGGGAATTTATAGATTCAGTGCCATCCCCATCAAGCTACCAATGACTTTCTTCACAGAATTGGAAAAACTAGTTTAAAGTTCATATGGAACCAAAAAAGAGCCCACATTGCCAAGAGAATCCTAAGCAAAAAGAACAAAGCTCGAGGCATCACGCTACCTGACTTCAAACTGTACTACAAGGTTACAGTAACCAAAACAGCATGGTACTGGTACCAAAACAGAGATATAGACCAATGGAACAGAATAGAGCCCTTGGAAATAATACCACACGTCTACAACCATCTAAGATTTGACACACCTAACAAAAACAAGAAATGGGGAAAGGATTCCCTATTTAACAAATGGTGCTGGGAAAACTGGCTAGCCATATGTATAAAGCTGAAACTGGATCCCTTCCTTACACCTTATACAAAAATTAATTCAAGATGGATTAAAGACTTAAATGTTAGACCTAAAACCATAAAAACCCTAGAAGAAAACCTAGGCAATACCATTCAGGACATAGGCATGGGCAAGGACTTCATGACTAAAACACCAAAAGCAATGGCAACAAAAGCCAAAATTGACAAATGGGATCTAATTAAACTAAAGAGCTTCTGCACAGCAAAAGAAACTACCATCAGAGTGAACAGGCAACCTACAGAATGGGAGAAAATTTTTACAATCTACCCATCTGACAAAGGGCTAATATCCAGAATCTACAAAGAACTTAAACAAATTTACAAGAAAAAATCAAACGACCCCATCAAAAAGCGGGCAAAGGATATGAACAGATACTTCTCAAAAGAAGACATTTATGCAGCCTACAGACACATGAAAAAATGCTCACTATCACTGGCCATCAGAGAAATGCAAATCAAAACCACAACGAGATAGTATCTCACACCAGTTAGAATGGCAATCATTGAAAAGTCTGGAAACAACAGGTGCTGGAGAGGATGTGGAAAAATAGGAATGCTTTTACACTGCTGGTGGGACTGTAAACTAGTTCAATCATTGTGGAAGACAGTGTGGCAATTCCTCAAGGATCTAGAAGTAGAAATACCGTTTGACCCAGCAATCCCCTTACTGGGTATATACCCAAAGGATTGTAAATCATGCTGCTATAAAGACACATGCACATGTATGTTTATTGTGGCACTATTCACAATAGCCAAGACTTGGAACCAACCCAAATGTCCATCAATGATAGACTGGATTAAGAAAATGTGGCACATATACACCATGGAATACTATGCAGCCATAAAAAAGGATGAGTTCATGTCCTTTGTAGAGACATGGATGAAGCTAGAAACCATCATTCTGAGCAAACTATTTCAAGGACAGAAAACCAAACACCGCATGTTCTCACTCACAGGGAATTGAACAATGAGAACACTTGGACACAGGGTGGGGAACATCACACACCAGGGTCTGTCGTGGGGTGGGGGTATGGGGGAGGGATAGCATTAGGAGATATACCTAATATAAATGACGAGTTAATGGGTGCAGCACACCAACATGGCACATGTATACATATGTAACAAACCTGCACGTTGTGCACATGTACAACAGAACTTAAAGTGTAATTTAGAAAGACCCATTACCATCTTAAAATTTCTCGAGGGCTTCAAAGACTATAGTGATTATGTGGGTTATATCTATAGACATTTACTACATCAGAAATTAAAATTCATAAAATTTAAAACATTTCTTATTCTTTAAGCAATTACACAGCATATTTTTATGAACAATTACTATAGTTTCCCAATCAAATAAGTTAGTGAAAGAGTGACATTGTTTTACAAATTTGCAAATCTCTTTAATGTTGGGCTTAATAGAAAGTAGCTAGATTTTTCATTCTTGCTTCTACATTTCACTTGTTGCAATATCGCACATCATGTAGCTACTGGAAAACTCCACTGTACAGTTATGAGAGAATGAGGTTGAAAAAGACAAATAATGTCTTATGTTCAAATAAGAAGATCCAAAAAATATCTATAGTTAACATTATACGTAATGCAAAATTAAGTAAATGACTAAATATTTTCCACTTAAGATTGAGAACAAGGAAAAATTGTTGGCTGTCACCCATCTTATTCAACATAGCACTGGAAGTGCTAGCCAGTGCCATAGAGAAAGGAAAAAATAAGAATAAGCATACAGAACAGAAAGTAAGAAATAAACCTTACCCTATTTTCCCATGACATAACTGTTTACAGCAGAAAATTTTAAGGAATCCAGACACATACACAAACACACACACACAAACAAAAACAAAAAGAAATAACTACAACTAATAAGTGAGTTTAGCAAGATCAGAAGATACAAAAACAACGTTAAATAATTATCTTGTTTCTATATACTGGCAATAAATATGTGGACATTAAAATTAAAATACCATATCGTTTTTAGTCACTCAAAAAAATCAAATATTTAGGCATAAGTCTAACAAAACACATAACACATAACTTGTCAACTTAGAGCTAAACCATATAATGAAAGAAATAAAAATCATCTAAATAAATGTTCCTGGGTTAAAAGACTCAGCATAGTAAAGATGTCAATTTTCCTCAAATTGATACATAGGTTTAAAATAATTATCATCAAAATACTAGTAAGATTTGTATGTATGTACATAAGATTATTCTAAAATTCATATAGCATGAAGTTAAAGAACTTAGGTTAGCTAAAATAATTTGAAACAGAAGAATGAAATGGGATAAATCTTACTGCAGGTTGAGTATCCCTAGTTCAAAATGCTTGGGACTGGAGATGTTTCAGATTTTGAATGTTTTCAGACTTTGAAACATTTGCATATACCTAATAAGATATCTTGGGGATGAGACCCAAGTCTCAACACAAAATTGATTTATGTTTCATATATACCTTATAGCCTGAAGGTAATTTTACAGAATATTTTAAATAATTTTGTGCATGAAACACAGTTTGTGTTCATGAGGTCAAGTGTGGGGTTTTCCATTTGTAGCATCATGTTTGATGCTCAGAAAATTTCAGACTTTGGAGCATTTTGGATTCCAGAGTTTTGGATTAGGGATGATTAACCTGTATATAGGTTCCATAATCAAGACTGTATGGTATTGCCGAAGGATAGATCAGTGGGGCAGAACAGAGAACCTAGAAATAGACCTACACAAACATTGAATGCCCAAGTGGTTTTTCACAGGGGTGCAAAGGCAATTCAATGAAGGAAGGACAGCATTTTTCAAGAAATGGTGCTGGAGCAATTGGACATCTAGGGTCAAAAACTGAAGCTAGATCAAAATCTCACACTTTTATAGAAATTACCTCATAATATATCAATAACAATTGTAAAATGTAAAGTTATAAAATTTTCTGGAAAAATATAGGAAATAAACTTAGGGGCCTAGGCTAGGCCAACAGTTCCAAGACTTGATACCAAAAATAACACTATCTGTAAAAGAAAAACACTTTCCATAAAAGGAAAAATTAACAAACCAGGCCTCATCAAAATTAAAAACTTTTGCTTTGTAAAAGACCCTGTTAAGAGGATAAAAGATTCTGGGAGAAAATATTTGCAAACCATGTGTCTGACAAAAAAATTCCAACTAAAATGTATAAAGAACTCTCTAAGCTAAACAGTAAAAGTAGTAGGTTATTAGGCTGGTGCAAAAGTAATTGCGGTTTTCATCATTAAAAGTAATGGCAACACCACAATTACTTTTGCACCAAACTAATAAGAAACACTCCAATTAGAAAATGAGCAAACACATGAAGATACATTTCACCAAAGAGCATATACAGATGGCAAATAAACACATGGAAAATTGTCCAATATCATTAGCCATTTGGAAAATACAAATTTAAGCCATGATGATTTATCACTCTACAGATATCAGCATGACTGAAATAAAAAATTGTGACAACACCAAATACTGATAAGGATGCAGAGAAACTGGTTTACTTACACATTGCTGATGGGAATGTAAAATGGGAAAGCCACTTTAGAAGATACTTTGAGAGCATCTTAAAAAACCAAACATGCAACCACAGCAATTGCACTCCTAGATATTTTTTCCAGGCAAATGAAGACATGTTCACACAAAAGCCTGTACACAAATGTGTATTTACTTGTTTATTTACTCATAGTAGCCAAAAACTGAAATCAGTCCAAACGTCCTCCAGTGGGTAGACGTACTGTGATGTATCTGTACCATGGAATATTAGGAAGAAAAAGGAACAAACTACTGATACAGGTAACAATTTGGATGCATCTCCACGACAGCATTATGTTGACTGAAAAAAAGCCAATAACAAAAAGTTACATGCTGCATGACTTCATTTATATAACATAATTTAACTGTAAAATTAAAGAAATGGAGTACTGATTATTGGCTGCCCTGTAAGATAGAGGGCAAGGTGGAAGATGAAAGTTGTTACTGCCATAAAAAGGTAACTGAAGGAATCCTTGTGGTGATGGAAATGTTCTGTATCTTGACAGTATCAATGTCAATATCCTTGTTGTGATAGTGTACTACAGTTGTGAATTTCAACTACATTTCAAGCTACAATTATCTCTGAAAGTGAAAAGTTTACACACACACACACACACACACACACACACAGAGCAAGGCTTTGATTTGCAAACTGGAAATAATTTCATTGCGTTTGGAGAAGAGTATCTAGAATGGCATCCAGCTAGTGAAAATTTAGTTTAACTTTCAGTTTTTAGAAATCTGAAGATGTCATCTTTAACACTGTTCTAAGGGATAAAGTAAACACTTTCATAATAATGGGAGGCATAGTGTTTACTGGGAGTATTAAGCATTTTCTTCTAAATATGGTTTAACCAGGATAATTTAACCAGCGTATTGTTACTATCCTAAAGATACAGTAACAAACTCTTTAAGATTCCGCATACATCATGAACACTAAAAATTTGTTGCCAAAAGAAGCTGCTCTCTTTCAACTTGTTTTCATTGTCTTGAAAAACTTATTCAAGAGTTCTTGTTTGCAATGATGGTGGGAAGGAATGTAAATGAACAGATATTCTAAATAAATGTACTGAGAAATTGTATTTTGAAATCTATCCAATATTCTTTACAATGATCAGAGTTTTGTGTTGTAAGTGCGGTCAGTGTCAAGGATTTTTTCTGCATTAGTTTTTAAAAACCATATAGGGATAAGTAAATTTGTTTATAATGATGTGATCTATTTTGAATTATATTGGTACAGAAGCTTTTATACAGAATTAATGAAAAGAGCAGAATAGATGTTGCTATAATATTTTAAGCATTCATAAGAGTGACTATATGAAACGGTAAAAAACTGGTGTTACCATGGAAACCTATCTTGTAAGGCCCGGGCCTACTGGCATTCCTCTCATCGAGGCCTGTGGTCACACTGCTGGAGCATGCCTAGCTGAGAGGGCCTGTCCACTGCCTTGGCTTCCCAAACACATGATACTTAGTAAAATGATTTCCTTCAGCATCTTAGTATCTGCTGTGGGAGTTTGGGAGGGAATTAGAGAGGGAAACATTGGCTTACTAATTCCAAAGGACTTTGGAAAGATTGGAAAGGAAAAAGATACAATAGATTTTTCAAGGATTTCTTTAGTTAAGCCACTGAGTCTATAAACCTCTTGAGCATGAGAAAAAAACACTGCTTGTTCTTATCTGTGTCTGTAGACAATCTAATCTAAATTAATTAGAATTAATAGGAATGGCACTGTTTTCATAAAAATACTAAGAGCCTGTGTATAACTTTTAATCAAATACAAGAAGTTATTTATGCCAGCAAGAATAATGTAGACATTAATGTATTATAAAAAGGATGCTTCTTCAGCAATCACTGAGTCTAATTGCCTCATTTTGTACTCGCAGGAAACGAAAACTCTGAAAAATAAATGGACTTACCCAAGGCCAAAAACTAATTAGTGGCAGAGCACGCCCTGGACTCCAGGTCTTTGACTTCAAGTTCATGGTTGTTAACTGTGCTACTTTAATAACAAACAGAACATGTTCTAGTAGCAAACTGCTTTCTTTTGCCCTCTTTCCCATAAGAAAGGTAGCAAAATACAGAATGCATGGTAAAAGATTTCATAATGTTTTTGGCAGATACTTATAATGGACTGATTTATGTATACAGCACTCCACGTCCTGTCTAGTGTTCTTCCTCTTCTGCAGAGACCAAAAAGCAAAAAACTGCATTTCCAAGATTCCTTTGTGGATAGCTTTCTGGATGTGTTTAGGCTCTGCCAATTGGCACTTTTTGGCAAGATGTGGAGATGGGTCTGGGTTATACCGGGAGAAGGCAAGGGGCAAGACATCCATTTCATAAGCTCGGTGGTGAGACAGTCAGCCTGCTTCTGTACTTGCAGCTTTCTGTTGTAGCAGGGCTGCTTTCCCAATCATTGAAAGGTGCAGTGTGATTCTGAAGGCTGGGAGTTGCCTGGAAGTTTACTCCGCAGCCTGCTGATGTAGCCCCAACAGTACCTGGTGATTAAACCCCTTTCTGTTTAACTTAAAATAGATTATCTTATCTCCAACTTAACACAAACTAACACAGGGTTATGGGATGAAAAATGAAGAAAATATTGTAAAATATGCTAACATACAGAAAGATTCTTGGGGCCTTGAGATAAGAAAGAAGGGGTTGGGCTAAGATTAGGGAATGAGGCCTGCTTTTGGGAAAAGAAATAGAGCTATCAAGGGCACATGATTCCAAATCCTAGAGGAAATCAGTGACAATAGATTTACTCTTAGGCTATGGTTACATTTTAAAAATGAACCTCCACCAAGCACATGGGACACATCTGACTATTTCTACACCCCCACCTACTCTCCTGGAAACCATACTAAAAGGAATAAAGACATATGACTTTAGAAGCAGCTTTCAAATGGGCCTTCTGTGTCTGCAAACTGTCTTCTGATTTGCTTGCTGATGACTGAAATTTCTTTAACAGGGAGCAAATTATGCATAATTAGAAATAATAGTGTCAAAATGCAAATGCTGATTGAGTTGGCTTGTGCAAAACTCATCAATAGTAAAGGGTGATTGGTTAATCAAATTAGAATTCATGGTAATTTTGGAACCCTTATTGTTTTGGTGATGGAGTTGATTAACATTTATAGAGGACCTACTATGAACTTGGCCCTGGGGCTTCATAATACACTTCATTTCATTTGGACTCCCTACAACTCTGTAGTTCTAAACTGTATTTTCATTCCCATTTTCCAGATATAGATACTGAGATTCAAAAATATTTAAAAACTCACTCCGAGTCACAAAGAGAAGGACTGGGATACAGCTTTCTCTAATTTCATGATTTTGAGTTGGGTCTGGTCTGTTTGCCTTTACAAGGTCAGGGATAAATTGAAACTGTTCTCAGATATAGTTTTCTCATGGGAGGGCAGGCAGGAAGTTATGTTTTACATGATTTATGGCTTTTTTTTCCTTCAAGATGGCTTACTTTTTTATGAAGGGTTTATTTGGCCCAGAGGATACATTAATAATAACAAATTACAACTCACAGCATTTGTATATCAGTTCATCCTATTCTCTTACAATGTGTTTTCTTATATGTTGTCTCATTTTATCCTCACAATCACCCAGTAGGAACAGGTATTATTCCTGTCTGATTTTAAGATGTAAATTGAGTCCTGAAAATTGAAGTTATTGCCTCAAATCGCATAGTAAGTGGAGACTCTGGGTCTGAAATGCAACAATTCAGATCTCAAATGCAAGAATTTAGTCCCAAATGCAAGGATTCAGTCCTCACTGCAATCTATCACTATTTATGAGAGACAGCACTGACCTGAACACCTTCAGAGACACATTGAGCCACAGAAAAGACCAAGGATACAGATAAAATATTCTGTTTAATACTTCATCCATTTCACTCCCATTAGACACCTGTATTATTGTTTACCTTATGTGCTAGCTGTTTATGCATGTCTTCTCAGTAGTCCATAGGGTAGAAACTATGAGGGCTGTCATTTTGTCTTATTTATTTTAATATTTCTAGCACCTAACACAATGAGTAACTTAGAGAAGGCATTCAACATATGTTGATGAATGAGTACCTCCAAAATCTCAACTTTCAAGGCATAATAAAAACAATGAATTTTTCACTCCAATATTTTAGCCAATTTTTTTGTCTTATCACCATAAACATGGATCGAGTGTATAGTGGCCAATATCATACATCAGAAACACTGGTACTAAATAATTAGTGTATTTTGAAACACCTTATTTCCACCGCCATCACTATATGGCTAAATATTTTACTACTAATTCAAAATATTAATGGAAACATTTTCTCCTGAAGAATACGCTATTGTAAATTGTCCTCCTCACATAGTAAAATAAAGCAAATCATATTGGACTAGTAACTTTTTTGTGTGCTCAAATCCAATGGCATCAGTACCTGCATTTGGAGCAATGATAAATGAAATTGCCCAACAGTGAAATTCAATCTGGGCCTTGAGTCATATTGCCAAGTGCTGGCCAATGAAAACAACCATTAAGAGAAAAAAATCCTGATTTATTTCTTTAATTTTCCCATGCAGACAGAGCATTTGTGGTCAAATGGTACCTTAATTGAATAAAAACATTCTGATTTTAAGTCTCTATTTTTCCGACCTTTGTATATGATGAAAGACCATCTGCTCTGGATATCTCCCAGGTTGGAATAAATGTTTGCGCTGCAGACTGTCTTAGCTTTTGTTGTGTGCCCTTCAAGTGGTGGTTACTGTATGAAGCTCTTTTTTTTTTTAAACTTTAGGAAATATCTAGCTTTTGAAAATGTCCATCTAGTTTTCAGGTCATTTTGCAGCCCCAGATACATAAATGTTTCAGAGAGTTGACTGAGATATTACAGGTGTGGCCTACAGGAGTTACAGTGTGTGAAAGGCAGAAATAGAGCAGGAGTCCAATAACCCTGAACCATTCTGAATCACCTCACTGCAAGAAAATTTGCTTTGCTTGTCAACTGTTGTCAGTCATAACAAATAACATTAACCTTTGTTTGGAGATGTTTCTTTTAATGAATTCTGCATTAATTTGCATACATTGGATTTATTTAGAAATCAATAAATAGTGGCTACAGAGATAATGGCCTCTGAAGAGTCAGACAGAGTTATATAGACTAGGAATGTGAAATGAAGATAGATTCAGAATTGGGACAAACCAACTTCCCATTTTCATCTATTGATTTTAACACTATTCATGTCGTATTTGAGTTGGTCATTTCTTTGTCTGTCTTATCCCCTAGATTACTTTCTTCTCAATGTTAGAAATTATTTTTTTTACCTTTGCAACATCAGAATGTTACCTGTATAATCTAGCACCATTATCAAGTCACTACATGATATATAATCGTTGCTCAGAAAATCATTGTTGACACTTCAAATACTCAGTGTATATGTTATATGAATATTGTCCCTTTACTTATAAATATGTACCAAGTGAATTTAAATTGTTTAATATAAAACAAATCCTATATTATAACTAACATTTCAGATTATAGGACTTACATGAACTGGTCTTTTGGGACTTATGCTACTAAAATTTGGAATGGTTTCTTTTCAAGTTCAGAGACAGAGAGATTCTCTGAAGAAATTATGCAAGTAAATTTGATGCATTAACATTTTTTACAATCTGCATAGAAATTTAATATATATTCTTTGTTTCTTCAAACAATGCTCTGAGGTAAAAATATTAGATGTTATTAACTCCTCTTTACAAAAGAGAAAGGCAAACTTCAGAAAAGTAAAGTGATTTTTCTAGAATTTCTTACACAGGAGGTATTGGGCGAAGGATTGGAACATAGATTTTCTTACTTCAAATACTCTGAATTTCTCCACTATATGACATTTTTCATTTTAGCATACATTGGATGTATTTAAAATTTGTTGGCTTGAAGAGGTTGTTAGAAATGTACGCATTTTTTTTTCTGGTTTATGACACCACAGTTAGAGTCTGAGGGGTATGGTGAAAAGGAATTGGATTTGAAGTCAGGATTTGAATTCAGCTGTGCCACATGGATGTGAGTTTAATTATACAATTCTTAAGTAAAATGTGAATAAATAAAATAAGTAAGAAAAAACAAGTGAGATACCAGAAAAAAAAATCTGTGTGAATTGGAAACATGACTTAGCCATTTAGTGCCATAGTTTTTTCATCTGTTAAAAGGAACTAATTATAGCACAGACTTGGACTGAGAATGAAATGAAAAGTACCCACTACTTAATTTGAATATTGTATTTGGTTTAATGATGCAACTGGTGGCTGAATCCTACCAAGAAGGCAGATGATTCATTTAACCTCATATATTTTATCTGGATATAACTATGTTTAGAAACATTCTATAGTTTCATAATAAATAATAACAGTTTTCCTTTATATTCTCATCCTTCCTAAATTTGTAGTTTTAGATGAATTTTGGGATAACATTGTATCAGGTAATTTTACAAAATTTTGGACCTATTTATTAAAATGTTATATTGTCCTTTATGCTATTAGTATTTACATAAAAGATTTTCCCATTCAAAAAAGTTCATGAAATTATACAACCATCGTGATATCCATCAGTCTTCAAAGCCGATTCAGGCATTTAAGATGTTCTTTCTGGCTAAT
This sequence comes from Homo sapiens, assembly GCF_000001405.40. Classification (NCBI taxonomy): domain Eukaryota; kingdom Metazoa; phylum Chordata; class Mammalia; order Primates; family Hominidae; genus Homo; species Homo sapiens. Next base: position 148,549,902 of record NC_000003.12, on the reverse strand, counting down.
TCATAAATAAGATTAATGTGAGAGGAGAAATTATCTTTTATTGGATCATGTATTTTGACAATTTTTCATATAAATAGCATTTTAATTTTCTACTCACTGTTTGAACCTTGGCCCGTTTCTGGAAGTTGTAACTAAAAATTGCAAAAAGAGAGAGTCTTTTAAGTTAATATAGCTGACATTAATTAGTTTCCGTTCTTGGATACTGGTATGAAGATCATAAATTCATTTCTTGGTCTCAAGGGACCATACTTAATAAACAAATGATTATTTAGAAAACAAAAACAAAACAGCACTGCATGTGAAATGCTTCTGGGTAAGCAGGAGCCTATGTTAAAAGAAAGTAATGGAAAGCAGCCTTCCTTATGCACTAGGAATATAGAATAATGATTGAGAGGTTGTCAAACATTCTGATATTCATGACATTCTTTTCATATTTGTCATTTTACTTTTGTGTCTTTATTATATATGTTAAATATATTAAGCACATGTATTTATGACCACATAAATAATTATCAGTTATATGAATGATAATCAGCTTGTAAGATTCACATTATTAATTAAAATGAAAAAAGTTAATGCCAGGTAGGGCACTCTAATTCTATATTGAAGAACCTTCACATATTGTAGTGATACATGAAATATTTTCATAGATAGTTGCTTCCATTTATTTCTTGTATATTACATCACTTTTTAAGTTTTAAGAAATATTTCTTAAAGTTTTATCTCTTTCACAGTGGTCCTTTTCCTTGAAAGAGTTCAGATGTGCTACTTCTCAAGGACTGCTATGCTATGGAATTTTGTAGAGAACAGAAAGCTCTGCAATGCACAGGATGGGGTCTGGTGTCTGGAGGCTCACTTAGATGGCGGGCCGTGTTCTCACCACAGCAGTGAGAATTGGTACAAGGCTAAAACACAGATTTTGCCAGTCACAAGGGGAAAACTGAAGAAATGAGTTTTTTTTGTTGTTGTTGTTATTATGTTCTCTCAAATTTGGATGGTTTACAGCCTTTTAGTTTGAAAAATATGGAAGTCGCAGGTGGCAGTAAGGTGATTATTTGGGAAAATGAGAGTTGCCCTTAGGCATTTAGCCAACTCCTGCTCTGCCTTAAAAAAATTAAAAAAGCTAGTTGGGAAATCCAGAAGTCTAGGAACTACTAAATTAAGCTGAATTAAGAGGTTCATCCACACATACTAGCCTTCTTGAAGGTAATTAAGTTTATGGCTCAGTAAAACAAAATAAACAAAACAAAGCAATGCATGCCATGAGACTTTAGAATCACTTGCAGTATTCAAAAGAGTTAGTGAAAAATGTGTGAACCTAAATTGCCTACTGTCTTTATTTTAAAAATGATTGCGTTTTTCAGCTTTGTTTATTAAAATGTTATTATACTACAGTTTTATTTGGTTTATTTTTATAGACCATTTAGGTGATATGTAGGGGGTTAAAAAGTCACTGCTAGATAAAGCCAACCTTTTTTGTAGGGAAGTCTCTCTGGAAGGGGAAATAGAGATGAAAGATTTATGGAGCACAGAAGCTCTCCATAAATGCAGGAAAAGGTGACACCTACCTTTCCTGGTCAAGACTTTTCTAAAGACTTTTCTTTACTGCTATCAGTGCTGCCATGTTGGGTGAATAGACTGGGAGCTAGCGGTAGGAAAGCAGCCAAAAGGCAGGCAGAGCAGTATTCTCCAGAGGTCTAAGGGAGAAGAAAAGAAAAGAAAGCTTCTCTATGCCCCATATCTTGTGGGAAAGACTCATGAAATAGAATTAACCCAATAGTAACAAGGTTCCCACTACTGACTGTCAGCAAGAGAAGGTATAGGTGAAGAGACCTGGCTAAGAGCAGACCAACGGCTTGGGAAAACTTTGTTGGATAATGAGGGAAATGTTGATGCCTAGGAAGTCTTTTTTTTTTATCTTTAAAATGAAATTCATGCTTTAAACTGGATTGCATTTTTTTATGTCATTGGATCTACAGATGTGCTTTAGGGGCATCTGCATCTCATTGAGATTTTACAAAAAAATTATTTGTAGACATATTTTTATTGGGAGAAAGCTCACAACTTTCATTATGATCACTTTATATTTTTGCTATGTGTTTTAAAATATCCTTTCTGTTTGATTTCCTAGGCTACTAATTTGATACTCAATAAGTTATTATACTTACTTTTAGTTAATATATTTTTTTTTGTTTTTGGTAGTAGAAAATATTTTTTATGCTACAACAAAATCTCCTTGAATATTTGCCCCTATTATTGTTTTCATTAAAGTTGTCACCTGTTTCTTCTAAAAGTTCTATTTCTCCAAGAACTACTTCCTTGGGTATTATTGGTTAGCCTCTGGTTGCTGGTTCTCCTTTAGTGTATTTTTTCAACTACTCATGACTCTGTTCACCTTTCTGAATCAGGTCAAATTTTTTTTTCTTCTGCCAGGAAGAATAAGTGGTGTCTGCACTTGTTGAACAATGATAGAGAAATGTTTTTCCTTCTCTTGAGCGTGCATTGTACTCCTATTTTCTCAGCTGCGAGTGTTATTCATAAGCTTCAATGAGAAGAAAATCAGCATCCATCTTTCTCTCTGTCACCTAGGCCAGAGCAGTACCTTCTAGAAGACCTTCCCCTTAACACACACAAATACACATACACACAGAAACAAAAACAGCTCTTCCGCAGAAGGAAAAAAAAGGCTTTGCAGGCCAACTTCTCTGGGAAAGACAGTCCCAGACCTTGCCCCAGGCTTATTTCTCTGGCTGGCTCCCATCTGGCTAAGAGATAACAAAGTCCTGATCTTTTTATTTTTCATTTTTCATTCAGAAACCCTAACTAGCTTGTGTACCCTGAAGAGGTAGCTAAATGGTGCTACAAAAGAAGGATGAGTTTTCAGATTGCTACCAACCCCAATCATCTTCTTAGAAGAGTCTGTGACACCAAAAACAGTAAAATCCACTGCCTCTCATATGTGTGTTATGTATATGCATGTTCATTCATGTATAGATGTGCATATGTGTATGTGTGTGTTTTGTTAGCTATTTAACCAATACTTTAAATGTTTATATTTTCTTGGGAAAAAATTGACATTTTTGAGTAGATAATTCTGGAGTCTATAGCTTATTGAAGGTGTAGTTAGGTTTTTATCTTTGTTTTATCCCAAATGCCTAAGGAACCTAAGATAAGGCAGAAACACATTACTAAATGTGCATGTATTCTTGTCAAAGTGAGGTGTGCTGCTTTAAAAGAATAAAAGTAACTTATATGAAAAAGAATTGTATAAAACAATGCATACATAATTGCATTTTTCGGACTATGACATACAGATATGTAATAAACCTACTTAACAATAATAGCACAAAGGAGGTTAGTAGGAACAAACTATATTGGAGTAAGAAAATGACACCATATGGTACCTTGAATCCACAGGAAGAAATGAAAAGAAACAGTAAGGATAAGAGATATATGAATAGTTAATATAACAAACTCTAAAAGTATATACATATTCTTTCTTCCTTTAGCTTCTTTACAGGACAAAAAGTTATATAAAGCAATAATTATAACAATATATTGTGTGATATACACACACACAGAATATTTATAACAACAACAGCACAAAAAGGGGGAAGAGGAAATAGAACTATACAGAAGTAACATTTTCATATTTTACCACAGCAAAGACAGTACAAATAAGATCTAATAAGTTAAGATATCTATGGTAAGCCCTAGAGCAAACACTGAGAAAATAACTAAACAATGTGAAAAAAAAATCAGAAAAATCACAATGTTACTCTAGAAAGCATTCACTTAATGTGTGTGGTGGATAATACTGAATGTCAACTTGATTGGATTGAAGGATGCAATATTGATCCTGGGTGTGTCTGTGAGGGTGTTGCCAAAGGAGATTAACATTTGAGTCAGTGGGCTGGGGAAGATAGATCCACCCTTAATCAGGTGGGCACCATCTAATCAGCTGCCAGTGAATATAAAGCAGGCAGAAAAATGAGAAGAGGCGAGACTGGCCTAGCATCCCGGTCTACACCTTTCTCCCATGCTGGATGCTTCCTGCCCTTGAACATCAGACTCTAAGTTCTTCAGTTTTGAGACTCAGACGGTTCTCCTTGCTCCTCAAGTTTCCAGACAGCCTATTATGGGCTTTGTGATCATGTAAGTTAATACTTAATAAACTCCCATATATATAATAGGAGATACAATAGGAGATATATATATATATATATATATATATATATATATATATATATATATATATATCTCCTATTAGTTCTGTCCCTCTAGAGAACCTTGACTAATACAATGTCAAAGAAAGCGATAAAGGAGAACAGAGGGGATAAGGCATATAAATTTCAACAAGAGGAGTAAAATACCAAATGTAGATCCAAAGCTCAATAGTAATATTAACTGTAAATAGATCAAACATTCCAATAAAAAAATTATTTTCAGGCTGGATAAACACACACACAAACACACACACACACACAAACACACACATGCACACACCAAACTATGTGCTGTCTATAGGAGACACACTTTGCATATAAATAGAAATAGGTTGAAAATAAATTAATGGAAAAAGGTGTATCACGTAAACAGCAACCATAAACAAATATATGCCTATACTAATATCAAATTAAACATACTTTTAAAACATTACTGGAGGTTATGAGGGACATTTCATAATTACAAAAGGGTTAGTAAGTTAGGATAATATAACAATTATAAACATGTATGCATATAATAACATACTAGTTTCTTTTGCTGCGCAGAAGCTCTTTAGTTTAATTAGATCACACTTGTCAATGTTTGCTTTTGTTGCAATTGCTTTTGGTGTCTTCATCATGAAATCTTTGCCCATGCCTATGTCCTGAATGGTATTGCCAAGGTTGTCTTCCAGTGTTTTATAGTTTGGGGTTTTACATTTAAGTCTTTAATTCATCTTGAGTTAATTTTTGTACATGGCATAAGGAAGGGGTCCAGTTTAAGTCTTCTGCATATGGCTGGCCAGTTATCCCAGCACCATTTAGTGAATAGGGAATTCCTCATTGCTTTTTTTGTCAGGTTTGTTGAAGATCAGATAGTTGTAGGTGTGCAGTCTTATTCCTGGATTCTTTCTCCTGTTCCATTGGTCTATGTATCTGTTTCTGTACCAGTACTATGATGTTTTTGTTTCTGTAGCCCTGTAGTATGGTTTGAAGTCAGGTAGTGTGATGCCTCCAGTTTTGTTCTTTTTGCATAGGATTGCCTTGGCTATTTGGGCTCTTTTTTGGTTCCCTATGAAGTTTGGAAAAAATCGCTGGGCGCAGTGGCTCACATCTGTAATCCCAGCACTTTGGGAGGCCGAGGCAGGTCGATCACCTGAGGTAAGGAGTTTGAGACCAGCCTGCTCAACTTGTTGAAACCTCATCTCTACTAAAAATATAAAAATTAGCCGGACTTAGTGGCAGGCACCTGTAATCCCAGCTACTTGGGAGGCTAAGCCAGGAGAATTGCTTGAACCCAGGAGGCGGAGGTTGCAGTGAGCTGAGATTGTGCCATTGCACTACAGCCTGGGTGACAGAGTGAGACTCTGTCTCAAAAATAATAATAATAATAAAATAAAAAAATAAAAGTTTTTTCTAGTTCTGTGAAGAATGTCAGTGGTAGTTTAATGGGAATAGCATTGAATCTATAATTTTCTCTGGACAGTATGACCATTGTAATGATATTGATTTTTCCCATCCAAGAGTATAGAATGTTTTAGCTGAAATATGCAAATTTACAGAAAGATGCAAACTACTGAAACTGACTCAAGAAGAAACAACACACTTGAATAGACCTATAACAAATAAATAGATTAAATTAGTTTTTAAAACTATCTCTCCCAAAAAAGTCTGAGCTTTTTTTTTTCTTTGGAAACTAAAGTACAAGCAATTTAAAAAAATGGATAAATTGGACTCCAGCAAAATTAAATTTTTTATGCTTCAAAGGACACTATCAAAACAGTGAAAAACAATAAGCAAAGGAACTCAATAAACATATCTCCAAAGAATGGATAGTAAGCACATAAAAAGATGCTTGACATCATTAGTTATCAAGAAAATGCAAATCAAAACTACAATTCATTACAACTTCACAACCGCTAGGATAAGTATAATAAAAAAGATGGCTTATAACTTATGTTATCATCTTAACATTATCTAAAATGGTAAGAATACGGAGAGACTGCAACCCTTATACGCTGCTGGTAAGGATGTAAAATGGTACAGCCACTTTGGGAAACAGTTTGGAATTTCCTCAAAAACTTAAACAGAGTCACATGACCTGGGAATTCTACCTTTAAGTATATGCCTAAGAGACATGAAAACCTATGCCCACACAAAAACTTCTACATCACGGTTTATGGTAGCATTATGCATAGTAGTCCAAAGTGGAAGCAACACAATGTCTAGTAACTGATGAACGAATAATCAATTTTGGTATATCCATACAATAGAATAATATTCAGCCATAAAAAAAATTATGTACTGATATGACATCGATGAACCTCAAAAACATTAAGCATATGAAAGAAGTCAGTCACAAAAGGCTATATTGTATGAATCCATTTGCATAAAATATTCAGCCAGACTAGGCAAATCTGTAAAGGCAGAAGACTGATTGCTAATAGGCACTGGGTTTCCTTTTCGAGTGATAAAAATATTCTATAATTATATCGTGGTGATTGTTGCACAACTCTGTGCATATGCTAAAGCCACTTAACTGTGCGCTCTAATGGGGTACATTTTTTAGTGTTTAAATTATATTGCAATAAATCTAATCAATGATCTCATAAAAGTATGATGTATATACTATGTGCCAGACACTATATAAGGAGCTGAGTATATACTGAAAACATGCACATCATCTGTTAAGGCTCAGTATATAGGTACAGTAATCAGGATGGTGTAGTATTGGTGGAGAAACAGATATAGATAAATAAAATAGAAATGAGAACCCAGAATTATACCCATAGAAATATGTTCAACTGTTTTTTGACAGAGGTGCAAAACCAGTTGAACAGATGAAAGACAGCCTCCTTTCCAATAAATGGTGGTGGAGCAATCTATAAGCCAAAAACAAAGCAAAACAAAACAAAAAAACTGAAAGAAAGAAACCCTCAAAACAAATACACCCCAAACACGCTTTTTTAAACCTTACACCTTATATAAAAATTAATTCAAGATTAAGGACTGAAATGCAAAATGTAGAAAAATAAAACTTTTTTTTAAAGTCCAGGAGAAAAATTTTGGGATTAAGAGAAGAGCAAAATTTTTTTAACTTGACACCAAAACCATGATCCCTAATAGAAAAAAAATTAAGAGGTTAGGTCTTACCAAAATTATAAACTTTTGCTCTGTGAAAGACTCTGTTAAGAGGAAGGAAAGACAAACTACACGATGGGAGAAGCTGTTTGCAAACCACGTATCTAGCCAGGTGCGGTGCCTCATGCCTGTAATCTCAGCACTTTTGGAGGCAGAGGCAGGTGGATCACTTGAGGTCAGGAGTTCAAGACCAGCCTGGCCAACATAGTGAAACCCTGTCTCTACTAAAAATACAGACATTAGCTGGGGGTGGTGGCACGCTCCTGTAATCCCAGGTATTCTGGAGGCTGAAGCACAAGAATCGCTTGAACCCGGGAGGTGGAGGCTGCAGTGAGTCGAGATTGTGCCACTGCACTTCAGCCTGGGTGACAGCAGGACTTCATCTCTCTCTCTCTCTCTCTCTCTCTCTCTCTCTCTATATATATATATATATATATATATATATATATACACACACACACACACACACACACATATGGAGAGAGAAAGAGAACCCTTAAAACTCAACAGTAAAAACTCTCCCAATTAGAAAATGGGCAAAATATATAAGAAACTCATAGCAAGAACAAAAATAACCCAATTTAAAAAATGGAGAAAGAACTTGAATAGACAGTTTTTCAAAAGAAAACACACAAATGGCCAACAGGTATATGAAAAAATGCTGAACGTTACTATTCATAAGAGAGATGCAAATAAACTACAATGAGATATTAAAATAAATATTAGTGACAAGAGCAAATGTTGAAGAGGATGTGCAGAAACTGGATCATTCATATATTGCTGGTGGGAATGAAAAAATGTATTGCTAGTGAGAATGAAAAATACAGGCATTCAGAAAAACGGTTTGGCAATTTCTTATAAAATCATGCAAGCAGCTACCACACAACCCAGCAACTGTACTTCTGAACATTTATCCCATAAATATGAAAATTTATGTGCACCCCAAAAACCTGTACATAAATGTTCATAGCAGTTTGTTTGTACTACTCTAAAACTGGAAACAACCTAGGTGTCCTTCAACAAATGAATCAAACTGTGGTATATCTATACTATGGACTACCATTCATCAATAAGAATGGACTAGGCAGGGGATGGTGGCTTACGCCTGTAATCCCAGCACTTTGGGAGGCCGAGGTGGGTGGATCACTTGAGGTCAGAAGTTCGAGACCAGCCTGACCAACATGGTGAAACCCTGTCTCTTCTAAACTACAAAAATTAGCTGGGCTTGGTGGTGTGTACTTGTAATCCCAGCTACTTGGGAGGCTGAAGCAGGAGAATCGCTTGAACATGGGAGGTGGAGGTTGCAGTAAGCTGAGATCGTGCCACTGCACTCTAGCCTAGGAGACAGAGCAAGACTCTATCTCAAAAGAAAAAAAAAAAAAGACTATGGGGACATGTGACACCTGGATGACTATCCAGAGAATTATGCTGATTGAAAACACCCACTTCCAAAAGACTGTAAACTATTTGTTTCTGTTTATATAACATTTTTGCGATGACAAAATTTTAGAAATAGATTAGTGCTTTTCAGTTTTATGAATGGGAGTAGGTAGGTATCGCTCTAATGGGGCAACATTCCTTTTGGTGGTGGGACTGTTCCATATCTTGATTGACTGTGTCAATGTCAGTACTCTGGGTATTTCCTTGTACTATAGTTTTGCAAGATGTTACCAGTGGGGGTAACTTGTGAAGGCTACATGGGATCTCTATATTGTTTCTTAACAATTGCCTGTGAATATTTGATTATCTCAAAATAAGAAGTTTAATCAAAAAAAGTATAAGGGCCCTCTCCTTACTCCATGGACAACTTGAGAGGCCGTTATGACTTAGCAGCCAAAGAACACCCCTTAATGTTGACCATTTTGGATGCCAGTGAAATGGTTCTAAAGTGGGGTTTCCCTACCTTTATGAAATTATGCCACAGTAGAAAATGGTAATTCTGAGATGACCCAACTCCAGCTCCATTTTCTGCCCCAAAGGCTGGAGGTGTAATAATGTTGGCATACCTTGATCCCACATTTGGCATACTAGCTTGCTGTGGTGCCCCAGTAGATAAGCCCTAGTAGATAAGCCCTACCCTGGAAATTCTAACATACCTTGGAGAGAATTTCTAAATAATGCCATCATCTCAGTGTACCACGTCAGTCACAGAAGTTACTACTAAAGAGTAAATCAACATATTTGTTGTACTTCAACCAACATTACTCACCTGACAAAATGACTTGAAAATGAAAGGGAAGAGAGTGTAAATATCAAACACTATTGTAAGCATTTCTTTATTAATCATTTTTAATCCATGAATATGTCCTTTCCTAAACAGGAAATCCTGTCTGTTTACAATAATAAATAGTTGAAAACTGTGCATTATGAAATAGTTATCTGTATTGTTTAAATATCCAATATTTTCCTTATGATTGTTGTCACCTTGCTAATTCTAATGTTGCTGTGCTCTCCTACCTTTTCTCTTAGCTCTTCCTACATTGTTACCAATGTAACAGGTCCTACAGCCCTGTTCTTCAATCCATCTCAGAATGTACCCAAGTATGACTTGCTATTTCATGATGTTGCCTTGGGAATTGGTGTGGATATTCCAATAGTCCAGTGATGGTCTAGGGAGAAAAAAAGTACAAAAATGCATGCATGTAAGATGATGAACACATAATGCCTCACTAAGAATATTGTGTTTGAACAACAAATAGCTACCTACATAAATATTGATTTTCATTTTAAATGTTTCTTTAAAAAAATAAACACTAGTGTCTAATAATAATCTTATAAAAAATACACAGAACAAAATAAATATGTTTTCATATAGATGAAATAAATGTTTTCATATAGATGTGAAGAGATCCATTTATTTTTAAAAATGTATTTCCTGAGCCCTTATTACTTATCTTTGTAATGTATTATATATTAATATTTATTTCTTCTAGTGCCAATAATATATTCAGGGGCCAGAAAAACATAACTACATCTATATTTTTGTGGAAATTTTTGATATCTTCAGAAGTCCACTAAAGTTTTATGCAAACACTTCGTATGTAATACAAAGGTCATTTCTACTTACCTTCACCCATTTCCTTCTAATTTTTATTGTCCTCAATATTAGATTTATAGATTCAATATCAATTAGCTTTGAAAAAAGCTATAAGCCATAAGAATGATCATTAATCCATACATTGAGGTTTCTATATTCCTCAAATCTACTAATAAACACTCAAACATATCAAGCCATTTTTCTGTTACTGGAAGAAAAAAAACCCTAATCTATAATATATTTGATAAACCACTTTTTAAAAAATAATAAGGAATAAATAAATCTATCTTTCTAATTCCCTAAGTATAACACTTTGAAACTCCAAAAATGTTGTTTAAGATACATATGAAAAGGAACTCTATTTCCTTCCAAATTCAAACCTTGCAAATAAGTTTATTATAAAGATTAACCTGCTTCACAGGCCTAAATAACACAATTCAATTAATAAAAGCTTTTCATGAATTACCCCCAAAAGCAAGAATAAAGCAGCACTATCCTACCTCAAGACATTCACAAGTTTTAACAGAGCAACAGGCATGGTCATCTTTGAAGGCTAATTTGCTTTTGAAGAGTTTATAGACATGAAAACGTTAAATGCTGCTGATATCTAGAAAGAAATTTAATGGTCAATAAGAAACAGCAATGAAAATGTGGTTGAAGCTTGTTCCTCTTTCTTAAGTGTGTATGTGAGTGATCAAGTGCCTCACAGAACACAGATTATTACTTTACTTTTGAGCTGCTGGCTGTTTTCCTTCATCCTTGAAACTAGGGTAAAAAGGGTCCAGTTGACCTTGTAGTCGATGCTAATCCTTGCAGCATTTTCCCCATAAAGTTCAAGTTGTTTTGTAAATAGTTTTCCAGTTGCACTAGTTTTCTGACCCATTGACCTGAAAGCCATCTTGTATCTTCAGCTATCTCATAATTTCTCCTTACATATAAATAATAATAGTACTTATCTCATGGTGTGGCTGTGAGGATAAAATGAGTTAATTCATTTAGTGTCTAGAATAGTGCCAGAAACATGATAAAACAAAAACAAAAACAAATGACAACAACAAAAAACTACCATGCTAGTTGCTTTTATCATTATTGCCTTCATTAAATATGAAAATTAAAAGATACACATATAATTAAGCAGCATTCTTTTAAAATAACTTAATCTAAAATATTATGAAGGCAAAAATGTATGAATTGGCCTCTATCTCATCTTCCTTCTAATCTTAAAATAGATTACTATTTACATAGTATTTGTTTTCATTTTGGTTTCCAGGAAAGACTTTGAAATCAGAACAATCTGTTTTGAATCTTGTCCCTTCTATTTACTAGTTATTTGACCCTAGTAAAGTTAATCTTTCTAAGCTTCCCCTCATCCAGTTATAATGTAAGAATAATACCCACCTCAAGGTGTTGTTGGTAAAATTAAATGAAATAATTTGTGTAAACACCTAACATGTAACCTGGCCCATAGTAAGTGCTTAGTGACTATTTCTTTTCCATTGCTACTTCCTTGTTTTCGAATGTGATGATCCAAAAATAATGACTTTGATAAGAGTAAAGCCAATTTTAGCTCTCTGCAACAGCTAATTTTAATCTATTCTCAGTTGCTTTATAGTTAAGAATCAATTATTCTATTTTTTTCTATTAGCTCAGAGATAATTGAGCATAAAATTATGAGAATAAGAAGTAATTGTGGACTTTTAACTAAAGGTCTTCTTTATTGAATACACACATGAAAAACTTATTCTAATCCTTTTTAGGAAATTTGATAATAAAAAACTTATTGTTTCCCTGTGAAACCTGTATCAATCGCTTTTACCTAGGTCAGGGAAATATCATCTATAATGTAACTATAAACATTTATCGTCATTCAGAAAATCATTCTTAGCTTTGTTTAACTCTATTTTTTATGTTGTCAGAGAAAGAAATACTTATGCGAACATGACTGAGAAAGCTGGAAAAATATAAAGAACTAGAAAAAAAATCAGTCATAATCTCATACTCAAAAAGAACCATCGTTTAAACATTTTATTCTATTTTTATACAGAAAATCCATTTAATTTTCAAATATTTGAAAGAACCTTTGCAAAGATTATGACAATAAGAGAACTCTAGCATGGCTGACTCCATCTTGCTTCTAGCCTCACACGCTGGCTGTCCTCACTCATTCCTGGGTGTAGGCCAGGCTAACCATGGGAGAAATGTAGTCTATAGCTTAACTTTAAAGCAAGGATGATAATAGTCTTTCCCAAAACAAACCACCTTTATAAAACTAATGAAAGCCCACAAGGTTAGGATTATGAGAAAGGCCTGAATTCTGCCAAGATACAGGCATAACCGATAACCACCTATTGTTCTGGAGGTCACAAGATTTGTAACTTCCTCAATTATTCCTGTAGATAACATCACTATTTTAGAACCTAAGTTTAGCTATTTGAGATTTTACAGAGTTTTGCATTTCTGGAGACAAAATGATTCCACTTGGACCCTGGACTCAGCTGATCCTGTGGCCCCCACCCAGAGACTGAGTGAGTGCACAGGACTGTTTTCCACACCCCTGTGATTTTATCCCTAATCAGTCAACATTTCCCATTCCCTGCACCCCCTGCCCACCAAACTATTCTTGAGCTATCCTAACCTTGGAGGCTTCAGGGAGACTGATTTGAGTGATAACTCCAATTATTTTGTATGGCCATCCTTGCATCAATTAAATTCTCTCTTTACTGCAAGACTGTGGCCTCAGTGAATTGGTTTTGTCTGTGCAGTGGGCAAGAAGAACCTGATGGGCAATTAAATATTCATAGACATATCTCACATTAGAAAAACTATGAAAACCTTCACAACGGTAAAGTTTTGGGCATGCACCTGTACATGTAGCATGGGGCTGATCCAGGGAGATAAGCTCCATGTCTTGCAGTGGGGAGTGGAGCAGGCTCTTCAGGCAGCCGAGGCACCTGGAGTGCTCAGAGTTTGGGACAAGGAGAGCCAAGTAAATAAAATTACAAGGAGGAACCCATCATGTCCTGGGGCTGAGGTCTACCAGATTAGGGAAAGGTCACTTATAGTCAAAGTTAGCCTTAAGCATGCCATAAATTGCGTGAAAGAGCAGAGAGGTCACACTAACATAAGAAGGACTGAGTAAAGAGCAGATTCTCACTTCCCATCTCCTTCATTTTCCTTCTCACACTCATGCCTAGAACCCAGTCTTTGAGTGAAGTGACACATAGCCTCTCTGAACTATATACATTTAAATCATTCTCTTTCGCTAATTCCTTCCCCCACTCTTTTACATAGAGCACAGAGTCAAATTCTGAGAAATTAAATATGCATATGTAGCAACTTTGTTACCTGACACTTATTCTTCTTATACCTTTGAATGTGTCCAGTAAAAGCAGAAAATATACTACATTTAGAATTAAGGGAGACTCTATAGTTATATTATTATGCATTTGATTATATATATATAATTATAAACCAATCCTAGAAACTCCTCCTCCAATCTTTCCTTGGAAGACCATTTAGAGAAATATATTCAAAGTTCCTCTCTTTGTTGGGCTTCTTCTATTATAAGGATTTCCACAGTTACTATGAGTTTAGGAGATGGTGCTGAATTATCTAAGCAATGAGATTTTTCACCACCTTAGCGGAAGTAGGAGCCCAACAGAAGAGATGTAAAACATACTGAGAATTAAAGAGCTACAACTGGCCTTAAAAATCTTATAAATTCTATAGTACCAATATGTATCTGGAAAGAGATGGAAGTACTCCTTCAGGGACTTAAAATTCTTTCTGCAACTCTCTTTCCCTGCTTTTCTAATAAATGCAAGATACCCTGTGGACCAGAGAGGTATTCTGAGTATGGACCACTTGTCTGGATGGTTCAGAAAGAAGCTTTTTATTAACTCTGGAACCATTTTGTAGTAAGACTCAAGCTAGGTAAGTATATAACAAGCCCAGAGTTTTATTTCGTAAGGAATAAGGTTCAGGACATTAGTAATAGAAAAACACAAATTTAATTTAAAACTAAAGGTGCTCCTTGGGAGAAATTTATCCCCATGGTGTTGAACTGTATTTGATTTCAGACACTGTACAAAAAAATCGGCCATGGCCTGAGTGAAAGCACAACACCATATTTATTCTTCCATCTCCTCCAACTCAGAGCTCATTCCTGGGGGGAAGAGGAGAAGTATGGACATCTGGAAAGTATTTAAGGTAGAAAATGCATTTGCAAGTTCCAAGCCTGCACTGAGGATGGATGCTCACTATCCTGTGGGAAAGGGTGGTGCATCACAAGAAAAAAAGACTGGGAAGGACTTCAGGAGGTAAAATTTTGGAGAGGGAGGAAACAAATAAGTTATAAAATGAGGAAGGACACGAGGCATGAGGAATCAGACTTGGCCACTGTGGGGCTCAAAGGACTTTATTGGCTAAACCAGAGCCATGACCCTCCTCCATCCAACTCTACAGGCTTATGATTCTTGCTGAAATATTTTAGTTAAGAACAGCTTAAATCTCCCTTGAGGTTCAGTGTGTTATGATCTAGATAAGGAGTGGTAAAGTAGAATTTGGGACAGAGAAAGGATACTTTACCCTGATTTGTCCCTCTACCAAGACAAATAGGGAAAGAAGGAGTGGAAGTTCCTGTTTCCTAGATCGCAGAAGAAAGGAACAGAGGCCCAACTACAAACCTTGGTGAAGCATTGTGACATCAGAAACATCTCTCTGCCTTTATTTCCCTGATGACCTGTGGGAGACAATAAGATGAACTAACAGCTATTAATTATTAAGCAGATGATCAGGTGACCAAAAACTTAATTTTGAGAGAGGAAGAAGAGAGAGCTAAAGTACATGTAGCCCAAAAAATCATGTCTTGATAAATGGACTATGTATGTGACATAGACAAAGCTTCCAGATACCAGGGACAAAGGTCAGATGCTGAAATGTAAATATGCCTCTAAAGGAAACAGTTTGGTGGAGAGCTTAAAGTGTAGGTCAGTGAAAGTTTGCCTTCCCAATTGTAACTCCTATGGCAAAAGAGAACGTACGTTGATTCTTATGAAAAGTATATTTTTACTTCAGGCATAGAAAGTAAAAGATTGTATTTCTGCTGACTCGAGCTAACTTGAGTTAATTTAATGTTAGTTTGCATATTAGAAGTTTTAGCAAGATAAGTTTTAGGTGGAGATGTCTGCTGTTGCGTGGGGAGGGAATACTACACAGCAAAGTTCTGTCAGCAAGCTCCTTATATAGAGCCAAAGCAATTTCTGTTTGCATGTGTGTAGCTATGTGCCAGCTGTTCCTTGGAAAATGGCCACTTGTTATTCTTTTTGAGCAAACCCTCAGTTCTTTTAAGATACACTTGAGACAATTAAGTAATAAGTCTAAGATGTAGAATGCTTTTTGTTCCATTAGGTGATGATTTCTAGCTGCACTGCTGCTCTCTAATGGGCACCAAAAGGACTCATTTTGAATTATGATTGAATTTGGTTTTTAATATTGGTGTGAGTCAAATCATCAAAGCCAGCTGCCTCTAAACATCAACTGGGATGTCGACTGGACAGGGCAATGTATTCTGTCAATTACAGGAAGTATCTCAAGTTTTCATCTACAGAATGTAAACATCTATTAAAAATGTTGCTCTGACCTAAAAAGGCAAATTCACTATGAAGAATCAGATACTTCAACTCATTTGTTGAAAGTTGTTGGACCTTTAGTCACATTCATCTCCTGGTTTTCAGAAAACAAATTGCAAGATGGATGTTACATTTTTACACCTAAGAGAACACTGTGATGGACTTCTAAAAATCAACATTCTAGCACAGCAGAAGGCAGTGACTGTTGATAATAAAGATCAGAAGCCTCACTGTAATTAAAGCCCAAGTCTGGCACTAAATATGTGTAGAATTTTACTACATACAGACGTCCTTGGCTCTTTGGACTGACAAAATGGAGGAAAAATGAGGTAGGCGCTGGTGTATCTGAAAGCTATATTTATATTGGTGCTTGCTTGTTTTCTTATGCCTGCCATGAGGGCCCTCATTAGCACATGTAGTGTTTTTGTGCAGATCACAAAAGATATCCCTTCTGAGTGGACAAATTATAAAAAGATTACCTGTTTATTGGCACTCCTGGTTGGTATTTATTGTACCCATTTCTTCTCTGATTTTTGACATGGCTTTTCCAAGCTGGCTCTGCTGAGGTATTTATTCCTGCTCCTTGGAGTCAGCAGTGTTTTCTGAGGAAACCAAACTCAGTGAATTTGAATAACTTGCTCAAGGACATGCCTTTATAGATGGTGTCCTACGAAGTGAAGAATAAGCATGTTTCATCTCAGTCTGTGCTGGGCAACGCTGCCTTTTAGCAAAGATACATGGATTTAGTGCAGTTTGATGACTGTACCTGAGACGACTGGAACATTAATATTCACTCTCAGTAATGTCACAGAAAATATCATCTTTTGTGATATTAAATGGATTTTTTTTCCTGGGATTTCACTGAAAATTTAAATTTAGATTCAGGAAATTTAATTTAATAAACAAATAAATTAATTAAATAATAAATAATAAATTAATTTAAATTCAGGTTCAGTAAACTTTTGTTGAGCACTGAATGCGTTAAGTGCTAATTGATAGGGGAAATAAAAAGGCAACCCAGCTAGGCAAGACCTCTTCATCAAACAAGACCTACTTGTTTGGTGCAGAGAGCGGAGACAGACAAAGAAGACTCAGTCCCTTTATGGCAGATTTTATTTGCCAAAAATTGCCACAACCATATCTGTTGCAACCATATCTTCTGCTGCACATGCTCTTCTACAATGTGAGCAGGCATCAAGAGGTAGGGTCTGATCCCTTCTCCTTGAATCTGGGTGGTCCTTGGATCTCTTTGACCAGCAGAATACAGCAGAAGTGATGCTATGTGATTTCTGAGGCTGAGTTGTAAAGAGCTAAGCAGCTTTCACTTTTTCTTTCCTGGGACCCTATCACTTGGAACTATGAGTCACCCGGTTAGAGATCTAGCCCTAACTGTGGTGGGCATGTGATGAGGAAATCAAGCCACATGGAGAGACCTTCTGTAGTTGCTCTTGTTGACAGTTACAGTCTTGAAGTCATCCTAGCTCAGGTACTAATATGTTGAGAGAATGAACCTCTAGGTGATTTCAGTCCTCAGCCATCCCGAGAACCTAGCCTTCAATTCTTCATAGCCCCAGATATATATGGAGCAAAAATAAGCTATCCCCACTGTGCCCTGCCCCATTCCCACAGGAACCATAAGCATTAAAAAATTGTTAATCTATACCATTAAATTAGGTATTAATTTGTTATACAACAATAGTAACAGAAGCATTATTCTCCCGAGATAAGTCTGAAGTTGTGTGCAGCAGGAGGAATACTGGCAGAGGTCTGAAAACAGATGTACATTTTTTTCCTTTAGTTTTATGTAGCACTTTTTGTAAAGGGGGAACAAAAAGATTTTGGAAGACAAATAAGCCAATCCACCTAAAGGTCATATTTCCCAAGTGGTTTCTTACTTTGGAAATACTATAATAGTATTTTCTCAAATTGAACAGAAATATACATAAAATGTTCTAATGGAAAGAGCACAATATTGTTTCAGGACAAATGAACGTTAAAAAAAATTCCCAAGACACTGTCTCCTTGATGTTGTTTCAAACACTAACAGGAGATGAAGAAGTCCTGTTATTACTTTTATTACATATTATTTGGTGCCTGAGTTATATTTTATTCAGGAGACAAAAAGCCTCTATTTCTGCCCTTATGTTGTACAATTTAAATCAGAGAGACATTATAAGTGTTTCTGACAGAACACACTGTTCTGGTTTCTTTATGGTAATTTGAAAGTTTTCAAACAACCTAATCACCACAATGTAAAGATATGAAGTGAAATGGGAAGCAATGACAGAACACTTTCCAGAGTTTCAAGTCTTTATTTCAACAGGGTAACTCTCTATTTTCAATTCTTCATAAAAGAAGCCAATTGTATCCACCATAATAGTTATAAGAATTATGAGATGTTGAGTTCAGTGATGTGCAGAGACTAGTTTAAATGAATCTTAAAAAAACAAACAGAACCCTCTTTAGATTTTGGCTGTAAATATGTTAGAAAAAAATAAAAACATAATAAAAGCTACTAATTAGTTTCAAGGCCAATCTGAATTAGTAATAAGTCTGAATCACATATTATGATAAGGAAATGTGGTTTTATTACTTTACAATAAAATAAAATAACTTCTGCAGTTTGAAAGCTGTGCAAGTTCTCTAAGACTTTTTTTTTTTTTTTTTTTTTTTTTTTTTTTTTACTAAATGGGTAATTTATAACTTGCATCATTGATCAACTGACCTCTCCTGCATCTGCTGAGAACTTGCATTTGTGGAGAACTCAACAAACATGTCACAAATGACAACTTCATGTCCAGTTAATTGTCTAGATTGTGTGGAGAATTCCGGAGAAAACAAACACATCATTTTTGTCTCCAAGAGCTTAAATTCTGTTTGACAATTTATTTATAAAACACAACTAGCTAAAAATACAAAATGGTTTCTAATTCTACTTTGTGCTATAGGAATTCTGAGAGAAGTCAGATTGAAGGAATTACTCAAGATTTCCTGGACAACACTGCCTTGACTACAGTAGAAGAGCAGAAATTAGTTAGATTTCTGAGAACATAGAACTCTATTTGGACCATAAGATAGAAAATTCTTACTTAATTTACCTTCTATATTTTAACAGCTTGAAGAAAAAGTATCTTTCCAGGTATACAAAAGGTAAAGCTCGGTCCTGACTAGCATCTAGATACCAGATGATTTAATTTAAGCCACATGAATTAATGAGATTTTTAAAAATCAGCTTTTAAAATAATCATACATACACAGATATTCTATACAATATGAATGGTTAAAGTGTCAATAATAAGTACATTCAATCATTGACAATGGGGTTGGCTTGCATTAGTAGTTAATTTGGCTATCTCTAGGACATGATACAGGAGAAAAATAGCAGGTTTAGACTCAGAAGACATGAATTTGCATCTAGACGCTTCTTTCTACCAGTTTTGTGGCTGAGAAAGTCATTTAAACATCTGTAACTCAGTCTGAGCTAATGATGGATCTCAATCACATAGGACAAAGGGGAAATGTATTTTTTTGACCCTACAGTAAAATAAAATGACTTTGGTCATCAGAAAATGATCTTTCAAATGCAATATCAATGACCTCTAAATCAAATTTTCCTTATCTGTAAAACAGACCTGATAAAACTCACCTCATACAATTTTTTGTGATGATTAAACAAATTTAAGTCAATGAAAGAATGTTAAGAAGAAATTTGATAACATAAAATAGGACATTATTATGATCCTTTAAATTTGTTTTCTAGAGGCACCAAGAAAAAGAAAAAACAATCTTATTCTGGAAATAAGGATTCTATTCTGGAAATAGTATCAAACCAATAGAGATTTATTGATTATCTGGTATTTCATTACTGCCTTTTTTTCTGATTTAGAGAGCATATCTTAATGAATGACACTAAAATGATTTAACAATTTTGAGCATTTGACTTAAAATGGGTTTTAAGTCAGAACAAAATGTATCTTAATTGTCTGATTATGTAACTTTATTTGGCATCTAATTTATAGGATTTCTTTTCTAAAAGAGTTTAGTTTCCATACTGGTTACCAGGGTGTATATGAGACAGAAAAAAAGCAAAACTTAATGCTTAAGGTAAAAGTCAGTCACTTTTTTTGGAGCATTTATAAAAGTTAAGGGACTGAGTTTTCTTCAGGGCTGCCAAGCCCACTGGGTTAAATAGTTTACTTTGGCCTATATTATTATAATTGACTTGTAATTCCCTCTGTACTTCCTTTTCTTCCCTCTGTGATTCCCAAGAGGGGACATAACACACTCTGGAGGTTGTTTTGTTTTTCCAACTTGCCTTGCAGCCAACTCTGTGCAAAAGCAAAGGAGCTATTAATCGAGACCCTGGGCTTCCTTATGACATTCACATCAGTATTTTACCTAGAATCTTCCAAAATTTGCAAGGAGTTTTCAGGTTCTTTCTTGTATCATGCCTTACACAAATCCTCCACTCCTTGAAGAGTGGCTTCTGGTGCTTTCATTTAGATAGCTTCTCAGTGTTACAGGAGAAAGTTCAATCTCCTTCATAACCTGATGTTCTCTCTTACCACTCTCTCATACCCACTCAACAATTTCCCCATATAGAACTTTCTGCTTGGCCCACTTATGCTATGCTCTTGCTTTCATGCTTGAATCAGCCTAAGATGTTGGCCAGGAATACGTTTTTCCCTCTTCTTTGCAGAGCAAATGTCTGTTTATCCTCTCTATGTCTAAAGCTGTCTCCTAACCCCTTTATACATTCTTCACTTACCCTAAGGCAGGATTACTTATAATTATGCCATATAGCACTGTATAAGCTTCTTTTTGGGGCAATTATCACAAAACCTTAATCTGTGTGTTAATTTTCCTATTTTACCCAATAGAATGTAAGCATCTTAATAATAGAACTCTGGGTTTTATAAATGCCTGTCTCTTTTTTCTTCAAGACTTGGCCTTGGTTATGTACCAGCTATCTCCTAAATATTAAATAAAGGTGTTTTAAAATTTCTACTCATTTGGCAAAAGTCTTTTTAGATAAAGGAATAGCAAGTGCACAGGCCCCAGGCAGGAATGTGGTGCAGTGTTTGAGGACTGGCTATGGCCAATGTGGCTGATACAGAGGGGGAAGGAGTAAAGTAGTAAAGATTGGGTCACAGAAGGGCCAGAAGCTGGATCCTAAGGGGTGTGGAAGACCTTGCCTTTTACCCCGGCCAGAAATTTTTAAGTGGAGAAGTGATGTGATCTCTTAGATTTAAAAGGCTTACAACAGATTCAAAGACTAGTGGCTACTAAAGCAGGAAGATGAGACAGAAGGCTGTTGCAATAATCCAGACGATGGTGCTAATTGTTTCCTGCTAATTCAAAACAAAAATGCTAATACAAACATTGTATGTGTATTTATTACTGTTTATTAACATTTTTTCACTCTTTTCTTTCTTTAGATGATATATCAATCTAGTCATTAAAATTTTTATTCTTTCTATTGTTAGTCTTAATGAATAAGACTTTTGTTTAGTGGTCTCAGTTTCACCTTATCTCCAATATCTTACTATGATTTTCTATATGAAATTTAAACAAGAAACTAAATCTGTTAATAGCTGTCTGGCATTATATCATGTCATTCTCTTTGTACTTTGTATTTCATAGTATTCTAAAATGGTGATTAGTCATTAATCAAGAATGTTCTGAATGGCTTAGTGTAACTTCAGATTTTGCTACAAACTTACATTGAAATAGTGATATGTTTTTAATATCATTTCTATCTTTTTTGATTTGTATTTTCTATGTTTTTAGTACCTAAAACCACTTAGGTGTTAAGCACCAAGATAATTTTTTGATAAGCTCTACATAAATATTCACAAGTAGGTTTTTATATCCTCAGTGCACATTGTTCAATATCAACAAATATTAGATGATTAGTTACTCTGGTGAAGCATTGACCTTTCAGATGGTCACTGACAAACAACTCTCAATGAATTTTGTACATTACTGCTTATTTGGACTGTGAATTCTAGTTCAATTGTGAGAAATGTTTATTTTCCCACCCCTGTTTATATAGTTATGCTAAAATACTTCATTGCTATTTTCTTTAACACATGCACTGAATATAAACAAAAAAGGGAAAAGACTTGTACAGTTTTCGTTATAAAACTTCTGGAAAAAATTAACATGGAGATAGAAATTTTTAAAAAAATGAATGTTAGCATGTGTTAACCCAATTTTATGAACGAAGATTGAGAATTCACAGATGATTAACTTTGGGAAAAATCAATTTACAGGTGTCTGGCTTTATTTCTTGGTTCTCTAACTTGATCCTTTAGTCTATGTATCTATTTTTGTACCAGTGCCATGCTGTTTTGGTTACTGTAGCCTTGTAGTATAGTTTGAAGTTGGGCAATATGATGCCTTTAGCTTTGTTCCTTTGCTTAGGATTGATTTGGCTATTCAGGCTTTTTTTAATTCCATATGAATTTTAGAATAGTTGTATTTTCTGATTCTGTGAAAAATGACATTGGTAGTTTGCTAAGAATAGCATTGACTCTGTGAATTGCTCCGGGCAGTATGACATTTTAACATACATCACTGATTCTTCCAATCAATCATCATAGAATGCTTTTCCATTTGTTTATGTCATCTCTGATTTCATTCAGCAGTGTTTTGTAATTCTCATTGAAGAGATATTTCCTCTCCCTGGTTAGCTGTATTCCTAGGTATTTTATGCATTTTGTGGCCATTGTGAATGGGGTTGTATTCTTCTTTTGGCTGTCAGCTAGCCATTATTGGTGCATAGAAATGCTACTGATTTTTGTACACTGATTTTGTGTCCTGAAACTTTACTGAAGTTGTTTATCAGTTCCATGAGTCTTTGGGCAGAGACTATGGGATTTTCTAGATATAGGATCATATAATCTGCAACAGAGATAGTTTGACATCCTGTTTTCCTATTTGTTTGTTTTAAAAAAATTTTGTGGGTACATAGTAGGTGCATATATTTCTGGAATACTTGAGATGTTTTGATACAGGCATGTATGTAAAATAATCACATCATGGAGAATGGGAAATCCATCCCCTCAAAGCATTTATCCTTTGAGTTACAAACAATCCAATTACACTCTTTATTTTAAATAGTATGCTCCAGTTATTGTTGACTATAGGCACCCTGTTGTGCTATCAAATAGTAGTTCTTATTCATTCTTTCTAATTTTTGTACTTCTTAACCAACCCACTTCCCTCACAGCCCCCAGCTAACCTTCTCATCCTCTGGTAACCATCCTTCTCTCTATGTCCATGAGTTCAGTTATTTTCATTGTTAGATCCCCAAAATAAGAGAGAACAGGCAATGTGTTTGTTTTTCTGTGCCTGGCTTATTTCACTTAACATAATGATCTCCAGTTCCATCCATGGTGTTGCAAATGACTGGATTTCATTCTTTTTTTATGGCTGAATAGTACTCTGTTGTGTATATGTACTACATTTTTTAAATCTGTTCATCTGTTGATGAACACTTGGATTGCTTCTAAATCAGCTATTTTAAACAGTGCTGCAACAAACATAGGAGTGCATATATCTCTTTGATATACTGATTTCCTTTCTTTTGGGTATGTCTTATGGATATATATCCATCAATGAGATTGCTGGATCATATGGCAGTTCAATTTTTACTTTTCTGAGGAACTGCCAAACTGTTCTCCATAGTGATTGTGTGTCCAGAATTGGTGGGTTCTTGGTCTTGCTGACTCAAGAATGAAGCTGCGGACCCTCGTGGTGAGCGTTATAGTTCTTAAAGATGGTGTGTCTGGAGTTTGTTCCTTCAGATGTTCAGATGTGTCTGGAGTTTATTCCTTCTGGTGGGTTTGTGGTCTCGCTGACTTCAGGAGTGAAGCTGCAGACCTTTGCGGTGAGTGTTATAGCTCTTAAAGGCGGCGTGTCTGGAGTTGTTTGTTCCTTCCGGTGGGTTCGTGGTCTCACTGGCTTCAGGAGCGAAGCTGCAGACCTTTGCGGTGTGTGTTATAGCTCTTAAAGGCAGCGTGTCTGGAGTTGTTTGTTCCTTCCGGTGGGTTCGTGGTCTCACTGGCTTCAGGAGCGAAGCTGCAGACCTTCGTAGTGACTGTTACAGCTCATAAAGGTGGCCCAGACCCAAAGAGTGAGCAGCTGCAAGATTTATTGTGAAGAGCTAAAGAACAAAGCTTCCACAGCATGGAAGGGGACCCAAGCGGGTTGCTGCTGCTGGCTGGGTGGCCTGCTTTTATTGCCTTATCTGGCCACACCCACATCCTGTTACTGGTCCATTTTACAGAGAGCTGATTGGTCTGTTTTGACAGAGTGCTGATTAGTGCATTTACAAACCTTTAGCTAGACACAGAGTGCTGATTGGTGCGTTTACAATCCTTTAGCTAGACAGAAAAGTTCTCCAAGTCCCCACCAGTCCCAGAAGCCCAGCCAGCTTCACCTTTCACTGGCACTCTCCGTGGGATCCTGCAGCACCCAGCCTGGGCACTCTGGCAGCCCGGAGGGAGCTCATCCCAGACAACCAAGAGGAAAAGAGGGGAAGCAAGAAAGAGATGGAGACAAACAGACAGGCAAAATATCTGTGTCAGTGTACATCTTTCATCTGTCGTTGGGTCAGGATCTGTGGGACAGACCCCACACCTTGTTAGATGGGTAGTTTGCAAATATTTTCTCCCATTCTGTGGGATTTGTCTTCATTATGTTGATTGTATCCTTTGCTGTGCAGATGCTTTAAAACTTCATGTAACCCCCTTTGTCCATTTTTGCTTTGGTTGCCTGTGCTTGTAGGATACTGTTCAATAAATTATTGTCCAGACTGATGTCCTGGAGAGTTTCTCCAATGTTTTATTGTGGTAATTTCATAGTTTGAGGTCTTAGATTTAAGTTTTTAATTAATTTTTATTTGACTTTTGTATATGGTGAGAGATGGGGTCTCATTTCATTCTTTTGCACATGGATATCCAGTTTTTCCAGCACAATTTTGTGGAGAGACTGTCTTTTCCCCATTGTATGTTCTCAGCACCTTGGTCAAAAATGAGTTCACTCTAGGCGTGTGAATCTGTTTCTGGTTTCTCTATTCTGTTTCATTGATGTATGTGTCTGTTACGCCAGTACCATGCTGTTGTGGTTACTCTGTAGTATAACTTGAAGTCAGGGAATGTTATTCCCCCAGTTTTGATCTTTTTGCTCTGGATAGCTTTGGCTATTCTGCATCTTTTGTGATTCCATATAAATTTTAGGATTGTTATTTCTATTTCTGTGAAGAATGCCATTGGTATTTTGGCAGACATTGCATTGAATGTATAGATTAGATTCCTTTGGTAGTACAGTCATTTTAACAATATTGATTCTTCCAATCCATGAACATGAAACAGTTTTTGGTGTCCTCTTCAATTTCTTTCATCAGTGTTTAATAGTTTTCATTATAGAGATCTTTCACTTCTTAGGTTAAGTTAATTTCTAAGTGTTTAATTTTATGTGTGGCTATTGAAAATGGTATTACTTTTAAAATTTCTTTTGCACATTGTTCACTGCTGGCATATAGAAATGAAACTCATTTTCGCATGTTGATTTTGCATTGTGCAACTTTACCGAATCTGTATATCAGTTCTAATAGTTTTCTTGTGGACTCTTTAGGTTTTTCAAAATATAAAATCATATCTTCAAACAAGAATAATTTGACTTCTTCCTTTTCAGTTTGGATGCCCTTTATACTTTTCTCTGATCCAATTGCTCTAGCTAGGACTTCCAGTACTAGGTTGAATGACAGTGGTGATAGCATCCTTGTCTTGTCATGTTCCAGGTTTTAGAGGAAAGGCTTTCAGTTTTTCCCCATTCAGTATGATACTAGCTATGGGTCTATCATATATGGCTTTTATTACCTTTAGGTATGTACCTTCTCTTCCCAGTTTTTTGAGGGTTTTTATCATAAAGGAATGTTGAGTTTCATTAAATGCTTTTTCAACATCATTTAAAATGATCATTTGGTTTCCATTCTTCATTCTGTTGATATGATGTATCACCTTGATTGATCTGCATGTGTTGAACCATCCTTGCCACTCAGGGATAAATCCCATTTGGTCATGATAAATGATCTTCCTAATCTTTCTATTGTTGAACTCATTTTGCTAGAATTTTGTTAATAATTTTTGCATCAGTATTAATCAAAAATATTTGCCTGTAGTTTTCTTTTTTAATGTGTCTTTGTCTGGTTTTTGTCAGGATAATACCAAACTCATAGTATGAGTTTGAAAATATTCCCTTCTCCTCTATTTTTCAGAACAGTTTGAGTAGAACTAGTTTTAATTCTTCTTTAAATGTTTGGTAGAATTCAGCAGTGAAGCCATTAGGTCCTGAGCTTTGCTTTACTGGGAGACTTTTTATTACAGCTTTGATCTTGTTACATGTTATTGGTTCATTCAGGTTTTGGATTTCTTCCATTCAATCTTGGTCATATTTGTTTAGGAATTTGTCTATATTTTCTAGGTTTTTCAATTTATTGACATACAGTTGCTCATAGTAGCCACTAATGATCATTTGAATTTCTGTGGTATCAGTTGTAATGTCTTCTTTTCCATTTCTGATTTTATGTTTTTGTATCTTCTCTTTTTTTCTTTGTTAGTATGAATAAAGATTTTTCAATCTTGTTTAACTTTTTAGAAGACCAACTTTTCATTTCATTGATCTTTTGCATTATTTTTTCATTTCAATTTCAGTTATTTCTGCTCCGATCTTTATTATTTCTTTTCTTCTACTAATTTTGGGTTTGTTTTGCTCTTGCTTCTCTAGTTTTTTAAGATGCATTGTTATATTGTTTCTTTGAAGATTTTCCTCTTTTTTATGTAAGCAGTTGTAGCTATAAACTTCCCTCTGAGTGCTGCTTTTGCTGTATCCCATAGATTTTGGTGTGCTGTCTTTCCATTATCATTTGCTTTAAGAAATTTATTTATTTATTTATTTATTTATTTATTTTGAGATGGAGTCTTGCTCTGTCGCCCAGGTTGGAGTGCAGTGGTGTGGTCTCGGCTCATTGCAAGCTCCGCCTCCCAGGTTCACGCCATTCTCCTGCCTCAGCCTCCTGAGTAGCTGGGACTACAGGTGCCCGGCTAATTTTTTGTAATTTTATTAGAGACAGGGTTTCACTGTGTTAGCCGGATGGTCTTGATCTCCTGACCTTGTGATCTGCCCACCTCAGCCTCCCAAAGTGCTGGGATTACAGGCATGAGCCATCTCGCCTGGCCTGTTTCAATAAATTTTTGTATTTACTTCTTAATTTCTTCAATGACCCGCTGGTCATTCAGGAGCATATTATTTACTTCCCATCTACTTCTATAGTTTCAAAAAGTCCTCTCACTATTAATTTCTAATTTTTTTCCACTGTGGTCAGAGAAGATGCCTGATATTATTTCAGTTTTTTTGAATGCTTTAAGACTTGTTTTATGACCTGAAATATTGTTTATCCTTGATAATTATTCATGTGCTGAGGAAAATAATGTGTATTCCTCAGCCATTGGATTAAATGTTCTGTAAATATATATTAGGTACATTTGCCCTATAACACAGATTAAATTTGATGATTCTTTTTTGATTTTCTGTCTGTAAGATCTGTCCAATGCTGAAAACGGGGTGTTAAAGTCTCCAGCTATTATTGTATTGGAGCCTTGCTCTCTCTTTTGCTCTAATAATTTTTTTATGTGTCCATGTGCTCCAGTGTTGAGTGCTTATATATTTAAAATTGTTATGTCCTCTTAAGGGGTTGACTCCTTTATCATTATATAGCTACCTTCTTTATCTCTTCTTATAGTTTTTGTCTTGAAATCTATTTTGTCTGATTTATATATAATGACTCCTGCTCTTTTTCAATTTCCATTGGCATGGAACATCTCTTTCCATCCTTTGGTTCTCAGTCTATGTGTGTCTTTACAGGTGAAGTGTGGTTCTTGTAGGCAATAGATTGATGAGTCTTGTTTTTTCACCGAATTAGCCAGTCTATGTCTTTTGACTGGAGCGTTTAGTCCATTTACATTCGATGTTATTATTGATAAGTAAGGACTTACCCTTGCAATTTTGTTACTTGTTTTCTCATTGTTTTTATGGTCTTCTCATCTTTCTTGCTTTCCTTCCTGTCTTCCTCATGTAAAGGTGATTTTCTCTGGTGGTATAATTTAGTTTCTAGCTTTTCCTTTATTTTGTATCCATTATATGATTTTGTTTTCATGTTACCATGAGGCTTGCAGATACTACCTTATAACTCATTATTTTAACCTGATAACAACTTAACACTGCACAAACAAATAAGCCAAAAATAAACTAATAAAAAATCTACTCCTTAACTTTGCATCCCTGCTTTTTAACTTGTTGTTGTTGCTATTTATATCTTATTGTACTGACTCTATCTTGAAAAGTTGTTGTAGTTATTATTTTTGATTGGTTCATTATTTACCCTTTCTATTTAGGATAAGAGTAGTTTACATACCACAGTTACAGTAATATTCTGTGTTTTTTCTGTGTACTTAATATTACCAGTGAGTTTTTTGTCTTCAGGTGATTATTTATTGCTCATTAATGTCCTCTCCTTTATGATTGAAGCACTCTCTTTAACAATTCTTGTAGGACAGGTCTGGTGTTGATGAAATTCCTCAGTGTTTGTTTGTCTGGGAAAGTATTTCTTCTTCATGTTTGTTTTTTCTTCATGTTTGTAAGATATTTTCACTGGATATACTATTCTAGTGTAACAGTTATTTTTTCTTCAGCATTTTAAATATGTCTTCCTACCCTCTCCAGGCCTGTAAAGTTTCTAGTGAAGAGTCTGCTGCCAGACATATTAGAGCTCCATTTTATATCGTATGCTTCTTTACTCTTGCTGCTTTTAGAATCTTTTCTTTATCCCTTGGGAGTTTGATTATTAAATGCCTTGAGATAGTCTCCCTTGGGTTATATCTACTTGGTGTTCTATAACCTTCTTGTATTTAGATATTGGTATCTTTTTCTAGGATTGGGAAGTTCTCTGTTATTATGCCTTTGAATAAACTTTTTATCCCTGTCTCTTTCTCTACCTCCTCTTTAAGGTCAATAACTCTTAGCTTTTTCCTTTCCAGGTTATTTTCTAGATCCTCTAGATCAAAACATCCATGCTATATTGTTTTTAAATTATTTTTTCTTTTGTCTCCTCTGTGTATTTTCAAATAGCCTGTGATCATTAATTCTTTCTTCTGCTTAATCAAGCTCACCAATTCTTTCTTCTGCTTGATCAATTCAGCTATTAAAGGACTCTGTTGCATTCTCTATTATGCCAACTGCATTTTTAAGCTCCAGAATTTCACTTGATTCTTTTTAATTATTTCAGTTTCTTTGTTAAATTTATCCAATGAAATTCTGAATTCCTTCTCAGTGTTCTCTTGAATTTATTTGAGTTTCCTCAACACAGCTATTTTGAATTCTCTGTCTGAAAGGTCACATATCTCTGTTTCTCCCAATTGGTCCCTGGTGCCATATTTAGTTCATTTGGTGAGGTCTTGTTTTCCTAGATGATCTTAATGCTTGTGGATGTTTGTGAGTTCCTGGACATTAAAGAGTTAGGTGTTTATTGTAGTCTTCATAGTCTGGGCTTGTTTGTACCCATCCTTCTTGTGAAGGCTTTCTAGATATTTGAAAGAACATGGATGTTGTGATATAAGCTGTATTAACTTTAGGGGACACCCCAAACCCAGTAATGCTGTGGTTCTTGCAGACTCATAGAGGTACTGCCTTGATGATCTTGGACAAGATCTGGAAGAATTCTCTGAATTGCCACACAGAGGCTCTTGTTCTCTTCCCTGACTTTTTCCCAAACAGAATTTCACTCTCTGTTCTGAGCCACCTAAAGTTGGGAGTGGAGTGACACAGGCATCCCTGTAGCCACCACCACTATGACTGCACTGCATCAGACCTGAAGCTCCCACAGCACTGGGTTTTGCCCAAAACCTGCTCTAATCACTCCCTGGCCACTACTTACATTTGTTCAAGGCCTTGGGCTCTACAATCAGCAGGTGACAAAGCCAGCCAGGCCTGTGTCCTCTTCAGGGCAGCAAGGACCTTTAGGCCCTGGATGGGTCCAGAGGTGCATGAGAGATTCAGGGCCTAGAGTCAAAAACCTTAGAAGTCTACCTGCTGTTCTATTGTACTGCAGCTGAGCTGACACTCAAACCACAATACACACATAGTCTTTCCCACTTATCTCTCCCCTTTCCAAAGGCAGAGGAGCCTCACCCTCTAGTTACCACCACCCCAGGCCATGAGGAGTACTGCCAGACTACTACCAATGTTCTCTTAAGGCCCAAGGACTCTTAAGTCAGTTTTTGGTGAATGTTGCCAGGCCTGGGACTCACCCTTCAGGGCAGTGTGCTCCCCTCTGGCCCAGGATAAGTTCAGACATGACATATGAAAATCAAGTCCTGGAATTGGGCACCCAAAGAGCCTGCTTGGTACTCTACCCCACTGTAGTCTTGCTGGTACCTGAAGCCAGCAATCCTCTGAGGATCTTCCAAAGCCCTCTGTGTAGTACTTGGGTGTCACTGTTGGTTATTCAGGGCCTAAGGGCTCTTCAGTTAACAAGTGATGAATGTTTGTAGGACTGGGTTCTTTCCCTCATGGCAGCAGGTTTCCTTCTGGCTCAGAGTGTGTCTAGAAACATCATCTGGGAGCTAGAGACCTGGAACAGAGGCCTCACAACTCTGACAAGTGCCCTACCCTGCTGTGGCTGAGCTAGTATCCAAGATGCAAGACAGAGTCTTCCCTACTCGTCCCTCTCCTTTCCTCAAGTGGAAAGAAGGGGTCTCTTTTGGAGCCTTGAGCTGTGCAGGCTGGGGTTAGGGGAGGGGTGATACCTGCATTCCCTTAGCTACCCCAGCTGATGTGTCAGCAGCTCAGGTGTCCCCCAGTCCACTGTCTCTGGGCCTAGTTCAGCTCTAGGACTTGTCTAAGAGTTGCAGTCCTTATGGCCAACAGTGCCTTTCAAGTTTCCTTGGAGACACAGAGCACTGTAGCCCTCAGTGGTGAGGTTTGTGGGGACTTAAGTTTAGACCACTAAGATCAGCAATTCCCTTCTGTCTAGGGTTTGTTTAAATGCTCCCTCCATGGTTAAGTATCATCTGAGTTTGGTCTGGTTTCCCTTTCTGTTCTAACAGGACAGCACTGAGTTCAGTGCCTCCTAATTGCTGTGCTCTCCCTCCCTCACTGTTCAAAGATGCTCTCTGCACCAGGCAGCTGCTGCCTAAGTTGTGGGAGGGTTGACATTGGAAATTCAAGCCTGTTTTTTCTAACTCTTTAGTACCTTTTTCAGTGATATAGTTAAAAACAGGTACTATGAGTGCTCTCCTGATTTTTGGTTATTATGAAGTTGTTTTTCTGTGTGGGCTTGTTAAGTTGGTGTTCTTGTGGGAGTAGCAAGGGGGACGATCAATGCAGTCTTCTATTCTGCCATTTTGCTTTGCCTCTCCTTTCTTCCTGTTTGGATACCTTTTATTTCTTTCTGTTGCCTGACTGCTCTGGCTAGGTCTTCCAGCATTATATTGAATAGGAGTGGTAGGAGTGGGCATGCTTGTCTTTTTCTGGTTCTCAAGGGGAATTCTTTCAGCTTTTGCCCAGTCAGTATGATGTTGGCCATGGGTTTGTCATAAGTGGCTCTAATTATTTTGAGGTATATTTCTTCAATGCCTGGTTTGTTGAGGGTTTTTAATATGAAGGGATGTTGAATTTTATCTAAACTTGTTTCTGACTCTATTGAGATGATCATGTAATTTTTGTTTTAGTTCTGTTTATGTGATGAATCAAGTTTATTAGTTTGCATATGTTTAACTAACCTTGCATCCCAGGAATAAAGCCTAGTTGATTAAGATGGATTAGCTTTTTGGTGTGCTGCTGGGTTCAGTATGCTAGTATTTTATTGAGGATTTTTGCATCAATGTTCATCAGGGATATTGGCCTAAAGTTTTCTTTGTTGGTTGTGTTTATTTCAGATTTTGGTACCAGAATAATGCTGGCCTCATAGAATGAGTTAGGGAAGACTCTCTTCTTGATTTTTTGGAATTGTTTCAGTAGGATTAGTATCAGCTCTTCTTTGTACATCTGATAGAATTCAGTTATAAATTTGCTGGGTCCATGGCCTTTTCTGGTTGCTAAGTGTTTTATTCTTACAACCATCTAATCTTTGACAAAGTTCACAAAAACAAGCACTGGAGAAAGGACTCAATATTCAATAAATGGTGCTGGGATAAATGGCTAGCTTGCTAGCCATATGCAGAAGATTGAAACTGGACCCCTTCCTTTTACAATATACAAAACTCAACTCAAAATTGATTAAAGACTTCAATGTAAGAGCTAAAACTACAAAAACTTTAGAAGAAAACCTAGGAACTACCTTTCTGGACATAGGCATTGGCATAGATTTCATAAAAATGTCTTCAAAAGCAATTGCAACAAAAGCAAAAATTGACAAATGAGACCAAATTAAGCCAAACGGCTTCTGTACAGCAAAAGAAACTATCAAGAGAGTACACAGACAACCTACAGAATGGGAGAAAATATTTGCAAACTATGCATTAAAGAAAGAGCTAGTATCCAGAATGTATTAGGAACTTAAACAAACTAACAAGCAAAAACCAAACAACCCCATTAATAAATGGGCAAAGGACATGAACAGACACTTCTCAAAAGAAGACTTAAATGCAGCCAATAAGCATATGAAACATGATCAACATAAATAATAATTAGAGAAATGCAAATCAAAATCATAATGAGATACCATCTCACATTAGTCAGGATGGCTATCACTAAAAAGTTAAAAAATAACATGTTGGCTGGGTTGTGAAAAAAAGCAAACACTTATACACTGCCGGTGGGAATAAAAATTAGTTCAGCCACTGTGGAAAGTATTTTTGAGATTTCTCGAGGAACTTAAAACAGAACTATCATTCAATACAGCAATCCTATTACTGGATATACACCCAAAAGAATATAAATCTTTCTGCCATAAAGACACATACACGTGTTTGTTCATTGCAGCACTATTCACAATAGCAAAGACATGGAATCAACTCAGATGCCCATCAGTGGTGGACTGAATTAAAAAGAAAAAACTGTTTTATATATACACCCTGGAATACTACACAGCCAAAAGAAAAGGAAATCATGTTTATTGCTGCAACATGGATGCAGCTGGAGGCCATTGTCCTATGCAAATTAAAGTGGGGACAGCCATCTTGGCTCTACTCCATGTTATTGTTTTCCAAAATCTTATCTCTACTTTTTTCTTAATCCTTGAGTTAGAGCTTATTATTGTTTTATCAGTCAAAGCTTATTTTGCTTTCTCCACAGATTTGTCAACTTTTTAAACCTGAATGGTGATTAACCTATGCTTACAAAATCTCAAAAACAGGCTTTATTTATTTATTTATTTTCAGACCCGTGGACTGAGAGGAAAAAAAGCTCCCTTCTAATCTCCCTTCTAATCTCTTTGTGTGAATGGACTTCTCATTAGTTAATTATTATTATTATTATTATTCCTCGAGGCTGTAGTTCTTGGAGGGTCACAGTTTTTTTGTGTGGGAGTTTTGCTCCAATTTCTTGTATTGTTTAGAATTAAGGGTTCATTCCATTTCTAAGCCCTTTATTGTTGAGATCTCTTTATTGCTGAACATCTCTTACCAGGATATTCCCAGAATAAGTTTGTTCTCCTCACTCTAAAATGGACTATTCCCCTTGATATCAGCCACTTGGTATTCCCTTTCTTTTTTAATAGATTCTTTAAAAGAAATTATTTTATCCTTTTGTAGGATTTCTAGATGTTTCCTTGAGGGCAGCAAGTTATTTAGTCTTGCATCTTGTCATATGCAAAAGTTGTAATCATTATTTCTTTTTTTTTAAAACCAGAATTTATTCTCTAAAAGTGTTAGTGGTAAATTAAGGATGCAGAAGTAGTTGGGAAGTATGTGTAAATCTGGGCTTCTAATTTCCTATTTAGTCAAAGGAATTAATGATGACAAATAACTTGACCATTTTCGTACAGTTTTCCTTGACTGAAAAGGCATGTGTTACCTGCTCACTCTATCCACTGAAGTTCTATGATGTGAAGTATGCAATGATAATACATTTTAAATTTGCTTTTGTTTGTTTGTTCCCATTGCTTTTTTGTCTTCATTTTTCCAGGGCCTCGCAAAGTCTGTGGTAAGTACTTTGTGCTAATTTTGCTGAAGGAGTTTGTGAATAAATAGACACTCAATATGAATATGTGAACTCACATGCACTATACTAAGGAACAAGAAAGTAAGGGGATGGAGATTTTGTTTTGCTTTCCATCTCAATATTGCAGTGGTAAATTGTTTTAACAAATCATTCTAAGTCAATCAAGTTGTAGCTCTAACATAATAATACATAGAACATTGCATCTAATGTGAATCAGCTCAAGTATCTCAAACCTTAGAATTACATTTACTTTATTAACTCATTTTTAAACTTCAGAGCTACACAGTAATTTTCATTAACATAGCTTTGATTGAAATAGTGAACTGTAAATAACTCATTGTGAGCTGGACTGATTCACTTTTTGTCAACTCACATCTTTAATAAATATTATATTTCAAATTTTAAGAAATCAGAAACTGCCTTGGATAGGTAGGTAATCCATGTGGGTCTATTAAGTTTAATCATTCAAAGAGATAAGTGTGAGAAAATAATGATTCTGATTGTATCTTAAAGAGAGAACTATATTAGCCTTGTAGAAAAACAATGCTAAAGTTAAAACTGAAAATTCTCAATGGCAGCATTTTGAGATTTAAATTTTATCCATACCCCTGATACATGTTATTAAAATGCAAATATTTCAGAAAATCAAAACATAGTTTTTTCTGCAGTAAGGTTAATTTCAGCAATTAGTTATTACTTTTCATAAGTTATTTGTAAAAGGAAAGACTTAAAGTTATTCATACTTAAAATAGAACAAGAAACAAATGTAGTAATAGGATATGTCAAATGCAATTAAAATAAATGCAATTCAAATAAAAATCTAAATGCGAAATATATTTAAATCTCCAATCCTTGTCCCTCTTTAACAATTCTTTCGTTGTAACTCATGTGGACAGTTCTTGTTGATTGCTGTAATGAAACATAACCTCAACATTTTTTACATCATTTGTTTACTAAGAGCCTTTGATATGACATTATACAGATACTTTTGAGATAAAAAAACCTAACTCACGTTAAGGACTTCAACCTAGAGCTTGGCCATCTACAAAGCTGTCTCCTGTAGGGCGGTCCATTGCCATCTGAGTCCTCATTAAAATCACCTGATCTTTGTCCAACGTCCTCTGCGGCAACATGGATGCAGTTGGAGGCCATTATCCTAAGCAAATTAACACAGAAACAGAAAAACAAATACCACGTGTTCTCACTTATAAGTGAGAGCTAAACATTGTGTACACATTGACGTAAAGATGCAAAAAACAGGCACTGGGGACTGCTAGAGGGGTGAGAAAGGGAGAGGGGCAAGGGCTCAAAAATTACCTACTGAATACTATGCACTACCTGGGTGATGGAATCATTCATACTCCAAATCTCAGCATCACACAATATATCCATGAAACAAATCTGTACATATAATCTAAAGTAAAAGTTGAAATTATTTTAAAAAATTTTCTGGTCAATCTGGCCATAGTACCACTCTGGCCCAATTAAATCAACTTTTATCCTTAGAAACATGCTGTTCATAATACATATTGAGGTGGCAATATATTTTATAACAATAAATGTATAAAGAAAAGTGAAGTGCAACACTTAACTTAAGCTAGATGTGTCTGCTGTTACTGCTAGCCCTGAGCTTGATGCTTGGAGCAGGTGGGGGCAATTCAGGTAGGTCTGAGTAAAGGGTGGGAAATTAGGTCTCCAGTTGTTTACAATTGGAGTGGGAGTTGGGGGAGCAGGCAGTTTTTGGGGCAGCATGTGTTTTGGTATTTTAAAAATAGCAGTTTACGATCAAAGTAGTTTGACTTAGTAACTGTTCTCATCTTCTCCCATCTTTATTAAAAAGAGAAAAGACTGATGTATAAGTTTTCTAAACTGAGGTAGTCAGTGGACCATAAGTGGATTTATTAGAGTTGCTAAAAGATTTAGTTTTTTTTTCTTTTTTGGGGAGAGAAAACTTTTTTGATTAAAAAATAGAAAAGCCCAAGATGATAGTCTAAATAAGGCACTGTCATGTCTTGGATAGACAAGAGGAATGAAGAGAAAAAGTTGTGATATAGTAAAAAATTTAGGTTAAGGAAGAAATTAATGTTGAAGATGAAATGTATAGTGAAAGAATAAGGTTTTCTAAAAATAACATAGAGAGAGGAAATTGCTCAGCACTTAACATTTTGTCCTTTTCCTGTTTGAAAGTATATTGCTCATGTTATTGGGTTGTCCTGGGTAAGAACATTCAAGTTTTGAGAAATAATAGGCATATTAATATGTGCTTACTCATTGTATTTGCTTTATAGCAAAAAGTTAGTTTCCTCACTTTTTTGCCTGAGAAAATCCTACTATTACAATATTTATGATAGATGTGAGATGTAGACTTATCTAAACTTCTACATTTTTCCATTTTCCCCTGAGGCTAATGTGAATAAAACAATGTAAATAATAGATTACCTCTCCTTTGAAAATGGACCAGTGAGGCAATTCCTTGGTAATAACTCAACACATATTCTACTGATACTGAATGTTTTATGTAAGACCTTGCAAAAATGTGTCTGTTTATGGTCTTGGCTACCTTTCATCTCAATGGGGATGAAAAATTATGGACTATGACTTTATATGTAAATCATCATGATGCTATCATTCTTTAATATTCAAAAATGGTTTCTTATATTGTTAGGGAGGTTGATCCCTTTAAGCATAATTTTTAATTGAAACTACATTTGGGGAATTTGTAGTTTATTAGATTAAGCCTATTACCATCTTACTGCATATTACTATCTAGTGTCTATTTCTTCACATTTGCAGGCATGGGCCCAAATCCAGAAGGCTTAATGATTAATTCCATGTTTCTAGTGATAGCAAAAGTTATTGTCTTTATGGTCAGGAGTAAGAACTGCTGAGAGTAATTTCTCCTCTTCTTGGTGACTACACACTTGGTAATTGGCTCTAAGAACCAAATTATGAGTTGTCTCTGTGTTTATTTTCATATTGAAATGGACTTCAAAGTTGGAAAAAGAGTCAGGAAATTTTCCTAGGAAGAACTGTGCTAGATGCTCAGATGACTATGGCACAGTTTCCATCCATGAGGAACTCTTGGTCTAGAGCTGATACTGATAGTTCAGTGTGCTAACAATGTGATCACAGACTTAACAGCCACTTCTCTGCAAAGGAAGGATGTTTAAACTCCATCATGAAGTCTGAGTTTCTCAGATGGCTAATGGAGTCAAGAACATTCTATGCAAAAGTGAAATAGTCTGGGGTATTCTGCAATAATGGCAAGTAACTTGTATCTGGATCATAGAGCAGGAGGGACAGTGCAGCCAGAAGTAAGGCAGGACAAGAGTTTGGATGATTTTTTTTTCATGTAGGTAATAAAGTAGAGGAATAACATTACACTCAGCAATTTAAAAATAAGCTCTAGTAGACTGAAAGTATGGACAGACCATGTGGGAGAGTAATTAGGCAGTCATTGCTGTTATCCTGGATAAAGGTGATATGCACATAATCCAAGGCAGCTGCCGTGAGATTGAAGAGGTGAGGGGACCCAGGGGACACTGGTGGACAGCAGGATGTGGGCAGTGGCAGTAAAGAATACAACTCAAGGATGACATTTGGTTTAGGTAAATGTGAAAGTGGTGATTTTCTGAGTAAAACAGGAATGCGTAAGCAGGAGCAAATCTGGGTCAGGCAGTGAGGTTTTTTCATGGACTTGATGAAGACAACTTTCTCTTCTCATCTCCCCAGATGAAAGAGAAAGTACTCTGAAGGCAGGGCCTTTTCTAAGAGTTTGCTTTCAAGCAAATATCTTCACTTGATTAGCGTAAAGGAAGAAATCGGTGATATTTGAAAAGACGTTTAAAGACATATAAAAAAGAGAAGACATGCTGTGGAATTTCAATAAATCCTACTCTAAGGATTCAATGGTTTGATACTTAAGGGAGGTATAGGTGTTACTATTTTACTATGAGCAAAGTTTTTATTAGAAGTTTACAAGTGTAAGATGGTCTAAGACGGTTGTAGATACTTATTTGTTGCAGAGTGCATTTTCAAGTTCTGTTCCCTGGGAGGCTGTATCACTTTATGCACATCCCTTATATAGTCTTAATCACATTGTTACAGTTACTTATATTGAGGACATAAACTGTCTTTTATAAATCTCTGTATGTCTCTGACCTAATAATGTATGTGGTGTAATTAGAACATTCTAGATCCTCAAAAATATTGTGTTAATTGAAGCATCCATTAAGTAATTGAGGTACTAATTACAAATTATATAATCAATTTCTTTAAAGGATATATTTATTTCCCAATTTAAAAAATATTTATTTTCTCCTGAAATAAAATAGCATATATATTATGAACACTTTTAAACTGTTCAGATGGAACTTTCAAACCTGTAACTGCTATACACTACTGAGTTACTTTGTCACACATGTTGTTAATTTCTAACACTTCTCAAAATCTTTAATTATTTTGATAATTTCTTCATATATATATATTTCTTCCTTAAAATGTAAACTCCACCAGAGAAAGGAACCCACCTGTCCAATTTACATCTGTATACAGTGCGTAGGGTGGTACTGGCTCAAAATTAATGCTAACTATGTTTATCTTCAGTGAAACAATTAATGGATTTTAAAAATCAAATTATATGATTTTGTTAGGAAAACATGAG
Organism: Homo sapiens; assembly: GCF_000001405.40. Taxonomy (NCBI): domain Eukaryota; kingdom Metazoa; phylum Chordata; class Mammalia; order Primates; family Hominidae; genus Homo; species Homo sapiens. The sequence goes on along the minus strand of NC_000003.12, from coordinate 148,511,001 downwards.
GCCTTATTTTTAATAACAATAAATAAGTAGATGCATAGTATAATTATTATGAATGAAGCCTTATTTTCTACTATTAAAAAAAGTAGTAATATTTGGAAACTTTTGGTTGCCAGGCACAGCACTAGATCTTTTAGTCCTGTTAAATCTTTGGAAATCTCTCAGAAGTTTTCTAAATTCAGCATATCTTATACATGAAAAATCTGAGACTCAAAATGGTTACAAAACTTGCACAATGTCTTACAGTAGAGTCTGGATTTGAATATAACTTTGTAGAGTGCCAAACATGTGTTTTTTCCATTAAATTGCAAAATGATATTCTTTATTGCAATTAAATTTTGTTTTCTAAAGTATCACAAAATGCAAGGGCTGTTTGAAAGACAAAGAAATACATGTAATCCTAAGAAAAATTAGAAAATGAAGATATTCTTATTTGCTTTCAGAACAGATGTATCGAATGATAGGATTTCCTATCTGGTATTTGGCCAGGTGTCTCAGGCTGAAATATATCCTAATTATGTATTAGTATACATTACAGTAAACTATGCCAGACCACAAGCATGAAAGGATGTTAGACACTATACATGTCAATTATAAAAATAAGGAAAATATGACATTTTATGCCTCTGTAGCTCCATTATTGACCTCAAAACAATGTGAAGAATTATTCTCTTGAGATGCAAAGGGGAGTAATAAAATGAAATGTTTTCCTTTTTGTTTTCTATGGAAACTTAACCTTCTGTTTTCAATGTGTACACAGAGGAATAAATGTCATATTGCTAGAATTATTCCAAAGATTTATGTTATACTTTATATTTCAAATAAAGGCATCTCCCTGTAGGCCAGTTTGTATGAGTTTTTCCAGTAAGCATAAAAATGAAAACTAAACCTAAAGTCAAAATTACCTTCCTGAAGAATTTATGTAATAAAAAACACTCCTTTTTTATAAGTTGTATAGAAATATCAATAGGGCTTTTCTCATAAATGAAGAAAATCATCTTGAATTTTATATAGAATAATAAAGTCATCAATAGCCAGAAGCTTTAAAAAATGAAGAATAAGAAAAGTCTTTCTTTATAGATCCAAAACATATTATAAAGTCATTATAATCAAATCAGTGGTAGTCCAAGGGAATAAGCAAATAGATCAGTGGAATGAAATAGACAATCCAGAAATAGATCCAAGCATAAATGAGAATTCAAATGTGACAAAGGTAGACTTTTCACTGAGTGGGATGGCACAGGCACAACGTGGTAAAAGTGGCTGCCATATGAAAAAAATATGTAAAATTGTGCCCTTGCTTCGTATCATCACCCAGAACATCATCTTCCAGATAGCTCCATATTTATATATTAAAAATTAAATGAGTACCTTAGAAAAATATCTGGGAAGCTACATATACATCTCAAAGTTAGTGGTTTTTTTTCCAAGACCGGAAATTCAGAAACTGCTAACAAGATATAGAGATGGTTAATAATATTTTTAAAAAATATTTGAAAGTTGGAACATCAAAATCGATAGATAAATAATAGATGTGGAAAAAAGTTCGAAAAATAGATAAGAACCAAAGGATTAATATATACACATGATTTTAAGAATTCTCAAGAAAAACATACAAACCAATACAAAGATTGTCAAATAATATGAAGAGTTAGTTCACAGAAAAGAAAATCTAAACTGATAAATGAAGTAGAAAAAAATGGTTAACCCCACTACTAGTTACAGAAATGCAAGTTAAATTAATAAAGAAATATTCTTGAATACTTATCAGACTGGAAAATATTTTAAGACTTTACCCATTGTTCACAATAATGATGAAAAAGGCCAAATGTGAAAATTTTCAGTTTTTTTTGTGGGAAAGTAATTTGGCAATATACATTACAGTAAAAAAATATGCAAAACCCTTTGACCCAGAAGTCCTAATTCTGGAAATCTATCCCAAAGAAATAAATGTAGCAAAACATGTGAACAAATATAATATTTAAAGTACTTTAGCACTGTTAGTAGTGGCAAAATCTGAGAAATAAAGTCAAATCCCAGGACAAAGCAAGAAGCAAAAACTCTTGTGCAAAAATGGGGACATAAATGTATGTGTATCTATATCTGTGTGAGGATATTTGTGTCTCTGTGTGTATGTATGTATATATATACAGAGATATATATGCACATGCATATGTTTATATGAACATGGAAAAAAAGTAAAAACAAAAAGGAATGTATACCCAGTATCAACATGCATTATCTTGAATGGGTGAGGTCATGTCAGAAGAAAGGGGGAGATGCAGAGGAGGGAAGAGGCAAAAACAAAACAATATATTTTACTTTTTTAATCAAAAAATTAAATATCTCATCCCATTGGATGTGATCCAATTTAGGTATAATTACTTATGTAAAAAGAGTCAGTTTTATCCTTCGGAGTCTACAAAATAAAACAAGACATAGTCCATTCCTATCTCAGGTATACAGAAGTTTATTATAGTTATTCTTTGTAAACTGGGAATGTGAACCTTGTTGAATCACACTGCCCACCCAAATCTCTCTTCTGGAATTACCGTGGTTATTCATTATATTCTACATTTTACAGTAATTACATTTTAAAGTAATTTGGCTTTATTGATTTGCAGAAAACATGAGTACACAGACTTCTCTAGCCAGCTTGAAAACATGCTGGGCGATTTATCTGGCAACAACATGTTGAATGGAGTATTCATATTATTACCATAATCAGGTAAATTTGATATACTTTTAAGTTTGATGCTCTAAGTCTTTACTTCTTGCCAAAATTGTATTAAACCAAAGTTTTCTTTCCTTATTGTACCATCTGGAGAGAACATTGTATACACTTACAAAATTTTTCCTGCAGGCATAGTGGGCTAGTCATCCTTTTTGATTAAAATTTTTTTAAAAGTCTTTGTAAGCAGTATTTCTGATTCATAATATAATGTTAATATATTGTTTTTAAAGTAAATTCGAGGGGATGAATTTTCACAAAATACAGGTGACCATTTTTGTTTAAGACTTTAGCCATTCAGAATTTAGCTCTGAATACATCATATTTCATTCATCTGAGAATAGATCCTAGGATCCATGCCATGCAATTTGTACATGGCATTCATAGAAAACCTTATCAGGCTTCATCTCTCACTTAATGTATATTTGTGCATATTTGACACATAACTTTCTCCCGTTTCCTTATTTTATTTTTAAGTCCACAGAAATCTATAAAAAGCCAATTAGAAGGAAGGTCAGAGGTTGCTACAGGTAGCAGAATGGCATAGTGTTTAAGAGCTCATATTCTGTGCTTCAATCTCTTCATGTGTAAAATGGTAACACAATGGTGCCCATATAATGAGTTCATTGTGAACATTACAAGAAGTAATATTGTAAAGTGCTTAAATAGTGCTTGAAACATAGCAAGCGCTCAATAATTGTAAACTCTTGGCAACCGGGCGCAGTGGCTCATGCTTGTAAGCCCAGCACGTTGGGAGGCGGAGGTGGGCGGATCACTTGAGGTCAGGAGTTCGAGACCAACCTGGCCAACATGGCGAAACCTCATCTCTCCTAAAAATACAAAAATTAGCCGGGTGTCGTTGTGGGTACCTGTAACTCCAGCTACTGGGTAGGCTGAGGCAAGAGAATCCCTTGAACCTGGGAGGCAGAGATTGCAGTGAGCCAAGATATCACCACTGCACTCCAGCCTGGGTGACAGAGTGAGACTGCGTTTCAACAAAACAAAAACAAAAAGAACGGAAATCATAACAAACAGTCTCTCAGACCACAGTGCAATCAAATTAGAACTCAGGATTAAGAAACTCACTCAAAACTGTACAACTACATGGTAACTGAACAACCTGCTCCTGAATGACTACTGGGTAAATAATGAAATTAAGGCAGCTATAAATAAGTTCTTTGAAACCAATGAGAACAAAGACAAAACACACCAGAATCTCTGGGACACAGCTAAAGCAGTGTTTAGCAGTAAATGTTATAAGCAGTGTTATAGCACTAAATGCCCACAGGAGAAAGTGGGGAAGATCTAAAATCGACACCCTAACATCGCAATTAAAAGAAATAGAGAAGCAAGAGCAAACAAATTCAAAAGCTAGCAGAAGACAAGAAATAACTAAGATCAGAGCAGAAATGAAGGAGATAGGGACGGAAAAACCCTTCAAAAAATCAATGGATCCAGGAGCTGATTTTTTGAAGAGATTAACAAAATAGATAGACTGCTAGCCAGACTAAAAAAGAAGAGAGAAGAATTATTAAATAGACACAATAAAAAATGATAAAGCAGATATCACCACTGATCCCACAGAAATACAAATTACCATCAGGGAATAGTCTAAACACCACTATGCAAATAAACCAGAAAATCTAGAAGAAATGGATAAATTCCCAGACACATATACCCTCCCAAGTCTAAACCAGGAAGAAGTTGAATTCCTGAATAGACCAATAACAAGTTTTGAAATTGAGGCTATAATTAATAGCCTACCAACCAAAAAATGTCCAGGACCAGATGGATTCACAGCCAAATTCTACTAGAGGTACAAAGGAGGAGCTGGTACCATTTCTTCTGAAACTATTCCAATCAATAGAAAAAGAGGAATCCTCCCTAACTCATTTTATGAGGCCAGCATCATCCTGATAACAAAACCTGGCAGAGACACAACAAAAAAAGAAAATTTCAGGCCAATATCCCTGATGAACATCGATGCAAAAATCCTCAATAAAATACTGGCAAACTGAATCCAGTAGCACATCAAAAGCTTACCCACCACGATCATGTTGGCTTCATCCCTGGGATGCAAGGCTGGTTCAACATATGCAAATCAATAAATGTGATCCATCACATAAACAGAACCAATAACAAAAACCACATGATTATCTCAATAGTTGCAGAAAAGGCCTTCGAAAAAATTCAACACTGCTTCATGCTAAAAACTCTCAATAAACTAGGTACTGATGGAACATATCTCAAAATAATAAGAGCTATTTATGACAAACCCACAGCCAATATCATACTGAATAGGAAAAAGCTGGAAGCATTATCTTTGAAAATAAGTACAAGACAAGGATGCCCTCTCTCACCACTTCTATTCAACATAGTAATGGAAGTTCTGGCCAGGGCAATCAGGCAAGAGAAAGAAATGAAGGGTATTCAAATAGGAAGAGACGAAGTCAAATTGAATCTGTGTGCAGATGACATGATTGTCTATTTAGAAAACCCCAGCATCTCAGCCCAAAATCTCCTTAAGCTGATAAGCAACTTCAGCAAAGTCTCAGCATACAAAATCAATGTGCAAAACTCACAGGCATTCCTATACACCAATAATAGACAAACAAAGAGCCAAATCATGAGTGAACTCCCATTCACAATTGCTACAAAGAGAATAAAATACCTAGGAATACAACTTACAAGGGATGTGAAGGATCTCTTCAAGGAGAACTACAAACCACTGCTCAAGGAAATAAGAGAGGACACAAACAAATGGAAAAACATCCCATGCTCATGGATAGGAAGACTCAATGTCGTGAAAATGGCCATACTGCCCAAAGTAATTCATAGATTCAGTGCTATTCCCATCAAGCTACTATTGACTTTCTTCACAGTATTAGGAAAAACTACTTTAAATTTCATATGGAACCAAAAAGAGCCCATATAGCCAACACAATCCTAAGCAAAAAGAACAAAGCTGGAGGCATCATGCTACCTGACTTCAAAGTATACTACAAGGCTACAGTAACCAAAACAGCATGGTACTGGTACCAAAACAGATATATAGACCAGTGGAAAAGAACAGAGGCCTCAGAAATAACACAATGCATGTACAACCATCTGTTCTTTGAGAAACCTGACAAAAACAAGCAATGGGGAAAGGATTCCCTATTTAATAAATGGTGTTGGGAAAACTGGCTAGCCATATATAGAAAACTGAAACTGGACCCCTTCCTTACACCTTACACAAAAATTAACTCAAGATAGATTAAAGACTTAAATGTAATACCTAAAGCCATAAAAACCATAGGAGAAAACCTACGTAATACTATTCAGGACATAGGTATGGGCAAGGACTTCATGACTAAAACGCCAAAAGCAATGGCAACAGAAGCAAAATTGACAAAGGTATCTAACTAAACTAAGCTTCTCCACAGCAAAAGAAACTGTCATCAGAGTAAACAGGCCACCTACAGAATGGGAGAAAATTTTTGCAATCTATCCATCTGACAAAGGACTAATATCTGGAATCTACAAGGAACTTAAACAGATTTACAAGAAAAAAACAAACAACCCCATCAAAAAGAGGGTGAAGGATATGAACAGACACTTCTCAAAAGAAGACATTTATGCAGTCAACAAACATATGAAAAAAGCTCATCATCACTGGTCATTAGAGAAATGCACATAAAAACCACAATGAGATCCCCCCATCTCATGCCAGTTAGAATGGTGATCATTAAAAAGCCAGGAAACAACAGATGCTGGAGAGGATGTGGAGAAATAGGAAGGCTTTTACACTGTTGGTGGGAATGTAAATTAGTTCAACCATTGTGGATGATAGTGTGGCGATTCCTCGAGAATCCAGAACCAGAAATACCATTTGACCCAGCCATCCCGTTACTGGGTATATACCCAAAGGATTGTAAATCATACTACTATAAAGACACATGAACACATACGTTTACTGCAGCACTATTCACAATAACCATGACTTGGAACCAACCCAAATGCCCATCGATGATAGACTGGATAAATAAAGGTGGCACACATATACCATGGAATTAGTGCAGACATAAAAAGGATGAGTTCATGTCCTTTGCAGGGACATGGATGAAGCTGGAAACCATCATTCTCAGCAAACTAACACAGGAACAGAAAACCAAACACTGCATGTTCTCACTCATAAGTGGGAATTGAATGACAACGCAAGGACATAGGGAGGGGAACATCACACACCGGGGTCTGTTGGGGGTGGGGGGGCTAGGGGAGGGATAGCATTAGGATAAATACCTGATGCAGATGACAGATGACATGTTGATAGGTGCAGCAAACCACCATGGCACATGTATACCTATGTAACAAACCTGTACGTTCTGCACATGTATCCCAGAACTTAAAGTATAATTAAAAAAAAAAAACAAAGCAAAACCAAAAACAAACAAACAAAATTACACAAATAATTGTAAGCTCTTGTTGTTAGAGTTACACTCACAGCAATCAACATTTGACAAAATATGATCTGAATTTTCTGACCCCATAAAAAGTGGGGGTCAGAAAATCTACTAAAAAAAAAAGGATAATTTTAAAAAGCACAGAAATCTTGAGCTTATCTGGTGGAAAAGCAAATAATGCCTACAGAGCTTCCAGACCCTGAGAATACAACAGGATTATAACTAAGTGAAATAATGTAGCATGACAACCCAAGGACATAAAAAATTTGATTTACATTTGGTGTTCTGTATTTAAGAAAATGGAGGAGAGGTAGCATGGCTGAGTGGTCTAAGATTCTGAATTAAGTCTCCAGTCTCTTTGGGGGCGTGGTTTTCAATCCCACCGCTGCTAATTTGTCGCTGGGCGCGGTGGCTCACGCCTGTAATCCCAGCACTTCCTGAGACCAAGGCGGGCGTATCACGAGGTCAAGAGACGGAGACCATTCTGGCCAACATAGTGAAACTCTGTCTCTACTAAAAATACAAAAATTAGCTGGGCGTGGTGGCGCGTGCCTGTGATCCCAGCTACCCAGGAGTCTAAGGCAGGAGAATCGCTTGAACCCGGGAGGCGGAGGTTGCAGTGAGCCGAGATCGCACCACTGTACTCTATCCTGGCAACAGAGCGAGACCCCGTCTCAGAAAAAAAAAAAAAAAAAAAAAAAAAAAAAAGGAAACTGGAAAAGTGTATGATGCAATTCAAAATGATTCCTTAAAAACATTTAGAATTTAAAAGAATGTGTTTGTGCTTAATTCCCAGTTACCTAATTATCTAAAAAGATTCATTATCTGAGGGTGGTAGAAAGCACAGTTTTGTACAATATTTACAAATGTTTTATTTTGTATAATCTTTTACAATAAACTGTAAAATATTTGGACTATAATACATTAAAATTAAAAACTTAAATGATAAATTTATTAGTACTGAGTCTTCAGAAGTTTCTACCATGCATATTATCGTATTTAATTTCATAAAATCCTGTGAGATATACATTATTATGCTCAATTTAAATATGAGAAAACAGAATCTCAGGGTGAGTGAATCCATATTGGTTTCTTATTGTTATAAACCAATAATAAATCACCACAAATTCAGTGGCTTAAAACAACACCAATTTACTATCTTACAGTTTTTTACATTAGAATTCTCACTAGGCTAAAACCAAGTTTCAGATAATATTCTAAAATTAGATCATGGTTATGGTTGCACAACTCTGTGAATATAAAAAAAACCACTTTAAGTAAATGCTATTGTATGTGAATTATATTTTAATAAAGCTGTTAAGAAATCTAGTAGTGTAATAGTAGAATAAGTAATTTTCTAGCATCTAATTTGTGAAAAGCATCATGTTAGTTATGAAATACTGCTGAACACATTGCCTTGTCTGCCCAGAGCAGTTACATTCTCCTGGAAAATATTCCTTCACAACCATGACATAAAAGTTGTACAGGTCAACTCCTTCTAACCACAGGTTGAGCACTGCAGCTGAGCCATTAAAGGGTCTGATCCATAGTCCTCCATCCACAGATGACAGTGTCATCCAAGATGGATCAATCAATCTTCTGCCCAAAGATTTTTTTGATTGGAGTTGGAGAGTTGTGTCTCTGGGTGAAGAGCTTACAAAGAAAAAAAAAAAGAAAAAATCAGCCTGCAATTATCAGTGGCCATTTTTTTTCTTCTGGTTATTTTCCCCTCCCAGTGAACTGCAGCAAGAAAGAATTAAAACCAATTAAAGAGAAGACAACAGATGGAATGGGGAAGGCTTGATGTCTTCCACATTCTAGCTTCCAATGCTACTGAGCCAGGTTCACTCTGTCCTTTCTGTTGCTCTGATGTTATTCAAATTGATTGGAGTTGGGTCTCATGGTTGCAACAAAAGTTCTTTTCTCAACTATCTTAGTTAGAGATTACTTGGGAAGAAAAACTATAAAGGTTTGAAAAAAATAAATAGAAATCTAAGCCTGAAAGTAAATTGGGAAAAAAAGGGAGTCTGCAATGAAAGTGCAACATGAAAACAAGAGTATGCAATTAATTTCTAAGTGAGCGATTTAGATAAAGAGTTTCGTAAATTTAGAGGAGAGAGACAACACTGTAGCTTGGGTGATCTGGAAAGATTTTCTAGAGGGAAAGGGTCCAGACTAGAGTTAGACCTTGAAAAGTAGATTCTTTTAATTTTTTCTTAGGGTCATCTATGCTAGCTCACTTAAATGAATTTCATCTGGAGAGAGATTTTAAAAGGATCCTTTGGAGGCAGACAAAACATGTCTTGAACAGGAAAGGGGAGAAGAGACAAATTTCATCTGTGATTACAGCAAGGATATTTTGTTCAGGTGTTAGTATTGATGGGCATATGATAGACTTTTATAATGGGAATAACATCCTTTTTGTCCTAGGGTATGCACTGCATTAAAAATTATAAATTCTGGCTCTCAGTAAAATCAGTGAAACTTTTAAGCTGATGAATAACAGAATATTGTCAGAATCAAATAAGGATTGGATTCTGGTCAGTGTTGTGGAAGCAGTCTAGTTTTTTGTTTGTTTGTTTAAATTATCAGCCTAAGTTCCAGTAATCCTTAAGAATCTATGCAATTTTCAGTTACACTTGTGTGGCTTTGATGTCTCTCTTTATTTTGAACACTGATCTTGATTCATGAAAGTCTGTTGCATAACATGAAAAGAATGGACAAAATGCCTCTACAAGTTGCCTAGTGTTCCATAATTTATTTATGTCTTTTGAATTTCTTTTTAAACACATATCCCTGAGGTAATACTTCTTGTAAACTGTGAAATCCCATGGGTGAGATTATAATGTCAGTCACTTCAACAATGAACTGAAGTAGTCCTTAAGAGCTTTTCATCAAAATTGTTTTTCTTACAAAGAAAGGGAAATATAAAAATCAAGTTTCTAACACTGGGAATTATCTCACTGGGCTTCCCCAAAGGAAATACTACCAAAAATATATTTCCTTTGGTTTCTTCTGAATGATTAACATGTAATTCTGAGCAAATTAGTAGAATTGTAGATTGTTAGAGTGAAAGAAATCTCTCTGACTTTGTTTAATGCAATAAACATCTTTTAGAGTGTTAACACTGAGATCCTGAGAAACTGTTAGACTTCCCAAGTCAGGGACTGAGCAGCACCTAAAACAAAAATGTCCCAGCTTTTTAGATGACACCATATTCTTTTCTCTTAAAATTATTAAAATATTGCCTAATTCAAAGTATTTCAGAGATTTTTTTATGTTAGTTTCATTTTAGCCAGTACAAGCATCTATAATTGGTCATAAATGAGAAGTTTCTCATGTTTTTGCTTTTTACTTTGGTATCCTCTAAAATGTTCACATGCAGGGAGAATAATGTTAGAGTTTTAGAATACATGGTTTGTAAAAGTCTTGGATGAAAATCTTTTAAAAGCTACAGTAAAATTCAGAACTGAAAGGAAATTACTTAAAAGGTATGGAATCTGAAAGCTACAACACAAAATGTAAAATTTTTAGATGATGTAAAGAATGTATGGGTAAAGTCAATAGTTAAATCAATAATAAATTTGGAAACTTTTTGTAATAATACCTCATGTGATCAGACCAGATAGGAGTTACAGCTCTGACAAGATGTTGATTCTTTTGGAATTCCTTTCATCTGGAAGGTGGCTAGGATCTCCAGGCTACTGTAGCCCAGCCAATAGCAGCCTCATAGTCCATTTACCCATGATAAAGTACAAATATACATTTACAACTAAGTCAATTTACCCCAGGATGATATAGAAGTATAATTCTCTGGTTGTCATGAGGTAAAAAGCATTGGAAACACTTATCTGTGACAAAAAGAGGTCTTATGAACTAAAACAACAATGTTAAAAACCCAATAGAAAAACAGGAAAAGTATATGAACAACAATTTACAAAATTGCTATCTAAATTGCCAATATAAAATGTCTCCAAGTTTTTTTTTAGTAACCATGGAGATGTAAATTGAAGTAAAATCTGTATATCTCTTTATACTCATAAGACTGGCAAAAATTTAAAAGTATGGTGAAATCTATTGCTGGTAGGGATGCTAACAGAATAAAATTTTCATTTACTGCTAGTGGTTAGGTGAAAAATTTCTGCCCTTTTGGAAAAATGATCTGTGCATATCTTTTGACAGAACAATTTTATACTCTTGGAAATACATTCCTTTAAATATGATCACCTGCCCTGATTTGCTTACACACATACACACCCAAGAATACTTATTGCATTATGATGTATTTTTTTTTCTTTGCACAGCAGCAAAACTCAGGAACCAAAATGAACAGATAAACAAATAGTAATAGGGAAATGCTTACTTCAGTTTAAAATAACTTGAAACATTTTAGTTAGGAGTAGTAAGTTCAGGGATCTATTTTACAACATGGTGACTAGAGTTACTACAGTGCATTCTTGCAAAATTCTAAGAAAGTGGATGTAAAGTGTTTTTGGCACAAAAATGAATGATAACTATGTGAGATAATGCACATGTTAATAATTAGCTAAATTTACTCATTTCACAATGTATACATACTCCAAAACATCATGTTGTACATAGTTAATATCATTTTATCTGTCATTTAAAAATAGACCTTTCATGAAAGATATCTATGAAAAGACACTTAGAATGAGAAATGAGAGCTTTTATTAAAATGCCAGCAATAAATCTAAAAATATTCCTTTTCTTATATTTACAGGAATAACTTCCAGATGTAATATTCAATTTGGAATTATAGCATTTTCATCTAGATAATTATTTTTTGGAAGATAGCTTAACTCACCTTCTTTTCATATAATATATTTTTATCATCGTTCAGGTCACTTGGCTGAAGTTGGTACCATGACGGATTTGTAGCTGCTATTAGAGATGCCACTCAAGGCAGAGGTAGGGGAAAATCTTCCTGATTTTCCTTTCTTTCTACACTCTTATCTCCTCTTAACTTCTTTAATATGCTAACCCCAGCCAGAAATGCTGGCCATAAGAATCTTTCCCTGTAATACAGAACAGACCAGGGTAAGGCAGACAGTAGATCTGAGAGAAAATTGGACAAGGACTGGCACACCTTCCCTTTGGGTGAGCAGATAAATTTGACAGTTTTCTTCATCCCTTCTCCCTGTGATCTCCAAGATTTGTTTAGAAGATTTTGGATTTAGATTTTGCAAGTGTCTCTTCTCTTTATAGGAATTTTTTGGGACATTTTGTTTTGTAACTGTTCTAAGAACAATCTTATACCTAATTTTAAGTTTCATTAATTTTATTGCTCACTATTTTTCATACCCCTTCTTCGCTATTTTTATTACAATTCTTAATTTTTTCTTTTGCTCTTATTCACATACTATCATTTAGGTAGGTGACACATTCTTAAGACCTTACTCTATTGTTTCTTGACATTTTGTCTTTTGTGTAAGGAAGAGAATTCTAACGACAAATAGATAATGATAAATAGATTCATCTCTTGTGAAAGGAAGATATTCTAATGACAAATAGATAAATGACAAATGATAACTCACATAGTTATCTTTCATTTCTGTACCAAAAACACTTTACATCCACTTTCTTAGAATTTTGCAAGCATACATTATATTAACTCTAGTCACCATGTTGTACAGTAGATCCCTGAACTTACTCCTCCTAACTAAAATGTTTCAAGTTATTTTAAACTGAAGTAAGCACTTCTCTATTATTTGTCATTTTAAAGGCTACTTTTTCTTTCTTCATGGAAATGTATAGATTTCATTTTAAACGTTGGTTTTGAAATTAAGAACAAACAAAATGAAAACCTTAGCCTAGTACTTGAAAAAAAATTTTTTTTTTTGATCTGATGCTTTAATTCTGTTTTCAGTGTAGGGATTTTTTTCCTCTTTGATCATTGATTCTTCTTAATCTTACCATTTTATATTTATATTAAATATTCTTTTCATTTATATGTATTTAATCCCAGATGAATTAACAATTACTTTAATCTGGATTTGTAGTTCTAACAGAAATTCCCTGAAATTTCTGGCATGTATATGGTCTCATTTTGCTTGTTTCCAGGATTTATGTAGATGTTTTCTAGATATTTTTGTGTTTGTCATTTTAGTGGGAACTTAGAAGAGGATAGAGTTAAACATCTGCACTCAAATCACCATTCAAAATAAGAAATATCTCAATAAAATTTAAACATTATAAAACTTACCATTCCTTTCAAATATTACCAAAGTATGTGGCTACTTTGAACAAACGAAGAAATATTCTCTCCCTTAGCTGTTTCCAAGTGATAGGAGATGGAAAAAGATCTTCCTTTAGAAATAGGAAAGTGAGGATTCTAATTCGTCTCCTGGGCTCTTTGGTGGCCACAGGTTTTTCAGGCTATGTTAACTGGTGTGAACTGTCCTAACCGATCTGCTCATCTTGATTGCAATGTCTCATTGGTGTGCTATGATGTCAAGCTGAGAGAGAATGTGGCACAGCGAATTGCTTTCAAGACTAACAGATTCCTGCGCTTTTAAGCAAGCACTACCATTTTCTCATCTGTAAAACAAACCTAATCCTACTTATGTGCATTATTAATTGACTTGTATAGTTTTATTGAGTGATTAAATGTGTTGTAGAGCATGTATTAGGATCCTAGGGGCATAAAGATGAGTAATATCCAGTCTCTGCTTTCAAGAATTATATAGCTAAAAGGACTGTGAGGATTGTGTGAGAATTCATTAGCTTATACAGTAAATATTTGTAGAGAACATAATTGTTATTAGGAACTCTCCTAGGCATTGAGATATTAGGATGAATAAAAAATCTTATTAGCCTATTGTGATTACATTTTATTAGAGGACAAAGGGAGATGATTAAAAATTAAACATCTAATATAATGTCAGATGTTGAAAAGTTCTGTGAAGAGAAATACAGCAAGAGTGGGGAGTATGTGTGTGTGAAGGAGAGAAGAGAGAACTATTTTAAATGGGGTAGTCTGGATAGCCTTTCTGAGAAATGTCTGGGAAAAGGGCATTGCTGAAAGAAGAATATATTTAGAGTGTTTGAGAAACAGCAAGGTAAGAATGGCTACACTTTGGTTATTTAAGGGAAAAATGGCGAAAATAAGAATGAAGTATTTGCTAGGGTTTTTTGGCCATGGCAAAGAATTGAAATGTTATTCTAAGTGCAATAAAGGGAAACCATTGGAGGGATTTGCACAGAGAAAGAGATTATTTGATTTGTGCTTTGCAAAGATTAGTCTAGGTGTTTAGTAGGGAATAGCTGTAGGGGAGACAAGGTGGAAGTGGGAGAGGAGGAGGTAGAGTGGGAGTGATGGCAGGCTAACATAGGAGAACAAGAGAAAAAGCTGTGCTTTGACTTGGGAGCAGTGTTTTGGAGTGAATGAGTCTTCATCAGATAATATGATACTTGGTATGGATAAGCTTTTAGTAAATAATTCTATTGTTATTATCATGTCTATATTGAGCAGTTACAAAGAAACTACATGTTCAGGCTTTAAGCAAAGTGTATGAAAAAATACAAGCAATTTTCTCCTAACCCCTTCAAGAAAAAATAGTAGGTAATAAAAATGGAACATAAGAGCCTTCATTAAAAGATCATAGAGAAACTTCTGTAAATTGGTAAGAAAAATAAATCTAATCCAATGGAAAAATGAAGAAAAGGAACTAAGAGGAAGAATATGTGGTTAACAAACATATGAAAATACACTCAACTTTATTGTTCAATCAGGGAAGTGAAAATCAAAACTGTAGGGAGACAATAGTTCACACCTACCTGTTTGGCAGGAATTAAAAAATTTAACACTAACAGATATTGGCAAGGATATGGAGAAATCAAAACATTTATACACATTGCTGGTGGAAGTCTATATTGGCATAATGGAATATATGGAAAATAACAGGGCATTATATAATAAATTTGAAATTGCTGTTTTTTCATGACCCAGCAATTCTACTCATAGCTATACACTCTAGGGCAGTTGTTCTCAAAGTTGGTTCCTGGACCTGCAGCATCAGCATCACTTAGGAACTTGCTAGACATATAAAATCTTAGGACTCATCACAGCCATACGAAATTAGAAACACTAAGATTAAGGCTCAACAATCATGTTTAAATAAGCTCTTCAGGTGATCCTGATACAGCTAAAATGTGTGAACCACTACACTAGAGAAAGATTTGCACATGTGTACTAGGAGACACGTGCAAACTGTTTGCAGCATCTTTGTTTACAGTAGCAAAGTACCCAAAACAAACAATCTATTATTAATAGAAGGCATAAAGGAATGTATAGTCACACAATGGAATACTGTACAACAGTGAAATGAACTATAGCTAAACACAACATGCATCAATCTCAGAAATATAATAGTCAAAAAACAAGACAGAAGATTTGGAAGCAGAAACATAATTATACATATTAATAAAAAGTAAAGAATATCTTATTGAAAGAAATAAATATATGTAGCATATTTGGTAAAATTATATGAAAGAAATAAGGAAATATTAAACTCAAAATTCAGGGAAGTGGTTACTTATGATGGAGCAGAAAATGTGTAGGATCAGAGAGCAGTCTTCCCAATGGTGATAAAGTTTCATTTTCTAAACTGGGTAAGAAAATGTGTAGTTATTGTAGTATTGTGCTTTATGCCCTACATATATTATTTAATTTTTTATTTGCTCAATATTTGGTAACAATAATAAATACAATATGATTAATAAAAATAAAGCAAATGAACGCACACAAAAAAAGGATGGAGAAAAAAACAGTAGACCCCTTTCCCTGTTGTATCCACAGTGTCAGGAAGCATATAAAATAAGTTCAAGAAAAAAACCATCATACGTATCCACATTTTTTCTCTTTTTTGTCTCACCTTTCCTTTCTCACCATACAGAGATTCACTCATGAGAACTAATACTTATTTTAAGTGCAAAGGCAAACTAATTTTTAAAAACGGATATGACAGGAAAATGCACAAATAATTAGGAAAAATAAGCCTAGAAATACAGAAAATAAATCTTAAAATTTCTAAAAGTTCAAGTATTCTGATTCAATTAAAAATGGTAAGCTTAGTGAGTTAATGAAAATTACATCAGCATGTTCCCTGAGTTTTAATGAGGCAAGAAAGAGCTGTAATCTCTGCAAGAAGGCCAAGTGACAGAGGATATTACGAGAACAACATGCTCTGTACTTGGATAATGCTACAGAAATATTGCCTTCTTGTCATAGACTCTGAATTGCTTTTTATACAGGAAATAGGATTAAAATGCATGCTGGCCATCTACACTACACAGGTAAACTCAGTTCAATTCAAGATGACTATTACAATAAAATATTATTTTGTATATAAGCAGAGGAAATTTCTTTTTTTCCATAATTACATTTAGGCACTTAAACATGGCAAATTTCAATTATAGAAGGAAGAGTTTAACCATTTCTATCTCATTTGGAAGTATGCTATTATTTTAGTAGTAGTTTATTTTGGCAACTAAACAAATGGAGACAGTTGTGTGTGCGCTAAATGGAGACAAACAAATTATATATATAATGTTTCAAAGAGTACTTTTGAGACATGAGTTATTGTGCTAACCATATAACGTGCTGTTTTACCACAGAATAAGATAATTATCTTCCCCACAGGATGCCAGTTACAGACAATAGAAACTTTACATTGCTTTGAATTGTATGTTGAAAAATGTGTGTGTGTGTGTTTTAAATAATAGGTAGGTATAATCCAAATGAATAAAAAATGTTATAAATAAGCATGTAAATAATGATGTTTCAATTTCAACACTGCTGGGTAGAATACTTGCTCCTGATAAAATTTCTGTTGGCTTTTGCCATTGGAAACACAGATCATGAGTGTTTTCCTTTAAATAGTTTAAATATTTGAAAAGTTTACTTGAAAGACTGAAACGCAGTAGGAGTTTAAGGATCTTGACTATTTGGGATGTCTAACTGAGGGCAGACAGTGAACTTTTGAGCAAATTCTAAAAAGGGCATTGAACCTGTGTTCTGTAGAAATCTCTTATCGAATAATTAGGCATTTTTCTCAATGTTTTACTTTAATATGAACCAGATTCTCAAGCCAAGTGAGAAATAACAATGACATTTAACTATATTTTATGTTCAAATTAGCAAATATTACAAATAATCTTGGCGAGATGATTTGAAGTGATACTTTCATTTGTTGCTAATATATAAACTGATGTATTAGAACTTAAATTCTGCTATAATAGAATACTTGAGACTGGGTAATTTATAATGAACAGAAATTTACTGCCTCACAGTTCTGGAGGCTGGGAAGTCCAAGATCAAGCTGCCACCATCTGAGGAGGGCCTTCTTGCTGCGTCATCCCATGGCAGAAGGCAAGAGAGCAAGAGGGGACCACACTAGACCTTGTATATGGGCACCAATTCCACCCTTTAGGGTGGAGCCCATATGGCCTAATAATCTCTTAAAGGTTCCACCTCGTAATATTGTTACAATGGCAATTAAATTTGAACATGAGTTTTGGAGGGGACAAATATTTACAACATAGTAATTGGTATAAACTTTATCAAAATCAATCTGGTAACAGAAAAAAAAAAGACCCTTAAAAATACCTGTACCCTTTCATTTATTTATTATACTTTTCATAATCTATCATAAGCTAAAATCATAAACATAAAAAAGATTTAAGGAAGAAAAATGGTGGGAGAAACAAATCAAAAGTTAAAAAAATTGAGAAGTGCTAAAGTAAACTGTTGCAAAGCCAATTTGCAATGAATTATGAAGCCATGTAAATGAAGTTTATGAACAACTATGTACTAACATTAAAACAGCCTAAGTAATTAAAATAGCATAGAAAGATTTAAACAATGTAGCCATAATTGTGCAATTAACCCTCCCCCAATCCCACCAAAATAATAATAAACAGGAAAGAAGATTAATAAACACAGACATAATGATAACTATCTCTTGATAATGGAAGTATGTATGATTAGTTTTTACATTATTCTGTATTTTCTAAATTATATATAATGGGGATATGTTGTTTTATAACAAAACAAATCTGTTGAACTCTTGTTTAGATAGAAAATTCCAAATCAATAATATGTTAAAATAACATAGAAATTTTCCAAATTTTTGGATATTGTATTGTATAATGTGATTTCAAAATGATGAACCACTGAGTATATGCAAAAGAAAATATTTATTTTATATATTTAGATTATACTTTTTTCCCTGTTGGATGCTGGACTATTTTTTCCTCACACCTCTTAGTATGCATTTGCCAGAAATGTGGAAATGGTTGATGGTGGTCCTGTGTGTAAACCATTCAGCTGATCCAGAGTAAACTAGAACTTATGAGCCCCATGACGTGAAAGTTTGTCTTTAAACTTACCAATGACTAATATTTTAAGCAATGGTTGTATTTTATAACATAGATTTTTTGTTTTCATGTTCACAAAATGTTCTGGGATGAGTTTCTGATATTAAATTTCCCCCACAGCTATGAATAGAAACTCAAATTCAAAGTCAAGAAGTTGTTGTCTTTTATGTTGCAAATGACACTAAATATCATTTCAGTGACCATGATGACCTACTTGTATCTATAGTTCTTAAAAGCTATGCTTCTTTGTTCTTGATCTAATGTGTTTGCAGTCAAGTGCAACCAGGTTGATAAATTGTCTTTAAACATTTAGATGGGAAAGCAGGGAGAAAAAGAAATAGTTGTTTATGGAAGAGGAAGAAGAAAGTATCTTGTTAAGTACACTGTAGTAAAAGGTAAAATGAAAGTACCACTTCCAAATTATATATCATTTGGAAATATTTCTTTTTCACTAAGGAGGGGAAAAGGCAGGTAAGTTTAGATTAAATCAATGCTGAAGTGTCAATAAATTTGAAAATGAAGAACCAACAAGATGCATTTGAACCAAATTAAATTTGACTCTCAATTCTGCTAAGCATATATTTTCAGTAAACACATGTTTTTAAGTCAACTATGTGTACAGAACCACAATAACAACTATTAATAATATTTAACTGAGTTAACATTAAGATGGGCTTCAAAATCCTAAGAACTTGTTAAATAATCAATGGTAGAAGAGGCGGAATAAGAATTATATTCTCTATAGAATCATAGAGAAATCAACATGGGAGTACAAATTGGGAGGCAACTGAGAGTTTAACAGGATCTTTTCTAAAGATTATCCTAGATATAATATGGTTGATATCAGTAAAGAGTTTCATAAGAGTTTCATAGGTCTCCATTTACCATTTAAAATCTGAGCCTATTAAAATATATTTGGGAAATTATTTTTCTTTGTCTTTTTTTAATCACATATCAACATCTTACTTTCTTAGTTCTATTTCACCTAAATGTGTCCCTGTAATGCAATTTTTATATAAATTCCTGCTAGATGGGTTGGCCTAAGTTACTATTTGAAAGGCTTCTAAACTCTCCTGTATTGACCAGCTGAAATTTTCCTTTGTAATGGCACTTTACTTGAAAACATGATCAAAAAATCATTTTAGTTAGATAATTTTTCTTAAAAGGTAGATGTAGTTGAATGTTATCACTCATTTGAATTTTAGTGTAAATTTTAAAATCAGATGATTTCCTGTTTGTCTAAACTTTTGAAATTGAAGATTAATATATACAAAGTCAACTGCAGAGATCTTGAGTGTATAGGTTGCTATCTTTTTCAAAGTGAATATACGTATTTAAAGCTTCAAATTTCCTTCTAAGTACTCTTTGGCTGCATTCCACACATTTTGTTTGGTCATATTTTCATTACTGATTTCAAAGAATTTTCTAGTTTTCACAGCAATTTATGTTTTGGTCCAAGATTGTATGTGTAGCTTATTCCAAATATTATTTTCTTATTGATTTCTAGCTTAATTCTACTGAAGCCAGAGAATATATTCTGTATGACTTCAATCTTTAAAATTTGTTAAGACTTGTTTTATGGTCCAGATTATTTCTTTTAGTGAATGTTCCATGTTTACTTGAAAAGAATGTTTCTTTCTATGATAAGAGGGTTGTGTTGGTGGCACCTCCACTATTCTTTTCTGTTTGTTGAATTGTGCAACATCTTCCAAGTGATATTCTATAGGAGTGTTTAATTTCTTCTGGCTCCATCTAGTTGCTGCATTTGAAGCAAAGGTATTGCTTTGTATTTGCCCTAAGGTCATTTGACCTAAATTTGAAGGGGTTAGAGTTTTTAACCTGATCTGTAGAGCAGAGAGGTTGAAAGCACTTAAAACTCTTGTTCAGTTCTCACATGATCTTGCTGCCTGAATATCTGGCTCTTTTCCATAAACATTTCTTCTCAGTTCATGTAGCTCTTCAACAGAAAGCTGCTATTACATATTGTAATTTATAAAGGATGTTGGAGGGTCACAGCTTTACCTGTGACAGGTTTTGCCTATGGTTTTGATACCTATAACTCAGGTATATCAGGTATATCTGATTCCTTTCCCTGTGCCCTGACATTCCTTTCCCAATGCTATGAAAAAGGTTCTGCTTCTCAGATGAATGGGTGCTATCTGTTTTGTTTCTAAATGGCCAATTTTGAGGATAAAATGGGAAGATATAATTGCTTCTTTTATACCTATTTGTACACTCTGGTGGAAGGGAGTCCTTATATTTATGTACACTCTGGTGGAAGGGAGTCCTTTTATTTAGGTTCAAAATATATTATTTCTTGGATTTCCTTCTTAACTTTTTCTAACTTTGGGTCCAGTTTTTTTTCATTGTCTCCTTTCCCAGGCAGCTCTATTCTTGCAGAGCCATGGCAGGACATATTAAAATTCTAGTAGAAAACACTAAAGGAAAGTCTGTAGAATCACTAGTGACTAAACACTGGGAAGCTATTTTCTCAGTCTTCCTCCATGTTGTGTTCTTTGTGTTATCAAGATGATAATGTATCATGTATTTGAATTCTTGAAAAATGGAAAATGTTTAAGATATATGTATATAAAGTATATGCTATATTGGTGCAAGAATGGTAATTTTCATTAAAATGGTAATGAAGAAAGTGAGAAATATTTACATGTGTGTTCATAATTCAACAATACTTACTAAATTCTTATGGCATGGTGTGATGGAGTAGAGAGTCGGATTCAAGTATATCATGTTAGTGTGGCCATGACTTTTAGCCAAGAGTTAATGATATTCTTAGGCTTTACTAAAAACGAGAGAGGTCAACAGCATTTTCACCAAGTGAAGCTTTTAAAGGAAAAGGAAAATAATGAGAAGACTATGTTGGAACTCAGAGGAAAAACAGAATATCAATCCTGATTGAAGGGCCAGGGTAGAGTCAAGGAGCCAGATATAAAGTATATGTTGTCGTGTGTGTGTGTGTGTGTGTGTGTGTGTGTGTGTGTGTGTTTGTGTGTGTGTGTGTGTGTTTCTGTGTGTATAGAAGGGAAGTTAATCAGAGGACCATTTAAAGCCATTTTCTGGCTCAGGTTGTAGAATAAGCTATTTTGTTTTTATTGGAGCAGAGTAGGACACAAATAAGATAGCTGTACTTAAATGAGTCTTCAATCAGAGCAAAAAAGCCCATGTATATTTGTTTTTCCATTTTTCATCTACTTTTGCCAATTTTGAGCAAAGTTGCAAAACACACTAACAAGTGTTCGGGAGTATCATCAATCTCATTAACTGTGGTGAAAGTATAAATTGGTAGATGATTTTAAAGAAACCTGTCTATCTATCTGTATCTATCTATCTATCTATCTATCTATCTATCTATCTATCTATCATCTATCTATCCATCTACCTACCTATCTATCATCTATAAGAACTTGAGGGCCGGGCGCGGTGGCTCACGCCTGTAATCCCAGCACTTTGGGAGGCCGAGGCGGGCGGATCACGAGGTCAGGAGATCGAGACCATCCTGGCTAACACGGTGAAACCCCGTCTCTACTAAAAATACAAAAAATTAGCCGGGTGTGGTAGCGGGCGCCTGTAGTCCCAGCTACTCGGGAGGCTGAGGCAGGAGAATGGCGTGAACCCGGGAGGCGGAGCTTGCAGTGAGCCGAGATCGCGCCACTGCACTCCAGCCTGGGCGACAGAGCGAGACTCCGTCTCAAAAAAAAAAAAAAAAAAAAAAAAAAAAGAACTTGAGAATAATATCTATTCCATTTGGCCCAGTAATTCCAACTTTTAGAAATTTATACTAAGAAAATTAGATAGAGATTTATTTATAAAGATTTTCCATGCATTGCTATTCTTAATCATTTATTTTAAAAATTGGCAAATATAACACAAATGATGAAAACTACATAAAACATACAACAATTATAAAGCAAGCACATATATGAATATCACATAAATCAAGACAGAATGGGGCCAACACACAAAAAACCTCTTTCCTACTTGCCCCAAAGGTAACCACTATACTGAATTTTATTTCAACACCAAGCATGCATCCTTAAATAATATGGGTTTTCCTGGTTTTTAAATCTTATATGAATGGAATAATTCTGCATATATGTGTTTGTGTCTTGCTTCTTTAACTCAATATTATGGGTATAAAGTTTATATATAAATCTATAGCTTATTTATTTTTATTGTTGTGTAGTTTGTAATATTTGTATATACAACCAGTTATGAATATGTCATCAGTTATTTATCCATTTTATTTAATATTGATGAATGTTTATATTATTTCTTTTACTTTCTTTTTATTTATTTTATTCCTTTTAACTCCTCCCCTTCTCGTTTCCTTTCTTTGCTTCCTCCTTCTTTCTTTTAACCTTCCCCCCATCTTATCCTCTTCCTCAGTCATTCTTTCCTTCATTTGCTATTAGAAAATAAAATCAATGCTGCCATAAGTAATCTGTATAAGCATGCTGCATTCATGTGCATGCATATCCCTAGGGTATAAATACAGAAGTAAAACTCTTGCTTGAAAGTTCATTTTCTTTCTCCATTAGCAATATTTGGTACTGTAATGCTTATAGTTTTGCCAGTTAGATGGCTGTATTAGGGTTCTCCAAAGACACAGAACAAATAGGACACACACACACATACACACAACACAGATATATTAAAAGAAATTGGCTTACACAATTATGAAGACTGAGAAGTCCTACAGCCTGCCATCTGTAAGGTAGAGATCCAGGAAAGCTGGTGATATACTTCCAGTCTGAGTCCAAACACCCAAGAACCTGGAGACCTGATGATGTAAGTATTAGTACAAGTCTGAAGGCTCTAGTACCAAGATCACTGATGGTTTAAGTTCTAGCCAAGGGCAAGAGAACACCATTGTTCTAATTTAAGCAATTAGGAAAGAGAGCAAATTTTCCCTTTTGTTCTATTCAGTCTCCAATGAATTAAAAGGTGCCTACCAAAATTGGGGAGAGCAATCTGCTTTACCTCCCTCTACTTATTTAAATGTTAATCTCATCCAGAAACACCCTCACAAACACACCTAGAATGTTTAACCACATATCTGGGCACCCCATGTCCCAATCAAGTTGACACATAACAGGTGTTGTATATGTTATTTTATTTTATTTTATTTTGAGATGGAGTCTCGCTGTGTCGTCAGGTTGGAATGCAGTGGCATGATCTGGGCTCACTGCAACCTCCACCTCCTGGGTTCAAGCGATTCTCCTGCCTCAGCCTCCAGAGTAGCTGGGACTACAGGCGCGTGCCACCACACCCAGCTAATTTTTTGTATTTTTAGTAGAGACAGGGTTTCACCACGTTGGCCAGGATGATCTCGAACTCCAGACCTTGTGATCTGCCTGCCTCAGCCTCCCAAAGTGCTGGGATTACAGGCGTGAGCCACCGCACCTGGACGTATATGGTATTTTCTTGTGGCTTAAATCTGAATTTCTCTGAGCAATTTTTTATGTGTATGGACCATTAAAAATCCCTCTTTTGAGAAGTGCCCATTTTCCCTTTGGGTCATGTCTTTTTTGGGTCATATGTAACTTATGCTCATAAGTTACAGTTAAGACTTTGTCATTTACATATCATGCAAATGTTTGCAACATGACTGAGGGAGAGAATGAAAGGAAAGGGAGGGGAGAAGAAGAGAAGGAGGTAGAAACAAAGGAAGAGAGGAAGAAAAGGGAAAAGAGAAAACAAAAAGAAGGAAAAAATGGAAAAAAATAAGAAGAAGAAGGAAAAGAAAATGTCTCTGTCATTTGTCTTGTAACTTGTTTAATGTTGTTTCTTTGATACAGAGACTTTTTAAATTTGAAGGAAAACATCAATCTTTAACAACCTCTTTAGTACTTGGTATCATTTTGGATTAAAAATATTTCATTACTTCAAGATCATAGAGATATGCTTTTATATTATCTTCTAGAAAGTTCCTAGTTCTGCTATTGACTTTTAGATCAATAATCCTCCTGGAATTCTTTTATAAGGTATAAACTATGAGTGAGTGAATTTCGAATTTTTTCCAGTTTGATTGCCAACTGATGCAGCACTTTCATTGAAAAAATCTATTTCCTATTACTCTGCATTCATGTCTTGTTGGTAAATCAATTGTCCATTATATGTGTATTAGTTTTCTGATCTTTATTCTTTCCATTCGCTTGTTATTATTTCTTATCTCTGTGTTAGTGCTCAATAGCTTTAATTACTTGAGTATTGATACCTAATAGTGTAAGTTCCTGTTGGAATCATTTATTTTGAGTATCTTGTGTAATTTGCCCCTTTGCATTTCCATATAAATCACTTCCAATAAAAAACTTTTAATATACTTAAAATATCCGTTAGGATTTTTGGGTGGAGAATTGACATATATAGAGAGCACTGTCTATGAACAGCACATATCTCAGTTTATTTACAACTTCTCTAATGTCTCTTTTAAAATTTGTAGAACTTGCCTGTTATAGGTTTTATACATTTTCATATTGTTTTCTAGTTAATAGACATATTTGATACCTTTTTAAATATTTCCTTTCTTTTTTGTTTTTGCTTTGTGCATTTTGAAATAAAATTATCTTTTATGGTTACTTTGCATCTACCAATCTTACTAAACTCCTTATTAGTTATAAATTTTTGCTGATAATTTTTGAATATTTAACACATTCAAAGATATATTCTGAGAATAACTGAACTTTTTTCTTCTTTCTTTTTTTCGCACTTTTTATTCACTCTTTTCCCATGAATGGAAGTAGTGATAAGGGGCATTCTTGTCTTGTTCTACATATCAAATAGATAAATATTTTTATGTTTTACTATTAATTAGTATGTTCCTAGTAGTTCATTTTGTATATACTATTTATCACATTAAAGAAATTTCCTTCTATTCCAGGCTTGCTTAGAGTTTATATAATAAATATATATTTTCTCTCTTTGTGTGTGTGTATGTGTGTGTGTGTATTTTTTGAATTGTTTTACTTTTTCTATAGTTATTGAGAGGATTAAAATAATTTTTAAATCTATTAAATCAGTGATTATGTTGATTATTTTTGATTAAACCAAACTTGTCTTCCTATAATAAAGCTAGCTATTCAATTAGATTTTTATATGTTGCTCAATGCAGCTTGCTAATATTTCATTTAGAACTTTTGCATGTGTTAATGAGTGAAATTGGTCTGTACCTTTCCATTTTTTATTGTGGTTTTCAGAACATTGGTATCAAGGTTGTGTTAACTTCATAAAATCATATATATGTATTTATAGATTATGTATTGTAAGTATATATAAATAATATATATAAATATATATAATAACTTCTTTTTTTATTTCTTACCAGTATTTCTCTGGAATTAGAATTGTTTCCTTTTTGAATGTTTGTTAACACTCACTGATTAATACATCTGGCTTTGAGGTAATCATTGTGCAAAGAGTTTGATTACCAATTCAATTCATTTAATGTTTATAATACTAGTCAGGTTTTCTAGTTCTTCTAGAGTTAGTTCCAGTAAGTTATATTTTTAAAAAGAATTAGACATTTATCATTTTCAGAATTACCATGAAGCTGTTCATGAAATTTGGTTATCTGTTAAATGTCTCTATTTTTTCTCTCTCTTTTCTCACCCCATTTCTCTTTATTATTCTCTCTTTCTCTCTTGCTCTTTCTCTTTTTTTTTTCAAGTTAACATTGTTAGCCTTTTGATAAACCCCTGTTTTCTTTCGATGATTCCTTTTATTGTAAAATTTTTTTTCTATTTTGTTTCTTCTACTTTCTTTGGGTTTATTTTGCAATTCATTTTTGAACCTTTTGGGTAAATGTTTAGCTTAAACATTTTCAGTCTTCTTTCTACTAATGCATAAATAAAGTTCGCATAGTTTCATTTATGCAGTGCTTTGGCTGGATTCTACAAGTGTGTTATGTACTATTTTTGTTACCATTTGGGTGAATATATTTAATTATCAGTTTAATTTCTTCTTTAACACATGATTTATTTAGATTTAATTTTTTATTTCTAAAAATATAATGAATTTAAAATTTATTGTTACAAATTTGTGGTGAGAATATACTATACATTAAAACTTTAGACATTTTATGAGATATGATTTATTTACACCTATACAATATTTAAAAATTTTATTATTATTATTACACTTTAAGTTCTAGGGTACATGTACACAATGTGCAGGTTTGTTACATAGGCATATATGTGCCATGTTGGTTTGCTGCACCCATCAATTCGTCACTTACATTAGGTATTTCTCCTAATTCTATCCCTCCCACATCCCCTCAGCCCCCAACAGGCCCTGGTGTGTGATGTTCCCCTCCCTGTGTCCATGTGTTCTCATTGTTCGACTCCCACTTATGAGTGAGAACTTGCGGTGTTTAGTTTTCTGTCTTTGTGATATTTTGTTGAGAATGACGGTTTCCAGCTTCATCCATGTCCCTAAAAAGGACATGAACTCATCCTTTTTTATAGCTGCATAGTATTCCATGGTATATATGGGCCACATTTTCTTAATCCAGTCTATTATTGATGGACATTTGGGTTGGTTCTAAGTCTTTGCTATTGTGAACAGTGCTGCAATAAACATACGTGTGCATGTGTCTTTATAGTAGCATGATTTATAATCCTTTGGGTACATGTACTCAGTAATGGGATTGCTGGGTCAAATGGTATTTCTAGTTTTAGATCCTTGAGGAATTGCCACACTGTCTTCCACAATGGTTAAACTAATTTACACTCCCACCAACAGTGTAAAAGCCTTCCTATTTCTCCACATCCTCTCCAGCATCTGTTGTTTCCTGACTTTTTAATAATCACCCTTCTAACTGGTGTGAGATAGTATCTCATTGTGGTTTTGATTTGCATTTCTCTTATGACCAGTGATGAGCATTTTTTCATATGTCTGTTGGCTGCATAAATGTCTTCTTTTGAAAAGGGTCTGTTCATATCCTTTGCCCACTTTTTGATGGGGTGGTTTGATTTTTTCTTGTAAATTTGTTTAAGTTCTTTGTAGATTCTCGATATTAGCCCTTTGTCAGATGGATAGATTGCAAAAATTTTCTCCCATTCTGTAGGTTGCCTGTTCACTCTGCTGATAGTTTCTTTTGTTGTGCAGAAGCTCTTTAGTTGAATTAGATACCATTTGTCTATTTTGGCTTTTGTTGGCCATTGCTTTTGGTGTTTTTGTCATGAAGTCTTTGCCCATGCCTATATACTGAATGGTATTGCCTAGGTTTTCTTCTAGAGTTTTTATGGTTTTAGGTCTAACATTTAAGTCTTTAATCCATCTTGAGTTAATTTTTGTGTAAGGTGTGAGGAAGGGATCCAGTTTCAGCTTTCTACCTATGGCTAGCCAGTTTTCCCAGCACCATTTATGAAATAGAGAATCATTTCCCCATTGCTTCTTTTTGTCAGGTTTTTCAAAGGTCAGATGTTTGTAGGTGTGTGGTGTTATTTCTGAGGCCTCTGTTCTGTTCCATTGGTCTATATCTCTGTTTTGGTACCAGTACCATGCTGTTTTGGTTACTGTAGCCTTGTAGTATAGTTTGAAGTCAGGTAGCTTGATGCCTCCAGCTTTGTTCTTTTGGCTTAGAATTGTCTGGGCTATGCAGGCTCTTTTTTGGTTTCATCTGAAATTTAAAGTAGTTTTTCCAATTCTGTGAAGAAAGTCATTGGTAGCCTGATGGGGATGGCATTGAATCTATAAATTACCTTGGGCAGTATGGCCATTTTCATGATATTGATTCTTCCTATCCATGAGCATGGAATGTTCTTCCATTTGTTTGTATCCTCTTTTATTTCCTTGAGCAGTGGTTTGTAGTTCTCCTTGAAGAGGTCCTTCACATCCCTTGTAAGTTGGATTCCTAGGTATTTTATTCTCTTTGAAGCAATTGTGAATGGGAGTTCACTCATGATTTGGCTGTCTGTTTGTCTGTTCTTGGTGTATAGAAATGCTTGTGATTTTTGCACACTGATTTTGTATCCTGAGACTTCGCTGAAGTTGCTTGGCAGCTTAAGGAGATTTTGGGCTGAGATGCTGGGGTTTTCTAAATAGACAATCATGTCATCTGCAAACAGATTCAATTTGACTTAGTCTCTTCCCATTTGAATACCCTTTATTTCTTTCTTTTGCCTGATTTCCCTGGCCAGAACTTCCAATACTATGTTGAATAGGAGTGTTGAGAGAGGGCATCCTTGTCTTGTGCCATTTTCAAAGGGAATGCTTCCAGCTTATGCCCATTCAGTGTGATATTGGCTGTGGGTTTGTCATAAATAGCTCTTATTATTTTGAGATACGTTCCATCGCTACCTAGTTTATTGAGAGTTTTTAACAGGAAAGGCTGCTGAATTTTGTCAAAGGCCTTTTCTGCATGTATTGAGATAATCATGTAGTTTTTGTCATTGGTTTTGTTTATGTGATGGATTACGTTTATTGATTTGCATATGTTGAACCAGCCTTGCATCCCAGGAATGAAGTCAACTTGATAGTGGTGGATAAGCTTTTTGATGTGCTGCTGGATTGAGTTTGCCAGTATTTTATTGAGGATTTTCACATCGATGTTCATCAGGGATATTGGCTTAAATTCTCTTTTTTTGTGTATGTGTATCTGCCAGGCTTTGGTATCAGGATTATGCTGGCCTCATAAAATGAGTTAGGGAGGATTTCTTCTTTTCCTATTGATTGGAATAGTTTCAGAAGGAATGGTACCAGCTCCTCTCTGTACTTCCGGTAGAATTTGGCTGTGAATCTGTCTGGTCCTGGATATTTTTTGGTTGGTAGGCTATTAATTATGCCTCAATTTCAGAACCTGTTATTAATCTATTCAGAGATTCAGCTTTTTCCTTGTTTAGTCTTGGGAGGGGGTATGTGTCCAGGAATTTATCCTTTCTTCTATATTTTCTAGTTTATTTGCATAGAGGTGTTTATACTATTCTCTGATGGTAGTTTGTATTTCTGTGGGATCAGTGGTGATACCCTCTTTATCTTTTTTTATTGCATCTATTTGATTCTTCTGTCTTTTCTTCTTTATTAGTCTTGCTAACGGTCTATTTATTTTGTTGATCTTTTCAAAAAACCAGCTCTTGGATTCATTGTTTTTTTTTTTTTTTTTTTTTTTTGAAGAGTTTTTTGGGTCTCTATTCCCTTCAATTCTGCTCTGATCATGGTTATTTCTTGTCTTCTGCTAGCTTTTCAATTTGTTTGCTCTTGCTTCTCTAGTTCTTTTAATTGTGATGTTAGGGTGTTGATTTTAGATCTTTCCTGCTTTCTCTTGTGGGCATTTAGTGCTATACATTTCCCTCTATACACTGCTTTAAATGTGTCCCAGAGATTCTTGTACATAGTTTTGTTCTCATTGGTTTCAAAGAACATCTTTATTTCTCCCTTTATTTCATTATTTACCCAGTAGCCATTCAGGAGCAGGTTGTTCAGTTTCCTGGGCAGCTGGGCAGTTCTGAGTGAGTTTCTTAATCCTGAGTTCTAATTGGATTGCACTGTGGTCTGAGAGACAGTTTGTTGTGATTTCTGTTCTTTTACATTTGCTGAGGAGTGTTTTACTTCCAATTATGTGGTCAATTTCAGAATAAGCGTGATGTGATGCTGAGAAGAATGTATATTCTGTTGATTTGGAGAGTTCTGTAGATGTCTATTAGGTCTGCTTGGTCCAGAGCTGAGTTCAAGTCCTGGATATCCTTGTTAATTTTCTGTCTCACTGATCTGTCTAATATTGACAGTGGGATGTTGAAGTCTCCCATTATTATTGTGTGGGAGTCTAAGTCTCTTTGTAGGTCTCTAAGAACTTGCTTTATGAATCTGTGTGCTCCTGTATTGGGTGCATTTATATTTGGGATAGTTAGCTCTTCTTGTTGAATTGATCCCTTTACCATTATGTAATGACCTTATTTGTCTCTTTTGATCTTTGTTGGTTTAAAGTCTGTTTTATCAGAGACCAGGATTGCAACCCTTTATTTTTTCTTTTCATTTGCTTGGTAGATCTTCCTCCATCCCTTTATTTTGAGCCTATGTGTGTCTTTGCACATGTGATGGGTCTCCTGAATACAGCACACCAATGGGTCTTG
The DNA here is from genome assembly GCF_000001405.40 of Homo sapiens. Classification (NCBI taxonomy): domain Eukaryota; kingdom Metazoa; phylum Chordata; class Mammalia; order Primates; family Hominidae; genus Homo; species Homo sapiens. The sequence goes on along the minus strand of NC_000003.12, from coordinate 148,480,348 downwards.
ACTCTATCCAATTTGCCAGTCTGTGTCTTTTAATTGGGGCATTTACCCCATTTACATTTAAGGTTAATATGGTTATGTATAAATTTCATCCTGTCATTATGATGCTAGCTGGTTATTTCGCCCATTAATTGATGCAGTTTATTCATAGTGTCAATGGTCTTTACAATTTGGCATGTTTTTGCAGTGGCTGGTACTAGTTGTTCCTTTCCATGTTTAGTGCTTCCTTCAGGAGCTCTTGTAAGACAGGCCTCGTGGTGACAAAATCTCTCAGCATTTGCTTGTCTGTAAAGGATTTTATTTCTCCTTCACTTATGAAGCTTAGTTTGGCTGGATATGAAATTCTGGGTTGAACATTCTTTTCTTTAAGAATGTTGAATATTGGCCCCCACTCTCTTCTGGCTTGTACGGTTTCTGCCGAGAGACCCACTGTTAGTCTGATGGGCTTCCCTTTGTGGGTAACCCGTTGGCTGCCCTTAACATTTTTTCCTTCATTTCAACCTTGGTGAATCTGACAATTATGTGCCTTGGGGTTGCACTTCTCGAGGAGTATCTTTGTGGTGTTCTCTGTATTTCCTGAATTTGAATGTTGGCCTGCCTTCTTAGGTTGGGGAAGTTCTCCTGTATAATATCCTGAAGAGTGTTTTTCAACTTCGTACCATTCTCCCCATCACTTTCAGGTCCACCACTCAAATGTAGATTTGATCTTTTCACATAGTCCCATATTTCTTGGAGGCTTTGTTCATTTCTTTTCACTCTTTTTTCTCTAATCTTGTCTTCTCACTTTATTTAATTAATTTGATCTTTAATCAGTGATATCCTTTCTTCTGCTTGATTGAATCAGCTATTGAAGCTTGTGTTTGCTTAGGTTGGGGAAGTTCTCCTGTATAATATCCTGAAGAGTGTTTTCTAACTTCGTACCATTCTCCCCATCACTTTCAGGTCCACCACTCAAATGTAGATTTGATCTTTTCACATAGTCCCATATTTCTTGGAGGCTTTGTTCATTTCTTTTCACTCTTTTTTCTCTAATCTTGTCTTCTCACTTTATTTAATTAATTTGATCTTTAATCAGTGATATCCTTTCTTCTGCTTGATTGAATCAGCTATTGAAGCTTGTGTTTGCTTCACGAAATTCTCATACTGTGGTTTTCAGCTCCATCAGGTCATTTAAGCACTTCTCTACACTGGTTATTCTAGTTAGTCATTTGTCTAACCTTTTTTCAAGGTTGTTAGCTTCCTCGTAATGAATTAGAACATGCTCCTTTAGCTTGGAGAAGTTTGTTATTATCGACCTTCTAAAGCCTACCTCTGTCAACTCGTCAAACTCATTCTCCATCCTGTTTTGTTCCCTTGCTGGTGAGGAGTTGTGTTGCTTTGGAGAAGAAGAGGTATTCTGGTTTTTGGAATTTTCAGCCTTTCTGCTCTGGTTTCTCCCCATCTTTGTGGTTTTATCTACCTTTGGTCTTCGATGCTGTTGACCTACAGATGGGGTTTTGGTGTGGATGTCCTTTTTGTTGATGTTGATGCTATTCCTTTCTGTTTGTTAGCTTTCCTTCTAACAGACAGGCCCCTCAGCTGCAGGTCTGTTTGAGTTTGCTGGAGGCCTACTCCAGACCCTGTTTTCCTGGGTATCACCAGCGGAGGCTGCTCAACAGCAAATATTGCTGCCTGATCCCTCCTCTGGAAGCTTCATCCCAGAGGAGCACCTGTCTGTATGAGGTGTCTGTCAGCCCCTACTGGGAGGTGTCTCCCAGTCAGGCTACATGAGGGTCAAGGACCCCCCACTTGATGAGGCAGTCTGTCCGTTATCGGAGCTCAAACGCCATGCTGGGAGAACCACTGCTCTCTTCAGAACTGTCAGGCAGGGACGTTTAAGTCTGCAGAAGCTGTCTGCTGCCTTTTGTTCAGATATGCCCTGTCCCCAGAGGTGGAATTTAGAGGGCAGTAGGCCTTGCTGAGCTGCAGTGGGCTCCACCCAGTTCAAGCTTCCCTGCCACTTTGTTTATTCTGTGAGCATAGACCCACCTACTTAAGCCTCAGCAATGGCGTACGCCCCTCCCTGAGCCAAGCTCCAGAATCCCAAGTTGATTTCAGACTGCTGTGCTAGCATTTGGATTCCCCCTCTTATTTAACAGTCTTTGTCTTCTAAGTGGAACATTATTCATCTGTATCTAATACAATTACTATTTGGGTTTAAATCTACTATCTTGTGCTTTTGATTTATCACTTATCTACTATATAACTCTCTCCTTCTTTTAGGATTCATTGAGCACTTTTTTCAATTCATTTATTTTCCCTCGACTACTTTGGAAGAGCACGCACGCGCGCACGCACGCACACACACACACACACGCACACACACACACACACACACACTAGTGGTGACTCAAGAAAATACAATATGCATCCCTAACCTATTAAAGACTAATCTTAAATAATATTTGACCCTTCTTCTGAAAATTACCATGGACCTTAGGATACTTTAACCAACATTAATTCATAAACTGTTGTCACAGTATACTTTAATTATTGTTTTTAAAAAGACTACATAAGGCATTATTAATCATTAGATGTACCCGGACATTTTCTATTTTCTTTGCTCTACATTCTCTTTTGCATCTCATGCCATCTTCTATATTGGAATATTTTTCTTCTGACAGTAAAAATACCCTTTAGTGCAGGACTATTTGTGGTGAACATTCTCAGTTTTTGTTCATTAAACATTATTACTCAGGTTTCATTTGTGTAGGGTAATTTAGCTGGATATAAAACTTGAGATTAGCAGGGATTTTTAGTCCATTGAAAAAAGTCATTCCATTCTTCCAGTCATGTCGTATTGTTATGTGTGGATTTAAAAAAATTATTTTGCTAGGAATTGGTTGGATTTCTTTAATTTTTTACTTGGAGTCTATGGTAGGCAGCATTCTTAAAAAGGACCCCTCTTCCCTCCAGATTCCATACCCTAATCTCCAGAAACTGTGAATATGGTGAAATATTATTCCTAAAAATATGTTAATGCATAGTTGACTTTATAATAGAAACATTATCTGAGAGGCTTATCTAATCACATGAACTATTAAAAGCAAAGTATGTTTTCTCTCTGGTGGTAGAGGGGGAAATCAGAGAAATTTGAAGTGTTCAGAAGGACTCAACACAGTCATAGCTGCTCTGAAGATGGAGGATGCTACATGAGAAGAATATGGGTAGTATTCAGGAGCTTAGGTTAACCAGTCAGCAAGGAAAGGAACCTTAGACTTCAGTCATAATGAAAAAGTAGTAATTAAAATTGTACGTAGTCTATAGTCCCAATGCTGTTGAAACTGAAATGTGTATAAAAAGAATGAAAATAATGTATTTTAATAGTTTAATGGTATATCTATGTGTTCTTAAATTATAGATGATATTTTTTCTTTTTATGTTTTCCTGAATTTTTAAAGTTTTGTATCATAAAAAATAAGTTATTTAGAAATTATTACCATCTGAAACTTGAAAGGATGATGATTTGAACTTAATTTTAGTTAGCCAAGAATTAAATCTGTTTTATCCACAGTGAGAAAGAACTTGAAATTCAATTTCATCCAAAAAATGAGTTTTATGTTTCCTCTAGCCTTATCATAGTAATTGATACCATATATTGATGTCTTATGAAGCTGATACTTGATATGTGATTCACTATCTCATTTAACCCCCACAAACAAATTTATGAGGAAGCTAATGTTTTCTATTCACGTTTTTCACATGAGCAGATAGAGGGTTGGCAAAGTCCTACAGTTATTTAGTGGTAGAGCTGGGATTTTAACCTGAGTTGTTTATTATAAATGGATTATAGGCTGAATAATTAATACTTATCTTAATATTTTCAAGAGATAAAAATATAATAGGAGAAATACTCTTTTAAGCATAAGCATCACTTCTGTAAAAATATTTCTTTTATTTTACTTTTCATTCTGGTTTGTGATTCTAGTAACCAGAGATTCCTTTTGGATTGAATAACACAAAGATCTCAGTTTCTGTAGACATAGCAGGCTCTCCAAAAATACCGTGAGACTAAACTCTATTAAATAAAATAATTGTTGTTTCTTGACAAGATTACACTAGATGTTCTCTTCCAAGATAGAAGTAATTGGGATCATATGTAATACAATCAATTAGGATGAGCCCCCTCTTTAATTACAATAGTCATATTCTATGTATAGTGTATAATTCAGAGTTTTAAGAATAATTATATAAACCATCAATCAAGTATATGTCTAGCCTTAAATACAAATTAAAAATTATTATAAAGTATTGCTTTATAAACCTTCTCCACTCAGAAGTACAGATATTTAATATACTTCTATATGAATAACAAAGCAAAGCACAACTAAGCAGGGATAAATAGATCAATATCTAATTTCATCCACATCTGCATTTTTAAACATTTTCTAGCCCATTTAGAATGCATACCTCTGGTGTGTGCAAAGTGTTTCTTTCTTAAATACAAAATAAGTAGCACATGCTGTTGGAATCTTGCCTTAATCCTTTTAGCATCTTAGCATTATAGTACTTTACAAGCAGAGCTCTAACTGCCTAATAACTTTCTGTGGCTTCTAGAGTCTCCTCTACTCACTAGCACATCAGGCCCAAAGTCCCAGAGATTTAATAATTCCCAGAAACATCCTTTAATGTATAAGTGATGGAAAGTGTTTAATACTTTGGTTCTTTTGACCACTGATTACTATAATTCAGAGCTGCTTGCTCCACATTGGATCTCAGAATCTGTCTTAGCTTGTATTCTGCTGCTATAACAGAATACCCAAGACTGAGTAATTTCTACTGAACAGAAATGTATTGGTTCATAGTTTTGAAGGCTTGGAAGTCTAATATTAATGTGCCAGCATTTGACAAAGGGCCTTTTCTTGCTAAATCACAATATGGTGGTAGGTATCACATGGTGGAAGAGCAAAGAGATGGCAAGAGAGAGAGAGCAAAAGGGTGCAAACCCATTCCTGTGATAACCAATCTATTCCCATGATAATAGCATTAGTATATTTGTGAGGGTAGAGCCCTCATGACCTAAACACATTTTAAAAGTCCCACCTCTCAGTACCATCACAATGGCAATTAAATTTCAACATGAGTTTTGAAGGTGACAAACCTTCAAACTATAGCATGGTCCTTCAGGGGGATTAAATTACAGTGGCTCCCTCAGTGGTAACTGACTTGATAACAGCCACTTTGTTTGTTGCCTTTCCTTCCTTATCTCTAGTTCCCGTTTACAACTAGTGTTTCCTGAGGCCCATTCCAAAATAAACTACTTCCACCAGATTCCTTGTTACAGAATCTACTATGGCAAAATCCAAACTAAGATATTTTGTTATATAAGGGGTTCGAGGTAGCAGATACTTAGAATGGGAGTTTAGAATTAAATACTTGCAAGCTAAATGACAAAAAGGGACCTAATGTTAGTGCAAAGAGACGGTGATGAATCCTGTGGTTAAAACATCAAAACTACTAATTATAGTGGTGACTATTATTAAACTGCTCACCTGTAGTGACTGAGATGGAGTACAGGAGAAGGGAGATAAATTGGCTTATGCAGTATATTCAGTATTTGAGTGATGTGGGGCGCTGTGACTAAGGACTGTGGAATTGATTGACTATTGTTAGGTGCCATCAATGTTTGAGGAAAGAAAATGGCAAGCTCAAGTCAGACAGTTTACTTGGGGCATGGCATCCCTTGTAGCTGAAGAGCAGACTTTGCTGAAGATCTTTGATTGTTACCATGGTAGAATTACAAAGAAAGGTGAATTCATAGTCCCACCAACTCCCTATATAAAGTCAAGAGGCACGTAAGTAGGACTAGGGCCCTGTGACCTGAGATGTCATTAGTGGATGAGCTTATAGTGGACACTATAATTTCTCAGAGAAGGTTTTAGCAGTCAGAGAAATTCCTCTTGCTAGAGATTAATAGCCTTCAGGACTTGCCTGAAGACCATGCAAAGTCCACACCTGTGGTAGATGCACTGCGAAGTGATGAGTGATGCTGTGAACAGTCAGTGAGGACCGAACGGCTGCCAAAAACCATGTGGGTGAGCTTGGAAGTAGATCCTTTGGTCCCAATTGAATTACCTTCTATTACCAAATTCTCCTGCATTGACCACTTGAAATTTTCCAGTTTTCAATGGCATTTTGCTTGAAAGCATGACAAAAAGTTATTTTAGTTAGATAACTATTTCTTAAAGGTAGGTATAGTTGAATGTTATCACTTATTTGTGTTTTAGTGTGACTTTCTGCATCTTTGGCCAATGTCTTGACTGCAATATCCTGAAAGACCTTGAGCCAGAACTACCTAGTTAAGCTGCTCCTAGATTTCTGGCACGGTTACTATGAGATAATAAGGGTTGGTTGGTTTAAGCCCCCAGGATTGAGGTTGATATTTCATGCAGCAATAGATAACAAATACAGTGATTGAGAAAAATGCTGCATTGGAAAAATTGTAATCCATTGACCAATTTCCAGACCAGAGTCAGTTCTGTGATACAAAGCCCACCATTTGAAGAGAAAGCCAGTTCTTCCGTAGCGGCACAGCAGGATTCCTCAATTTTTCTGTAACTGTATCTAGGGATATTTACTGGAGAAAGGGAAATATCTAGATTTTTAAAAAGCTGTTGAATTTAGGGTCCGAACTCACAACTGTAGATTCAAAATGCCATCATGGAACCCTTGTAAGAGTGAGGTAGTATGAGGGCCCTGTGATAAAGATCCAAGTCTGTTTCACAATGCACCCAATATGGGTCTATGGCCTCCTGCTATGGTCATTTTACTATCACTTGAGGGCCTAATTAAGATGGATATACTTAGCAAGTGGGCAAAACTCATGCATTATTTACCTGACCTGTGGAGTAAGAACCATAATTATAGGAAAGGCCAACTGGAAGCTCTTGAAAGCGTCTCACCCCAAATGAAAGTAGCATGTCATAAACAATCCTGAGTGCATGGTGAGTGGAATGGCAGGGTTTAGTGGCAGCCTCAGTGATCTCATGGATGCAGAGCTGGTGGTCTTTATCATATCTCTTCTTGGTGAATCAGTATAGTCTCCAAAAAAAATGGATCCAGATAACTTATGGCAGATGATGGTGGACTATTATAAACTTAACCAAATGATAACTCCAATTATAGCTGCTATTTAAAAGATGATTATTTACTAGACAAATCAATGCAGACTCTGCCATGTATATGCACTTATTTATCCTGTAAATGCATGCTTTTAAAACCCTTAAACATTCATTTTAGAATCATTTCACATTCACTGAGAATGAACAGCAGCACACATTTATAATCTTGCTTCAGACTGTGTTAATTCTCCCGTTCTCTGTTACAGCATGGTCTGAAGTGACCTTGGTTATAGAGAAATTGTATAGGGTATTTTACTGGTGCAGTATATTCGTGACATTGTGTTAATCAGATCTGGTAAGCAGGAACTTGTAAGTAATCTGGATATTTGTTCACAATGTTGGAGAGAAATGCAATAAAAATTAAGGGGTCTACCCCTTTGAGTAAGGCTTAAGAGATCAGATGATCTGGGTCATGCTGAGACATATCCTCTAATGTAAAGGTTGAAACATTACATTCTGCATTTCCTGTTACTAAGAAAGAGATGTCATATTTGGTAGCTCTCTGAATTTGGAAGAAAGCACTTTGGTTATACTGATCCATCTTATTTATTGAGTTACTCAGAAAACTGCTAGTTTTGAGTGGTCCAGAACAGAACAGAAGAGTTCCAGAACAGGTCCAGAACAGAAGAGTTTATAGCAGGTTTAAGCTGCAACATTGTTTGGATCATATGATCCGGCAGGAGCTATGTGGAGTTTCTCTAAGCCCCAATGTAAGAGTCATAGAACCCTTCTTCCAGACTTTTGACTACCAGCCAAGCCATTGATCACTGCCACGAGTTCATGGATATCTTTACCTCAACCACTTATCCCTCTGCATGATGGCAAATATACTGCTGGTATCCATTGTATATAAGGATGCTATGTGGAATCTCTTCCAGCTTCAGTAAGAAAGTCATAGTACTCACTCCTTAGGTTCTGGAGCAAGGCCATCCAATCTGCAGCAGAGAAAAATATTCAGAGCTTGAAAAACAACTTCTATAATGCCATTGTTCCCTGACCCTAGGGCAGGAAGCTCCTGACCATGGAACATTAAGTAATTATGCAACCAGAAGTGCCCATCACAAAATGAATATATTATATCCACCAAATCATAATATCAGGAAGTAACGGCAACAATCCATTGTACAATGGAAATGGTATATTCAGGATGGGGCTCAAGAGGGTCTGAAGTCCATAAACAAGTGACACAACAGGGGACCAGAGCCCCATGTTACATGTCCCTGTTGCATCAGTGCCTTTTCTTTCACTTACAGCTATGGCCTTGTTAGGGGATACCTGAAACTAAATGATAGATAAAGAATCAAAACAAAACAAAACACCCAAGCCTATATCTCTCAGATGGGTTGACTATGTTGATGAAAGCCAGAAATGGACTTCTGCTACATTCTAGCCCAAATCAAAAGTGGCTCTGAAAGATAGTAGAGAATACATTCCTCCAAGTGGGCAGACCTTAAAGCAGTACACCTGGTAGTAAACTTCATGAAAAAGGAGAAGTTCGGTTAATGATATACATGAGCACATTGGCAATGATGAATAGCTGGGCTGGTGGTCAAAGGTTTGGAAGAAGCAACATTGAAAGATGGGGATCAATCTGAAGAAAAAGCATGTGGAAGAACCTGCAGGAATGTGTCTCTGATTAATGCCTACAAAAGTATCAACCACAGAATAGCCACCTGGATAAAATGACTCAGCCAGTGGATATCAGCCAGACTTGTTTTTTAGTTACTTAAATGATAGTATAGGGACTCACACATGGAGTAGCAGAAATGGAGATTATGCATGGTCTCAAAGGCATGAGATGTTTCTCACCAAGCCTAATATGGCTACTGTTACTCCTGAGTGTTCAACCTGTCAGCAGCAGAGACTTGTAAGCAGACTTGCACTATGCTCTCAATTTAGTCTTCTCTGAAGAGACCAACAAACTACCTGTCCTCACATTGATAGCATTCTATTTTTTCCATCCTAGAAGGATAGCAATTGTCCTGACTGGCATTAATATTCTAATTAGGCTGGCCTTTCATACCTTACTGCCTTCACCATCACCAATATCTGAGGTTTCATTGTGTTTGACTTATTATCACTTATTATCACAGCATCACATATATTATCTTAGATCAAATGATCCACTTTATAGCAAATAAAGTATAACAATGGCACATGTTCAAGAGCTCCATTGATCTCACCAGTTACAGCACCTAAATGTTTCCAGGCTAATAAAATGTTGCTTAGAGCCAATGGGAATTAATATGCTCTTTCCCTGATCAGTAAAACATGCATCTAGGAACCAAAAGGTGAACGTTGGAGTGCCTTCTCCATTATTACTCCCCATGGCCCACTTGGTGAATTTGCGCTGGACTAGGGGCCTTGTTGTCAAAGGGGATTATGCTGCTAAGGTTTCTCTAAATCTAAGCTAACCACTGCCCACTTCTTTAAGGGTTGTCATGCCAGTAGACAAGCAGGTAAAGAAAAAGTTTCTTTACTATTATAATTGGTATAATTACACAGTAATAAACACATGCCATGAGTACCATGAGGAAATATCGTTGCTACATATTACATGATGTGGGCAGAGAAGGATATGTCTAGAACCTAGAGATGCATTAGGTCATAGGTCACATCTTAGTGCTTCCATGCTCATTGATAACTGTGATTAGGCAATTATAGCCATCATAACCTAACAGGATACCTGCGGTGCAGACTCCTCTGCCTGGATTATCCCAATAGACAAGCAATTTAGTTTGGCAGAAACGTTGGTTGAAAGTGAAAGGAAACTAGAATGGGTAATAGAGGAGAGAGATGATGAATATCAGTTGTGGTCTCAAGATCAAGTGCAATAGCCAGAACTAATCTCCCTCCACCATTTTTTTTTCCAAAATTGTATCTGGTTACCATTTTGAAGAGGCTTTGCCAGGATGGATGGAGTGAACTTGACTTGGGTCACAGGTAGATCTGAAGAAATAGTTGACTATAACAGGTGTTGTCTGTGCTCCTCCCATATCATTGCAGTGTAAAATGGCCTGTGACTTTTAACTGGGTGAGGGCTTTCTCTTACACCACAACTTGCCTTGTACAGCAGCTTGAAGTGCTGGATAATTCAAATCCCCTGAGGGATCCCTCAGCTAAGGGTGATGGAAGTTTGTGCACAAATATCTCAGCTTTATCCCCTCTCAAGTGGGCTGAGTCTGTGGAATTTGTTTTACATTCAATCTGTAACATGATCAATCTCTAGTTACTGATAGTGGTAAACTAACTTAACAACACTTTCTTCATTGGCTGCCCTCAAATTCCTATCTCAGTTCTCCATAACCTGACTGGCATTTGCTTAGCTCACCTCCCTAATAAATAAACTTTTTCCACTTGAATTCTCAACTCACAGTCTGCTTCTGGGAAACACAAATGAAAAAAAGCATGCATTGCCCATTTTGGCTTTGAGCTTTACCTCACCAGTGCAAAAATACTCAGCAGTCAGATCAGGCAATCTGACAGCTGAATATTTCCTTTGCAAGGGTTTTATAGTTTACAAAAGCTGCAATGGCAGGGAGCTTTTGTAAACTACAAAATCACATGGATTACATGAAGTAATGTAAAGGCTAGCATTTCATTCTTGAGGCTATCTAATCCCCTTTGGATTACCAGGATGTACAGGGCTACTTGCTTTGAATTCCAGTACTTCGAGACTCTTAGGCTTGTTATGAATAATACTTATTGAGTGTTTAATATATTCTGCCAACTGTTCCAAGTGCTTTACATATGTTGGTTAACTTCATCTTCAGCAATCCTATGAAGTAATGTAAAGTATCTATGGGGTAAAATTAGTTTTCTTGATGCTGAATCCACGATCATACCACTGGTCTTCTCCTATTTACTCATATCTACCTCTTCTAATATACATGCCTAAGGGAGCAGATGAATAAGCTCTGCACAAGATAAGAGTAAGTAAGTCATTAACAAGTGTCACTCAACTTTGTAATACCTGTTTAGGTTCTTCAGATGATTTTTCAGATGTCTTCATACAGTGAAGTTGCTAGATAAGTGACTTATGGAAATTGTATATTTCATATGAATTGCAACCCCTATTTAATGGATTTGCCCTTCCTGTTTCTGTTTTCATATTCCCTCCCCATGATGTTAGAGCTAATTCTAGTCTTTTAAATTTGTGAGTTATAGTCTCAATTTAAATCAAATGCTTTGGGCATAGGTATATAAATTCGTGTTCAAATATACTTAAGATGTATTTGTTATTGTTGTGTGCTCCAAAACTTAGGGTAACTAGATGGGTATATATTTAGTGAAAGAGCACAAGTTGAAACTAAACCAAAAACTGTTATTATGATTTAGTTGTTTAAAAGAGTGAATCATTTAGAGGCATATATTTGAAGTGATTATCTGATATATAAACCTTTAACTAGATCTTAAAATATTATATTTTAAATTTAAAACATTGCTTTGAAATGTGACTTTGTAAAAATAAATAAATAAATAGATAAATAAATACATAATTGTATTCCCAGTCCCTTTCTCATTGAAGATAGATTGACTTTAGGTAGACTTATTAACTAAATTATATATAAGTTATGACTACATACTTTCCCTTCTTGCAGTCATAGCCCTTCTAATTCTTTCTTTATTAGTCAAAATTTTGACATATTTCATGTAATATATTTGCTGTTTGATGTATGGTACTATGAAAATTTGTCATCTGGCTATTTAAATATTTACTTCAGTGAGGTATAATAGAATTAGGACAATTGATTGAGAAAGGCACTATTTAGAAGATAATATATTATAATTGTGTAGTATTTTAGCAGGATAACTACATCATTAGCTTCATATTTATGCATATTCTTCTTTATTCCTTCTGAAGAGAGTCAGCAGCTTGAGATTTGGCCCAACAGCTACTGACAAGGGAGCTTTCTGCAAGGATAAAAGCTTTGAAAATCACTACAAATAAAGCATCTTGTTTTCCATTAAGTTACATTCAAATATCCATGTACTGTACCCTGTAATTAAGTCAAATATCAATTTTAATCACTGCATCCTTAGTACATAATTTCTGTAATGCAATTGCAGCAGTATAATATGGAGCAGCTAAAATGCCCTCGTTAAATGGAATTTTAACTGCGGGAAATTGAGATACAAAGAAAATCATCATACCTGCACTTAAGCAGTTAAGCTGAGAGATTTATGTTTAGGAAAGTAGGGGAAGAGAGACTGGTTTAATTCACAAATTATTGTCCCTGCTAGTCTACATCTATGATTTTGAAATAAGAATACTGACTATGCTTTGATTTTAGAGAGTATCTGAGAGTATCTTTAGAGAGTATCTACATCTATGATTTTGAAATAAGAATACTGACTATGCTTTGATTTTAGAGAGTATCCAAAGAAGTTCCTTAAAGATAGGACTCCTATTAGTTAATAAACTGATCCTACAATTAAGTTTGAATGCTATTATCTCAACAGATAGCAACATTAATTTTGGGGAAGAAAAGTATCTTCCTTTTGCTAGCTTTCCAAGAAAGGAGTTTGACTGTGTGAGTAAAAGCTTTATTATTTAAAGTACAACTTGCAGCTCTTCAATTAGGAGCAATTTCAAATGTCAGATTTAAAGTCTGTAGAACATCTCACATAAATGTAGCAATTGCCTTGTACATCACTTGGCAATAGTTTAACTCTGTTTAAGACTGGAAGAAAATATTTTGAGTAAAATAGAAATGACAAAGTAACTACTAGATGTCATCATATTTTCTTTATATTGACACATTAGCATATTAGGAAAAAAATGTCTGGTCATATATGGATATTGCCAGGCTTAAAACTCTTGCTCCCTTCAGTGAGCTGGCTCAACATTCATACTGTCATTGCTCCAAGAAATGGAAATCATCTGAGATGTCATTATGTAGCTAGTGGATCTAGAGCCTTGATAGAATATTTACAATTAAAAAAGACAAAGTTTTGAAAAATCCATGAATAATTCATCTGACTATTTACACAAGACATTCAGCTGAAATATTCCAGTGTTGCATATACAAGTGCATGCTTAAGCTACTCCTTTTTCTTTATGATGAGAGGGAAATAGTTTGCTGGGCACACCCTTCTTGTCAATGGTGCAAATCCTTTTAGAATCCAATTTTGAACCTGCCATTTGGATTAGGTTCATGTTCATAGCTTTTGAATTATTGATTACTTGAAGGCCAGGGCATCCCAATCTGTGTCATAGATGCATAATTTATCATGATATTTAAAAGCATGTATATCTTAAAGGCTTTTGGAACTTTATTTCAATGCCTAATGACAACATATCTGGAGCTTTTTATGTTTTCAAAGTCTTGGCAAAAAGACAGGGCCTTCTGGTGCTGTGGCCTCACGTGACAGCTCAGTACCTTTTAATGTCCCCTTTCTGTCTTTGAATTTTATACTTTTCCTTTCTGATTTGGTTCTTCCCCTGACCCCCAGTCCTTCACATCACTAACTCTTTCTTTGGTCTTTGTATATGTTTTAAGACTCTATTTCACAGGCCCCCCCATGGTGCCCCCATGTTTTCTTTGCATCTCTCTTCTTTATGTTCTTCTTTTGTGCATTCTGCCTTTTTTGATTTCTGCTGCTTGAGAAAACCCTTTCAGACATTTATTTCCTATTTATTGTGTTATTTTTCTTTGTAGGAAGAGCCTAGTTAATTTATTACTGGTCTGAATTTTGTCTCAGATGCCTCTAACATTTGCCACACCACAGTGAAGAAAAGGGGTGGAGAATGGCAAACTTCCTTCAACTTCTGTTGTTAGAATGATAAAAGTTGAGTGGGGTGATTTCAAAGCTGGGGGTGATTCAAGCCTTCCTCTTCTCCAGAGTTCACGTCAGCCACCACCACAATGAGGCTGCCACCTTCCCACTTCCTTGCTCTTAAACCTAACAATGACAATCAGTACTCAGTCACAAACTGACAGAAATTCCAACTTGCAGAGTCAGAAAAGAAAAAGGGGCCAAGGATTGCTGGTGAGACGGAAGAAGCTTGAAGTGCAGACACATGCTTAAAGGAAAACTGTTTGATAAAAACACCCCATTTTTCCATTTTAAATGCCTTTTCAGTTTTTGTCTCAATTATTTTTAATCTTTCTTCTAAAGTGAGGTTTGAGTAATCTTTTTTAGAATGTAATCTTTATTGGTCCATGAATTAAGACAGATTATTATAAAGAATTATTGTTTTATGTATGGGATACAAATCAGAATTTACATTTATGTTTTCTTATTGTTTTTGAGGAACGTGACTGCTGCCTAGAATAAAATATTCTCATAAAAGGGTAGTGTTCACAGAGATACATATAATGGCTTATTGAGGCCTTTCTTCATATTTTTTATGTAGAATTAAATACACTTATTATGAAGACATCTTAGGTGATATATTGAGAAATAAGATTTAAAATGTGATTCAACATTTCTGCATACTTTATGTAACCTGCCTGTGAAAGAACCCTAGGGTTGGTGAAGATAATGACATACTAGCAGTGTGATACCGCTTATTAAAATTTCTATATGTCGTTGTTTTCTTTCAGAAGATCCAATTTGATCCTTGGTGTTTCAAAATCCATCTAATGCAGGTTTTCTCCTGTAACAGAAAAGGGCTATCTACAGGCAGGATATCCCATTTTGGTATCCTGTTAAGTGACTTTTAGACTTCCAGAGTTTGTCTTCTTTACCACTTGATATTGACGTCTTACTGCTCTTCACATCTAAGCCAAAGGATAGCGTTTTCTTCTATATTAATTCAAAGGTTCTTTAAGATCCGTGCACACAGGCTTTGTTTCACACCTTTGAACTAAGGTGCCTGGGATGCCTTCCATTCCTCAGAACAGACAAAAGCGAGCTCTCAACTCTTCTATTAAATGACTCAAACTTGAGTTTTCCTATGACAGCTTTCTCAGCAAACTCCTAACGAGGCAAAATTGGCTACTCGTGGCTTTGGTTCTCTGTATCCAGCACATTTTTCAACAACAGCCCCTAGAATACATCGGGGCACCTGAGGTTGTGCTTGAAACAAAATAGGCATTCAATATCTACAGACTGGCATCAATATTGACACTTACAGACTAACAGAATGACTGACTGGTTAGATATCTAATCACTTGCAGTGCTCTCATCAAGCCCATGATGGATTAATTCACACTCCTATTCTTTTGCATATGCTTTCTCTCTGGTCAGAGTCTTGTCTAGCTGAGTCATTAAGGTAAGAAGAAAATGAAGAGGAAAGAGGGGAGAAATAGCCAACATGTACCAAGAACCTGCTGAGCCAGGTACTGTGCCAAGCACTTTAATTAGTTAATTTAAGCTCACAATAACCAAATGAGGCAGGAACCATTATCATCCCCTTTTGACAATATAGAAAACTGAAACCAGGAGATCAATGAACTTTCCCACAGTTACACAACTAGTGTGGAAATTGGACTTAATTTCTATCTGTATGACTATAGCTCTCAAGCTATTAGGTTGGTGCAAAAGTAATTGCGGTTTTTGACTTTTTTTTTTTTTAAGGCAAAAACCACAATTACTGTTGCACCAATATAATGATAACCTTCAATCATTCTAACTTATTTAGCTAGCGAATGCAAACTGGTTTTACAAAATCTTTGCAGCTAACCATTTCTCCAAGGAGTAGAGCCTGGCATGACAGACATTTCAATGTTTCCCCTTTGTGCAGAGTTAGATGAGATTATTACTATGTGACTATTCCGATTTGTGTTTTTCCTGTTCCTTGAAGGCATGGATGATGTCATCTTGTCTCCTGTGCCTGGATATTTCCTGAGTCCTAGTTGAATAAGTGAGTGAATGTTCTTATTGTACAAATTTTTATCACAGTTATCATATGCATTGCAGCTATTTATTTTATAATCTTATAATCTTTTTTCCTGGCCTTCCTTCTGATGTTGTTCAGAAACATCTGCCAAATGAATGAAAGAATGAAAAAGTGAAGTTATGAATAAACACAAGTGATTGTGGTATGGAAGGCTTGTTTCCAAATCTTACTTGCCAGACTCTTAAAAATTTATTTGTTCTTATCTGTCTGAATAATTCCAACTCAAATGTCAAGACTCAAGATATGCATCTTTTCCTCAGAAAATGCCACCGTCCCCAATATTTACACCCAGGGTACACCCAGACTGACAGAGAGAAAAGGCTCATTGTTGGAGCTTCTATCTCTGACCAGAGCTGGATGATGGCACTTCCCATGCTGTAATGCAACACTTTATTTTGGTCTAGGTCTCCTGATAGGCTAAGACCTAGAGACTAATATTTTATTTAACTGTATGTCTTTAATATGTAGTATATTTCTTAGTATGCAGCCAACAGTTATTGACTATTAACTGCTATTTGTTGAATGAGTGAGTCATTTTGTATATTTATAAATAGGGGTAGGATCCCAGAAAATTAATTAAAGGAAAAAGAAGCTAGTTAAACTTTTAGTTTATTTTTTTATTTCCCTAGGTTTTTGGGGAACAGGTGTTATTTGGTTACATGAGCAAATTCTTTAGTGGTGATTTGTGAGATTTTGGTGCACGCATCACCTGAGCAGTACACACTAAACCCAATTTGTAGTCTTTTATCCCTCACCCGCCTCCCACCCTTTCTCCTGAGTCCCCAAAGTCCATTGTATCATTCTTTTTTTCTTTTGAGACAGAGTCTCACTCTGTTGCCAGGCTGGTGTGCAGTGGTGCCATCTCGGCTCACTGCAACCTCTGCCTCCTGAGTTCAAGCAATTCTCTTGCCTTAGCCTCCCAAATAGCTGGATCTACAGGCACGCACCACCACGCCCAGCTAACTTTTTGTACTTTTAGTAGAGATGGGGTTTCACCATGCTGGCCAGGATGGTCTCGATCTCTTGACCTCATGATCCGCCCACCTTGGGCTCCCAAAGTGTTGGGATTACAGGCGTGAGCCACCGCACCTGGCCCATTGTATCATTCTTATGCCTTTGCACCCTCATAGCTTAGCTCCCACTTATGAGTGAGAACATACAATGTTTGGTTTTCCATTCCTGAGTCACTTTACTTAGAATAATAGTCTCTAGTTCCATCCAGGTTGCTGCAAATGCTGTTAATTTGTTCCTTTTTATTACTGAATAGTATTCCATTGTATATATATATATATGCCACAATTTCTTTATCCAATCGTTGATTGATGAGGATTTCAGCTGGTTCCATAGTTTTGCAATTGTGAATTGTGCTGCTATAAACATGTGTGTGCAAGTATCTTTTTTGCATGATGACTTCTTTTCCTTTAGGGAGATACCTAGTAGTGGGATTGCTGAATCAAATGGTAGTTCTACTTCTAGTTCTGTAAGGAACCTCCACACTGTTTTCCATAATGGTTGTACTAGTTTACATTCCCACCAGCAGTGTGGAAGTGTTCCCTTTTCACTGCATCCATGCCAACATCTATTTTATTAATTTTTTTTTTATTATGGCCATTCTTGCAGGAGTAAGGTGGTATTGCATTGCAGTTTTGATTTGCATTTCCCTGATCATTAGTGATAGTGAGCATTTTTCACGTTTGTTGGCCATTTGTATACCTTCTTTTGAGAATTGTCTATTCATGTCCTTAGCCCACTTTTTGATGGGACTGTGTGTTTTTTTCTTGCTGATTTGTTTGAGTTCATTGTAGATTCCGGATATTAGTCCTTTGTCAGATTTATAGATTGTGATGATTTTTTCTCCCACTCTGTAGGTTGTCTGTTTACTCTGCTGACTGTTCCTTTTGCGTGCAGAAGCTGTTTAGTTTAATTAAGTCCCATCTATTTATCTTTGTTTTTGTTGCATTTGCTTTTGGGTTCTTGGTCATGAAGTCTTTCCTGAGGCAATGTCAAGAAGGGTTTTTCCAATGTTATCTTCTAGAATTTTTATAGTTTCAGGTCTTAGATTGAAGCCCTTGATCCAACTTGAGTTGATTTTTGTATAAGGTGAGAGATGAGGATCCAGTTTCATTCTTTGACATGTGGCTTGCCAATTATTCCAGCACCATTTGTTGAAGATCAGTTGACTGTAGGTATTTGGGTTTATTTCTGGGTTATTTATTGTGTTTGATTGGTCTATGTGCCTATTTTTATACCACTATCATGCTGTTTTCATTACTTTGGCCTTGTAGTATAGTTTGAAGTCAGGTAATGTAATGCCTCCAGATTTGTTTGTTTTGCTTAGTCTTGCTTTGGTTATGCAGGTTTTTTTTTGTTGGTTCCATATGGATTTTAGGATTGTTTTTTCTAGTTCTGTGAACAATGATGGTGGTATTTTGGTGGGAATTGCATTGAATTTGTGATTGCTTTTGGCAGTATGTTCATTTTCACAATACTGATCCTACCTATCCATGAGCATGGGATGTGTTTCCATTTGTTTGTGTCATCTGTGATTTCTTTCAGCAGTGTTTTGTAGTTTTCCTTGTAGAGGTCTTTCAACTCCTTGGTTGTATATTCCTAAGTATTTTATTTTATTTTATTGCAGCTATTGTAAACGGAGTTGAGTTCTTGATTTGATTCTCAGCTTGGTTGCTATTGGTGTATAGCAGAGCTACTGATTTGTGTACATTAATTTTGTATCCTGAAACTTTGTTGAATTCATTTATCAGTTCTAGGAGCTTTTTGGAGGAGACTTTAGGGTTTTCTAGGTACATGATTGTATCATCAGCAAACAGCGACAGTTTGACTTCTTCTTTACCAATTTGGATGCCCTTTCTTCTTTCTCTTGTCTGATTGCTCGTCAAGGACTTCTAGTACTATGTTGAATAGAAGTGGTGAGAGTGGGCATCCTTATGTTGTTCCAGTCCTCAGAAGGAATGCTTTCAACTTTTCCCCATTCAGTATGATGTTGGCTGTGGGTTTGTCATAGATGGCTTGTATTACATTGTGGTATGTTCCTTGTATGCCGATTTTGCTGAAGGTTTTAATCATAAAGGGATGCTGGATTTTGTCAAATGCCTTTTCTGTGTATCTGGAAATGATCATGTGATTTTTGTTTTCAATTCTGTTTATGTGGTGTAACACGTTTATTTACTTGTGTATGTTAAACTGTCCCTGCATGATATGAAACTCACTTGATTGTGGTAGATTATCTTTTTGATATGCTGTTGGATTTGGTTAGATAGTATTTTGTTAAGGATTTTTGCATCTATGTTTATGGGGGATATTGGTCTGTAGTTTTCTTTTTTTGTTATGTCCTTTCCTGGTTTTGGCATTAGGGTGATACTGGCTTCATAGAATGAATTAGGGAGGATTCCCTCTTTCTCAGTCTTGGGAAATAGTGTCAACAGTATTGGTACCAAAGTCCATTTCACTCCCCTGCAACCTCCACTGGATCAGGTGCTGGTATCTATGGCTGAGAGACCTGAAGATGGTTCACATAATGGGACTCTGAGCAGACACCCCCCAGTACCAGCCCACGGCCTGGTAGCCCTGCGGGGTGGCTAGATCCAGAAGAGAAATAACAATCACTACAGTTCAGTTCTCAGGAATCCACGTCCCTAGGAAAAGGGCAAGAGTACTATATTAAGTGAGCACCCCGTGGGACAAAAGAATCTGAACAGCAGCCTTGAGCCCCAGACCTTCCCTCTGACATAGCCTACCCAAATGAGAAGAAACCAGAAAAACAAATCTGGTAATATGACAAAACAAGATTCTTTAACACCCCCCAAAAATCACACTAGCTCACCAGCAATGGATCCAAACCAAGAAGAAATCCCTGAATTGCCAGAAAAAGAATTCAGAATGTTGATTATTAAGCTAATCAAGGAGGCACCAGAGAAAGGTGAAGTCCAATTTAATTTTTAGTTCTTTAAGGAATCTCCACACTGTTTTCCATAATGGTTGTACTAGTTTACATTCCCATCAGCAGTGTAGAAGTGTTTGTGTGACTTGTAAGGAGGTGGAGATTGCACCTACCAGTAAACTTCCCTTTGGAAATAGTCACGTAGTGCTGTTAAAAAGTATATAATAAAAACCACTTTAGGCCAATAGTTGTAAAAATGCAACCCAAGGCTTCCAAAATGTTAGCAACAATACTCTTAAATTCCAGCAGATGGTAGTGTTGTTATAAAAATCTGCCATCCTTGGTTAGCTAAAATAAAACACATCTCACTTTTCATAAAAACACTTTTGTTCTTTTTTCCTTTGAAAAATGAAGAGAAAAGAGGGTGCCCAATAACTCTTCTTTCTAGAAGCTTTAAGTAAGAAAGAAAACTTAAAAAAAGAAAGTGGTCACTGTTGGTCCATGATAGAAGAATTATAAAAAAGTTTATTTTTCATAATTGATGGTATATAGATAGATATGGATGATATATATTATATATAAATATAAAATTTATATGAATATAATTATGTCACAGAAATGATAAAAATGATATATTGTGTGTTGGTCACTATTTATCTACATGTAATTATATGTATATAAATTGCATATATCATATACATAATTTTTTTCTGTATTTGCTGTTTAGGATTGGAGAAGGAACAATGGTCCCCTTCCCCACATCTACAACTATCAACTCTTCAAAATATGGTTAAAAAGGACTCTAATTATTTAAAAATATAATAATGTATCTTTCCATTGCTGGGGTGTCCATGTTTGTATTACCTTGAGATCAAATTCTGATAGAGTATATGGGAACATTTCTCTTTTGCCTTAGTCCAACCCCACATTTATTAGTCCAAAATTAAAATGCATATTATCTTTTGACTGATCAATGAAATGGGTACCAGTCAAAGATTACAAAGAAAGATTTCAAGAAAGACTTCAGAATATCTGAGTACTGTACAAGCAAACAAGATCTTGGTTTAGATTATTTGTTAATACTTCCTAAAGTTCAGCAATTTCTTATAGAACAACTGAATGATATCCTGAAGTAACACATATTTCTGCTGTTGTAGAAAAGGAAGATAATTTTCTCCTTAAATCTTCTTATTCTTTTTATGCTTGCATCTATTTAGTATACAAATCAAAGGGATAAAAAACTGATGTACAGACGGTCCCCAATTTACAATGGTTTGACTTGACTTTTTGACTTTATGATGGTGCAAAAACCATGCACATTCAATAGAAAGTGGTAAGACGCTCTCTTGTGATGCTGCAGCTCCCAGTCAGCCATGCCATCACGAGGGTAATCAACTGGTACTCTGTAGTGTCCTGTGTTGCCAGATGGTTTTGCCCAACTGTAGCCTAATTTAAGGTGTCTGAGCACATTTAAGGTAGCCTAGGCTAAGCTACAAGGTTAAGTAGTTTAGGTGTATTAAAGGCACTTTTAAGTTATGATATTTTCAACTTACAATGTTTATGGAGATGAAATGTTACGTTAAGTCAAGGAGCATCTGTATAAGCAGGATCATTATCCTTATATTAATGAGATCAAAAAAGAGAAGCATTCACTAAGACAATTTATTTCTTTTAGTACTATTTTCTTGATAAGGAAAAAAGACAAGAAAAGTTGACCAAATTTTTAAATATTTACATTTTATATTTTTAAAGCATATCAATTCTATACAGGCCACCTAAATATTAGACGTTCAGATAAGTGACTTCTAACATATTCTGAGGGCATTTTTATATGTATGTAAATGTGTTTATATAGACATTTACATACATATATAGACATTTACATACACATATTTATCTTTACATCTCTGAAATTAGTATTGAAATATGTGAGAAACAGGATTTGTTGTGTGTGCTCATTTTAAAAACACTGTATAACTGTGTAAAATATTTTTCATTGTGGAAAATGGTTAGATGGTATTATGTAGAATTATTTTACAGCCGGTGACATAAGGGGTGATTTTTTCAAAGAATTCTTTTACTATTTTGAAGTGTCCTTTTAAAAGAATGATACTTTTTATAACTGATAAAATAATTATTGTAATATAAAATTCAATGTCCAAAGACATTATCAGGAACACACTGATTATTGAAAAAGTAGTTTGTAAAACCTGATGTCTAATATATTAATGAAAATAAAATTTATTTTTGTTAATCTAGGTCATAACTGCTTTTGGAATATCATGAAACATATGAATGAATTTATTCCAAGTGAAAAATCATTCAGTAGAGTCAAACTATAGTGTTTTCCAAAGGAATTTCCTTTTAATGACTTGCAGATGTTGTTGTGTTTAATGTCAATAAAAAATTGAATTCAGTTTTTGGACATAAAAATTTACATGAAATACATCCCCCGAGTACATTAAGTGTTTTCATATTCATGAAAAAGACCATTTGGAAAAGAGTAAAAACAGATATTTAAAAAATTTATTACTAAAAATGTTTGTTAAATATTATAATGACTTTCCTAGAGCAATCCCTTAAATTAAAAACCTAAGAAAATAATCGATTTTATTTTAGAGAGAGAAAGTGTTTTTAGGATTGAGAAAGAAATTACTTCTTAATATTTCAAAATCCTGTACAGGTTAAGCATTCCTAATCCCAAAATTTGAAATCTGAAATGCTTCAAAATCCAAAACTTTTGAGTGCCCATTTGATGCCACAAGTGGAAATAATACAGTTGACCTCACATGATTGGTTGCAATCAAAATGCAGGCACACAACAGACTAGTGATCATGATAACAGTGATGATGAAGATGACTGACATTGTTAACACTGCAGAAAAATTATCTAGAGATGGCATGGTGAAAATGTGTGATGGGCTTATTGAAGGACTAGGGCAGTATGCATTCATCACAGAACAAGAAATCACGTAAGCTATAAAATCAAATAAATAATTCTAAGACAAAAAAATGAAAAATTAAAACAAGTTGTTAATGAGGCAGATGACATTCTGGAAGAAACATTTTAAGAAGCCATCCAATAGGATGCTTCTTCATCTTTAGAGGGCCCTCAAGTGCTTCTGATTCTTCTTCTCGCCTATCTCAAAATACAATACGATGTATAGTAACCTTCTAATCTAAACAGAGGATTGCGGGTAGAGACTGAAAGTCTGCCATTGCTTGTGGATGTTGTTTGACAGCTGATACAGGCATTCTGGTGATGACACTGTGCTGTTTGGTTACCTCAAACACATTATTTTTTTCACTGTATTAATGGTGTGTCCTCTTTTTTACAGTTAAATACCTATGTGTGAATAAGTGTAAGAAAATGATTGCTTATTAATAGCATATAAATTCAGAGTCAGGAGTGATGGTAATGCCAGAAAAAAATCTTCAGATTATCTACATGAGTGGCTGAGATAGTGACACTTTTGCTTCCTGATGAGTCAACGTACACAAACTTTGTTTCATGCTCAAATCTGTTTTAAAATATTGTAGAAAATTATCTTCAGGTTAGGTGTACAAGGTGTATATGAAACATAAATTTTGTGTTGTGACTTGGGTTCTATCCCCAAGATATTTCATTATGTATATGCAAATATTCCAAAATTTGAAAAACTCCAAAACACTTCTTGTCCCAAGCTTTTTGGATAAGGGATACTTAACATGTATTTGTTTTTTTCAATCTGCATTTTAAATTTTCTGATAAAATATATGGAAAAAACAACATCTCTAAAAAAACGCACTCCTTCTAAAGTCATAAAATTTCTATTTCAGTGTATGTTAGTAATTCAGAGAAGGTCCCTAGATGTGTGCTTCTCTAGAACTTTGCCCTTTTCTCTGTCATAATACTTGCAATTGCCTCCTCGTTTACTTACCTTGCTAGATTGCAAGTTTCTTGAAGTCAGGAACCATGACTCATTAGCTTACCATGCTATTTCAGTGCCCAGCACAATGCTAGGCCCTCAAGAAGTATTTACTAAATGAAGAATCCAGATTTTTAAAAAAAAAATTCGTGGGTATATAGTAGGTGTACATCTTTATGGGGTACATAAGATAGTTTGATACAGGCATGCAATATGAAATAAGCACATCATGAAGAATGGGGTATCTACCCCCTCAAGCATTTATCCTCTGAGTTACAATCTAATTATACCCTTTAAATCATTAAAATGTACATTTAAGTTATTATTGACTATAGTCACCCTATTGTGCTATCAAATAGTAGATCTTATTCACTCTTTCTATTTTTTTCATACCCCTTAATCATCCCCAACTCCCCCCTCCAAGGATCCAGATTTTTTACTCTCTCACCATATTTTTTTTAAAAAACCTTATTTTATTTTTTATTTCCTAAGGGTGCTAAAATTCTGAAAAATCATCCGGAAGTAATAGCATCACAATATTAGTATTTATTTAGTCATCTATCAAGTCATCCTCCCACCCCCCGAATTAGGGCATGTGGGTGAAGTCTTAGGAGCCTGCAACATTTTTTTTTCCTTTTAAAGGGGCTAGGCACACTCATACCAAGTTGCTCCTTGGCATTTTAAGTGCTATTAGCTTTAGAGTTAAGACATGCTCTAAATGAAGTACCAATTACTAGTCACTGGTTCAAAATTCAAAGGGGAAGAAGAAAGGAGTTGAGGGTGAAGTTAATAAGTAGTCTTCTGCCCTACACTCTGAATCTGCACCCTGATTTGTCCCCATTCATCTCCTCAAACCCACCCCGCCTATGAGGTCATTTCTACTCTGGAATCTGGGACAAATCGAAGGTATAAAGGAGTTTAACTATTTGTAGCTGAGTTCTCAGGGAGACTGAACCTTGAATCCATGTTTCTCTGGTTTTACTCTGACCTTTTGTTTTATTTCTAGAAAATGCAATTCTTGACTTGAGATGAATCAGTTCCCCAATTTATACTTCATTCGTGGAAACTGGGTCTTGGGCAACATCTCAGCAATTCCTTCCAATCTGAAGTTCTCTCATCTGCTGGTAACCGGTCCATTCCTATTGGCGTTCAAGCAATCACAAACACATCCTACTTTTGAGAAATGTGAGCACATGCTTCCCAGCCCCTTCCTAAAACTCTGCCTTGGATAGAAAACATATCCCTGGGTAGCTCTTTTTCTGTCATCACTTTTGCCAGATGTTGATGGCAGAATTCCTCTTTGTTTATTATTAACATCAATTCCAGGAGATGTGTTACCCTCTGTCCAGAACATGAAGTACTTGACTTGCATCTATCTTGCTTATGATTTGTATTTCATTGGCACATCGTCCAAGATGAAAAAATTCAAGCAGTATAATCATAAATATTGGCATTTCAGTCATCTGATCCCTAATTTTTTCCCTTAACATTAGGAATTGATTCCATTTACAATGATTGCTGCCTATGTAATTATTTCTTTGTAACACAATATTTTAAGAGTACATTAACTCATGCATTATGAGATTGAGTATGTCATAATTATACAAAGCAGCAACTTGATCCAAGAGTTACAAAAAAGAATGATACTACCTTTCAATTATGACTTTATCTCAGATCCATTTATTAAGTATTGTCAGACTCATGGCCTGTGGGTATCTTTATTTTGTGTCATAAATAGAAAAAGAAAAAAGCGTTCAGTTCAGAGCTCAAATCCCTTTTAGGAAAAAAAAAAATCGTACGGTAAAACTGTTTAGCATAAGAAAAACTTTTTTTAAGGCTTTACATAGTTCGTAAACAAGTGTTTATAAAGCCCCTTTTGGGCCTTTGCGACCTTCATAAAATGCCCCTGATTATCAAAGAACAAATAAATTAGGCAGGTATACTAAATTTTTCTCTTACAAAGAAACACTGGTGAAATTATGTTAAAATAAACTTGACAGGATTTCTGGATAGATGACACTTCAGTGCCAATAATGTTGTTTCTCTGATAACCTTGCTAAAAGGCTAAATTTTTCAGTAATAGATTATTCCTGACCATGATACAGATTGCATTTTTAATTTTGCAAATGTTTTTGATTGGCTACTATGACCTTGATATCACACTGGACACCAGGCTATCAGGGGTTGATACTGGCTGTAAAGTCATCACAGGTGTTTTATTTGCAGCCAACTAGTGTTCTCTTTAACTTTGATTCCTATCTAAACTAGTTGGAAAAACCCAGGATGGGAAAAACAGAAAAGAAAAAAAGAGAGAGAGAGAAAAGCGTTTTTCATGAAGAACCATTCTGCAAAGCATTCTTTATTTTTCTCTTTCCTTCTTTTGTGAAGGGGTCAACCTCAGATAAATAGATTAGATTTGATTTATTTTTTGCCATTGGTTTCTTTTTTGCTGATAACCTACAGTTCAAATCTCACAGTTTACTTTAAAAGTAAACAGGCTTCCAAATTAACCCACCTTGGGAAGGTCTTGTGATTCATGGCAACATCCTGTCCATGAGTAAAGAATCTTATCGTGAGCTTTCAAATTGTTGACGTACTGATAAATGCATAACCTACTGACACTGAAAAGGACACTGATTTATTTCTGAATTATAAAGTTTTACTGACTGTCTTGCACGTAGACATTCTAGCCTGTATGTTGCAATCTGTTTCCAAGGATTGTAACCTCTGTATTGTACCCATCAATAATAATGGACAACTCCCATATGAGGAGTCCCCCCTCCCTTCCAAGCTTTCTTATAAACGCCTTCCAACTTGTCACAGACTCCAGAACACTCCCAATTTTGTTGGTGTGTTTTCCCAGGTCAATCCTCACATTTGCCTTCCAATAAACCATTATCAAATTATTTCTGCCTCAACAGCCTTCGTTTTGGTGGACATTGCCAATGTTACTATTTTGTGAACATATTCTATTATTTATTTAACCCACACTCTATTTACTGTAATCTATGTGTGCATCAAAGTTACATAGCTTTGAGGTTGAGTCCTGTGATGTATAGCTTTTCATCTCCCCCAATTTTTTTTTTTACTTCTCTCCTTCCTCAATTACTCTTATTTTGAGGCAGATAATGGACAGATAAACTTATCTCTTCAGGTGTGTTAGAATTTTAGCATTGATGTATATGATAATTTCTATATAAGTTTTAGTTAATATATAAATTTTGCATAGTGTGAATATATTATAAGCAAGTGCTGTAGTTGGAAGTAGGAACTAGGAGGTTAAAGCCTTAGGATAAACATTTGTCACTTATAGCCAGACGAGAAAAATATTTTCTTACGAGAGATTATAAAATGAAGTTATCTTTATGTCTGTTAACACTAACATTTGTACATGTAAAAAGAGAGTTGTTTTTTAGTTTTCAAATTATAAAAACTCAACTTTTTTCAATTCATGTAAAGAATCCAGGCTCCATAAATGTTTTGCAAGATTACGTTTCTTTAAAGATAGAGATAGATAGACAGATAGATAGATAGATAGATAGATAGATAGATAGATATTTGTGTTTAAGCAAACAAATGAATAGCTTTGTAAATAGTAGTAGGCAAGGACAATTAATTAATCTCTTAATTTCTTAATTGTTCTTTCCTGCTGTGGACTTTTCCCAGTGATTTTTTATTTTAAGTAACAGTTAATTCGGTTAAATGAATTGGGTATTTTCAGCCAACAGATATTTCTTGGCCTCACTCTGTGTCTGAGGCGCTGAGTCGGGGTGGGGATTAATCAGTTGATCAGGGAAAATTCCAAAACAATCATTAATGTCTAGAATCACAGAAGACATTTCCTCATGACAATATAGTATTGAGAAGGCAGAATTGTCTTGTTAAGTTATAAACTACAGAAGTGGGAAAGTAGCATCAATTACAAATGTATCCATTTACTAGATAATCTAAAACTTTATGATTTTGTAGAGAAACAGCCCATACTATTATTCTGTGTGTTGTTTATATGGTTTTGTTTTAAAACAGAAATGTTTACTGACAGGATGCTAAAATTTCTGCTTTTGAAAATTACCTGCTCTCTCAGGTGGGAATTCTGGAAATACTAAGAAGAAAATTACCTGAATTTGCCTTGGACAAATTTTTATTTGACTCTAAAGCCATATACACCAATAAATCAACTGACTGGGGGTAAAGATTTTAACCATCAGCTTTCTCTGTGATGATTTTGCATTTTTCATTATGTTATGAGAGTAAGCTATAGCCTAGGCCAGAATCCCATGGCTTTGGGCTAGAAAGATGAGAATGTAATGAGGTAGAAAACATATACACAAATTGCAACATCAATGATGATGTCCTTATAGCTTAACTTGCTTGCATAACTGCATTATAAATGGAGACATAAAAAGATACAGCATGTGGACATCAACTTGTAAATCAGCAACCCAAGGGCCTAAGAGCTTCACAACCTTGGAGCAGTCAGTTTGCATGTTTTCTTCAAAACAATTCAGAATGTACAACACTCATAGAGGACTGGCCTTTTTTTTCTATATTAAATGAAACACAGTTCTTAGAGACAGAATGATATATATATATATATAATTATATATATATAAAATGATATATATATAATTATATATATAATTATATATATCATTAGATATATATACATCATTAGATATATATCTAGATATACATATACATCATTAGATATATATATCTAGATATATATATCATTATATATATTATTAGATATATACATCATTAGATATATATATCATTAGATATATATACATCATTAGATATATATATACATCATTAGATATATATATATATATATAACTTTTTCATTTTAAAAGTTAAGTGACAAGAAGCCATTTCTTCCTTGTTATTACTAAAAGCTGACAGAAAGCGATGGGAAAAAGAAAATTGTGGTGGAATGAGAAGGTGATTGGTTTCAAGTAAGAGGACTGCCACCAACCTAGTCTCTGTTTCCTCAGTTTGGTTAAGAGATCTCTGAAAATATTCCAGCCAAATTTATTTATGTTACAGCCCTAAGACTCTTGAGAATATCTTTCTAAGCCTTTTGTTAGTTCTGAAAGTCAGTTCTAGCTAATGGCACACTAATCTTTCCTTCTGTTCTTAAGTTTAAAGGTAGCAGCAGCAGTAGCTTGCTCTATGTCCCAGACAACCTCTGCCACACTAGGGCTTCACAGCTCATCAAACACAGAGCTGTTAATTTTCTAAAACTTTACCCCCAAACAGGAAAAAAAATTAAGAGATTATGAAGGAAATTGTTTTAGTTTGTTCTTGCATTGCTATAAAGGAATACTTGGGGCTGGGTAATTTATAAAGAGAAGAAGTTTTATTTTGGCTCACGGTTCTACAGACTGTACAGGAAGCATGGTGCCAGCCTCTGCTCCTGGTGAGGGACTCAGGAAGTTTACAATTATGGCAGAAGGTGAAGGGGGAGCCAGTGCAACACACGGTGAGAGAGGGACAGAGAGCAGGGGGAGGAGCCAGACTCCTTTAAACAACCAGCTCTCACATGAATTAACAGAGCAAGAACTCACTTACTACCGTAGGGAGGGCACCACACCATTCATGAGGGGTCCACTCCTCTGACCCAGATACCTCCCACAGGCCACGCCTCCAACACCGGGGATTACATTTCACCATGAGATTTGAAGGGAACAAATATCCAAACCATATCAGATACCAACTTAATAATGTTTGTATTTTATCAGTATACTTAGGAGAAAGATTAAAGATAAAGTAGCAGTAGAACACAGGTTTTTTGTGTTGGGTTTTTTTTTTTTTTTGTCAGACTTACTCTGTTCAAGTCCAAGATCTACTACTTAAAATATGTAGCCTTGAATTATTTATTTTCAGTAAACTTCAGTCTCTTCATTTATAAAATGGTAATTATAATGATAATGATGGCTGTCTCAACTTTGCTTTTTTACTATGTGCTAGAATGAAACTTAGCACATAGTAACACATTCCCTATAAGGAATCAAACTTTTGACAGTGCATCTCTTTCCTGAAGACCTTCCCTAATTAATCAGAAATACAGAAGTACACGTATGTCTGTGTATTTCACATGGATTAAAAACGTGTTTATCATAACTTTTGGAGTTTGACTCCTTCATACACATTAATGAAAAATAGAGAAAAACTTACTTTGAAGACAAAATGTTAATATCTAAGGTGGCAGTATTCCTCTTAGAATGTGTTTTCTGTTGAACATTGGAGGCTGATTTTATTAAAAAGAAAGCACATCCACATTCTCAAGATTTACAACAAAGTTAAAAACTAAAAAAACATTTGATTGTCAAAAGTTCTATTAACTATCAAAACTAGAATATTTATTTTTATTTCAATAGCTTTAGGGGTACAGGTGGTTTTTGGTTACATGTGTGAATTGTATTGTGGTGAAGTCTACAATTTTAGTGCACTTGTCACCTGACTAGCATACATTGTACCTAACATGTAGTTTTTATTCCTCACCTCCCTCTCACCCTATGCCCATCCCCGCAATGTCCAATATACCACTCTATATGCTTTTTTGTATCCATAGCTTCGCTCCCCCTTATAAATGAGAGCATGTAGTATTTGGTTTTCCATTCCTGAGTTACTTCCTTTAGAATAATGGCTTCCAGTTCCACCCAAATTGATGCAAAAGATATTATTTTGTTCCTTTCTATAGCCAATTGATATTCCATGGTGTGTATATATCACATTTTCTTTATCCACTCATCAGTTGATGGGCACTCAGATTGATTCCATATCTTTGCAATTGTGAATTGTGCTACAATAAACATATGCATGCAGGTATCTCTTTGATATAACTTATTTTCTTTTGGGTAGATATCCGCTAGTGAGATTGCTGGATCAAATGCCGGATCTACTTTCTGTTCTTTCCATACTGATTTCCATGCTGTTTTTCATAGAGGCTGTACTACTTTAAATTCCCACCAGCAGCATATAGGCATTCCCTTTTCACTACATCCACACCAACATCTATTGTTTTTTGACTTTTTAATAATGGCCATTCTGCCTAGGATAAGGTGATATCTCATTGTGGTTTTAATTTGCGTTTCCCTGATAATTAGTGATTTTTCCATGCTTGTTGGCCATTTGTATATCTTCTTTTGAGAGCTGCCTATTTATGTAATTTGCCTGCATTTTAATGGCCTTATTTGTTTTTTTCTTGCTGATTTGTTTGAGTTCCTTGTAGATTCAAAGGATACTAGTCCTTTTGTTGGATGCAGAGTTTACAAATATTTTCTCTCATTCTTTAGTCTGTCTGTTTACTCTAATAATTATTTATTTTGCTGTTCAGAAGCTTTTCAACTTAATTAAGTCCCATTTATTTTTGTTTTTTTAAAACTAGAATATTTAAGAGAATTTGTTTTATGAAAAAATATCAAGTTTAGTTTTTAACCACCTGAGCTAACAGGCAGAAATTTTGGTAGTTATCTTTATGTTTCAGTACTTGGGAAAAATAGGTATTTGCTATATATACCAATAGAACTAAATGAAATTTAATTTAAAATTCAGAATATGCATTTCAGTGTTTTCCATACTCGTCTGATTTTAAGCATCACCCACCCAGAATCATTTCTGATAATTCAGATTCCTAGGGTTTATTCTGGAGCTATCAAATCAGAAACTCTAAAGACAGTCTGAAATAACACTCTGTGTTATTCTTATGATCAGATAAGTATGTGAAGAACTAACACAAATATTTCTCTGAGTTAAGCACATCTTTTAAGATTTTTAATCATTACCAAACAACATGGACCTTCTAAGAGAGAGGCTTATATTAAAAATAATGCAACAGAATTTGAACAGCAATAAAGTTTACATTTTACAAACAAAACCAAATTCAATTATCTTAATTTCTTTTAATCATCTCACAGTTTTCAGATCAGTAACATTTAAATTTGTGAATTTCTCAGATTCATAAGGTGTTTTGACTCTCTGAGAGTCAAAAATAGGAAGTGCAAATCATAAGTAAGGAGGTTTTGAAGTATAGCTGTATTGTTGCTGGTTTAATTTGTGAAGAGGTTTTAAATATTGATTTTTTTCTTCAACAAATAATTTAAACTATCTGCATGTTGGTGCATGCCAAGCTATTGTGTGAAATTTTACCAGCTGGGAATTATCCCCTCATTCTCTGGTGTGATTAACACTTCCAGCTGTAGAATAATTAAAATGTCAATCAGTTCAGAAACAGAGCAAAACAGTTTCTCATTTGATCCGTCAGTGGAAGGCTAAATGAAAGAGTATATCAGGTGCCTAGCTCTTCTCACAACAAGAGTTCACATCCCACCTCTCCCTGTTTTCCTCCACCTCCCCTCTTCTGCCTTCACATACACAAACACACACTGTGGACTCTGGGTTTGGATTATGTTCAAATTTGATTCTTTGATATGTCATCAATCTTTCAAAATTTGTTGTGTTGATTGTCTTTAAGAAAAACTTGGGGGAATAATGAGACCAGAAGATTAGGTGGGTTTTGTATGTGTTTTTATATGTGTTTTCTGCATGGTATATGTTCCTCGAACCATGTAAACATACACTCTATTAGTTTTGAAACTTTCTTCTTGATCTGACAGCACTGACAATGATATGCTTCATCATCACTCATAACCAGGACCTGAAGGGATGATAAAGCTTCTAGGCTTATAAAAAATAAAGTGATGGGAAAAAATAGTCACAGCATCCTTAATGTTCCTGAGTGTTCTAGTCTGTAGATTTGCATGAACATAGTGGCTAGAAAATACAATATGGATGCACAAATTTAAATCAATACATCTCTGAAAGCCCCAGCCCCACTTCTGCTTCTTAAATACTCTTTTATAGGTCTCGATACCTAGAGTCAGCAGCAGCAGTGTGGCTTTTACATTTTTCTGTT
The DNA here is from genome assembly GCF_000001405.40 of Homo sapiens. Lineage (NCBI taxonomy): Eukaryota > Metazoa > Chordata > Mammalia > Primates > Hominidae > Homo > Homo sapiens. The sequence continues at coordinate 148,447,617 of NC_000003.12, read as the reverse complement.
AGAGCTCTTTTTAAACTTAATTAAAGCTTTAATAGAAGTTTTATTTCCCTTAGAGAGTTACTCTGAAGTTTAAAGTGGCCTTAAAAATAAGTACCCTAAATACCTGTTCATCAAACATCCTTTTGAACTTTTTGTTTTACTCAGAAGAATATTACTAATCATATATATGAACTCTTTTGGATGAATCTGATACTCTAGGTAATGATCCCTAAGACTTCTATAGTGGTTATTTTAGTGGTTTCTTTGAAGTCTTAAGAAGAGGTGGTAGCAACATGTAAGTGAAAGGGTGTCAAATTGGTAGAAGCTAAAAAAGGTTGGGTTTCTGAGTGATGTCCTCTCATTTGAAGAAACCTTGAGCAACTCTTTAGCCAACACCTGCTGTGCTGGCAAGCTGAACCTCAGATAATATGGTGATGCTCCTGATTTATACGATCAAGGTCATACCACCCACAAGTACATTTCTAGGCTCAATCTTTTAAATACCTTTGTCATTTCCTTCCTTCTAAAGCAATTGTGCACACAGTGGAATTTATTGAATGTTGAGACAGCACAAAATATTTGCTCTTTTCACTAATTTTCCTTTTCTCTCTCTTTTCAACACACTAAACCTTTTCCAAAGGTTCCAAAGGAGGAGTCAAAGCGGCTGTAATCTTGATTCGGTTTTATGGGCAATAGAATTATTTTACTGATTCCTGGAATCATGGCTCCTATACATGTAAGTAAGATAATCTTTTTCTCCAATCAATATGTATTCACTGAGGCTGAGATTACATCAGCAAGGGCTAGTCCACTGACCCCTAAATATTCATACTTAAAAAGGAAATTTGGAATCCAATAAGAGAGGTGAGACTATGGTTCAATTAAAGAAAATGCCTTTAAAAAGGATGATGAAATTCCTTCAAGTACAAGGTATGCTCTTTGAGTTGTTATAAACTTGTTATTGTTGGAATTTTACTCTGGGTAGCAGATACTTTAATGTCGATGAATCCCAAATGCAATTCTCTGGGCTATTTTTGAAGACTATGGAACATTAGAGAGCAAAAAATATAAAGTTACCAAAAAATGTCAGCATTGCATCTGAATGGGTTCAAAACAAAATCAGTCCATATCTTGATGCTGTGTGCATTCTCTGAAAACACAATAACCACAAATGGTGCCAGAGGGAAAAGAGAAAAGGCTTCTGTTGACTTCAAATAAAGGCGGTATCTGACAAAAGGGGAAGCAAATGATACCTTGATATGCCATTAACAAATGCCTTGTATATCTACAGCTGCACTCTATGAGCACTTTGGAAATTAAAGGATTGCCAGCTTTTCCACTTTGGGACAAAAAACATTTGTGCTAAACAGCCGGTAAGTAAATGCAGTAAACATATTTTTACAGTGAATAGAATTGTTTTATATTTTGGGTACTGATTGTGAATCTCTAGTGCTTCTTGATTAGCAAACATTTGGCAGTTCCCGAGTCTTTAGACATTAAAATGCCAAAACAGATTTTTATTTTCAGACTGAGCTCCTATATTTTTTTCATTCCCCTAACAATTATCTTCAAAACATTTGAAAGCACTAAAATAAAACGTGTTCTGAAAACACATTCGGAAATGTTTTACCTGTGTGACTTTAATAAGTATGTAAATAAAAAAAAAATACTGGGTTGCTGTCTAACTTCCTTAGGGCAGAGATGAGAACACAGTACATACATAATGACTGTTGGAACTGTTGGTGGGCATTTCCTAGGGCCTTGCCTTGGGACAATGGAAGGTTTTATTGCTGAACACCAAAGCTGCTAAAAACAGATGTTTGTGCAAAGTCTCTTGGGTGTATCTCTTAGTAGTAATGTTCCTGCTAATTTTTAAAATCAATAAACTTCTAAGAGGTTTAAAAGTTCTCAGTAATGATTTCTATCTCTTTTTAAGAGTCATGTCCTTACACATTTTTGTGTTGTTACATTGAAATTATTGGAGGGTTTTTCTTTTAAATGATCATTTTAAGTATCTTACACTTTAACCTTAAGATGGATTAGGAGATGGATTGTATTTATTTTGCATTCATTCATTGAATATAATTTTTAGTTAATTATATAGAAATGAATGTTTTAATCTGCCAACTTTATATAAAACTTGAAAATTCAGAAAAAACAAGTAGGCAAGATGGCATAATTTTTATACCGGCTCACATCTTGGTTGCAGTGCAGGATTTTGCAGTCTTCTATGATTGAGTGTGTATGTGTTGTGTGCATATTTGTGCATGTGTGTGTATGTGATTTGTGTGTGTGCATAAGTGGAGGTTGTGGTTTTATCATTGTAATTAAAATTTTAAATTAAAATGTAATGGCATGTACTAGTTTTATATTGCTTCTGTAACAAATTACTACAAATTTAATGGCTTAAAACAATATACATTATCTTATCGTTCTGGAGATGATCAGTCTGAAATGAGTTTCACAGTGTTAAAACAAAGTGTTGATGGGATTGCATTTCTTCTAGAGGCTTTAAAAGAGAATCCTTTTTCTTTCCTTTTCCATATTCTAGAGGCCACTTATTTGTATTCCTTGGTTTTTAAGGAATCTTCAAAACAAGCAACTACATCACTCTGACTTCTGTTTTCATCAGAGTCTCTTTCTCAGACTCTGACTCCTCCTGCATCCCTCTGACAAGGACCCCTGATTACATTGGTCACATCTGGATAGAGGGCCATCATTGTTACTTCTACTGGCATAAAATTCACTAAAGTAAAATTCTGGCTACTCACCTCTCCCTTCAGTAAATCTTCCCATGATTTCTTACCTCCCCTGAACGCCAGTATTTTTATCCATACAGTTCACCTGTTTGCTTAAGGAAATTATCCTTGAGTATCCATGAAATTTATGCTGATGCCACGTGCCCAACCTTCCCCAACATGCCTACTTTATAAACTTCGGACTTTTCCTTGCCCCCTTCCCTGTGTGAGGTGGAAGCATTACTTCTAGAACAAACTTCTTCTACCTGAATCTTTTTTTCTAATGGTGCTTCAATTCCCTGAAATGGAAGCACAACTTTCTCCTGGAGGTTCCATTTCTGTAAGATGACCTTCTGCTGGAAGTAAATTCTTTTCTACTTCTGCCAACTCAATGTGCATGTAAGGAGATGCCTCGTCCTTATTTCTTGATGCCTCTTCCACACCATTATTCTACAACCACCATCTAACAATCTCTCCTCCCTTGAAGTTGATGATATCTGGTGGTTGCTTTTCTTTCCCCATTTTTGACATGATATGCTAGCTTCAAGTTCTCCTTATATTCTTCATTTAATTTATTATTTTATTTTTATGATTTGCAGGGATTATTCCTTAGACACTTTATTGTCCATACTGCTATCATCTACCAAACTAGCTTCAACTTCAACATCAATGGCCTCCTTTATCACCTTCCCATATTGTCCCTTACGTATGGCAATATCTTGAATCTTGAAATTACTTGGAAATGATGAGATGGAAAATGAACTCTAAGGTTCTACTTTGTGACTTTACCCTTCTTCCCTTCCAACTGTTCCCTTTCCCTTTAGTCTTTCTTGACCCCATTTTTCAATTTCACCTGATTCCCTGTCTCTAAACTTCTCTATTCCCTCCATCTTTTAGCCTCTCCTATAAGTCCTTATTTGTATTCTGGAGCAGGGTTTCTGAAACTATCTGTGAGGTGAAGGACCAGTTTTTATTTCCCAACCCACTGTCAAATGATATTTTATTAAAATATAATAATCATGAATTTTACTTGAGAATTGAAAATAATAGACAAGTACATACAAAATGCAAACAATTTTTACTTTAAGAGTCAATAGATGTAAAATTTCATTTACTATGATCAAAGCAAATAGAGTAGAATAAAATAATTATAAAAATCACACATAACACGTTGAAAATGTGCTTATAAATGACTAATATAGCCATTTTACTCATATTTGTATGATATTCTTCAACCATAACCAACTGGAATTTCATTAAGATTGCACTGAATTTATAGATTAAGTTGGTAAAAACTGATATATTGACAATACTGAGTTTTCCTATCTGTGAACATGGAATATCTCTCCACTTATTTAGCTCTTCCTTGATTTATTTTATCAGAGTTTGTAGTTTTTCTCATATAAGTTTTGTTTATATTATGTTAGATTTATACCTAAGTATTTCATTTTTAGCATGCTAATACAAATGGTGTTGTATTTTTATTTTCAAATTTCACTTATGCATTGCTGATTTATAGGAAAGTAATTTACTTTTATATACTAACCTTGTATTCTGCAACCTTGCTATAATCACTTACTAGTTCCAGTTTTTTGTTGTTTTGAATTTTATACGGAGATCATGTCATCTATGAACAAAAAGTTTTATATCTGTATTCCTAATCTGTATACCTTCTTTAAGAAGCTTTCCTAAGAAAGCACACATAAGTCTAAAACCCACTGGCCTGCATGCTATATATCTGCATGCTTACTTAAATTTTCTCCTATATTTTAGTCATTTTTATTCAAACACAGCATGATATTTAATTAGTCTAATTACTATACTCTTTGCTGATTTCTATTCCCTGCCTCCTGCTCCCAAATTTCTTTCTGTTCTTTAATGAGATATTAATATGATAACTTAAAATGTACCCTCTATGGGTAAATCAATATTTTGAATTAGGACCTCCACCTTTCGTTCCATCTTATTTTCAGTTTCTCTGGGCAACTCTTCTTATGTTTTTATCATCTTAATGAAAGTATAAACATCTGTTCTCCCAAGCCTGTTTATTTTTTGTCTCATTTCACTAGTACCTCCACGTCCTCATTCAGCCAGGATAAGTATTTAGATCTGTGGGTTTTTTTCTTTCTGTATAGGCAGAATTCTAAAGTGATGCCTGTGATTCCTGCCCTGTGAAATGCACAACATTTTGTAATCTCCTTTTTCATGCAAGTGAAACTTGTAACTCACTTATAACCAGTAGAATATTGCAAAGGTGAAGGGAAAGCTTAGATGTAACTAAGGTCTTTAGTCAGTTGATTTTTAGTTAATAAAAAGGGAGATTATCCTGGGTTGGCCTGACTTAATCATGTGAGCCCTTTAAAAGAGGCTGTAAGCCTTTTCCAAAATAAGGCACAGGAAATAGCAGATACTCTCTCCCTTTCTGGCTTTGGAGAAGTAAGCTGCCATGAATTTTACAGCCAAACAGAAATGAATTCTACCAACAACCTGAGGAAGCTTGGAAGTGAATACTTCCCTAGTTGAGCTTCCAGATGAGAATACATCCCAACCACCATTTTGATTACAGCTTTGTGAAACCTTGAGCAAAGTACCCAGTGAAGCTATGCCCAAACTTGTGACCTACAGAAACTTTGAGATAATAAATATGTGTTGTTTTAAGCCACTAAATTTATGGTAATTTGTTATGCAGCAGTAGAAAACTAGAACACTCATTTCTTCCAATTTCCACATTTGCTCTTCAACCAATTTCTGTCTCTTCTACATACACAATATTTCTTACTCCCATTTTTCACCTTCTCATCACTACCACTTTGGTTTATTTATTTATTTTATTTTGTTACTAAAATGGCCTTTTGAATGATCTTCTTTCCTCTCCAACTCACTCTAAGAACCACTAGAAACACTAATTATGCCATTCTTGCTGTAAGGAAAGATGGTCACTGTGGTCATAAAGTAGAGAGGTTGATCTAGTGATATTGGCAGAAGAGCATGATAAGATGAAATTTCCAGGGAAGAACTATTAGAACAGGTGGCTGGAATGGAGATGGTAGGACCCTGAAGATAAGTTAAGGAATTGAGAAATCACTGTGACTATGTTGCATAGGCTATTCAAGTAGACACCAAAAATAAAATATGCTGGTTATTTTAATATTACAATTATAACAAGCAGAGACAAATGAAATTGCTTATTTTATGTTGTTTTTCATACCTTCTTTCACAAAAACATAGTAAAAGTTCCCCTTTGGCCTTTTAAGAAGAAAGTTTTAAAAATGTGCATTTATGTAATAACTCAATATAAGTTACAAAAGTCATGTATTACAAAGTCCATGCAAAAAAAAAGTTATCACATAAAAAAATTCTGTAATTATCAAGCCTTCTAACCAAAAATGAGTCAGTTATGCTCTTTTATACAGAGGCTGCTTTCTTCTAGGAAAAAGCAAATGCCAGTGTTAATCAAACCAGCATGGAAGTTAATTAGAACCTCAAGAACAAGCGGATGGGCTTAGCACCTTGGACACATCAATATCTTGTTTCTAAAGATGACCTCAAAAGATTGCATAACAATAAAGCCCAGCACAAGTCAGAAGTAACTAATTAACTTTTCATTTTTCCCTTAGTAATTTAGTCCTGCTCTTTAAAAATATTTCTAAACTGAGAAATCCCCATTAATTGCTGTATATTGGTTGTTCAAATGAGGGTAATGACCCTTTACTTGATTGTATATACCCGTCATTTAGTTTATCTTTTATATGTGCTTTATAAACAACTCTCAAACATGAAGCAACTTTAGTTAATAGCCTCATTAAATTTGAATGTAGATATAGAATTTTAGAGACTGGAAAACTTTCTAACACTGCATGGGAAATATTAAATATTTTCTTATCTACCTTGCAATTAGGGGAGAAATTGTGCTAACCTCTCCCCCAGACATTATTGCTTCATCATCTCAAACCTCTGGAGGCTCATAGTGGAAATGGTTGGGAAGAGGGCAATACATCAAAGCACGCTTTCTTATCAATAATTACTTTGATGTTTTCGGTTCTGCTCTCACCTTTTTTAGGTGAGAGATCTGCCCACTGAGTGGTTACCTAGGCTCAGCCCTGATAAAAGAGAGGTTAGGAGTCACTTCAGATGTTGCTTTGGCAGTTTTTTTTTTTTTTTAATGTTTTGTGTTTGTTTGTTTCCTAGAGTCAATCTACTGAGGTCCTACAATTCTCTTCATTGACCTGAACAAACTCGACTCTGCTTTTCCCTTAAATTTCTGTACAGAACCCTGACAACTCGTCTATACTTTCTGTTATTGATTTCCCCCATGCGCCTAAGTTTCTTATGACTTCTGGATTCTCCTTTTGGCTTTGCAGAACACCCCTACTTCCAAACTCTAGAGTAAAATTCCTGTGAAGACTGATACCTCAGAAGTGACTGCTTCACAGATAGACATCTAATTTTTTAATTGAGATTTCAACTATTTAACACTTACCGTGTTAACTCATGACACTCTCCTCCATTTGCTCATAAACAACAAAACAATAACAAAAATGAATGCTCACTGAGTGCTACAGAATGCAAACTATTAAAGATACAGAAATAATGAATAGGACTTCTGACCTTGAGTGGTTGGTAAATAAAACAGAAATATAAAAAATGAAATAAATAATTAGGGTTACTGCCACTAGAGAAACAGATCACAGGCTACAGATTACTACTGGCCCTATGAAGCAGGAAGACAGCACAGGTATAGCAAGGGACCTTTTATATGTAGGTAGAACCTTATTGTAGGTAATGGTGAAAGCCAGTGAGCCCTTGCTCTGGGCTGCTCTGGTGAATTGGCACTCCCTTCACTGTTTCGCTGACTAGACCTCAAGTACCCTCCATGAGAGACTAGGGAGGCCTTGTGGAGCTGTGTCCTGTTTTCTACTTGCATGAATTATTTGCATTGCTTGTTTGTGAGTTTTAGCAAAATAAACTGAATGCAGACAATGCCATGTCCAAGTAATCTTGCTTGGCAATGTTTGAATCTCTATCAGACTTTGCTGCTGCTTACTTTATTCCTTCTCCCAGTTCAACCCCAGAAAAGACACAGGAGTTAAATGACAAAAAGTGTGGGTCTGAAGAACTAAATCAAGACTGTTAGAAAACACTGGGCAGAGAGAGGTGGTTTTGTGCTTGTATGGAGAGAAATAGCTGGCAGGACTGAAAAGGTTTGCATGCACAGCATAGAAACTACTTAGGGGAAGAGCTTTCAATTGTGCTCCTTTCTCGTAGTGTCACACTGGCTTGCATAGATGCTCACTTCCTCCTCATTTTTGATAGAAAAGCAGCTGTGACTGTGTAGGGCCACTGGGGTCAGTAGGGTGACATCAGAGAGGCTTAAGACCACACAGACTGGAAGGCCAGCTTCTGAACAAGCCCTCATCCCCTCCTCTCCTGCCACCACCCTCACCTAGCTGTGAATAACCAAACAATGAAGGCAGGCTCTGGGAGAGAGCTGTGTCACAGCAGAGGGTTCCCTGAAAACCAGTGCCATCTGTTGGGTCGGGGGCAGATGATGGCTCCTCAGCCTCTGCCTCGTGGTATATCTCTCCCACCTTTAACCAGGCCAAGAGCAGCACATGCTCTACCTTATACACATTACCAGCAAGATATTGCATATGCCCAGGGAAGATGTGCTGGCAAATGGTGTCAGACTTTTGTGAGGCAGAATCATGAAATAGGAGGGTCAATAAAATAGGCAAGTCAGACTAGATGAATGAGACTTAATTAAAATATCAAATCAAGAATTAAAAATAAAAACACTGTCCTCTAATACTACAGAATAATAACAAAATGAGGGAAATGCAAGCCATTTTAAAGAAACACAAAGTAGAAAACTTGGATGTAGAAAGAAAATAATTAAAACATTAAAAATGAATAATTATACCTGAAAATGAATAAATGAGAGTATTGTGTCAACAAACTCTTGTGAAAAGAATTAGCAGGAATTAAAAGAGAAATTTTAAAAGTTAAGGTGTATAAAATTTAGTACTAGAAACATCAAAATCTAAATATTAGGATAGAAAAGATGGAGAGGAAAGTGTTGAATACATAATCACGCACAATTTTTCAGAACTAGAGCAAAATAAATAAATCATATTGAAGAGATTCCTAGTATGACAAATAGGATAAACAAGGAAACATTTACATCTAGACATATTATAGTTAAAATATAACATTTACATCTAGACATATTATAATTAACATCAACTATATCAAGAATATTCCAAAAGCTTGTGAATAGAGCAGATCTTCCTAAAAGAAAAAGACTTAGATTGACTTTAGATTTCTCTTAATGACCCAAGAAGCAAGAAGTGAGGTCACAATTGCAAAGGAAAATAATTTAAACATGGGATTTTATTCTGTTTTTTATTATCAAAGATTTGTGACAAAAAGATAAAGAATAATAAACATATATCTACTATAAATTATGACATAATAAATAATTACTTTTTTTGTGGAAGTATTTTGCTTGCCCACACCAATCAAATTCCTTCTGAGTATGTTGAGTTTGATGGTCATCCTTCTAGGCATGTCTTTATATGTTTAGTTCTTATGGATGCATTTCTAGACAATATGTCATTTTTTTGGGCATATTTTTTAAAAATAAAGAAGCCAGGTATTTTATTACCATTATTAAGCTATCATTTCTTTGGTGACAGGGATGTCTCTTTATTTGTATAAAATAACAGTCGTCAAAGAGTTACACGGAAAAATTAGGGTAATATTGCTTATCTTCTGATGCAGGCAGCTAAACAAAACGTATTTCCACTCTAGTTATTTCCAATGAACACTTCCTTAATATGCTGACAGAAACTCAGTAATAGATAAGTACAGTAGTTGCAATATCATTTATGGCCTTTACAGTACAATTTTAGTCTTACAATACATGTTGTTAGAACTATTTTTCACCACAGATAGTACTAGGAACTCAATATTTTGCTAGAGTCTAGTTTGATTATCACCCAGTGATTGTGAAAAAGGTATAAATTGTGTTTATGCACAATCATTGGTAAGCTAATGAAACTTTTCTTCCAATATCATAGTTATAAAAACAGACACACAGACCAATGGAACAGAATAGAGAATCCAGAAACAAGTCCATACACCTACAGTGAACTCATTTTCAACAAAGGTGCCAAGAATGTATAGTCTCTGCAATAAATGATGGTAGGAAAAACACAGTCTGTTCAATAAATGGTGTTGGCAAAACTGAAAATCCATGTGCAGAAGAATAAAAATAGATGCTTATTGCTCACCATATACAAAAATCAAATCAAAATGAATTAGAGAATGATACTTAGCAGCTTCATCCATGTCCCTGCAAAGGACATGAACTCATCCATTCTCAGCAAACTAACACAACAACAGAAAACCAAACACCTCATGTTCTCACTTATAAATGGGAGTTGAACAATGAGAACACATGGACACAGGGAGGGGAACATCACACACCAGGGTCTGTCAAGCAGGGGGAGCTAGGGGAGAGATAGCATTAGGAGAAATACCTAAAGTAGATGATGGGTTGACGGGTGCAGCAAACCACCACGGCATGTGTATACCTATGTAACAAACCTACACGTTCTGCACATGTATCCCATAACTTAAAGTATAATGAAAAAAAAAAAACCTAAAAAAAGAATTAGAAACTTAAATCTAAGATCTCAAATTATGAAACTACTACAAGAAAACATTGAGGAAAATCTTCAGGACATGGTCTGGGGAAAAAAATTCTTGAGTAATATCTCACAAGCACAGGCAACCAAAGCAAAACTGGATAAATGGGATCATATCAAGTTAAAAAGCTTCTGCACACCAAAAGATACAATCAACATGAAGAGAAAACCCACAAAATGGGAGAAAATATTTGCAGATTACCCACCTGACAAAGGATTAATAACCAGCATATATAAGGAACTCAAACAACTCTGTAGGAAACAATCTATTAATCTCATTTAAAAATGGGCAAAAGATCTAAACAGACATTTCTCAAAAGAAGACATATGAATTTCAAGCAGGCATATGAAAAGGTGCTCAACATCACTGATCATCAAAACTACAATGAGATATCATCCCACCGCAGTTAAAATGTCTTATATCCAAAGACAGGCAATAACAAATGCTGGTGAGTATGTGGAGAAAAGGGAACCCTTGTGCACTATTGGTGGGAATTTAAATTAGTGCACCCTCTATGGAGAACAGTTTGGAGGTTCCTCAGAAAGCTAAAAATTGAGCTGCCATATGATCCATCAATCCCACTGCTGGGTATATATCCAAAAGAAAGGAAATAAGTGTATCTAAGAGATAGCCACACTCCTATGTTTGTTGCAGCACTGTTTACAATAGCTAAGATTTGGAAGCAACCTAAGTGTCCATCAACAGAGGAATGGATAAAGAAAATGTGGTACATACAATGGAGTACTATTCAGCCATAAAAAGGAATGAGATCCAGTCATTTGCAACAACATGGATGGAACTGGAGATCATTATGTTAAGTGAAATAAGCCAGGTACAGAAAGACAAACATTGCATGGTCACACTTATATGTGGAATCTAAAAATTAAAACAATTGAACTCTTGGACATAGAGGGTAGAAGGGTGGCTACCAGAGGCTGGGAAGGTTATTGAGGGTTGTGGGGGAAGTACAGATGGCTAATAGTTACTGAAAATAAATAGAAAGAATGAGGAAGATCTACTACTTGATAACACAACAGGGTGACTATTGTCAATAATAACTTAATTGCACATTTTAAAATAACTTAAAGAATGTAATTGGATTGTTTACAACTCAATGGATAAATACTTGAGGAGATGGATACCCCATTTTCCATGATGTGCTTATTTCACATTGAAAGCCTGTATCAAAATATCTTGTGTACCCATAAATATATACACCTACCATGTACCCACAAAAAATTTTTAAATGATAATTTAAAATAAAAAATAAGATCTTATAAATATCAGCATTTACCTTTACAAAGAAAAAAGCCCATAAAACAAAATAAGATACCATGCACAATGGAAGAAAACAATAAAATATTTTTATTGTGCTAAGATATACATAAAATTTACTATATTGACCAATTTTAAGTGTACAGTTCAATATTGTTAAGTACATTCACATTATTGTGCAACCATCACTGCCATCCATCTCCACAACTTTTTCATCTTCCCAAAATGAAACACTGTATTTATTCAGCCCTGATTCTCAGTTCCTTCCTCTCCCCAGCCCTTGGCCACCACTATTCTACTTTCTGTCTCTGTTAATTTGACTACTCTAGTACCTTGTATAAGTAGAATTGAACAATCTTTGATTTTTTTTTTTTCATGACTGGCTTTTTTCACTTAACATAAGTCTTCAAGGTTCATCCATGTTGTAGCATGTGTCACAATTTCCTTTTTTTTTTGATCTGGAAAATATTGTATTGTATGTTTATATCACATTTTATTTATCCTTTTATTCATCAATGGATACTTGGATTGCTTTCACCTTTTGGCTGTTGTGAATAAAACTGTTATGAATTGCACGTACAAATATCTCTTCAAGCTCCTGCTTTTAGTCCTTTTAGACATATACCCAGAAGTGAAATTGGTAAATCATATGTTTAATATTTTGAGCAAATGTCATACTGTTCTCCACAGTGGCTGCACTGTTGTACATTTTCACCAGCATGGTGCACAAGGGTTCTAATTTCTCCACATACTCACCAACACTTGTTATTTTCTAGTTTTTAAGTAGTTGCTATTCTAATATTTGTAAAGTAGTGTCTTATAATTTTTATTTTTATTTCCCTAATTAGAGATGCTAAGCATCTTTTCATGTACTTATTGGCCATTTGTTTATCTTCTTTAGAGAAACGTCTACCCATGCTGTTTGCTCATTTTTTAAATTTTGTTTTGTTTTGTTGTTGTTGAGTTAGAGTTCTTTATATAGTCAAGATATTAATTTCTTATCAGATATATGATTTGCTAATATTTACTTCTATTCTGTGGTTTGTCTTTGTATTCTGTTAATAGTATCCTTTGATCCATAAAAGTTTTTAATTTTGGTAAAGTCCAATTTATCTACTTTGATGCAAATAGACAGCTTCAAGAAGGAGGTATGCCTCATCTTTGCAAGAGAAGTAACTATGAAAAGGTTTGAGTCTAGGTTTCAGTGGAACGAATTGGAATGGTGGGGCATGGGGCAATAATAATTGCAAGTTCAGACCATAGCTAAGATGTTTAAAAGAAGGAAGGCAAAAGAGAGAGTAATAGGAAAAAGATATGAGATCACGGAAGCAAATTTCTCCCTTCCTCTTCATCACCTTCCCTGTCTTCTCTCAATCCTGGTGCAGTTATAAGTACTCTAAAATAAAACTCCAGCCAACATTTCCATCTTTATGAAAGAAAACTTTTTTCTTTTTATTATGAATAAGACCTGAGTATATTAATAGGCTTTGGAAAGAGATCAGGGAAAGGGGGAGGGTCAGAAGATAGAAGAAAGAGGGGGAAATTGTTTAGTGAAGCCCTAATCCAAAAGTGAGGGGATGGAAGGAGAATAAAGGCAAATGATTATTAGACCTGGCCAACGGGTAGGATTATCTTTTACTTCAAATGTAATAAACCTAATAAATAGCTGGAGAGGGGAATAGAATATTTATGTGTGATAGAGGGAAGTTAAAGAGATTCATATGGTAGAATTGCTCTTGTATCTCTGTGAATTAGGAAACAAAATCATCTGCCAAAGGTAAGGTGTTAGGTTAGGAGTTGGAAACAGAAATAAAAGTCTGGAATTATAAAAAATGGCTTTTTCCCTTGTTTTGGAACAGAACCAGCTTTAGGATGTTTTAGTAAATTGCTGTGTCTCAACTACCTGAACTGCCTTCCCTGTTGTAAATCTCTCTTTACAAGTAGAAACCGTGGCAGGCAACCTGTCATGGAATTCCAACTGAGTGCTAAATGCATTTTATTCTTTAAAACCTTCTCAATGATCACTAAACAGATGGCCTTCCACAGTTAGCTTCACCAGAACATCTTGTCAGGCCAAGCCTGTTTAGCTTCAAAGATGGCATAAGTCATAGCAGTTTTCACATCGGCCTGTTTCTCACTTGTATGTATGTTCACCTACTAATTATTTATATGAGCCTAATAGCTTTTTTTAAAAGCCAATTTAATGAAAACAAAATGTGACTGCCAATTTTCTTCTAATTTATTCTTTTACTAAAAATATTACTTCTAAAATATAATTCTGATTACTCTACTCTCTTACTTAAAATGTGTCCTAGGCTCCATATCCTAAGTTGGAATGAAGCCATTGCTTTGTATGATCCTCAGGTCATTCTGAGAGACTCTCAATGTCTCTGCGTGACCTGGACCTCTGTCCACATCACAGTCCCATCCTGTGGTGGAGAGTCTTACTCTCAAACTCATGCTTCCCAGTTTTGTCTCGGAGCATCACGCAGACTACTCTCTATACCTACATCACTCAGCTCCTTGCACGTTATCAATGCTAATTTATACTCATGTTTCATGTCTCAGCTTTGATAGCACTCTTTCCAAGGGCTTAAAGCTCCTATTGTGTGCTCCCACAGTACTTTGGTTTTTTGCTTTACAATTGCCTCCATTTTTTCCATCTCCCTCTGCGTTTTTAGCCATGGAAGTCCATGGACCACATCTGAAGAGTCACTGTTCCCTCTGTATACCTTATACATAGAGTCTGGCATATAGCATGAATTAAACCATGGTTTTACTATTTTCTGAATTTGAAAAGAGATTTTGTAGAAACAAATTGGAGTTTGGAGAAATTATCCAATTTTGTTGCCCCTTTCACTAGCTATATCGACTTGTGATACTATTTAAACTTCTTTGACCCTTACTTTTCTTAGCTGTAAAATGAAGTTGTCTACCTACCTTCCTCGATGTAAAAAGTAAATAATATATACGTCTAGTACAATGAATAGCACAAAACAGGGTAAAATATAATTGATTCTATCTTATTATTTTTCCAATTAAAACATGAATGCCAATATTGTTATCATGGTTTTTCTCCTTTATTTCCCCTTTACTGATTCTATCAAGATGGCAGCGCCAGTGCATTTGAAAAGAGCTACTTACACAATTAGTTGAGATAGAAATAACAACTAAAAATAGCTAACATTTATTAAGCAGTTACTCTGTGCTTGGCATTGTGCTAAACAGTTTATACATACTATATTGCTAGTACTTATTTGTATCATTTTCTTCATAATATTTGGGATTATGAAGGATGTAGTCACTGATTATCCTGCAGTCAATGATGACAATGGAAGATGAGACAGAATCTTCTTAGTTATGTTAACATTCAGGTGGACATTCATTAGTGCATGCCAATTTTTTTTTTTTTTTTTTGTATTCTGTATCGTTTTCAGAGTCTCAGTGCCCAGTAAGAAGAGAAGAGATCTATGTGGAGAAATGGACTGTCAGCTGCTCCCATCTCACACGTTTTACCCACAAAATACGCCAATCTAAAGCTTTTACCAATATGTCCTTTTCTTCTCAAAGACATCACCAGTTTCTGGGCCACTATTTTATTGGAAGTCCCGTAAACACCCTGGACATTTTAACGTCACTAAGATTTCTCATTGTTGTTGTGTATGGGGTGTGTGTATATATATGTGTGTGTGTGTGTGTGTGTGTGTGTGTGTGTATCATACATACATATACATAAAATTTTCTGCTTGCTGTTTTTTCTATTCTTTCTTTTGTTTCTACTGTAGGTTTTTAGTTTCTTAAAGGCAAGAACTGGCTGGGCGCAGTGGCTCACGCCTGTAATTCCAGCAGTTTGGGAGGCCGAGGTGGGCGGATCACGAGGTCAGGAGATCGAGACCATTCTGGCTAACACGGTGAAACCCCATCTCTACTAAAAAATACAAAAAATTAGCCGGGCGTGGTGGCGGGCACCTGTAGTCCCAGCTACTCAGGAGGCTGAGGCAGGAGAATGGCATGAACCTGGGAGGCGGAGGTTGCAGTGGGCCGAGATCACGCCACTGCACTCCAGCCTGGGCAACAGAGCGAGACTCTGTCTCAAAAAAAAAAAAAAAAAGGTGAGAACTATGTCTTATTTGCATTGGTATCCTCAGAACCTAGTATTATACCAGACACATAGCAGACTTCCCAAAATTATTGTTGAAAGAATACATTTTGAATAAATTATTCCCCTTTACTTGTATACATGTGTGTACACCCACATGAATACTTTCTAGGTAATTGATATGACTGTCACAATTTTGCTAAGACTTGTACTTAAAGAGTACTTGTATCTTGTAGAGATTTATACAGATTAAGTAAAAGACACTGTGTGAGCAGTGATGACCCCTGTGGAAAATTGCTGCTCTGAGAACAGCTGGGAGAACAAGGGATTTTCTTTTTTTTTTTTTTTTTACTTTTCTTTCTTTTTTTTTTATTATACTTTAAGTTTTAGGGTACATGTGCACATTGTGCAGGTTAGTTACATATGTATACATGTGCCATGCTGGTGCGCTGCACCCACTAACTCGTCATCTAGCATTAGATATATCTCCCAATGCTATCCCTCCCCCCTCCCCCCACCCCACCACAGTCCCCAGAGTGTGATATTCCCCTTCCTGTGTCCATGTGATCTCATTGTTCAATTCCCACCTATGAGTGAGAATATGCGGTGTTTGGTTTTTTGTTCTTGTGATAGTTTACTGAGAATGATGGTTTCCAGTTTCATCCATGTCCCTACAAAGGACATGAACTCATCATTTTTTATGGCTGCATAGTATTCCATGGTGTATATGTGCCACATTTTCTTAATCCAGTCTATCATTGTTGGACATTTGGGTTGGTTCCAAGTCTTTGCTATTGTGAATAATGCTGCAATAAACATACGTGTGCATGTGTCTTTATAGCAGCATGATTTATAGTCATTTGGGTATATACCCAGTAATGGGATGGCTGGGTCAAATGGTATTTCTAGTTCTAGATCCCTGAGGAATCGCCACACTGACTTCCACAATGGTTGAACTAGTTTACAGTGCCACCAACAGTGTAAAAGTGTTCCTATTTCTCCACATCCTCTCCAGCATGGTACTGGTACCAAAACAGAGATATAGATCAATGGAACAGAACAGAGCCCTCAGAAATAATGCCGCATACCTACAACTATCTGATCTTTGACAAACCTGAGAAAAACAAGCAATGGGGAAAGGATTCCCTATTTAATCAATGGTGCTGGGAAAACTGGCTAGCCATATGTAGAAAGCTGAAACTGGATCCCTTCCTTACACCTTATACAAAAATCAATTCAAGATGGATTAAAGATTTAAACGTTAGACCTAAAACCATAAAAACCCTAGAAGAAAACCTAGGCATTACCATTCAGGACATAGGCATGGGCAAGGACTTCATGTCCAAAACACCAAAAGCAATGGCAACAAAAGCCAAAATTGACAAATGGGATCTAATTAAACTAAAGAGCTTCTGCACAGCAAAAGAAACTACCATCAGAGTGAACAGGCAACCTACAACATGGGAGAAAATTTTCGCAACCTACTCATCTGACAAAGGGCTAATATCCAGAATCTACAATGAACTCAAACAAATTTACAAGAAAAAAACAAACAACCCCATCAAAAAGTGGGCAAAGGACATGAACAGACACTTCTCAAAAGAAGACATTTATGCAGCCAAAAAACACATGAAAAAATGCTCATCATCACTGGCCATCAGAGAAATGCAAATCAAAACCACTATGAGATATCATCTCACACCAGTTAGAATGGCAATCATTAAAAAGTCAGTGATTTTCGAAATGAATAGTTTGTGCTTCTGTGTTAAAGATCAGATGGATGAACTAAAGTGAAACTAAGTGTGCTAAAAAATGACCTTGGCTTTTTATTGCGGACTTTGAACTAACCTTATTCTCCAACCTCAGTCAAAATAATTTTCTCCATTAAGGTCTGTCAAATAAACATGCAAAAAATGACCTTCACAGGATAGTCCTTAGGAAAAGCTAATAAATGATTGCAAAACTCTGAGACAAGGAGAAGCACTTGGTAAATCTTGAATAATAAATCAGGACCTTTCTGTGCTAAGTCAAACTAAGAAGCATTTAATTTGGAATCTTCCAGTGTTTGGCTATCTGCTCAAGGAAAAAGGTTTGCAATAAATGTATGTATGAAAGAAAAGCTGACAGTTGAAAAACTAAAATGAAAAGTAATGACATAATGTTAGGAGATGCCTTCAAGGAGACAAGTCCTCAGAAAGTTGAGATCTCAATTTAAAATGTTTCTTTCTCTCTAATTGTTGTTCTGTGTGCTGCTGCAGTATGATGAAATGGCCATAAACTTAGTGTGATAGGCTTGCAGAATAATTTAATTATAATTTAACATTTACTTTTATGCTATGCAATTACTTACATTGCTTTTTGCTGAAGACAATCCATTTAAGCAGCTGCACACAATGAAAAAATAGCTGACAGGGTCAATTCTAAAGTTATACTAAGGTTTAGTTACATTCGTTTTTTACCCAGTGGACTTAACAAATTAGGCAACATGAGACTGGTTGAAAGAAAATAGACAAGTATTCAGGAGCCCTTGATTCTACTCTAAACCAGCTCTTTGAATTTTGTAGGTTCTATAATCTTTAATGGGGTAAGTAGTTTTTTTTAAAAAAAATCTATAAACATTGTCATTGTATGGTCGATATTTCTTTTATTCACTAACATTCTGTAAGAATGATACATGCTGATGTGGCCTGTTGAATCAAAGAAAAGCTGTGTCATTTATGAGTTTAAATCTATCTCCAAAGCCAGTCATCTGCATATATTGGGTGTCTACTCTATGGTAATGGGCAAGAATGGTCCATGATGTTAGACTTTTATTCTGTATTCTAGGTTTCTTTATATTTCTTCTCTTCCTGGAAGTCTGCATCACAAGTAATTTTTACATGAGCACTTTCACTGCAAAATACTTGTTGTCTGGTTACAATGTCGATATGACCATTTGAAACATCACTTAAGACTTTTTTTGTTAAATACTATTTTCATGTTCACTGTCTGTGACTTCAGTATTAAATATTCTATGTTAATTTTAAAATTAGCAGGGATATATTTTACTACCAACCCATCAATTTTGACTTGTATAATTTAGAATTTGGGGTTATTCTGAAAGTAAGCAGGCTTTGTTAGAATTAGAAATTCCGAGTAAAGGGCATAATGTAGAGGCTGATAGTTTTAAAGCTTCCAAGAGACAGAATTCATTTAGTTTATTCTTAGAGTAGACTAACAGTTTTGTTTTAAATAGTTTTATTAAGATATAATTAACATAAAACTCACCCATTTACAGTGTACAATTTAAGTTTTCATTGTTGTTTTGTTTTTGGAGATAGGGAAGGTGAGAATGGTCTTCCTGCTTCTGCTGTTTTCTGTTTCCAAGGCATCATATATTCGGGTAGCATTTCCCTGTACTCCGTCACTAGAGTATTTATGAATTTAGTGTATAACAAAAGTTAACATTTCAGTTCAGCAAGAAAGGATGTATCTGTTTTGTTTCTGTTCTTTTTTTTTCTTTTTTTTTTTTTTAGAGATAGGGTCCTCACTCTGTCACACAGCCTAGAGTATAGTGGTATGATCAAGATTACTGCAGCCTCAAATTCCTGGGCCTAAGTGAGCCTCATGCCTCACCCTCTCAAGTAGCTAGGACTACAGGTATGTGCCACCATGCAGGCTATTTTTTAAAAAACTTTTTGTGGAGATGGAGTTTTGATATGTTGCTCAGGCTAGTCTCAAACTCCCAGTCTGAAATGATCCTCCTGCCTTGGCCTCTCAACGCACTGGGATTATAGGCATGAACCACCAGCCCAGCCCCCAATGTAAAGTTTCGAGATTATACACTTAGCTGTGTAGCTATCACCACCACAACCAATTTTAGAACATTTTGGGAGTCCTAGCCAGAAAAATCAGGCAAGAGAAAAAACAAATGGTATCAAAATAGGAAAAGAAGAAGTCAAACTATCTCTCTTCGTGGACGATATGGTTCTATACCTAGAAAATCCTAAAGACTCCACCAAAAGGTTCCTGGAACTAATAGACAACTTCAGTAAAGTTTTAGGATACAAAACCAATGTCAAAAATCAGTAGCATTTCTATACACCAATAATGTTCAAGCTGAGAGCCAAATCAAGAACTCACCCCATCTACAATAGCCACCAGAAAAATAAAATACCTAGATATATATATATATATATATATATATATATATATATATATATATCTAAGAAGGTGAAAGATCTCTGCAAGAAAAACTACAAAACACTACTGAAATACATCATAAATCACACAAACAAGTTGAAAATCATTCCATGTTCATGGATTGGAAGAATCCAAATTGTGAAAATGGCCATGCTGTCCAAAGCAATCTATAGATTCAACACTATTCCTACCAAACTGCCAATATTATTTTTTTCACAGTATTAAAAAACAACTATTCTAAAATTCATATGAAACCAAACATGTGCTTGAATAGCCAAAGCAATCCTTAGCAAAAGAACAAAGACAGAGGCATCACATTATCCGACGTCAAACTATACTTTAAGGCTACAGCAATCAAAACAGCAGGATACTAGTACAAAAACAGACACATAGACTAGTGAAACAGAATAGAGAATCCAGAAATAAGGTCACACACCTACAGCTGTTTGGTCTTCAACAAAGTCACCAAAAATAAGGAATGGCAAAAAGACTCCCTATTCAATAAATGGTGGTAGGATAGCTGGGTAGTCATATGAAGAAGGATGAAATTGGACCCCTACATTTCATCATATATAAAAATTAACTCAAAATGGATAAAATATTTAAATCTAAGACTTCAAACTATGGGAATCCTAGAAGAAAACCTAGGAAACACCATCGTGAACACTGGGCTTGGGAAATAATTTATGACTAAGTTCTCAAAAGCAAATGCAACAAAACCAAAAATTGATACGTGAGACCTAATTAAACTAAAGAGCTTCTGCACAACAAAAGAAACTATCAACAGAGTAAACACAATGTATAGAATGGGAGAAAATATTCACAAAGTAGTCATCCAACAAAGGTGTGATACCCAGAATCTATAAGGAACTTAAGTAATTAAACAAGCAAAAACCAAAAACCCTGTTGAACAGTGGGCAAAGGATGTGAACACTTCTCAAAAGAAGACATACATGCAGCCAACAAACATATGAAAAAATACTCAACGTCATGAATTAATGCAGGAACAGAAAGCCAAATACTGCATGTTCTCTCTTATATGTGAGAGCTAAACATTGGGTACTCGTGGACATAAAGATGGCAACAGTAGACACTAGGGACTACTAGATGGGAGGGAAAGAGGAGGGCAAGGTTTGAAAACCTAACCATTGGGTACTATGCTTACTACCTGGGTGACAGAAATACTCATATCCCAAATCTCAGCATCACACAATATACCTATGTGACAAACCTGCACATGTATCCCCTGAATCTAAAATAAAAGTTGAAATTGCATTTTAAATTTTTTAAAAATTAAGTATTTATTTAAACAGGAGAATAAATATTTAGAAACTTTTCATCCCTTGTAAAAGAAACCCTATACCATCAGCCTTAAGCAATCAATTCTCATCTCCTCTCCCCACTCCCACCCTCATTCCTAAGCAAACCTTTATTGACTTTGGGTCTATATGGATTTGCTTATACTGAATTTCAAATAAATGGGACAAAAAAATATGTGGTTTTTGTGATTTGATCCTTTTACTTAGCAAAATGCTTTCAAGGGTCAGTTATGTGGTAGCATGTATCAGTACTTCATTTCTTTTTATTTCCAAATTATGCACAATGTATAGATATTCTAAATTTTATTTATATATAAATCAGTTGATTAACATTTTAGTTGTTTCCAGTTTTTGACTTTTTGTAAGAATCTATGTTTTCATTTAATTACCTGGGAGTAAACTCTCTGGGTCATATGGTGACTTTATGTTTAACATTTTGAGGAATGACTAAACTGTTTGTCAAAGCAGCTGCACAATTTGGCATTTCCACTAGCAAGGTATGAAGGTTCTGATTTCTCCACATCTTGTCCAGTACTTGTAAGTATTTTTAATGATCACCATTCACTGGGGGATGAGGTGATATCCATTTGCAGCTTTGATTTGCATATCCATATGACTAACGATGTTGAGCATCTTTTCATATACTCATTGGCCATTTGTATATATTCTTTGGAGAAGTGTCTAAAGTCCTTTGTCCATTTAAAAATTTGTGTTGTCGGGCCAGGCGCTGTGGCTCATGCCTGTAATCCCAGCACTTTCGGAAGCTGAGGTGGGTGGATCACCTGAGGTCAGGGGTTCGAGGCCAGCCTGGCCAACGTGGTGAAACCCCATCTCTACTAAAAATACAAAAAATTAGCTGGGTGTGGTGGTGTGTGCCTGTAATCCCAGCTACTTGGGAGGCTGAGGCAGAAGAATCGCTTGAACCCGGGAGATGGAGGTTGCAGTGAGCTGAGATTGCGCCATTGCACTCCAGCCTGGGCAACAAGAACGAGACTCTGTCTCAAAACAACAACAACAACAACAACAACAACAAACTGTGTCTTTTATTATTAAATTGTAGACATTTCTTATATATTATATTTGTTATTTTCCAGTTGTTTTTATGATAACCATGCCAGCGATATGAAATGGTATTTCATTGTGGTTTTTTGGCATTTCTTTAATGACTAATGAAGTTGACCATCTTTTCAATGCTTTATTGGCCATTTATATATCTTTGGAGAAATGCCTATTCAAGTCTTTTGCCAATCCTTGGATTGGATTGTTTATTTGTTGTTGAGTTGTTGTTCTTTATATATTCTGGATAATAAGCTATTACGAGATATATGGTTTGCAAAAATTTTCTCTCATTCTGTTTGTTGTCTTTTCACTTTCTTGATAATTTCCTTTGAGACACAAAATTTTCTAATTTTGATGAAGTCCAACTTATCTGTGTTTCTTTTGTTGATTATTTTTATTGTCATATCTAAGAATCAATTGTCAAATCCAAATTCATGAAGATTTACCTCCATGTTTAGGTTATTCATTCATTTAAAATTAATTTTTGTATATAATGTCGAGTAGAATTTCATTAAAATAACTTCAAATAACTTCTTTGTTTTGAATGTAGACATTCAGTTGCTTCAGTACCACCTGTTGAAGAGACAATTCTTTCCCAGTGGAAAGAAATCTGCACCCTTGTCAAATTCAGTTGGTAATACATGCATGGATTTATTTTTGGACTCTCAATTCTATTCAATTTGTCTATATTTCTATATTTATATGTGTATGCCAATAGTGCACTGTTTTAATTATTGTGTGTATGTACCACTTGCATTGTAATATAGACCATTTACATTCCATATTAATTTGAGAATCAATTTTTCTATTTCTGTAAATAAAGGCTGCTGAAATTTTGATAGGAATTTCATTTAATCTGTAGATTCCTTTGAGTAGTATTGAAATCTTAACAACATTAAGTTTTTCAGTTCGTGAACATAGGCTATCTTTCCATTTATTCCTTTAGCAATGCTCTGCAGTTTTCAGTGTACAAGTCTTTCACCTCCGTGGTTCAATTTATTGTTAGGTGTTTTATTCTTTTAAATGCTATTGTAAATGAATTGCTTTCTTAATTTACTTTTCAGGTTTTTCATGGATGGTGTATAGAAACTACTGATTTCTGTGTGTTGATCTTGTATTTTGTGGCTTTGAGGGATTTATTTATTAGCTCTTGTAATTTCTGTGGATTCTTTTGGGATTTCCCCTATATACGGTCACTTCCGTGAATAGACATAATTTTACTTCCTTTTTTCCAATTTGAATGTCTTTTACTTTTTGTCTAATTGCTCTGGCTAAAATTTCCAATACAATGTTCAATAGCAGTGTTGAAAGCAGACATCCTTGCCTTGTTCTACATTTTAAGGGGGAAAGTCTTTAGGTCTCTCAACGTTGAGTATGATGTTAGCTGTAGATTTTTCATAAGTGCCTCTTTACCATGTCGAGAAACTTACCTTTTAATACTGGTAAGGTTATAATTTTTTGCTTTCAACCATCATATATTTTAAAGAACTTAGGAGAAGAAAAATAGTCTATCTACACAGATAGTTACCATTTCTGTGGTTCTTTCATTCTTAAAGTTATCACTTTCCCTCTAGTATCATTTTTCTTCTCTCTCAAGATATTCCTTTACCATTTTTTTAGAGCAGATATACTGGTAGCAAATTATCTTAGGCCTCCTGTATCTGAGAATGTGCTTATCTCACCTTTATTCTTAAATATTATTTTCTCTGAATATTGATAGTTCTTTTACTTTAAAAATATCATCCCAGTACCCTTGGACTCCATGGTTTCTAATGAGAAGTCCACTGTCATTTAAATCATTGTCTTCTATAAATAATATGTCATTTCTTTCTGGCTTTGTTTAAGGTTTCTTTGTTGTTAATTTTCAGAAATTTGATTGTGATATTTCTGGGCATGGATTTATTTGTGTTTGTTTTAGCTGAGGTTAGCTGAGCTTCTGCAAGTTTATGTACTTAACGAAATTTGGTTACATTGTCAGCCATAATTTCTTCACTTTTTCCCCTACACTTTGTTTTCTTCTTTCTTCTGGCACTACGACTAAACAAATATTACACCAGTTGTTGTCTGACCATGAACTTCTGTTTAATTTTTTCAATCTTTTTTTTCTTTTTGTAATTCTGAGTGGATAATTTCTACTAAACTTCTTCAGTTCACTGACTTTCTGTCTTTACTCTGCTATTGGGTCTTTCCAGGAAATTTTTTTTTTAGTTTTTTACCTTTCTGTTTTAAAATTCCTATTTTGTAATATCATTTATTTCCTGGCGAATACATTCTGTATTTTCATCACTTTTAAAAAATTCGCCTTTACTTCTTTTTACTTTATTTTTATTTTATTTTATTTTATTTATTTTTTTCTTTTTTGAGACGGAGTCTTGGTCTGTCGCCCAGGCTGGAGTGCAGTGGTGCGATCTTGGCTCACTGCAAGCTCCGCCTCCTGGGTTCATGCCATTCTCCTGCCTCAGCCTCCCGAGTAGCTGGGACCACAGGTGCCTGCCACCACGCCCGGCTAATTTTTTATATTTTTAGTAGAGATGGGATTTCACCGTGTTAGCCAGGATGATTTCCATCTCCTGACCCCGTGATCTGCCCGCCTTGGCCTCCCAAAGTGCTGGGATTACAGGCGTGAGCTACCGTGCCCGGCCTCACCTTTACTTCTTGAAGCTTGACTATAATAGCTTCTTTAAAATCTTTATCAGTTAATTCCAACATCTGGATCATGACAGGATTGGCATCTGTTGATTCCTGCTTCTACTTATGCTGACTAGTTTTGGATTGCATTTTGGATACTTAATATACTGTGTTATGAGACTCTGGGTCTTATTTAACTCTTATGGAGATTATTGAAAAGAGAGAGAGAGAGAAGTTTATAGACTTGGAGATTTAAGCTAAAAGTACCAAACCACTTTCTGTAAGCGATGGTTCTAAGTGGGTTCCATTTTCAGAGTTTGCAGTGTTGTTTGGCTGTCTCCCATGTGTGTGCCATTCAGAAGCCACAGTCTGAGACCTTGGGGATGGCCTACCTATCAGTTCTCAAGAGTCTTTAGTTAGGCTCTTATTCATGCTTATGCAGCTTGTAGGGGAGACCCACAATTCAGACACAACTTTATGGAATTACTTTCTTGAATTCTCTCCTCTTTACAGTCTTTGTGACACTTTTTGGTTCTGAAAGGCCCTGATTCTGCTCTTCAGTCTAGAAAGAAAGGGCTTTAGTTTTCCCTCTCTGCTGTGAACATTCCACAACTGTGTCTGCCACTGAAGCCAAGTAGCAGGGTATATAGAGAAAGAAAGAATTGGGATATTCCATCACATTCTTAGGACCACGGTCCCTCTTGTCAGAGGGAAGGGTTGCTTTCCCTCAGAGTTTTAAGTGTCTGCCCAGCTACCACTGTTATTGTTTTCACCTCTGTGACAGTACTGCCATAGATTTTCCTGGGTCTGGGATGGAAAAAACAAAAAACAACACAGTCAAATTTTTATACTTTCCCCAGGAACTGACCCCAAGGACTCCTTTTCCTGACTGGGACTGGAAATTGAGGTCTTCTCTTACAGCTTTCTGCCTACATTCAGCCCAGAATTTTGAACTTTATGATGCGTTTCATTCCACCGTGGGAGATACCAGAGGCAAAAAACAAGAAACTCCCCCTTAAATTGGTCTTACTTTGAGTACTCATTTCCTTATTTCATTCTACCTGCTACCATTTAACGTTTCAGAGTCTTCAGATAGCTGCTCAATATATCTGTTTTAGTCATTCGTTGTACTCAACAGGAGAAACAGGGTGACATATGCTTACTTTTATCTGAACTGGAGCCAGAATCTTAAATATATATTGAAAAGATTATATTAGGTACTTTTTAATTTATGTCTATCTTATTTACTTGTTTTTTTCCATATATTGTTAGGCTTAAATGTCCTAAAGCATTCTAGGCAAATAGCACAAATCCCTTTTAAAAAAAGCCCCTCTAAGTATATTCCAGAACCTCAGTTAGTATCTAGCCTCATTACTTCTTTATATTATTCCATTAAATTTTAAGTCCATTTTCTTTAGTTTTAACTATGGTGCATTACATCATTTTCCAAATAAAATGTTGCTTATAAATATCTAGGGGGATTAGAAATTTTAATAACTATTTAAATAAAAATTATTGTAGGTATATATACACATTTTAAAATAATTACACAATGAAGGGAAAGAAAGCAAAATTTTAATAACTATTCCTCTCATTAGAGGAGAAGAACAAATTTTTACCTGTTGGATGCACGTTTACAGTTTGCTGAATATGTACTTCAAAATAAAGTACATATATAGAATGTAATTTTTAGAGGAATTCTTACTTCTGATTGACCTGACATATACCCTAAAAGGTGTTTTATCTCCGTTCTTATGGCTGCCATGTTAGAGAAGGTAGTTATGCAAACATGAGCAGAGTAGGAGAAGGGCTCCACAACAAGGAATGTCAGGCAACTATCAGGTGATGGTCAATCAGTTGTTAAACTGTCGCTTTAAAATCATAATTGGTTGCAGCCAGAGCCAGGGAAAGGCAGTCTCTAATAGCTAGAAAATACCTGAAGCTGGTGATCAGTAGCGTCCCAATAAGATCTCAGGAGTGGGCAAGTGGCCTCAAGCATGCGCACTAAGAGGCAAAATGGTGGCGTTTAAGTGGTATACGATCTACCTCTAGGAAATCTCGACTGATAAGGAAGAAATGCTTCAAGTAAGCATGTGCACAACTTCAGTAAACATACTGTGCATGTGGCCCCTCCTAAGTGCTGGCAGGCTACTACGCATGTGGACAGCCTGCTTCAAGGGAAGAATCAAGGGAGAAAAAAAACCCCTGCAAACCCTGGCACCATGCTAATGTGTAAAATCCCAAGTCAAGAGCTGAACAGGGCACTTGGATCTCTCAAGTCCCCTGCTTGGCCTTCTTCCAAGTGTACTTTACATCTTTTCGTTCCTGGTCTAAAAGTTTTTAATAAACTTTCATTCCTGCTCTAAAACTTGCCTTGGTCTCTCCCTCTGCCTTAAACCTACTTCTGCCCTTCAGCCGAATTCTTGCCTCTGAGGAGGCAAGGATCAAGTTTACTGCAGAGCTGTACAGATTCACTGCTAGCAGCAATCACAACTCATTATGTATTTTCACTTAATAATTATAGGCATACTTTCATGCAAGTCCGTGTGAAGAGACCACCAAAGAGGCTTTATGTGAGCAACATGGCTGTTTATTTCACCTGGGTGCAGGCGGGCTGACTCCGAAAAGAGAGTCAGCGAAGGGAGATGGGGTGGGGTCGTTTTATAGGATTTGGGTAGGTAAAGGAAAATTACCGTCAAAGGGGGGTTGTTCTCTGGTGGGCAGGAGTGGGGGGTCGCAAGGTGCTCAGTGGGGGTGCTTTTTGAGCCAGGATGAGCCAGGAAAAAGACTTTCACAAGGTAATGTCATCAGTTAAGGCAAGGACCAACCATTTACACTTCTTTTGTGGTGGAATGTCATCAGTTAAGGTGGGGCAAGGCATATTCACTTCTTTTGTGATTCTTCAGTTACTTCAGGCCATCTGGGCGTATATGTGCAAGTCACAGGGGATGTGATGGCTTGGCTTGGGCTCAGAGGCTTGACATTCCTGCCTTCTTATATTAATAAGAAAAATAAAACAAAATAGTGTTGAAGTGTTGGGGCAGCGAAAATTTTTGGAGGGTGGTATGGAGAGAGAATGGGCGATGTTTCTCAGGGCTGCTTCAAGCAGGATTAGGGGCAGCGTGGGAACCTAGAGTGGGAGAGATTAAGCTGAAGGGAAGTCTTGTGATAAGGGGTGATATTGTGGGGATGTTAGAAGAAACATTTGTCATATAGAATGATTGGTGATGGCCTAGATACGGTTTTGGATGAATTGAGAAACTAAATGGAATGACAGAAGGAGAAAAACAGGTATAAAAGGTCTAAGAATTGGGACAACTCAGGATATCTGATTAGAGAGTGCCTAAGGAGATTCAGCATAGTCCTGCCCGCAAAGATTATTTATTTACTTCAAGAGTTAAGAGTGGCAGTTTGGGGATAGCACCAGGAGATATCAGCTGTGATGGCTTGGAGAAACAGTGTAAACCGGCAGTGTAAACAAGAGCAGGGTATGTATGAGTAGTTGAGAACGGTGAGTAGGAATATGACTAGACAGAAGATAGTAGGGATGACAAGTTTTTGGGGCACAGTCCAAGTTGGTCTGGTGTCTGGAATGAGACTGGGGCCTAATAAAAAGGAGCGTCTATACAGGAGCTTAAATGGGCTGTACCCTGTAGCATTCCAAAGACAGGCCTGAATTCTGAGAAGGGAAAGTGGTAAAAATATTGTCCAGTCCTTTTTAAGTTGGTGGCTGAGCTTGGTGAGGTGTGTTTTTAAAAGACCTTTAGTCCATTCTACTTTTCTTGAAGATGGAGGACCGTAAGGGATATAAAGGTTTCACTGAATACTAAGAGCCTGAAAAACTGCTTGGCTGATTTGACTAATAAAGGCTGGTCTGTTATCAGACTATATTGAGGTGGGAAGGCTAAACTGAGGAATTATGTCTGACAGAACGGAAGAAATGACTGCGATGGCCTTCTCAGACCCTGTAGGAAAGGCCTCTACCTATCCAGTGAAAGTATCTACCTAGACTAAGACATATTTTAGTAATCTGACTCAGGGCATGTTGAGTAAAGCTAATTTGCCAGTCCTGGGTGGGGCAAATCCTCAAGCTTGATGTGTAGGGAAGGGAGGGGGCCTGAATAATCCCTGAGTAGTAGTAGAATAGCAGATGGAACACTGAGAAGTGATTTCCTTGAGGATAGATTTCCATGATGGAAAGGAAATGAGAGGTTCTAAGAGGCGGGCTAGTGGCTTGTACTATAGCATAACCTGCCTTTGTTGGTGTGTGGCGATTAGGCCTGGTGGAACCACCATCAATAAATCAAGCTTGATCAGGGTGAGGAACAGGAAAGAAGGAAATTTGGGGAAATAGGGTGAATGTCAGGTGGATCAGAGAGATACAGTCATGGGGTCAGGTGAGGTATCAGGAATAATGTGGGAGGCCGGATTGAAGTCTGGGCCAGGAACAACGGTAATTGTGGGAGACTCAACAGAGTGAGTATAGCTGAAGGAGCCGGGGAGCAGAAAGTATATGCATCAGGTATGAGGAAGAAAATAGATTTTGGAAGTTATGAGAACTGTAGAGAGTGAGTTGAGCGTAGTTTGTGATTTTGAGGGCCTCTAAAAGTATTAAAGCAGTGGCAGCCGCTGCACGCAGACATGAGGGCTAGGCTAAAACAGTAAGGTCAAGTTGTTTGGACAGAAAGGCTACAGGGTGTGGTCCTGGCTCTTGTGTAAGAATGCTGACCGCGCTAACCATGCCTAGGAAGGAAAGGAGTTGTTGTTTTGTAGAAGGTGCTTGGGTTTGAGAGATCAGTCGGACATGATTGGCAGGGAGAGCACGTGTGTTTTTATGAGAATTATGCTGAGATAGGTAACAGATGAGGAAGAAATTTGGGCTTGACTGAAGTAATGGGGGCTGTCTGTGAAGCTTTGCAGCAGTACAGCCTAGGTAATTTGCTGAGCTTGATGGGTGTCAGGGTCAGTCCAAGTGAAAGCAAAGAGAGGCTGGGATTAAGGGTGCAAAGGAATAGTAAAGAAAGCATGTTTGAGATCTAGAACAGAATAATGGGTTGTAGAGGCAGGTATTGAGTATATGAGAGTATATGGGTTTGGCACCACGGAGTGGATAAGCAAAACAATTTGGTTGATAAGGCGCAGATCCTGAACTAACGTGTAAGGCTTGTCTGGTTTTAGGACAGGTAAAATGGGGGAATTGTAAGGAGAGTTTATAGGCTTTAAAAGGCCATGCTGTAGCAGGCGAGTGATAACAGGCTTTAATCTTTTTAAAGCGTGCTGCCAGATGGGATATTGGCATTGAGTGGGGTAAGGGTGATTAGGTTTTAATGAGATGCTAAGGGGTGCATGATCGGTCGCCAAGGAGGGAGTAGAGGTATCTTATACTTGTGGGTTAAGGTGGGGGGATACAAGAGGAGGATGCAAAGGAGGCTTTGGATTGGGAAGAAGGGTGGCAATGAGATACAGCTGTAGTCCAGGACTAGTCAGGGAAGGAGATAATTTAGTTAAAGTGTCTCAGCCTAATAAGGGAACTGGGCAGGTGGGGATAACTAAAAAGGAGTGCTTAAAAGAGTATTATCTAAGTTGGCACCAGAGTTGGGGAGTTTTAAGAGGTTTAGAAGCCTGGCCGTCAATCCCCACAACAGTTATGGAGGCAAGGGAAACAGGCCCTTGAGAAGAAGGTAATGTGGAGTGGGTAGCCTCCGTATTGATTAAGAAGGGGACGGACTTACCTTCCACTGTGAGAGTTACCTGATGCTCGGCATCCGTGATGGTCTAAGGGGCTTCCGAGGCAATCGGGCAGTGTCAGTCTTCAGCCGCTAAGCCAAGAAGATCTGGGAAGGAGTCACAGAGCCTTGGGCCAGAGTTCCAGGGGCTCTGGGAGTGGCTGCCAGGTGAGTTGAACAGTCCGATTTTCAGTGGGGTCCCACACAGATGGGACGTGGCTTAAGAGGAATCCCGGGCTGCGGGCATTTCTTGGCCCGGTGGCCAGATTTCTGGCACATGTAGCAAGCTCCTGGGGGAGGAGGTTCTGGAGGAACGCCTGGCCACTGCAGTTCAGGCATTTAGAAGTTCTTGTGTGCTGGAGATGTGGCTGGGGTTTGTCTCACAGTGGAGGCAAGGAATTGCAACTTTTTTCTATTATTGTACACCTTGAAGGCGAGGTTAATTAAATCCTGTTGTGGGGTTTGAGGGCCAGAATTTAATTTTTGGAGTTTTATTTAATGTCGGGAGCAGATTGGGTAATAAAATGTATTTTGAGAATAAGACGGCCTTTTGACCTTTTAGGGTATAGGGCTGTAAAGTGTCTCAGGTTTGCTGCCAAACAAGTCATGAACTGGGCTGGATTTTTATATTTGATGAAAAAGAGCCTAAACGCTATCTGATTTGGGATAAAGAAAAAGGAGCATTAACCTTGACTATGCCTTTAGCTCCAGCCACCTTTTTAAGAGTAAATTGCTGGGCAGGAGGGGGAGGGCTAGTCAGAGAAGGAAACTGTAAGCCGGACCAGGTGTTAGGAGGGGAGGTGATAAAAAGAGTATAGGGTGGGGGAGCAGAGGCTGAGGAAGAATTGGGACCTAGCTCAGCCTGGCGAGGAGCAGCCTGGGGAGGAGGGGAGAGGTCAGATGGGTTTGTAGAAAAGGAAGATTAGAAAGACTCAGCGATGCTTGGGGTTGGTACTGAGGGGACAGGCGGGAGGGAAAGAAGGAAGATATGGGACGAGTTGCACTGGGCACAGAGACTAGGAAGGGACTGATGTGTAAAAGAATGCCTGGACGTCAGGCATCTCAGACCGTTTGCCTATTTTATGACAAGAATTATTTAGATCTTGCAGGATGGAAACATTCAAAGTGCCATTTTCTGGCTATTTGGAACTACTGTCGAGTTTGTATTGGGGTCAAGTGGCATTGCAGAAGAAAATAAGGCATTTAAGTTTTAGGTTAGGTGTGAGTTGAAGAGGTTTTAAGTTTTTGAGAACACAGGCCAAGGGAGTAGAAGGAGGAATGGAGGGTGGAAGGTTGCCTATAGTGAAGGAAGCAAGCCTAGAGAAAAGAGAGAGTAGAGAAATGGAGGGAAGGGGTTTGGGGGTTCTTCCAGAAAAGTGGGAAAAGGGGTTGGGGTGCAGAGATAAGAGGTTGGGGCATGGAAATAAGGGATGGGGTGCAGAAATAAGGGGTCGGGGCATGGAAATAAGGGGTCAGGGCATGGAAATAAGTGGTTGGGGCATGGAAATAAGGGATTGGGGCACAGAGATATAAGAGGTTGGGGTACTTGCCCCTCCTCTAGAAAAGCGGGACTTGCTGCTAAGAGTGAAGGAGAAGGGGTTGAGGGGTACTTGCCCCTCCCCCAGAAAAGCGGGACTTGCCGCTAAGGGTGAAGGAGAAGGGGTTGAGGGGTACTTGCCTCTCCCCCAGAAAAGCAGAGAAGGGGTAGAGACAAGCAGAGAAGGGGTTGGGGTACTTGCCCCTTTCCCAGAAAAGCGGGACTTTCCGCTAAGGGTGAAGGACCAAGGCAGGCGTCCCTGCGTGGTCTGACACCTTTGAAACGTGGATGAATAATCAGAGAGGCGTCCCTGCAATGATTAAACACCAAGGGAAGGCTGCCTTCCCTGTCCGTGACTGGTGCCGGAGTTTTGGGTCCACAGATAAAACATGTCTCCTTTGTCTCTACCAGAAAATGAAAGGAATTGAAATTAAGAGAAGGGAGAGATTGAAGAGTGGAAAGGAGAAAGTGGTTGAGGGACAGTGAGAGAGGTTGGAGAAGAGAGTAAGAAGAGGCCGCTTACCTGATTTAAAATTGGTGAGATGTTCCTTGGGCTGGTCAGTCTGAGGACCTGAGGTCATAGGTGGACCTTTCTCACAGAGCAAAGAGCAGGAGGACAGGGGATTGATCTCCCAACGGAGGTCCCCCAATCCGAGTCACGGCACCAAATTTCATGCGTGTATGTGTGAAGAGACCACCAAACAGGCTTTGTGTGAGCAACATGGCTGTTTATTTCACCTGGGTACAGGCGGGCTGAGTCTGAAAAGAGAGTCAGCGAAGGGAGATAGGGGTGGGGCCGTTTTATAGGATTTGGGTAGGTAAAGGAAAATTATAGTCAAAGGGGGGTTGTTCTCTGGCAGGCAGGAGTGGGGGTCACAAGATGCTCAGTGGGGGTGCTTTTTGAGCCAGGATGAGCCAGGAAAAAGACTTTCACAAGGTAATGTCATCAGTTAAGGCAAGGACCAGCCATTTACACTTCTTTTGTGGTGGAATGTCATCAGTTAAGGTGGGGCAAGGCATATTCACTTCTTTTGTGATTCTTCAGTTACTTCAGGCCATCTGGGCATATATGTGCAAGTCACAGGGAATGTGATGGCTTGGCTTGGGCTCAGAGGCCTGACACATACCAAAACTTTTGTGGTGTTTAGTAAGAAGAATCAAGGTAAGTTCAGGTTTACCTGTTGAGTAAGTGTAAGAACACTGGGGTGAGGGTAGGAGTGGAGGCTATAACTTATCCTTGAAAATAATTATATATGCCTGCCACTATATGCATTTAAAAATCAAAATTGAATAATAACTAAGCTAGTAAAGGAAGAGGTAAAGACTTTTCACAATCAGAAATCAAAAAACAAAAAACAAAAACAGAAAAGCGTTATGTTTCCCTAAGGTGGATCTTTTTGTGGTAGACTATAACAAAGCAATAAAGGAATTGGCAATACTTGCATACTCAGTGGACTATTTAAATATTACTGTGACTGAGAACAAAAGACTTCAAAATTTCCCTAGATCTCTTGTTTAAATCTATATGGGAGTACAGATTTAGAGCTAAATGGAGCACAATCACACAGGGAGACTTTGGAGGCTACAAGGACCATGAATATTGATGGGAACTCACTTCTGTGTTGTGCTCTGAACAAATGACAACAGAGTAGTAAACAACTATTTCCTTGGAGATGCAAATAGATTCCATAGGCTGTGAACTGAAACTCTTTCTCACTCAGATCTTATTCAAAGCAAACAGTGTATTTAGAAGGGTACACATACCCTAACAATTAGACAGGATATGGCAAACTAGAAACAAAGAAATATAATTAGTTCCAACTCCTTATAACTATAAACAAGTTTTTTTCTCTGTCTCACCAAATAAGCTAGAGATGGTATTATCTCTGTTTCACATTTTTTTAAATACATGAGTTCATTCTAGGAAAGTTGCCTTTGAGTATTTAGAAAAATTTTCCTGGACCTGAACTCTACAAGTGCCATCTTTCAGAGCGATACAATAGTTCCTGGAAGATTGTTACTAATGTCATTTTACTCATGTTGAAAAACTCTGTTTTCCAAATAGATAAATTTCTCTTTGGGATCTGCAGAGGCTCATAAGTGACCTTCCAGATACAAGCTGCTATTGAGAGTTAAGGGGATGATCAAAAATCACAGTAGTTGATGCAAAACCTGAATAATAATATTCTAAATAGGGAAATAGGATTCTTTCTTTTTGCCTAGAAAAGGAGCAAAGGCTATTGTATGGAAATTCAGAGAAGGAAAAATGTACTGAGCCTGAACATGGATGAGCAAATTATTAAATTATTAAATGGGGTCAAATAATAAAACTGTCCTTATAGAATTTAGCATGATGTCTATCAATAATTATTACAAAGCATTAGCTTAAAGAACAATAGTTTTTAAAGGGCAGGAAAATTCAGGTTGTTCACAAAACAGACAACAAAAGTAAATTTGTGTATTCCTTCATTTCTGTGGGGGCATAAACGTCTCAAAGTCTATTTTGGAATACCTGTGAGTTCCCTGAGGGCGAGGCTGTGTGTTATTCTTCTTTGTGTTTCCAGGATCCAAGTTGAACTCTAAATTCAGAGGCAAATCAGCAGCCTGTTTTAATGGAAAACCCTAAGATGCCAGTCCATCAGGGGTGTTCAGATATCACTGGAAATGCAGCAGAATGGAAAAAAAAAAGTATTTTCCTGATCTACTCTTAGGAAGACCATTGCATTCTGTTTGAAAGGATTTTTCATATGTCCTTGGTGTAGGCAGTGAGACCTCAATGAGTATGTTCAAGTGATAAAAGATGACTAACTAATTGCCTTCTCAGGAGCATGTTTTTTTTTATTTATGTAATTTACTTTATTTTATTTTTTACCTGTAGGGCTTTAGTGTTCTTCAGCGAAAGGCACAAGTTTGCCAAAGAGCAGAGTAACAAAAGAGCAAAGAGCAAGCTAGAAGTGGGGTTTAAATTCTATCAACAGTAGCTCTCATTTTCTTCCTTACATAAGACTTAGTTTTCTCTCTAAATAAATATTTAAAACTATTCACACAACATTTGTTAAAAGAGGCAGCAAAGTGTTAACCTCCTTGGGGCAGGCACCCACATGATTCAGCCTGGATCTGTTTATAAATCACCATCACAGGTGCTGCACGATGAATGCTACTTTTTTCCCATCTTGACACAGAATGTTCTTGCTAACAGGGAGAAAAGCCAGTACCTTTTCTCTATCCAAACATTTGAGAATTAGGGGCTAGATTTCGCAGATTCTGTTGGAAATTATCAATTTCATCAAAATTTCCTGAAACATTCCTTTTTACCCTCTGATATGGTTTGGCTCTGTGTCCCCACCCAAATCTCACCACGACTTGTAATAATCCCCACGTGTTGTGGGAGGGACTCAGTGGGAGGTAATTGAATTATGGGGGTGGGTTTTCCCATGTATTCTTGTGATAGTGAATAAGACTCATGAAATTTGATGGTTTTATAAAAGCGCAGCTGCCCTGCACACCCCCTTGCCTGCTGCCACGTAAGACATGTCTTGCTTCCCCTTTGCCTTCCATCATGATTGTGAGGCCTCCCCAGCTATGTGGAACTGTGAGTCAATTAAACCTCTTTCCTGTATAAATTACCCAGTCTCAGTTATGTCTTTATTAGCAGTGTGAGAACAGACTGGGGCTGGGCACAGTGGCTCACACCTGTAATCCCAGCACTTTAGGAGGCCAAGGCAGGTGAATCACCTGAGGTCAGGGGTTCGAGACCAGCCTGGCCAACATGGTGAAACCCTGTCTCTACTAAAAATACAAAAATTAGCCAGGCCTAGTGGCGGGTGCCTGTAATCCCAGCTACTCGGGAGGCTGAGGCAGGAGAATTGCTTGAGCCCAGGAGGCAGAAGTTCCAGTGAGCCGAGATTGCACCATTGCACCCAGCCTGGGTGACAAGAATGAAACTCCATCTCAAAAAACAAACAAAAAAAAAAAAAAAAGAGAAAGAAACAAGGAAGGAAAGAAAGAAAGAACAGAGTAATAGAGCAAATTGGTAATGGGAAATGGGGCATTGCTGTAAAAATAACTGAAAATTTGGAAGCCACTGTGGAACCAGGTAATAGGCAGAGGTTGGAACAGTTTGGAGGGCTTGGAAGAAGACAGGAAGATGTGGGAAAGTTTGGAACTTCCTAGAGACTTTTTAAATGGCTTTGACCAAATGCTGCTCATCTCAGATTGAGATGAGGAACCTGTTGGGACTGGAATAAAGGTGACTATTGCTATGTTTTAGCAGACAGGCTGGCAGCATTTTGCCCCTGCCCTAGAGATCTGTGAAACTTTGACTTGAGAGAAATGACTTAGGGTATCTGGCAGAAGAAATTTCTAAGCAACAAAACATTCAAGAGGTGACTTGGGGGGTATTAAAAGCATTCAGCTTTATGTATTCACAAAGATATGGTTTGAAGTTGGAGCTTATGTATAAAAGGGAAGCAAAGCATAAAATTTCAGAAAATTTGCAGCAGAGTTATGTGGTAGAAAAGAAAAACCCATTTTTCTGAGGAGAAATACGAGCTGGCTGCATACATTTACATAAGTAACAAGGAGCCAAATGTTAATCACCAAGACAATGGGGAAAATATCTCCAGGGCATGTCGGAGGGCTTCACAGAGGCCCCTCCCATCACAGTCCTGGAGGCCTAGGAGGAAAATGGCCTTGCTCCTTTGGGCAGTCTTGGGATTTGGTGCTCTGGCTTAAAGGGCCAAGGTACAGCTTGGGCCATGTCTTCAAAGGGTGAAAGCTCCAAGCCTTGGCAGCTTCCATGTGATGTTGAGCCTGCAGGTGCACAGAAGTCAAGAATTGGGGTTTGGGGCCGGGCGTGGTGGCTCATGCCTGTAATTCCAGCACTTTGGGAGGCCGAGGCAGGCAGATCATTAGGTCAGGAGAATGGCATGAACCCGGGAGGCGGAGCTTGCAGTGAGCTGAGATCGTGCCACTGTACTCCATCCTGGGTGACAGAGTGAGACTCTGTCTCAAAAAAAAAAAAAGAAAAGAAAAGAAAAGAAAAGAATTGGGGTTTGGGAACCTCCACCTAGATTTCAGAGGATGTATGGTAATGCATGGATGTCCAGGCAGAGGTGTGCTTAAGGGGTGGAGCCCTCCTGGAGAACCTCTGCTAGGGCAGTACAGAAGGAAAATGTGAGGTAGGAACCCCCACATAGAGTCTCCACTGGGGCACTGCCTAGTGGAGCTGTGAGAAGAGGGCCACTGTCCTCCAGACCCCAGAATGGTAGATCCACTGACAACTTATACCATGCACCTGGAAAAGCTGTAGACACTCAATATCAGCCTGTGAAAGTAGCCACAGGGTCAGAGCTGCCCAAGACCACAAGACCATGGGAACCCACCTCATTCATCAGCATGACCTGGATGTGAGACATGGAGTCAAAGTAGATTGTTTTGGAGCTTTAAGATTTGACTGCCCCACTGGATTTCAGACTTGCATCATGCCCATAGCCCCTTCATTTTGGCCAATTTCTGGAATGGGTGTATTTACCCAATCCTTGTACCCCCATTGTATCTAGGATGTAACTAATTTGCTTTTGATTTTACAGGCTCATGGGCAGAAGTGACTTGCCTTGTTTCAGATGAGACTTTGGACCATGAACTTTTGAGTTAATGCTGAAGTGAGTTAAGACTTTAGGGGACTGCTGGGAAGGCAGGATTGTGTTTTGAAATGTGAAAGGGACATGAGATTTGGTAGGGTCCAGGGACAGAATAATACGGTTTGTCTCTGTGTCCCCTCCCAAATCTCACATTGAACTGTAATAACCCCATGTATTGTGAGCAGAACCCAGTGGGAGGTAATTGAATCATAGGGGCAGGTTTTTTTTCCTGTGCTGTTCACATGATAGTGAGTGTCTCACAAGATCTTATGGTTTTATAAAAGGGCAGTTCCCCTGCCCACACCCTCTTGCCTGCTGCCATGTAAGACATGTCTTGCTCCCCCTTCACCCTCTGCCATGATTGTGAGGCTTCCCAGCCACGTGGAACTGTGAATCAATTAAACCTCTTTCCTTATAAATTACCCAGACTCAAGTATGTCTCTATTAGCAGCATAAACTGGGCTGTCTCTGTTGTCCCAGATTTCTCTATTCCTTCTCTTCCAGCAGCTCCACCTTGCAGAGATGCTGTCAAATATGCACAAGCTCTTATATTATCAGTGTCTTCCCAAGATGAAGCCAAGTCCTGATGAGCTGAAGCTAAGAGTTCTTTTCATCTTGACATACTGGCAGCCAGCTAACCCAACCATGGCCCTATTTTCTCCAACCATTACTAAACATGTAAGTCCCTTAGATAATCCATTTTCTCTTTAATTTTGTCAGTCCACTTCTGTTTTCTCTGGCCTCTCAAAATTGCAAATATGCTCTTTGTAAAACTTCTGTTCTTTGTTAAAACTTCTGTTCTTTGTTAGATGCCTACTCATCCTCAATTACCTCACTGATCCTTCTTGACACTGGCTCCTCCTTGAGGAAATCACCTTCATCGCAGCTTCTATCAATGGCCGGAAGGCTGTCATTCTCCCAAACCATATTATATTCTGGTCTGTAGTTTTGGTCCACGTCTAAAGGTTGCTGGTTGAACCTGGTCATTCATTCTCTTTTCTTTCTATGTTAAAAGAATGCCCACTTTATCTGAGTCATAGTTATCTTGAGTAAAGCTATTTCTCAGAATTCCTTACAATTGGGTGGCATGAGACTGAGTTAAGTACCTAATGAGGTGTTAGCAGAAATAGGTTATTTAACTTCCTGAAGTGTCATTAAAGGAAGAGAACTGACCCTTCTTCCCATCCCTCCTTTCTATTGGCTTGAAGGTGGATGTGATGGTGGAGCTGGAATAGCTGTGACTTGGGGAATGGAGGCCACAAATGGCACAGCAACAGGAAGAAAGAAGCCTTGATCTTTGATAAGTTGAGTATTCTAACTCATTTGGAATGCTTATGTTTAGACTCCTATTTAAAAGATAAATAAATATCGATCTGTTATTGGATTTTTTGTCCCTGACCACCAAACCTAATCATAACTGACATAGTCAATGCTGCTTTTACTCTACTGGTAAAGCCAGTGATCCTTTGAAACTCATGTTATTTGCCTAAATCATCTTCAACCACGCCTCATTGCTGATCTTTGCTGACCTTTTTTATGCCCACTAATCCTTTGAAGACCTCAGTATCTTCAATATCCATATCCATTTAGAAAATATATTGATTACATTGGCTTCTCAATTTTTATTCTTCTTAATTCCTTCAATGTTTTCCATTTGTATCAATCAGGATACAATTAGCTATGTGACTAACAAACAACCCCCAAATTTCAGTTGCTTATAGTATCAAAGGTTTATTTTTTGTTCCTGTTGCAGGGCATTCATGTGTTTTCTTCACTCCAGTGCCCATGCTGACTTTGCCTCTAATTGGGATATTGCTACTCTTGTGGGAGAGGTATAAAGAAAACAAAGCAAACTAAACCAAAACAAAACAAAACAAAGACACACACACACACACACACACACACACACACACACACACAGAGGGAACTATATACAAGCTGGCTCTTTCAAAACTTCTGCCTGCTCGAAAGTGGCACATATCCCTTATACTCATATTTTATTGGCTAAAGTAATTATTTGGTTAAGTGGAATATTAATAATATTAATAGGGTGAGAGATGGGCAACTTTAGTGGAGAATAATATATCACTCTAATACCTATTGCAATGCACATAGCATATATATTCAATACATATTTATAGGTGGATTGATTGGAATATAAAATCATTTTTAATTGTACAAATTATTTAATTTTATTTTGAAGAAATGTGGGTCATCCAATTTAGTCTTTTATCTGATTCTGAAACAATTTCTATAGTATATGGACAATTTGCTAATCTTTCTTTAAAAAACTGCTTAGCAGGGAGCCTACTATCTTACAACATAATCCATAAATATTTATTTTTACACAAAAATAGTTATTTCCATGGCACTTTGGAAGAATGAAGGTAAACGTGGGCTCAAGCCCCATGTGTTGAACCAGGAAGTCCCTATAAATTTTGATTTTTTTTTTTTTTTTGAGATGGAGTCTTGCTCTGTTGCCCAAGCTGGAGTGCAGTGGTGTGATCTCGGCTCACTGCAACCTCCACCTCCTTGGTTCAAGCAATTCTCCTGCCTCAGCCTCCCAAGTAGTTGGGACTACAGGCACATGCCACCATGCCCAGCTAATTTTTGTATTTTTAGTAGAGATGGGGTTTCACCATGTTGACCACGCTGGTCTTGAACTCCTGAGCTCACGGTCTGCCCACCTCGGCTTCCCAAAGTGCTGGGATTACAGGCATGAGCCACCGCGCCTAGCCAAATTTTGAACATTTTTAATGTTAACTCTTCTTTGTAACAAACTGAAATTAGTCTCCTCATAACCTCTTTCTTCTGGTTTTTAACTTAGTTTGGAGATTAATAAGACCAGGTTAGAAAAGACAGCTTGCTTGACAAAATGAAGAGCACCTACACTCTCTGAAGAAGAGTTTTTACTCAGTTCCAGCCAACTGCATAATTCAGGAACTTGCTCTCATTCTGCCAAAGTTCATGTACCCTAAGTACTAGAAATGGGTTTCAATTAAAAATAGAACAAAATAACACTAACAGGTCAACCACAACACATGATTGTGGCCTAAGTATTCCCAAAACGTGATGACTATTTTCGACAGACATAGTTTGAGAATAATTCCCCCACTCTGAACGCTTTTTGTGGCAGCTTCTTAGTTATGTCTTGTAGTTGAAAATTGATAGAAAAGAAACAAATTTTGAAAACAAGAGTACCCTCTATATCTCTTAGGTGCTTCTTGATTTTTGAGTTTCATAAGAGCACGGCCAGGGAAAGTGAGATTTTATATATATGATGTGGAAAATTCCATCACAATGGGACCGAACCTCGTAGGAAAAGCGATTGACATCTCTCATGCACATGGTGTCTATCTTTGTATAGCTCTAATCATTGATGAAGCTTTTTTGAGCTGAGGGTGGGGAGAGGTAGAGAATAAGAAGTAGTAGTATGGGAGCATTTGAGAACTCCCTTCTGATAAGACCAATAATGAACCATGTTTGTTTATTGTGTAAGCACCCATAGACTTTTTTTTTTTGGCTAAAATTCAATTGTACAGTGTTTCTTCTGCTTGCTCCATGTGTTTGGTTTACTTTAGAAAACAGATTTCCTGTACTAGGTGCTCACAGGCCTTGTATTCAATGCTTCACTCTAGAGCTATGTTATGAATCAGTCTCTAAATTGCCAGTCAGTAGTTTCTGGATTTGATCCTCTCATGTTAAAAATTGGAATATTTCCTTATTCTGTATTTCTGGAATTTGTCATATTTGTCACAATTCTTCAGTAATAACTAATAGTTGATTCTATGATAATATCTTAAGGTTTTGACTCTTGAGGTAAAATTAATCAGAACCCAAGATCTTGAATTCATTTAAAACAGTCCAGTGCTCTGGCATTATTTTGATTTTTGTTTGTTTATTTGTTTATCAAATATTTATTTAAGCCCTAAGTGTTTGGATCTTAAGTTGGGAATGGAGATATAAAAATTAATTAGATACAATTTTGTTTTCTAGGACTCCATGTTTCATAATAACAACAGTTAAAGTAATTGAGTGCTGCATGTGCACAAGGACTACATGTCAGGTGTTTGCCTACTGGAAGCTCATTTTTTTCCTCACAGCATCATGGGGGTGACACTTTATTTTGATGAAAAGGAAGCTGTTGCATAGAGAGATCCAATGAGTTCCTGAAGATCTCACAGCTCATAAGTAGAAGTATCAATATTCAAACCTAAAACTTGTGTTCATATCATGTTACTTCCCTGATTCATTGGCCTTACTTGAAATTCTGTCTGTTATTAACCCATTTGACTACCAGTTTTGGTTTTAAGAACATTCTTCTTAATGAAGAAGCCAAGAGCAAAAGAGGATTTAAAAGTAATGCTTATTTTCTATCACTCACAGAAATAGCTGAATTCTGTCTGTGGGTATACATTCCTGCACAATAGAAGTATGATATTACTTTGCCTTCTCCTAACACTGGGGCTATTTACTTTTCTTCATTGTTCCAACTTTTAACATATTTGAAAATACCCTTTATGTTGTTCTTTGTCCTAAGACTCATTCACACCTCTGCTTTCTCCACATTTCAACATTTCTATCAAAAACCTGTGAAGGTTTCCCATGATCCTTTTATGTGTTCCACTCACCCATACATCCTTGACTCAAGTCATCATCCCGGAGGAGCCGTACTTTAGATGTCTTCTTTCCCTGTGGTTTATCCTTATTAGGCTGATACATAGCTATTACATTTTAAGGAAAATATCTTGCCTCTCAGTATATTTGATAATAGCAATAATTTTTCTTGTCCCCTAAACTGCTGGAAATCAGTTTCTCTTAAGTCTAAAATGCATGTGAGACCAGGTCTAGAACTGCTTCCCTGGATGAATGTGCCAAGATACTTTTCTCCTAAGCTTCCTACTGCCTTAGTTTCATCAATAATTTTTTTGATATAATAATCATCTAAGTCTAGAGCAGTAGTAACCTTTGTTAATTCTACTCTCTCATCGGACATAAAAAGTTAGCAAGGTAACTTCATAACAATTGCTTTGCTTTCATCAGTATAAGATTTCCAGCCAAATCTAAGTAGGTAAAATTCCCCAGTTCTTAGTAAATTTCTTTGCTATTATAAAACAATCCATTTTAGAAAACCTATTTCATTTGCTCAGTGTTCTCAATAGTCAGTAGCATCCAAAAATATTCCTGATGAAAGTGTTCTTAATATAGAGTCAGATCAGTGTACAAGCCGTGGTATCAGTTTCCTTTTACCAGCACCATCACCTTTAGTGATAACTAGTCTTCTCAGAGTCTTTTTACCTATTACAAGATGAAATCAA
The DNA here is from genome assembly GCF_000001405.40 of Homo sapiens. Lineage (NCBI taxonomy): Eukaryota > Metazoa > Chordata > Mammalia > Primates > Hominidae > Homo > Homo sapiens. The sequence goes on along the minus strand of NC_000003.12, from coordinate 148,404,405 downwards.
ATGGCATAATGTGAAAGAGTATTTTAAAATATAGAAATTATTTTAATAAAAATAATTCCAGGATGCCTTGCGTTTTTCTCCCCCTTTGATGTCTTTACCTAAATGAATATCCTTTAAGCTAAAATCAGATAGGCCTTAGGTGGTCATTTGTTTTGTTTGTTTTCCTTCATGTTAAACACTAGCTTAAATAAATATTACAGAACTTTGTGATTTCACCAAAGTCAGAGTCAAAATATGTTGATATGTATTTGTATGTGTCACAATTTAAGATAACACAACATTTTATTAACCCAAAGATTATTCGTATGTCTTACTGGTCTCACAGAGTAATTGTTATGGCAAATATGTTTCCTTAGGACTCAATCATCTATAGAAGTCTGCAGTTCTATAAAATCATGACATTCTTTCAATTATTTATATAAAAGAATATAACTTATAAGTTCATATGCCTTGGTATCAGACTAACTTGTGTTTGAATTTTGGCACAAAAAATACTGGTTATGTGATGTTAGGCAAGAAGTAATTTTAACCCTCTGAGGTTCAGTGAATTCATCTAAAAATAGTGATATAAATTTTTACTTGCTTACTGTGAAGAATAAGCAAGGTATTGTGACATATTGTGCATTTAAAGTTCGTTATTACTTATTAATTGCTATAATCATTCTTAAAAATGCCATAGCATACCATTATCAAATTAGGAGTCCATGGAAAGCTGTACAACAGTGTTGCACAACTCCAGGTGGTGCAAATGGTATTTCCATAGCATTTCATTTACATGGCAGGCCCTGCAGTTGCACAAAGTCTTGGATTTGAACTCAAGTACCTTATTCCATTGTCTCCAGATTCTACTAATTCAGCAAATATATGTAGCCATTCAGATCTAGTCAGAGACTGACACTGGGTTAGATGGTGGGAAAACAAAGACAAATGAGAACACTATCCCTTTTTAATACAGTATATCATTTAACAAAAATAGTAGATAATTATGTTAGAGGAAAAAAAAAAGAATCAAGACCCTTTGTTTTCACCTGCAATTCTTTAGAGCATGTTAGAGAAAGGCTTCTTCTCTGGGCGAAGAAGTTAGAAAAAGTTTTTTCTTGCAAAGTTGTATGGGACAGAATGCAAGTTTCATGCCACAGCTCCATAGATTGAAGAAGTAAACCCAGGTTCAGTTAAGATCCTAATCATGTTTCCTTAGCAAGGTAACTTTGTGCAGAGCACAACCTGCACGACCGTACTTGGAGATGCTAAGTTTACGGTAATAAAAAGAGGATGCACTTTACTTTGGATATACCATCACGAAAAATTCACAATTATGCAAATTAATGGAACTTCAAAATTTTGCGTTTGCATAAAGTCACATTAACATGTCTTGGCTCATTCTTGCATTTAATGAAATATGAGTCTTGTATTTACAATAATTAAACAACAATTTAAATCTTTACTGTAGTCTTTGGAGAAAATGCCAAAAAGTGTTGAAATCATACAGCAGAACTTCTCATTTTTTATTCCTTTATGTCTTTCTTTCAATATCTTATATCCATGGGCAAGTCAGAATGGAGGAAATATTCTTCCTGTACCACTTGCTTAAGGCCCCCGATTTTTATAGAAATTGGCTTTATTTACAGGTAGAGTGAATATAAGTGTTGTATTATAGTGTGATGTTATAAAAATTCTCGTTTGCAGACATTGTTGAAGTCCATATAGTTAGTGAGTTAAGCTGGCATATATATTTCTTTTATCCAACACTAGGCAAGTTAGTAGTCCTGTATTACAAATTGCTTTTCTCTCAAAAGTCTTGTAAAATATACCACAAACTAAAGTTTAAATAAAACCAACTGCTGTATTTCCTTTTGACTTCTAACCCTAAAAGCTCAGGAAAAGTATATACACTTTGGGATAGGGAACAGATAATTAATGGTTGCCTATAATTCTGAAGCTGAGCATGTTCAATCTGGGTAATTACACCAAATCAGGCAGAAACACTATTATCAGCTTTTAAATGCTATTGTGCCACTAGGCTTTTTACCTTTGTTTTTCCACTTGAAATGAGACATGACACCATAACTGAATATATCCTGAAGTTGATGACAAACTTTAAAATATACAAAAGTACTTTCCCCCTACTGAGTACTCAAGAACAGTTCTAAAAGTAGCTGGGGCCAATCTCACAAGTCTAAAGATAACAATGTATTTTATGTGATCTTTCTAAATTCTCTTCTGGAGGGACACCAAATACCTTTATATTTATAATTCCAATTTGAAGCTTTTAAAAATGCTTTTCAAATCAACTTTTACCTATTTTATTGGTACTCTGTTCTGTTTGAGTGAGAGAACAGAGAACAAGGTCTGAGAACAAGATGAAGAAGCAGAACATCCTAGAATTAGAATTAATAATTAGAATTAGTAAGTGTATGAGTCGTTTGGCCCAATACCCCAATTTTCAGGTAAGAACACTGAAACTCGTTGAATTTAGTATTTTTTTAAGTCATCCAGATTGCTTGTGGCGTATCAAGAACTAATATCTGATTCCCGTCAAGGAGAGCGCTTCACTACTCCAGGAGTTTTGGGTTTCAGAGCTCAATCTGATGTCAGCTATTTAACAAGAATTGAGAAAATAAACACTATTCAAACTATTTTATTGATTGATTGAGATAGGGTCTTACTCTAACCCAGGCTGGAGTGGAGTGGCACTATCATGGCTCACTGCAGCCTCACTCTCCTGGGCTCAAGTGAACCTCTCACCTCAGCCTCCTGAGTAGCTGGGACTATATTTTATAGTGTTGATTTTATGTCCATCATTTTAGCTGCAACATTGTTAAATAATCATAGTAACTTCGAAAACATGTGACACAACAGTTGGGATAAGCTAGCCAGAGGGAGAGAGAGAGCGAGCGCAATAGATGTGTAATTTCAGTATTTTCCAAAAGTGGTTTTTGATCAATAGAACATGTATTCTTCTTAATTATATTTTACTGTCATCATGGATATAGAGAAAATGGAGATTAACTCAGGAGAGAAAGTACAAATTGCTTTTCCAATTACTCTTTTTCTTTAGTAATTTTTAAACCCTTATTTTTAAAAGAATTTTTGGATAAAGTAAGATCAGGTTTTTCTTCAAAGCTCTTCATTCAAAAGATTTGGAAATATTTCCATCAAGAGTATAACACAACATAAAAATTATGTCTTTATCATTTCATCTGTTAAGTTTATTCTTAAAAAATTAAAGCACTAGCTTGTGGAAAGAACAGAAAGAAGCTAAGGTCATTGAAGTTATTGAAAGTCATTAAAGTCATTGAAATAACCATTTCAGATATAACATTGGTTTGAGAAAAATTTATTGTTTTGGATTTTATGCATTTTAACTTACAATGATGCTGAGACATCTAATTGAAATGGGCTCATAAGCAGGGAGAGATCTGGCTCATAATCTCATAAGTTCTAGTTAGTCATTTAGATTGTGCAAGTTTCCCAAGGGATAGTTAAAAAGAGGACAAAGGGTCAAGAAATAGACCTCAGAGAATTCTCATGTTTAAAAATGAGATTAAAAATCTGAGAAGTCGGAAAAGAGAAATCAACACAAGAAGCATAGGAATTGAAAGGGTAGATGAAAATTTAGATAAAGTAGTATTCCAAAAGCAAAGCAGAAAAGCAGCTTTGGAAGAACTACCGTTAAATGAGTCTGCATGGTGCGGGAATTCAATGAAGACAATTCACCCAGTGTAACTGAGAGTCGCGTGGTCCTCCATGATGTGTCTCTCACTCCCACTTCCCTGTGAAACTTGAGAATTGTAACTTACTGATTTGCTCTGAGCCCCATCTCCAAAATTCTGGCATCATTCTGGGTTGAAATAAAGGATCACAAGTATGTTCTCAAAAGTTGTTTACCCTTGTTTACTCTTTGTTTAGATATGGTCTGTCCCCACCAAATCTCATCTTGAAATTTGTTTCCCACTGTGGCAATGTTAGGAGGTATAATCTGTAAGCTGTAGAGCCTAATGGGAGGTGTTTGAGTGATGGGGCTCCACTCTCATGGATGGCTTAGTGCTATTCTCACAGTAGGCAGTGAGTGAATTTTTTCTCTGGCAAGACCAGATTAGTTCTCTCAAGAATGAATTAGTCCTCCAAGAGTGGGTTGTTATAAAGCCAAGATGCCCCTCAGGTTTTGCCTATTTGCACATGTCTACTCCCCCTTTAACCTTCTGCCATGTTGTGATATAAGCATGAAAGTCCTCAACAGAAACCAAGCAGATGCTGGTGTCATGTTTCTTGAACTTCCCATCCTGCAGAACCCATAAGTTAAAAAATCTCTTTTCTTTACAAATTACCCAGTTTCACGTATTCTGCAATGGCAACACAAAATGGATGAAGACAACCCTAAATAGCTGTAGACAGTTATATAAGGATGAATAATCAGCATTGAAACAATTGTATCTATAATTAAATATATAGATTGTTTTGCTGTTTATTCCTCTCCTTGAGTGATTATTTTCTTCATTGATATACTGAATTTTCCAATCTGATTTCTTCTTTCATAGTCTGTTACCCCAATGCTGCCAAGACTGTGTGCTCGTTTTCATCTTAGATTTTTAGATCTCAGGGGTAGATGGGCATCACTGTATATATAGCCTTATTTCATGGGAAAGAAGCAGAAAAAACAGGGTTAGTACTTTGCCAAAAAATACAACTAACTGGCTTCAGAGACTGGTATAAAGTTTCCAGGAAGACATTATGAGTTAACTATAATTTCTCATATTTTAAGTGCATACTTTATACTGTAATAAGGACAGAGATATTTTATTAGAAGATAATAATGGCTAGATCTTAGCTTTACCATTACTGTATGAATTTGGATAAGTTACTTCAGTTTTCAGCGCCTCATTTTTCTCATATATAAAATAAGCATAATAATAGTACTTTTAAAAATAGGTTTGTTATAAAGATTAAATAGATGAACACACATCAACTCTTAGAACAGTGTCTCCAAGTAGGAAGCAGTCAATATATGTTAGTTATATTATTGTTGTTATTGTTGTTGTTGTTCCTTGGTATATATAAAACAAACTTTGAGCCTCTTCTTGAGGAATGCATACTACTGTGTGCAATTGATTTAATAAAATGTAACTTAAACTATATTCCTAAGAAATTTATGGACTTGAAAATGTTTAGTTTGATTCAAGCTCTGCTATTTATTATCTAAATACACTTGGGAAAGTCATTTAAATACTCTGGGAATCAGGTTATTCTTTTGTAAGATTTGTTTCTAGCTCTTCTCAGGTTGAATATCATATCATATTACATTCACACAAAATAACTGTCAGGTTTACTTAAAGCTTATTTGCATATATAATTCCATAATGAATTTCCAAAATAAATATTACCATAAATAGTAAAAAATATTTGACAGAAAAAAAATCTGTCTCATGAAGTTACTGTGAAGATCAAACAAATAATGAATATGAAAGAATAAATTATAAAGTGCTATATATATGCAAGACACTATTTTTCTTATTTGACCCCTCATGGAACACTAAATCCAATGGAACCCTATCCCACAAAATTATTGCTTAAGATAGAATGCAGAAGCAAGTTGTGATAGCACCATTTATTTTCTCTTGTTTATACGTACCTGATTTCCTTTATTTCCTTGCTTCCCTGTCCTTCCCTTCTTTCTTCCTTTTTCCTTCTACCCAATATTTTGAATGCTGCTCCATGCCAGGTCCCGTGCTACATATTCCAAATAATAAAATATATTTTCCCTCAAGAAATCTCATTGTCTAGTATGGGAAACACACTTACAAAAAAGTAATAAATTATAAGTGCAACAATAAATATATGAACTGGATAGGGAGGTTTAGTTATGTAATTATTATTTTTTAAGACTATGTTTTCATCAATTGGCATTCTCCTTTTATTACAAAATCTTAAAACAAAACAGAAGTCTTAAACTTGGAGTCATAAGTACCTTGGAATAACAGTTATTATATATTTAGGGTACTGAATGTATAATAAAATAAGAAAATGTAATAGTTGTCAGATAAATTGAGTACATTATAGTTAGATAACTTAATCTGAGCAGAACCGCAAAAGGAATTCCAGAAAACATTTCGAATGAGGCTTTAATCTTTTCTTTGCATCCTATCCTTATAGGTATTATTTTTTTGGTTATTTGTGGTAATTGGGTCATATCATAACCTTTTCCACCTTCTTAGCTGCGTCATCACTGAACACCTTCCTGTGTGCTCCCGTCTTTTCATCCACCCATCTGTCTGACTGCTCCATTCGTCTCCTGCTGTGTCTCATTCCAGTTGACTTCTAGCTCAACTTTGCTCCCACCCACCTCTTCCTTTTATGCTCCAATGCACAATGAGCTCAAAATGACATCAAACTGATCTCCCTTTACTTAAAGGATCACACCACCATTGCTGCAAAATATAGGAAGTTTCTAAGTTGATTCAGCTTTCTTGTCTTTCTGTCTGCTAGTTAAATGCCATTTTTAAAAGAATTCAGATTGCTTAATTCAGACTGTATCATTTTGAGTAACTCTTCTTTTGCGGAACTTGAAGATTTGTTTCTAGCTCTTCTCAGGTTGAATATCATATCATATCATATTACATTTGCAAAAAATAACTGTCATATTTTCTTAAAGCTTATTTGCATATATAATTCCACAATGAATTTCCAAAATAAATATTACCATGAATAGTAAAAAAAATTTGTGGGAAATAAGTAGTCAGAACTATACTTGAAACTTTTAAAAGCATATTTTTGTCTATAATGTCCTTGACCTAACAGGATAGTTATCAGCTTGTTGGTTATTATGTCTTACTGAATTGACTAAATTCTGGGGAGAGGGAGGAAAAACATAACATAAATAGTTAGATAACAAAAGGCAGTTATGATAGCGATGGAGGTATGCTTACTGGAATAATAGCCAACATAATTTAGCCCTAAGTGTCATGCACTGCTTTAAGTGCTTTATACATATCTATTCTCTTAGGTAGGTATTATTATTATACACATCTTATAAATGAGAAAACTGGGACCATAGATTATAAGTAACATGTCTGAAATGAGCTAACTAGTAAGAGGCCTTTCCAGGGTTTGAGCTCAGGCACTCATGTTTCCAGAGCCCACTCACTTAACCTACAATATTAAGCCCTCCATCCACCTTATATATGTTTTGCATAGAATCTAATAAATGAGCTTACCAGAGGCAATCAATAGCCCATGTCTGAAATATGTATTTTCATAGTAACACTCAAAAAAGCAAACTAAAGTCCAACAGAGCTTGCTGATGAGCTTGTATAATCATAACTTGGTTTCCTCAGGAGGTTATATAACTTCTTTGAGCCTCAGTCTTCCTGGGTGTATAATGAGGAAAATTATAGGCTATCTTGTTGGGTTATTTAATGGACTGCATGAAGTACTAACACAGTGGGCACACAGTAAGCATCTAACAAATAGTAGCTATTTTTTTAGTGTTATTATCTACTAGTAAGTGAAACAATTTTAAATGGCAGTCTTTTAAAAATTCATCTCTTCTGTTTTATAAGTCCAGCATCATTTAGTTATTTGCAGTGAAGATACTGAATTTAAGACCACAGGCTTTCAAGAGCAGCTCTTTCTAAGAACATCTGTTTCCAAATTTGCAAATGTGGAAGTTTTTGTAGAAGTTCCCAGCTTTTCCATCTCTTTTTGTTAAGTCATGTGTTTCCTGTGTGTTTTCTCATAAACAATTTAATTATTTCTTTTCTTTTCTTTTTTTTAACTGACACTTCTATCTTTTCTTGTGGACATTTTTGTCAAAAGACTAATGTTAATGAATGTTAATAAATGAATGCTATTAACACAAGATGGGTAGAAAAACCACAAAGTTACATTGAAATGTAGATACAAGGAATTTGTTTCTTGACTTGTATTTGTACCTTAGAAAAACTAATAATTACAGCATGTCATTGATCTTTCAGGTTAGTAAAAAAAGTAGAAACTCAGAGTTAAATCCTCAAATGCCACAAGCCTAGAGAATTCACTAAATATTTGGTGCTATAAGAACACTGGGTAGTCCTAACATATGATTGAAGTTACAGCACACCCCAAGTATTCAGTACAAATTACATTCTATTTTCAAGTAGAGAGAAGATACATATGTTCTGTTTCTACAACTTTAATTCAGATTGTTATGTATAGCAAAATTTGAACTGTATTTTGCTAATATTTTCTATTAAAACAAAACAGAAAACAGTTTGTCCATTGGAGAAAATAAAATTCATGTGTTTATAATTAATTCATGGACAGCCTCTGAAATATTGCTTATGAAACTAACTACCTGATATCCAAGAAGACTTTTGGCTGTTTAGAAGCTCTGTTCTTAACACAGGAAGTCATATTATTCTGAGGATAAACAAATGAAATTCCCCAAAGATTTAAAGCCAGTTCAAAAAGGTCAGATGGGTTCTAATATTGGCAAAATCATATTTTCCAGATGCAGTTTAACAAATGTAAGGGTTGCTTTTTTTTGTAAATAGAAATCCCTTAGCCCATCAACATCCAAATAAGTGAATATTAACATATAATTTAAATGTTTAGTTTTAATTGTATAACATTATCCTCAATGTAAAAATCCTAAACATGAAGCCACCCCAGTGACATGTTTGGAAAACTTAAGTTAAAAACAGAGGAAAAATCCAGATTTGTCTTGAATTCTCAAAATTGCTTATTTGAGCTTTCCTAAATATCTAATATCTAATATACTAAAGGTAATATATTAGACCTTTATTTCTATTTTACTTTAATAGTAATGGTGACTGTTTTTTTACTCCTTTACTCTAAGGCATGAAATCAATTAGAAATAAATGTATTGTGTGAGAGCTTTAGACAAGGAGATGCAGTTTTATATTATTTATCTAACTTTGCATTGTATATTATGTATTATATAACTTTAAAATGTAAACTTTCATTTGGTTGATCTACATATGTTTTATATAATTTTTATGAATATGCCACAAATAATGGTCTACAACACACTTACAGCTTGTGCATCCATGAAATTACGCGGTTTATTTTTTTGGCAAGGAGAAAGTTATCATCAGTGTTGTACCTAGGTTGCATTGAATAATTTGTCCAGGATTTAACTTTTCCTTTACTGTTAAGATTATAGAAAAAAAAAGGTCACTGTGTATTGTCTGTTTACTTCCTCAGTTTCTGTTTAATCTTTAGTGCCCAAAAATGTAGCCGTTTCTCCTTTTTTCACAGAAGCTGAGATTATGATTAACTATAATGTCCTACTTGCCACACAGTCCACCATCTTCATCTTTCCCTAATTCCCGTGGTAATTGCCATTACTATCTTTCTTTTACAATATTACTGAGGATTCCGTTACACCACACCTCTAGTTTTTCTTTCTATTTTTCTGGCTGTTGCTTCTCAATTTCATTCATTAGTTCATATTCTTCTGTAGCCCATAAAAGGCTCATGTTATGCAGGATTTCTCTTCAGCCCTGTTTTTCTTTTTAGTCTCTTTTTCACTTTAATCAAGCTCAACTTTGTCTAGGGTGTCAATAACTACATAAATTCCCATGACACCCAATTTTTGTCTCCATGTTAGATTTCTATCTTTAACTCTAAATCTATATATCCAACCAATAGTTGGAATTCTGTAACTGGAACTTGCTTCAAGTTTAACAAATTTAAAATAAATTTAGCACCATCCTTCTCAAACCTGACATTTCTTTCACACTCGCAATCTCAGTTAGTAACCACACCTGGTTGCTTTAATGAGAAACCTGGGGATAATATGAGACTTATTCTCCCCTATTTATTACATCCAGTCAATCACCAGGTCATGTTGATCCTACCCATAAGAATTTATTGCTTCTCTTCTGACCCTTTGCCACCACCATCTTCACTTGGAAACACATTGTCAATTGTCTAGACCATTTTAGTACCTTGTTTCCAGTCTTCCTCATTCTAGTCTTTTCTCCTTTCCATTCACTTTCTTTAAAGATCTTCTTCATCTGTCACTCACCTCTGTTTGGCATCAACTCCTTCCTATATATATTTTGAACTCTCAAAAGATTGAGTTTCATGTACCTTTCAAAGAAGCCATGCTCTGTCATTCACCTTTGTAATGGCATAAGCTCTTTTTTCTGTCTTCCTATTCTATGTCCAATGCCATATATATGGCTTCCAAAATGAAGCCATTTTTCGTCTTTTCACTAAAGTTGCTCTTATTTTAGATCTCTCTATTGTTCTAATATATCTGTCTATAGGCTTATATCTGTATTTTCTTTCTAAATATGTGTTGTAGATTCATTAGAATTTTATTTAATATTTATTTGGTGCACACAATACAATGTTGTGTGCTCAACATTGTATTAGATATAATTATCAGAAGTAAATAAAAGAAGGATTCCTGCTCCCAGAAGCTCAGTTTTGCTGGTAAATCTTAACTTATGTATTATTCATCTCTTCTCTGAAGGCTTTTCTGACTTCCACCTCCCCAACAAGTCAGACTCATAGGCAACTGTCACCAAGGTCTCAATGTATCATAAATTTAGCTTTTTTGTATAAATTATGTTTTATTAATTTACCTGTACTACATTGTAGGCCATTTAAGTTCAGGGAATTTGTCCTTCATCTTTCAATTCTTAATTTATAAGAGCAACTCAGTAAGTAATTTTCTTAATGAATAAATGAATGCAAAACTTTGGAAATGTCTACAAAACTCTCTGAGCTATTTAAATTGTATTATATCGGGATTTTAGTTTTTTATTATGTATACCTTTGATTTTTCTATTTGACTTTTGCTTTTAAAGATTTTAATTTAAAATATACCTAAATATAATTAGAAAATCATTTCCTTTGAACTTTACCCAGTTATTTATTGGAAATGAACACTTTAATATGTATAGACAAGACAAAATAGAAATCAAGGCCATTATTTTTGAGAAGCCCATATTCTAATAAGGGAGACAACAGTTCTTCATATTTGTATTCTAGATTTGCTAAAATTTTATTTATTATATTTTGAGGAGTGCCTACTATATGTCTGACACTATGCTGGATATTCTGGATTTTTAAAGAGTAAAATATGGTTTCCAAGTTAAGAATTTTGTTTTACAAATAAAGAACTATTGTTGCTTGCTCATATCTACAGCAAAAAAAAAAAAAAAATCAAATGATATTAACTGTGTTTTGTGAACACTTCTGTTGTTATACATTTATTTTAATGAAGGCCTCTACCTAGGTCAAAAGTGTTAACATGGCTTCTAACATGGTTTGGCTGTGTCCCTGCCCAAAATCTCATCTTGAATTGTAATCCCCATTATCCCCATGTGTCAAGGGTGGCACCAGGTGGAGGTAATTGGATTGGTGTTGGGGGTGGTTCTCCCGTGCTCTTCTCATGATAGTGAGTGAGTCTCAGGAGATCTGATGGTTTTATAAGTGTCTGGCATTTCCCCTGCTTGCACTCACTCCATCCAGCCGTCCTGTGAAGAAGGTACCTATTTTTCCTTTGCCTTCTGCCATGATTGTAAGTTTCCTGAGGCCTCCCCAGCCATGCTGAATTGTGAGTCAATTAAACCTCTTTGCTTTATAAATTACCCAATCTTGAGTATTTCTTCATAGCGTGACAATGGACTAATACAGCTTCCTTATGTGAAATGTAAGATTTGTGAAAAACTAACCACTTGCCTTTATCCAAGTCCTATATTTAAAAGAGAACCTCTTATTTAAACAATTAACTTTGGGCCTGGTGTGGTGGCTCACACCTGTAATCCCAGCACTTTGGGAGGCCAAGGTGGGCGGATCACAAGGTCAGGAGTTTGAGACCAGCCTGGCCAACATGGTGAAACCCTGCCTCTACTAAAAATACAAAAATTAGCCAGGCATGGTGGCAGGTGCCTGTAGTCCCAGCTACTCAGGAGGCTGAGGCAGGAGAATTGCTTGAACCCAGAAGCAGAGGTTGCAGTGAGCTGAGATCACACCACTTCACTCCAGTATGGGCAATAAAGCAAGACTCCCTCTCAAAAAAATAAAATAAAATAAAATAACTTCAATAATGGAAGTGTAAAAACAAATGCTGGAGACAGTAATGATAAAATCTTTTGTTATATGAGAATGGTGGCAGAATATGCCACCCATAAATATGCTACTTTGCCGTAATAATTATTTTGAGCTAAAGACATTTGAAAAATAGTATATACTGACATTCTGCCCTTTATGTCCCAGGAGAAAAGAAACACTCTTATCACCAAAGAAAGGAGAAAGCTACCATGTGAAAGATGGTCTATTGTTCTAGGAGGTACCTCTCTGTACTGTCTTGTCACCAGAGATGGGAGATTGAGGCTGAGAAAAATTTATACAAACAAACCTTGTTAAAATAACTCTTACCTTTCTTCAGCTTCCTCATTCATTTCAGTTACTTTTTAACAATTGGTACTGTTTGTTCAACCTAGCATAGAAGCATTTAGTTTTTGCTGTTTCTTCGGGTCTTTACTTTTCTGTGGGGATTCCCAGCTACAGGTAAACATCTATGTGCTTTTCTCTAGGTAATCTATTTTAGTTAGTTTAATTTTCAGGCCCAGACAGAGACCCTAAGAGGGTAGACATAAAGTTTTGTCTCTTTGCCATATGCATAGTGAAAACTGAAGTAAAAGTGAAAACAAATCATTATCTATATTATATATTAGCTATGTTACATAGCTAATAGATATATTTAGAGGTGTGAAAGCATAGCAAGTTTGGAGAAATAGATTGCATTGACATACAGTCTTGAGTCTTCCCATCGTATAAGATATTCTGTTTTTCTCTTTTCTATTTTCTTTTTCTTTCTTTCTTTCTTTTTCTTCTTTTTCAGGGTCTTATTCTGCTGCCCAGGCTGGAGTGCAGTGGCATAATCATGGCTCATTGTAGCCTTGAACTTCCTGGCTCAAGTGATCCTCCCACCTCAGCCTCCTGAGTAGCTGAGGCTACAGGCATGCACCACCACACCTGGCTAAATTTTTAGATTTTTTTTTTGTAGAGTTGGTGTCTCTCTGTTTTTCCCTGGCTGGTCTTGAACTCCTGGGCTCAAGTGATCCTCCTGCCTTGGCATCCCAAAGTGCTGGGATTACAGGCATGAGCCACTGTGTCTGACCAAGATATACTGTTATGTAGCATTGTTTATTAAATATGCTAGCACTCATTTGCTTTTAGGTTAGAAAACAAACAACCAAAAAGCCTTAGTTTAAAAGAAAATCTATGTTATGTTATGGCATGTATGGCTACAAAACACATTGAAATTTTGTGCCAGAATATTTTTGTTCATAGTCGTAGATAGATTAAGAAAATGGGAGATGTGTCTTAGTAATTTTAATGTAGATTATTGCAAAAATAAATGGCGATTTACATAGTGAAATAATAGCAGTGTTTGTTTGTGTATGTGTTTGGTAAATAGGATGTGGAAACTACACAAATGTAAAAGGTTAATATTTCAAACAACAGTGTATAAATTTGATATTCCATGAAGAATTGTTTCTTTAAAAGTGAAGTTGTATTTCAATACATGAACATTTTTTAAAAATGAGTTTATGTAAACACCCAAGTAGCTCATCTTCTGAGGAAATGTTACTAAGGCAAATTTCTCAATTTTTAAGTTTCCAGTATTAAAAACATAGTAAGTATGGTGGTAGTTATAGTTCTGTTTTTACTGTTGTAAATGCAGTGTAACTTGGAGTACCTCTGGTTAAATGACAAAGTTAAAATGATATTCAATATTTCCTGTGGATTCATGTTAATTTGTGGTTTTAATTTGTTGCCATTCACAGCAGAACAATTTCCTCACCAGGTTTCCTCATTGAAAATAATACTCAATTTTCCAGAGCTCCTACCACACAATCTTTAGAAGTAGAGAAGTAAAATTGATTTTCAATAAAAAGGCTGATTACATCCTTGTACAATGTCCATTATCTCTAAAAAAAAAAAAACCTGTAGTTTATGATACTATGGATTCAAATGACCTCATCACTCTTAGTTGTAATTATCTACCATGAAATATCTAGATATTTTCCTCATTACCAAGAGAAGAGAGAGCTCATTTAATATTTGCTTTCTTGGCCACGGGTTAGTTCCTAGAAACTAACTTTGTTAAATAAACGAAATGAAGAACAAAACAAGTATGTATAAAGAAAAACTTTTCAAAACGATGGAGCCAAAGATGTTGCCTTTCCTCACTCCTAGGATCTGTCCAAAATGAATAAGACATAAGGAACTGGGGGAATAAAATAGCCACCAGCAATGAAATAGAGAACAGTAGCAACTATTTCCTGTTAAACTTCAAGACATTTTTTTCCAGATAGTCATACCAAGTTCAACATGACTCTTGGAACTGATACTCAACTTCTCTTCAAGATATCAGAGCACTGTTGTGAGAAATTAGCTCGGGAAATTCCCTCAAATCTCAATAAATTCCCTGATTAGGAGAACTCATAAAAAAGATGGAAGCTCCTTCTTCTACTCTAGATAAATAGCATCTCATGTCTAGTGCTAGAGTTGGAAGACAGAGGATCTGACCATGTCTCATTGTTTCCCTGAGGTTGTTAATTTTTTGATCTACTCCTCTTGTGGAAGGAAAACAAATATACAAACAAATAATACTTTTTGCCATACATTGCCTTCACACATTGCTGTATATCAGTTTCCTTAGATTTATTGTCAATCTTAATGGTAACGATGAAGAAAAAAGAGGCAAACTGGAATAAAATCACATATGTGTATCTGTGCCAGCCACATTATCTCCAGAGCCCTCAAAGTTAACTACCTTTGTAGAAAATGATGCATAACAACAATGGGCCATTGACATCACTTCACAGCTGCTGTTAGAGTGGCTGAACTGCTTCAGGAGAGTAGACAGAGAGTGAACAGAGACCAGAAACTGGACTACTCCTTTTGCCTATTAGTAATCTTCATGAATGGGATTAATGCCCTTATAAAAGAGGCCTAAGTGAGACCCCTTGCCTCTTCCAACTGTGAGAACACAGGAAGAAGATGCCATTTATAAATCAGAAAGTGGGCACTCATCAGACACCAAATCTGCTGGTTCCTTGGTCTTGAATTTCCCAGCCTCCAGAACTGTTAGAAATATTTTTTTTGTTGTTTATAGGCCAGTTTATGACATTTTATTGTAGCAACCTGAATGGACTAAGACAGAAAGTTGGTACTGAGAAGTGGGGGTGTTATAACAAATATCTAAAAATGTGGATGCAGGTTAGGAACTGGGTAATTGGCAGAGGTTGGAATAGTTGAAGTGAATGCTAGAAAAAGCCTACATTGTTATGAATAAAACATAAGGAGTGATTGTGGTGAGGGCTCAGAAGGAGAGCAGTACAGTTATAGAGATAGCCTCAATCTTCTTAGAAAATACCTAAGTGGTTATGAATGGAAGAATGTTGCAGAAGTATGATTTGTAAAGGCCATTCTGATGAGCTCTCAGATGGAAATGAGGAACATGTTATTGGACACTGAAAGAGAGGACATCCTTGTTATAAAGTGACAAAGAACTTGGAAGAATCATGTTCATGTTCTAGTATTTTTTTGGAAAGTAGAATCTGTGAGTGTGCAAGTGGGTATTTGGCTGAGTAAATATCTAAGCAAAGTGTTGAAGGTGCAGCTTGGTCCCTCTTGACCACCTGTATCATTAAAAGTGAGGTGAGAGAAGTTATTTAAAGATGGAATTGTTAATCAAAACCGAAACAAACCTTAAAATTTTAGAAAATTCTCAGCCTGTCCATATTGGAAAAAAAAATGAGAAAGCCTGTTTGGGAGAGAGCAAGGATTTGGCCAAATGATAAGAGATTACTATGGATTGTATGGATGGACCATCTCAACTGGAGCCAGGCACTATTCACCAAGATGATAGGGAGTTTATTTAGCCATCTAAACAGCAGCCAGGACCCATTGTCAAAAAAAATGGAAGAATGACCCCCAAGACATTTCAGGGATCATCTAGGCTGCTCCCACAATCAGAGACCTAGAGTGCTAAGGCCTGGGGTGAGAAAAATTTCAAAGAAGGAGCTGCCATTGCCCAATGATAGCACAAATCAAGGACTCTGCTATTCTTACTCCATTGCTTTGTTTTTTGCTGTCCCAGGTGCAGCCCTGACAAACCCTAGTAAAGTGAGCATTGTGCCCAGCAAAGCTATGGTGGCATAGTTACCTCCACCTAGATTTCAAAGGATGCTTTGGAGAGCCACAAGGTCCAGGCAGGAAACTGCAACAGAGATCCTCCATCAAGGCAATACCCAACAGAGCCTTAGAGGCAGTGCCTCCTTTGTGACCCTTGACTGGTGGAGCCACCTGTGTGGCATGTGAATTCCACTGTGGAGAGCCACAAGCAATCCAACCCATGAGACTACAATATGGGCTGTGTCCAGCAAATTTATGAAAGCAGGACCACCTAGAGCCAACCTTTGCCAGGCAAAGATTCAGAAGCAGAATCTCAGTCCTAGTGTGTCCAGAAGGCAGGATCTCTGGCCCAGTAGATCTGGAGGGCAGAACACTGAGCCAAAGAAGATTATTCTAAAGCCTTAAGATTTAATGTTGTATGCCCTGTTAAATTTTGGACTTGACTGGGGACCTGTCCTTCCTTTTTTCTTTCTTATCTCCCTTTCAGAATGGGAATGTCCATCTTATGGCAGTTCCATCATTATATTTTGGAAGCACATAATATGTTTGATTTCACAGGTTAATGATTGGAGAGCAATTTGCCTCAGAATGAATGACAGATTGAGTCTTACTGAGACTTAATCTCTATATGTACTTTGTAAAATGCATGCTCTGCAAGATATGCCTTGGAAATTAGCAGTTATCAGTTTTGTTGTGTCACCTATGGTAAAATAACATATACCCTGACTCAGTTTTCCAACATATGGTTTAGGTAAAAGTTCCATATTTTTTTGTTAGCATTGTACAAACCTTGTAAAGAAAAATGGTCAATTGATATACAGTATTATGTACATGTTGGGTGTAGTTTTTCAGAAAGGAGACATTCCAAAATCTCACAGAATTTGGTGTGACTTTGGAGGAATGTAAAATAATCATTTGAAACTACCTTTTACAACAGTGGACCAATAACAGAAAAGGGGAGAAACACCAACTGAAAGCCTTGTATGGCAAACCTTTTGTTCTATCAAATGTGTTGCCAAAATGGCTGCCTTACTCCAATGCAGGAAAGTCATCTGAAATTGGAGTTGGACTTTCGTTGGTCATGAAGTCTTTTCTTCACCCTTTTTTAGGCTGGGTGGACCCCTGTTGCAAAAGTTTCAGCAAATGTAGGGAAAAGGCAAACAGAGACAAAATTACCCCATTCCCACAACTGTAAATGACTTTCCACCAATTTCTTAATTAATGTTATTAACAATATGAGTCTACATTATGTTTAAAATTAGTAGTGACTTTCCTCTAAAAAAGCATTAAGTTTAATGTTAAATAAAAGAAAAGAAAAATAACAAATAAAACCTTGGACATGACCTATCACACAAGAAAATAAGATAAAAGTTGAACAAATGATATTAAATTATAATGATTTATGTATTACATGATTACATACTGAGAAAACCAAACTACTAGAATTAAAATTAGTAAATAAACTGCCAAAAATAAACAAAAACAATAACTCCCTTGAAAATGAATAATAATCACTTTTAAAATACAATTAAATAAAGATATAAAGCACATAAACTTACCAAGAACTATGCAAAGCATACATAAAAACAAAATACTGGTGATCATAAAAAATGGTAAGTAAGTAAGAAATATCACATGGTCTTGGCTAGAAATATTTCGTTGACGAATTTTTCCCAATTAGCCTGTGTATTTTGTATAACAGCAATCAAAATTACAAAGGGTTTTTAATTGAAAAATTTATAAAATATATCCTGAAAAATAAGTGGACAAAAATATCCAGCCAAATTCTGAAAAAGATGTGTAATGAAGGGGACTAACCTTATCAAATATGAAAGTGTCATTTAAACTAGATTGATTGAAACTGTAATGAGAATCCAAGAATGGACAGATCAATTAAAAAGAACAAAGTCTCTACAAATTAGCAGAAGAATTAAATATCTGACAAGAGTAGTTTTTGAATCACTGAGCAAGGTTCTGGTTATACAAAAAAAAAAAAAAAAGTGAGAGGCAATTGGATACATATTTGAGAACCAAAATAAAGAAAACAAATAAAGCTCTTATGCCTTGTATAAGCATAAATTCCACATATATTAATGATGTAATTTAAATACTAGAAAATATAATAGATGAATATTTTTATAATTTTGATATTCAGAAGCCCTCTAAGCACATGTCAATGGTAGAATACACAGAGTAAAATATTGATATACCTGATTAAGTACAAATTAATACATTGTGTTTGGCAAATACACTACAAAATATTAGAAAAATTATGCTGGAAATATATATTTATGAAACACCTATTCTAATAATGTTGCTAGTTACAAAACAACAGAAAATTACTGGTTAACATTAGCCTAAAGGTTGTTTTGGGAGTTGCTCACAGAACCAACAGGAAGGCTTGAGAAGCAAGTTTAATTAGAAGCAAGATGGAACAAGTACAGCAAAGGCACTGTACCAAAATGGCATATTTTCACTAAGAGTTCATGGGGAAGCTTTGGGGCTTTTTATTTAACACAGGTATCTCAAATTATTTCTAAAAGACTCTCTGTATTGAATTACCTCCTCTAGATTCAATATCCCCCACAGAAGCATCTGATTGGCCATCCTTAGGGCATTTGACTCCAATGTACTTGCTATACTAGGTTGGAGAGAGAAAATGGCATGTCTTATTTGGCTTCCTGAGTGGGAGGCAGCATGGAATTCTCTCATATTAGAAAGGATATTTATTTTTTCGGCAGCCTGAACAATTATTCTCTACTAAGAAGTTTATATTTCTTTTCATTTGAAAACCTTTTGTAAATCAAATAAGGAAAAAATAACCAAATAGGGAAAAAAAGAGCAAACAGCACAAAAATGTAATGTAGAAGTAGAAATACAATGACTAATAAGCCTATCACATGTCTAACTTTTCTAGTAATCAAATAGTGCAAATTATTGAAACAATTAAAATAAGAAAAAAATTGATTAGCCAAAAGTATTAAAGTTTTGAAATAGCCAGTGAAGTTAGTGAAGATAAGAGGAAATGGATACTTTGATACAGTGTTGGTGGAAATATAAGTTGATTGAATCATCTCAACTATATTTGTACCAGTACATTAGCTTCATAAAAGCTGCCATTCTTTTCTGTTTTGATTATTGCCATATTCAAAAAGACTACAATAGTGCCTGAGAAACATTGCAAATTCTTAATAAATGCTTGTTCAGTAAATTAATATCAACATTTAAAATCTAATGGTCTTTTGCTATATAATTCCACTCCTAAAAGTTTACCCAAAGGATGTAAACATGTGTCTTAGTCTGTTTTGTGCTATTATAACAGACTGTCACAAACTGGGTAGTTTATAAAAAACAAAAATTCATTTCTCACAGTTCTGGATGCTGGGAAGTGTAAGATCAAGATGGTGGCAGGTTCGACTGGTGAGAGTTGCATTCTCCAGATGGAAGAAACATTGTGTCCTCATCTGGTGGAAGGTGGAAGGGTAAGCTACCAAGCACTCTGCAAAGATCCTTTAAAAGGGTCTTAATCCCATTCATGAGGGACGAACCCTCATGACCTAATCACCTCTTACAGACTCTACCTCTTAATACTTTCACATTGGCAACACCTGATTTTGGAGGTAATATATTCAAACCCATAGCAACAAGTATGCAAAATAGAAATCAAGTATATACAGATTTTACTTTGTCTATTAAAGTGTGAGAAAAACAATATGAATGCTCAACAATCAGTTACTGGTTAACTATATTATGGTCTCTACAAGTAGTGAAATATTATATAGTTTTAAAAATATATATCTATATTTTTTAACATGAAATAATGTCCATGACACATTACTGAGTGCAAGAAAAGCAGTTTGCAAATGTTCCATTAGATCTGATTTTTATTTTTTCAAAAGGAAGTTACTATAGGTGCATACTTATCTAGACAGAGCCTGCTAATTATATACATCAAAATAGTAAGAGTGGAATATCCTCTACCCCTTTTTTTCTTTTCCCCTCCTGAATAATTCAGTCCAAAACCCATTAGGCAGGGTGTCTATAAAGGTAAGGAAATGACACCAGACAGTAGTTGCAATCCCTCCACAATTCTCACTTCCAAAGCAAACAAAACAAAACAAAACAAACAACAACATTCTTGACTAGTACTTCTTATTTTTCCAGGCTTATTTATCCTGGTTCCCTGATCCTCAAAATTTTTGTGATGTATAATCCAGTGATTGTTCTGCCTGACATCTCTGCCTCTCCCAAATATTCTTCTTTCCTTTCTTATTAGCCTAAATTCCATCACTTTCTAACATACACCCTCAGCTTCCTCTTCTCTCCCTTTCTAAGCAATCATTCTGTTTTCTTGGGAAATACTAGCAAAAAGCAATCCCTACGTTGGTAAGTTATGTCAGGTAATGGTAACAGCTATGGAGAAAAATAAAGTGTGGATGTAATTTTATATAGCATTTATTGTGGCACTATTGATAATAGCAAAGACTTGGAACCAACCCAAATGCTCATTAATAATAGATTGGATAAAGAAAACATGGCACATATACACCATGGAATACTATGCAGCCATAAAAAAGAATGAGTTCATGTCTTTTGCAGGGACGTGGATGAAGCTGGAAACCATCATTCTCAGCAAACTATTACAAGAACAGAAAACCAAGCACCACATCTTCTCACTTATAAGTGGGAGTTGAACAATGAGAACACATGGACATAGGGAGGGGAACATCACACACCGGGGCCTGTCAGATGGTGGGGAGCTGGGGGAGGGATAACATTAGGAGAAATACCTAGTGTAGATGACAGGTTGATGGGTGCAGCAAACCACCATGGCACGTGTATACCTATGGAACAAAACTGCACGTTTTGCACATGTACCGCAGAACTTAATAACAATAAGAAGAAGAACAGTACTGTGGCTGGAGCAGGATACTGTTGTGGGGGATGGGGAGTGAAGCAATAGTAAAAGATGATCTCAGAGAATTACAGGTGGCCAGACATATAGGGCCTTAAGTTACTACCTAAAATCCTAACCTCTCTTAACATTTTGACATATTTTCTTCTAGTTTTGTTACTTATCTAAACGTTTCATATAGTTGATATTATATCACCTATCTTATTTTCTTGCACTAAGCCTTTTTTATAACATTACCCCTTCAGCAATTTTTCCAATGGCACAACACTTCCAACATATTTTAAATTACTGCATAATATATTATCATGTATACATACGCAATGTCATTACTACGTACTGGTCATTGAAATTATTCACAGGCAGAAAGAAGATAAGGAGTAACAGTCTAATGATTCTGCAACTCAGCATCAGGCATCCTTATTTCGACTCTCTCCTGACTCTGTAGAACAGTTCTTGCCTCATTTGCAAGACTGCGTACACCTTCCCTATTCCTTTTTTCTTTCTTTTTAAAGAAAAATCTAGCCCATTACAGCACCCATATCTTGATAAGGTTCTTGTTTTCTTGTTTCTGGGGCTGAAAACTCTGCAGTTCTTGGATGCAGTTTCTATAAAAATAAATCACTCATTTCTCTAGACTTATTTCTTAGACAAAATAAAGATGTTACATGGACTTGTTATATATTAATACAGTATTACACAAGTCTATGATAAAAAGTATATTACCACATAGCCAACTTTCAATTTTTCTATTATGAAGTGCCAATATGATGTTTGGAGTAAAACAAGAAAGATGCATGGCTTTTGTAACTTACAAATAATTTAACTCACCTAAACAATGAGAGAAATATGCTATATTGAGGACCTTATTAGTTCATTATGATTCAAGAATTTTTAAAACAATGCCTGGGTCCTTTGCACCACACAGCTGGAATATGGCTGGAGGTGCTCTGAATCATGGAGAATCCAGAAAGAGAAGTATAGAATAAAGATTGATAAGGAATACACCAAGCAGATGTTTTATTTCTTCCTTTTGGGGATAATTCTAGAGATTATCACAATATAGTCTGTGGGAGGTGGAGAGAGAACAGGTAACTGGGATAACCCTGAAGTAGCTGGGAAACTCCATGTCTTTAGCACAAAGTTCTGTCAATAAAACCAAACACTGGCTTTCAGTTATAAAGACCCTGCTAGGTCAGCATCTTCCGCACTGCCTTATTGAATTGGGATTTAGTAACATAACTTGGATCTTAATCCCAAAAGTGATCAAAAGATCTGCATCATCATATCAGCCTTTACTAAGTATTAGGGGCATATTGGATGTGATGCTGAAAAGCTTCTTTCTGGTTCCTAAGGATCTTGGTGCTTTAGTGAGATAAACTAGTTATTGCTACTTGGTTTTAAAAATGGCCATGGATATTAGTAATGTACTTAACGATTACTTAAATAGCATAACAAAGGGAGCTGAATTTTCTCTGACCATAACCTGCCTCCTGCTATCTTTGCTGTGTTTGTATGTATGTTTGTGTGAGGGGGACATTTGAAAAGCACAATACTGTGAATATATAGTATGTTCACTTCAAACTTTAATTCAGAAAACGAAACCTCAAGGAGAAGAAACATTTGAAACCCAGATAAATGCCATTTTTGTCTTTCAAGCTTATGGAAAAGTTTCCTCCCTAAATCTTCCCCAATGCATCCAGATTATGGCTTCCGGTGGAGCTTCCTAATCACACAGTAGGGAAGATACATTAATGGAAGTCAGAGTAGGGTATTGAATGGACTAATGGAAGCTTTTTAAGAATTCCAAGTACTCTTCATATTAGAACCTTTGTCATAAAGGTGACAATATTAACAATAATAATCCTCTCTAACAAAAGACTAATATCAGGTCTGGCTCCATAAGAGCCACTGGTTCCCCTGTGCTCCGTCCGAGGATGCCCTGATTTCCATTTCTAGTCCTGAGCACATATTGTTCAATTTAATAACCTAAATTTTCACGAGTAAAACAGATCTTCAGAATGAATTCAGTAATTAGCTTCCCCGTTAGGGGGCTCATTTAATTTCAAAGCTAATGCTATCCACGTTTCCGTTTCTAATTAATCCAAATATAGCAATGCTATAGTAACCAGACAACATGTTCTTTGAAGAGCTGAAGCTATGACATTGTCATGACATCAGCAGACTTTCATTAGTGATATGATTTTAGAACACACTTTAAAACAAATGGAATCTTTTCTTGTCTATTTTCTTGACTTACTGGTTTTGTTTTGTGATTTTAAAATGTTTGAAATATATGCAACCTCTTCCAGTCTGATTTCTTAAGAAGTTTTTAGCTATTTATAAACAAGATAAATGCTTTCATAAGATTCAGAATAGAAGAATAGAGGTTGAGATTATTTTGAGATCAATGTCCTTGAGAAATTTAAGACAGCTATGGAAAGTTTCCTTGAGAAGTATTAGAAAGAAATATATAACTACCTGGCAGCATAAATAATCAGATTCCATTTGATTAGAGGATTTGGCATATGTGAAATTATGTAATGCTAGAATCCTGCCTTTAGCTCTTTCCAGGAATATTTATAGATATTTATAATTTGTATATTTTTGTGTTATATGTAGATGCACATATATGTGTACATATATATCCATATTTGAAGCTATAGTTATTCTTCCCTTAAAAATATCATTAAATGGAATATGGCATTGGCCTGTTTCCTGTTCAGTCATAAGGAGGATTATTTAAATGTGGTTAACTGCATGTCACATTTTCAAATTACATTGTCAAGGTTTTTCTACAGGAAGGATGAAATTAGAGATTTACCAACAGGTAAACATATTAATATAACTATACAACGATATATTATATATGTTCATACGTAGGAAGCAAAATGAAATAAATAAATAATAATAGACTGGTTAGCTGAAGGAGAGTCAAAGTTGTTCTAATCATTTATTTGGAGGTCAATCTGGCAGTTTTGTCTGGAAAAAGTCTGATCAGTTTACAGAAACAATAGGCTTGAGACAACCCCAAAAAAAGTGTAAGAACTATCTGATCAAAAGGATCACAAACAGAGAAAAATGAAAAGAAGCAATCAGTGAGCGATCCAAGGCCTACTGCCATCAAAATTACTGTTGAGAACAATGAGATAAATTGGATCCTCCCTGAGTGGTTGGAATTATGATTAGGACAGCTTTCTAAGAATGATTTTTAAATGGTTTGGATGAGGTTTTTAAGTGAGAATGAGACATTAACAGTTTTTAAAACCTTCAAGAAAAATGGTCAAGCTGTAAGAATGTTTGACCTCTGCTTCCTAGAACCAAAGCAAAGACAGGCTGTTTCATAAGAACAGAGCACCACCTTGTGTTAGTAAGTTATTACACCTCCTTGGGACACCTAAGGGAGGTTCTTTCCATCGTATTAAGTGAGAGCCTGTCAGTAATGCTCTTGAGTACAACAGGCAAGTGTCATAGCTTCCTACCATTTTACGCTCTAAGCCTTATGTAGTGTCTGTGTTTGTGTTCCTAGGAAGATAGAGAAAATGATGTAGAGAGGTGATGAATCGGACAAAACAAAAAATACTTTTTTGTATTTTTAATATGAATGCTTTTATCTCAGGAAGGAATTTATAAACTAAATTCATAGCACTGATACCACATTGTTTTTGCATTTAACACATCATATTCATTGCTTCTTAACATGAACTAGGTTAAGTACCAAATCTCAATGAAGCAATTTTGAATTTAAAATAATTTAGAAGTGCATTATTTCTGGAGTCTTCAAATAATTGTTAAGGAACGATGAAAGATCTAAAAATCTTAAGATGAAAGTAAAATCCCCTTAGATTTTTCTAGTAAAGACACAACACTTATAAAGTAAGAAGAAACATTAGTCGAATAGCATTAAAAATCTTCACTTTCCTATAATTGCTGCCCTAGAAATTTTATCTTTTACATAAAGAGAAACTTAAAGCCATGCAACAAATGTAAATATCTTGTTCATTCTTCAAAATTAAACTCAAATCTTAACGAACAGTCTTCTGTGGTCACTAGTGTTCTTGTGGCACTTGATTTGTAAAATTAAAACTTGTTTTGTATTAAAATGGTTTTTGCTCATGTTTCATCGCCTCTAGCATATCTTCAGCTCTTTGGCTATAATGTACTGCCCTCAGCCTTTTTTGTGACCCCAAACTATCTAGAAGAGTTATTGTCCTATGAAACTTTCTGTGATGATAAAAATGTTTTCTGAACTATCCAATACGGTAATCACTGGTCACATGTGGCTATAGAGCAATTGAAATGTGGCTAGTGTGACTGAGGGACAAATTTTAATTTTATTTTTTTTGAGACACAGTCTTGCTCTGTCACCCAGGCGGGAGTGCGGTGGTGTGATCTCGACTCCCAGGCTGCAGATCCATGGCAACCTCTGCCTCCCATGCTCAAGTTCAAGCGATTCTCATCTCTCAGCTTCCTGGGTATCTGGAACTACAGGCATGCACCACCACGTCTGGCTAATTTTTGTATTTTTAATAGAGACAGGATTTCCCCATGTTGGCCAGACCGGTCTTGAACTCCTAGCCTCAAGTGATCTGACCGCCTTGGCCTCACAAAGTGGTGGGATTACAGGTGTGAGCCACCGTGCCTAGCGTGATTTTTAAATATTAATTAATATAAATTTAAATTTAAATAGTCTCATGTGTCTAGTGGCTACTGTATGGACAAGATGGACCTAAAAATACCTTAGAAAAATATATATTCAATGAATAAATGTCAAATTATTAGAACATTATGTGTTAAATTATTTCTACTTTTTGTTGTAGGAAATAATTACAATTCTCAGCTTCATGTTTTGTGTCTTATCTCAAATAAAGCTTGAGAATTCTGTAACTCATTCACATAAGAATTTTTTATAACCTAAATTATTGAGATAGTTTTGCTTCCTTCCTATACTCACCTTCTGGCCTTTATTCTCATATAATTTTTTAAGTTTTGCCTCACAATTCTGCATAAATTCTGAAAAGCAATAAATTTAATTATTTGAACAACATAGGAGAGTTTTTAAGTATATATGTAAGTGAACTTGAAATCTATACGAGTAGATTTAAATTTCAGCACTATCTTGTTCAAATGTCAAAAGTAAAGTCACAGAGGAACCCCTTATCTCATTAAGTCCTTCTCTCCCTCCATCCTGACCAATGGCTTAGAATAATATGACATCCTGAAAAACTTTTCTGGATGGTACCCTGCAAGTGTATAGGCATATAGAAATATTTTGCATTCAACTCCCAAATTATTTTCATTTAATTTACTCATAAAATATTATATCTATATTATATGTCAGTCACTTAGCCAAGTACTGAGGCAGATACACAGGCAAACTCTCTATATAATACATCCTTAAGGTTTTCAGTTTTGAGGCCAGGAAGCAGTTAGTTTTAACAGTTATTAATATATATTGAACACTTAATTCTTTCAAGATCTCTGTGGTTGTATCATTAACCTCATTTTATAAATGATAAAAGTAAGCCTTGGAGAGGTTAAGTAACTTCTTTAAAGTAATACTGTAAAGCTGGCAAATGAAAAAGCCAGAATTCGAATTTAGGTCCTGTTACTTGCAAGTCAGACAATGATAACTGTCATGTTTTATTACATTTTTAATAAATACTTATTTTAAATAAACCATTATGAATGCGTTAAGAGTTTGGTGGAAAATGTTATTAGAACTCAGTGAGTATGTTTCTCATGAATTCAAGTATATCAAGTATATACTTTTTTGATTATCAGAGATGTGGATTCAAACATAAAGGAGGGAGAATTTTGTCTCATAACCAGATAAACACATATTTATCAAATAATATGTAATTTGAGCTAGACACAAAACAGATCCCCTAATTACATAGTTGAGATTTTGTGGCTGTGCAGGCATTTCTGATCATGTGTTTTTATTCATCTACAGGATTCTCTGAATCACTATTTGAATAAGATATCCTAAAAACTTCATTAGATGGTGTTTTGTGCTTAATTATGAAATATGAAATGGGAAACACATTTGTATTATCCCAGCAGAATGGGGATAGGAGGGCATATCATGCTAACTTTTACTTGAAATATGGATGTTTAATATTTTATTTAATATGAAACACATATTACTTACTTTTTAAAAGTTAGAAAATTCTGCATTTTTAAAAATGCACTTTTTCCCTTTAGTTTTTTCTAAATGTGTAAACACAAAGTTTTGTTACCTTTTTTTTGAGTTGTAGAGATGATGACCTTGCTTTGTAGAAAAAAAACATTATTTTCAAGCATATATCATCTACATTTCTGAGGTTAAATGTGAGAATTTGAGAATAGATTCAGTATAGCTTCATGTCGAAATGGCTAATCTTTATTGTTTTGAACGTATTTCTCCTTTCTTTCTTTCCTTCTTTCTTTCCTTCCTTCCTTCCTTCCTTTTCCTTCCTTCCTTCCTTCCTTCCTTCCTTCCTTCTTTCTCTTTCTTTCTTTCTTTCTCTCTTTTTTTTTTTTTTTTTTTTTCTGAGGCGGAGTCTCGCTCTGTCGCCCAGGCTGGAGTGCAGTGGCGTGATCTCAGCTCACTGCAGTCTCCGCCTCCCAGGTTCAAGCGTTTCTCCTGCCTCAGCCTCCCGAGTAGCTGGGATTACAGGCATATGCCACCACGCCTGGCTTATTTATTTATTTATTTATTTATTTATTTATTTATTTATTTTGTATTTTTAGTAGAGATGGGGTTTCATCATATTGGTCAGGCTGGTCTCGAACTCTTGACCTTGTGATCCGCCCGCCTGGGCCTCCCAAAGTGCTGGGATTACAGGCATGAGACACTGCACCCAGCCTTCTATCTTTCTTATGTAAATACTTTCCTTCTTTCTGAATGTCCCAAAATTAAATTTTAGGAAATATTAAAATTTTTGGTAAAATATTTCCACCTTATTCGCATTATTTTATTTCTCTTTTTTTATTATTTGACAAAGCTGGATTTCATTGCTAACCAGTTACGCTTATGATGAAGCACCCTTGTACTACATCAAAAACATTAATTATTCAATTATTTCTTTTAACTTATTGGCAATCATGTATCTCATTCATCAATTGGTAAGTACATATTTTTGAGCATTTTCAGTATGTCCAGCACTGTAGCAAGGAACACAGAAGAGAGAAATACGGTGTATGTCCTCATAGGACTGCAATTTTGCTTGAGTGACAGAATTAACAAATGTCATCAATATTATTAGATAAAACAAAGATAAAAATAGCATTATGTCAATAAATGAAAGAGAAATTAAAATAAAGCAAGGTTAGTATGGGTTCAGTATTCTCTTTACCATATTCTTGAGACAGTATTGATTATTTCATTTCATTCTGCAGACGATGAAACTAGATTTCAGGGAGGCCCAGGGGCTTTTCACCTGGGAATTTAACTCCAAAGCTTATCTTTTTTCTGTTGTGTCACCATTTTAGAGAAAGCTGGAGGTAGCACTCATGCTGGATTTCCTAAACCATGTTGGGTTAAGGGCAGGGTTAAGCGATAGAAGCCTAGTGCGTGAATGAACATGGCAGATGAGTATGCTTGTCTGATGAGCCAGGTGTATGTTTTATAGATTAAGATGATTAGGGCTGTGGGCTGGAAACAGATCTTGGAAGTCATGCACATTAAATAGCTGATTATTTTTGTAATAGATTTTGGAGCAGGGCAGTTGCATATTTAAATGGCATTTTAGAAAAGCAAAGATGGATGAGTGGGAATAGTTGCAATCAGGAAAGCAACTTACCTGAAAGAAATTGTAGAGAAAATATTGCCTGGACACAGGCTTAGAACAAGAAGCCTCTTCCTATTCTTCTAAACTTTGAGCTTCTAGAATGAGTAGTGTATTGACTCTTTTTAGACATCACCCACTTTCTCCTCAGCCGACTCAATATGCCTTCCATAACTCCTATTTCCAATAATATTGCTCAGCGATAGAATAATTTGCAAGGCACCATTTACTTATTTATTGTAGGTCTTCTCCACTGGAATTTAAGTGCCATGAAGAAAGAAAATGTATCTTGTTCATCCCAGTATTCCTTGAGCCTTGGATATATCCAAGCACACAGAAGGTGCTCTAGGAGTGTGCTTTTGAATTTTTATAGGCTTTTCTTTAAATCATTATAAAATCATTCAAGTTTAGTTTGTGGTCATGGCAGAAATGGAAATAGATATTATGCAATGTGCAACAAAGGTGCTCACAGGAAAAATGCATACTGGACTGTAACTAAGTTTAAAATGATGGTGGCCTATTTCCAACTACTCAGAAGGTGATTAGTTTGTGAATTATCCACAGACCTCCTGCTTCTCTTTCATCTAACTGCTGCCAACTTTTGGCTAATTTTATGCTCATTAACACTTCCTCTAGAGCATGGACAAGGCAAGGGTGTGACCTTTGTGTCTGTCCATTTTGCTGCTGATTAACAAATTTTGGGATGATTTGGTGGAATAGAGATTGAAACTATTGGCAAAGATGAATATTTTATATTATTATGTATAGGTTTTGTTTATTGATGTTATTATTCCTCGTTTATGCATGACCCATTGGAAAGATAAATGTGTAATGCGAATATAGTATACACAATATTCTCTTTGATCGTGAACATTTGCTGACACATCCATACATATGGATTATAATGAAAATAGAGCTTTAAATCCAAAGGTTAAATTGAAACAGTTGTCATGCCAGAGTTATTCAATATAATGGTGTGTATCTTTTATATCTCCTAATGTTCAAGGAGTTAGACAACCTATGTAATTTCATAAATAAATATTTGTTTTAATTAGAAGAGCCATGCATATTTTAGGGAAAGTCACACAGCATATTTAATGACTTAATTTGGCCACAACCCATTTATAGTTAATAAATATGTCAAGTTCTGTGATGAATTGCAGTGAATTGCAAAATAATATAGAAATAAAAATATCAATAGGTTGATTAGAAGTCATAGTTTTAGAAATGAAGAAGCAACATTAAAACAAAAATGAATTACAAATATAAAAATGTATTAGATAAAGTTGAGAATCAGTCAAGGACAAAATATTTAACAATGTATAAAATTTACTGCAGGACTCATGGGATTTAAAATATGTCTAATATGCAAACCATAAAGAAATGCAGTAAAAATGCCTAACTATATAGACACACTCATTGTTTGATGAAATCTCTCCCCTATATGGTAAAAATTATTATTCTGTGATTCTGGGTTTAGCTGGAATGTGTTACTAAAAGAATCCATTATTTTAATTAGCACCAGTGTTTATATGATAAATAGAGGCTGAGGATGGTATAAGTACAGAGATCAAACTGGATCTTTTACCTTTACCTTTGGGGAAAGCACAGATGTAAATTAAAACATAATAAATCATATTATTTACTACTTTTGAAAAATTAAACTCAAATGAATTTAGGCTCAAAATTTTGTATAGATGTACAGCAAAATAACACAGACAAAAATAAAGGGTATGGCTTAGCTGAATGGAGAAAGTTATAGAATTTTTTTATATGTTTATTGCCTTTGCTGAGCATCATTTGAATTAACTTTACAGGCACACTAATAAGTACAATTAAATCATTTAACCACGTTGTACTTATAGCGTATATTTCTGAGTATAACTCAAATATACTTGTACCAAGCTATGCCATCTTTTACTCAATATGTTTTCTAGAATTGTTAACTGCAGTCGGTGAACTTCTTATTCATTATATCATATGGCCTTTTCAAAGTTTACATAAAACAAAGTGAGGTATAAATAAATGTATAAGCAAACAAATAAATAGGCTTGCTAATGTTGGAATTCTTAATTTTAAGTGCATCAATGCTACTATATTTCTACCAGCTGCTTGCCAGTGTATTATCGCTATAAATTCTATTTGTATGAAAAACTCTTAGGGAGGAGACAAGTTCCTTCGCACAATGTTATTTATTTTAAGAATGCCTTTTGGTCATTTAAAAATCTCTCAGAGAAGTTTAGATATGCCAGTGACTTATTGATCCCTTTTCTATTTTTAATTTTGTACTAGTTACTCACAGAGAGTTGTAAACAAGACTGGTGTTTTATTGCTATCTACCAGTACTAGTTGTTTACGGATGGCATCTGTTCTGATGAGTCCATGCCAAACACACACTAGCTGTTAAATGTTTTGAATATTATCCTCGTTGTAAATATAATTTTACTGGATTATGCATGTGAAAACAAGAATTTTGTCAGTTAGAAAGCAAACAATTTTAAAAAAATTAGGTCAGCTTTAGAAAAGAAGCCAGGTTTACATGTTTAACTATGTAACAAACCTGCACATCCTGCACATGTACCCCTGAACTTAAAATAAAAGTTGGAAATTTTTAAAAGCCATGTTGTTTATATTTTCTTAGAAGTTCACTTTATAAATGCATGATAGTCACAATAAGGCAGTATTGTGATTGACAGAAAGGCACCAACAGATGCTTTCGAAAGACATACAATTTTTTAAATTATATAAGATGCAGATATCTTTGCAGAGATAAGTAGAGCAGTTGATAGCTCAGCATGCTCCCAGAGGGAGGAGCTGCCTTATAGGCCTCAAAGTTTCCCACAAGCACAGTCAGCTGTTCATGAAGCCACCTGTGTGGAATGAGGAAGCTGGACTAGTGGAAGTTATGCTGGACTAGTTTCCAGAACTTTGGAAAAAAACAAAAACAAAAACTGACATTTCTACTTCCTCTCTCTTTGTGCACTCAATTTTGGAGCCCTGAGGCACCATGTAAGAAATATTTGGCTACCTGCTGTGACGTGACCCCAGAGAGAGGTGCTGGTGGATGTTGATGTTGTGTGTAGGTGTTCTGGCTGAGCACAGCTGAAGTCTTTGCTGGCAACTAGCATCAACCATCAGACATGTGACTGATGGAGTCTTTGAGAAGATTCCAGCCCCTAGCCTTCAAGTCCTTCCAGCTGAGGCCCCAGACATAGCAGAGTAGATACTCCATCATGATGAACTCTTTCCAGATTCTTGAAGCATAAATTCAGCAAGTCTAATAAAATAGTTGTTTTAAGTTTCTAAGTTGTGAGGCAATATGTTACACACAGAATAGTAACTAGAATAGCAAGTACTCCTAAAACATACCAGCCTCAGTTTCGGTGCCTCAGCACAACGACAGTCTTTAAGTTTTGGAGGACACTGAAGTGGGGCGGGGGGGTGGGATGCAGTTTGGAAATAACTTCAGACAATGTAGATATGTCCCTTGCCAAGAAGTATGCTCATCCTTAAACCCCAGTATTTTGAATTGCTCTATTAATACTATAAGTGTCCTTCTAAGTTCATATGCTTAGCAGTTTGTGAAACCTATTTGGATGCTGTGCTATGAGTGCTACTTCTATTTTGGGATTGTCCTAAGCTGCTTTGTAAGAGATATAACTTAATGATGCTGAGCCTTGGCCTTGGGATGAAAAAAACATAATTAATAGTATAATTTTATAACCATACTTATCAGACAACTTTCAGGACAGTTTGTTCCAGCTTGTCAGTATAGGCTATTAGTAACAGCAAGATTGACAGTTTATACCCTGTTCAGGTGTGATGCCAGTGGACTCCACCATTATGGCAAGTCACATAACAGTGATGACCCTTTGGATCAGTAGAATATGAGAAGACCCAACCAAGACTTTATTTTGAGCCCCTGTTTTCTAGGCGTTCCATGCACATGTTGGATGTCACTGATGCAAGTGAGAAAGTGCATCCAGTATGGCCTCGCAAAAAGGAGGACAATTGGAGCCTGCATCAGACCACTCTGGACCCCTTGCTGTAAGACAGCCTTTGGCTGGGATGCATATTCTTACTAAAATGCTCATGCTATATTTTATCCTTCTCCTTCAGTAAAGTGTAGATTTGTAAGAATTGTGGTTAAGTCTTAAGAGTCTTCTTTAGTGTCTTTTTTAAATCTTCTGCAGGGAAATAAAGACTTTATCATCCTAGGGTTGGTAGCTGGGTGTACAAACAAAACAAAACAAAACAAAGAAAAACTGAGAACAGGAAGATTAACAAGAGAAAAAGCATACAACTTTATTAATTTTTAATATGTCCACAAGGGAATTATAAGAAAAAACTAATACCGCACAAAACCATGAGATGTGAGAGTTTACAAACCATTTTAATAGGGAAAGGGAAGAGAGATGTTGGTTACTTAGAGGAGAATAAATGATTTTTAGGAAAGATGAATGGGTCCTTAGGAAGAATAGATGGGAGATAATGATAGATTCAGACAAAGTTTGTCAGGGTGTTGTCAACTTCTAGTTTCTGCTCCTGTAATAAGAGTCCATCTTCCTAGTTGATGAAACTCATGGGGAGATGGTTTATAACAATGGAGTTTATTTTGGAAGATTTGTCTTTAGGTAGGCAAAGGGAGTTCAAAGAAAGATTCTCCTTTCATTTGCTGTTTTTCAAAATGCCTCAACCTCAAAATAGTCAATATACCAAAACTTATATTTTGGGTATATTCTGGGGTGCCATCTCGTGAACTACGTCGCTGTTATATTTTGGGGTGGTATAGTCTTATTTATAACACTTCTTTAGTGTCTAATTGGCATAATTAGTGTGGATTTCTTAATTATATTTTTGTACTGGTTTGACAATACACCAACACATACACATAATATGCTCACATCATTAGCTACTTTATTGGCTAAGCTCCTCCTTTGCTTACCTCATTCTATGGTGACTTCTACTCTTTACTATTTCTGAAATTCACTATAGTTTTGACTGAGACCAAGGGATGAAAAGGCTGCTGTCAAGATAAAATATTAAAGTACATTTTTGAAGTTGAAAAGATAAATACCGCAGTTCTGTGTACTACTAGGAAAATACACATAGCCCATTGTAGGAAATGGCTTTTTTAGTGACAAGGTCAAATAACATATTTCCAGAGACTCAGAGAGATGTATTGGTGTTTATTCAATATTCCCTTACCACCAGACAGTTCCCCAGTGAAGTTTTCCATTTTAGAGAAAGTCTTCTTGCTTTGGTCATTAAAACAGTGCCAAAGTACTAAAACATATATAGTTGTTTCTTGGTTTTCTAGTTTTTCTCTTTCTTGCTGTCATTCTCCATCAGTTTGAACTTAGACACAAGCATATGACTTGTTTTTTTTTCCCAATGAAATGTCATCTAAAGTAATATAAGTCACTTTTGGATAGAAATAATAGACAGAAGACAATTTTCCCAGTTCCCTCTGCAGGTAATGAAAACACATGACAAGATGGAATCTCTTTCAGCCTGGGTTCCTGAGTAACTAGTGAGCATTAGTCCCTAAGTGACAATGCTGGACATACACCATAAACAAGAAATAAATTTTTGAATGTTAAGCCATTGGTGGGTATTTGTTACTGTAGCATAACCCAGCTTAACCTAGCTAATATCCCTATCTTATGTCTGAACTTCTGAGATATTATACCCTATGTAAATTCTAGGATAAATGATTTGTTGACTGGTTCTTTTATAGAAACTAATCTTCCAAAGTTTTAAAAAAAAGTCCTATTTTATTCATAGGTTTGAAACAACATCTTTACAAATCATGCTTCAGCTGTGTTTTTATATGCGTAACTAGAAAAGAATCTTTCCAAAAATCTGTGTGTTGAATTGTAAGATTAAAAGGACACATATATATTCCTTGAAGGAGCCATTTATTTCTTCTCTTGATTTTCCTGCAATGATGTGGTAACTATGCTTTCAGTCAATGCCCTACTTCAGTGGTTACTGGTTACACCCATTTTTGCATGATTGCAAAAGGAATACAAGCAACCATAATTTTGAAATTCATTACAATGCCAGGGTTTATATGCTCTCATTAAGCATTAATTGGTAGTTGATGGCTATTGCTATTTTTAACACCATTAGTTCATAGCAATATAATTAGTAACGCTAAGTACAGGAACCACATTAATAGCATTACTAATTGTAAATCTGGAGATAGAAACACAACATGACTGGTTAATTTCCAGGCAATATTTCATGATAATTAGCTGTAGGACATTTGTACTGAACTAGAAAGGTAAGTAATTTAATTTTTTCTACAATTTTTTGGGGGTTTGAAATACTAATATCACCCTTTAACATATGGATCTCATTTCATCTTCTTATGTTAACATTCCTTCCTTTTAGATTCTCTTTTGTTGTATGCTAAGTAATCATTCAGTTTTCTCCCACAAGGAAAATATATAGTCATTTAAAATTTTTATCATTCCATATCAAGTCTTAAGGACAAAATATCTTAAATGACTTACTTCTTATATTATATTGTAATTGATTTCCAATGTTTTGTGTTTGCCCAGTGTTTAGTTTGATATGCCAACTCTCTTTACTCATTACCCTAGCAGTAGCAAACTGGCCAACTTTACGTCTTTGCTAGTGAAATTTTATAACAGTAGAATTAAGGGAAAATTTTTTACAAGCTATAATAAGTAAACTAAAAGAAAAAACCCAACAACTAGATATTCTATACTTAAATGCATGCCACTTGACATGTAGTGATTCTCCGGTCACATTGTATGGGGTTTAACAGTCTGTAGTACTTACTTATATATACTTCAGTACCTACAAGGGTGGAGAACAATTCTTTAATTGTCATCTTATTTACTTTCTAAAGGACAGGGCTTAGAAAGCACTCTCTATTTTTTTTTTCTTTTCTGAAGAATTTTGGTATAATATGTATGGGGTGATTGAGAACAATGAGACACTCTACTTATAGTATTGGAGTCATTTTGTAAGAAATTATAAAATAGATGATTTAATTTTTTATTAATCCTTCTAAAATTTTTTTTTTTCAGTTAAACTGAGAAGCTCTTCAGAGACAATTCTGGTAATATGCCATTTCAGGCACGTCTTTGTGTTTTGCTTTTGGATTTTTAATGAACTAGATTACATCTGAAAATACCAATTTTCCTCTCCTGGTTTTCCTTGTTCTTTTTATATCTCAGCCCACATGTATCTTGCTGCTTCACTGATAAAGGGGAAAAGGGCCCAAAATGATGATTTCAGCATGTTTAAACTGTGAATGTGGGTAGACTCTGATTTATAATTGGATAAAATTGGTAAAAATAAGTTAATTGATTACTGAATTAGTTTAGAATGTTAACTCAACTTCACATTGTTTGCTTTTGTACAATGAGGGCAAGAAGAAAAAGAAAAACACATGGTTGGTGAAAATCCTTAAAGAGTTTATTTTCCCTATTGGCATTTGAGGATTTTGCAAGAGTAGTAGCTTTATTATTCTCTTTCTCAAGTTTCCAACTTGTAATAGAATGTGTGTTAACCTGTCAAAATGTGTGATGCTATCATTTAGTTGTAATTAGTTAACGATTATGTCATTTCTTTTGGCAAGGCATCCCTTAGCTGATGAAACAGTCTTCTAGTCACTTACAAAATACATATATAAACAATAGGGAAAGCAGCATTTGGAAGGCACATGATGATTCTTTATTTTCCATCACATTAGCACATTAATGTGTGGTGAGTTTAAAGAAGTGGCATGAATAAGTTACCACTCTGTACTGTTGGCAATATTGACGTTTATGGGCAATTTAATTTTAAGTCTACAATATGTGATTTAATACAGTGCTGCTTTTCCAAAGACAGAGTATGAAGGTAATCTTTGTTCAATAAAACACCAAAAGAAAATCAATTATTTCATCCTGCTGGTGATGGTTAAGGTTAGTAGAAATAGTACTACCAGTTGCTTTACTTTCACCAAGTAATTATTTTTGAAGTAATAGGTAGTAATTAATTAGTGCAGCTAATTCTTACTGAAAAATCTTGTGTAGCTGAGTGAAAGAGGAGCATTTCAACTTAATGATAAAGTTATTAGGATATTTTTCCTTGTGAAAAAAAGGCCTTAAGGTTAAGAAGTTGGTAACATGATTAAATTTATTTTACTTTTGTTTTTGGAATTTGGGAACAGAAAGAGCGGCTTTTTTTTTTTTTTTGCATGTAT
Source organism: Homo sapiens (assembly GCF_000001405.40). NCBI lineage: Eukaryota > Metazoa > Chordata > Mammalia > Primates > Hominidae > Homo > Homo sapiens. Next base: position 148,367,330 of record NC_000003.12, on the reverse strand, counting down.
CAGATGATAATGCGTATCTGAAAAAGCCAAGGCAGGTAACAGAGCACGTGACGACTTATTGTGGGGAGTCTGTGTACTCCAAGTGCGGCAATTCTCATGCCATCTGCCCCAGACTACATAAGCTTCCAGAAAGCCTGAGGTTTCCAGGATAATATGTGGTCAGTTTTTTTTTTTTTTTTAAGTTAATACCTGTGTGAATCTGTTGTGGTAACAAAGCATATATGTAATGAAGGCAAGTTTTATGTTACCTCAGCAGGATTGGACTGTGAAATGATACAATATTCAGAACTTGAATAGCCATGCACTATCTGAAGCAGATGCACACAAGCCTGCAGTCTCAGAGGGATGCCCTGGGAAATACTGAGAAGACAGTATTTTATTGTTCCCGATCTTTATTTATCTACCAGCAGATGTCCCTATAAGGCAATAATATCTTATAGCTAGGCCAGCTGATTATGAAAAATCAGAAACGGAACCACTCATCATATTTCCAAAGATTAATGGGATTAAATCCACCATGTACTTCAAAATGTTTCCACAGAGACATAAAGTGCAGTGCAGTGCAAAAGTAAATTTAGTTTACTTCTGAAAACCACATGGAGCAATTTTTTTTTTAAAAAGAAATTCTAGGAGTTCTCAATCTTTATCAGCACTAAAACCACTTTCTAAAATAAAATAAAATCATTGATTATCTCTGTGCTTTCAGGTATATAAGTATTCATTTAGTTAAAAAATAAAGTGTAAAAAATGACTCTGAATTCGGTAAAATATTTCTTAACTGGGAATATTCTCTATATACATTCTAAAGACTAGATGCAAATTAATGTTTCCATGAGACACATTATTCAACTTGCAAACAATTCAAAATGCACATATAGATTTAGGTACTCTGGCAATACCTCTGTAACTTCCCAGGGGTCTGTATATAAAAGTTGTAAACCAAAAGCATCCTCTATTCTACCGTTTTATTCAGTGATATGCCGCTTCTTGATGGATGAAAAACAGTGTCAAGAAAACTTGTTGTAAATAATAAATACTGTCTTACAAAGTAATTTCTTCATTGAAAAAACATACTAAAATACAAAGTCATTATCAGTACTCATTAGCATTTCTATTTTGAGAATTAAGTAGGTTCATTTGTTTGTCTCCATTTTTGAGAGGCAATTGCTATAGAGGCCAGAAAACTAAACTAGATGCAATAAAAATTACGGATTTTAAAACTATACAAACAAAAATTTCTAACTATCTTTGCCACTTTCTGGCAGTGTGTTAGGGCAGGTTATTCAACATCTGGCTTATGTGTCTTCATTTGAGAATAACAGTAGAAATCTCATGGAATTAATGCAACATTAAATAAAATAATTTATGAACATACTGGCACGTTATAGGGATTCTAAAAATATCTGTCCATTTACTTTGCATTTCTCAGTCAGTTCTTTTACATTTTATGATCTCTGTGAATATAATTGACTTCTTTTTTTGGGAGAAGTTGCAATTAATTCCTGTTATGGGAATTAGAAAATAGGTCATGATCATGGAAGAGGCAAAATTGGTGCTGGACCTAGAAGCATTTTTTCAGGCAAAAAAACTTTTTCAAAAAAATGTTCAAATAGTAGAGATACTTTACAAAACAAGAGTTAGACTAAGCAATGAATATTCTATTGCTGAGCTTCTCAATCTCCACGGAATTCATATACCCTAGGCTTCTTCTCTAGTGCTCAGCCAATATTGCAAGTCCTAGATCTACGTAGTGTATGTTCATGGACAATCTGTTTCCCTCAATGGCAAGTAATTTAAAAATAATATCTTTATATCAAATGGAGTAGAAAACCAACTTCATGTGTATTTTTACACGAAAACAGAAGTTTTAAAAGCCCTGTTGACATTGAAAGAACTCAGAACATGCCACTCCAAAACGTGCCACTCTGGCATATTGATTATTTTGAATTAAAAGAATTTGAAAAACAGTAGATGCAAAAGGGCACTCTGATCTTCCTTCTTTTCTTCCCGAAAGAAGGAAATAAAACTTCCATGTGAAAGATGTCTTCCCTGCACTTGGAGAAACTAAGACATGTTCATCTCCAGAGATGGGGAGTGGAGACCAAGAAAAATGTATACAAACAAACCTTGTTAAATTAACCTTTATCTTTCTAGTTACTAGTTACTTTTTCACTATTAACTGTCTTAGCCCAAACTCCTTTCTCTTGTTACATTTTGTAATTTACTACTCTTTGTTCAACCCTGTATGTAAGTGTTTGGCTCTGTTTCTTTCAGTCTTTAATATATCCTTAGAACGCACATGTACATGTAAAATTTTACTGAATAAAATGTGTATGCTTTCTCCTCTTCATTTGTTGATATCAGTTTAATTTTTAGGCCCAGCCAGAAACCCTAACAAGGTAGAGGAGAAATTTTTCCTCCCCTGCACCATACACTCACTGTCTCTACAAGTATGGGCACTTTGGTAGAGATGTTTTAGAAACACACATCACAGAGTCACATGAGAGGGAGCCTTTGGATGAGCACCTTTACTGGAATATTAGAAACTATGGGGTTGTAGTTGAGGAAACACCTGGAGGAGGTGAGTGTCAACCCTAAACATCTCTAAAGAAGACAAGGTCAGGTAGGAGAATCTGGAAGTGGGAGTGTGCCTGGCACAGGCTTCCTGGTAGTAAAACAGAGGGATTTCTGAAGCTGAGTGTGATGTGAATCAGAGAACAAACTGCTGAATAATATCTCTTCCTTTAATAAAATAATGAATTTCTTGGATGTGCTTCTTGAAGTGTATCCCATTATGCTTTGCGGACTTAACATTAGGGAACAGTTCCTTAGAAACAGTTCTGGAATCACCCAAATAATGCTGTTCAGGGACAATGATTTCTAATTGACCATTTTCATATAAGATATAATTTAGCTTACTTGGAAAAGCAGTGACTCACCTTGTTTCAGGGAATCCGTGTACCTAGACTGATATGTGCTATGACTTGAAAGTCCCTTCCAAAACTAATGTTGAAATGTAATTGCCATTGCGATATTGAGAGATGGGACTGTTAAGAGGTGGTTAGGCCAGAAGGACTCTGCCCTTATGAATGGATTAATGTCATTATCACAGGAGTAGGTTTGTTATTGTGAGAATGGGTTGTTATAAAAGTGAATTTGGCCTTCTCTATCTCTTGCTCTTGCCTCTCTTGCCCTTCTGACTTAAGTCATGCGATGACACAGCATGAAGGCTCTCAAGAGATGCCAGCACCCTGCTCTTGGACTTTCCAGCCTCTAGAGCTGTGAACAAAATAAACTCTATTGTTTATAAATTATGCAGTCTTTGGTATTCTTTTACAGCAACACAAAACAGACTACAGCAGTATGTGTTATGCAATTGTGTGAATCTTTCTGGAGAAATGTTCCTAGTTTTAAGCAGATTCTCAAAGCAGCCCATGACTGCAAAATGGTTGATAATCACAGGTCTAGACTGAAAGAACTGTGTATCCTCAGACAATCTCTTTTCCTATTGTTTTATTCTTTTTAAATCACTACTAAATGTTTTAGGAAAAGTGGGTGGTAGGTTATGCTCAACAGCTGAGTAAGGGCAGAGTCATGCTTTAATAATCATCCCAGAAAGGGGGAGGGAAAAGGCGAAATGTAAGTAAAAATAAAAATGAGAGGTAGGAGAAAAACATAAAATGTAAAGTTCTAAGTGTTGAAAACCAAATGTGGAAGAGGTTTCTAGGCAAAGATAAGTGTTTGTTGGTGATTGGACAAGAAAGCAATATCAAGCAGAGTGAAGGTGAGAGCATAATAATGAATGGGAAACAGTGATAGGTTGGTAAGAGTAAGAGAATGTGAGTCTTCAGTGGCCACAGGATGCTCATAGGATACAGCATGATAAAGACCATTTTCTCAGGAAGTCTTTCTCATTTCTTTTTAAAGCACATAATTTACATGAAAAGTTTTGTAATAGCAAGTTACATTTTAATATTAGATCTTGCTAGGAAAAAGCTAAGCACAAAGCCACCTTTAACTTTCAGATTCAACAAAGTATGTCTCCAAGGGTTTTGAAATTAATATCATCCTGCCACTAACACAAACAAGTAAAACTGTAAATAAGAAATAAGATGATAAATGAGGAAAAGAGAGGAAGAAGTGAAAAAGGTTTGTTTGTTTTAAACAACAAAAAAAAAATGAGAGGGAAAAAATTTAAAAAAAATTCTTAAAGTCTGTGTAATTAATATTTTCATCTCTTTAGAAATTAAACTGGTCTTTACAGGTGGTTTATCATTAACAGCACAAAAGGAATGGATTACAAACTCTGAGGTATGAAGGTGAAATGAGAGAAACGAATTTCAGAGATCAGTCAGTAGATGCTGAAGCAGCCTGTGAGAAAGGCTGTCCTGGAAGGATGGCCATTTACAAGAGAACAGAGCCCCATCACTTTGGGTCCATTTTCATGGCCCTGTGCCTCCTACTTCTCCTCATCTGCCTTATCACCTTGCCAAGGTGAAGGAATAGAAAAAAAGAAATCACCTTTGCAGGTTCCTAACAACCTGAGACTTTGAAATTCCTTTTATTCTTTCTATCTACCCTCAAAAGGGGAAAATATTTAATCAACATACTTTTTTCTTTTTTGTCTGGGAGTCCTCTGGCTTTCAGGCATTACCAAACTATAATTAAGAAATGCTTTACAGCTTGAACCAGCTCAGTTTTTTTTAACACATACCCTTTTTATTTGAAATGGAAAATAAAAATACTAATAAGGGTTTCCTTTGTCTAGTCTTGGGACTAGACACCAGTCCCCAAGCTGACAGATACTAGATCTCAAATAATTTAGAATTATCTCTTCACATAGATAATGAAAAACTCTGAAGGTTCTATCCATAAGGTTACTGTACTCATTAATTCTAGTCCCCAAATTTTCACAATGAAGGTAGATTCGTTGCTTTTACAGTGAGGTGGTGATACTTGAGCAAATGTCAAACTTCATTTATAGGACATCTGGAATGATCCAAATCTATTTGAGGGTGTTTCCTCTTACCTCTACCCAAATCCCAATGTACAACTTGAACCTTGGTTCTGAGAGTGAGCAGTTTTCTTGGAAGTATGATTGGAGAGCTGGAAAGGCAGCCTGTATAATGGGTCCTGGAAGATAGCATAATTCACAAGGAGGTAAATTGTTTTGCGATTCAATTTCTAACTGCTTGTTCAACATGTCTACCTTGATGCACACAAGCCTTTGAATTCTGTATGTCCCAACCAAAGGTATCCTCTTTCTCTGTTCTTTATTGCATTACCCTCTTCTAAGTTACTCAGGATCAAAACCTCAATATATCTGGAAAATATATATTTTTCTCTCTCTCCCACATGTCTAATCAGTAACCATGGTTTCTTTCACTTCCACAATATTTTTTAGATATATGTTCCTTTTCACCAATGCCTTTGCTTTTGTTCAGGTCATTTCCTCTGGTTTGAATTTGGCAACTGATTTCCCAGCCAATAGTCTCCTTCCCCCAGTGTACCTAGTTAACTCAGTTTTCTGAAAGTACTACTTTGATCATAAACCTTCACTCATACTCCTTCCTCCAGGAAGTGGAGCTTGATTCATCTCTCCATACCACCCCTTCAACACGCATACAGCCAACCCTTGACTAGATTTAAAGACTTATTTCTAATGAACAGAGTATGAGAATGGAAAAATAGTAACTTAACAGTGGAGTGATCTGGTAGATACTGCCTTAATCAAATGATGGAGGCTAATACCACCAGTGATGTTATGTTGGTATCATGTACTCTCTAATAGTATGCAAGAGAAGGGCACTTTGCCTCTATGGTACTCACTTCCAAAACCCACAACCTCAGTCTGAAAAAGAGGAAATTCTACATTGAAGACATGCTTCAAAGTTCTCAAAGTTTTGAAAACCTGAGAAACTGCCACAGGTCAGAGGAGACTAAGGAGGCATGATGATTAAAAGTGTTGTTACAGCATCCTGTATTGGATTCAGGAATATGAAAAAGACATTAGTAATTTGCCAGTGTTAATTTTCTGGTTTTGACATATGTGCCATGATTATTATATGAAATATTAACATTAGGGGCAAATGAGTCAAGGTATACGAGAACTCGGTAGTGTCATCCAAACTTATTCCAATGTAAAAACAAAAGTTTATTTAAAAAATCTCTGGTTCTTACTTTTACACTGTTGGTGGGACTGTAAACTAGTTCAACCATTGTGGAAGACAGTGTGGTGATTCCTCAAGGATCTAGAAATAGAAATACCATTTGGCCCAGTCATCCCATTACTGGGTATATACCCAAAGGATTATAAATCATGCTGCTATAAAGACACATGCACACATATGTTTATTTGCTATTCACAATAGCAAAGGCTTGGAACCAACCCAAATGTCCATCAATGATAGACTGGATTAAGAAAATGTGGCATATATACACCATGGAATACTATGCATCCATAAAAAAGGATGAGTTCATGTCCTTTGTAGGGACATGGATGAAGCTGGAAACATCATTCTGAGCAAACTATCGCAAGGACAGAAAACCAAACACCGCATGTTCTCACTCATAGGTGAGAATTGAACAATGAGAACACTTGGACATAGGATGGGGAACATCACACACTGAGGCCTGTCATGGGGTGGGGGGAATGGGGAGGGATAGCATTAGGAGATATACCTAATGCAAATGACGAGTTAATGGGTGCAGCACACCAACATGGCACATGTATACATATGTAACAAACCTGCACGTTATGCACATGTACCCTAGAACTTAAAGTATAATAAAAAAAATCTCTGGTTCTTGATTATCAAATATAGTTGTGTATAAGAACTACTATAAAAACTTTTTAAAAACATGTATTTCAGGGCTATATCCTTGGAGATACTGATTCTGTTGGCCTGGACAGAGTTCAAGAAGCTGTACTTTTTAAAGACCCTCTTCAGAAAGATTCTGACATGCTGCTGGGTTTGGGAATAACAGTTCTACAGAATTAAGCAAAGTAGATTGCACACTATCCCAGGAATTTGTGGGCAACTTGAGCCTTTAAGCACTCACATTCTTTCCTCACAACCAGAAAATAATTTCATCTTTGCTTAGCTCACAGGGCTTTCTGAAAGTCTTAGATTTTGCTTCATGTGTTACTCACCCATTATCTTTACTCTCTGTCTCTCTCTCTTTTTTTTTTCTGTTTCCTGGAAGGAAACATAAGTTGAGGTATATAGATTTTTCAAATAGTGAATTTCCAGCCCATTCTAAACTTACTCTTTCATAGTGAGAAACCTAATGAGACAGCAGCCTGGGTTAAACAGACCAGATGTTTGAAAATAAAAATTTTATTTACTCCCAGTTTGTGGGTTCATCAAAGTACTGGTAAGTATTGTCCATCTCATGTGTTTTAATAAATAGATAAGAACCAAAGTAAGCTGATCTTTAATTGATTTTAGGAAAATAGAAGGTGCTCTTAAGACAATCTGTAGTCCCTTGATAGGTTAAATAGTGTTTTTTTTTTAAATTAAAATAGCAAAGCTTTCCACATATTTTATTTGATTTAATCCTCAGAATAGTCCTGTGAAGTAGGTAGTTATCAACTCCACTTCACAAATGAGACGATTTGGGCACAGAGAGGTTAATTAATTTTTCCAAGATCATACAGCTAATAAATGGTGAGGCCAGGTTTACATTCCAGGATGTTGACACTCAGGGACTACTTTCTGATCCACTGTGATGTACTGCTGCCCTATAGAAATATGTTTGGCACAACTATAAAGTAGTGAAAAGAATTTGTTACTCCAGCTGGGTCCAGACTACTCTAAATGCTAAAATTGTAAAATTGGTGTGCATGGCTGTATACCACTTGCAGAACAGTTAACTTTAGATTTCTAACATATTTTGCCATAGTTTAAAAGTTCTCATCAAGTATGGCCAATGTTGCATGCGTGTGTGTGTGTGTGTGTGTGTGTGTGTGTGTGTGATTTTTCTGTCAAGGCTTTTTGGTATGCTATATTTGATTCTTATATACTAGGCAGCTAGTTTCGAGATTCTCCAAGGATAGGAAGATTTGGGATCCAAGACAGTATACTGTGTGTTAGGTGTCCGGAGGTAGGGAGTAACATTTTAAAAAGCAGCAATTTCTTTTTAAAGGGTCAAGAAAGTCAGGTAGAAATCATGACAGGCTGACATCAACTAACCCTCTAACCCCAGGCCTCTACAAAACTAACTACACTAACCTCAGGTCTCTACAAAATGACTGGGTATTTTTGCTTGTAATGCATTCTCATTGAATTTCACAAAACAAATAAATAAAACAAGCCTGTGTTGTCACTTCTGAAAAACTCCAGTCTATTACAATGAAGAGAGAGCACCTGTTTAAAAATATTCTGGGTGATAAATCACAGAAGGTTGCATTAATCAAGGCAGCCTAAAGCTGATAAGTGCAATTATGGATTTGTCACCCTAGGGAAATATCTTGATCAAGGTTCCTCAAACCCCAGCATAAACATCCCTGCAAACCTCAAATACTTGCCCAAAGACGGCTGCACCTAATTTGGGGACTTAGCACATCTTATCCTTAGGGTATTGAAAGCCTTCTGGCAGAGCCTTATCCAATATCCACAGTAATGAAACCTTGTTCTGGAGAGATCTATTAATGGTGTAATGATGGAGTACCCCTACTACCAATTGGCAGCAGTCTTCACACATCACAAGCAAAGAGAAACAAACGCAAATACAAAACTTGGGTCCTGTCTCCTCCTATTTTCATATATTACAGGAATTTTACATGAATTAATGGATAGAAACTAGCTGGATCTCACTATTCAAAGAGATGCCTACACTTACCTTAGTTGATTGTTTTTAAATGTTATAAAATAGAATTTTAAGGCAATATCATAATTCAAAAAAGTATGAAAAATATATTTAAGATCAAAATGTGAAAAATTAAGCAATCATTGTTGCATATTATTTTTAAATTGTGCATTTTTCATTGGTAGTTGATATCAGTTATTGTGTGTGGTGTCATCAACAAAATATTTTCTTTTTTCTATATAAACAAAATTTGGAAAATCTGGATGCTGAAATATTCAGAGCTTCTAAATTCTGGTGTTAATGATCTAATTTCATTTTAAGGGCTATGTCTGCCCCCTTCCACCAAAGTTTTTTCTGCACATTGCAGGCTCCACTGTTTTTATTCCTTCTGATATGAAACCACATATCATCAACTGCTTCTCCCATAGTTTTGTCTTGTCATAATAGACCTCACAGATCTCACATGGTATTGTTGTGTGGCATTGCTAATTAACACTTTTTGTGTACATCCTGTATCATCCTATTACCCTCTAATAACTGATAAGTCCCTTTGGGATAGGAATTACCACACTCTTGTATTTTCAAAGTTCTTATTCCATCTTATACTCAATTTACATTTGATAAGCAATAAAGTTTTTATTAAAAAATTAGTGCCACTTGTGCTTCTTGGATAATATGGAATTCTAAATTATAAGATGTAAAGTTTCCAGGAAGGGATGCCAGTGTAGGAGAGAAAAGATTTCTTTCCTCACCCATTGCTAGGTTCATGGTTGAGACCCCTATTATAAAGGATAGATATGAAAAGTATACAAATTTATTTAATGTAAGTTTTATGCGACATAGGAGACATCAGAAATGAAGACCCAAAGAAACAGAGAAAAGGCATATTTTTATGCTCAGTTTGATGAAGAGCAGGCAGTTGTGTAGAAGTGTGAACAAAAGGGAGTGTGATCTAATGGTAATACACTGGGAGTAACAAAAGTTTGTCCAGATTCTTGACATCTCTGTATGACATTTCTCTTCTCCAGGTATCAGAAAGGACACTTGTCATAAGAAAGTCTTTGGAGAGAAGGGAGGGAAAAGATCAGAAAGTGACCTTCCTAGGTTTTCTGGCTTGCTTCAGTGTGAAAGGCGAGGGGAAGATGAGAGCGGCCTTCCTACTTCTGCTGTTTTCTCAATTTCTGAGGTATCATATTTTGGGGTAGTGTTTTCCTGCATTCTCATCACCAGAATGTTTATGAATTTAATGTACAACAAAGGTGAACATTTCAATTAAGCAGGAAAGGATGATGAATTTAATAAATGATAGCAGCAACTTGTTATCTAGAAAATTTCTATGTAATTCTTAAATGCTTGATTAAATTAAGTATCAAAGTAGAGAAAAATAAGGCAACAATTATCTTAGAAGACATGTAAGTGATAATATTGACAATATAGGATCAGGAGAAACTTTTAACCAAGGCAGAAGATACAAACATTTTTAAAAGGAAAGATAGACTTATTTGACTAAATTGAATTTAAAACTTCAGCCAGACACCCCAAATAGTAAATAAATTACAGGCTTTTGTAATAAAACAACAACAAAAAAACAGCTCCACGTATCTTTTTTGAACAAAGGGTTACGAACCATATTTAAAAACTTATATAATAAGAAAATAAACAATTTCATAGAAAATAAACAAAAACTAAATCTATGTGAATAAACCTTGTCAAAAATGTCCAAATATTATAGTAGCAAGGGATATTTAAATTAAAGTAACAGTGTTATATCATTTTATTCCCATCAAAACTTAACTAGTGCTGCCAGGAATATTGAGAGAAAAGGATATTCTTCATAAATGTTATCTGGTAATGTGAATAATTACAGCCTTCTTGTAAAATATTTGATAACGCTGGTTAAAATCAAGACTACATATACTATATTCCAGGTTAGAACTCCTGGGAATCTCTTTCATAGAAATAAAAACATCAGCAAATAAAAATATACATACATGAATATTTATTGCTGCATTGGTAAGTATAATAAAAACACTAAAAATAATGACTCAGAGAGTATACTAGTTGACTTAGAGGGGTTTGCCCTAAATATTATTATCAATTTTTTATAATTATTTTGTTTTGTTTGGAGACAGGATCCCTCTGTCACCCAGGTTGGAGTACAGTGGTGTGATCATGGCTCACTGCAGCCTCGGTCTTCTGGACTCAAGTGATACCCCCACTTTAGCCTCCTTAATAGCTAGGACTACATGCGCGTGCCACCATGCCTGTCTAATTTTTATTTTTCACAGAAACAGTCGTGCTATGTTGCTCAGGCTGGTCTCAAACTTCTGGCCTCAAGCCATCCTCTCACCTCATCTTCCCAAAGTGCTGAGATTACAGGCATCAACCACCATGCCCAGTCATGTCCTAGGTATTATTGATTAAAAAATGTAGAATGAAGAAAAGTAGGCATGATATGATCCAATATTTATAAAAGAACATAATTTCTTACAGATATTATAACTAATGTTGGATATGAATATTCATAGATATATGTTTCATATAATGATACGAATATGAAAAACTATAAACGGATATGTAGTAGATTATTTACATAGACATTGTTCCCTGAGGGGAAGGTGAGAAGGAAAACACAGAGGAATATAAAAAAAAATGTTGTAGCTCAAAAACCAACAACAAATGTCCAAGTGTTGTAGAGTGAACGTGGAGGAGGTTTCTAGGTGAAGATGAGTGTCTGGTAGTGGCTGATGAGAAGGGGGATTCCATTTATATAATTATGTAAAATTATGTACACATGCATATTTATAGAGTTTTTTAAATGTAATGAAATATAGTGAATTTGGTCATTCTGTAAAATGTCTCAGTGGTGTCTTCATTAAATCACCAGTGGTTTCATTAACTGGTCACTCTAGCTCATTAGTCCATCCTTCTCCTGAGTAGGAATAAAAGAAAGCTAAGAGATCAGCCTAATCATTTTGATCTTTTTAATGCAAAAAAGAAGAGGCACCTTGAATTATAACCTCCTAGAGACAGCATTATACAGTAGAAATAATCTGGGCATTGGAAGCACACTTACTAAGACTCAAAACCTAATCTAGTCACTAAATAATTGTATGACCTTGGACAAGTTGCTTAATATTTGTTGCCTTCAGCTTGTTCATCTATGAAATTGGGAGACGGAAGCCTATGGGGGAGGACTGTGCTATCTACTGAATTATATGTTGTGTGTGAAGGTGCCTAGCATAGTGTTTGGCCCAGTGCGGGACTCAGAAGGTTACACCCACAATCAATCCACATAATCTAGACACTTGGGTAGGTTGGTAGTGAGAAAAAATCATGTAGTGCTGAATTTAGTGGATATATTTGATGTGGAAGACATTTGAAAATGATTATGCACAATTAGTCGCTTTCATTCCCTTTAACACCAAGGTGCAATAAATAATCTTGGAATTGTCTGCACAGGAGTTAAGTTTGCACAGTGGGATCTCTTCTCACCTTGGCTGAGTTGCCCAGGCTGTTCTGAGTTGTTTTTATATATTGTACAGACAGAACATGCTTTCAGATACACCAAGTTGTCCTCTACAAAGAAAGAATGTATGAAGTCCTGTGGTTTTCATTACATGAAAAGTGGATGTAATTTTTTTTAGATCATTCAGCTAAGATTATAGGTGCTTTTCCCTAATAGAATTTTCTTCTTATGTATTGGCCTCATTTTTAAGAAAATAGGTTTACTTGTACACTAAATCCATCCAGAAAAACTAGAGGCCTGGCTATGTAGGAGCCAGATAAATAAGATAGCACTGAATTTAGTAGATATTTTTGATGCAGAAAGCTCTAAGGGACATGATTAAGCACAATTCATTTTTGAAAGAAAACTTTCAATTAATCTGTAAGCTATAAAAGCTAACATTTGGGGACATTTTAAAATATTATTACAAAGTTTAAATTTTCTGAACACTGAGAGAAATTTAGTGGCATCTTTATGTATGTGTCCTATTTGATTTTAATTTATTCTATTTTACAATTTTGCTATAATTCATTATTCAGACACCTTTATAATGCTCAGTTTTCCCACTTCCAGAATGGGATCCACTTGTGGAATTTTAATAGTGACTTCTAGGGTCATTTAGTCTACTGTAAATCATCAGTTAATCCAGTATCTTTCCTTTCTCTGCTTCCAATTATGATTTTCCTCTGCTGTCATAGCTCCCAATCTGAAAAAGCTTCTGCTTTATATTTTTGTAATAACCTTACACTGTTTCAAAAATTTTTAAGCAACTCTTATGGAGCAACACTTACTGAACCAAATAACTTGATAAGGCAACATCTAAAACAAATTCTTTCTAACAAAACTAACCCTGGCAATTCATAAAATCAATCTTTATTTCCTCTTTTCATTTCACCACTTTTGGTAAAACAAATCTATCTATTCTGAATGGCCCCATATGAATAGACAGGCTGATTAGCTCAGATTGCTACCTTAGAGCAAGACTGACTTGCTTGCTGTAGACAAAAGAACCTTATTTATTCCTGTACCATATATGCTTGTTTCTTTCCGGATGTCAAACTCCTGCAAGGTGTTTGGTTCTTCTAAATGGCTGTCCGGTTTGCTTTCAGAAAGTTGTTCTAAAATTCAGCTTTCAGAATAGGCTTCATGCATCATTCTATCTTTTTTAAATCTACATGAATTTCTTTATAGGATTTTTTCAAATTAGAAAATATATACTTCTGTGTTGTAACTGGTGAAATAACATAAAACAACAATGTGATTAAAATTCCAATTATCACATCCTTTTCACCCCCATTTTCATAAGATTACCAAGTTTACTCTTCTGCGCTCACACAAATGAATACAAGGCATATAAGTAAAAAAAAAATGGAGTTTTGGGTTGGTTGATTGGTTATTTTATTTTCATATAGTAGAATAATATACACATTTCCTTTCAGCTTGCTTTTGCTTTTCTTCACTTCATACATCATGGATAACCCTGTATACCAGGAGATATTCATATATGTTTTTCTTACTTTGATACATGCATATAAACAAAATTTTATAGAAATAGAAACAAATAATACAAGCTGGTTTGACATTATTTGGAATAACATTTTTATTCTTTTTTTATTATTATACTTTAAGTTTTAGGGTACATATGCACAACGTGTAGCTTTGTTACATATGTATACATGTGCCATGTTGGTGTGCTGCACCCATTAACTCGTCATTTAGCATTAGGTATATCTCCTAATGCTATCCCTCCCCCCTCCCCCACCCCACAACAGGCCCTGGTATGTGATGTTCCCCTTCCTGTGTCCATGTGTTCTCATTGTTCAATTCCCACCTATGAGTGAGAACATGCGGTGTTTGGTTTTTTGTCCTTGCAATAGTTTGCTGAGAATGATGATTTCCAGCTTCATCCATGTCCTTACAAAGGACATGAACCCATCATTTTTTATGGCTGCATAGTATTCCATGGTGTATATGTGCCACATTTTCTTAATCCAGTCTATCATTGTTGGACATTTGGGTTGGTTCCAAGACTTTGCTATTGTGAATAGTGCCACAATAAACATACGTGTGCATGTGTCTTTATAGCAGCATGATTTATAATCCTTTGGGTATATACCCAGTAATGGGATGGCTGGGTCAAAAGGTATTTCTAGTTCTAGATCCCTGAGGAATCGCCACACTGACTTCCACAATGGTTGAACTAGTTTACAGTGCCACCAACAGTGTAAAAGTGTTCCTATTTCTCCACATCCTCTCCAGCACCTGTTGTTTCCTGACTTTTTAATGGTCTCCATTCTAACTGGTGTGAGATGGTATCTCATTGTGGTTTTGATTTGCATTTCTCTGATGGCCAGTGATGATGAGCGTTTTTTCATGTTTTTTGGCTGCATAAATGTCTTCTTTTGAGAAGTGTCTGTTCATATCCTTCGCCCACTTTTTGATGGGGTCGTTTTTATCTTGTAAATTTGAGTTCATTGTAGATTCTGGATATTAGCCCTTTGTCAGATGAGTAGGTTGCGAAAATTTTCTCCCATTTTGCAGGTTGCCTGTTGACTCTGATGGTAGTTTCTTTTGCTGTGCAGAAGCTCTTTAGTTTAATTAGATCCCATTTGTCAATTTTGGCTTTTGTTGCCATTGCTTTTGGTGCTTTAGACATGAAGTCCTTGCCCATGCCTATGTCCTGAATGGTATTGCCTAGGTTTTCTTCTAGGGTTTTTATGGTTTTAGGTCTAACATGTAAGTCTTTAATCCATCTTGAATTAATTCTTATATAAGGTGTAAGGAAGGGATCCAGTTTCAGCTTTCTACATATGGCTAGCCAGTTTTCCCAGCACCATTTATTAAATAGGGAATCCTTTCCCCATTGCTTGTTTTTGTCAGGTTTGTCAAAGATCAGATAGTTGTAGATATGCGGCATTATTTCTGAGGGCTCTGTTCTGTTCCACTGGTCTATATCTCTGTTTTGGTACCAGTACCATGCTGTTTTGGTTACTGTAGCCTTGTAGTATAGTTTGAAGTCAGGTAGCTTGATGCCTCCAGCTTTGTTCTTTTGGCTTAGGATTGACTTGGCTATGTGGGCTCTTTTTTGATTCCATATGAACTTTAAAGTAGTTTTTTCCAATTCTGTGAAGAAAGTCATTGGTAGCTTGATGGGGATGGCATTGAATCTATAAATTACCCTGGGCAGTATGGCCATTTTCGCGATACTGATTCTTCCTACTCATGAGCATGGAATGTTCTTCCATTTGTTTGTATCCTCTTTTATTTCATTGAGCAGTGGTTTGTAGTTCTCCTTGAAGAGGTCCTTCACATCCCTTGTAAGCTGGATTCCTAAGTATTTTATTCTCTTTGAAGCAACTGTGAATGGGAGTTCATTCATGATTTGGCTCTCTGTTTGTCTGTTACTGGTGTATATGAATGCTTGTGATTTTTGTACATTGATTTTGTATCCTGAGACATTGCTGAAGTTGCTTATCAGCTTAAGGAGATTTTGGGCTGAGACGATGGGGTTTTCTAAATATACAATCATGTCATCTACAAACAGGGACAATTTGACTTCCTCTTTTCCTAATCGAATGCCCTTTATTTCCCTCTCCTGCCTGATTGCCCTGGCCAGAACTTCCAACACTATATTGAATAGGAGTGGTGAGAGAGGGCATCCCTGTCTTGTGCCAGTTTTCAAAGGGAATGCTTCCAGTTTTTGTCCATTCAATATGATATTGGCTGTGGGTTTGTCATAGATAGTTCTTATTATTTTGAGATACGTCCAATCAATACCTAATTTATTGAGAGTTTTTAGCATGAAGGGTTGTTGAACTTTGTCAAAGGCCTTTTCTGCATCTATTGAGATAATCATGTGGTTTTTGTCTTTGGTTCTGTTTATATGCTGGATTACGTTTATTGATTTTCGTATGTTGAACCAGCCTTGCATCCCAGGGATGAAGCCCACTTGATCATGGTGGATAAGCTTTTTGATGTGTTGCTGGATTCGGTTTGCCAGTATTTTATTGAGGATTTTTGCATCAATGTTCATCAAGGATATTGGTCTAAAATTCTCTTTTTTTGTTGTGTCTCTGCCAGGCTGTGGTATCAGGGTGATGCTGGCCTCATAAAATGAGTTAGGGAGGATTCCCTCTTTTTCTATTGATTGGAATAGTTTCAGAAGGAATAGTACCAGCTCCTCCTTGTAACTCTGGTAGAATTTGGCTGTGAATCCATCTGGTCCTGGACTTTTTTTGGTTGGTAAGCTATTAATTATTGCCTCAATTTCAGAGCCTGTTATTGATCTATTCAGAGATTCAACTTCTTCCTGGTTTAGTCTTGGGAGAGTGCATGTGTCGAGGAATTTATCCATTTCTTCTAGATTTTCTAGTTTATTTGTGTAGAGGTGTTTATAGTATTCTCTGATGGTAGTTTGTATTTCTGTGGGATCAGTGATGATATCCCCTTTGTCATTTTTTATTGCACGTCTATTTGATTCTTCTCTCTTTTCTTCTTTATTAGTCTTGCTAGTGGTCTATCAATTTTGTTGATCTTTTCAAAAAACCAGCTCCTGGATTCATTAATTTTTTGAAGGGTTTTTTGTGTCTCTATTTCCTTCAGTTCTGCTCTGATCTTAGTTATTTCTTGCCTTCTGCTAGCTTTTGAATGTGTTTGCTCTTGCTTCTCTAGTTCTTTTAATTGTGATGTTAGGGTGTCAATTTTGGATCTTTCCTGCTTTCTCTTGTGGGCATTTAGTGCTATAAATTTCCGTCTACACACTGCTTTGAATGTGTCCCAGAGATTCTGGTATGTTGCGTGTTTGTTCTCGTTGGTTTCAAAGAACATCTTTATTTCTGCCTTCATTTCGTCATGTACCCAGTAGTCATTCAGGAGCAGGTTGTTCAGTTTCCATGTAGTTGAGTGGTTTTGAGTGAGTTTCTTAATCCTGAGTTCTAGTTTGATTGCACTGTGGTCTGAGAGACAGTTTGTTATAATTATTGTTCTTTTACATTTGCTGAGGAGTGCTTTACTTGCAACTACATGGTCAATTTTGGAGTAAGTGCGATGTGGTGCTGAGAAGAATGTGTATTCTGTTGATTTGGGGTGGAGAGTTCTGTAAATGTCTATTAGGTCTGCTTGGTGCAGAGCTGAGTTCAATTCCTGGATATCCTTGTTAACTTTCTGTCTCGTTGATCTAATGTTGACAGTGGGGTGTTAAAGTATCCCATTATTATTGTGTGGGAGTCTAAGTCTCTTTGTAGGTCACTAAGGACTTGCTTTATGAATCTGGGTGCTCCTGTATTGGGTGCATATATATTTAGGATAGTTAGCTCTTCTTGTTGAATTGATCTCTTTACCATTATATAATGGCCTTCTTTGTCTCTTTTGATCTTTGTTGGTTTAAAGTCTGTTTTATCCGAGACTAGGATTGCAACCTCTGCCTTTTTTTGTTTTCCATTTGCTTGGTAGATCTTCCTCCATCCCTTTATTTTGAGCCTATGTGTGTCTCTGCATGTGAGATGGGTTTCCTGAATACAGCACACTGATGGGTCTTGACTCTTTATCCAATTTGCCGGTCTGTGCCATTTAATTGGAGCATTTAGCCCATTTACATTTAAGGTTAGTATTGTTATGTGTGAATTTGATCCTGTCATTATGATGTTAGCTGGTTATTTTGCTAGTTAGTTGATGCAGTTTCTTCCTAGTCTTGATGGTCTTTACATTTTGGCATGTTTTTGCAGTGGCTGGTACCAGTTGTTCCTTTCCATGTTTAGTGTTTCCTTCAGGAGCTCTTTTAGGGCAGGCCTGGTGGTGACAAAATCTCTCAGCATTTGCTTGTCTGTAAAGGATTTCACTTCTCCTTCACTTATGAAGCTTAGTTTGGCTGGATATGAAATTCTGGGTTGAAAATTCTTTTCTTTAAGAATCTTGAATATTGGCCCCCACTCTCTTCTGGCTTGTAGAGTTTCTGCCAAGAGATCAGCTGTTAGTCTGATGGGCTTCCCTTTGTGGGTAACCCGACCTTTCTCTCTGGTGCCCTTAACATTTTTTCCTTCATTTCAACTTTGGTGAATCTGACAATTATGTGTCTTGGAGTTGCTCTTCTCGAGGAGTATCTTTGTGGCATTCTCTGTATTTCCTGAATTTGAATGTTGGCCTGTCTTGCTAGATTGGGGAAGTTCTCCTGGATAATATCCTGCAGAGTGTTTTCCAACTTGGTTCCATTCTCCCCGTCACTTTCAGGTACATCAATTAGATGTAGATTTAGTCTTTTCACATAATCCCATATTTCTTGGAGGCTTTGTTTGTTTCTTTTTATTCTTTTTTCTCTAAACTTCTCTTCATGCTTCATTTAATTCATTTCATCTTCCATCGCTGATACCCTTTCTTCCAGTTGATCGCATCAGTTATTGAGGCTTGTGCATTTGTCACGTAGTTCTCGTGCCGTGGTTTTCAGCTCCATCAGGTCCTTTAAGGACTTCTCTGCATTGGTTATTCTAGTTATCCCTTTGTCTAATTTTTTTTCAGAGTTTTTAACTTCCTTGCCATTGGTTCGAACTTCCTCCTTTAGCTCGGAGTAGTTTGATCTTCTGAAGCCTTCCTCTCTCAACTCGTCAAAGTCATTCTCCATCCAGCTTTGTTCCGTTGCTGGTGAGGAGCTGCATTCCTTTGGAGGAGGAGAGGTGCTCTGAATTTTAGAGTTTCTGGTTTTTCTGCTCTGTTTTTTCCCCATCTTGGTGGTTTTATCTACCTTTGGTCTTTGATGATGGTGACATACAGATGGGTTTTTGCTGTGGATGTCCTTTCTGTTTGTTAGTTTTCCTTCTAACGGTCAGGACCCTCAGCTGCAGGTCTGTTGGAGTTTACTGGAGGTCCAATCCAGACCCTGTTTGCCTGGGTATCAGCAGCAGTGGCTGCAGAACAGCAGATACTGGTGAACTGCAAATGCTGCTGCCTGATTGTTCCTCTGGAAGTTTTGTCTCAGAGGAGTACCTGGCCGTGTGAGGTGTCAGTCCACCCCTAATGGGGGGTGCCTCCCAGTTAGGCGACTTGGGGGTCAGGGACCCACTTGAGGAGGCAGTCTGCCCATTCTCAGATCTCAAGCTGCATGCTGGGAGAACCACAACTCTCCTCAAAGCTGTCAGACAGGGACATTTAAGTCTGCAGAGGTTATTGCTGTCTTTTGTTTGTCTGTGCCCTGCCCCCAGAGGTGGAGCCTACAGAGGCAGGCAGGCCTCCTTGAGCTGTGGTGGGCTCCACCCAGTTGGAGCTTCCTGGCCGCTTTGTTTACCTGCTCAAGCCTGGGCAATGGCGGGCACCCCTCCCGCAGCCTCGCTGCCGCCTTGCAGTTTGATCTCAGACTGCTGTGCTAGCAATGAGCGAGGCTCCCTGGGCGTAGGACCCTCCGAGCCATGTGCGGGATATAATCTCCTGGTGTGCCATTTGTTAAGCCCGTTGGAAGAGCGCAGTATTAGGGTGGGAGTGACCTGATTTTCCAGGTGCCGTCTGTCACCCCTTTCTTTGACTAGGAAAGGAAATTCCCTGACCCCTTGTGCTTCCTGGGTGAGGCGATGCCTCGCCCTGCTTTGGCTCATGCACGGTGCGCTGCACCCACTGTCCTGCACCGTCTGGCACTCCCCAGTGAGATGAACCTGGTACCTCAGTTGGAAATGCAGAAATCACCCGTCTTCTGCGTCGCACATGCTGGGAGCTGCAGACTGGAACTGTTCCTATTTGGCCATCTTGGCTCCACCCCCCTCTTTTCTTCTTTTTTGTTTAGATTTATGTCTCCTAATATGGCAATTACCTAACACATCCTTCTCTCTTTATTGTATTTTCCAGCTTTATTGAGGTATAATTGAAAAATAAAAAATATATTTAAGGTGTGTAATGTGTTTTGATATAAATATGCATTGAGAAATTGTTAGCGCAATCAAGCTAATTAATAAATCTATCATTTCACAGAGTTATCTTTTTTGTGTGTGGTGAAAATACTTAAGATCTACTCTCTTAGCAAACTTTAAATATGCAATACATTATTATGAAATATAGCCACCAGGCTGTACTTCTTCTCCCTTAATCTTTAAACAATTCTTGCCTTTGTGTTTTTGATCTCCACCTTTGTGCAATGATAAGTACACCTAATATTTGAATAATTATACCAAAGATTTCTCACTGCTTTAAACAATGCCTCATTGTCTGAACTTCCAATTAATGTGAAATGCCAGATACTAATTAAATCACACAAGAAATGAAACTGTCTACTCCAAATTTTGCTATGACCAGCTTGCTATTCGCCACATAGCACAGGTGCTTGATTAAAATCTCAGAGGTGAAACCTGAATGAGCTAGTAAGATAACAAGAGGTCTGATAGCTTGAATCCCCATGTACTTTTCAAGCTGCTTGACATGGAGGCCATGGTCTATGATTTTTCCTCAAGGAATATCATGCTTGTGAATTATACATAGGGTCAGCTCAGATCAGTGAAAGGTTAACCTATGGGAATACCAATCCTAAGAAAATAGTTTACCTCACAAAATATTTATATTTCCTTTAGGTATTCTGAACATCTTTTTCTGAAGTTTTCTCTCATCTTCACATATGTTAAATGCAGGCACCTGTAATTGCAGCAGATGCTGTGATGTGCACCAACAGTTAGCCCTCTTCAGGAATTGTCTCAGCCAGGAGAGCCACTTTGACCATGGGCATCCCCCTCACAGGTTTAAAGGGCCAGCCTTCTCACCCTAAAGCAGGACCACTCTGAAAAGTCATCTGGTATTCAGAACTTCACACAGGATCAGCTGACACTTCCAATGAGACCACATTACACCTCAAATTCTCCAGCAGCCCAATCTTCCTTCGTTCTTATTCTTCCATCTGACAGTACTTACGTATGAAACTAAACCATCTTTTCCCCAAAGCGGCTTCCTTGAACTTTATTTTAAAAAGAAACATCTTTTATCTAGGCTTGAAATATCTTAATCACCTTCAAAATTTTATTTTCCTTTATGCCTGTCAATTAACAGATTTTTCACATTTATTCCTCCATAATATCTCTCACTGTGGCGCTTCCTTTCTTTTCCCCAGTTTGGATTTTTATTGTTACACTTAGGTAGTTGTAATAATAGGCTTCCCTATCTCCAGATGTGTCCCTTTCTTTTATTTTGCATTCTACAACCAAGTGTTTTTCCAGAACAAATTTTTAATTACATAATATGTACCTGACCAAAAGCATCAGACATTCTAAGTGATCATTAGTGCTCTCCATCAGTATTTCCAGTTCTCCTTCCTCTGGGTACATGGTATGGTTACTTTTCCCTACTTCTGTGAAATTAGATATAATAATGTAATTTGCTTTAGTCAATGAAATGTGAGTAGAATAGATATCACTTCTAGATAGTAGCCTTGAAAAGCCTTAGACCTTTGGTGTTACTATAACAATATAACATAGACTGGTTAGTTTATAAATAACAGAAATTATTTTCAAACAGTTCTGGAGGCTGGAAAGTCCAAGATCAAGGCACCAGCAAGTCTGATATCTGAGGAGGAACTTCTTGCTATATCTTTATGTGGTGGAAGGGTGAACCTTGTGTCCTCACATGGGGCAAGGCAGAATGGCAAAATAGGGGAATGGACTAGCCCCTGCAAGCCCTGATCCCTTCATGAAGATGGAGCTGCCGTGGCCTAATCACCTCCCAAAAGGCTTCACCTCTTAATGCTGTCATATTGAGGATTAAGTTTCAACATCAATTTAGGGAGAAACAAAAACATTCAAACCACAGCAGAGCCTGTGTATGCATATCTCTTCCCTGTCCCCCTTCCATGGTGACATTTTAGATGGTGGAAACGTTTTTGATGGTTCAGGCTGCATCCCTGATTGAGGACAACATGAAGCAGGCCCCTCACCAATCTGAGATGAACATGTAGCAAGAACCTGCCAAAAACTTTTTATTTTAAGGAACTAACATTTTTGTTTTAAATCTCTTCATAACTTAGTCTATCCCCTGTGATACAGGTTGTTAATTAGCAATTGGGATAAAATTGAATCTTTTGAAGTTTCTGTTCAAAATCCTCTTTCTGGTTCTAAAACTTCCAAGCCTATCTTCCACTCTTTACTTAAATAGACCTCTTTGTTGTTTCTCTCTATAACTTATAACAGAGTTACTTTTGAGCATGTTTTTCTACTGCTTGGAATTTCCAACCCATTTTCATTTCCCAATTAAACTATTTACTGCCTTCAAGTCAAGCTTAATCCTGCTTTTACATGAAGCCTTATCTGAGTACCCTAAGGGCCAGAGATTTTGAAATCGTGACCTTTTAAATTGTGGGATATCATGTGAACTTTCCATGTTACTACTAAATGCCTGTCTCTAAGTGGAGGATAGAACATGATACCCCCTGCCCTGCCCATGCCCCTCAGAAAACAGTATTACTATATTCTGAAATATGATTTCAAAACTATCTGAATTCTTATTTTACTATTCACCAGGAAATGATGTGTACATTCTTCTATCTTAAAGTAACACACATGGCCATCACCTAAATTCTTTGTATCAGTAACACTAGCTAAAAGATAAATAAAAGAATGACACTAGCTCAATGATATATAATTATTGTGATATACGTTATACATTTTAATATTTACACAGTAAGCTCTTGTACTATACATTTAATATTATGGTGACTCAATAATATGCCAAAGAACCATTATTAATAATTTATATTAGATAGAAAATTATTTTCTGAATAATGTTTCTTACTTACATTTTCGTTAAAAGTTTTTTTCTAATCTTAGCCATCTCACATTTTTATACTTCCTCTTTGTTAGCAGTAGTAATGATTTTTACTTTCTATTTGTAAGCAAAATCTTAGGTAATCTTATGGTATTCGAAGTTAAAAAAATACTTAACGTATCCAATTTCAATCAATCTTAGTTGAAACTGAAGGAAAGCATCATAGACTTATTCTGCTGATAAAATACACAATTTGTAAAGCAATTTAAAAATCAGTATATAGGTAACATCTGTATATATTAAATAATATTCTTTGAATTAGTTTATATATATATATGCATATGTATGTGTATATATGTACAGACAGAGGGTGCATGGTAACTTCTGTTTTCTGGTCCAAGTACTTTCCTGGATTGATATACTTGGAATAAATCCTTATGGTCATTAATTTTCACTGAAAGTAAGAATTTAGAGTTTTTATTTTCAGATATTAACATCTTTTTTTAAAACTTTCATTAAATTGCTAAAAATGGTTTATTTTAGAGCCTTGGCGTATCCACTCAACAAACATTTATTGAGCTCCTATTAAGTGCCAAGTACTATGCAAGTCACTAGGGATATAATGACAAATAAAAAATAGTCTTTAGCTTCAAACTACTCATATCCCATTGAGATCTTTAGTGGCTGAAGCAATTTTACCCTTTGCTCTAGTCATCATGTGATTTCTGGAGTATTTTCCAGACTTAGAAAATTTTTTCTAAATTCTGTTTATGAAGAAGCTGAACTGTTTACTTTTGTCCACTGTGGACAACTGTGACATAATAGAAATAGTACTGAATTTGGGATAAATAGATTAAAATTTGCATTCTGGTTTAGCTCCCTAAGCTATCATCTTTTGTAAAACAATTAAACTCTATGAGTGTTTTTCACTCTGAAAAACATTGTAATATTTATTTCATAGGTTGTAGAGGATTGGAAATTAAAAGCTATTAAAATAGTACACATGTATTACTATGAAGTTTCTGGCAATCTCCATACTAAGTGACTTCTTATATTAGTCCATTCTCACATTGTTATATAAAAATACATGAAACTGGGTAGTCTATAAGTAAAGAGGTTTAATTGATTCATGATTCCACAGGCTGTATGGGAAGCATAGCAGCATCTGCTTTTGGGGAGGCCTCGGGAGCTTTTAATCATGGCAGAAGGCAAAGCCAGAGCAGGCATCTTCAAATAGCTGGAACAGTAGGAAGAAAGAGAAGGGGAAGGTGCTACACATGTAAACAACCAGATCCCATAAGAACTCTATCAGGAGAACAGCACCAAAAGGATGGTGCTCAACCATTCATGAAGGATTCACCCCCATGATCTAATCACCTCTCACCAGGCCTAAATTCCAATACAGGGGATTATAATTGAACTTGAGATTTGGGTGGGGACACAGATTCAAACCAGATCACTTCTTTTTCTCTTGAGTTCTGTGGAAGAATAATCACACTAGGCCAACTTCAATGCCAGAAATTTATAGCTGAAATTTATCACCTTTTTCATCATCATCATCATCATCATTATCCTCCTCATCATCTTTCTAGTAACAATTTTGTCATGCTTTCTATATACTATGCAATAAACTAGACTATATGTTTAGATCAGTGTTTCTCAACTTTAGCTTAACATTACAATAATATGCGTAGCTTTTGAAAAGTTGAAAGCCCAGGTTATATTCCAGATCAATTACATCCAGAATCTCTAGGGAAGGGACCCAGCCAACATTACTTGCTAAAGTTCCCAAGGTAATTCCAATTAGGTTGAGAACAACTGTTTTGATTAATTATCTAATTAAATCTTTATAAAATCCCTACAAATAGAGATGTTCATATCCATTTTGTGCATAGGAAACTTAGGCTCAGCTAAATCAAAAGCTTTATTCAATGTCACATACCTAGTCAGTGGCAAAGCTTGGATTTAAAACCAGGTCTCTCTGGTTTTAGGGTCCATAGTCTACTTCCTATGCTCTGTTAATATAATGTCAACTCTCTTTTGTCTGAACTCCACAGTGGAAGGTTAAGATGAGAGGATTCTGAGTTCAACTAAGTCTCACATTTTTAGGATTTTCTTTGCTTAATATGATATGTTTTATTGTACATAGGGATTAACATTGTAACTTAATTGAGGTGTCAGGAAAGTTTACGAATAAAAATGTTCCCATCCCAGATAAGAAAGCAAGGAGCCTCATTATCAGATATAAATAATGGGAATAATGATTCAATGTTGTAGGAAAAATGTAGGCAGAGGTGAAAAGGAATGAAAAATAAGTTTATTGCTTTTAGAAAGCAACTAAGAATGCTGAACTTTAAATTATATTTTTTCTGGAATATATGTTTTCATTTCTTTACATTCAAATTGTATATGTTTTTTTTTTTTTGGTCAGACTCTTGTAAATAAAAATAGCATAAAGTTAACTTTTGAAAAATTCTATGCGTCTCGGCCTTTTAAAAAAAAGTCTTAGACTTTTAAGGAAAGGCTAGGTTTAATCCAGTCACATTTATTGTTACTGATGTACTTGGACATATTTCTGCTATATTATCTTGTGTTTTTTTATTATTGTTCCCCATCTTTGTTTTTTTTCACCTTCTTTTAGATCTTTTTTTAATTATTATTTTCATTTTTTTCTCTACAGTTTTAGACATTGCACTAATTAGGGTCCTTATTTGCAAACAGCAGAAACAAACTCTAATAATCTGAGCAGAAAAGGCATTAATGAAAGAAACATTGATAAGCTCCCAAAATTGTTGAGAAGGATAGAGTGCTAAGATAGAAAAAGAGGCAGGACAAAATCTAAACCATGTCTCAGATGCATTCCCTTTAGCACACCATCACCACCATTTAGTTGAGCATTGATGCTACAGTTTATATCTTTATAGTCAACAGGTTTCAATTCTGAATGCTGCTACTTACATCACTGTCATTGCTGTCCTGGGAATTGGATCTTGTTCTTGCCATTTCTGCTTCTTTGTGGAGACTGTTACAGATTCAAAGACCTAAATGGGATGTGTTTGGCATGCCTAAGCCCAGTTCCTTTGCACCAGCTGCTGAGGGGCATAAAGCAGCAATCGGATCATTTTAGCTCCTATGGTAGAAGGAGAGCTCCACTTCTACAAAACACATATAGCTAAGAATCCCTCAGACATAGAAAAAGAGTTAAGTTACTGGATAGCCAACAGCAATAATAAAGAAGGTAAAGAAAAAAGAAACAAAAAGGGAAAAAAGAAAAGAAGAAAGAAAAATGAATAAAAGAAAGAAACAGAAAAAAGAAACACAGTAATCAGGTGTTCTATTAATATTTTCATTGGTTTTCCACAAAACATATAACTATAACCAATTTTATTATTAAATATTAAAATATAAGTAACATTATACTTTAAAAAATACAGTCAAAGTTAATCCATATCTGTATATTACTACTCAAGATAAAAAACATTTTTTATTTCCCTTCCCTCTTTTTCCCATCTTTTCTCTTGCCCACTGGGTTACTGTGTTTTTATTTTCTGAAGCTGTATTTGAAATTGCTGTAAGATATCTTATCATAATTATTTATTATTGTTCTCCTATGCTTTATACTTATTGAGATGTAATAGAGTAGGTTGGCTAAGGGCAAAGGCTATAGAGCTAAGCTGCCTTGGTTCATGTCTATTCTTCAACATCTACTAGCTGCGTGACTTTGAATAAGTTGCTTGACCTCTGCCCTTCAGTTTTCGCATTTGATAAATGAGAATAATAATACCTGCCTCTTAGGGTGGTAGAAAGATTAAATGAATCAAATCATTTAAAGTGGTTACACAATTGGATATGGTAAATTCTAAATAAAGATTTACTGTTATTTGTTTTATTTTATGTAATGATTTCCTTGACTAGCCTTCTTTTCTCACAGCCTACTTCTTGGGTTCATTTACTTGCTATCTTGGTTGATTATTTTCTTTTCAGTCTAGCTTAGGTTCTATCCCCATCCCCATGCCCATCCCTTCCAGTAATACCCAGTCTTGTGAAATATCTGAGTCTGTATGGCTGAAAAGTCTTTATTTCGTACTCATTCTTTTTTTTTTCTTTCTTTCTTTTGACAGAGTCTTTGTCACCGAGGCTGGACGCAGTGGCAGGATCTCAGCTGCAACCTCCACCTCCCAGACTCAAGGGAGCTTCCCAGCCTCCCAAATAGCTGGGACTACAGGTGTGCACCACCACACCTGGCTAATTCTTTGAATTTTTTTGGTAGAGACTGGGTTTTGCTATGTTGCCTAGGCTGGTCTTGAACTAATAGGCTCAAGCAGTCCAACTGCCTCAGCCTCCCAAAGATTTGGGATTACAGGCGTGAGCCATCAGGCCGAGCATTCATACTTACTTTTGAATAATGAGTTTCGGAAACTATAGAGATTTAGCTACAAAGTTAATTCTCCCTCAACACTTTACAAAATATTGCACCAATACCTTCAATTGTTCGTTGTTGATTATAAGGAATCTGGTAAGTTGTTTCTCCTTTCTATGTAATGTTTTTCTTCTTTTCCCTTGATTTTCTGAGATTTCACTTTAATGTGTGGATATTTTTAACTTGCTTAGTACTGAGTATTAAGCTTAGGAGCTCCCATCATTTTGAATGGGTAACCGTTCAAAACTGTAGTGGGAGATTTGGCTTCCATTGGTCTCAGGTGTCCCAAATGGTGAAAGTGGTCAAAAGTGCTCAGTGGTCAAAGATGTGATTATATTCATAAATGCTTAATTTTCACCACCCCTAATTTTTTAAAATGACACTCTTGAGAACAAGTTGAGGCCACATTATTAACTAATCTGAGATGTCATTTATAAATGAAAACACATAACTCTTTTTATAGATAATTCATTATAATGGGTGTCATTAAAACGTGTGTTCTGACTCCATCAAAAACCTGTTAAATCTAATAAGTAAATTCAGCAAGATTGCAGAATACAAAATCAACATACAAAAAATCAGTAATGTCTGTATACAATAATGGCAAACTATCTGAAAAAGAAATGAAGAAAACAATCTCATTTATAATAGCTACAAAAAATAAAATATTTAGGAATAAATTTAATGAAGGAGGTGAAAAATCTCCACTGAAGACTATGAAACATTGATGAAAGAAACTGAAGAAACAAATATATGGAAAGTCATCTTGTGTTCATGGATCAGAAGAATAAATATTGTAAAATGTTCATACTACACAAAGTTATCTACAGATTCAATGCAATCCCTATCAAAATACCAATGACATTTTTCACAAAAATAGAAAAAAAATCCTAAACTTCTTATGGAACCACAAAAGATCCTAAATAGCAAAAGCAATCTTTAGCAAAAATAACAAAGCTGGAGGTATCACACTACCATAGCACTACCTGATATCAAAATGTATTACAAAACTGTAATAACCAAAACAGCATGACACTGGCATAAAAATAGACACACAGACCAATGGAATAGAATAAAGAGCCCAGAAATTTTATTGCCAACTGATTTTTATCAAAGGTGCCAAGAACACATAATGGGGAAATGACAGTTTTTTCAATAAATTATTGGGAAAACTGAATATCCACAGGCATAAGAATGAAATCAGACACTTATCTCTCATCATATACAACAAAAACTCAATTGGATTAAAGACTTAAATGTAATACCTGAAACTATGAAACCTACTGGAAGGAAATCTAAGAGAAAAGCTACATGACATTGGTTTGGGCAATGATTTTCTGGATGTGACCACAAAAGAACAGGCGACAAAAGCAAAAATAGAAAAATGGAACAACTAAACTGAAAAGCTTTCACACAGCAAAGGAAACAACCAGCAGAATGAAGAGACAATCCACAGAACAGGATTTGCACACCATACATACGATAAGAGGTTAATATCCAAAATATATAAGAAACTTTAAACAGTTCAACAGCAAGAAAATTAATGACCTGACTAAAAAATGGGCAAAATATCTGAATAGACACTTCTCAAAAGAAGGCATGTGAATCGCCAACAAGTGTGTGAAAAAATGCCCGACATCACTAATCATCAGAGAAATGCAAGGCAAAACCACAGCGAGATATTACCTCACTTCTGTTAGAATGGCTATTGTCAAAAGTCAAGAGATAACAAATGTTGGAACAGATGTGGGGAAAAGGGAACCCTACACACTGTTTTTGAGAATGTAAATTAGTACAGCCATTATGAAAAATAGTCTGGAGTTTCCTCAAAAAATTAAAAATAAAACTTCCATATGATCCAGCAATTTTAGAACTGGGTGTATATCCAAAGGAAAGGAAATCAGTACGTCAAAGAGATATGTGATAATCAAAATATGGAATCAACCTAAGTATTCATCAACAGATGAATGGATCAAGAAAATTTCACCTATATACACAGTGAAATACTATTCAGCCATAAAAAATAAAATCAGCATGGACGAACCTAGAGAGCATTATGTTAAGTGAACTAAGACTGGCACAGAAAGACAAATACTACATGATCTTACTCATACGTGGAGCTGAACAAAGCTAATATCATAGAAGCAGGGAGTAGAATGGTCTTTTCCAGAGGCTGGGGTAGTCAGGGGAAAAGGAGGATGGGGAGATGTTGGTTAAAGGATATATAATTATAGTTAGATAGGAATAAGCTCACGAGATCTATTGCATAGCATGGTGACTACAGTTAATTACAATACATTGAATTCTTGAAAAATGCAAAAATTGGAGGTTAAGTGTTCTCACCACGAAAACGATAACTGTGCGACAATATATTTGTTAATTAGCTAGATTTAACTGTTTCACAATGTGTATGTACTTCAAAACATCGTGTTGTAAACTATATATGTACAATTCTGTCACTTGAACATTTTTTAAATGTATATTTTGATTCTTGTCAATCACTTATATCTTGCAGTCAATAAGAAAGTAGATATAAAAACTTAAGAAAGAAAAATTAAATAAATCAATGTCACTATTTTGTTCTATAAACAGAAATTTAATATGTGATTAAAGTGTCATCACAAATCCATGCAGGAAATATGAACTATTTTTACTAGATCATTATGTGAAGAAAAAACAAAACTGAATTTCTAGTTAACAATATAGAAAAAGTGTACTACAACTAGATTAAAGACTGATAAGAAACATAAAACTACAAAGAGAATGGAATATAATGTAGAAAAGTATCCGTGCAATCTAGAGTCGTAAAACACTTTAACAAAAACCCAAAAGGAGAAAGGTGAAAAATTAATTACCTTGATTATGTCAAATTAAGGCTTTTTGGTTCACCAAAGAACATCAAGGGCAAAGATAAAGATAAAACCAAGGAACAATAATAAGTATATAGAAATAAACTTAACAAATGATGTTAAGACCTCCATAGTAAAATTACAAAACTGTATTAAAAAATATGAAATACTTAAATAAATGGGGAGATATACCATGACTATATCTTTATATCTTAAAAATGTTAGTTTTTCTCAAATTGATGCACAGATTTAAGGCAAATCATGTTAAAATCTAAAAAAAAGAAACTTGATAACCCATTTATAATATTTATATAGAAGATTAAAGGGAAAAATTGCCAGAAGAATTCTGAGAGCATATGCATGAAGGGGGGACTTATTATTTAGATAACAGGACTTTTGATAAAGCTATGGTGATTAAGATAGTGTGATACTATTGCAGAGATAGACAGTTAGACTAACAGAATAACATAGAGCTCAGAGGTTGACCCACACATGTGTGGAACTCATACACGAGAGGTGTATTGCGTCTGAAAAGTGGGTAAGGAAGAACTTCAATAAATAAAGCTGGGAAAACAGTATACACATGAAAAAACTGAATTCCTACCTCTCATGATATACAAAAATCAATTTCATACTTTTAATCCTTGATAGAAAAATATAGATGATTTCTCCTAAACTTTAAGGTAGGGAAATATTTATAAAATAAAACGGAAAAAAATTGACCATAAAAGGAAGAATTAATAACTGCAACTTTTCCAAGTAAAAACTTTTGGTTATAAAAGCAAAGCTTGAAGAAAATGAAAAGACATTTCAAACTAGGAAAATGTATTTACAATATTCACTATTGTCAAAGAATTGGCATCAAAAAGGCATGAAGTATTCTTATGCCAATAAGAACTCAAAAAAATCCAAGAAAATGTGGGCAAGATATTTCACCAAACATATGTGTGAGAAAACCTATGTGTTCAATAAAACACAAAGTAACAATCCCTGATGATGAGGGACATATATAGGAAGAATGCAATAGGATACATTTTTATACCCATTTAATTGGCAAAAATTGTAAACTCTGACAATATCAAGTGTTGGAACGGTTGTAGATTCACAGTACCTATTATACACTACTTTTTGGAGGATAAATTGATGCAGTGATTTAGAAAACAATCTGGCATTACCACAGCACAACATTTACCTACCCCATGACTCAGTAATTCTACGCCTTAGGTAAATAAACAAAATAAATCTAGTACTTGTGCACATGTTTAACCAAAGACATGTAAAATATTCACAGTGGCACTGTTCACAATGGCAAAAACTGGAAAAACAGAAAAGCACATAAACAGGGTAAATGTGGTAGATTCATATATTCACACCCAATGGAATAATATATAATGGTCAAAATGAATGAAATACAGTGACAAAAAATTATGAATTAATCTTAGCAGTATGGTAATACAATAGTTAAATGAAAAGTTAATTCTCAAAGAATTACATGATGTTTATTAGCCTTTTATCACGATAAAAATAATTTAAAATTACTCTATATATTTACAGTAAATATATAAACAGTAAAAATATATAAAATAGTAAATATATATATGAGTAAATACACACAAACATAAAGTTTATGTATATAAACTTTAGAAGCAACAGTACTATCTAAACAGGAAAGCTGAAGAATGATGAAAAGAGTCAGGATAATTGCTGCCTGATTTAGGATAGTAGGTTGGTGAAGAGTACTGTAAAATTAGATGTAGATTATCTAGGTCACCAATTCTGTTTGGGGGTTGAGGTTTTCCAGGTGGTTATTACGTAACCAAAATTAATACATGAGTGGAAGAAAGCAAGCAAGACATGCATAAACTGGACCCCTTCCTTACACCTTGTACAAAAATTAACTCAAGATGGATTACAGACTTAAATGTAAAACCCAAACCATAAAAACCCTAGAAGAAAACCTAGGCAATACCATTCAGGACATAGGCATGGGCAAAGACTTCATGATGAAAACGCCAAAAGCAACTGCAACAAAAGCCAAAATTGACAAATGGGATCTAATTAAACTAAAGAGCTTCTGCACAGCAAAAGAAACTATCATCAGAGTGAATAGGCAACCTACACAATGGAAGAAAATTTTTGCAATCTACCCATCTGACAAAGGTCTAATATCCAGAATTTACAAGGAACTTAAACAAATTTACAAGAAAAAAAAACCCTGTCAAAAAGTGGGCAAAGGATATGAACAGACACTTCTCAAAAGAAGACATTTACGTGGTCAAAAAACACATTGAAAAAAAAAGCCCACCATCACTGATCATTAGAGAAATACAAATCAAAACCACAGTGAGATACCATTTCATGCCAGTCAGAATGGCGATTATTAAAAAGTTAAGAAACAATAGATGCTGGCGAGGCTGTGGAGAAATATGAACATTTTTACACTGTTGGTGGGAATGTAAATTCGTTCAACCATTGTGGAAGACAGTATGGTGATTCCTCAAGGATCTAGAACCAGAAATACCATTTGACCCAGCAATTCCATTACTGGCTATATACCCAAAGGATTATAAATCATTCTACTATAAAGTCACTTGCACACATATGTTTACTGCAGCACTATTTACAATAGCAATGTCATTGAACCAACCAAAATGCCCATCAGTGATAGACTGGATAAAGAAAATGTGGCACATATACACCATGGAATACTATGCAGCCATAAAAAATGAGATCATGTACTAACAAGGATGAAGCTGGAAGCCATCATCCTCAGCAAACTAACACAGGAACAGAAAACTAAACACCACATGTTCTCACTCATAAGTAGGAAATGAGTGATGAGAACACATGGACACAGGAAGGGGAACAACATATACCAGGGCCTGTTGGTGTTGGGGGGGCGAGGGGAGGGTACTCAGAGGACGGGACAATAGGTGCAGCAAACCACCATGGCATACATATTCCTAGGTAACAAACTGCACGTTCTGCACATGTATCCTGGAACTTAAAGTAAAAAAAAAAAAAAAAAAAAAAATCTCATGAACACAAAGGAAACAACAGACACTGGGATCTACTTGAGAGGGAAGGGTGGGAGCAGCTAGAGGAGCAGAAGAGACAACTATTGGGTACTGGGATTAATACCTGGGTGATGAAATAATCTGTACAACAAACCCCCATGAAACATGTTTACCTATGTAACAAACCTTCACACGTACCCCTGAACCTAAAATGAAAGTTATAAATAAATAAATAAATAAATAAATAAATAATCATAAGTAACCCAATATCGTTTATTTGCAGTCTAAGGAAAAACATTAAAGTTAAACCAACAAGAAACAAGTATCTCTAGATTTTACAAAAACAGAGATTATATGTAATTTGTTACCTAACTCAGCCTAAATTTACTTTCTTTTTACAACAATTAGGCAATGCAAATTTTTTGAAAACATCAGATCTCAATTGTTTATCCCACTCTACAAAATGTCTCCTCCTAATTTATCCTAATTTTTTGGATCAGAAAATCATGCCCATTGTAACTACATTTAACAAAACTAAGCACTGAGTTTCAGCATTTATGCCAGTACAGAGTTTTCTAGAGGTGAACACTGTCCTGGTCGTGACACAACCATTGCCCTACCAGGCATACCTGAGCTACATGTAATTCCCTGATTTCCTGGCTGGATTGTATTCTAAACTCTTTTATTGACACACTATGCTCCCTTCCCCCACACTTGCCTAAGTCGTTTGTATCCTGTCATTTTCAACTTGGGTGTCACCTGGGAAACCTTCCTTGTTCTCCCTACCACCTACTACTGCCTGGGCTAAATTTATCTCTGTGTGCTCCAATGTCTCTATTTATTGCAGAATCTAGAAGATTAAATGTTTGCCAGTGTTTATTTTTTTTTCCATTCGACATGAGCTCCTGGAGGGCAAAAATCTATGCTTCATTTACTTTTGTATCTCCTTAATCTGACTCATATCAGATACCTATGTTTTCTTCACTTATAAATGCATTTCTTTCTATGCAACTTTAAGTAAAAGAAAACACCCTATTTCTTATAATTTTGTGTTACTACATTTTACAACTTAAAAAATATTTACAGTTGTGTTTATTGGGAGAATATTAAGTTCTGCAAATCATTTATGTTTCAACAGCTGACTGTCAACCCCACCTTAATCAGAGACACACGTGTCATAGCTATGGCTACTATTTTATCTGACAGCAAGGCTACCCATTTCACTAGAAAGGAGCTCATTTTCCAATCAGACATAATGAACACTTAAGGAAAGGCTATACTTGAAAGAAAACATTGCTTCATAGACTTATGTCAACCCATTGACCATATGTAAATATTTACATATACACTTTCTGCCTCTCTTGTCAATGAGTAGGTTTTCGCTTTATATTTCTGGAACCATGCTTTAGAAGTGCTTTAAGATACTAATTAACATAAAATGCACCCCATTGTCAATTTATCTTATGATCTTAATCAGCTAAAAACAACCAAAATTCCCAGAGAGAGTAACCGTGCCATAAGAAGTGACTGGTATTGGGATTCATCTCTTCTGTATTAGCACATGATGGCAATATAAGAATCCTAGAAAATCTAGACCACTCTTTTTAAAGAAATCCTTGAGCTTATTTTTCTTTATTCACTGAAGAAACAGTTTATTTGCTGCTAATTATTTCTGCCTTGGAGAAAAAAAAATGTAGCTAGTGGAAAGGAAATGGGATTGAAATTGCAAAAGAGTTCAAATCCTGGCTTCAGACTGTCATTTGAGTTAGTTATTTAATCTTTATGAACCTCACTTTCCCTGTCTGTAAAATGAAGATAATAACTACACTGAAGGTCAATGTTAGGGCTACAGAAAATGCACTTGGCACACTGAGGTAGAGAACGTGCTCAATGATAAGTTGCCATTATTACTAGATGTGAGAGGAAGAGAAGACCAGTTACCTAAATATGCATTTTTTATCTTTCCCTTTGTTCTTCGGACATGCTTTGCTTCTAGAGGTGTACATACATCCTATTTTGCAATGAGTATTTATGAGATTAATGAAGCTATTTGTAAACCATCACCTTCAGATAGAGAAAATAGCCTTTGTGTGACATGGGTACTTTCTGATTTTCTCTGAGTAACAGTGGGGTTTATAACTGTACTGATTGTATGCAGTCTGCTTAGTTTGTATAAACAGTTACATATTTTCTTAACACCCTGAATGTATAGATTGCCAAGTGAAAGAAAACCCATTCATTTTATTCACAATTGGGT
Organism: Homo sapiens; assembly: GCF_000001405.40. Taxonomy (NCBI): domain Eukaryota; kingdom Metazoa; phylum Chordata; class Mammalia; order Primates; family Hominidae; genus Homo; species Homo sapiens. The sequence continues at coordinate 148,331,752 of NC_000003.12, read as the reverse complement.
GCATCAAAACACTGGAAATAAGAAACAATTCTAGATGTAATCTATATTTTTTGCACTGCTTTAGAGATACATCCTTTTTTTCCTGAGGCTAAAAGTGAAACTTCTGGTCTACACTCACTGTGCATATGATAAAAACAGTGCTGGGAAACTGGCTTGCTGCTGGCCCTCGCCTCTACTCTGGCCCTGGAGATGTGTTTATTTCTTTATGCAGATCTGTAAACCTTTCCCAAGACTAGAATTTCCAACCAAAGATAATCCCTTAAGTTTTGTTTAGCTCCCATCTAATCACTTCAAATACATAGGTGTTTCTTTCTTTTTTTTTTTTTTAAAAAACTTCCTGATTCTGAATGAGGATTTAGTTAAATGCCTGTTTAAGAATTGATGAGTAATTTAAAGGATTTAGGAGAACATTCTGTGCTATTATATGCAAATACATGCCATGCATGGCTCCCTATGTCATTAACCTGGCAGTCATTTCATGCATGACTCCCCATCTTATTAAGCTAGCAGTATGGAATATTTGATTTACTAAACTGGCATGAACTACTTAGTGTGCTAATATAGGAATATAACTTTTAAATTTCTTTGGAATAACTATCTTTGAAACAGATTCTTGAAGATGATAACATTATTTTGACAGCTGTGCTCAGTTTCTAAGAGTCTATTTTAGGAAGCGTCTTATAACGGGTAGAAATGTACCTGTGTGATTTGAATGAACCATACAATAATTGAAAATGAAAACCATCATAGAAATAAGAGTCCTTAGAATTCAGTAGCAAGTAATTCGACAACACAGGTAAATAAATTTTGTAGAAGCGTTTGCTTCTAGACAATATGTGTGACAGTATGTTATTGCCTGAGAGTCTGCCACTGGGCTCCCAGTTATCATGATGTTCTGAAAACTCTTTTTATAGCCAAGGCCCCCCTGGCTTTCCCCAGCTTTCGTTGCCATAGCAGCATTCATTGGCCATGGGATTTACAGAAAAAAAAGAGAGAGAGAGAGGGAGGAAAAGAGGGCTGCATGTTTGTAAAGTTGGTGCAGTGCCAAACGTAGTAGGAATTATACATTCAGGATGCTGGATTCTTCCTTTAGTGTCCATTTCAGCTAGTGCCTACTGTCACCCACATAATCACAAACCACTCTGTCATCATTCAGACCAGCTGCGTGAAATGAGACAAAGGGAAATTTAGCAGCAAGGGAGGAAATGGTAATTTAAAAGGCTTTTAAATGATGTTTTCTATGTTCCTCAATCAACAATATTTTAAAGCCTTTAATTTTTTTTTCAACAATAGGATTTCCTTGTTGTGCTGGCTTGACTGGTGACATATTAGCACAAAGTTGGCCAAAAAAATGTCAGAGACTAGAAAGGAGGTCCAACAGATAAATCTAAAAGCAGTTAAAAAGGAAATATTTATAGTAATTTTCATTTCTGCTAAACTTTTTGCATTTAAATTACACAGATAAATTTGCCTTCACTCTTTTTGACTATTGTATAATTTTGAATTAGAAGGATCAATGTTTATCAGATATGCCCTTTAATAAGTACTTCCAGATTTGTGATATTATGTTCATCGTTTCTTCAGTCGTGACACGTACTTCAGAATTCACAAGGCAACAGGAAAAAAAAAGGTTCATGAGGGAAGAAAACCAAGTGAATAACCCAGGAAAGTTGGTGAACTGTGACATGTGTTGGACTCATGTGAACCATGAATATGTAAGTGGGGCCCAGCTAGGCCAGGAGGAGAGGGAGGGAAGAGGATGTCAGGTGGGGAATTTGTCTAAGAGAAAGGGAATATAAAATGTGTTTGCTTGCAGCAATTCCAGGATGTTGGCTAGGATTTACACTAGGATACACAAATGGATGAAGTAATCTGTTAAAACTGGAGTAGTTTATTGGTAGATGGTTGGAAATAGAGAAAGTCGATTGTAAGAGAACCATTAATGTTTAGCAGAGCCTTTTGTTAGATTTAAAACAATTATGATCTCTTTATCTGAAATTATAAATAGCACCTGTATATATGGACAGAAAATTAGATGAATGCAATAGAGTAGAGATCCCAGACATGACTCAACATTATCTGGGAATTTGGTAAACCACAGAAGTGGCTTTACACATCAATGGGGAAAGAAAAAAAATTTAATGTTTGGTTTGAGGACATTTTGGTTATTTATATGGAAAAAAATTAAAAGAAGATTTATATGCCACATCATAGAAAAAAACAATTAAAATTTGAATAAAAAACTTAAAATGTTTACAAAAAATATAGATGACTTTTTATGAATTTAAGGAAGGTAAGCATTTTTTAAACTAGCTGTGAAAATACAAATTTTGAGGGATAAATAATATGTTGTTTTGACAATGGGCAATATAAACACAGTGAAAGAACAAGATAAAGTCTAGGAAAACATATTTCAATGCAATAGCTGAGAGGATTGTTTTTCAGAATGAATGAAGCACTCCTATAAATTAATTTTTAAAAAATTAACTCAGATAAAAATAGTATGAACAGATCACTTACAGAAAAAGAACCCTGAACCCGACAAACATATCAAGATGCTTCAACTCATTAGTAGGGAAATGCAAAGGAAAACAAAAATGTTAAGGATTTGACAAATATCAGATTGGCAAAAATTTAAAATCTAACAATGCCAAGTGTTGCTGTGCATTTGGGAAAACAATGCTGATGGGTGTTTGAAATGTTATCAGGAACTGGGAAACAATTTGGCAGGATATAGTAAAGTTTAAAATATGTCTCCTATAGGACTGAGTAATTCTATATCTATACACAGGTACCTACAAAAATATTGTAGCATTAATTCAATGGGAAACAAATATATCATAACATATTCATATTATGGAATACTGAATGCCTATTAAAATAGATAAAATAGAAACATGTTTTAACTTGAATAATTGAGAGAAAAACTTTCAGTGGGAAAAGTAAGTTTTAGTATCCAATATAAAATATGATACCATTTATAGTAACATAAATGTTATTGTGTTGATATAAAAGAGGTTATTTATGTATGCATAACTATATTATTAAAGCATGAAAACCTGGATGGGAAGAATATATTCCCAACAAAGGAAACACAGCCAAAGAATAAAGGAGGGAAAAAAAGAACACATAAACTGAATCTGTAATGATTTATTTCATTAACAAAAACACCTATTTTGGAAAGTGAGACAACCAAATATTGAGTGCTGGCTGATAGAACACTTAACCACCACTGAAGTGGTATTGCCAAAAATAACAATAATAATAATTAGACTCTGAGTCTAAACCTTGAGTCACAACTCAACAACACATTTAAACACATTTATTTCTTTATTTGTTTGTTTGTTTGCTTTTTGAGAGGGAGTTTTTCTCTTGTCGCCCAGGCTGGAGTGCAGTGGCACGATTTTGGCTCACTGCAACCTCCACCTCCTGGGTTCAAGCGATTCTCTTGCCTCAGCCTCCCAAGTAGCTGAGATTACAGGCACCCCCCACCACACTCAGCTAATTTTTTGTATTTTTAGTAGAGACGGGGTTTCACCATGTTGGCCAGGCTAGTCTCGAACTCCTGACCTCAGGTGATGCACCCACTTCGGCCTCCCAAATGCTGGGATTACAGGTGTGAGCCACCACTCCTGGCCTTTTAAACACATTTATAGGAAGTACAGGGGACAGAGCAACATTTTAAACATCACGATGAGGGTGAAATCAGTGAAATTCAAACTGTGGAAAACTCAATAAGCAAATGACCTAGTTTCTTCAACAACAACAACAACAACATTGTAAGCCCCCTGACCACACCCCCCACCTCCAAAAAAAAGAAAAAATAATCCAGGGGAATGTTTAAAATTCCTATTAAGCAATGTCAATGTGAGGGCCTTGTTTAAATCCTGATTCAAACAAAACTGTAAAAAGTTACATTTATGGGACAATTGAAAATGTAAATACCTACTGCTTGTTTCATATCTTAGGTGTAAAATCAGTAATACAGTATATTTAGGACGATATAATAAATAATTAAAGAAAACTGTAGATAGGCAAGCAGTCCCAGTTCTTTACTACAAATTAAGAGCAGTACACAATCAGTTCTGAAAACATCCCTAGAGTGGTCAGAAAAAGCTCATTCATTTACTTATTTAACAAATGTATAAAGAAGCTATCAGATGTCACATATGATACTCTTTTATGCATTGGAGATAAGTGAGTGAACTAAATAGAAGATCTCTTCCTTTATGGAGCTTAAACTCTATGAGGGAAAATAAGTAAATAAACATGTAAATAAATGATACGCCATCTGGTAGTAAGTAGTAGATCAAAAAATAAAGCAGGTCCGGGCACAAGGAAGGGGAGGCTTTTCATTGTATATTCTGTCAGGTGAGACCTCACTAATAAGACTGCTAAATAGAAAGATCTGAAGGATGTATAGACAAGCCAATAGCTGCAGGGGGATTGGGGGGCGGGGGGAACATTCCAGGCAGAGGAGACAGCCAGTATAAGAGTCCTCAGGTGAGACCATATGTGGGGTAATCAAGAAAAACTAGAGGAGGTCAGGTGTGACTGGAGAGCAGTGAGTGATGTGAAGAGTTAGAGGGCACATGGAGACAGGTCATGCAGAGCCTTGCAGACCTGCTTTAAAGCTTTGCATTTTACTGTGGATGAGGTGGGGGGTCTAGTGGAGATTTTCAGTATTGATGTAAACATTCTGACTTAAATTTATAAGGTTTGCTCTTTTGTTGTTTTGAGATTAGACCTTAAGGCCAGAGCAGAAGCTGGAAAAGCAGTTAGCAATCAATTACAACAATCCAGTTGTTCATTTCACTTGAATCTCAACAAAATCTCACAACACAACATCTGATTTTCACCTCAAATCTCCAATTCTTGCTGACTTCTCTATTAATTTTATTTGCCCTAACCCCAAACCTCTTTTTCATACTCCCATAAAATCCTTCAGATTGGGACTCTACTTTCCAAATATATTCAGAATGAAACACATTTTTTTATTGTGATAAAATACACATAACACAAAAGTTAACATTTCAAACAATTTAAGTATATGTTTCTGTGACATTAAATATATTCATAATGTTGAAACCATCACCACCATCTATCCAAAACTTTTTCATCTTCCCCAATTGAAATTCTGTACCAATCAAATGCTTAACTCTCCAGTATCTCTCCCTCACTAGTCCCTGGTAACTACCATTCTACTTACTGTGTCTACGCATTTGACAACTCTAGAAACCTCATGTTAGTAAAATCATACAATATTTTCCTTTTTGTGACTGGCTTACTTTAGTAAGCATAATGTCTTCAAGGTTAATCTATGTTCTAGCATGTGTCAGAATTTCCTTCTATTTTAAGTCTAAATAATATTTAATTGTATGTATATACCACATTTTGTTTTCCAATTCATTCTTCAATGGATGGTTAAGTTGTTCTCACATTACTTTTTTTCTATTTTATTTTTATTTTAAATTTTTTCTTCCAACTTTTATTTTAGGTGCAGGGGATAGAAGTGCAGGTTTGTCACATGGGTAAATTTCATGTCACTGGGATTTCGTGTACAATTTTTTCATCACCTGGGTAGTGAGCATAGTACCTGACAGGTAGTTTTTTGATCCTTACCCTTCTGCTACCCTACAACCTCAAGTAAACTCCTGTGTCTGTTGTTCTCCTCTTTGGTTCCATGTGTTCTCAAAGTTTAGTTCCCAGCTGTAAGTGAGAACACATGCTGTATGTGGTTTTCTGCTCCTGTGTTAATTCTCTTAGGATAATGGCCTCCAGGTGCATCCATATTGGAACAAAGGGCATGATTTCATTCTTTTTTATGGCTTTGTGGCATTCTATGGTGTATATGTATCACACTTTTTTAAACTTTCATTTTAGGTTCAGGAGTGCATGTGCAGGTTTGTTATAGAGGTAAACTTGTGTCATGGGGATTTATTGTACAGATTATTTCATCACCCGGGTACTAAGCCTACTACCCAATAGCTAGTTTTTTCTGATACTTTCCTTCCTTTGACCCTCCACCTCAAGTAGGACCCAGTGTCTACTATTGCCCTCTTTGTGTCCATGTGTCCTTATCATTTAGCTCCCACTTGTAAGTGAGAACATGCAATATTTGGTTTTCTGTTACTGTATTAGTTTCCTAAAAATAATGGCCTGCACCTCCATCCATGTTCCCGCAAAGGACATGATCTTATTCTTTTTTATGGCTGTATAGTATTCATGGTGTATATATATTAACATTTATTTTTTATCCAATCTGCCATTGATGGGCATTTAGATTGATTCCATGTTTTGCTATTGTTAGTAGTGCTGGTAGAACAATTTCTATTCCTTTGAGTATACACCCAGTAATGAGATTGCTAGGTTGAATGGTAGTTCTGTTTTTAGCTCTTTGAGGAATCACCACACTGCTTTCTACAATGGCTGAACTAATTGCCACTTCCGCAACAGTGTATAAGTGTGCCCTTTTCTCGACAACCTCTGCATCTGTTATTTTTTGACTTCTTAGTAATAGCCTTTCTGACTGTTGTGAGATGGTATTTCATTGTGTTTTTGATTTGCATTTCTTTGATGATCAGTGACATTGAGCTTTCTTTCATATTGTTGGCTGCATGTATTTCTTCTTTTGAAAAGTGTCTGTCCATGTCTTTTGTCCACTTTTTAATGGGGTTGTTTTTTTTCTTGTAAATTTGTGGATATTAGACCTTTGTCAGATACATAGTTTGCAAATATTTTCTCCCATTCTGTACTGTTTACTCTGCTGATAAGTTTAATTTGCTGTGCAGAAGCTCTTAAGTTTAATTAGATGCCCTTTGTCAATTTTTGCTTTTATTGCGATTGCTTTTGGCATCTTTGTTCTATATAGTCTTTACCAGTTCCTGTGTCCAGAATGGTATTGCTTATGTTGTCTCCAAGGGTTTTTATGGTTTTGGGTTTTACATTTAAGTCTCTAATCCAACTTGAGTGGATTTTTGTATATGATGTGAGGAAGTGGTCCAGTTTTAGTCTTCTGCATATGGCTGGCCAGTTATCCCAGCACCATTTATTGAATAGGAAGTCTTTTTCCCATTGCTTATTTGTGTTGACTTTGTCAGAGATCAGATGATTGTAGGTGTATAGCTTTTATTCTGGGTTCTTAAAACTGTCCCATTTGTCTGTATGTCTTCTTTTGTACCCTGATGTTTTGTTTACTGCAGCCCTGTAGGAACGTTTGAAGTTGGGTAATGTAGCGCCTTCAGCTTTGTTCTTTTTGCTTAGGATTGTTTTGGCGATTTTTGCCCTTTTTTGGTTGCATATAAATTTCAGGATAGTTGTGTTTTTTTCAAGCTTTGTGAAGAATGTCATTGGTAGTTTGATAGGAATAGCACTGAATCTGTAAATTGTTTTGGGTAGTATGGCCATTTTTAATAATATTGATTCTTCTTAACCATAAGCATGAAATGTTTTTCCATTTCTTTGTGTCATCTTTGATTTCTTTGAGCAGTGTTTTGTAATTCCCATTAAAGAGATCTTTCACCTTCCTGGCTGGCTATATTCCTAGGCAGAAATCAAGGAGTTCTTTGACACCAAAGAAAAAAAAATCTAGAACATACTAGAATCTCTGGGACACAGCTAAGCCTTGTTAAGAGGGAAATCTATAGCACTAAACACCCACATTAAAAAGTTAGAAAGATTTCAAATTAACAACTTAACATTACAACTAAAAGAACTAGAGAAGCAATAGCAAATCAACTCCAAATCTAGCACAATAAAAGAAATAACAAAAATCAGAGCTGAACTGAAGGAGATCAATACACAAAAAGCATTTCCAAAGATTAATGAATCCAGGAGTTTGCTTAAAAAGCAATTAATGATAGATAGGCTGCTGGCTAGACTAATAAAGAAAAGAAAGAATACTTCATTGAACACAATTAGAAATTATGAAGGGGATGTTATCACAGACCCCACAGAAATACAAAGAATGATCAGAGACTACTCTGATGCACATAAACTAGAAACCCTAGAAGAGATGGATGAATTCCTGGACACATACACCCTCGCAAGACTGAGACAGGAAGAAATTGATTCCATAAACAGACCAATAATTAGCTCCAAAATGGGATCAGTAATAAGTAGCCTACCAGTCACAAAAAGCCCAACCAGATGGATTCACAGCCAAATTCTACCAGATTTACAAAGAAAAGCTAGCATCGTTCCCACTAAAACTATTCCAAAAAATTGAGAAGGACAGACTCCTCCCCAACTCATTCTATGAGGCTAGCATCGTACCGATACCAAAACCTGCCAGAGACACAATAAAAAAAGAAAACCTCATACCAATTTCCTTGACGAACATTTATGCAAAAATTCTCAACAAAATACTTACAAACCAAATCCAGCAGCCCATCAAGAAGCTAATCCATCACCATCAAGTAGGGTTTATGCCTGGGATGGAAGGTTGGTTCATACACAAATCAATAAATAATTTCAGTTTTTAAAAAATTTTTTTGAGAATTGCTTTAGGGTCGAGTGTGTGGGCAATCTTAACGTATATGCCATGTGCAGATGAGAATGTATATTCTGTTGTTGTTGAGTGGAGTGTTCTGTAGATGTCTGTTAAATCCATTTGGTCAAGTGTCAAGCTTAGATTCTGAATATTTTTGTTAGTTTTCTGCCTCAATGATCTTTCTAACACTGTAAGTGGGATGTTGAAGTCTCCCACTGTTATTGTATGGTTATCTAAATCTCTTCATAGATCTCTAAGAACTTGTTTTAAATCTGGGTGCTCCAGTGTTGGGTGCTTATATCTTTAGGATAGTTAAGTCTTCTTGTTGAATTGAATCCTTTATCATCATGCAATGCCCTTCTTTCTCCTTCTTCATCATTGTTGATTTAAAGTCTGTTTTGTCCGAAAGAATAGCAACCTCTTCTCTTTTCTGTTTTCCATTTTCTTGACAGATCTTTCTCCATTACTTTACTTTTAGCCTATGGGTGTCATTGCATGTGAGAATAGTGTCTTGAAGACAGCATATGGCTGAGTCTTGGTTTTTTGTTTGTTTGTTTGTTTGTTTTTTAGATGGAGTCTCGCTCTGTCGCCCAGGCTGGAGTGCAGTGGCGTGATCTCTGCTCACTGCAAGCTCCACCTCCCGGGTTCACACCAATCTCCTGCCTCAGCTTCCCGAGTAGCTGGGACTACAGGTGCCTGCCACCATGCCCGGCTAACTTCTTGTATTTCTAGTAGAGATGGGGTTTCACCGTGTTAGCCAGGATGGTCTCGATCTCCTGACCTCGTCATCTATCCACCTCGGCCTCCCAAAGTGCCGGGATTACAGGCATGAGCCACCACGCCCAACAGAGTCTTGCTTTTTTATGCAACCTGCCACTCTGTGTCTTTTACGTGGGCCTTTTAACTCATTTACATTCAAGTTAGTGAGATTTGTGAGGCAGGACACGAAAGCAAGATCAAGCGGGGCTAATGACTTCTTACATATTCTCCCAATGTGCATTATTAAGTATATTACAATGTACAATATTTCACTATAAATTATCACAATGGCAATAAGCCTAAGAAAAACATATTCTGGGAGCTGTGTGCAGTTTGAATTTAAGCAGAAACATTTTGGAGGAGGTGGGTACAGCACTTAAGGGAAAGGTAACCTGCATCTCACCAGGATAGTGACTGAAAATGGAAAAAGGAACCAAACTCTGTTCCCTTTCCCCACCTCCTCCTTTTATTCCCCTCTTCCATATTTCTGTGTCCCAGTCACATGTCTGTCTTTCAAGTTCCTGAAAGGTCATGATGCTTCCCACCTGAGACATTCCCCCTCTCCATGACATCCCTTTTTCCTTTATTTTTTCTGCTCTTTTACTCTGAGCTTCCTCCTGGGATTCCCCAGGTTAAGTTGGGCATCATCAATTATAGTTTTATATAGTATGGAGCAACTTTATTCTTTCTCAATTGCACTAATCACAATTATAAGTGATTGCCTGATGATATGTCTTTTTTTCTTCCTAATATACTGTGATCTTTAAGCAAAGGGATCAGGTAAGTCTTATTCACCCCTCAAGTCCCAAGCTTATTATATACAAAAGAATAAGATGTCTTTTTCGTGTTCTCCAATACATACATGATATTGGAGATAATTCCATTTAAGATTTTAAGTAGTTATCAAACGTTTAAAACATTTTGAAAGTCAAATGCTTTGCACTGTGCTCATATAGAAAGTTGACCATAGTTCTGCATGAAACCTGAACAATCGTTAGGTTGACTAATACAAGAGTTTGGAGTATGTAATATTTTACAAAAAAGGTAAAAAGTCTCTACATAATGCACCCCATGTTTTACTGCTTATCAATCTTAAGCAGTAGGAAAGCTGTAAATTTAGAAATGTGTTTTTAAAGGAAAACAAGTTCAATATATTGGTGTTGCTTCATTTTTAAGTTTACAAACTTGTGAAAAAAAATTAAATTCCTTTTAGTAACATCATTTAATTAATTTAGCTTCATTCTGTTTTATAATGAAGATTGATGTATTTCTAAATTATACTGCATCATGTTTGATTTATCCAATCTCAGTATTGAAAATGTTTTTAAAAAATTCTAATTATTTTCATCAAAACAAATTCCTGTCTTTACTATTCTGCATGTTAGAGTTCATTGAAAACACTCATTAATCTAGCAGTTTAAGATTTTAATTTCCAGATGGAATGATTAGCATTTCTAAGTTTCTTATATTCAAACCACAAATATAAACCCTTTTCAGGGGTCACTGGAGGCAAATAATTTAGACCTAATATTTTGCTAAGTTAAACATGGTGCTGGTTTATGTAATTAATTTAATAATATTTGCTCTGACACCGTATTATTATTTTCAAGATTTTACTTTTAACACAAGCTAATTTATTTGAATAAATAGTATGTGTATAACACATCTTGAAGAATTCCCTTGTTTCATTTAAGTTTTTGCGTATTTGAATCCTGTCATTCATTTTTTGTTTCTCGTAAATTGATTATTTAAAAACACTAGATACTATTGAGAGAACTGAAGTGGGGTTCATTGATGTGATATTAAATTCAGATAATCATGTTACTTTAATTACTTATTCCCTTCTTTAGAGAAAGTAGTTTAGGAAACATAACATCAGTATACTCTCCTTAACAAAAGAAATATTTAACATACTAAAAACAGTTGAAGACGAGCAATAAGGGTGACTATAATACAGGAATATTCCCATTATATTCAGGGAATGCATTCATGAAAATATGAACAGCTATTGAATCAATCTTTGATGGGTCCTTATAACAAAGTCCTTATAGAGATGCTTTTCCATTAGTATAATGCAGTCATGACTTGCTTTGGTTAATCCTTACTGGATGCTGTGACATATACAATATTCTTCATGTCAAAGAAATTCATCAATTTTAGTTAAAAATGCAAAACATGTCATTGAAAATGTATACGATGTAAGTGTGTGGTTTAGAAGTAATAACCAAATAATAAATGAATACTCATGTATGTATCACTCAGCTGAAGAAAAAGTTAAAGCCTCTTATGAGCCTATTTCCATAACATCTCCCTCCCTCCCACACACATAGAACGAGCAGTTTGAACTTTGTATAATCACATTAATTTGCTTTTCTTTATAGTGTAGCCATAGATACTGTAAATGCATTCCTAAAGTAGATATTACTTAGCTTTTCCTTTTTTGAACATTTATATTGGATCATACTATATTTCTTTTCTGTGACTTTATTTCCTCACAAATATTTATTGATATATGCAGTTTTGAGTACTGTACTCTGTTGTATTAATCTGCCATCACTCATTTATTTATTTAAGCTTCTAATTGTTTTTTGCTATTATGAACAATGTGTTTAAGAACATTTTGAACATCTGATGTTCACGTGCAATTTCTCTAGACTATATATGTGGGAGAAGAATTACTGAGTCAGATTATGAGTCAGTGGAACTTTACTAAGTGATGAGAAATTACTTTCTAAAATAGTATCAGTTTACATTCCCATCACTTCCTCATTTCTGCAAATTCTTGCTAACATATAGTATTGTCAGACTTCTACTTTTAAAAATGAAACTAGTGATTGTGAAATTGTGGTCTTAGTTTGCATTTTCTTTATTATTAAGAAGGTTAAACATTTTTTAATAGGTTTATGTACTCTGTGTTTCTTGTTCTATAAATTTCTACTCTTGACCGGTATAGGCAGCCTCTAACATGGACCCCGGTGATCTTTGCCTCCTTGTGTAATCTCTTCCCTTTGAGTGAGCACTTAGACCTAGTGATTTGCATATGAGAAATAGAACAAGGCAGAAAATGATGAGATGTCATTTCTGAGATTAGGTTACCAGAAGACTGTGGCTTCCGTTTCCTCTCTCTCACCCTTTCATGGACTCACATTGCGAGAATCCAGGACTCAGGTTGTGAGCTACCATATGGAGAGGCCCACAAGATAAGAAACTGAGGGAGGGCTCTGGCCAATAGCTGCAAGGAATTGAGGCTCTCAGTTCAATGGGCTGGCAAGAACTAAATTCTGTCAACCACCGTATGAGATAGCATGACAGTGGATCCTCCCCTAGCAGAGCCTGCGAAGGAGACTACAGCATCTCCTGACACCTTGATGGCAGCTTTGTGAGAGACCCTGGGTCAGAGGTACCCACCTGACTTTCTGATCCATGGAATCTGTGAGATAATGAGTATTTACTGTTTTATAGTTGCTGAGTTTGGGAGTAATATTGTCATACCTCAAATACCTAATAAATAAAATGACTTTTGAGGCTGTTGTTTTCTTAGGGCTTCACAGTGGTTCTTTATATATTATATTCTGGATGCAATAATCGTCAGTCATATGTGTTGCACTAATATGTTCCAAAATTATAATTGTAACACTTTTTCTGTTGTGTCTTTTGAAGGAAAACTTCTGATAAAAGATAAAAGATTATCTATTAAATATTTATTTATATATTATATAAAATATATATAATAGATGTATAATATATTAAGATATATGTTAATCTATATTAGATATTAAGATATGTATATTAATATATAGGATACCTATGTTATAGATATCTTAATATATGTTATATATCTAATATAGTAAATTTAACATATATGTTAAATTTGTATATATATGCTAAATTTATTACATATGTTAAATATATCTATATATAGATATCTTTGCCTGTCAAAATTCATTTTCTTTTTCATGAAAATGAACCACTTGCATTACTATGAGCAAGAAACAAGTGACACCCATCTAAAGATAACCAAACATGCACAAATCATGGAATTACACAATTCCCAGAGGACTGGTTACGTAATGCCCAGCATCCCATTGAAAGGACATTTAGTCGTTTCTTCTGTGACATTTAAAAATTTATCCACAATTCTTCCTGGCAGTCACTCTACTCCCCTTATGATCATAAATAATATCTCTCTTTCTCGAGGTTATTCTTATTCACAAAAAGGCTTGTTTCATTCAGGTTTGTGATAATGGTTCACATAAGTGAAGCAAGAATAATAACTAAACATACAAGGCCTCCTTGAGTTGCTTTGCAAAAATACAGGCATATGGTATCAAGCAACCACTAAAGCTACAGAATTAACATTTGTTTGAAATTTTCCATAAGAAATTTCAGATAGGACTTTTAAAAGCCTCTGTTTTTGGTGTTGCAGGTATTACAGGGCTAGTAAATCAAACCCCCAAAAACTTTCTCCACCGAACTTCACCTGTAACCTCTACCATTTAAAGGAATTTCCATTTCTGTGAGGTTCCCAAGATTTGCTAAACCTACCAGCCTGGTAAGAGCTCACCTTCCTTACTATGTATAAGACTGGGAATGCATTAGTCAGGCATCATGTCAGTTTTCATAGGAGGTCTTTTTAAGCCATACATCTATGTATTAAGTCAACTTTGTTCTTTAATAGTGGTTCATCATAACTGATTGAATGAGAATTTGTCTCAAATATGCCACCAAAAGTAAGATCGTGGTTACATAAGAAATTTGTGCAATTATATTCTGGATTAAAAGGAGGAAAGATTCTGTTTCAATCTGTGAACAAAAGTGAGCTTGAAAGAGCAAATCCCTCAAGATGGATTCCAAGTAGCTAACTGGGCCTAAATTTAAAATAGAGCCAAGCAGCCACTTCCCGACTACAGGACACACACACACTCTGACTTCCCGCTAAACCCGCACCTCTTTAAATCTGGGAGTTTTCAGAGCTCTGCTGTATCAACCAGTTACAGCTGAGATGAATTGCCCAATCAGAACTCAGCTATATTGACCAATCACAACTAAGTAAACTTGAATCCTTTATCTGCATAAATGAACCTGATTGGGAACCCAAATGAGAGCTTTTGCTATAAAATCCAAACCCTGGCCAGGAACAGTGACTTCTGCCTGTAATCCCACCACTTTGGGATGTTGAGGCAGGAAGATGGGTTGAGGCGAGGAGTTTGAGGCCAGCCGAGGCAACATAGTGAGACCCCCCAAACAATTTTTTGTAAATTGCTCTACAAAAAGCAATTAAAAAAAAAACCCAAACCCTCTGTTCTCTGGAATACACTCTGTATCTTCCCACTTTGCAAACTGTTCACTGTCACAAAGTCTCTTTCCCTCAAATTCTGATGTAGAGAACTTCTGTTTACAAAATCTATACAAATGACTCTATTGCCATGAAGCACAAAGGGTATCTGAATTCTGGGTTTCACTGAGAAGCAGATGTAAGTTTAAAATGTTTCATTTTTATTTATAAAGCAATCTATTAATTTAAGCCTTAAAGGTCACTCAAGAAAAGACAGGATTTCCTTATATAGCCATAAAAAATAGAGCATTAAAATGGCACCAACAATATCTCAAATAACTAGAAAAAAAATGGCACCAACAATATTTTAAACAAATAACTAGAAAAAAATTTTTCTAGTCAGTTCGATGAGTGCTATTTCAGGGGTCCCTAGCCCCAGGCCACCCTGTGACCGCTAAGAACCAGGCCACACAGCAGAAAGATGAGCAGCAGGCAAGCAAGCATTACCACCTGAGCTCTGCCTCCTGTTAGATCAGCGGCAACATTAGATTCTCATAGGAGCACAAACACTATTGTGAACTGCACTTGCGAGGGATCTAGGTTGGGCTGCTTGCTTATGAGAATCTAACTAATGCCTGATGATCTGAAGTGAAACAGTTTCATCCCGAAACCATCCCTCCACCTTTCCCTTAGCCCATCGAAAAACTGTCTTCCACAAAACTGGTCCCTGGTGCCAAAAAGTTTGGGGACCGCTGTGCTATTTAATTAATTCTTGTTTGCTAAATTTGGTTCAGTGGTCTGATTTCATGAAGTCTTTTACCTGTATACTAAAAAGAGTTCTGGAAATCCTGACTCAGTCAATGGTGTGGTCTGAAAGTTATCTAAGCAATGCCAGCTCAAGAGTTTGCGCCCAAGAGTCTATTCTTTGAAGTATCACTTGGAGTACGATAGTCCTCCCTTAGCCTCGAGGGCCATTCCAAGACACCTAGTTGATGCCTAGAACCATGAAAAATATCAAACCTTATATACACTATGTTTTTTTCCTAATTTAGTGGAGAACTGTCACTTTTTCACTGAAAGGAAGCAATTTACTGCTTTCCTTTTCCGTATCCAAATTGCCAGCATCACTACTGTTGCACTTTGGATTCATTACTAAGTAAAATAGGGGTTATTTGAACAGAAGCACTGATATACCACAACAGTTAAACTGATAAACGAAGATTGCTACTAAGTGACTAACTGGTTGGTAGTATCTACAGCATAGATACATTGAGCATGAGCAAACGGGTGATTCATGTCCAGGCCTGGATAGAACTGGATGGTATAAAATTTCATCACCTTACTCAGAATGGTGCACAATTTAAAACTTATGAATTGTTTATTTCTGGGATTTTCCATTTAATATTTTTGGATTGTGATGGACCATAGGTAACCAAAACCATGGAAAGTGAAACTGCAGATGGGGGCTTACTGTATCTTGTACAGTCCATTCTATCAGGCTCTCAGACTGCCCTTTGTGAAGACAAAAACTCCGGTCTGTAATTTATAGGAGAGCCTTCAGGCACACATTAGAATACATAAAAAATCATCTACAGCATGTTATCTGTTATCTGTAGATAATAAACATTTAATGCTTGTCTTTCACTCAAGGCCCAAGGGCTTTTCAGTCAGCTTGTGATGAATGCTGCTCGGCCTGGCTCTCTCCCTTCAGTGCAGTGAGCTCCCCTCTAGCCTCCACCTCTAGGTAGGTCCAGATAGTGACCACCTAGGAGCCAAGGCATGGAATTGGGAACCCCAGGAGTCTTCTTGGTTCTCTAGCTTACTGTGGCCAAGCTCTTACCCAAGCTGCAAGACAGTCTCGTTTACCTTTCCCTCTCCTATTCACAAGCAGAAGGACTCTTTCTGTGGCCACCACAGCTGGGAATGTGCTGGCTCACTCCTGAAGCCAGCACAGCACTGGGTCTCACCCAAGGCCCATGGTAGTACTGCCTGGTTATTGCTAATTTTTATTCAAGGCTCAAGGTCTCTTTAGTCAACAGGTAATGAATCTTGCCAAAACCGGGTCCTTCCCTTCAAGTCAGTGGGTTCTCTTCCAGCTCACTGTGTTTCTAGAAATGTTGCCTGGGAGGCTAGGGCCTGGAATGGGGGCATCAGGCTTGGGGCCTTATACCACTGTGGGTAGCCTGGTATCCAGATTGCAAGATAAAGTCCTCTTTACTCTTCCCTCTCCTTTCCTCAAGCTAAGCAAGGGAGTCTCTCCCAGATCTGTGAGCTGTATTGCCTGGGGTTAGTGAAGGGGTGATGCAAACACTCATTCGGCTACCACATCTGGGGTTTCACTAGTTCACAAGTACCCCAATTCCACTGGCTCCGAGCCCAGCATAGCACCAGGACTTGCCCAGGATTACAGTTCTTGTGGCCTTTCTAGTTGATTTGGGACCCCAGAGCACTTTAGCCCATGGAGGAAAGGCTTCCTGGAATTCAGGTTCTGACCACTGGG
Organism: Homo sapiens; assembly: GCF_000001405.40. Classification (NCBI taxonomy): domain Eukaryota; kingdom Metazoa; phylum Chordata; class Mammalia; order Primates; family Hominidae; genus Homo; species Homo sapiens. The sequence goes on along the minus strand of NC_000003.12, from coordinate 148,314,727 downwards.
ATGGATGATTTCTATCTCATTAGGGCTGGTCTAAATGCTCCCTCTCTGGATACCAGCGGAATTCTACCTTGTGTTGCTTTCCACTGTGACAGACAGCACTGAGTTTCAATTCAAGGTCCACAATTACTGCACTCTCCCTTCCCCAAACACAGATTCTCTCTCTGCATCATGTGGCTGCTGCAGGAAACTGGTGAGGGATGGTGTCGACAATTCGAGACTGTTTTTTCCTACCCTCTTTAGTGCCTCTTTCCCTGATGTGATGTTAAAACCAGGTATTATGATCATCGTTCACCTGATTTTTGGTTCTTATGAAAGTGCTTCCTTGTGTGGATAGTTCAATTTGGTGTTCTTCCAGGGGGAGATAATCACTGAAGCTTTCTTGCTCTGCCTGCTTCTAGCTGTTTGTTTTTAAATTTAAAAATTTAAACTAGTCTCACTTTCCAAAATGTTTCTGTGCTAAAAATTTCTGTAAGAGAGATGATTTTAAAAGTCTAATTCATTTAAAATAGTAGAATTTTCTTATTTTCTGGGAATTTAAAAAATATTTATTTATCTAAGTACTTATTTTTCTCCATAAAGCAATCCCATCAGTGTTCTTTTAATGTAAAATATAAAACAATATAGTTTATTAAAAGCTTTCAGAGGCAGGAAAACCATGAGAGGTAAAGCATTGCTTGAGTATAGACAATGATATAAAGAGAGACAAACAGATGCAGAGAGAACATATAGCTTCAGTTCTACAATTTCAGTCACAGGCAGGTCAAAGCGAATACAAACATTAAAACAGATTTTACACACATCAAAAAGTTGTTCTTGCCAATGGCTACAGAATTTGTAAATTAATTTGAGTTCAAAATAAACTATCAAAAAGACTAAACACTAGATTCTCTTGTCTTTCATCTAATAGGAAATAGATGTCTACCATCCAGCAATAATAATCACCGAATGGTTAAGCCAGAGGTTGGCAAACTATGGCTCACTGTCTATTTTTGGATAACATAAGAAGAGATTTTTCCATTTTTAAATGGTTGGAAAAAATCAAAATAATAATAATATTTTGGGACATATAAAAAGCTTTATTAAGAAATTAAATTTTTAGTGCCTATACTTAAAGCTTTATTGGACTGAGCCATGTTTATCATTTGCATATTTTCAATAACTAGTTTTGAACTTGCCATGGTCTGAATGTTTGTGTCCCACTCCAATTCACATGTTAAAATTCCAAACCCCAAGACGATGGTATTAGGAAGTAGGGCCTTTAGGAGGTGATTAGGACATGAGGGTGGAGGCCTTATAGATAAAATTAGTGGCCTTATAAAACAGATCCAGGAGAGACCCCTTGTAAGAATACAAGGAGAAGGTGTCATCAACTTGAGTATCCATTACCTAAAATGCTTGAGACCAGAAGTGTTTCAGATTTTGAATTTTAAAAATACTCATACTTACAGTACATGTGTATTAGTGCTGATGCATGTGTTTCAATGATTATTTCCCACTCATTACCTCTTATTTTGTATATTTGTGCTTGCTCTCTTTTTTTTTTTTTTTTTCAAATTAAGTTAGCTAGTTGTTTACTTTGCTGGATATTTTTATGAACCATCACTATTTTTGCTGTTTTACTAATTTCTACCTGATTAATTTCGGCTTCTATCTGTATAATTTTGCTCTTTGTCCTTTCTTTTGTTTAATTTAAAGTTCCTTTTCAAACTTTTGTGTTAGAAAATATTATCTTATCATTTTTATTAAAATAATTATGTAAGGCTATGTATTGTATTTAAATAATTGCTTTAATTATATATTTTGATATATAGTATTTTCATTAAAAGTATGTTCTAAAAATTCTGTAACTTCAGGGCTCTTTTCTCTTTTTGTCTAAGTGTTCTTTCACAGAGAGTTAAAATTGCAGACATTTTGGATGGGGATTTGATTATTTATTTTGATTTAGTTTCTATTTCCTTGCATTGTGATCACAGAATATTATTAATCTTTTTTTTTTATTTTATCGAGACAGCTGAAATTGTGGAGCAGAAATTGTGGAGAAGATAAAAGCCATGTCCCCTATGCCATGTTTAAATTACCTCGTCCACAGAATTCACAAGTATAATAAAATTATTGTTTTACATCAATAAGTTTTGGTTCTGACCAAAGTCATTTGTTACTCTTTATTAATAACTGGAACATGGTAACACATAAGGAAAATTTACTTTATGATTTTAAAGAATAAAAGAAACTCAGCATTGGTTATCACACTACAGATCACAAAACCCAATCAGCCTCCTGATGTTTGAATTCCCTCTAAACAAAGTTGCTAGTCATCATCATCCATACCCGATTCATACACTTCCAGTTACTGAGAGTTTACTTATTATACAAGCTTTCATAATCAGGCTAAAATTATTTTTTCTTTCTGGCATTAGGTCGTAGGACATGATAAAAAAGAAAAAAGGAAAAAAGGTGGGAAGACTGAGAACTCACCTATTGATTCAGACCAAAACCCAATTCAGCTTTTCCAGAAGACAAGAGTGTATGTAATTGTTTCTCTGGTTCAGTTTTTCCAACATGTAATAGAGCTGAGTAGGTGTAACAGCTTTTATAATTTCTGCTTTTAGCTTCTGTTCTATATAAAATAAATTTAAAAATGGTACTTTGTTTAGTATTCAATTTATCAGATATCTGGCGTCAAAAATGGCTGATCAGAACAATTTTTTTTTGTTTTTTACTAATACGAAAGCATTTCTTTGACTAATGAAAAAATATGTGACGACTGTTCTTTTTCCTTTAATGATGTGCAAAAGTGTCATCTGTCTCTATAATATATGCCCATTGCTGGCTACTTACCTCAATGTTCAGAATCACTAATTTGTGAGCCATAGTTGTGCTTCTTCAGAGTTTATCATTTTTTTACAGTCTTTTTTTTTTTTTTTGAGATAGAGTTTTGTTCTGTCACCCAGGCTGGAGCACGGTGGCACGATCTTGGCTCACTGCGACCTTTGTCTCCTGGGTTAAAGTGATCCTTCTGTCTCAGCCTCCCGAGTAGCTGGGACTACAGGTGTGTGCCACCACGCCCAGCTAATTTTTTTATTTTTAGTAGAGAGAGGATTTCACCATATTGCCCAGGCTGGTCTTGAACTCCTGACCTCAAGTGAGGCCTCCCAAAGTGCTGGGATTACAGGAGTGAGCCACCGCACCCGGCCAGTAATTGTTTTTCTCTTTGCCATCTGACCTCAGGATAAGAAACTGTTTTCAAATGTCCATAATTTACAAACCTTGGATTTGTGTTGTGGGCTCTTATAGCTTTCAATATCCTCAAAGGCTTTGAGCTCAGTCTCTGAATTCATCTCAGCTCTCCATCTTTATATCAGTGATAGCAATCATTAGATTAAACCCCCAAAGACTTTCTGAACCTAAAGCCTTCGAGATCAATCTCTAATCCTCCTAGAATTGACTCAAATATTATGACTGAATGAAATCTGATCCTATGAACAGAGATAGCCCATTGTTATGCCAGAATTCTTGGTGCTATTCTGCACCAGAGACTTCTGTGAATCTGTGTCTTCTGAGGACTGAACAAAACTGAAATGACATCCTGGATTTGGAAGCACTCATATTATCTGATATTGATTTTTTAAATTTTGGAGAACATACTTTTTAAAAATATAATTGTCAGGATCATTATTATTTAATGATGTGTTGAAAATGTTGCCAGCATAGAAAGAAAAGAAGTAAGACATATCATTGGAAAAATGGAAAAAAAATACAAATTATACATAGAAAATCTAAGAGAAACAATTAAAAACTTCTAAAATAAATGATTTGAGATTTAAAAAATATTTTTAAATCTATGCTATTCATAACCCATGAGTAGATGCAGTGGGAAAATAAGTTTTCATTTACAATATATTTTTTAAATATTCAGAAAAAGACTTTGGATTTAAGTTGTTTGTGCAGGACTTACATGTCCACAATTAAAATTTTATTGTCAGAGAAATATTGAAGAAATTTAAATAATATAGGAAAATGTACACTATATAATTTTGACTGAGAAATTGGTAAATACAATGTGATCTGAATTATGTTTCCATTACGTCTATGAATAGAAACATGACCAAAAGGAAGCATAGAAAAATTTAATGTTGGTTTTCTCTATGTTTTAAGTTATTGCTATTTTTCCCTAAAAGAGTACTCTATTGTCAAAAATTTTTATCATGGGCATATATTTTATAATTTGAATAAAATTTTATATATATATAACAATTTGGTAAAAGTAATGAAAAGTGAACAAAGTTGTGACAATCTTCCAAATATGAATTTTAAAAATTAGAAATGCCTGATCCCCTTACTCAAGCCCTGTGTTATTCTGAAACAAATTCCAGACATCATATTATTTCAGCCTCAATTATTTCAGAATGTTTCCAAAGTAAAATAAATCTTTTTTTAAAAAAAAACTCAATAACATTAACATAGGAAAAAATTTAACAATATTTCTTAATATTATCAAATATTCACTCAGTATTCAAATTCTCTGGTTGTCTAATTTTTCCTTACAATGTTGAAATCATAATTCAGATAAAATATATGCATTGTAATGGTTGACATGTCTCTTCAGTCTGTTTTAATCTCTAGGCTTTTCCTCAGTCTTTTTCGACTTGAATTTTATTTGTTGGATAAACTTGGTCTTTGAACTTTTAGATTTTCCCATCACCTGGAACAACTGGATTTTGCTCATTAATCCCTGTGTATTATTTAGTATATTCCCTGTATTCTCTATAAATTTCCGGTTAGAACTAGAGGTTTTATCAGATTCACATGTATTTTCTTCATTTTTTGATGTCATTCACCATTTGTAGGTATTTTAAAACATATTCAAAATTTTTTGACACTCCACCATTAAGAGATTCTCCTCAAATCTCAATTTACTCTAGTGATTTTCTTGTAACCAGTAGAGTACAGTGGAAATAATGCTGTGAGACTTTTGAAGCTAGATCAGAGAAAAATTATGCAGCTCCCCTGGCTCTTTTTGGATGCTCACTAGGGCAATCTTTTCCTTTCTGGGGCGATTAATCCTCTCTCCCATTTTGGGGACATTTAGTAATGTCTGGAGACAATAGGGAGGGTGGTGCTACTGCCATCTAGTGGGTAGAGGCAAGGATACTGCTAAACATCCTGCAATGCACAGGACAGACCCCCCTACAAGAATATGTCAATAGTTCCAAGGTTGAGAACAACCGCGATATGACAAGTCTAATTACTCTGAGATTGCTATGCTGGATAATCCACTTGTAGATATTCCAGTCAATCCCATTAGAGCTCTCAGTTGAGAGCCAGCATCTTTTAGCCTTGAAAACCAACCATCCTGGATATTCAGTCCAGTTGAGTCTTCAGATCACTGTGGCCTTGGCTGACCTTTACTTAGAATTGCCTGAGAGACCCCAAGAGAGAAATGCCCAGCCAGAAATTCTTCCTGAATTTCCAACACAAAATTCTGAGCAAAATAAAAGATTGTTTAAATCTACCAAGGACTGGTTACTATTGTTAAATAACAATAGTAACAGGAACTAGTCAATGTTTACATCTATTCATAGATTAGAAGTTACAAAATGGATATACTATAATTCTATTATTATTTCCTTATGTATTAATTGGAATCTTTTTATAAGGAGACACTTTTCCCATTGAGTATTTGATTACTGTAAAGTACAGTTTACATAAGAAAATCAGTATGAATCCTTGACTTTACAATTTAGTAAAACTGCAAAATCTTTTTAAAAAATAGAATAAAAGAGGGGAGAAAAATCTTAAGAAAATATCATGAAAGCAAGAACTGTGGGTTTATAGATTACTTTGAATTGTTACATTGACAGCTGACTGCTCAATGTTCACAATGGAAGGCAGGTATCAGTAGATGATCGTTTTAATTTGCTGAAAGGAAAGAACTGCCATACTAGAATTCTATACACAGTGAAAATATTCATCAAGATTGTGAAATAATAATCACATTCAAAGACATGATTACAATAAAAATGAGTGTTTGTACCAGCTACAAGTCTGACTGAAAGCAAATAGAACTAAGTTTTTGAAATAATTGTATTCCTGAATAAATCATAAGCCTCTACTCAAATTCTTTTAACTTTTTGGGACTTACAACTATATTTGCCACTCTTGCGTTATCATAAAATGGACTATAAATAAGGTATATTTTCCAACATCCATTACGAATACATCCAACCAAGATAACAGAAAATGGAGACTATTGCAGGAGGCAAGACAAGGGCCATAATGGATAGTGGTCAAGGACCCAGAGAGCAGACTCAGGTCTAATCGTGTAAATGCTCATCCCTAAGATAGTGAATCTTCACAATGTCTGGTCCTGGACAATTTCTGCATTGCCACATACCACTTACTGATCTGTTTCTTCCGTTGTTTCTTTTTCTAAATGATAATCCTCATTGCAATTATCTTATCCCCATTATAGCATAGTATATTCAATATATGAAAAGAGCAGAAGATAACTATTCTTTCAGATCATAGGTTTAAGAAACAAGAAAATCTACATCAGAGCCTTATAGAAAAAGCTGTGAATAATCCATACCAGAAAAACTTCCATAGTCAATGTCCACCTTGGGTGTGGGATTAAAGAGTGGCACTCTCTGTGCAGTCCTCGGCTAGACATATTTCCTCATTTTATAGATGAGGATATTGATTTAATAAGTAACTTACTGATTTTTAAAAATACCTCTTTTTATCACAGAGTATTTTAGTTGAATAATGGAAAAATTTGAGGATAGATATGTTGATGCTGTTTGATATAAATATAAGTTAAACGAGTTAGTATAAAAAGAAATTATAAGAAATTGAGTCTAATTATCACTAAGAAAGTTGAAGTTTCTCGGTTTCCACTTTTCAGCCTTTTGTGCTATCATTAGACTATTGTCAATGAGTCATTATAAGCAAAGTGAAGTAGACTGCAGGTGTTGCTAATGATCACTTATATATTTTCACAGTGTTCCAAAGCTGTACTTTATTACTTATTCCAGATTTAGCTATTTTTATTTTAATTGGTACTTTTAGAGATTTGGTTCCCAACCAGCTGGCATCGTCCAGCAGGTGAAGCAGAGAAATAGCACTTTTGTTATGGTAAAAGTGAAAGCAAATTGACTATTATCTATCAATCACAATCTGAAATAGGGCACTGCTCCTATGTTGACTCATATTTTCATAAGATAATGACTGAGGGTATTGTCCTCTGAGAGGACTTTTACTTTTACCACACAAAGATATATTGAACACCCACAAAATAGCATTAGAAGAAAATAAGAAACCCTAGCATAGTTTGATATTTCTTGATTTTGATGTTTTATACATCACTAGTGAAACTAAGTTATTGGTCACATCAATAAAGCAATAGTTGAGACACATATGAAAACATAGAAATAACGTACAAATTTGCTGATCACTGAAGTAATGTGCACATATTACTTTGTTTTTTTTAATATTTATTTTATTATTATTATACTTTAAGTTTTAGGGTACATGTGCACAATGTGCAGGTTAGTTACATATGTATACATGTGCCATGCTGGTGTGCTGCACCCATTAACTCGTCATTTAGCATTAGGTATATCTCCTAATGCTATCCCTCCCCCCTCCCCCCACCCCACAACAGTCCCCAGAGTGGGATGTTCCCCTTCCTGTGTCCATGTGTTCTCATTGTTCAATTCCCACCTATGAATGAGAACATGCGGTGTTTGGTTTTTTGTCCTTGCAATAGTTTGCTGAGAATGATGATTTCCAATTTCATCCATGTCCCTACAAAAGACATGAACTCATCATTTTTTATGGCTGCATAGTATTCCATGGTGTATATGTGCCACATTTTCTTAATCCAGTCTATCATTGTTGGACATTTGGGTTGGTTCCAAGTCTTTGCTATGGTGAATAGTGCCACAATAAACATACGTGTGCATGTGTCTTTATAGCAGCATGATTTATAGTCCTTTGGGTATATACCCAGTAATGAGATGGCTGGGTCAAATGGTATTTCTAGTTCTAGATCCCTGAGGAATCGCCACACTGACTTCCACAATGGTTGAACTAGTTTACAGTCCCACCAACAGTGTAAAAGTGTTCCTATTTCTCCACATCATCTCCAGCACCTGTTGTTTCCTGACTTTTTAATGATCTCCATTCTAACTGGTGTGAGATGGTATCTCATTGTGGTTTTGATTTGCATTTCTCTGATGGCCAGTGATGATGAGCGTTTTTTCATGTTTTTTGGCTGCATAAATGTCTTCTTTTGAGAAGTGTCTGTTCATGTCCTTCGCCCACTTTTTGATGGGGTTGTCTTTTTCTTGTAAATTTGTTTGAGTTCATTGTAGATTCTGGATATTAGCCCTTTGTCAGATGAGTATGTTGCGAAAATTTTCTCCCATTTTGTAGGTTGCCTGTTGACTCTGATGGTAGTTTCTTTTGCTGTGCAGAAGCTCTTTAGTTTAATTAGATCCCATTTGTCAATTTTGGCTTTTGTTGCCATTGCTTTTGGTGTTTTAAACATGAAATCCTTGCCCATGCCTATGTCCTGAATGGTATTGCCTAGGTTTTCTTCTAGGGATTTTATGGTTTTAGGTCTAACATGTAAGTCTTTAATCCATCTTGAATTAATTTTTGTATAAGGTGTAAGGAAGGGATCCAGTTTCAGCTTTCTACGTATGGCTAGCCAGTTTTCCCAGCACCATTTATTAAATAGGGAATCCTTTCCCCATTGCTTCTTTTTCTCAGGTTTGTCAAAGATCAGATAGTTGTAGATATGCAGCGTTGTTTCTGAGGGCTCTGTTCTGTTCCATTGATCTATATCTCTGTTTTGGTACCAGTACCATGCTGTTTTGGTTACTGTAGCCTTGTAGTATACTTTGAAGTCAGGTAGCGTGATGCCTCCAGCTTTGTTCTTTTGGCTTAGAATTGACTTGGCGATGTGGGCTCTTTGTTGGTTCCATATGAACTTTAAAGTATTTTTTTCCAATTCTGTGAAGAAAGTCATTGGTAGCTTGATGGGGATGGCATTGAATCTATAAATTACCCTGGGCAGTATGGCCATTTTCACAATATTGATTCTTCCTACCCATGAGCATGGAAAGTTCTTCCATTTGTTTGTATCCTCTTTTATTTCATTGAGCAGTGGTTTGTAGTTCTCCTTGAAGAGGTCCTTCACATCCCTTGTAAGTTGGATTCCTAGGTATTTTATTCTCTTTGAAGCAATTGTGAATGGGAGATCACTCATGATTTGGCTCTCTGTTTGTCTCTTATTGGTGTATAAGAATGCTTGTGATTTTTGTACATTGATTTTGTATGCTGAGACTTTGCTGAAGTTGCTTATCAGCTTAAGGAGATTTTGGGCTGAGACAATGGGGTTTTCTAGATATACAATCATGTCATCTGCAAACAGGGACAATTTGACTTCCTCTTTTCCTAATTGAATACCCTTTATTTCCTTCTCCTGCCTAATTGCCCTGGCCAGAACTTCCAACACTATGTTGAATAGGAGTGGTGAGAGAGGGCATCCCTGTCTTGTGCCAGTTTTCAAAGGGAATGCTTCCAGTTTTTGCCCATTCAGTATGATATTGGCTCTGGGTTTGTCATAGACAGCTCTTATTATTTTGAAATACGTCCCATCAATACCTAATTTATTGAGAGTTTTTAGCATGAAGGGTTGTTGAATTTTGTCAAAGGCCTTTTCTGCATCTATTGAGATAATCATGTGGTTTTTGTCTTTGGTTCTGTTTATATGCTGGATTACATTTATTGATTTGCATATATTGAACCAGCCTTGCATCCCAGGGATGAAGCCCACTTGATCATGGTGGATAAGCTTTTTGATGTGCTGCTGGATTTGGTTTGCCAGTATTTTACTGAGGATTTCTGCATCAATATTCATCAGGGTTATTGGTCTAAAATTCTCTTTTTTGGTTGTGTCTCTGCCTGGCTTTGGTATCAGGATGACGCTGGCCTCATCAAATGAATTAGGGAGGATTCCCTCTTTTTCTATTGATTGGAATAGTTTCAGAATGAACGGTACCAGTTCCTCCTTGTACCTCTGGTAGAATTCGGCTGTGAATCCATCTGGTCCTGGACTCTTTTTGGGTGGTAAATTATTGATTACTGCCACCATTTCAGAGCCTGTTATTGGTCTATTCAGAGATTCAACTTCTTCCTGGTTTAGTCTTGGGAGGGTGTATGTGTCGAGGAATTTATCCATTTCTCCTAGATTTTCTAGTTTATTTGCGTAGAGGTGTTTGTAGTATTCTCTGATGGTAGTTTGTATTTCTGTAGGATCGGTGGTGATATCCCCTTTATCATTTTTTATTGCGTCTATTTGATTCTTCTCTCTTTTCTTCTTTATTAGTCTTGCTAGCGGTCTATCAATTTTGTTGATCCTTTCAAAAAACCAGCTCCTGGATTCATTAATTTTTTGAAGGGTTTTTTGTGTCTCTATTTCCTTCAGTTCTGCTCTGATTTTAGTTATTTCTTGCCTTCTGCTAGCTTTTGAATGTGTTTGCTCTTGCTTTTCTAGTTCTTTTAATTGTGATGTTAGGGTGTCAATTTTGGATCTTTCCTGCTTTCTCTTGTGGGCATTTAGTGCTATAAATTTCCGTCTACACACTGCTTTGAATGTGTCCCAGAGATTCTGGTATGTTGTGTCTTTGTTCTTGTTGGTTTCAAAGAACATCTTTATTTCTGCCTTCATTTCGTTATGTACCCAGTAGTCATTCAGGAGCAGGTTGTTCAGTTTCCATGTAGTTGAGCGGTTTTGAGTGAGTTTCTTAATCCTGAGTTCTAGTTTGATTGCACTGTGGTCTGAGAGACAGTTTGTTATAATTTCTGTTCTTTTACATTTGCTGAGGAGAGCTTTACTTCCAACTATGTGGTCAATTTTGGAATAGGTGTGGTGTGGTGCTGAAAAAAATGTATATTCTGTTGATTTGGGGTGCAGAGTTCTGTAGATGTCTATTAGGTCCGCTTGGTGCAGAGCTGAGTTCAATTCCTGGGTATCCTTGTTAACTTTCTGTCTCGTTGATCTGTCTAATGTTAACAGTGGGGTGTTAAAGTCTCCCATTATTATTGTGTGGGAGTCTAAGTCTCTTTGTAGGTCACTAAGGACTTGCTTTATGAATCTGGGTGCTCCTGTATTGGGTGCATATATATTTAGGATAGTTAGCTCTTCTTGTTGAATTGATCCCTTTACCATTATGTAATGGCCTTCTTGCACATATTACTTTGTATCTCCCCCTTTCTACATATACAAGTTCTTAACGCAGGTGATATACTTTAAAAAATAGTATAATGTCTTACATAAGAACTTAATACGTGGACCTTGCAAATGACCTGTGCTCCATAAATATTTATGGATGATGCAGAATCTTTAATTTATAAACAGCTAATTTGTTATCTTATACTATACACACATATGCTCTACTCCAAAATGCATTTTAGGTCATTTAGCCATGCTTTGCAGTAGTCCTGCTTCCCAGTTGTTTCACATTTCTGTTGGGTGTCCTGGAGTGGCTGTATTCCCTGAATTGTTAGTTTACAGCAAAATTTTGACATGTTACTGCAGGTGAGATTTTATGCTTTGTTCCCTCTTTAATCAATACCAAACACCTGATTTTTTTAAACTAAAAATTGCCACAAATTACAGGGAGGTAGATTTTACCAATCTAAAAGAGCTCCATACTATTTTTGTTCATTATAATTTAGAAATTGTATTGATAGATTGTTTTTCTTAAGGCACTTTTTTGTTGCTATTAGAATAAGAAGACTGGGACCTTTCTCCTGACTGCCTTTCACTAGGTTAATCAGTCAGAATTACAGTAGCTTCAATTCAAACAAAGGGAGCAGTGTTATGTATAATAGAATTAAGGGAAGCAAGTCAGAGTTCAACAAATGGATGTCAAAGTTTGATATGGTGGGAAGAGAAAATTACAAATATGCATATAACCATATCTCTGTGCGTGTGTTTGTGGGTATATTTTGATATACAAAGACACACATAAGTTTAAAAAATATGATTATATATAACATTCAATATTGAATTCAAATAATTCAATATATATTAAATTCAATATATATTGAATTCAAAATATAATTGATATAATTAGTCACAGCATATGCCTAAAGTTGTGGGTTGAATTAGTGTATGTCTCCCAAAAAGATATGTTAAAGTCCTAACCTTTAGTATTTGTGAATATGAACTTATTTGGAAATAATGTCTTTGCAGGGTGGGAGTGTAAATTAGTTCAACCATTGTGGAAGTCACTGTGGTGATTCCTCAAGGATCTAGAACTAGAAATACAATTTGACCCAGAAATCCCATTACTGGGTATATATACCCAAAGGATTATAAATCATTCTACTGTAAAGACACATGCACATGTATGTTTATTGTGGCACTATTCACAATAGCAAAGACTTGGAACCAACCCAAATGCCCATCAATGATAGACTGGATTAAGAAAATGTGGCACATATACACCATGGAATACTATCAGTCATAAAAATGAATGAGTTCATGTCCTTGCAGGGACATGGATGAAGCTGGAAACCACCATTCTCAGCAAACTAACACAAGAACAGAAAATCAAACACTGCATGTTCTTACTTATAAGGGGGAGTTGAACAATGAGAACACATGAACACAGGGAGGGGAACATCAAACACTGGGGCTTGTTGGGGGGTGGGCGGCTAGGGGAGGGATAGCATTAGGAGAAATACCCAATATAGGTGATGGGTTGATGGGTGCAGCAAACCACCATGCCACATGTATACCTATGTAACAAAACTGCACGTTCTGCACATATACCGCAGAACTTAAATTATAATAATAATAATAACAAATATTTAATGAAGTCAGTAGGTGGACCCACAATCCAATATGATTGACATCCTTATAAAAAGAGAGGAGAGACACAGAGAGAACATCATGTGACAACAGGCAGAGATTCAAGTGCTGCAGATGCAAGCCAAGGAATGCCAAGGAACACTAAAGATTACCCGCAAACTACCAAAAGCTAGAAAAGAGCAAAGAAGCACTCCTTTCTGAAAGCTTCAGAGGGAGCATGATCTTTCAGAAAATCTGATTTTGGACTTTGAGACTTCATAATTGTGAGATAATATGTTTTTGTTGTTTTAAGCTGTCCAGTTTATACTTTATTGTAGCAGTTCTGGGAAACGAATACGTCTAGCTATCAAATATTTGAAAAAGAAAACTAAGTTTTACAGGTGCTTAATTAAAACTATGACAAAATTTCATATTTTGATAACACCCTTTGTTCCAAACACTTATCAAAGATGGGTAAAATATAAAATAAGGTCAGAAGGACATGGCCTTTCTCAAATGCAAAGGCAAAATCTTTTTTTGGCCACTAACAGAAAAGAAATGAAAAGTTGTGAGCAGATGATGATATGGCCTTCCTAACTTCCTAACTTTAGGTTCTCAGTAGGCAGAAGTTTCCAGGATCTAAAATATACCCTCAAGAAAGGGGACCAAAATGAGGTTTGCTACTTGAAGTCCTAGAGTTGCTTATAGCTCCTGCTGAGATACAGAATAGGCATAGTCACAACCTCATGACTAGAAGGTGAACAAAACCACCCCAAAAGAAACTAAACTGAGAAGATAAGTTTTACCAAGCTTTCGAGGGAGCCAGACGTGTTTATTTTACACCTACCATTTTGGAGAACAGCAAAAGCACAGATACTACTAGACTAATGTTTAGATATATTACAGTAATTAGGAGAATATTTTAAAAATAGACATATTGATACAAATGCATGCAAAAAATCTGAAGATACTATCTTACTAAACTACTAGCAAACCAAATTTATCTTTCAGTTAATCAATACACCATAACTAATTATAATATTGGAACACAAAATAGTTTAACTTCAGAAAATCTACTATTCCAAAATATCATATTAACAAGTCAAAGAAAATATACCATATGAAGATAAATGCTGAAAACTCCTTTAGCAAATTCTAAAATTCATTCATGATATTTTGTTAAAAAATTGCAAGAAAACTATCAATAAAAAAGAATTTTCCTAGTTTTATTGAAGTTACCTATCAAAAACCTAAAAGAAAATGATGAGCATTTCCATTAAGTCAGTGATATGGTTAGACTTTGTGTCCCCACCCAAATCTCATCTTGAATTGTAATCCCCATATTCTCCATATGTCAAGGGAGAGACCAGGTAGAGGTAATTGAATCATGGGGGCAGTTTTCCCCATGCTGTTCTCATGATAGTGAGTGAGTTCTCACAAGATCTGATGGTTTTATAATGGGCTCTTCCCCTTTCACTTGGCACTTCTTCTTCCTGCCACCTTGTGACGAAGGTGCCTTAACTATCCTTCGTCTTCTGTCACAATTGTAAGTTTCCTGAGGCCTCCCCAGCCATGCAGAACTGTGAGTCAGTTAAACCTCTTTATTTTATAAATTACTCAGTCTCGGGTAGTCTTTTTACAGCAGTGTGAGAATGGACTAATATAGTCTGGAATAAGAAAAAGATGCCTAATCTTATGGTTTCTAAAAGGTAATGGTCAACACAATGTTCAAAAATGATTACAGTAAGAAAGAAAAGGAAATAAATCTGGGAAATAATAATAATCACAAAGGAAGAGATAAAACTCCCCTTATTTGTTAAGCATATGATTACCTACATTGGAAATTTAAGGGATTCTGTGGACAGATTATTAAAACTCACCAGCATACAAAAATCAGTATCATTCCTGATAATGAATACACCAATAATTAACAAAAATCAATCAATAAAAATATGTTCTATAAAGTAGAAAAAGTTATACAGAATGTTAGACTGTAGGTGAAAAATTACTGGAGATGATTTTTAAAAGCCTGAATAAATGGAAAGTTATGTTCATATGATTGTTTGTTGGGAAAACTTTGATGATGCACCACAGATTAATCTCAAAATCTAATACAATTTACATAAGGAAATCTTTGGGAGGTTTTTGTGGAACTCAAAAACTACAAATGCAAGATCACATGGCCAAAAACCACTATGATGATTTGAACAACTGGGATAATAAACTTGACCTAACATATAACAAAAATTTTAATAAATGAATAATAAAGATATCAGTACATGATTAATAAATAGAGCAACAGAATATAACAAGCCTAGAAACTGATCCATTCATATATGACAATAATGTATGACAGACATAGCATTACAAATAAATGAGGAAAAAAGATGAACTGTTAGGTAAACGGTGTTGGGATAATTGTTTATCCATATGGAAAAAGTTAAATTAGGTCCTTTAAAACTTTTTGAGTAAAATAAAGAGTAACATCTTTATGTCCTTCAGATAAGAAAGGATTTATTTACTCCAGACACAAAAAAACACAAATTATGAAAGAAAACACAGCACTTTGGGAGGCCGAGGCGGGTGGATCACGAGGTCAGGAGATCGAGACCATTCTGGCTAACACGGTGAAACACCATCTCTACTGAAAAAATACAAAAATATTAGCTGGGCGTGGTGGCGGGTGCCTGTAGTCCCAGCTACTGGGGAGGCTGAGGCAGGAGAATGGCGTGAACCCATGAGGTGGAGCTTGCAGTAAGCCCAGATCACACCACTGCACTCTAGCCTGGGTGACAGAGCAAGACTCCGCCAAAAAAAAAAGAAAAAGAAAGAGAGAGAGAGAGAGAGAGAAAGAAAGGAAGATTGTGATATATTTGCAACACAATAAGTTAAACTTTTTGCACAAAAGAAACTATAGACAAAGTGAAAAACTAGTCACATACTAAGAGAAGACATTTGCAGCCCATGTGAATAACAAACAGAAGTATCAACTGCCAATCAAAATGTCCAAAGGATATGAATAGGTAATTCACAGGAGAAAAAAATATAAATGGCCAAGAAATGAGCAAAAACATGCTCAACTATATTAGTAATCACGGGAAGCAAATTAAAACCATAAAAGAACTTTTACACCTGTCGCTGGCAAAACTGAAACTGAAAAACAAAACTGAAAAATGATCTGACAATAACAAGTGTTAGAGAAACAGAAACTCTCAGATACTCCTATCAGGAGTGTTAAATAGTTCAGATTCTCTGGAGATTAGTTTGGTATATAGTAAAGCTGATGTATCTCGGGACACAGAAATTGTTACCCCTGGATGTTCCCCATGAAAAAATGCTCATATAAATTAGTAAGGAGAGTTGCAGAATAATTTAAAATCATAGAAAATGGAGCAGGTAAAATGTACATCAATTAGAAAACAGATAAATATTGTACATTCATCTAACAGAATAATACTTGGATTTCAAAATAAATAAAGCGTGTGTGTGTTAACATGGATAAATCTTTTTAAAAATCAAGTAAAAGAGTGAATTATAGAATGTGAAGAATTATATACCACTTATGTACATTTTAAATCCTTCAATGTGGTCTATAATTTAAAAATGTATTGTTATTACAAAATAAAAAATACCATGCAAAATAAGATGTTTTAAAGTATCATTAATTTGCTTTTAGATAAATGTCTTCATGGAATTTGAAATATACTTGAGTTGGCCCTTTAGAGTTACCATTTGTCAGTAAGGGAAATAAAATGTTATTAATTAAATGAGATAAATTAAGGAAGAACACAAATATAATTAAATATAGAAATCTACAAATAACCCATGCTGAATTCTTCCAAATTATCTCTCATGAGCCTTTGTCAGGATTGCTAAGCCATGATATAGCACATTTTGTGTTTCTTTTTTACTTTCTCTATCCACCATTCAGCAGGGAGGGTAGTTGACATTGAAATGACCAAAACTTAGGAGATGGAGGCAGTAAGAGAGACCCTAAAAAATCCCTAGATAGTTTACAAACTAGATAATCAATTCTTGACTACTCAGGATTTGACTCTAATAAATACCAATCACATAATGAAATTAAGTTAAACATGCAAAACTCCTCTAGGGTTGCTCTTTTGAATTGATTTGACCTTTTTGATTAGCCAGTATCACTACTACTGTCATTATCAGGACATGGGACAGGAACATAGCTATTATTTTCCTACCTTTCAGCTTTTCAATACAACAAATATATATTGGCAACCATTTCTATGATTTTAATTTGGGTACTCATTGTCCCCTTATTGGGGACTCGGGGCAATATAACTGTGGTTTTCCACACAAAACAAGGGTTAAGTATGTGTTTGGCCTCTTTTCTTTAGGATCCTAGAAGACTACCCTTTTATTTTTAAAGTTATCTTTTTCTGTCTTGAACTAAAAAACACAGCAAAGTAAGTCACATCAACTATTTTTCATTACCTTTACCAATTATTTCATTAAGGAACTTTGAGTCATTTCAATCATTAAACATTATAAACAAGGTTTTCTATAGAAAGTAATAATGAATTCTAAGAAAAACAATTACCTGTTATTACTGCCAAAGTTAAAGCTATCTTCCTGCATAAAAGTGTGCATTTCTCAGAAGAGAATGAGTTTATATTGAGGTTGTTGTGGGACATTTAGAAGGAAGTAGCTGACATATTGTTGCAGATTTATGCCTGATAATTATAGGGCACTGTACAGTTTTTAAAATGCTTTCATATTTATTATGTGATTGGGTTCTTAAAATAATTCTGTAAGGTCACAAATGCAGTGTTTCTCATTTTACAGATGAGATTGAGGTCTCAAATGGCTATGTGACTTGACAAGATCATCTAGCTACCAGGTAGCAGGGCCCATTCAAATGTAGGTGTTCTGATTCTAATTGCAGGGCTCCTTTTATATGCTCGAATGCCCTATTTCATTACAGAAAGCCTAACATTCTATACTCATTTTAAAAATATATATCTTTGGTAGACTTTGCCATTACATTAAGAAAAGAAGAATTGAAGTATTATGGTACTCCTGATTTTTAGAGTTTGTTAGTAAAATAATGCATGTGGGAAAATCTAGTAGAAACTTAGTAGAAACTATATGTAGTAGAAAAATATAATGTTTGTGAAAATATCTAGTAGAAATCTAATAGAAATTCAATAAATATTTGGCAATAAATATGTTGCTTTGGAATTATCCTGGTGCAGGGCAAGGCTTTCCCTGTGTGGCACTACCTTGTCACTCCAAGTTTTCATCATTCTCTCAGGAGGATTATACAAAAGTCCTAGTTTGCTGGGTGCATTTGTCAATATTGGGGTTGGGGTGTAGACCACGGACCTAGATGGAATCTCAAAGAACAGGTAAACATTTGGCCAAATTGGGTGATTGCCAGAAATGAGCTGACTTTGGATTTCAGTCTGCCCTGGCTTCTACCTTTCTCTCAGGAGCTCGCGGTGGGAGGTGCTTGCTCTGGGACTTTCATATTCCCATGCTCCTTGTATGATTATCAACTCTACACTTGTTCTTCTGTGCCTGGCACCTTTTGATCTAGTCTTTTGGAATGGTTAAAACTATAAGTAGCTCG
Source organism: Homo sapiens (assembly GCF_000001405.40). NCBI lineage: Eukaryota > Metazoa > Chordata > Mammalia > Primates > Hominidae > Homo > Homo sapiens. Next base: position 148,296,257 of record NC_000003.12, on the reverse strand, counting down.
ATCTGTTTAGATACTTGCATCAACGACTTCTGAGCATAGTAACAACTAATAACAATGAACATTTAATGCTTACTGTGTAGCAGGCACTATTCTAAGCAATTCATGCGTATAAACTCACATAAGCCATAAAACAATCCTATTTTGTGTTTGAGGAGACTGAGGCATGGAAAAATTAAATAACTTGCTCAAAATTATCTGATTATCAACTTAACAAAGCTGGCATTTGAATTCAAAGTGTCTGGCTCAAGAGTGCATTTTTAACCATTTGTCCACACTTCTTTCAATAATACAGCTTAACCATGCTGTATCCTTCAAGTCTAATCGCTATGGACGATTGTGGAGGGTGGTGAAAGGAGGTTAAAAGATTCTTTTAGAGTAAAAACAAGAGAGTCTGTGAGTATAGAATGGGGAAAGCACACCAGTTAATATCTCAACATAGTGTCTCCCTGTATTAGTCCATTCTCAGGCTAATAAAGACATACCTGAGAGTGGGTAATTTTAAAAAGAAAGAGATTTAATTGGATCACAGTTCAGCATGGGTGGGGAGGCCCCAGAAGGCTTACAATCATGGTAGAAGGGAAAGCAAACATGTCCTTCTTCACATGGCCACAGGAAAGAGAAGAATCAGTGCCCAGAGAAGGAGGAAGCCCCTTATAAAAGTATCAGATCTTGTGAGAACTAACTCACTATCACCAGACAAGGATGGGAGAAACCACCCCATGATTCAATTATCTCCACCTGGTCCCTTCCTCGACATGTGGAGATTAAGGAAACTACGATTCAAGATGAGATTTGCGTGAGGACACAGCCAAACCATATCACTCCCCACAAATGTATATTAACATTAAATATAATAGACCATATAGAGAGTAATATCTCATATTATATATGATATCCTTATTAGTTTATCAAACAGATAAATATTGTTTTTTCATATTGTCATTTTTAAGAGCCTTGTATTCAAACTACATCTGAATTTTCCATCTTGGAGTATTTGAAGAACAAAGTCTGCAATTTAATAATGGCAAAATCAACTAACAGATTTTAGAAAAATAGTCTCATTTTAGTTTATTTAATTTGAATAGTATATTAGCTCATGTGAGTGCCCAAATTCAGAGCACAGCTTATTTATTTTTTTCTTTTATTGTGATATCCCTTGCAGCCATTTAGTAACATTATATTTGGGGTAGGGTAAATATTCAATTAACTGTGGTTCTCTCTGTTAAATATTTTCCTGTTTTTCGAATGTTAACTGGCAATGATGTTTGTAACTGAGATGTCCTTTTTCAACTAAATTTTGAATTCTGAGTTGAATTTTGTATGGTACTCATGTGATAGGCTACGAATTTAAAAGTATCCTAGAGATGGCACATAAATCAATTTGGTAATAGTCTATTGCTTTGGGGACATTTACATTACTGTTTTAGCGTCAAGAGCTGCCCTGATGAACAAGAACTATCTCAGGCATCTATATATTTCAAGCATTAGTGAATGAGTGACACAGTGCAAAGTGTAAATTAAAATAGATGAATTGGTTGCACTAAATTAGTATTCTACTTTTACTACCCTGTCATATGAAATGCTATTTCGTAATTCAGAGTCACTCTTCAGAACACTTTTCCTTGTCACTCTTGCTTGTCACTTTTATTCCTTTAAATGAGTACTAAATATTGATTTTTTTTTTTATAAAAAGAAAACTATAGCATACCCCCTGAGGTCATTTTTATGTGTTATTTGCCTTTTCAAGACTTCCACCTTGTTATTTTAAAATTATTTCTTCTTTTTTTCCCACTTTACATTTACTCAGTATTGTTGGGCAAAGGATTCTAGTAATTGTATTCTAGACAGTGAGGATAAACAAATTTTCCAGTGCACTCCCGAGTAAATGCAATTTGAAATTTAATACAATTTTTTAAATCATGTGTCTATCCCTAATTATACCATTAATTTTGAATTATTTCTTAAGTATTTTCTATGGCTTTTACTGACTTACCAGGTCATTCTATAGCTTATTAAATTAGATCATAACTTAGGTTTCAAAAACTTTCAGAAAATTTTATTTACTTACTATTACTTCATTTTTCTTCCAATCTTATAATCATAGAGCACTAAAAAATGTCCCAACCTTGATGGTCTTATGAACATAATGAGAACCTTGTATATCAGTTAGACCTCTTAGTTGCAAGTACCAGAATCTACACTTGCAGATTTAAACAAAAAACAATAGTTTATTAAAAAAGATTAGGTTGCTTAGAGCATCTTCAGAATGACTAGAAAGATGAAGATTTAAAACTAATTGCCAGGAGCAATGCTCATGACCAGGCTGTCATGGCCTGATGAGGGAACCTCCCTGGTGCCACAGCCACCACAGAGAAGCAAAGATCAGCTATGAGATTTTTCTGAAAGAAACCATGACTACCACAGCATGGATGTCACTTCTTTTCTAGGAGTGCTACTTTGCTCCAACTACACCAATAAAATAGAAAGTCTGTGTAGTGTCTGGCATCATGTTGATAATGTCCAAAACAATCTTCTCTAGGTTATTCTGATTGGTGTAGCTGAGGTCATATTTCTGGGCAATAATTGCTGGAGAATTAGAGAATTTTGGCTCTGCCTTCCATACTGGGGAGAAGACACCCAGTGTGAGATTTTTCCCACATATAGAAAGACTATTCAAAATATGAGTGGCAGGTATGAATATGATCAATTTACATCAAGATATACTGTAGAATAAAATATGTAATTATAATTATTATTTTTCCTCCTACTTAAATAAATTAAATATGTGATAATCATAAGTTATCCAAAATATAAATTTGAAAGCAAGTTGTAACTTAAATAACATGCTATTGTTGACCTGTAAAGTATGGCTTAGTTAATAAAAAAATTCCCATAATTTTAAGTTAGCCTCTATAGTAAAAGAAATATGCTTATGTTTAAAATAAAAAGATGTATCAGAGACTAACACTTTCTGATAACTTGGATTTACTAGAAAAACCATGTAGTCTGTTGTTGGGATGGAAAAATCATGGTAATATGGTGAATGGCTACCAATTATGTTGATTTAAAAAATAGTGATATAGCTTTATTACATATCTGAACGTTAAGCCATTTATTTCAACATAAAGTCAATTCTTATAGGCTTATTCATATTTAAAGCATTTTAAACTTTATCCAATATTCACCCTGGGCTCACATTTTATGAACAGGTGCATAGTAGAAAAGTAATGAGATAAACTTTGATGGTCACATTATTATTTTAAAAATTGTAACATGAATGAGAAACACTTCTGGGGGTTTCTGAATATTGAATGAAATAAAATCTCCTGTATCTTAAGAGAGTTATGTCATATTGGGACATTCAACACAGTGTATGTGAGGCAGGACTGGAGGCACTTCCATGAAAGAAACAATTATAGCTAAAACCCCAAAGGATGGGCTGATGCCCTAATGGATCCTTTTTATATCACTAATTGTGGCAATTTTGTGGGTGAAAGGAACAAAACACAAAGCAGCAAGAAGGAAAACTTGAAGTACTTATGTTTTAAAAAACATCATTTAATAAATTATAAGAAGACTAAAAGGAAGTCAAGCAACTGAGTGGGGAAATGTGGGTTTATTCCCCAGATAGTCCTTAAAAGATGAGAAGGAGAAGAAGCTGACTATAGACTGTGGATAAAATATTTACAAAATAAACCCCACAGGAAATAATAATTGAATATTTTATATTTTGACTTATTCAACTTTTATGATTTAATTTTTTTTCTTCATTGAGTTTATTTAAGCTTTCCCCAGGGTCACAGCCTTGAAGAACTTTTAAAAAATAAGACTTTTGTTTACCAGGCAGATTTTTATATCTCTCTTTAAACTGAAGTATCTATTTTGTTAAAATTGTTTTACAAGGGCTGCTGTTCAGCATTTTTAAGGTGTCAGCCACTCCACTAGAAAAAAAAATCCTTATAGTTTGGCAAAGGCAATGCCTTTTGCACTGAATTTTTAAAAGTTTTCTGTGCTACGTTATTTCTTCTTATCAAATATGAATAACACCTTCAATACCTATATATGGAAATATATAATAATATTCTTATAAATATTTTCCATTGCAAGGTAATTAAGTTTATGTGCTTAATATAGGAAACGTATTATGTGACAGTAATTCAAACTATTTATTCGCTCATTTGTTTACTCCATTACTGTTTAATTTATTCCTCTGTATATTCATTCATTTATTAATTCATTCAAATACAACCTGCCACATACGACTTATAATGCTAGGAGATGCTAGTGAAAGAAAGAAAGCAAAGAAAAAGAAAAGACAGAGACAAAGAAAGAAAGGTGAAAAAGGAATGAAATAAAAAGAAAGAGAAAGAAAGAAGAAAGAAAAGAAAGAAAGAACAAAAAAAGCAAAAAAGAAAAAGTGAAACGGTGCTAGAGCTTTCACGGTAGAGTGGAGTTAACTCCTTTCTGCTTCCACATGGCATAGTGGAATGGGCTTTACAGTGTGTACAGGTTTTAGAATTTTTACAGGCTGATTTGTGATTGGATCTGGGTTTGATCTGGGTACAAAGGGAGAAGTAGAACCAAAGGATACCGTGCTTCAGCTCTTCCAGTCTCTTCCCCTTTCTTTCCACCACATCGAAATCTCTAGGTATAGAAAGTCAGTGACTATGTCAGGCCATTTTGGCTTCCATTGGGAAGAAATGTAGCTATGATGGGATACAGCAGAGTAGGTAAAGAAAGAAACTTGTTAATTTTAAATAAAGTAGGTTAATTATACCATCTGTATAAGATGCTATAATAATTTATTTGAAACAAAGTGCATGAATGAAAAGGAGATTATTGAAAGATCAGCAGTTAAGAGTTTACTTCATTTCCTTGTTAGGAAAAATCACCTCCATCTAGAACATTATCTTCCTTGTCACCTTGGTGCCGTCCAAAATTGTGTAAAAAAAAAGGTGATATCTACATTTATTTTAATGATACTGATGAATTTTATTATCAGTAACTGGAGAGATAAAAACTGGCTTTTGTAAAATGAGTCATAGAGACCTTGATAGAAATAAGACCTAGCTATGCTGAGCTATTTAATTAAACATCATGATTCTACAAGTTATATATAATTTGGATGTTTCTTTTTTTAAACTTTTATGTTAGGTTCAGGGATACATGTGCAGGTTTGTTACACAAGTAAACTCCTGTCATGGGGGATTGTTGCACAGATTATTTCATCACCCAGGTACTAAGCCTGGTACCCCATAATTATTTTTTCTGCTCCTTTCTCTCCTCCCACCCTCCACCCTCAAGGAGACCCCAGTGTCTGTTGTTCCTTTGTGTTCACGAGTTTTCATCATTTAGCTCCTACTTTGGATTTTTCTATAGGCACCTCCAAATAATAAAAAATTTGCTTAATTCAGCTGGGTTGATTTTTTTTTAACTGAATTGACTGCATAGCTTTTATTTTTCCTTTATAACTTCTGTGAGAAACTCAGGGCCTCTCTATATGGAGTCAAAAGTCTTGAATATACAGAAATAGAATTCCGTTTTCTGGGTAATTTAAAATATCTATTAAAAACTATTATTTATTACATCTCCAGCATCTTTTTTCTGAATATTCATCCAGCTGATAGTTACTGACTAGGAGCTCCGTTTAAGATTGTATGCCATTTACTGAAGGGACCACAGCAGTGATGAGAAAGGTAGCTTAGTTTTGCCTTCACGATTATTCATATATATTCATGTATCTGACTAAATAATTCCAATTTGGTTATATGTTTGTTGTTTTAGAGACACTCCAAAGTATATTTGCTTTTGGTGAATGCTGGCATTTTTTCTTGATGAAATGAAGTATAAAGAAGTAGCATAAGAAAGTAGCATTGGCAGGAGCAAGTGGCAAGCTTTGTTGGTTTAGCAATCAAAAAGTTATCTACTGTGCAGATATTTTATACATATATATAATATGTATACAAATACACACAAACGTGTGTATATATATTTTGGGTATATATATTTGCAAAACATTTATAAAGCTGTTATCATGACTTTCTCTTTTTTTAAACCACCAATACATGGTAGGAAACGTTAAATGTTTACAGCAAGCTGCTTATTTTATTTTCCTTTATTTGGATGAAGTGCCTTCAGACTAATCCATATTCTCACCTCTGCCCCATTCATGAATGTCTTCTTATTAAAAAAAGAAACAACAACAAGAAATTAACTGTTAAAAATGTACATAATAATTTCTGAACAAAGGCAATTCCCTGGGAAAAGGTGAGTTTTAACACACTGAAGTTGTTGTAAGATTTATCACAAGAGATTAATCTTTTACATACACACACACTAAACATGCACATATACAGAAAATACTTATATGTGAAATATACATATATTGCACATAAGCATTTGCTATGTTTCTCCTGACATACATGACATATCTTATAACTTTTTCAATGGACTCTGAAAATAAACAACTATAAATAAAACAACATAGAAGACTTGAGACTTGATTTCTTTTTTTTTTTCTTGTGAGACAGCCAGCCTCTCTATATGGAAGCTGTTCTATGGTCTTATACTATAGTTCTGTTGAAAAATTGCACTGGCTTGCCAAATATCTTAATGACTTTTCTCTCAGCAGTTGGTAATGGTGAAATGTTATTCTAGTAACCATAATGTCTCTCATAAAACAATTGCATACAATATGTACTGTACTTCTATTTTAGTGAGCTCTTCTGTCAGAATAGCAGTACCAGTAACCATTTAGCATTTCATAGCAAACTGCTTACCAGTCCTTCAAGTGTAATACTGCAGAAAGAGTGAAGAAATGCGTGATTAAAAACATTTACTGAGAGTGGACCATTTAACGCAACCCGACACTGCAAAATAAACCAGCCTTCACATATGTAGGCGCTCATCATATAAATGACAGTTCTATGTGGTCATTTAATTTTACGATCTCAATTCTCGCATATATTGCTCACATAAATATAGTGTTCTCCTGCAGGGAGGTCTGCTGGGTGTTATAAAATCAGTGAGACCTCAATGGGTTCAAATGGACATCTTTTATAATTATTGCTATAAAATTTCTTGACAATGCATTTTGTTGTCCAATGGCTAAAGAAAATGATTTTCCAAAAGAATGGGTTTCAACAAAGAGAGTAACAGAGCCTGGGAATTGTTCCTGTATTCACCCATATTCAAATTACCTTAGTTACACTCACCTATTGGAGGCTTTCCAGTTCTTCACAATAAGTTCTTAAAATGTGGCTTCCAGTTAGAAGGAGGCCAGGTTTGAATTGTTTTCTGGTTTGATGAGGCAAGGTGGATTATCTAGAGGGAAGGATTAATTTGCTGTTAATTGCAGTTAAAATCTATTTACAGAGAATTCTTTCATGCGCTTGGACAGATAAAGAAAGATAGGGAAAAGAGTTCCACAAACTCAGGATTAAATATGGTTTGAACAGAAAACATAGCAACTTTGAAAAATTGTACCAAAAGCACCATGAAGAATTGTATTACTTTGTCTGACTTTTTCAGGGTCATTTATTTGGCATTACAGAGAATTTAATGTGGTAGATTTTCCCTACTATGTAATGGGACATTTTAATTACCTCTTAGTTTTTATATTTTCTCTAGGATAATGAGTTTGATTAGTATTGTTGCCATGTGTGACAAGTGTTTAATGGCACACTAATTGGATATGGGCATTTGTGTCCTATGGTTATCCTGTAACTACTATAGCAACATATTTTTTACATTGTTCATTTAGAAATGCAATAAAATATTCACTATTTATTGTCGAAAAGAAAATGAATGTTTAATACATTTTCAAGTGTTAAAATGTTAATGTGTAGTCACATTTGTTGAAGTAGAAAGAAGGAAAGTGAACTATGAGCCATAGCTTAGCTCTGTGGTGAAAGTAACAGTGCAGAGTGTGGCACAGGCAGGGAGGGCATGGCCTGAGGGCATTAGGGCTCCTGGCTTATTTGTCCCTAGTTCATCTCTATCATCTCCTGTAGGGATCATTTGTCCTTTGCCTCTGCTGCTTTTGTTGCTAATCTAGCAGCAGCATCAATGTTAGGATGGAGATTTAGCTTTCTCCCACTCTCAATTTTGAGGTTTGATCATGGCTTCACCTCCATATGCAGGGATGAGTATGTAACATAAGTTTAGGACAAAAAGGGAATTACGTTCTGTGCATGACAGTGACTGGTTCGGAGAGCACACGTGACTTAGTTCAGTTACCTCATAATGGGTTTCAGAACTTTTATATAAACCACTAGAAAACAACAACAACAAAGGCTGCTCTGGAAGTTGATCTTGGAGAAGTTGGGAGGAGGGGAAGCTCCATTCCCCTCATCTTATCACCCAATGGGGCTTGAGATTGAGACTTTCACACAGAAGAGAACAGTGAAAAACTGGAGATAATGAGAGACCAGATTATGAATCAGCACTTGGACTCTTCATTTAAGTTTCACCTTAAAGCTAAATCCAGCCCAGAAAGTTTTAGCTAAAGTTGAGTTTCCTGAAATTGAGAGAGCCTTAACTAATTCACATGTCCCTTACCTTAATTTTCTTATGACATCAGTAGCATCACCTTTTCCTGCCTAAAGTAGTTCAGTTCAGTTTTTGATACTTGTAACCAAACTAATACTAATAAACTGTTCTTTGCTGATGGCAGATTCAATATTTTGATCTCCACTTCTCCTGTGTCTAAGCAATCAATTCATTCTTTCATTCCATTAATACAATTGTACAGATATAATTGATATTGAGTGTCTTCTATGTGATAGATACTGTTGATGCAACAATAAAAAGCACATAGTCTCTTTCTTCTTAAAGTACAGAGTCTCATAATAGAGAAGATTATTAAAGAAGAAGTTACAATGAGAGGAAGAATACAAAAAGTTTTTAAAAGAATTTAAAAGAACATCAAGCCCTTAAATGTTGGGCCACAGAGGGTCTCCTGGATGAGGGAGCACCAAACCTGAGGCCTGAGAGATAAGTAAAACCAGAAAGGCTGAGGCAAGGCAAGGAGACAGAGAGTTGAACTCTACCTTCCAAAGAAAACATAAATTAAGTAACTGAAAAGACATACAGAAGGGCTTGATAAAGGGTAATAGCAAGGGAGGTGGTTTAGGAGTGGAAAGAGACAGGATTAAAGGTAAATAGCCATGGGATAAACTTACCCATCAAGGGCCTGGGAAACAAAGGAATTTGAACTTTATCTTAAAAACAGTAAAAAGACAATCAGGTTTCAAATAGGGAGATGGTATGATTAGGTTTTGATGTGTCTAATCCAGATTTAGGTAACCTTATTCAAAAAGATTATTGTAATAAGAGAAGGTAGACTATTTCAATAAGAGCAGAGAGATTATTGAAATAAGAAGGATGCTCCAACAATGACATCTGCAAATGTTTCAAAGTTCAGGCAGAAAAAAACACTTTTTTTTTCTTTTTTTTTTTTGGAGACAAGAGTCTTGCTCTGTCTCCCAGGCTGGAGTGCAGTGGTGCAATCTCGGCTCACTGCAAGCTCTGCCTCCCAGGTTCACGCCATTCTCCTGCCTCAGCCTCCCAAGTAGCTGGGACTACAGGTGCCTGCCACCACGTCTGGCTAATTTATTTTTGTTTTGTTTTGTTTTGTATTTTTAGTAGAGACGGGGTTTCACCGTGTTAGCCAGGATGGTCTCGATCTCCTGACCTCGTGATCCGCCTGCCTCGGCCTCCCAAAGTGCTGGGATTATAGGCATGAGCCACTGTGTCCAGCCAAAAACACTTTTCTTTTATAGGGGGTAGTGAACAAGGATAGAAAAAAAAAAACAAGTGTGGGAAAATGAGATGAACGGATGGAAAGGGCATGATTGGATAGCAGATGAGAGAATGTTTTACCCTGAGGTCAGTCTACAACTGTGAGGGACTATTACGGACAATTTCTGTGCTGGCTTATGCTAATGACGGGTCAAAACTTACGGACCTGGGGGAAGGAGAGAAGCTTAACTAGACATGTTAGGAGGCATTTTGTTCAGATTAGTCAGTAAGTACAGAAAGTTCAGCTAATCACGTATGAGGAAAAGAATGGGAATTTGGAGACTAAATATCTGTGTGTCCTGTTGTCATAGGTAAACAAAGGGAGGAGCTGTGAGTTGTATCTAAGTTACAAGGGGAAGGGTGATTCTTTGCAGTAAGCCATATTCAAAATACAAAAGTGTGGGAGGGCTCCTTAATTGTATCTACTTTCTAGGAGCACAGGGCTCAGGTAAACTTTAACATGGTCAGGTTTCAGAAACATTTTGATTTACCATGGAAAATATCTTGAAAGGGTATGAGGCCAAAGAAATAAGTGTGCAGTAATTCAAGTGCAGTTGCCCTGGTCCAAGGTAAAGACACTATGGTCATAAAGAAGCAGCAGATTACAAAGATTTTTAAAATGTAGAAAAAAACAGATTTTAGTGTTTGATTGGACCTGGGATGTGAGCAAAACATTTAAGTCACAAATGTGTCAAGAAGTTAATTCCTTTAGCTGAAATTTTCCCTCTCAAATTCCCCCAATGGCCTCTTTGACTATCAATCTGCAAGAGGTCCTCCGAATCACTGCTTTCCATGGATGTTTTAATCTTTCAAGGACTCAGGTTTCCTCTGCTATGGCCCCTTTCCCCCATATCCTCTGTCCTCAATAATTTTAGCCTTATGTCTTATCTTTACTTATTAACAAAAAATAGACTGTAATATCTCTTGTTTTAATCAATGTCTTCTCTCCAAAAGCAACTGTTATGGAGTATACCCCTTAACCTAATATCTCCTTCAGACTTAAAAATGGGATTTAAAATGATTGCTACCAGTCTTATGTAACTAAGTTTTACCGATCCTTGCCTGGTTTTTGACTGTTAAGAATTTTATTTGATATGTGCTGAACAGGTGTTTTAAGGCTGCCTTTAGTAATATAATTTCTTTGAACTTTTCTGAAGTGTAGCATAGATGTATAAAAGTACACAGATCCTTTGCAGAAAGAGTGCACACATGCAACCAGCATCCAGATAAAAAAAAAAGAACCAGTACCCCAGAAACCCCACACTGTGTCCACTTTTTAAAACACTACATCCTATATTGATCTCTAACACATGCATTAATTTTGCCTATTTAAGTTTTATATAAATCAAATAAGATACTATGCAACCTTTTGTGTCTGGCTTTTCTCTTATTATTTGTGAGATTTACCTATATTGTTACTTATAGTAATCTATTCTCATTGCTGTATTGTATTCCATTATTTGAATACATTATAACTTATATAGTTATTGCCATTGAGAGGCATTTGGATATTTTTTAGTTATAGGTACATGATTAGTGTTATAATAAGAATTATTGTACATGGGTAAATTTTGGGGTACTAATTTAATTTGAAGGACAATTTGTCACTGAATTCCTTTCTAAGCCTTAGATAAATGGTAAACAATTTTTTAACCACTTTGGAGCTTCTTATACATTCTTGTTTGTAGTTATAATCCTAATAGTTATTTAAATGCAGTTCTTTTACCTATGTGACTACGTATGTCTCTACATGTCTATGGATTTTAACTATGATTTTCCATTGGTTTCTCAGGGGGAATTTATTCTTAAATTTTGTTTTTAAGAGGGCTCAGGAAAAATATTTACCTCAGTTTACACAAGTTAAAAAGGCCTTAAGAATGCTTTGAAAACAACTTGCCTATTTATAAAATTATTGATAACATCCTTCTTTTTTTTTTCTTTTTTTTTTTTTAACTCAGCTGCGTCATAGATTGAGTGTTGCTGCAGTAATGTGAAGCAAGCCTACTGTCACCTTCTCATAGAAAATTGGATATCTTTCCTGACTGCCTGTTGTGGACTGAATTGAGTCCACTTCAAAATTCATATGTTAAAGCCCTAACCCCCAATGTCACTGTTAAGGAGGAAATTAAGGTTAAATGAGGTCATATGGGTGGGAACCTTAATTCAATAAGACTGGTGTCCTTATCAGAAGAAACACACCAAGGATGCATACTCACAGAAAAAAGCCCTCATGAGGACATAGAGAGAAGATGGTCATCAGCAAGGCAAGGAGAGAGGCATCAAGAGAAACCAAACCTGCAGACACTTTGATCTTAGACTTCCAGCCTCCATACTGTGAGATAAATTTCTGTTATTTAAGTCACATAGTCTGTGGTATTTTGTTATGGCAACCCTAGCAAACTACTACACAGCCTTTTCATGAGTTATTGTTTTGTTTTGTTTTGTTTTTGCCTAAAATCTAGATCCTGCACAACCATTTCATGACTTTTGATTTCAGGGTTAATACTTTGTATTGTCTTGGCGTTAATACTTATGTATCAAATTTTTCTGGGACCTATTTTTTTCTTTCAATTGACAAATGCAATTACTTTTATTTTCAGAAAAGTTGCCTTCTATGTTATCTTGAAATATTTTTGTCCTTTTTCTCAATGTAAAAATAATATGCAGCCCTAAAAAAGAATGAAATTATGTCCTATGCAGCAACATGGATGCAGCTGGAGGCCATTATCCTAAGTGAATTAATGCGGAAACAGAAAAGCAAATACCACATGTATTTGTGGATGTGGTATCCACATCCACTTATAAGTGGATGCTAAACCTTGGGTACTCACAGACATAAAGATGGCAACAATAGACACTGGGGACTACTAGAACAGGGAGGGAGGGAGGGAGGGGGGCAAAGGTTGAAAAACTATCAAGTACTATGCTTACCACCTGAAGGATGGGATCATTTCTACCCCAAACCTCAGCATCACACATTATACCCACATAACAAACCTGCACATGTACCCTCCAAATCTAAAATAAAAGGTGAAAATATTTTAAAAAATTACATCTACAAGGGATCGCCTTTGTCTGCTTCCAGTGATGTTATCTCAAATACTTCCTAATGACACACTTTTTTATTCTTACAGATCTTTTTTTGTTTGTTTGTTTCATCTTATATGTGTGCTTCAACAGGTGCATCCTTTCTGACTTAGCATCAGGGTGATGGTAAGATCTGTATTTGAGGTTAGGCTATGAGGACTCCTTTTTAGACCCTGAGCCTACAGCAGATGCTACAAATGCTACAAATGCTACAAACCAGCTTTGTAGCCTAGAAGAACATAAGCCTCCCAAAAGAAACACTTTGCGTGTATAGGTCCCACAAAAAAATCATGAATGAGGGATCATTAATAGTGAGTTTTCTATCCAGACAATATCTCATAGGGTCTAATTCACAGTATTGTTTTATGTCCAACATATTGGTTGCTAGTAACACAGAAAAATGCTTTATAAGAGATTTTTAGAAACACATTATGTCAATGATTAATGCCAATAATTTCTACTTTATCAACAATTATCCAAATCATTAATTTTCCTGATTTGACAAAATAAGATGCAAAGCAGATATATAACTGAAACATGCATTTTTTCCATAAAAGAACTCTCCTATTATGAACACATTTAATATTTCTCTTTGTTTAGATCCTTTCAATAAAGATTATATTAACCTCTTCTCTTAATATGTCTTTAAACTTCTTTAAATATTGAAAATTAACTCTTATATAATTAATATAACATTTTGTATTTGTTTTTCTATACTTAATAGTCCAATTAATAGAAACATATTTTTTAATTCCTCTAAGAAAAAAATAACACCTTTTCTGATACATATCCTTCAGTTGCCTTTTACGTGGATTGATAGTCCCCCTAATGCTTCCTCAAGAGTTTCTCCAGTTGGCTTCCCCAGAAACAGATCCCGAAACAAGGATTTGAGTAAAAGTATTTTGTTTGACATATTATTCAAGAAAACATTGGTAGGAGAGTAGGAAAGTGAGTCAGCAAGGTGAAGAAAAAAAATGAATGTGCATTAGTGAGCAGATTACTGCTTTTGTCTACTAAAATTCAATCCTGATGGGTGCCTCTGAAAGATTGTAATTCATCTCTGAGAGTTGCCCCAGCAGAGGGACTAGAAAGCTGGGGCATTTATCCTTCAACTCTCATCCACCATTGGTTGAGGAATGTTCTTGAGGGGATTAATTCCCCAGCACCTCAGCCTTTCCCATGTTGTGGCTGAGTATGTTCCTCAACACTGTTAATAGCTTCTAAGTGTTGCCTTAAGAAGCTGAATGAGAGCACTAAGTGCTAAGGGGAAACTGGCAGTACCATGGCAGGGTCTACTGTGGTCCATCCCTTGTATCCTTCTGATTCACTTATGCTCCAGTTTAATTTCACTATGTTTGGTCACTGACTCTTCAAGATGATGTCTAGTTATTTTTCTTCCTCTCGCTCTCTCTCTCTCTTTTTTTTTTTTAATTCTCTCACAGGTCTGGATAGCTGTTGTTTCAAAAATTTAAAATTCTTAAAAATAATATGAAACAAACATAAAACTGAAGTTGTGGTTTTGCCTGCAGCTGCAGTCAGCCCCTAGGCCAGAATTTGTAAACTATTAATTATCTCACTCCTTTACAACCCAATCTTTATTTCTCTCACTCTCAGATAGCACTTCTGCTAGTCTAGGTTGCTTGCCCAATGGGTAAACCAGGCCTTCATCCCTTAGGAGTCTAAGCCTCTAAACATATACCTTTACCTTTTTTTTTTTTTTTTTTTTGAGATGGCAGAGTCTTGCCTTGTTGCCCAGTGCAGTGCAATGGCATGATCTTGGCTCTCTGCAACCTCCGCCTCCTGGATTCAAACGATTCTCCTGCCTCAGCCTCCCATGTAGCTGGGATTACAGGCTCCTGCCACCATGCCTAGCTAAGCTAATTTTTGTATTTTTAGTAGAGACGGGGTTTCACCATGTTAGCCAGGCTGGTCTCGAACTCCTGACCTCGTGATCTGCCTGCCTCGGCCTCCCACCGGCCGTGAGCCACCAAGCCCAGCCCAAACATATACCTTCTTGAGTCCTTTATGAGGTATCAATGTAGTTTTTTCATAATAATCAGGATCAATTACACTGCCTGTATAGTACAATGTATGTCAGCTGGTCTTCTAGCATTGGAGACTAAAATGGCCAGGTGATATCCTGAGCTTTATATTTACTAAAATCCATACTTCACCTCCTGGAAGAAACATTTCTATTCTGGGAACTAGATCTTCTAATGTAGTAGTATCTAAAATTTGAGGAACAGAGAGCTCCCCTTACCCGAAATGGTCACTAGGAGTGATGGTAACGAGAGGTGACAGCTGCTGGCAGTCCTCGCAGCCCTCGCTCGCTCTCGGCACCTCCTCTGCCTGGGCTCCCACTTTGGTGGCACTTGAGGAGCCCTTCAGCCCGCCCCTGCACTGTGGGAGCCCCTTTCTAGCCTGGCCAAGGCAGGAGCCGGCTCCCTCAGCTTGCAGGGAGGTGTGGCGGGAGAGGCGCGGGCGGGAACCCAGGCTGCACGCTGCGCTTGCGGACTAGGGCAAGTTCCGGGTGGGCGTGGCCTCCCAGGCCCAGCACTCGGAGCGGCCAGCCGGCCCCGCGCCCGGGGCAGTGAGGGGCTTAGCACCCGGTCCAGCAGCTGCTGTGCTCGACTTCTCGCCGGGCCTTAGCTGCCTCCCCGCGGGGTACGGCTCGGGACCTGCAGCCCGCCATGCCTGAGCCTCGCCCCCGCCGTGGGCTCCTGCGCGGCCCGAGGCACCCCAACCAGCGCCACTCCCTGCTCCACGGCGCCCAGTCCCATCGACCACCCAAGGGCTGAGGAGTGCGGGCGCAGGGCGTGGGACTGGCAGGCAGCTCCACCTGCGGCCCCAGTGCGGGATCCACTGGGTGAAGCCAGCTGGGCTCCTGAGTCTGGTGGGGACTTGGAGAACCTTTATGTCTAGCTAAGGGATTGTAAATACACCAATCGGCACTCTATCTAGCTCAAGTTTTGTAAACACACCAATCAGCACCCTGTGTCTAGCTCAGGGTTTGTGAATGCACCAGTCGACACTCTGTATCTAGCTAATCTAGTGGGGACGTGGAGAACTTTTGTGTGGACACTGTATCTAGCTAATCTAGTGGGGACCTGGAGAACTTCTGTGTCTAGCTCAGGGATTGTAAACGCACCAATCAGCACCCTGTCAAAACGGACCAATCAGCCCTCTGTAAAACAGACCAATTGGCTCTCTGTAAAGTGGACCAATCAGCAGGATATGGGTGGGGCTAGATAAGAGAATAAAAGCAGGCTGCCCGAGCCCTCAGTGGGAACTTGTTCCGGTGCTATTCCAGTTTGTGGAAGCTTCGTTCTTTTGCTCTTTGCAAGAAATCTTGCTACTGCTCACTCTTTGGGTCCATGCTGCCTTTATGAGCTGTAACACTCACCGTGGAGGTCTGCACCTTCACTCCTGAGCCAGCGGGACCACGAACCCACCAGAAGGAAGAAACTCCCAACATCAAAACGAACAAACTCTGGACAGGCCACCTTTAAGAACCGTAACACTCAGGCGAGGTTTTGCAGTCTCATTCTTGGAGTCAGTGAAACCAAGAACCCACCAATTCCGGACACGGTAAGAGGGACCACTACTATGTTAACTCTGGTTTTCTTTCTTTTTTTTTCCTGCTCTATATGATCTGCAGAATTCGACACCCTTTGGTTTTCAGATCATTGCATTCTAATTACCTGGGATACAACGTCATATAATGGCCAGTAGTTGGAATTTTACCTCACATTTTGAAAGATGGTGCCCCAACCTTGCAGATGCCGCAAGCTGAGACTTTAAGAGGCTATCATGATGTGGTATATGGTTGAATTAGTAGGTCCTGTGGTTACTTGCTCATTTCTCCACTCTTAATCAAAGGTTATCTCATTGGGAATCTAATGCTTTTTATGCCTTTTACTCAGATACGGTGTTAAAAAGATAGAGAAGGCAAACCCATAGCCAAACACACATCTGTCCTAGTAAGGATGAAACACTAGTCAGACTAATAAGGCCCACATTGTAATGTTGGTTGGTCTCTTCATGGGATATCCCTATATTGGGGGTGGTGGTTGGGAGGTGGCCTCCGTGCTTAGTGTTGGTAACTGTTGTTTGAAGATCAGATATTCAGCAACAGCAGCAGCTACATTAGCCACAGTGAAGGAAGAGAAGGATATGGAGCTGGTGCATAGTTTCCTTTCCTGTCATTATTGCTACTCTATTCCTGAGTCTATTGAATGAGCATTCGAATAACCAAGTGCCAAATCTGGCTGGTATCTAATATAAGTCATTTGTTCTCCTGGTTTTTGCCAGGAGATTAAATCCTAAGGCACAGTAGAGTGTCTTCATATCAATAAACTCAAATCAGTCAATATCTACAAGTTTAATAATCTTCCCTCCCTGCTTCTGCATCCTCAATATATACTCCTAGACTTTTTTCTCCTGGTTGCTTTTATAACAAATTAGCCAATTCTTACAGATCTTTTGGTGGATAATTCATTTCTTCTCATAGCAATATAGTACTTTTTCACTTAGGCCATGCTGTGACTTAACCCAGGTAATTCTGCCACTGTTATTCTGAAAATATACCCCTTCCACAGACCCCCATACCCTCTAGCTGAGCCTGAGAAATTCAGTTACTGCAGCGTGTGGGCCAAAAACCATGAGCTCTCCTATTGTCACACAGAAACTCTTCATGCCATCTCTCTCTCTCTGCTACCTGAGTACTGCCTAGCTGCCTACAGCAGAAGAGATGGCTTCCTGGGTTGCACCAAGGCAAATTTCCTTCTTCCCACCCTCCTGGCATTTACCTTACCCTCCTCTGTCCCCTCTTACAGAGAATATAGACCTGAGGTCCAAGTTTGCAAGCAGAATGCTATAGGCTCATGAAGGGAGAGAGTAGCCTAAATTGGGCAGTCTGGTCGTCATCCCCAAGAGAGTTACAGGGACTCAGCCCTCTCTTCTGCCATTAAGAGAGCCAGTCCTCCTGGATGGCATTGCAGTGAGCCCTTAGCCCTAGTTCTGTGGACTAGGGGAAAGGGATGGAAGGAAGGATGCATGGGTAGAGTCCCTGCTGCACTATTCCTTGTGTGCCAGAGCAGTCTGTGTCTGTCTTCTCTGTGTTGGGGTGTCATTTTCCCATGATCTCTTCTACTTAAGGTCATTGTATTTGATAAGCATTTATATTTATACTAATAGAAACAATGCTCTATTATGAAGTAAAGTGTGAGGTTTTTTGCAATTTTTAGTTTATGGTGGTATTCATATATCATCATTATCCTTTTAAATTAGTATAGATATTTTAAAGGGAAAAATCTTTATATTTAAACATATGCAATGGTGTATTTTTCCTGCTTTTTGAACAAGGGACCCCTCATTTTCATTTTGTGTTGGGCCCTGCAAATTAGAAGTAAGAACTTTTTGATGAAATTCACAGAGCAAGAGAGGGAGGAGAGGAGGAAGAAAAATAGAAGGAGGAGGAAGAGAAAGAGAGTAAGAGATAAAAACTACGATATTAATACCTAACACAACTGTAAAAATACTCATATATAAAGATGTTTCCATGACATACATGTGAAACAAAAGTTAATTGCAGTGTCAGAGTTAATCACTGCTAATAACGGAACTCATCATTTTGTGATCTTTGAGATTCATTCTATTAAATATCAAATGTACTCTGTGTATTTGTCCATTTGTATTCAACTGAGGCTTGATTTTGATGTCATTTATCTGACACTTGTATTAATTGCTTAACTTTGCAGATGTTGAAGCCAAATGTATTTGCCTTGGAAGCAATTGAAACAAAGAGTTTACTAACCATAGAAAATACGCACCATGCTCCGCTTCATACTGAGGGCTACCAAGAAAAGCTTTATTTATGCAAGAATGTAGTTAGAAGAAAAGTGAAAGTCAATTGCCTTGTCTTTTTTTTAATGGAAACAAACCAAGTGTAATCAGTTATACTTGGGCATTTTGTAAAAGTAATGCTTTCTGTTGGTATTAGTAATATGTGTACCATAGAAGGACTGCCAGTCAGGGAGGCATAGAAAGTGAGTTGGACAACCTAAAGGAGAATTGTGAGTTGCAGTGTGGATAAATGGGCAGTGTGGGTGTTCACTCTAGGAACAACAGCTAAAGAGGGGTAGGAAAGGTGGTGAAGAATAAAGTTAATCTGTGGCCTTTAAAATGCCAGTAAGTTAGAATATCTTAGTTTTAACTCTTTGGGGAACAGGATAGAGTTCATTCTCTATCCATGTACTACAAGATATATAAGCCAGAGTTTATAAAGCAAAGCTCTTTTATTCTTTTTCTTTTCCAATGATATTCTCTCTCTCTCTCTTCCTCCCTCTTCTAATTTCTTTCATATTTTCTATTAAGTAGGGCTCTCCTGCCAGCATATCTCTTGAAGGCCTTCACATATTTTATAGTCTTGTTTCCTATGCCCAACTAGCTTCTGTATTTCATTTTGAAACTGCTTTCTTTATAGTGGCATTTGATTTGTTTTCACTACTGTTGAGAGAAAAACTTTCCCTTTACCATCTAAGGCTAGAGTGGTTGGGGACCTGTGAATGAACTAACAGTGGACAGATTAATAGGAGAAAAGACAAAGTTTACTCATATGCCTGTGGTAGTGTACAAAAGAAGTGACTCCCTGAATAGCTAGAAATAGGGATTTCTATCCCAACTTAATAAGAAAAAGGGAGAAAAGTAGAAAAGGCTTCTATGGGAAGAACAAATAAGCTTAATAAGGGAAAAATAAATGGGCTTTTATGGAAACAAATGGGAGGTATGACAGTATTTGATCATCTTTGTTAATGCAATTTTTCATCCTACTATTAGTGATTCCTCTCTCGCCTGGCTGTGAAACATGTAATGTCTGCTTTTTCATTTCTGATTTTATTTATTTAAGTCTTCTCTTTTCTTTTTTCTTCATTAGTCTGGCTAAAGGTTTGTCAGTTTTGCTTATCTTTTCAAAAGACCAACTTATTGTTTCATTGATCTTTTATATTTTCTTCATTTCAATTTCACTTATTTCTGCTCTGTTCTTTATTATTTCTTTCCTTCTACTAACTTTGGAGAGTTGGTTTTTATCTTACTCTTGCTTTTCTTATTTTTTAAGATGCATCTTTAGGTTGTTCATTTGTAGTTTTACTACTTTTTGGTAAAGGCACTTACAGCTATAAGTAGTGCTTTCCTCTTAGTAGTGCTTTTGCTGTATCCCGTAGATTTCAGTATGTTGTGTTTTCATTTTCATTTGTTTCAAGAAATTTTTCAATTTTCTTCTTAATTTCTTTATTTACTTACTGTTCATACAGGAGCGCGTTGTTTATTTTCCATGTGTTTTTATAGTTTCTAAAATTCCTTTTATTATTTATTTCTAGTTTTATTCCACTGTAGTAAAAGAATATACTTGATATGATATCAGTGTTTTTGAGTGTTTCAAGACTTGTTTTGTGGCCTAACATATGGTCTATCCTTGAGAATAATCCAAGTTCTGAGGAGAATGTGTGTTCTGTAGCTATTGGATGAAATGTTCTGTAACTATGTATTAGGTTCATTTGGTCTATAGTACAGATTAAGTCTGACATTTCTTTGTTGATTTTCTGTCTGGATGATATGCCCAATGCTGAAAGTAGGTTGTTGAAGTCTTCAGCTATTATTGTATTGAGGTCTATCATTCCTTTTAGCTCAAATAATATTTGCTTGATATATCTGGGTGTTCCAGTGTTGGGTGCATATATATGTATAACTATTATATCCTCTAGCTAAATTGACCTCTTTATCATTATATAGTGACCTTCTTTACCTCATTTTATATTTTTGTCTTGAAATGTATTTTCTCTATCATTAGTATAGCTACTCCTGCTCTTTTTTGTTTGCTTGCTTGTTTGTTTTATCAGTTCTACTATTCTAGAGTAAAAGGTTTTTCTTTCAGCACTTTAACTGTGTTATGCCATGCTCTCCCGGTTCTGTAAAGTTTCCACTGAAAGGTCTACTGCCAGACATATTGAAGATCCATTGCATGTTATTTGTTTCTTTTCTCTTGCTGCTTTTAGGATTCTTTCTTTTTATTACATGCCTTGATGTAGTCTTCTTTGGGTTAAATCTGCTTAGTGTTCTATATCCTTCCTGTACTTGAATATTGATATCTTTCTCAAAGTTTGGGAAGTTCTCTGTTATCCCTTTGATTAAACATTTTACCCCAATCTCTCTTTATCTCCCCTTTAAGGCCAATAACAGGTTTGCCCTTTTGAGGCTGTTTTCTAGGTCTTGTAGGTGTGCAGCATTCTTTTCTATTCTTTTTGTGTGTGTGCTTCCTTTGACTGTGTGTTTTCAAATAGCCTGTCTTCAAGTTCACTAATTGTTTCTGTTTTTTAATCTTGATCCATTGGAGGGCTGCTAAAATAAGAGGCAAATTCATTTCAGTGATTTTCCACTGTTTACTACAAAAGATTGTTTAAAAACTAACAGTGAGTAGCAATAACAGCTATCACTTACTGACTGCTAGAGGCTGGATACTTTACCAGAAGAAACTTTGTGACATTTGATTGATTTAAACCTCAAAGCCACCCAGTGAGGTATATATTATTCTCTTCATTTAATCTATAAAGAAACTGAGGTTCAGAGAACTTAAGTAACCAGCCCGAATGTCCTAACATTGTAAATGACAGAGCTAGCATTCAAGCTATATTTTTATGTAAGCTTGTTGATTGAAGCTTAACATACATAAAGAAAAGTGCACAAATGTAAATGTATGGCTCAATAAAGTCTCACAAAGTTGACATACCTGTTTATATGTAACATTACTTGTGCTGAAATAGCCTCTTTTGTTTAAACCAATGACTTAGTGTTTTATAGAGGCTAAGGCTATCTCTATTTTTTGTATGTGAAACAAAACTTGCACCAGACCAGTTAAACTGGCAAGGAAGACTTTATTCAAGACTATTGCAATAGGGTACAGAGATTGAACTTAACCTCACTAAAACAAAAGGTAGGAGATTTTTTAAGCATTGGAGTCTACTAGTGAAAAAATACAGGAGAATGTTGAGGGGAGACTAGTCAATGCAATTAGGCCATCTATGTTTTCTAATTGGCACTTATTGAAGTTGGATTCCTGACCCCTAATAAACTCTGAAAAATGGGGGCACTCTCTCTCCTGATTACACTTCCAAAGGGATGCCTCCCAGGTCCTTGTGAAAGTACTGCTAGGTTGAAGATTTACAACTCAAAGGGGCCAAGAAATAAATTGTAATTGCAAGGTTTTCTAAAGCTAGTGCTCTAAGAAAAGGGAGATCGGGGTCTATAGTCATGAAGAAATCTGTTAATTAGTCAAACTAAGGGAAATGTTAAGGTCATTTTGGTCACCCACCATTAATAAGATCATACTAGTAGATTCATTTTCATTTTGAGATGACTAAACCTAGGGTGTAGCTTTGCACAATGCAAAAAAGGAAACACTATATCACTACTTGGGCATTTTAAAATATAAAGTCATTCTAGTTCTTTAGAAGGCTAGAATCTAGATTGTAGTAATAAGGATAATAGGGGATTTGCAGAGCATGGTCTTTTCAGTGAGGTTAAGGGAACATTATTTATTTACCCAATTCTGTTTAGAGAATAGGCTGTACAAGTGGCCATGATAGAGCATAGATACTTGGGAGGTGATAACACCCAACAGGAAGAAGAATTTGCTAATGTTGTTAAAGGTAGTATAATGAGGTATAACAGCCTGAAACTAGACCATTAGGTTAGACATTAGAAAAGTATTTCCAAATGTAGGGTTGATTAGGTTTTGGAATAATTTGCTGAGAAAAGGTCACTAAGGTGCTATCACTAGTAATACTCAAGAGTAGATTAGATGAAATACATATTACTATTTATGGCTGCAAGGACAAGGTCAAACCCACAGTAATGCAAAGGAGCAAACTGTGTGACCCTGGATGTGTTTTCTCTCTCTATGATAAGATCCACTTGATTTTACAAAACAACAAAAGGAAAAGCATCATTATTTGTAATAGTAAGTCTCAACCAAGGATTCACACAACAAAAATGCATTTCTCTTTACCCTATTTTCTTTTACACTAGCATTTAGAGGGTAGATGTTTGTATCAGTGAAGAAAATGAAACCAGTGCGCATTTTACATTATAAGGAATTAATTTGCAGCCGATCTGCTTGTATTAACAAATTGTTGTTTGGTTAGAAAATAGCCTAAGTGGTACTTTGTCGTCTTAATGATCCTATTTAACAATTCAGTTTAGCTGTTTTTGCTTAATTTTCATGCTAATTTTAAACGATTTTCATCCTTTTAAGTTTTAACAGTATTTTAAATTTAACAATATATTGATATTTGCATTTAATTTTTATTTGATTTAGTTTATTTTATTCAAAATGGTCTATTTGGCACTTGATTGTTTTCTGAATGATGCAAATAAAACAATGAAATTCCTGTATAGAGGATAGAGCTTCTATTTTATATGGATGCCAAGGTAAGTCCTCTCTGTTGAAGGGTAAGATGTAAATTCTCTGTAGTAATTCTGAATAACCAGAGTATCATCACTTTTGTTCAAACAGAAGAGATTCTGTAGATAAAAATTAATTGCAGGTTTTTGTCAGAAAAGTTGATTTGCCTTGCTGCCCAACCCCTTCCAGCTCCTTCCTCATGTAATGCATTTTGTCTTTTAACAAATGGTAAAGAGCACTCCTTTGTGCTACAAACTGTTCTACATGCTGAGCCATATAGCAGTCAGTAAGAGAAATAGCAATAAAGTCTATGTCTTTATAAGATTTAATTCCAGTAGGGGAGACAGACAATAAATAGACAAACGAATAAGTGTGTCAAATTGTCAGAGGTGTTTGAACCAGAGCAACTCCATCTTGAATAGGGGCTGGGTAAAATGAGGCTGAGACCTACTGGGCTAGATTCTGAGATGGCTAAGGCATGCTAAGTCACAGGATGCAATAGGAGGTCAGCACAAGATACAGGTCATAAAGACCTTACTGATAAAACAGGGTGCAATAAAGAAGCCAGCTAAAACCCACCAAAACCAAGATGGCAACGAGAGTGACCTCTGGTCATCTTCACAGATACACTCCCGCAAGCACCATGACAGTTTACAAATGCCATGGCAACATCAGGAAGTTACCCTATATGGTCTAAAAAGGGGAGGCATAAATAATCCACCCCTTCTCTAGGATATCATCAAGAAATAACCATAAAAATGGGTAACCAGCAGCCCTCAGGGCTGCTCTGTCTGTGAAGTAGACATTATTTATTCCTTTACTTTCCTAATAAACTTGTTGTCACTTTACAGATTCTCCGTGAATTCTTTCTTACGTGAGGTCAAAGAACACTCTCTTGGGGTCTAGAATGGAACCCCTTTTTGGTAACAATGTCAAAAATTGCCAAGGGTTGTTGAGAAACATTAAGCAAAGAAAGGGACTGGATTATTGCATCTTAGGAGGTGTAGGGGCCTCTCTGGAAGGGAGATAATTGAGCAGAAAACTGCATCCCTGAGGAAGCAACCCATGCAGGCATCTGAAGGAATAGATTCTAGGTGGAGGAAATCATAAGTGTAGGGCAGGAAACTTGCCTGTTTTAGGATCCACAGGTTAATACAGGGTTGTTGATGTGAAGAGACCAGAAAAGCCCATCGGAGGAGATTATGGTTCTTAGTGTCCCTCTTGCAAGGGTACTCTTTAAGTTGATTAACCAAACATGGACATAAGGCCACACAGATGCTGTTCAATATATATAAATGAACAGTTTCCTTTACTTGAAAATCTTATTTTTTACTTAATTTTCGCCAGGGAACAATTCAAACTGTTCTAATCTCTACTGGGTGGAGAGCAGGAGGAGGAGAGGATCAGGAAAAATAATTAATAGGTACTAGGCTTAATAGCTGAGTGATGAAATAATCTGTATAACAAGCCCCCATGACAAAAGTTTACCTATATAACAAACCTGCACTTACATCCCTGAACTTAAAAGCAAAGTAAAAAAAAGAAGAAAGTCTACTGACATTATTCATTCTATAAATATTTCACAAATAGCTACTGACTGCCCACTACGTGAGAAGCACTACTTGAGGTCTTTAAATAAAGTTTCAAAACCAGAGAATTTATTCTTTCTATGGAAATTTAATTCTATGTAATATAAATAGGTTTTAAATTAAACATAGTAAACACATGTAAGTCATGCTAAAACATCATTTATTGTCACAATTTGCCAGTGACTTGGACTTGGGAAACTCTCTAGATCTCAGACTTCTCATATAGGAGGCAATCTACAATGGTGACTGTTTCTTTTGGTTCTAAGATGTGGAAACAATCACAATGTGCATGGAGCAAAATTTTAAGATGAAAATTATGTATTGATTAATTTAAATAGAGGAAAAAATAATTGTGTTTCCTTTTCCCACAAATAAGGATATTGCCATCTTACAAGTAGCACATTCTTTAAAAACACTTTTTATACAGTAATATAGCCACCATTTTAGTCCATTTGCTGCTGCTATAAACAGAATACCACAAGCTGGGAAACTTTTAAAGAAAAGTGATCTGGCTCACAGTCCTGGAAGCTGGGAAGTCTGAAATTGAGGGGCTGCATCTGACAATGGCCCTTTTGTGTGTTTTCTCATGGTGGAAGGCAAGGGAGCACGAAAGACAATGTGAAAATCAGGGTAGGACTTATTCTTTGTATAACTAACCCACTTCCGTAATAACTAGCTCACTCTCATGATAATGACTTTAATCCATTCATGAGGGTGGTGATGCCATGACCTAATCACCTCTTAAAGCTTGCACCTTTTAACATCATCACAACGACAATTAAATTTCGACATGAGTTTTGGAGGGGAAGGGGTATTCAAACAATAGTATTCACCCATTTACTGAGTGAAGTACTTATTATATAAATCTACCTTTTCAATACTCAAAATAACTTTATGAAGAATGTAGGAACTTATCTCATAGATGGCCACCACCAAATTTTTCTCTTCATGTATGTTCATGGCATTCCTTCTTTAGAAGAAGAGTCTATTTTTCCCCTCACCTTGAATCTGGACCTGTCTGGATGAATTGATTGAACAACAGAATGTGGTGGAAGAGACATTCTGAAACTTCCCAGACCAAGTCATAAGAAGCCTTGCAACTTTCACCAGCAGCTCATGGAAGGCTTCCCCTGGAGTGAGTCAGTCACTGTTGAATAAATGTGACTACCTCCCTGAGACTGCCATACTGTGAGGAATCCAATAAAACCATGTGGAAAGGAAATGATGGCCCAGCCATAACTATTCTAGCTATCCTAGCACCAGACATAAGCCATCTTGGATCCATTCCCAGCAGATGTAACATGAAGAAGTACAAAGGACCCCAGTGAACAGCAAGAACAAAAGTCCTTTGTCATGGTCCCTGCCATATGATCCCAACTGTTCAAGCTTCTATGGCTATGGGCCTAGTCATTGTGGATTAAAGAAGAGCCATCCCCACTGTACTCTGCCTGAATTTCTAAACCACAAAATAGAACAATAAAATGGTTGTTTTATACCACTAAGCTTTAGGTTGATTTTTTACATAGAAATACATAACCAGTATGGATTGACATGCAAGTTGTGCTTATACCTTTATTAGTAAAGAATCCTCATAAATGGAATTGGTGCCATCATAAAAGACTTGAAAAAAACTCTCTTGCCTCATCTACCATGTGAGAACACTGTCTACGAGCCAGAAAATGGATCTTTACCACACACCGGATATGCTTTTATCTTGGAATTCCTAGCCTCCAGAACTATGAGAAATAAATTTCTGTTTTCTATGAGTTACCTAGCTTATGGTATTCTAGCAATGTGAATGAACTAAGACTGAAAATGGGTACTGAGAAGTGAGGATGCTGCTGTAACAAATACCTAAAACTGCAGAAAGAGATTTGGAACTGGGTAATGGGTTGAAGCCAGAGATTTTTGAGGTGCATGTTATAAAAAGTCTACATTGCCATGAACAGATTATAAAGGGCAATTCTGGTGAGGACCCAGAAGGAGAGAAGGATGGCTGTAGAGAGAGCCTCCCTCTTCTTAAGAGAATACGTAAGTGATCGTGTACAGAATGGTGGTAGAAATATGGAGGGTAATGGTTCTACTGATGAAGTCTCAGAAGGAAATGAAGAACATGTTATGGGACAATGTAGGAAAGGTGATCCTCATCATAAACTGGAAAGAACTTAGCTGAATTGTGTTCATGTCATTGTGTTTTGTGGAAAGCAGAACTTTTGAGGAATGAAATTGACTATTTGGCTGGGTAAATTTCTAAGCAAAATATTGAAAGTGCTTCTTCTCACCTGCTCTAGTAAAATGTGGGACAAGAGAAACAATTTTAAAGTGGAACTACTAACTTGAAAACAAAAAAGTGGAACATAAGTATTTGGAAAATTTTCAACCTATCTCTTTCACGAAGAATGAGAAAGGGTATTCAGAAGAGAACATCAAGAGTGTGGCCAAATGACTGTCTGATACTAGTCAGCCATCTAAACAGAAGCCAGGACCTATTGTCCAAAACCATAGAAGAGTAATTCTGAAGGCAATTCAGAAATACTTAGAGGTACCACCTCCATTACAAGCTCAGAGTGCAAAAGCCCCAGTGAGCATGCCGCCACAGTGGTGAGCCTTCATCAGGGCAATGTCCAGAGAAGCCATGGGAGTGGGGCTGCCCCTGTGACCCCAGACTGATAGAGCCACCAACATGCAATTCCTGCCAGGGTAAACATAGCAGGAAGCCCCCGTCTATGAGCCAGAAAGTAAAGCCCTCACCAGACATTGGATTTGCCTTACCGTGAACTTCTCTGTCTCCCAAATTGTGAGAAATAAATATCCATTGTTTGGAAGACATGATATTTTGCTATAGCAGCCTGAATGGACTAAGACAATGAGACTTCAATGATGAATAAGTCTGTAATGGTGGATGAGATTTTGAATAACTAGAGAGTGTAAAGAGAACAGTGAATAGATATGTAAGAGAGACAGAAATTTAAAACACCACAGGCAAAATTGCAAAGCAGGTATTTTGCAAAATATAGCTAATTTCTTACCACATTGATATAAAGTTACTTCCAAACTTGTACTATTCTGGATAGCGAAAGTTGATGCCGAGGTAGAGGCATGAAAAAGACAAACATGTTAAACATTTTCAGTAGCTATTAACATTTTATAGGCAAAAATATGGGAAAATAAAAAGCAAATGAATAAATTTTGACTATAATGGAAGAAGTGTATGAGAAGTTGACAGGAAATGAATTTCAATAGATGCTTTCTAATCACAGAAACCTCTGAAAACCAAAGTCAAGAGCTTAGCTTAATAAAATAGAAAATAGGGAATTAATAGAGAAACAGAACCAACAGGATGTATACATACACACACACACACACACACAGAGAGAGAGAGAGAGAGAGAGAGAGAGAGGAACAGACAGAGGAAGAGAAAGAATCTGATGGGGTATGCCAGCAGACTGGAGACTCAGGGAAGAGTTGCAGTTGCAGTTCAAGGAAGTTTGCTGGTGGGATTCCTTCTTGTTGGGGAGGAAATCAGTCTCTATTCTATTAGAGACCCACCCACATTATGGAGGGCAGTATGCTCTACTCAAAGTCTACTACTTTAAATGCTAATATCATTGAAAAGGCATCTTCATCGAAATGTCCAAAATAATGTTTGACCAAATATCTGGATACCACGGCCCAGCCAAGTGGACATAAAAAATTAACCATTACTGGGAGCAACTGAAAATTTTTAAGGAGGGTGATAATGTGATGAAAAAGTGTTTGAGGAAGACTTTTATAAAAGTATTTTGCATGTTGGTTTAAAAGAAGGAGGAATTAAAATAAAATAAACAATCAGTAAGGCTAAGGAATTTTTAGAACCTGGCTGAGAAGAGTGATGGAGAGGGTTAGATAACATGGCCTAGATAACTGCTTTTTATTTAATGGAGACATTTAAAGTAGCATGCTAAAAATTATCAAATAATCTGGTTAGATTCCACTCTATTATTTATTTTATGATTGTAGTAATACTTTAAATACATCCCAACATTTCTAGGCATTGAGGGCAGTATAATATAAAGGCCACAGGCTTTGGAATACAGTTGGTTTGAATTCAAGCTTTGTCACTTATCTGCAAGTTTCATAAGTTCTGTTAGCCTGTTTCCTCCTCTAAAAATGAAAGTATTAATGCCTATCACAAAGATTAAAGAAAAATAATGTAGTTAAATATTCAGAATAGCATAGGCAGTTTCAGGATACTGCAATAGCATTAAACTCATTTAAATTCTATGAACTCAATATTGCAGGCTTCGCAAAAACAGAAAAGCAGAGAGAGAGAGAAGGAGAGAGAGAGAAAGAGAGAGACTCATTGATTCAGGGATAGTCCCTGGTTCAAATTAGATCCTGACCTCCACTATGCCAGAGGAGGTTACGACTAAAATGCAAAGAAAAAAAGGAGATAACTCCTGGATTTTGACTACACAAGGACCTAAATCCTGGAGGTTTAAGGATAGCGCAACAGCTTTTAAATGGTGATTTTGGGTCTACTAGATTTTTTGTTTGACTTGCCGATTTTAGAACCCAATTCCTGTTTAAATTGAACTCCACCATAAATGTGTCGTAGAGATTTAATTTCAAATCTTTCATAGAGCACCCACTCAAGAAAAGAAGTTAAATCCTATTACAGCCAATTTCAATATAGTCTCTGGATATGCCTAAATCTGACAATCAGCATACTGTATTCTGACATGTCTCAATGTTGGTGATGGCGATGTGACCTCAGCTGAGATCCTTGCAGTCATCTAATTAGACAGAAGCCATCTTGCAGATGAGAGTGGTAATGTTTCCCCTGATCTGCACTAACATTTGCAACATCCTGGTAGTTCTTTTGTTACAAAGGCTATGATCATTAGGTGACTTATTATATTGAATTGAACTAGGAAATTTTTTCCAAAAGTGAATAAATATGTAACATTTACCAGTCAATTCTTTATGATTAGGAATAAAATAGGCCCTGTCTGGGCAGACACAGTGCTATATCATCTGATGCAGTCATTTTATTTCTCTTCAGACTTTTATTGTGTTCTATACACAGATAATATATGTATCTCTTGATTTGCTTTGTTAGAGACTGTAAATGAAACTTCACAAAACCATCTTCAAAATCATGTAGTGAAACAAGAGTTGGAAACATTTTTTTTCTCTTTATCATCGTTGCTTTCAGTTGAATAAATGTACATTTCTTGCTGACTGCAAGAAAAGCCATTAAAAAGCTGTTCCCAGCTAAAAGGTTTCAACACACAGGGAATTACATCACCAGCTTTATTTTCCCCCCTTAGCAGAGACAGACGTGGTTATAATAGCCAAATCAAAGAACATTTGTTTGAATGATCTGTAATCAGCACCGCTGTTGTCCATTGAAGTTGTGAGCAGTTCTACATCCATAAAAATCTTGTACCTGGAAAACTGGATGTGTTACTTTCAATTTAAGCACAATTACTATAATGCTAAAATTTTCTTACAATAAAACAATGGAAAACTATCATATTAACAAGTCTGTCAACTGTGAATGCAGTATGATGATCAAAAATGCAATCTGAATAACAAATATCAAATACATATAGTAGAAGAGAAACAAACAAAAGAAACCCAGTAAGTTCAGTGGTGGACTGGAGCAACCAGGCAGAGTATGATCGAAGAATACTAGAAATTTGTCACATTACTACATGATTTTTCCCTCTAAGCTACACAATTTCATTATAGAAAATTCAGGTAATGCCTCTTTATCATCTTATTCGTAACACGTTGCTTGAGTTCTCATTTTAAAATAATAAGAAACAATACAAATCAATGTATTTCTAATTGTGACCAATTTAATCAGCTAAAGTAAACATTTAACTTGTGTTGTCAGGAAACTTGACTATTTTTATGCTGTGCCAGAAACTGTACCAACGTAAATTATTTGGGAAGAATAGAAGAATAATATTTGCATAGTACTTTAAAATTTACAAAATGCTTTTACCTAAATTCTCATTTTCTCTTCACAATAATCCTGTGAAGTAGTTAGTGAGGTGGTCAGAGTCACTATTTTCCAGGGGATAATATATAATTGATTTATCATCATATACTCTCTTTCTCTGTCAACTTGACTCCTTTGAGCCATTATTTTTCCTAAAAGATACAGACTTTCCTGAAGATGAACATTCATCCTATTGGGACAGTTTCCCCCTTAGGTTACTTCTCAGTGGGCAGTAACATTGATATATACATTGCTCTTGAAGTATAATATATATTTAAAAAAGAAACCTCTGTAAGCTAGTTCTCAAGGAAGAGTTGAATAGCACAAGAACAGGAAATATCGCAATTGTGTAGATTTGCAAGAACTGGGATATGTTTCCATGTAGGGAATTTTCTAAATTAACACCTAATTAGCTATGAGGTATTATGGTTCCATAGAATTTAGAAATTGAAGGGGGAGAAGGACTCAATATCTTTGATCCTTTACCAAATGTGTTTGTTACATTATTTTTTGAACATGTTTTAAAAATTAAAGTGAATTTTTGCAGTAAGAAAATCATCAGTGATTTAAATGAGAATAAGCGATACTGCTCTGGCTGAAAGTCATCTTTTTTTCATAAAGTCAGAATGCTGACCACAATATTTTCCACTCTAGAAAAATAAAATTAAATAAGATTAACTGGTTGTGTTGCATTGAGATTAATGTGGGTGGAAATGAATGGTTTGGAATTCAACTTGGTTTTGGTAAGCAAAATTGCTTATCTTAAATCTCAGGAGTTGACTAAATTTGGTTTTCTTCACCTCCAATTCCATTAAGAATCAGAAAATGTAGAAATACATGTTTGTATAATCACACATATACCTGAATTTAAATAAATTATAGAAGGAAGGCAATGTTTTATAAACCTGAAACATAGGAATTACAAGTTTCAAATGATTCTAGCTTTATACAAAAGTGCTTTCATAGAACTATGAAAAAAGTGATTCAAATGTAAATGGTTTACAATCAATTTTTTCAAATGCAAATAGTATCATCTTATTATAAAATAATATTTTGTGAATATTTCAGGGAATATTAAAGAAGCATGGGGAAGATGAATATATAGAAGTATAAAAAAGAAAGTCACCAATAATCTCACTACATAGTAACAATTTCTTGTAACATTTTGTTATAATCATTCCAAAATTTCTATAACTTCTACATTTTGCAATTGTGTCATTAAAGCTTTAATATTCACAATGCAGTGCAGGGCAGTAAGAAATAGAAACTAAAGAAGCAGAAGGATGGGCAGAAGAAGCAGAAGCATTTAGTGCCAAGACAAGTTTCATGTTATAAATCAAGCAAGAGTTTTAAAGCAGTTGAAGGTATGCTACCACCTGTTCCTATTCCAGATGTGTCCAGGTAAGAAACAAGAAGCTTATCTTGTGACTATGAAATGTCTGAGTTCATATAAAGCTTATGTTAAAAAAAGAGCACACAATCTCCTAACATTTTAAAGAGATAAGGAATGGAAGTATATTATTTTATTACTGACTACTTTTAAATTTACAAACCACAGGTCTAGTAAATTGTTACTTAGTCAATTATTTTCTATCAAAATACCTAAGCTTAGAGTTTATCAACTTATGCAAGTGAAAGCACATCTTTTATGAAAACTGACAATAGTCTCCAACTATTATGATAGACCTTATGATTAACTCCTGAGCAAGTATTTAAATAGATGGTTTTTTAAATCAGAAGTTTATTTACTCTGTTATAGTCCTCTAGCTCTTTCTTTATATTTATTAGGTTCTATCATGTTCTGTGTGTTATGTAGGGCATCATCTTGTTTGCCAACTCCAAATCCCTAGAATGCCCCAGAGAGGAATCTGCCTTCCTTGTTAGCGTTGCACTTGCCTTCATTCACTCCTTTAGTCACATCGGCAAGTGAACTAACTCTTCCCATTGAATGGAGGTGCAGTACTTATTTGAGTTGAAATAGTTACCTAGCATTTCCCTTCACTTCCACAAAGTGTAGTATTTTGTGTATATTAGAGGAGAGCAATAGCAAAGTGTGGTCATGTGGCTATTCCCATCTTTGGTTTCATAACAAGGTAGATCATTAACTGATACAGAGTAAAAGGTCAGATATTGATCCTTTAGGATTACAGGTTTACAACAAAGGATGGATGGACTACCACAAAAGAAAGAGCCTCAGGGAGCAGCAGCATATGGTGGCTTGTTTTGTAATCAGAGGCAGTTTACAATGTAGGAAGCCATAGGACTCTATTAGTCACTGGTGAAAGTTTTTTTCAGAGCCTGCCATAAAGTCATTTGGACTTGGTTTATACCCTGGAATTGTAGAAGGAGATATCCTGAGTTATTCACTAGCCCTTGACTCAAATAGGTAGCAAAATTAATATTATTACAAATGCAAGCAGTACCAAGAGAAAGGAAAAATCACCATTCTGTTATCAGGAAGGCAACTTTTGCCACTAAGACTTTTCAAAACAACTGTTTACTTACTGATATATCTGAGAAGATGATTGACCAATTAGAGGATAGTCTCAGTCCTAAATTCTACAGGTTATAGTTCAGTTGATCTTTTTCCCACATTAAAAATAATGTTAGCTCTATTTGTGAAAGGTTACTTTTTCAAAAAAACAGTTCTCTGTTCCCTGAACAAAATGCACCCTTCATACTTTTTAAGATTGTTTCTTGATCTGTACATTTTCTCCAATACCCTCTACATCGTTAAAGGCTTTGTTTTATTAATTAGAGTTTTTCTTTGTATCTTTAACTTTTATCTCTTCATGGGCCCCATTTACTCTTCCTATAAGTATGTCAGGTTTCCTTTTCTCTAAAGAAGCTTCTTCCCAACTCTCTTGAGGTACTGTCTTAACATCTCCTGGGGTTTTCATGACCACACCTACAGTTAGAATGCTTGGCTGTCATTGCCTGTTCTTTTTTGTGGCTGATGAATACTTTCTGGCTTCAGGACCTGTAACTACGCTAGATTTTGTCTCAGGGTTACTGATGCCCCTTATGCAGTGGATTCAGTTCTGTTCTTTGTCTTCACCCTTGTCAATTGGTCATGCATTTGATCCTTTTGACCAAATTGTGCTTCTCATCTCCGTCTCCCTTGGGTTTCATGTTCCCGCACCTTTGAGTTCTCCTGTCACTCTTAATGATTGCCTTTGTTTTCACTATCTTTTTCTCTGCTGCTTCTTTACTTGTAAACCTGTAAGATGTTGCTATCTTAACTCTCTTTCATTTACTTGCTTTATCTTCTCTTTCTGAGTGATTGTGGCCATAGGAGCTTTACCTTTGGCTCTATGCAAATGACTCCCAAATTCATGTACTTACTTATTTATTTCTGAGAAACAGTCTGGCTGTGTCACCCAGGCTGGAGTGCAGTGGCACCATCTCAGCTCACTGAAACCTCTGCCTACTGGGTTCAAGTGATTCTCTTGCCTCAGCCACCCGAGTAGCTGGGACTACAGGCACACGTCAATGTGTCCAGCTAATTTTGTATTTTTAGTAGAGACAGGGTTTTGCCATGTTGGCTAGGCTGGTCTCAAACTCCTGGCCTCAAGTAATCTGCTTGCCTCAGCCTCCCAAAGTGCTGGGATTACAGGCATGAGCCACTGCACCCAGCCCAAATTCATGTCTTTACTTCTACTCTGAGCTAGAAAGACAGACAGACACACACACACACAGAAAAAAAACCACACACTTCCAGCTTCTAACTACATGTCAGACATTTTATTTTTCAACTCTTCAGATTGGACTACTCTTGCCCTGGATTTCTAACCCATTTGTGTTAATGGCTCCACTCTCTTGCCAATAGCTCAAGCTAAAAATGTAGGAGCCATTCCCTGTTCTTTAGGCTACTAAATCTGACCAATGCTAAATCCTGACAAGTTTACCTGCATATTGTCTCCCACCTTTTAATCTCTGCTGTTAATTCACTGATTCAACCCATCACTGCTTCTTTACCTGGTCTAAATATTCCATTAACCACTTTATCTGTCTTGAGGCTACTTTCTTGACCTTTCTCAATCCATTCTAAATACACTGACAGATCAAGATCTTTTAAATGTGATTGGAATCATTTTGTTTCCCTGCTCAGAATTTTTCAGCTGTCCTCCACTTCTTATTGCATTCTTTAAAACTCTTTCACTTTATGTTACAGTCTTGTGTGCTTGGTGACATGGAATACGTTCTGAAAAATGCATTGCTTGGCGATTTTGACATTTTGCAAACATCATAGCGTGTACTTACACAAACCTAGATGGCGTAGCCTACAGAACACCCAGGATATATGGTATAGCCTATTGCTCCTAGGCAGCATACCTCTATAGCATGTTCCTGTAGTGAATGCTATAGGTAATTGTAACACAGTGGTATTTGTGTATCTAAACATAGAAAAGGTACAGTAAAAATATGGTATTATAGTCTTATGGGATCACCATCATACATGCATCCAAAGCTGACAGAAGTATTTTATGTGACATATGACTGTATTTACCTCTTTTAACATTCTATGGAATTTACTTATGAGACTCCTATGGCAAATATCAGTTTCTACCATCTGTTATAACTACTTATGTCTATCTCTAATTTTTCCTGTTAGAAGTTTCTGAAGACCAAGGATCATGATTATCAGAGTTTTGATCCCTGACTGTACCTAGTATCATGACTTACACAAAGCAGAAATTTAATACATTGAAAATATAAATTAAGAATCCTTTGTGCATTTAGAGAATGGGAAATTGGGTGTAAGCAATAGAGCATTTAAATATGTTAACTGCCTTATTTAATATCATAATAAAATTCTGACAAAAAGCTAATATATTTTCTGATTTACTTTATACGTTACACTCACTTTATAACTGATACCTAAAAATGTCCAGCTCATGCTGATGCAAGAGGTGGGCTCCCACAGCCTTGGGCAGCTCTGCCCTTGTGGCTTTCCAGGCCACAGCCCCACTTCCAGCAGCTGGCATTGAGTGTCTGTGGCTTTTCCAGGTGTGTGGTGCTTAAAAGGAGATAACTTTAATATTATCAAATTATAAAAATTAAAAATAGATAAGCTGAGATATTGGTAGAAATCCCAAAAAATCACATTTTGATACACTATTGTTGGGAAAACATTTTGGTATACATTTTTACAATATATTTGAAAAGTCTTAAAAGTAGAATACTCTCTGACCCAAAAACCCCCTTCTATGAGTGTGTTCTATAAAAATAATATGGATTATGCTCAAAGATTTAGCTTTCAGGGTGTTTATTACAGCAATGTCAGTAATGTAACATTGGAAAGGATAAATGAAAGACATAAGAATTGAAAGGGAGGAGATAAGACTGTCATTACTTACTGGTGATTTGATCAACTATGTAGATAACCCAAGAGGTCAACAGGTAAGCTATTAGTCCTAATGAGAAAATTGACCAAGTTTGCTGAATAGAAGCTCAACTAACAAAAATTAATAGGTTTCTTCTATGGCAATAACGATGACAATAACTAGCTAGAAAATATAGTAAACAATACATCATTTGCAATAGCAACCTAACATACCACAAAATAATAAATCAATCTTTATGGGAGAATGATTTGAAGAAATGTAAATATATCATGACTGACTTTCAGATAATAAAACATACTAAAATTATAGTATAGGCACAATACTGACAAGAATAGACCAAAAAATGAAATTGTATTAGTCTTTTCTCATGCTGCTATAAAGAACTGCCCAAGACTGGGTAATTTATAAAGAAAAGAGGTTTAATTTAAGAGGTTTAACTCACAGTTCTACAGGGCTGGGGAGGTCTCAGGAAAGTTACAATCATGGTGGAAGGGGAAGCAAACACATTCTTCACATGGTGACAGGAGAGAGAAGTGAAGAGTGAAATGGGGAAAAGCCCCTTATAAAACCATCAGACCTCATGAGAACTCAATCACTATCATGAGAACAGCATGGGGGAACCAACCCCATGATCTAATCACCTCCCACAAGGTCCTGCCCCCAACACGTGGAGATTACAACAGGGATTACAATTCAAGTTGAGATTTTGGGTGGAAAGACTACCAAACTATATTATTCTGCCCCCGCCTCCTCCCAAATCTCATGTCCTCACATTTCAAAATACAATCATGTCTTTATAACAGTCCCCCAAATTCTTAACTCATTCCAGTATTATCTCAAAAGTCCAAGTCCAAAGTCTCGTCTGAGACAAGGCATGACCCTTCCACCTATGAGCCTGTAAAATCAAACGCATGTTATTTACTTTCTAGGTACAATGGGGGTACAGGCATTGGGTAACACCTCTTCCAAATGGGAGAAATCGGCCAAAATGAAGGTGCTACAGGCAGACACCATACAAGACCAAAATCCAGCAGGGCAGTCATTAAGCTAAGCTTAAAGTTCCAAAATGATCTCCTCTGGCTCCATGTCTCATGTCCAGCTCATGCTGATGCAAGAGGTGGGCTCCCACAGCCTTGGGCAGCTCTGCCCTTGTGGCTTTCCAGGCCACAGCCCCACTCCCAGCTGCTTTCATGGGCTGGCATTGAGTGTCTGTGGCTTTTCCAGGTGTGTGGTGCAAGCTGTTGCTGAATCTACTGTTCTGGGGTCTGGAGGATGGTGGCCCTCTTCTCACAGCTCTACTAGGCAGTGTCCCAGTGAGGACTCTGTTTGGGGGCTCCAGCCCCAGATTTCTCTTCCACATGACCCTAGCAGATGTTCTCCATGAGGGCTTTACCCCTGCCCCAAACTTTTGCCTGGACATCCAGGCATTTCCATACATCTCCTGAAATCTAGGCGGAGGTTCCCAAACCTCAATTCTTGACTTCTGTACACTCACAGGCTCAACACCATGTGAAAGACACCAAGGCTTGGGGCTTGCACCCTTTGAAGCAATAGCCTGAGCTTTCCTTTGTCCCTTTTACCCACAGCTGGAGCTGAAGCAGCTGGGATTCAGAGCACCATGTCCCAAGGCTGCACAAAGCAGGGGGGCCCTGGGTCCTGCCCAGGAAACCATTTTTCCCTCCTAGACCTCCAGGCCTATGATAGGAGGGGCTGCTGTGAAGGTCTCTGACATGCCCTGGAGACATTTTCCCTGTTATCTTGGTGATTAACACTTGGCTGCTTGTTAGTTATGCAAATTTCTGCCGAGGGGTTGAATTTCTCCCCAGAAAATGGAATTTTCTGTTCTATCACATCATCAGGCTGCAAATTTCCCAAACTTTGATGCTCTGCTTCCTCTTGAAAGCTTTGCCACTTAGAAATATCTTCCACCAGATAGCCTAAATAATCTCTCTCAAGTTTAACATTCCACAGATCTCTAGAGCAGGGGCAAAATGCCACTAGTCTCTTTGTTAACGCATAGCAAGAGTGACCTTTACTCCAGTTCCCAACAAGGTCTTCATCTCCATCTGAGACCACTTCAGCGTGGACTTCATTGTCCATATCACTGTCAGCATTTTGGTCTAAGCCATTTGACAAGTCTCTAGGAAGTTCCAAACTTTCCCACATTTTCCTGTCTTCTTCTGAGCCCTGCAAACTGTTCCAACCTCTGCCTGTTAACCAGTTCCAAAGCCACTTCCACATTTTCTGGTATCCTTATAGCAGCATCCCACTACCTCAGTACGAATTTACTGTATTAGTTCATTCTTACACTGCTGTAAAGGACTGCCCAAGACTGGGTGATTTATAAAGAGGTTGTAATTGGCTCACAGTTCCACAGGGCTGGGGAGGCCTCAGGAAACTTACAATCAAGGCACAAAGGGAAGCAAAGACGACCTTCTTCATAGGGTGACAGAACAGGAAAGTGCAGAGTGAAGAGGGGAAAAGCCCCTAATAAAATAATCAGGTCTCATGAGAACTCACTCACTATCATGAAAACAGCATAGGGAAACTGCCCCCATGATCTAATCACCTCCCACAAGGTCCTGCCTCTGACATGTTGGGATTACAATTTGGATTACAATTCAAGATGAAATTTCGGGTGGAGACACAGCCAAACCATATCAGAAATAGAAGGCTCAAAAACATTAATATGTATGAGAATTGACATGTAACACAAACCGATGGAGAAAGAATAAATCATTTAGATGTTAATATTGGAAAAACTGGTACACAATGTGGTTGGGAAAGTTTGAATCTCTTTCTTACAACATATTCAAAGGTTCACTCCATATGGATTAAAGACCTAAGCATGAAAAAAGAAAATTATAAAATTAATAGAAGAAAATATAGAATACCCTTGCAATCTTGAAGAAAGAAAAGTCTTCCTACAGACAGCTGCAAAAATGCAAATCTTAAGGAGAAAGAATTTATTTAACTATATTAGATTAAAGATCTCCGTTCAATGAAAGACACCTTAAAAAAAGCAAAAGTGGTTAAAGCGGAAGTATTAGTAATGCCTAAAAACAAGAGATAAATACTTAAAATATACAAAAGTACATCTGATAATCCAGAATAGTAAAAAAATGGGCAAGGATATAAACCTGCAATTCAAAGTAGGAAACTAAATGGTTAAGAAGGTATGAAGAGATGTTTCCACTCACTAGTAATCAAAACATACAAAGTACAATCATGGTGAAATACTATTTTGCACCTATCAGATTGTGAAATGACTCAGGATGGGGGCTGACTACATCAGAAAGATCAACCATGAAATTAAAGGATTGAGATTTTGAGCCACATGATATCAGCCTGACATCCTGTGATGGAAGTGGGGACTAGAGATTGAGTTTAACTGCATGGTCAATTATTCAAGCAATTATACCTAGTAATGAAGCCTCAATAGACTCTGACACTGAAGTTTAGGTGAGCTTAGGTGATCAGCAGCACTCTGTGTATTATCACACGTTGATGTGCCGGGAGGGTAATGCATTCCTGAGGACAATGTAAGCTTTGTGTTTGGAACCCTGCTGGACTTTGCCTTATGGCTCTCTTTGGCTGATACCAATTTGTGTTCTTTTGCTATAACAAAACTATAATAAGAAGTATAACGCTTTCCTGAGTTCTGTGAATCATTCTATAGAATTGTGAAACCTGAGGGGAGAGTGAGAACTTCCAAATTGTAGCCAGCTGGTTAAAATGAAAGTGGCCTGGAGGCCCCCAAATTTGTGGCTCGTGGTGTCTGAGTAAGGGCAGTCTTGTGAAGACCTGTGTCCTTAGCCAGTGAAATTTGACCTCTGCAGGGAGTTCGTGTCAGAAATTATTGCAGATGCATATGACAACAGTGAAACCACCCAAACATTTAACAATAGAGTGTTAATAACATGGACTGAATACCTTGATTTATTCAGCATTAAGGTAACACATAATATATTAATGGATGAATAATACTTTAAAATGGGATTCTAGATATATTAAGTGACAAAACCAAGATCAAACATTGTTATTCAATAACTCCAGTTTTTTAGGAAAATATGCATGTATCTCTTGGCAGGGTA
Organism: Homo sapiens; assembly: GCF_000001405.40. Taxonomy (NCBI): domain Eukaryota; kingdom Metazoa; phylum Chordata; class Mammalia; order Primates; family Hominidae; genus Homo; species Homo sapiens. Next base: position 148,255,887 of record NC_000003.12, on the reverse strand, counting down.
TTAAATTATTTTTCCTTCTCTTTGCCATTTCTAATTTTACTTCAATAAACATTATTTTTCTAAGAAGAATAAAATGCCGTTCTGGACATTTTTAGGAGTACATTATTATAAGTATACTTTTTACTAATTTTTACATGTTATAATGTGTTTCTTTTTCCATATGCTCAATATTGCTAACCTAAAGTCTGTCAAGACCCGCTGGTGAGCCCTAGTCTAGGCTCCACGTGAATGTGGTTATAGCTCAGACTCAGATCCTTGCTTTCTTGTTTGCTCAAGCATTCAGGGCTCATGACATGGTCTTCAGCATTTGGTCTTCTGTCTTTTTGCATTTTCAGGGACTTGGCTCTCATCTCACAGAGCTCTTCCTCTAGAGGAACTCTAGCAGTGGAGGGGATCATATCTTGCAAATGGTATGTGAGAGAGGGCCCTTGGAAAACTGCCATCTATCCAGCTCACCTTGACCTACATCTCTGAGGCAAAATTTGAACCTAGACCGTCTCCAAAAGTGGGGCTTTCCATGTAACTCATAGAAAGGATAGGGAGGTATATGGGACTGAGCACACTTTGTGACATAATCATTCCATGTGATGTGAATCCACCTGGGAAAGAGCTGGGCCACTTTACTAGCTTGTTTGTTCTAATATTGATAGACTATTCTTAGTTAGACAATACTGCTCTGTAGAAATAATAAAAGCAAGCTAAAATTTAGAACATCAGATGTGGAATTTTTGTTTCCCTTCACACTTCTTTTAATTTAAAGATAAACTTTCAAAACTGTATTAGTGATGCTGAAAAAAAGGAAAAGACAAATAAACTTGTCTCTTAAAAAATCATCTTTACATACAACCCTGTTTAGGCTAATTCTGCCTTTGATTTTGTAAGTATTTTTATTGCCTGATAAACTAGTAAATTTCTAATGGTGATATTATGGGGTTTTTAAATTATCAGGTTTAAAATATTAGCTAGCAGGTAATTTTGTGTATAACAATGTTGGAAAAATTCTGTGAAACTACTGTACCTAGGTCTTACATTATTTAATTTAATAGCATAAATATATGCACCTCATTTTCTTATCTCTAAAATATCACTTTCTAAAGAAATTGTGTGAGAATATGAGTTTAGAAGAGTGATCTTGTGCTGTAATTGGAAATTCTACACACTATTTCTGGCCCTTGCTTTAACAAACTGAAGCAGGAGTACAATTTTTTTAAAAAAGAAAATGACCTTGGCAAAAGATTTTCCCTTTGTATTCTGCCCTTGTTGGTTAATAATCTATTAAAGATAATGAGCACTGTACTAGGTGCTGTGGGGAGTCACAGGAAAGACAGTCTCATTGCCCACCCAGAAGGGGCAATGGTCATGACTTAAATGCTGCTTGAGGTAAATCGCTCTTCTTATGCCCCAATGGATGATCTGTTTTATTCTGAGCCCGTAGGGTCTCAGGAACTCCTTTAAATTGGAGATTTTCTTACTTTTCTTTCTTTCTTTTTTTTTTTTTCCTTTATGCACCCATCCCTACGCTTCCACACATATTTCCTTTCCTATTCAGTTAGCTCTGCTTTAAGAAGAGATGAAGGGGCCGGGCACAGTGGCTCACACCTGTAATCCCCACACTTTGGGAGGCTGAGGCAGGCCGATCACTTGAGGTTAGGAGTTTGAGACCAGCCTGGCCAACATGATGAAACCCAGTCTCTACTAAAAATACAAAAATTAGCCAGGCATAGTGGTGGGCACCTGTAATCCCAGCTACCCGGGAGACTGAGACAGCAGAATTCCTTGAACCTGGGAGGTGGAGGTTGCAGTGAGCTGAGATGGCGCCACTGGACTCCAGCCTGGGTGACAGTAGAAGACCCTGTCTCAAAAAAAGAGAAGAGTTAAATGGAAAAAGTTTTGTCGGAATGAAAAAAGCATACAAAGCTGCACTCTAATTTTTTACAGTCCTAAGTCAGTATTTGACTACAAATATTGACTTAATATTGTAGCCATATTTTTTTTGCTTGATAAGGTTTTTATTCTTTTGCACCACCAGGACCTCTAGTCCATTATCTCTATGAGCTTTTCACTGTCACTATCTTTTTACCAACCTTGGATTCTATAGTCTACCTTTAGCAACACCTCTTTGAATGAATTCCTTTGCTAGTCTCTTACCAAATAATATCTTCCCAACACAGTCCCAACTCTAGTTACATCCAATTCTTTAACTACATGGTGCTTGTATCTATTTAGCTGAGTATTGCCAGAGGAGACCATAACATAATTAACCATCTCACATTAAATTCTTGACCACAAAACTCTTAAGTGGGACCTTTAGGGCTACTTAATAGACATCCTGTTTGATATTTCCCTGGACATTTCATTTCCCATTTTCCCTTAAACAATGATTTCACACTTCTTCCTTTCACTTCAAATCTCTGATGCCTCCTCCTTCTCCAGAGTATCAGACAATGACTTATTTTTTGTTTCACTGACAAAATAGAAGCAATCAGAAGAACTTTGCAATTGTTGCTATTATTTGGTTTGCCAAATGCCCTGCACCTAGACCCTTGTATTTTGCCATCCCTCTGGTTATGTGTATTAACTACTAGTCCTTTTATCTGAAGCCAACTCCACTTGAGTTTTCCTCTAACCTACTCAGAAACTTCACTCCTGCATTGTTTTCCCCCTCTACATGATAATTGTCTCTGGTTTGCAAACATGTGATACTGTCTCCCACTGAACTCACATCTCTTTGCAGCCATTGTTCTGTTTTTCTAAATCAGGGTGTGGGTGGGAGTTTATTAAACAGAAAATCAGAGAAAGCTTTTCTTGTAAAGTAACCTCTAGCCTGATAACTTGACTTGCCTAATGAATGACTCCAGTATGAAAATGTAAATGGCTGGGCTGGGCGCGGTGGCTCATGCCTGTAATCCCAGCACTTTGGGAGGCTGAGGTGGGCAGATCACTTGAGGTCAGGAGTTCAAGACCAGCCTGACCAACATGGTGAAACCCTGTCTCTACTAAAAATACAAAATCAGTCGGGTGTGATGGTGCACGCCAGTAATATCTGCTACTAGGGAGGCTGAGGCAGAAGAATAGCTTGAACCCGGGAGGAGGCGGAGGTTGCAGTGAGCCAAGATCATACCACTGCACTCCAGCCTGGGTGTCAGAACAAGACTCTGTCTAATAAATAAATAAATAAATAAATAAACAAACAAACAAACAAACAAACTCTCCATTCTCATCCTCTACACCATCCTGCTCCACAAGCATCCTTTCCCAACTACATTCTTTTGAATGCTCAGACAATAACCATGGTGTCATCCTTGCCTTTCTTCTTTCTCTCACTCATGTTAAAGTATAATTTTCCAAAGAAAGCATAGCTGTCATGCAAGTATAAAATAAAATAAACATATGTCAAAGACACATTAAAGAGGGAACCAGTAAGGTGTATTTATAAGCTTGCTAACTAAGAAATAAATATTAGAAAAGGATTGCTATGTTAGATGTAAAACTGGTTAGTATCCCATAGAGCAATAAAGTATAATTTGGGGGTTATCTTTTTCACTAGACAATGGTTATTTGAATATCTATTGGACAGACATCTCCAAATTGTCCTGTAATTTTACTAAACCTGGTACCTTTAATCCAAAATTCTTACACTGAGATAACATTTAAATGGGCCTTTGTTCCCATAAGACATTGAAAGGATATGCCATCCTTTCAATAAGGCCATCCACCTCTTGCCTTATTTCCTAAGTTTCACATAATTTTAATTAACACCCAACTTGCAAACCATCAATAAATTCTGTTGGTTCTAACATAAAAATATTTTCAGGATTCAAATATTTCTCTCCGTTTTTGGTATCATCCTGATTCAGGTCATCTCTTGCCTAGCTATTTGCAAGTTTTCCCTATCTAGTCTCTCTGCTTTTTCCCTTGCTTTTCTAATTTATTCTCCATAGCAAGGGCAGAGTGATCCTGACCCATTAAAATCATTTGAATGGTTTACTGTTTCACTCAGAATAAAATTCAAAGTCCTTACTTTGGTCTAAAAGATATGATCCTCTTATTCTGGCTAATTTCCCGATTTTATCTCCTCCATTCTACCTTAGTCTTCTTTCTTATACTCAAAGAGGCAATTATCCTGCCTTAGGGATGTTCTTGCCTAGAAAGCTCTTATTCCCAGCAACTTAGAAAGCTTCTATTCCTAGCTTTCTGTATGGCTCACTTCCTCACTTCATTTGGGTCTCTCTCAAATGTTACTTTACAAGAGAAGCATTCTCTGATTTCCCGTTTAATAGACTCTCACTCCTTGCCCTGATTTATTTTTCTTTATAGCACTTATTACCACCAACATACTATAAATTTATGTTCATGTATTACCAGTTTCTGCCTCCTAGAATGTACATTTCATGGGAGTAAAAACTATATTTTGTTAATATAAGCCCAGTACATAATAGGTATCAATAAATATATGTTGAATGAAGAAATAAATATAGAGTTTTTTCTTGGAAATAATCTCATAGAGAGGCTTTCACATTTTCAGTAACCTAACCTACTTATTACCTGTTTCCTCCTTTCTATAAACACACAAACCCATTCTTGTATGAGTGTGCTCCTTTATCATAATTACAAAAGCTACCCCTTTTCAAATAAGTCATCTCATAAAAGCCATGATTTTTGTTTTGCTGTAACTCTTTGAATAGGCATTAAAATCTGAGAAGTCAGAACAATAGTGTCTAGGAAGCAGGGGAGACTGACTTTTCCATTTTGAAGACTCCCCAGTACCAATGAAGGTCTCATTAGTCCAGTTATCAACAGATTAAATGTACTTAAGGAAGTTCAAAACCCCATCATGATGAACTTCTGTTTCCTCTTCTCCTGCTACATTACCATAGGCAAGTGGCTCTCAAAGCCTTGTTTCAGGACCAGCAGCATCTACATCACCTGAGACACTGTTAGAAAATACAGATTTTTAGCCTCAACTCAGACCTGCTGATCAGAAACTCTGGGATGTTCAGCTCTTCCATCTGTGTTTTAGCAAGCCTTCCAGGTGATTCTGATGCTCATGTAAAGTTTAGAACCACTACCTTAGGTGGTTGGCCTCTATACCTGAAGAGGCAGTGGTGAAGTTAATTATACTTGAGTCAAGTGCCTCAAATCAAATCTTAGCTTTGTTTTGTTGCTTTCTAGCTGTGTGACTTTAACTAAGTTACTTAACTTCTCTATGTCTCATTTTCTTTGGATATGAACTGGAGATATTAATAGCACCAATCTTGTAGCTGTATTATGAAGATTAAATTAATACACCCAAGTGAAACACTTAGGACAATGCCTGGCATATAGTAAGAAACAACTGCAAAGTAGATAAGCATTGGTGTTACTTACAAAAATTACGTTATTGAATGCTTTTTGGTATGCTTTCTGTACTAGCTTATACATTCTTTGAGGGAAAAATATATTTTATATTTATCTATCCTCATAGAACTGAGCATATTATCGTTAATATTACAATCATTAACTGAGTGCTTACTGTGTGCCAGGGAATGTGTTAAGAACTGTAATATTTTGCTGTTGCCTCAAACTAAAAGACAAGTCTACATTAATCTGCCCATTGCAATTATTTTTGCATTATTTTAGAAACTTCTTAAATGTCATAACCGATGAGTCTCAATCATTACTTATATAAAAATAAGCAAGTCACACAAATTGTAGCTCTTTTGTAGCCTATTTGAATTGTATAGAATTTCTGTGCAACTATACATTTTTGTATCTCATTAATTTGTTATAAAGAGCAAAAAAATGTTAATGTCAAGTCAAATTGCCTGTAAATGACTTAAGGAATATGTTAATGATCTTGCTCCAAATGAATAATTATAAAGCAGGTGCACTGGAGATATGATCATTTAACTGAAAGAAAACAGCTTCTAATGGCTTCAATAACCAAGATAATGGTGATATTGGAGAAGCCTGTTAAACTCATTGTTCATGCCATTCATTTAATACACAAGAGAACTTCAGATGGAATCTCCCTGTGGACTCATTGCCCTGCTTATTTAAATAGCAGTTAATTTAAACACACACCCAAGTCAAAACTGCATTATTTCTAACACACCTCTTTCTAATAAACTATGTTCTCCAATAACAGAACCCCTGTCTCGAGAAACATGTCTGTATATTTATATAGGCACCATTCTTTTGCTGTTGAGATTTATCCCCCATTAGTGTTAAAGGCACAGGAAATGCCGAAGACTGGCAGTACAACTTTTTGACCAAGGCCCTAAAAGGTAGCAGCCACCATGTTCCCCAGAGTCCAAAAGGAATAGAAACTAGTGGATTTAAGCAAAGTTGACAAAATTTTGATTTGCTGTGTTGAGGATCCTTAGTTGAAATGAACATAATTCACACTTCTAAAAACAAACTACATTTAATAGCAATGATTACAAACATATAGAGAGAGGAAAAATGGATGTGGGTGTCTAGGTCATTTCATTTGAATTTTGAACTTTTTCTTCTCATCAAGACTCTGGTTATAAGTGAGAGGAATCAAACCCCAACTGGCTTAAGCAGGAAAAGGAATTTATTGACTCAAATATCTGAAAAGTCCAGGGTTAAACTGATTTCAGCCATGGCTAGACCCAGGTGCTCAAGACTTTCCTCTGCCAACTGCTTGTCTTCCAGAAAAGCTTTTTATAATGGAATAAGAGAGCCATAGCATATACCGCCTGTCACCCTAAAGATCCACATGAAGCCAGCTTAATTTCAGCTGAAAAATGATGTCTTCCCCACTTGATTGATTGGGCAGAGAATTTCTGATGAAGACTCTGACTTGTCTAAATTAGGTTGTATGCCTGCCTCCAGGCAGGGGTGCAAGGAAACAGGGCTATGTTTTTTGCACTGAAACATGGAATCAGTACCCCACATAAAAGCGGCGTTTCATTTACTAAAAGAAGTGGAAAGAGATGCTGGGATCCTCAACATATTCCTTTGCATTCCACGGTGGATTTTCTCGTATATATGTACCCCCTTCTTTTTTCTTACATATGTACTTTATTTTAGTTTAGTTTAGTTTTGAAACAGGGCCTACCTTTGTCACCCAGGCTGGAGTGCAGTGGTGCAATCTCCGCTCATTGCAGCTGTCACCTCCTGGGCTCAAGTAATCCTCCCTCCTAAACCTCTCGAGTAGCTGGGACTACAGGTGCACACCACCACACCAGGCTAGATTTTGTATTTTTAGTAGTGATGGGGTTTCACCATCTGTGGTCTCGAGGCGAGTCTGGCCTCAAGTGAACCTGCCTTGGCCTCCCAAAGTGATGGCATTACAAGCATGTGCCACCATGCCTGGCCACCTATATACTTTTAGATACATAATACACAGCAACTTCATCATATAGACTCTGAAATATGCGCTCCCCCTTCGCTGATGTGCTGTTTGAATTCTGCATTTGTTTCTAAGTTTAGGAGTTCTCTAGTTTATATGCATCATGTCTTCTGGTCAGGACATGGCTCCTCATAGCATGGCCAATCATGGCTAACAACTCTATTTTAGGGTTTGTTACTTGCACACAATGTTCATGACATTATGATTCCTAATTGCAAATGACAAGTCTAGTTCAGAAGTAGGCTGCCTTTGTCCTTAAGTAATGTCCTCTGAGCTCCATCTTTTCGACAGGTTCTCCCTATACGGTCAGTATCCAGCTATTGATAGCTCAGGTCCCACCTCCTAATAGCTTTTCAGTCTCAGTGTAAATGGAGTTGAGGATTCAATGAGATTAATGCACACAAAAGCTGATCACAGTGTCCAACATATAGAAAGTTCCCAATAAATGATGGTTTTTTATATTGCAACTCTTGTTATTCTATTATCATCATCGTCGTTGTCATCAACATCATCATTATTATCATCATCTTGATAGCTTGTGGCAGGCAAGTCCTAGAATTGGCTTGACCTAGGTCATGTGATCATCTTGTGGTAGGAGGGAAGGGAATTAAAGTCTATTCATACTCAGTCAAACCTAGAGAATGGATTACCACAGGCTAAATGGGGGTAATCTATTTCTAAAAGCAGAAATAACAAATGTCAGGCAAGCAAGAACAACATATATCCACTACATTTCCCTAATCAACTACCTGGCCCATTGAATATTTGTTTTTGCTAAAGATTCTTTTTTTTTTTTTTTTTTTTGAGATGGAGGTCTTGCTCTGTTGCCAGACTGGAGTGCAGTGGTGGAATCTTGGCTCACTGCAACCTCTGCCTCCCGGGTTCAAGTGATTCTCCTGTTTCAGCCTCCCCAGTAGCTGTGACTACAGGCGTGCGCCACCATGCCCCGCTAATTTTTTGTATTTTAGTAGAGATGGGGTTTCACCAAGTTGGCCAGGATGGTCTCGATCTCCTGACCTCATGATCTGCCCACCTCAGCCTCCCAAAGTGCTGGGATTACAAGTGTGAGCCACTGCACCCAGCCCACTAAAGATTCTTAAAATTTGCAAATTTGCAAAAGTTTTCTAATATCAAAGTTTGAAGCTCTGGAAAACTAACCTAAGCTGGATTAATTAGACATGACTATTTAAAGATGTTATTGATATTGGTAACAAAAAGATTTGGTAGGATTAAAGTGTGTGTTTCCTAGTTTGCAAGCTTTGGCTAAATTACATATCAATGTATTTTTCTTTAGAAGTCATTTTCAGACAGAGGTAGTGGTTAACTTATTCCAATGTAATACAATTTTTTACAGGTAAAATTAATATAGATAATATGATCTATACATATATTCTTCTGTTTCTAGCATTTTCTTTTATGAGTTACTTAAACTATGATACTACAAGGAAGAGGGGAACAAACAACAGTATTGTGAATATATCTGCTCTGAAGCATAATAAAACAGGTGTACCTTAATAGGTCTACCAGGAATGTTTTAGCTGTTAGCATCTTTTAAATGCTTCTGCTGAGAAACCATGTTTTCATAACAAGGTTGGTGAGTATTAAACCTGTGATAGTTCTTTCTGGGATTACTATAATTTACAAAAACAATAAAAACCTGCTAAAAACATTTATGTATTTTTAAATGTTGTAATCTAGGGATCCCACTGATATTTGTGGTGAAAGATTTGCCCAAGGCTACATAACCCTGCTTGTACGTTGCCAGGACTGCAATCTGTTTTATGACAAAACAGATTCATTTATCTCCAAATAAATAAATTACTTTTGTGAACATTTAGAAACATTTGCATAATTAGGCTGTAAGATCTTAGCAGTCTTTTTCATAATAATTAAACTAATCTAATCTTGGACAGGGTAAACAGACTTACTAGGATGAGAGCAGCCTTCAGGCAAGGAACTTACAGCATTCTACAGGAACTGTAAGGCTGATGATGTTTGTTAATTATGCAGAGCTTTTACTCCCCAGTAATAGCAGCGTTTGTATTGCCTGAAGCTTAGATAGCTACTCCCAGGCACATGAAATTAGACTCTGCTTTTTTGACATTCTTCTAAAAAAAAAAAAAAGATACTTCAAAATGAGTACGTGCTTTCAACAAGGAGGGCATTAGCTTTCCACTGATGGAATCTTTATTTGCCTACAGTTGGGCCATTCTTCAGTCAGGTGATCTTGATTATCTTTAGAGCTGGAGCTTTTCAGACTGTATACAGATACACAGAGCTGAGGTTTAATAAAAAAGCAACAAAATGAATGACTACATTTCAATCCTTGGAACTTCCTGGAATCCCAAGTTTGAAAAATAGGCACTCTAGTCAATGTCATTTCGAAGATGCTCATTTTATTTACAATTATTAAATGGGAACTTTGTAATAATTAAATTAATGCAAATTAATGTTTTGCAAAATTTCAGTGATTTATAAAAATATCTCTTCATCAGACAGATTGGCTCATGTATTGGTTTTAATGATGACTTAGCTGGAGGGAACCACTGTCTATCTTTCTGCCTATAGCTAGTATATTTACCTTAAAGATGTAAAACTGAAAAATGAGTTGTCAAACAGATAAGATGAATTTCACCAAATTAATTGACAAAAATTTTACGTAATACTTATTATATATCCCCCTGCTATAGAAATGTACTCCACCATATTTTTTTTCAAAGGGAATCTAAATAACTGATGATTCAGAAAACAAGTCCTGGGAACATCAGTGAATTAGGAATTTATAAGTGGAGTAAATGTTCACTGGGGACACATATGACACAGCAATATTTAATGTATTTATTCTTGTTCATATGAAATGTTGAATAAATGTTACACTAACTGTCAGAAAAGTGATGGTATTATCTGTCCTTTACGTGTTATCTCTTATTTTTGCCTATAATTTATTAACTTATGCACAATATATTTTATTTTCACTTGTACTTACATGGGCTCCCAGGATGATTATTTATTCTAGAAATGTTCAAACCTCACAGTGCATTTAATTAAGACATCACAAGCCACTCTCTCCATGGGAAGAGATTTGTGATGTCACAAGCATAGGCCATATGAAATTGACAATCAGAAACTACAAATTAAGGATGAAAAAAAGTGCCATGTAAATTCAAATGTGGGGGGAAGAGAGTGGGAAAGATAGGGCAAAAGGAAGCAATTCATTATTTTCTCTCAAAGAAGCTATCCTACAATAAAAGTAGAAGCAATGTTCTCTACTCAGTCTTTTACAAATTACATTTTTGATAACTTAGAAATTCATTAAAATACTTATTAAACATTTTGCATTAAACTCACCCATTTAGCCATGAACTGTTTTTTGGGTTTTTTGTTTGTTTGTTTTTGAGATGGAGTCTCACTTTGTTGCCCAGGCTAGAGTCAGTGGCGCGATCTCAGCTCACCGCAACCTCTGCCTCCCAGGTTCAAGCGATTCTCCTGCCTCAGCCTCCCAAGTAGCTGGGACTACAGGCATGCACCACTACGCCTGGCTAATTTTTGTGTATTTTTAGTAGAGATGGGGTTTCACCATATTGGCTAGGGTGATCTTGAACTCCTGACCGTGTGATCTGCCCACCTCGGCCTCTCAAAGTGCTGGGATTACAGATTTGAGCCACCACGCCTGGTGAGCCACGAAATATTTTAACTAAAATTTCTTTCTTCTTTTATGTTTAAATATATTTAATCTCTCATATTTTATTAAGATTATATATTTTTTTGCTACTTTTAGAATTTCCCTTTCACGACTTTTAGAAATCACAAACATAACCATATATGATCTCTGTTTTTTCTTTCCTTTAATTAAATGAGTATTTACTTAATATCAAGGTTAAAATTACTATTAATTTTTTCTAATACCTTTACTCTTTGCTTAGAATCACGATTTTTATGTTATTCAAAATACTATGTTTTTTCCATGTTTTAAGAGCAATTGTAGATAACTTTTACAAAAAAGAAATTATGTTTTTCTTTTTAAGAAATTATTTGTTTTTCTTTTTAAGTTAAGGTAGCTGGGCCATAGAGAAATTCATTTACCTGTCTTATTACACAGGAAGACTGGAAGTGAGATCTAGACCTACTTAATTCCAAAGCCTAGGTTTCCTGTCTTACTGCCCTTCTCATTGATAAGTACCTTAGCCATTTTCTTCTGAATCATTTTTCAGCCTCCTACTTGGTTATAATAACAGCTATCTCCAAATTTTGTTGATCTTATACTTCTATTAACACATTTTCTGTGGGTTAACACATCCTAAATATATATCTTTTATTTATTTTAAAATTAGGTATATGCCCTACTATCATTAGTATATGATGAATATTAAATACTGAATTTTAACAATGTGACTTGTAAGAATTATTTGAAAAAAAGGAGAAACACAGACTTAATCTCATAACCCTTTGCCCTCACACCCAATTAGGACAAACTTTTGTGCTCTTTTCAAGAATGTTTGCAGAGTGCATTATCTTGGAAGATAGAAACATATTTCTTTCTGGAGCATAGGGAAGATTTGTTTGCTGTCCAGTAAAATAATGTCTATCTCTAGAGCAAAGGTGAGGCAGTTTTTGCTTATAGCTCATTATAAAAGATGGATGTTTCCCAACTTGGGGCTGTTCATCTGTGATACAAATGCACTGATGATGCAACCACTCTCTGGACTGCTCTGGATAGCCCCAGTGGAACTTGGGGAGTGAGTGGGAACTGACATGAACGTGAACTTCATGCTGCCTCCTGTGCCATAATTACTAAAGACTTTTTCTGTGAACCAAAAGTCTGTCTTCTGCCAGTCTCTATAAAACTTTGGCAAGCTACTTTTTTAGCTTGAGAGCAGGGTAAAACCTTAGACTCTGAGATTTTTCACATTGACAAAAAGACCAATAAAGTTTGCATTGCAAATTAATTAGGCTTGAAGATTGATAGTTACAGTCTACAGGAAATAACTTTAAACTTTTGAGTCCAAGTGTATACACAAAATTCTTATAAATAATTTCAAAAAACATATAAATGAACATAGATAACTGGTGGGATATAAGACATGGTGTGGGTATAATCTGAAAACTGAGTCCCTACTCAAAAACAATGGGTGTGGATTTATTTTACATTAAATATCTTAATGTAAATTCTCAGCCTTCAGTTTCATCATAAAAACTTTAAAATTTTAGTACTGCTTAAAAATGAAATGTCTGAGTAAATAACCTTTATGATAAGATAAAAAAAATCTACTTTTCACAAATACTGTTAAACATCAGTTCACAATCGCTTTTCAACCAAGAATTATTAGCCAATACCAAAGCATAAATAAATATCAGAAATAAAATTTTAACAAAGGAAAAAATGCTATATACAGATTGCAATTTTTATAAAATAAATATGTATGAGTTATGACCATCTGTCTTTACAATACCATAATTTGTTAATGCTCAAAGTACCATATGCATGTAGGGCAAAGTTCATTTTTATGAATAATTGAAATAAATCCATATTCCAAATAGTCTTTTTCATAATTTTCAATTTTTTAGCCAATTTCTTGGCTATTCTGATTAAATCCCAATTGTATACCTTTCAAAGACCTGATGTTTTACTGGAGACAGCTCTGCCATTTTTGTATTGCTTACCTGTGCTTGAGTTATTAATATAATTGTCAATCTTTTTAATTCAGTGTCCACTTTGTGCAGGTTAGTAGAGTCAAAATTAGCTTCTGCAACTCATATCCATGTACTGAGGTAAAACACAGTGCAGAGTGGTGCAGTATGCTGAAAGGAGACAAAGAAGTAAGCCCTCCCAGCCCATGTCAACCTACCGTGGGTGTTCAATTTTCCTCATTCTCATTTATCACATTATATAAAGAATATATATCCATCTGACACAGACACAGTGACAGTGTCAGGGTCACTCTAAATATTAAATAATGATAAAATTTTCTATCTTATATTAGATAAAAATGAATAATAAAGAAGTTCTCAGCCCTCACATATCAAGACTCCATCTCTACAAAAAAAAAAAACAAAAAAATAAACATTTAATTAGCCAAACGTACTGGTGCATGCCTGTAGTCCTGGCTTCACAGGAGAATCCTTGAACCCAGGAGTTCCAGGTTGTACTGCACCATGATTGCAACAGTAGACTTCAGCTTGGGCAACAGAGCAAGAGCAAGACTCTGTCTCTCTCTTTTTTTTCTTTTTGAGACAGAGTCTAGCCCTGTTGCCAAGCTGGAGCACAGTAGTGCCATCTCGGCTCACTACAACCTCTGCCTCTCAGGTTCAAGCAATTCTCCTGCCTCAGCCTCCCAAGTAGCTGGGATTACAGGCACCCACCACAACGCCTGGCTAATTTTTTGTATTTTTAGTAGAGACGGGGTTTCATCATGTTGGCCAGGATGTTATCCATCTCTTGATCTCATGATCCTCCCGCCTCGGCCTCTCAGAGTGCTGGGATTACAGGCATGAGCCACCATGCCCAGATGAGACTCTGTCTCTTTAAAAAAATAAAAATAAAAAAGGTGGTCTCATATTTTCTTCCTGCAACCCAACCGATTACCTTTTCTACCCTTTGGTCCTGCATCTTATTTGGAAACTGCTAAAATGCAGGTGTGCTAGTCATCAGTTCATTTATACTCAAATTCATTACCTGCCCCTTCTTTCTCTTCTTCACCACATTACAATACATTTCTGAGGCCCCTTACCCCTTCCAGGACTCCAAGACTTACAAGATAGTCTTGATTATGGAAAAGTGGTAGTTGGAAAGAAGTCAAGATATTTGTCTCCTTCTTTCTGTTTCCTCTGGTGTCCCTGCAATGACTAAGTCTTCTCTGAGCCTCTGTATTGTTGAACAGCTCTTACCTCCTGGCAAAGAGGCCCCCTATTCGAGCTTTGGCAGTCATTCAAATAGTCCACTTTGGGGATCTAGTAACACATTTCTTCCCATTGGCCTCTATCCCTAGAGATTACAGTGACTTTTTGCTCTTCCTAGTTTCTGGGTTGCTCTTCGGGTTATGTTAACCATCCCTCATGTTAAAGTAATCCTTTTATATAAGATGCAGAGTGGTGTTTGTTTTCCTGACCAGTCCTTGAGTGATAAAACAAGGCATATTAATTAAAACTTCTTTCACATCAAACAGGTCTGTTTCTCTAACATCGTGAGTCCATAGAGAGAACATGGGCAGCTGAGTTGAAAATGAAAATGTTAAGAATACTGAAATAGTAGATGAAACAAATTGGCCCCAACTCAGATAACCTAAATGAGAAGGTAGATTTAGGGATCTCCCCTCAGATTCCACTGTGACACAAAGCTAGGAAAGGTATCTGGAATCTCTCTACTACCGAACTATTTGCTCAAAGATGAAATAATGCCAAGACTCCATTCTACTTCCTACAACCCAAGAGAGCTTAAACTGAATGAAGCACTGACCAGCCACTTCCAGAACAACATGAGCCACCACGGAAGCACCAGAATTCTTGAATAAAACACATTGACCATCTCATCTCATCAATATCTCATATCTTCTTTTTCTAAAAGGAAGTCATCAGAAGTGAGGAAAACTTAGAAAATAAATGAGAAACATACCACTGTAATATTGAATAAAAAAAGATTGTAATTTATAGATGAATTAGCTGTGTCTTATTTGTTTTAAAAGATAGAGAACAGCATCTTATCAGTGAGACTCCCCTAGATGACTCCTTAAATGTAAAAAAAAATACCTCAGTCAGAGAACCACTGAACATTACTGATGTCTTAAACAGAACTCGACTGTTGAACCACACTCTTTAATTTCTTCCTAGGCACTTGGTCAAGGCAGTAAGTGGTTTGTGGCTGTCCAATAATGTCTCTTGTGACCTTTATTAAAATCAGGATAAGGTGATGGCATATTGCATGTTTGAGAAACAACTTTGCTCTAACATCAGGATAATGGTCTCTACTATGTTCGTCCTGACATTTTATTTGATAGTCTAACATGTATAAGGCATTGTTCTATATGCTGGAAACAGGCAGAGGAAGGAAACAGAATCCTGATTCTTAAGCTTCCAGAACAATGAAGAAGACTCACAGTCTTAGGAAACACAGTCATAGTAAATATACATTGCATGATTCAGTTAGTCGCAAATTTATTTTTTGTGATTATAATATTCTCCAATTACACAACTTAAGTGCCATAATAGATATATTTCATTTTCTTAAAAAAATCATTCTAGCAGTGTGAAATTACCTTCTAATTTATGTATGTGCTTCTTTTAGATGGGCACTATCTCTGAAAATGTTGAAGTTACAACATTATATGTTGTAGCTATTTGACAAATCCATTAGCATTATGGCTTGATACACTTTTGTTTCAGTATTGATTTTGATTCCAGAGCCTTTCTAGAAAGACTGGAGATATTTTGAAGTTATCCCTAGCTTCTAACAATGTAAAAATTATTCCAAAAAAAACCTTATTCTACTCTATCTTGTGCTTAATTTTATAGGGGAATATTCTAGCAAATTTGCAGTCTGGCTCAATGCTCTTTATTCCCTCCATAAAACATGTTAGCCAATGTCTCTGCATTCTAATAGTCTACGTCCAAGAATTCACCTGTATTGTTGCTTCTACTAATTGAGTGTGTGAGTTGTTGGTATGTTTCCAAACCTATATATGTCTGTTGTGCTTTTATGATAATTATAATATGTAATGAAACATTATATGAAGGGAAATATATATCAAAACACTTTTTTTAAATGAAAACTATTTAGAATGACCTGAAAAGCTTTCATGAAGATGAACTGCTAAAGATTTTGCTTTGTAATAAAGTATATTAACAATAATATTATTTTGTGGAGAAAACTATGGTGATGAAACATCTAAAATGATTCTGTACTGATTTCTTTTTAAGTATTTTCAAGTTTTAATCTTGGAAGTCTTTTAAAGAAAATGTTAGTGTGATCACAAAATTTATACTCAGAGGAAAGGCCTTTGTTGTCCATCAGAAGATTGGTAAATAAAGGTATATTTGGAACTTTTTAATTGAATTAAAGTATGTAAGTTTTATTTAACTGAATTTTCAAGTAGCCATGTAACCACAAGGCTAAATTTTTGTGAAATAACTGAGATTTTTTGAAGTTCCTTGGGTAAATGTGTTTGCTCCTTACTTCCACACGATTGCATGCTCTTTGAGAGTATATTTTCTTCATCTTTGAGTCCAGAATCTTGCATGTAATGACCATTTAATAAGTGTTTGCTGAATGAATGGACAAGTTGCAACCTATGTCTTAGGAACTGGGTCACTATAATTTTGGAAAGAGCTAAAGAAAGTTCATTTTTGACAAACTGATTTACCATTGTTTTGCATAACCTTGCAATCATTGGTTTGTATGTCATTAACTGTCTTCAATTCTTTTCTCCTCTGTCAATCTCTTTAGATTTAACATCCTCATCTTTGTCCTAAATTAAAGGTTAAACTGAAAATGCAGTCATTGAAGATAAACATTGACAAGCATAATAATACAGCAGCACAAAAATATACTCACCTAAGATGTTCTTATGCAAAATCCAAGTGTGATTTCATTGATTCTAACACTTACTATTATCCTCTCATGAAATCAGCAAATGAACTTTCTAAAAAGTCTTGGTTTTTGCAAAATTTTCCACATACCAGTTTACTTAAAAGAAAAAAAGCCTTGCAAAGCAAGCCCATGAATGAACACAGCATACTAATCAAAATGCACTTCTTGGCACTTTTCCTGTGGTAACCCAAGGGAAAATATGTCTGCCACTCCACAGCAAGCATAAAATTTCATCCTGACTTTCAGGCAAAACACCAATGTAATTGACATGTACTACTAACCAGATGAGTATATCACATGATAATATCTTTTCCTCTGTGACTAAGAGTGATATGCTTCAGTGGTTATCACAGCATGCGTGAGGCTACCCTCTTTATATGCACATAGGTGTTCAAGTAATGCATTTTGAAAACCTCAAAAGGCACTCTACCCATATGTGGTTAAATAATTGAAGCAATTGCCATGTGAGTTGCTGGTCACCACATCTGTATGTTTCTCTAGGCTGTAATCAGCACCAGATGTTCTACCATATGATAGTTTATGATGCCACAAGGTATTTCTGACAAGTATAGTGGGGATGCAGCCCCCATGTTAAGTTTGCCTGCAGCGAAACAGTGAGAACTAAGAGGAGACAGCATGGTGACTGAAAAGACACTCATCTGAAGGGCTTCACCAAACCTTGCTGAGTGGGTAGATCCACAGGGGTAAGAAACACACTTTTCCCTCCACAATCATAGAAGTTGCTAGACCTAATAAAATCCCCTAATCTCACACTAGTCTGCAAATTTCTTATAATTCAGCTGCCCATTATATCAACCATTTGTGAGTATATTAAAAATTTTGCTTAAGCATATTGGTTATTTTACTCAGGAGCTAACCTCTTCATGTTTTGATGGATATTTGATTAATTGCAGAGGGTTACTGCACTTTTCACTAGAAATGTATTCTTGTAATTTGACTAAATTTTTACGTCTGTATATATTTTTAAAGTAAATGTGTGACCTACCTGTTGATATCGTTCCAAGTAACTCCTTTTTGAAAAATAGTTTATTTTAATCATTCATTCTATAAATATTTATTGTGTATTCTTATATGTCAGATACTGTTCTATGTATTTAATATACAACTAAAACAGAAAAAACTCTCCTTGTCTCTGTCCTTATATATTTGAAATTAAAGCAAGAGAGATTATATTCCACCAAGGGAGCTTATACTCTTCTTTCTTTTCCTTCCTTCCTTCCTTCCTTTCCTTCCTCCCTCCCTCCTTTCTTCCTTCCTTTCTTTCTCTTTCCCTTTTTCTTTTCTTTTTCCTTCCTTTCTTTCTTTTTTCTCTTTCTTTCTCTCTCTTTCTTCTTTCCTTCTTTCTTGTTTTCTTTCTCTCTCTCTTTCTCTCTCTCTTTCCCTCCCTCCCTCCCTCCCTCCCTCCCTTCCTTCCTTCCTTCCTTCCTTCATTCCTTCCTTCCTTCCTTCCCTCCCAGGTTCTCCCTCCATTGCCCAGGCTGGAGTGCAGTGGCATGATCTCAGCTCACTGTAACCTCAAATTGCCTGGGCTCAGATGATCCCCCCATCTCAGCCTCTCTAGTAGGTGGGACTACAGGCACACACCACCATGACCAGCTAATTTTTGTATTTTTTTTAGAGTCTGAGATTTGGCTATGTTGCCCAGGCTGGTCTTGAACTTCTGGGCTCAAGAGATCCACTCCCCTTGGCCCCCCAAAGTGCTGGGATTACAGGTGTGAGCGCTTGTGCCCATCCAGAAGCTTATATTCTTTTGAGGAAATGCATCCTGATGATTTATTTTAAAATTAATACTTACGTATTATAGAAGATTACCAAGAAAATGAGATGCAACTAAGGAAGGTGACAAGGGTTCCTCCCTGCACAGGAGGATGACCTGGCTCTTCCAAGGCACTGGCTTCAGAAGCCACAATGAGGTTGACAGCAGGTGGTGTTGGCCTGTTTCGTTACTCTCTCAATGCTAAGGTGAAGGCATAGCTGCCACAGTTGTGGAAATATCCCCAGTCTGGGGCTTCTCTTCAAAGAGTCTAAGCCCTCCACAGGAGCCAGAGTCTCTGAGAGCCAGAAACGTGTGGGCTTTTTGTTATGTGACTGTGAGCAGCCTCCGCTTTGGATGACTCCCATGAGTGAGCATACCTCAAAAGACCTCCTACCTCCTTACACCATAGCAAGAGTCTTTCCCCAGGCATCCCCTTCTCTTGGAAGTTCAAGTGAGATTGCCTAAGCTGATTTAGACACTGGATGCATACTCTAGTTCTTGCTCTGACCAATTCCAGTAGTTCCTTGGCTCTACTTCCTCCATGCCCAGAATGAGTGGCCCTCAAGTGCCAGAATAGAGATTCTCTGGCTGGCCAGAGGCCTTGAGACTGCCTGGCTTATAGTGTCCAATGAAAGCAAGCATGGCTAGAAGGCACTAATGAGCTAGGCTTGGAATTTATTTAGTGCCTGGAGGTGCAAGATGTGTATTGGCTGGATTGTTCCTGTGAGCCTTCCAGTGATGAGCCCTGGCAGCCCTGCTGTGGTTTTTTTGAAGATCGGCCTTAGGAGACTATTTGAATGTTTCTTGAGGTTATAGAGTTGTGGGATTTGACTAGTCGAGAGAATTACCTGGGAAGTGACCACTGCTGTATGTTAGAGGGGAAAGTCCGTCTCTAAACAGGAGAGGAATTCCAAAGGGTCTTGAAATAGATTAGTGGATTAATCCGTTAATGGATTAATGACTGATAAAGTGGGTCAGATGGTTTTAGGGTTAGGGTGGAATAAAATCACATGAGTTCAACCCTGACTAGATCAGCAGAGAACCCCATTCCTAGGCAAAAAAATTTACGATTCTCAGTTCTCTCAAACTTTACAACCTTCAACCTAAAGGGCACTCATAGGGACTAGATGACTTTCTGACACCTTTTATCCCTTTGAGTTTCCTCCTTTTTGAAATATTAATTTATTTATATATTACCTTATTTCTGAGAACATATCATATAAGAAATGGAAATAGAAAAATAGGGACTGCTTCTACCGGTGGCAGAGCCTGCAGTGCCTGTGACCCAAGACCCAGGAGGTTGAGACATCTCTATGTACCCAATCTGTGAAGCAAAGTAGCAGATAGATGAAGGATCTGTGCTGGGCTTGCATTTTAGTGATTAAACCAGTCGAGGGCTCAGCCAATTGTTACCCGCCCAAGGTCACAGTGGAATGCCCCTAAGTCAGTAAGGAGCTACTGTATCTTCTTCCTTAGACTCCTCCACCCTGCTCCATTACAGAGTTCAAATACTTTCTAGTTCTTGAATTTCTAGTTTTTGAATTTCAAAAAGTTCAAATACTTTCTAGTACTCTAGTACTTCACACTGGACAGGAAACAAAAAGATCTCCATATTTATGGATAAATAACAATAAAATAGGATCAAGGATTTAGAAAATTATCTCTAATCTCAGCCCCTATAGTGTGTGTATATATATATGCATATACATATATGTGTGTGTGTGTATATATATATGTATATACAGATATAGATTTTTTTTTTGAGACAGGGCCTCACTCTGTCACCCATGCTGGAGTGCTGTGGCACAATCTTGGCTCACTGCACCCTCTGCCTCCAGGACTAAAGTGATCCTCCCACCTCAGCCTCCCAAGTAGCTGGGACTATAGGCATGCGCCACCACACCCCAAATTTATTTACTTATTTTTGTATCTTTTTTAGAGGTGGGGTTTCACCATTTTGCCCAGGCTGGTCTCTAACTCCTGGCCTCAAGCAATCTGCCTGCTTTGCCCTCTCAAAGTGCTAGGATTACCAGCATGAGCAACCAGGCCCAGCCATATTTTTTGTTTTTTAACCTTAATAAATACATAATTTCACAATCTGCTTTGTTAACTTATCATTATCTCAGAAATATTTCCCCATGTTACTAAAAGCATTACATACTCAACATTTTAATAATTGTATTATATTCCATGTACTTATTAATTCACCCACTGTTGAAGATTTAGACCGTTTCCAATTTTTTATTCTGAATAATATTGCAATAAGCATTTTTATATTTCAGATATTTCCAGACTACATATATTTTCAGAAGTGAATTATTACATAGGATAGTTTCCCAAGAATAGTGTATAATGATTCATGTTTCACTGAAGTCTTTCAAACTCTAGGCAATATTATTATACAGTAGCTGTGCCAAATATTAAAATGAAAAAGTCTGTTTCATTTCAGCATACACTTATTTGATTGCTAGTGAGAGTAAACCACCGAGAATTTCATTAGAAATTTGTATTTCCTTTTTTGTTAACTGTCTGAATAGCTGCTATTTAAAAAATAAGAGAATGAACTGTCAGGCAAAACTGCCTGGAATTGCATCTTAGCTCTTCTACCTACTACCTGTATAGCTTCTGTTTCCTCATTAGAAAATGGGGATGATTATGATAATAATAATACAACAAGTACAGCTTCAAAGTTGTGAGTATTAAATGGGTTAATATCTGCAAAGTGTTCAGAACAGTGTGAGACACATAGTGCATTAACGTTTTGGCCTATTTGTATTGCTATTATGGTTTTCCTGGGCTTTCTTTCTTTCTTTTTTTTTCTCTTTAATGGTTTTATTTTTTCTCCCTTTAAATCATTTCTAGGTCAATTTGTTTGTCTGTTTATTTATTAGCCTCATTGCTTTTTTTTTTAATGCCACTGGAAATAAAACTCCCTTTGTGATTTTAACTATATCATAATTTCAACCACTACCTACCAAAAAAACAAAACAAAACAAAACAAAACAAAACAAAACAAAAACCCCACCAAAAATCTTGTTTTTCCTGATTGATGCCTCTACTTTAGATCTCTCCCTTGAGCTCAGACTTATTTTTCTCTTCTCAATCCGTCCCTAGTGAAGATACCACAGGCATATTTGGCCAACATGGCCCAAAATAAATCCATCATTTTCCACATAAATTTGTTCCCTGTTTACATGTTCTCTTCTTTCATTAGTGATGGCATTATCTACCAAGGACACTGGCAGTAGCCTAGTGAGGGGGATGACAATATGCCACCCCCAAATATAACAATGTAGCATAAGAATTAGTTTGAGCTGAATGCAATTGAAAAACACAGACACAGAAAGAGTTCTCTGCCCTCCCTCTTTCTGACTAAAAAGCAGGGCTTAAATTTCCCTTTAGTAAAAGAAATTTCTATTGGTAATAGAAATTTCTACTGGTAAACATGTTTCTTTTCCATACTAGGAAGGGAAGAAATACTGGTAATCATAGCAGTTGACTCTTACCACATGAGATGACACTGAGATGAGTCTGCATGAAAAATTTTACTAACTCTTATCTACCATACATTTCCTGTTTCCCACAATCTACCAGCCCTTGGAGCTTACGCTTCTCACTTTCCTTTTTTTAGTCACTTCTCTACAATTTATTGTACTTGGTTAAAATGCTAGGGAAGCCCCCAGGATTAATTATCTTTCTGGGTTTTGTCTATTGCCATGTACATAAATTTTAAATAAAATTTGAAAGTCCTTTCTCCTTTTAATCTGCCTTTTGTCAGTTTAATTTCGCAGGACCTAGGGGAAGAAGTTAAGAACGTAGAAACCTCCACTCTGGGAAGTACCTAGGATCCTACTACTCACTTTTCTCCTACTACTCACTTTCTCCAACCAACTGATCATCTAAGATGAATAATTTATCTTAAATTAGTTTGTCTTAAATTGTTGCCCCTACCTAATACCTGAATAGCTCCTCATGACCTGAGGGCAAAGCTCAGACCCTTAACTTGGTATACAAGACACACAGCTCTGTCCTGCCCGTGTTTTTCTCTTATCTCATCTTGAACTTCTTACTTTCCTTGAATTTGCTCTTCATTAATTCAATTCACCAATGAACAGCTCCTGCTCTTCCCTCAGTTTGAAGTGCCTTTCTCCAGTCCCATTCCCACCTTCTTTGCCCGCTCAACCCTTAGTTATCCTTTAAGACATAACTATGATGTCATCTCCTCTAAGAATACTTCCCTTAAGTCCTGAATTGTGTCAATGACCATTTTTTCTTAGGCTTTCATTTAAACTGTGCACATTTCTTTCATAGATACCATTCACTGTAATATATTTTCTGTATAAAAAAGCCTCCCAAACTAGATTGTGAATTCTTCAAGTTCAGGGTCTGTATCTGATTCATCTTTGTATCTCCAGTATCCATCATGCGGTCTTTTTGATAGTACATCTCAAGAAACATTTGTTAAGTGGAAAAATGCAACTGATCATGTAAAGAAGACATTAAATATGAAAGATTCTTGGGGTCAGGTTACTACTCACAGGATGTCATAACTTTGGGAGATGCATGAGCTTCCAGATACTGTTTCTCGTGTTTGTAATACCAAAGTGTTGCCTGGCAGATGTAATAGATATGGTTGGTTGTCAAGCATCAGGTTTCCTTTCGTGAACTCCAGATATCTGAGACAAGTCCAGTTAATTTAGAAAGTTTATTTTGCCAAGGTTGAGAATGCATTCCTGTGACACAGTCTTAGGAGGTCCTGAAGACATGTGCCCAAGGTGGTGAGGACTAAACTCTGATTTTTTTTTTTTTAATCTTGTCCAAATTCCTATCTAAGGAGTTGGAGGAGTCATGCCCTACAAATCATAAATTCTCATCAGATGGGTTTTATTTAACACTAATATATTGTGATTTACTTTCCAGCCTGACTCTGGCATAACATTACGAGACAAAAAAGAAAAATCAAAATATTTTACCCCAAAACATGTATCTTTGCCATATTTTGAAATGCCCCTGCAAAGCTGTTCTTTGTGGAGGAAAATTTGTATCTGTAAAGAATCTCTATTAATATAGCTAGATCCAGACCCCTCCAATCCTAAAGAGGTTAACTAAGATCTGAATAGGAAACATTTGTGATCTCTAAGGGCAGCCGCTATAAGACTTCAAAAGAACTTTGGTCTCCATGATCTGTATCGTAACCTGAACATTCCCTTTCTATCTATCCCAGGTCTTTAGAAGAACTCAACCAATTGTCATCCAGAAAATGTTTAAATTCACCTATAACCTGGAAGCCCCCCATGCCACCCCACCCACCCCCGCCCCACTTTGAGTTGCTCTGCCTTTCTGAACCAAACCAATGTAGTTCTTAAATGTATTTGATTGATGTCTCATGCCTCTCTAAAATGTATAAAACCAAGCTGCACCCTGACCACCTTGGGCACATGTTCTCAGGCCCTCCTGAGCACTGTGTCATGGGCCATGGTCACTCACATTTGGCTCAGAATAAATCTCTTCAAATATTTTACAGAACTGGACTCTTTTTGTCAACAGTGGTTGGGGCACAGCTTGGTTTTATACATTTAGGGAGACATGAGACATTGGTTCTGTCCAGAAAGGCAGGGCAACTCAAAGCAGGTAGGGGGCTTCCAGGTCACAGGTAGATGAGAGCCAAAGGTTGCATCCTTTTGAGTTTCTGATTAGCCTTTGCAAAGGAGGCAATCAAATATACATTTATCTCAGTGAGCAGAGGGATAACATTGAATAGAGTGGGAGACAGGTTTGCCCTAAGCAGTTCCCAGCTTCACTTTTCCCTTTAGCTTCGTGATTTTGGGGTCCCAAGATTTATTTTGCTTTAACACCTTTCTTCCTTTCTAATTAGGTCTTTACTCCTTATCTATGCTTCCTGATGCCTGGCACTGCTGGCTACAGGTGTTGACTAAAATTAAGGCTGTTGAGACAGAAATAATTTGATAAAGGTTTATTGAAAGCCAAATGTGAGGATTGACCATGGGAAAACACGTTGATAAAGTTAGGAGTGTTCCAGAGTCTGTTACAAGGTGGATGGCCTTTACAGGAAAGTTTAGATGGGAGTAAGACTGCTCTCATGGAATTCGTCTTTTTTTAATTTTAATTTTTTTTTTTTTTGTTAAAGATAGGGGTCTCACACTGGACTTTGCCCAGGGTGGTCTTGAACTCCTGACCCCAAGCGATCTTCCTGACTCAGCCTTCCAAACTGCGGGGATTATAGGCCTGAGCCAACGTGCCTAGCCATTATGGGAGTTATCTTTTTTCACCGGTAGGTACAATGCAGAGGTTACAATTACTGGACATGGATTGCAGAATACAGACAATCAGTTTATATATAAGACAATGTATAAGACAATCAGTCAAACTTTATGATTCAGAAATAGATTAGCTTCCTTTTCAGTGTCAGTAGGTTATGCATTAATCAGTACTTCAACAATCTGAAAGCTCGTAAGATTCTTTACTCAGGGACAGGATGTCACCATGAATCACAAGATGGGTTAACCCAAGGTGGGTTAACTTGGAAGTCTGTTTACTTTTAAAGTAAACTACCAAATGTGACCCGGATGGGCATAGTTATGGCATCACATCTCTCTTGCCAATGATTGATTCAGAAATGGCCATGAGGCTCATTTGGGACCATTGAGATTGGAGGAGATAATTTTTCTGCATTATTCAGTGTGGCTTTCAAGAATTGCTTCACTCTCTCCTACGTATTGTTATAGTTGGATGTAAGGCCCATCTTTCTGTTAAAGCCATCATAATCTGTTATATCAGCCTAGGGATAAAGCTGATATACAAAGGAAAAATTAGCACTGAAGGTCTTGAGGAAATTAAATAGAAATGAATTCTAACTCTGTACTTCTAGATATACAAGCTAATTAGTTGTCTTATTGCTGAAATTCGAGATGAATTTTATGGTACTTGTAGTTGAAAATATGATTGGTTAAGTAAGCATAAAGTCACCAAAGGAGAAGGCTCATCCACACCACTCTTATGTCTCTGGCCTTCTTGCCAGTCCTCAAACACACCATTACGGGTTGAATTGTGTCCCCCTACAATTCAGATGTTGAAGTCTTAATTCCCAACACTTTAGAATGTCATCTTATTTGGACATAGGGTAATTGCAGGAGTAGTTAGTTAAGATAAAGTTATTAGGATGGGCCCCTAATCCAGTATGACTGGTGTCCTTATTAAAAAGAGGAAGGCTCCAGCCTCTGCGACAGAGCGAGACTCCGTCTCAAAAAAAAAAAAAAAAAAAAAAAAAAGAGGAAGGCTG
Organism: Homo sapiens; assembly: GCF_000001405.40. Lineage (NCBI taxonomy): Eukaryota > Metazoa > Chordata > Mammalia > Primates > Hominidae > Homo > Homo sapiens. The sequence continues at coordinate 148,229,870 of NC_000003.12, read as the reverse complement.
AGTGCGGTGGCTCATGTCTGTAATCCCAGCACTTTGGCAGACCAAGGCGGGTGGATCATCTGAGGTCAGGAGTTCGAGACCAGCCTGGCCAACATGGTGAAACACTGTCTCTACTAAAAATACAAAAATTAGCTGGGCATGGTGGCGTGCACCTATAGTCCCAGCTACTTGGGAGGCTGAGGCAGAAGAATTGCTTGAACCCGGGAGGCAGAGGTTGCAGTGAGCTGAGATCGCACCGTTGCACTCCATCCTGGGCAATAAGAGAGAAACTCCATCTCAAAAAAAAAAAAAGGTAATTTGGACACAGGCAGTCAGGAAGAATATCATATAATGATGAAAGTGAAGATTGAAGTGATATTTTTTCAGCAAAGAAATTTTAAAGTTTGCCACCAAACTCCCAGAAGCAGGAAGAGAGACAGGAAGAGATTCTCCAGTTTGTGGTACTTTGTTACAGCAGCTCCAGCAGACTCATCATTTCTGAGTTAGGGCTTTTGCACTAGCTGCTCCTGTGTTTAGAATGCTCTTTCACTTGCTCTTCCTGTTGCTGGTCCCTTCCTGTTTTCAAATCTTAGATTGAGAGTTCCCTCCTCAGAGAGGCCTTCTAGCACCACCTAATCCAGAGCAGCCCCACTAGTTACTTTTCATCATCATCCTGCTTTCATTTTCTGCTCAACATTCACCACTCTCTGATATTTTCCTTGCATGTTTAACTCTATGTTTATTTTTCTGTCCCCTACCCACAAACCCCACTAGAATGTGAGCTCCACTGGAGAACAGAGAGCTTTTGTATCTTGTGTTCACTGCTGAATTTTCAAGACCAAGAACCTTGCTGAGTATACATCAGATGCTCATTAAGTATATGATAAATAAAGAAATGTGGAGTAAACGAGTGTGAAGGGAAAAGCAAGAATAATTTATGTCATTAAGTTTTTGAATGTTTTGAATTTAACTGAATAAGGTGAACAGTAATATTCTGCTTCTACCTTTTAATATGTGAATTTAATTAACTTTCTCTGCTTCTATTACCTTATCTATAAAATAGAGAAATCCACAGTACCTACCTATAGAGATGTTTTGAGAATTAATGAGAGGATATATGAAAAACACTTAGAATTGTGCTAGGTAAATAGCAAATATGCAAAACATGTTAGTTCTTTTTGACACAGTGGCTCTTAAATTAAAAGAAAAAACGAAATGAGTTTTTTTCTGGGTGATAAGTAAATACCTAGTTTCAAGTTTCCATATCTTAACCAAAATTATAAGTGTTCTATAATTGTTTAGCATTTTTATTGCCACTTTAGAATAATCTATCATCTTATTCCAGTTATGATTCTAATGATCAACAGTCACCAAGAACTCTTCACTTTATCTTATACCGTACATTATCAGAGACAGCCAACTCTCCTAAAAGTTCCTTGAATTATACAAAATGGTCCATTTTTACACACCTCATTTTTGCTTAGACCCTCATTTCTTAAATCAAGTTCTTATTATTTACAAACATGAGGCTCCCATGAGACCAAAAATAAATTGTCTGAGGTTAAAGAAAATTCTTTGCTCATTAAATCAATAGACACAAGTAGAAAAGTGAATATGAGGTAATCATTGTGGATAATTATTGGCACAGCACCTAAGGGACTTCTTTAAAACTATTAGTATATTAGTAAATAATCATGGAGAGGCTAAGTTGATTCTTTTAAAGAGAAAGCATGGCAAAATAGGAACAGCTGCCAGACTTAAGCTTAAAACCTTATTAACTATGAAACAAGGCAACTTTCCTTATTGCTAAAATGAAGGTAAACATAACCGTATTTTAGTTGAAACTTTAGCAATAGTATGCAAATTTTCTAGAAAAAGTGCCAAATACATGCTAGGCACTCAGTTAGTATTATAAACAGTGATTTTTGGAGCTGTACGTATTAGTTTCAGCTGCATAATCAACTACCCAACTACTAAGTTGCAAAAACAATAAAAATGTATTATTTCTTATGTTGTGTGTTGGCTGGGAATTTCTTTGGGTCTGAGCTGGCTTGATTGAGACTAGATGATCTAAGGCCTCAACTGGAATGTCCAGCATGCTGGAGTTTTTCTCTGCAGATGGTTTTTCTTCTTCTGATAGGCTAGCCTGGGCTTGTTAACTCCATATGGGAAAGATTCCTAGCAGCAGGAAAGAGCAACCTAACAAGCAAAAAGAGCAATCTAACAGGAAAACAAGATAACAAGCAGACACTATTCACATGCCTCCTAACATTCCATTGACCAGAGCAAATTACATGGTCAAGTTCAAATTTCATGGAAATAAACTAACTCGCTCATTCTAGGCATAATCAGTATAAAACTGTGAAGGATAAAACACCCCCTCACATACATATATTTTACTTATATAGAATATAAATTTCACATGATTTGCATAAAAGTATATAAATCTCTATCGTACAGTTCATTCAGAAAAAAATGACTACTTTAGAGAATAATCTAATTCATACGCATGAACATGGCTAATTTTAAAGTTAATAGGGCCCTTGTGTGCTCATCTAAGAGCTGAATTTGGCCCACTGTGTATGCCACTCACTGCCTTTATTTACATTATAAATAACCACACTTTATTTTGTCTACTCCCGTACCATTTCGATTATAGTCTATTATTTTAATATAATTTGTTAAAATGGAATTAGCAATTAAATTACTGCATCATTATTCGTACAAGCTAAAGTGTTTGACCTCAGTCTCTAGAAGCAGGGGAATTTGTAATTGACTAAATCTCTATCCATGTATTGTGATGTATGGACTGATTTAATTGTACATGATATTTTCTTGGTGTTGATGTGGTCAGAAATTCTGCTTTAATTCTACTCATTTCTCATGAGGGAGACTAAGATATATTTGGGACATTATTTGAGTGCTTATTTAGATTTACAGATTTTAAGATGTATGCCCCATGGTGTCCCTATAATGCATTTAACTTCAAGTATTTCCAAAGTGTTTTTGTAATTTGTTAAGAAATTTAAGAAAAATTAAGAAATCAAGAAATTATATAACTATTTGTAATTTCTACCACATAGTCACCAAAAAGTAATGTGTTCTTCATTATTCTCAAGTTAATTTATAGACCTATCTACTGAAAGCTCCTTTGAACAAGGTCCATACTTTTCATTTCATTGCATTTTTTTGTAGTGTCAATCAAACAAGAGACTAGAATAGTGCCTGGTGTAGTAGGTGTAGTCGTTTCCCAAGGTTACTGTAATAAAGTATCACAAATGGATGGTTTAAAACAACTGCATTTTATTGTCTAACATTTCCGGAAGTTACATGTCCAAAATCAAGGTGTGGGCAGGTCCACGCTCCCTCTGAGACTTGGGGAATTCTAACCTTGCATCCTCCTAGCTTCTGGCAGTTTGCCAGCAATTTTTGGTGTTCCTTGGCTTGCAGCTGCATAACTTCCAGTCTTTGCCTTTGTTGTCACATGATGTTCTCCCTGTGCATGTCTCTGTCTTCTGTAAAGGACAACAGTCATATTTATTAGAGGCCCACCTACCCCAGTATGATTTCATCTTGACTAATTATATTGCGAATGACCTACTTCCAAATAAGATCACTTTCTGAGTGTTACTGAGTGGAACTCTGGCTTTTAGGACTTCAACACATCTTTTGCGGGGGACACATAATTCAACCTATAACAGTAGGCGATTAATAAATACTTGTGGAACAGCCAACAGGATGGAATTTTGCTAGTGTTCTCTATGCATTTCAACTAAGTTCACAAAAGAATATTGGCTCAGGTAAATAAATGGGAAGAAGATATTTTAGAAAAATCACAAAGTAATTTATGAAGTTCAAGTCATTAAAAAATAGAGGCAACTGTTCAGCCTCACAAGTAGAAAAAGTCATGTAAATCATCACAAGGGCCAGAAATTTTGCTCCACAACATGGAATATATAAAATATCACACTCCCATATTTCCTTTGCCATTTGAAGCCTATTCAAATGGCAGTTCAGTTTCCACTTTCTTAGGGAAGTTTGTTCTGTCATCTCCCCATAGGACCATATTTTCCTACTGTAGTGGTTTATGGACCATCATCAGTGGACTGTAGGCTCCAGGAGGACTTCATTCTTTATATTTGTAAAGCCTAGCATAGCACTTGACAGGTGCTCAATAATTATTTGTTGATTGACCAACTGATTGAATGAATAATGAATTGGTGAAATGGGCTGAAGTTTCCCTTTTCAATAGCTGTAGAAAATGTTTATTATATTTGTTAACAAGTTTTATATATTTGTGTATGTTATGATATTATAAAAATATAATTTATTATATATCGTTAAAATGTTTGTTAACTTATATTGTTAAATAAAACAGGCGAGATTACAAGGACATTGTTTACTTATGTGACAAACTGTTTTCAAGTACTTTACAAGCACTTAGTTGCATACAAATATTTAGTATGCTAATTACAATTAGTAATTATGTACTTATTATATGAACTCTTTCTCTTGGAAGCATTTTAAGTAATTCTAATTTAAGTTACTATATGCACTTGAATATTATAATGCTAAATTCTGCATACATATTTTATATTAGTTTTTAATTTACATTAGCTTATATTTTCCAAATTCAGTCCGAGCTGGTGTTTCTTATATATCCTGAAATTAAAATAGGATATATTTTATACACACTGCACACACATACACACACACATATACACACACGTAACAGGGACAGAGTAACACTAATTATTCCTCTTCAATTCCAAGTAAATCATATTCTCCTTAGGATTTATAGAATCACCTTCCTAAATCCATGATGTTAAAAATGAATTAACTCATCCTAATATTTTAGAGAATATCTAATTATTTAATTATCTCTGTTATATGAATAAAGCTTTGGTGGATTCTCTTCTTAGTATTACCACATTCTTCCTTAGGGATAAGCCTCATTTGAATGTACATCAAGTTCACACACACACACACAAACACACACACATCATAGTGATACAATGTTACAATACAATTTTAATTAAAACTATTGAGAATATATTGTTGTTGTATTTTCAAATCATCTTCCTCTGAGAATGATATAAAATGTTGATGTGTGCACTCCAGTGGGAGACTTAGTAAATGTTAGCTTTCAGTCATTTTCCTGAGACCATGCAAGAGTTCATCTCCAGTGCCTAGTTGGGCTCTTGAGGGAATAGAAATACCACATTCTTGGCTTGACATTAGTGCCATTTCCAAATGTTACCATGGTGATCACCTATGCAGCATCACTAACCCTTCTCACAGCAGCTCAATTTGAGATTCATATTTCATGTTTCTATGATATGGGAGGGTAATTATTTCATTACTCAGGGGAAGAAGATTTAGGAAGTAAATAGCTCTTCATTAAATCTTAAATGATTCTAGGCATTTTAGGCCACAGAAATGACAAATATTAAAGTAATGAAATTCAAAAGGGTAAAACATGTCTGGAAATTGGAAAAAAAAATTTTATGTAGTATAACTATAAATACTGTTTCTCTAATAAAAACATCTTGCATAAAGTGCAAGTATATTGTTCAATAATTCATGATTTAAAATAATTTCATTGTAGAATAAATGCACAGAAATGTGTATATATTTGAACAGAAGTGCCAATAAGAGAGGGGTTTTAGTAGAGACGGGGTTTCATTATGTTGGTCAGGCTGATCTTGAACTCCTGACCTCGTGATCCGCCTGCCTCAGCCTCCCAAAGTGCTAGGATTACAGGCGTGAGCCCTCTACTAAAAATGCAAAAATTAGCTGGGCTTGGTGGCACAAGCCTGTAATCCCAGCTACTCAGGAGGCTGAGGCAGGAGAATAGCTTGAACCTGGGAGGCAGAGGTTGCCATGAGCAGAGATCGTGCCACTGCACTCCAGCCTGGGTGACAGCGTGAGACTCCATCTCAAAAAAAAAAAAAAAAAAAAAAAAAAAGAGAGAGAGAGAGAGAGAGAGAAAAGAAAAAAGAAGAAAAGAGAAAAGACAAAAGAAGAGAAGGGTTTTATGAACTGACCTGGCTTGGGAGAAGGTAGTATCATATTTCATAAGGCATGCTACTTTTCTTTCATCTAAATAAGAATTTCACTGTTAAAAAAGGGATTCTCATGTACAGATGATTGTTTTATGAAGAATTATTGTTTCTTTTATTTACTGTTGGTATTTGAAGATTATGCAGCTGAAAATAAATATTAATGTGCAATATTTTCAAAATATGCTTGATTTTATGAAATGTCATTGAATAGTTGTGAATTAAAGTTAGTTGGAGCATATTTTGAATATAAAAATAACCAACTGTTTATGCTGCACTGCCCAACTGCTGGGTTTTACCCACAGTACAAGAAGGGTGCTGTGATGTAGCTCAACAGTCCAAACCACAACTCTTCTGGAAAGGATCTTGAAATGCCATAAAATTCTTAGGCCAAAAACATTCGGCTGACCTATTCTGTGTTACTGAGGTTATGCCTATTACAAGACAAACATTTCTAACTACACTGTGTTCTTTCTAAATATTTTTCTTCGTTTTTTCCTCTTTCCTTTTTTTTTCCTGTTTTGCCTGAAACAAAAAGCCCATTAAATATTTAAAAAGAGAATCAAAGATACATGAAGTAAAGGTACTCCTATCTGTGACAGAAGGTGTGCCGTTCAATATTAAAGGTTCAATTTGGCGTATTTGAGATCTTATACATGTACAGACTAAGAGAGGGCAAGGAGGAATTCCATCGTTATCATTTTCCCAGAGGAAAGAAGCCCATTTCCCCTTCCTTGGTCTTTAATACTTCCTCACGCAGCCCTTTCCTATAATGGTGATGGGATTTTTTTAAATTTTAGCTTAGTGGAAGAAAAATTAGTCAGAATTGTTTGTTCGGAGGCTCACTGATTGAGTATTTAATTAATTAAAATTATTCATTCATAAACCTCTGAAGAAGTGGAATGGGAAGGTTAAGAGGTTCAGAGTAGCTGTAGTCTTCAGTGCCTCTTTGCTTGTTATTTATATTTAATCCATTAAAGACTCATGTAATATATTCAAGCTTGCACAGCTCTTGGAAAAAAAAAAGACTGGAGGATAGGCAGGCACAAAAAATAGCTTTTCACTACTAACAAAATCATGTAAATCATGGAAACGGTCAATGGATATTAGATGTTTTAAAGCTAGATCCAATATTTTAATACACATAGACTGCTCCTGAAGTTTGAGGACCACTGAGAAGGATCTTTGTCCAGCATAGAATTAGCAACAACTGAAAACAGAACATCTCCTAATGAACTGATGGTTCCAAGTTTCCTCATCCTTTGTCTTCATGTGGAATTTCTTGTGGGCCTGCAGTCTTCTCATCAAGCTTATTTCTATGTCACTGTCACTAAAGACCCTTTCCCCAACCCCAGCCCTGTTCCTCCACTTCCAGGGTCTTATTGAAGGCACCTTCAAAATTCCAAAATTACATTTTAAGCAAAGTAATTTAGTCTATCCAAATTCTGCATGTTTATGTGTATGTGTGTGAGAGAGAGTTTGGGGGTGGGAACTTGCGTTTGATAATGAAAAAGCCTATAGACTAGTTTATTTACAAATAAAAGCTGATTTTTAAAATATTTTTCCGCTACTCAAATCAAACTGCAGCCAGCATTTAAAATAGTGTGTTTTTCTCTACTCTACATTCGCTATCCATAAATTTTGTTTAAAAACATTTGTTTTCACTTATCTAAATTACAATAAGTCTTTCAGCGTACATGCACAATACTGTAAGTTTTGGAAATATAAATGGATAAGTGGTTCTTGAGTCGGCCCCCGTCTCACGGCTTGTTACTTCAAGTTCTACTAAGGTGGATTAGTAGGGTAGGCTAAATTTTGCTCTAACTTCAAATAATTCCAGTGGTTTAACACAGTGAAATTTATTTCTCTAAGGCAAAGTCCTTGGTGGGCATAGGTGACACTTTGGGACAGCTATCTTACTTGTAGTAGCTCAGTGGACTTCTGTCTTCTTTATCCTCTTTTGGGAGTGCTGTGGCAGGAGAGGAGAGAGACCGAGTGGAAAACAGGGCAGAAGGTTTATTTTGGATCAGCCTGAAAGTGCCATGTGTCACATCCACTCACATCTCATCGTACAGAACCGTTAGTCACAGACCCCACTTGACAGCAAGAGCTGGGGTCCAGGAAGGAATTGAAAACTGGTATTGGGAAGTCCTGGATAAGTATCTGGAAAAGGGGAGGAGAATGCACTAGGAAATGAAAGGACCCTAAGCCACAGAAAGGCAGTTCTTTATTTTTCTTAGTTATTGTTGGAGATTTTGCTATGATATGCTTGTGTAAGTTGGAGCATACGAGGCTGAAAGAAAGTGCTCCTGAGAAAGAGGAAGCAGCAAAAGCACACTACCAATGCTCTACAGCTTGAAGTTAAAAGGGAGTTGAAATATGGCAGTAGTTTAAAGGAAGGACACCAAAACTTCACACTCTGAAACTTAAAAATAATTCTGCAAATAATGTAGTGTCTACCAAATAAAGCATCATGAGAGGAGTAATAATAGCACTATTCATTCAGTTAGTGTGGCTTAATGGTACTGTCATGTCTCATGAGAACAAAGATTTTTACTAAAGTAACCTCTTAGTTTCCCTTTGTGCTAACAACTCTACCAACTACCCTAATTAATTGCCCCAAATCTGTTAATAACCATGTCATCATAGACCATCATGTAAATGAGCTTTAAGAAGTAAAATCTGAAGAGCAATCTTGCCATTCATTTATCTGAACTAATTATAATGTAGGAATAATTCTCACAGCAGGTGAAAACAGAGAAAAAGCATGCTTTTGTGGAAAAGCAAAACATTTTAGATTTTGGCATCAAAATTTTAGAAGAAACAGAGCTTTCTTACTTGCAAAGTAGAGTTTTTCAGGCTTGTTATTTTTGTTATAATCATATTTTTAATGAAATATTTGTAAAAAAAAGTTACGGTTGATTATTCTACTTTTCAAAGTGGTGATTAAATATACCCTATTCTCATATTATTTCAAGAAAAAATATTTCCAGAATTGATAAGACAGAGAAGTTAGTACACTTTATAATCAGTGGATAATCATAAATTGATTGGTTGCTTTATGTTAGTATCACCATAACTTATAACGATAACATGTAGAATATATTATTTCTTAGCAAGGCAGTTTGGTGTAGTGAATAGGGACCAATAGATTTTTTTCACATCCTAGCTTATCCTTTTAGCTGTGTAAACTTGAGTTTTCTACTTTTTCCCACAGAGTGCAGAGTTGATGTGAGAAGAAGCTAATATGGTATGAAATGCACCCATCTCGGTTTTTGACCTATAGTATTAAATGCACCCATCTCAGTTTTTGACATATGGTAAATATCATAGCCATTACTTTTCATTTTCTGTGGCATATTTTCTCTTATTTTTTTCATCTTTGTAACTTTGGTTATCCACATTTTCTTGAGTTTTATTACCTTTGCTTTTGTGGAAAACTGATTTGTCCTATCATGTTACCAGTGTTCAAGAAAACCCCAAAGGGGCAAATATTTGGAAGCTTTTAGGAATAGCCTGAGTAAGAAAAAACAAAACTCTTTCTAAAAGCAAGTGGTTGTTTCTAAAGTCTGCATCTAGTAAAATCAATAACTTAAAAATTTAATTTGCATGTGTGAGAAAAGTCGCATAGTCATCATAAATGGAAGAAAAGCTACATACTCTGATAATTTATTTATTCATGGGATTATTTCTAAAAGAAATTCATTAAAGTTAGATAGAAAGAAAAGAATCACATGAACTTTATTCACACTTCCCATTCTGACTTGAAATATTCAGAGAAGTAGGAGAGAATAAGAAATTCTAAGCCGCAGAAAGGGATTTTTTTATTTTTAATAAGATATCAAAGAAGATCTTGCTATATGTTTTTGATTTCAATAAATTAAAAAATTGTGTGTAAGCATAGGTTTAATAATAACCTTATTCAACACAACGTCATGTTGCATGGAGTGTTAATATTTTTTGTTTAAAAAAAAGTATCCAAAACTTTAAAATAGAGGATGACTAACTGGCTTTTCAATGTCATTATTTTACAGACTCACTCAATAATTATTTAATTTTATAGGAGAATGCACCTGTATTTACTTAACTATTTGCTACTTAATCATTTTTATTATTTTCCATTTACATGGTAACTTATGTATTTCTGGATGATAGAAAAGATAACTCCAAGTATCACCATTTTATGTCTCCGTTAAGCAGTTTTGGACTGCAGTCTATGGACACCAGCAAATCCATTTCATTACTCTTTTGGCTGATTATAAAAGTCTCTGTTTCTCAAAATCTCCTTTGAACCAGACTTACCATCTTACTGATTCTCTTATTAATTAATTAATACAATCTTTTATAGTGTTTATTCTATATTTATATAAGGATCATGTTTTGAATTTTTTGAAAATTATATTTTAGCCCCTCAATCATAAGCTTATTTTTACATGAGGTTACATGGGGGATTTAAAATGTAACTTTCAAAGTGGGGGAAGAGACACTGTCCTTCCACAGTAGACTGATTTAACTCTATGCTGTTAATCACTTTTTTAACTGATTACAGTATTATTGCACGTGTGTAGTAAGACTGTCAGCATCTTTAACAGGAATATGCTCAATTAAGATGTAACATGTAACATATCAAAAGGTTCTAAGAGCATTTCCACATTTTAATATTTTAAGAGATAAGAATTATTATAAAGGAGCTTAAGTAAAACCATTTCATATGCTTTGCAAATTAAAGATGTGGTATAATTTACATGCCACTATTTTTTAGGTTAAGTGCTATGTCTTTTCAAACATCATTTTAATAAGGAGTATGGCACAGAGTGTAGACGATAAAGTTTTTACGCTTAGACTTTGCATTGCCAGTGAATAGAATTTTGGAAAATGAGATAGGAATACAGCTGAGATAGAGATGAGTAGACATTATTTTGTTCTTCCAGTGCTTTATATTGTAATTCTTCTTTTTATGTATTGGTCTGGGTTCGAACAAGAAAGAAAGTGGTCGTTTGAGGAGAATTCAATTATGAAGGCTGCGAGTATGGTTAAGACAAACCACAAGTGATAGTGCAGCCAGTAGTAGCAGGTGTCTGTTTCCTAGTGAGAAGGTTTCCAATGGGTGCTGTGGCCTTGGGTTGAGGGAGTTAATTCTGCAGAGAGGGAACTATGGGAATAAATATTGTGACTTTATTATCTTTCTTTTCCCACCCCCTGTGGATACTCCCAATTGGCTAAATCCACTCAGAAACCAGAAAATAAGGGGAAAAATTTTTACAGTCCATATTGGTTAGCCTCTAGGGAACAGAGTAAGATGAAGATGAGTAGAGAATGGACCTAAAAGAGAATGTGGGAGGTGCCGTGCACATCTGGCACATATTCAGCAGGCGTGCTAGTTGCTAGAATACAGTTTAGGAGAGGCTAGAATTGGAACTCTTTACTGGCTGGCATCAGAACGTTGTGAAATCCACACATTCAGGCCAAGGGAACATTTAGTATTGAGTAAGAACACTGCCCACCCAGATAAAGAATCAGGTCTGGAGTTTAGAAGTCAGTAAAGTCAGGGAAAGTGCAGATAGAATCTGTAAGTGTAGAATTTTAACTGAATCAACATTCTGGAAACAACTAACTTGGTGAAGGTGGGACAGTACCTTTTACTTTTCTAGTTATATATTTTTTCATGTGTAAAATTAGAGAGTTGGAATAGAAAGAATGTTTTATTGCCATATAATTTTAAGTGGGGAAAATAAAAAGAGGAACAAACAAACTTTTTATTGTTTTTATATTGCCTTACTTCTAAGAATTGGTTTTTAGTAGAGCAACTAAAATAGCATCTTTTGTTTCCTTATATTATTATTTATCAATGAATTCTCCCTGAAGGAGGCAATCAACAGCAGATTGTTAGGGTCACTTTAATCAGAGCTGTAATGGTTTATTCTACTCTATGAAGTTGATATTTACTCAATATATAATGAGGAAGCAAGAAGTGGTAAAATGGTCAGCTGCAAAAATTAAGCATTTATATCCAAATGTGGAGAAAATCTTTATTTTAATTAGATACTCCTCTCAAGTATAAAGGAAAAGGTAAGTTAGTGTCTTCACTACAAGAGAAGCAACTCAAGGTTAAGTAATTTGAATGTGTACTAGTTGACCCAAGGAGAGAATGAGGGGATTGGTATTTAACCTAAGGTTGTGTGCATTTCTAGCTTTGGGGCCTAGAAACTCAAAAGGCCGTTTCTGAATTTCACTGCTAAGGTTAGTATGTGCAGCCTGATTGTTTCTATCAAGCATGTGCTTGGCTTACTCTCCAGCTTGCATGCGTCTGCTGATAACTGGCAGCTTGAAATTGTCCTGAAAGAGAATAAGGGCTCTTGATTAATCCCATGCACGGTATCAACATATTATTGATTCATTATCAGCACATTGTTTCATTTCCTGGGAACAGGGATAGGTTGAAGACAAATATAACTTCAAAGTGGGTACAACCCAATGAACATACAAGTTGGATAACTCATGTTCTTTTTCTGGTTTTAAATAGAGAAAAACACTGGTTACGTTTACATTTCAGCTGAATTACTTTGAGCAAAGAAAAGCAAAACAAAACAAAGCAAAGACAATTTGTGAATCAGGCAGTTTTCCAAACCAGAAGAGGTTCAGAGAACTCCAATCAATAACATGATCTGACAGTATATATAGGAAATGGAAGTGTGGTGTAGAGACATCTTGATTGGTTATAGCTTAATTGGTTAATTTGTGATAGAGCTTCCTGAAATTAACTGAAGCTCAGCTACTATAGTTAAACTACATTTTAGTTTATCTTGTTAGGCTTAGTGCAGTAGCCTAGTCCAAATCAATAGCCTTCCATGAATTTTATTTGACTATTTCCCCCTTCTGTCTATGTGTGTGTATGACCAAAACTTAGGGTATTAGCACTACTCTTAGTCACCATCATACTGGGTTACTGCACTCAACATGTTGTTCATAGGTTATGATGTCCTCATGATCCTATATTTCTTTGAGTTCTTGTCATCTCAGCCAAAGAGAGACCATTTAGTGTCCAGCATATTTCTGCACATAGACATTTAAGACTCCACGAAAGAATACAGTGCACCAGCGGCTCTACTATTATGATGAGTGAAACCAATATAATAGTCCTATAGACAGTTTTTTTGGATAAACATAAAAATCGACGCTTCTAGTCTTAAAGCTTGAAGCTTACCTTTGTTTTATCTGAGTTCTTTCCTCAGAAAAAGACCCTCAGACCTCTCAAAAAGCGTCAAAGAACTGAAACTCACCAGATCACCACATCCAGACAATGAGATGTTGGATCCCTCATTCATCATGATTGTTTCCTTATCCCTCCCTAGCTCCTGTTTTCCCACACATTATTACATTTATTCCCTGCTATATAATCCCGTAATTTTAGTTGGTCAGGGAGATGGATTTGAGACTAATCTCCATTTCCTTGGCTGCAACACCCAATTAAAGCCTTCTTCTTTGGCTATAATAATTGCCTCAGTGATTGACTTTCTGTAAGGTGAGCAGCAAGACCTGGACTGAATGCCTGGTGTTATGGTAACAAAAGAATAATACCAAGGATTTGGAGTATATTCCTTAGCCAAGTTCCTCATGAACCAAACCAACTAAAATCAAATCTATTAAAGAATGAAGCTGGAGAAGGAGTCTTTTCATTTTGACCAAATAGCTTGTATGTTAATTTTTTGTAACTAAGTCTCTGCAATATCCAAAGTATTCATTTATGTGCAACAGAAATATTATACTGCACAAACTCCTCCCTATTCAGCTAGTAAGTAATCTAGCACTTATAGCTGGGTTAAATTAAAATAGGGAGTGAGAACAAGTGGGTCCAGAAATCTAGTTACAAAATTATCTTGTCAAACAAAAGAAGTAGGTATAGGCAAGGAAACGGTAACAGGTGTAAGAGCCTCATTATGATAAGGAATCTTATTCCAATGTCTTGGGGAAAAGCTGTCCACATCCAACAAGTCATCTACTTTTAGGGAAAAACCTTGCCTGGTCAGCTTTACCTGAAAGTCTCCAATAGGTGGACAGTTCTAAGGCTCTGGAGAGGCCCTTTTAAATTATAAAATTTAAACCCAAAGTTTAATGCCCTGAAGTTTTAATGAAGTATAGGTGGTAAAAGAACCTGGAATGGCCCTTTCCAATAGGGTTCAAGGACAGTCCTTTCAGATGCCACTTCCATCTGAAGACCCAGTCTCTGGGTTCTAGATATGAAAGGTCTGGATATCATCAGTTGGTGAATCATGAAAACCTCCTTTATCTGGTGAAAATACAACCTGGTATAATATATAAAAGTCATATAACATTTGGCCATATCACAATTTAGAAAAGCAGGAGACACATGTATTAAGGGTACAGGCCTTCCAGTAACTATTTCATAATGATTATAACTTGGCCAAGGCAATCCAATTGACCTTGCCAATTAAAATTTCAAAATTCTATTTATTCTTTCTAGTCACAGAAGACTGAGAATGATAGGAACAGTGGCAAAGCTATTGTTAGTAACACCCTGTTAAACTGTTTTATAATTTTTCCAATAAAATTAGTACCACTATTACTGATGATTTTTCCAGGAATGCCCCATAAAGAAAACACACTTTCAAATAACTTTTCAGCCACTGTTATAACATTGGCCTTCCTGCATGGAAAGCCTCTATATAACCAGAGAACATAGTCTATTACAAGATCATATTTATACCCATTGAAAGTGGCAATTGAGTGAAATCCGTTTGTAAATGTTCAAATTGTTCATTAGATAGCATAAATGTAGCACCTGAAGCTTTTATTGTCCTCCTGGGATGATGTATTTGAAAAACCAAACAGGAGCCATAAAGTATTTTAGCAATTTTATTAGTCATTCCATCAATATTTGTTAGTAATTTGAATCATCTTGCCTATTTTGTGATGAGTCGTGAAGTGCAAGAATCTTAATAATGGAAGCCTCCAGGACTCAGAAAGAAATAGGCAGCTGTCTGGGCCCTCTGTGAGTCCATTCTTGATAAAAATTTGTATCCTTTCAGATACAAACCTTGCTTTTCTAAATCAGGTGCATTGCACTGTTTAATAAATTATCATAGAAGAATTTTATTGGATCGATCTTAGGAAGTTTATTTAATTTGAACATCTTAACAATTTCAGCATTGGCTGACCTTGCATGAAAAGCTGCCGAAACATTTTCTTGATATTCAATGAATTTTTATTCTTTTTGATGTTGAGTTAGTTTTATGAAACAATCAACACAAGTTCCTGAAATCTGTATCCAATCTAGTGGTATGATCTTAAAGTTATCAAAAACCTGTACTAAAGTCCTTTCCATGAACTTTCTTGAAGAAAAAAACACTTTTTACACTATAGCTGGTTGCAAATACTTTTAGAGAAAAATCAAAACTATAACTGTGAATTACAAAGGCTTAGAATAGCCATGACAAAAATCTGATGAGAGTTTGTTATAACCAGCAATTGACAAGATAATTTGGTTACCTCTATTGGACATAACATATTAAAATAATGAGTAGAATTATTACCAAAATTGTTATGCAAAGACTATTAAATTTCTATGAATTTCATACAATTTCTGAAACACCTTTATAACATGTCTATATCAATACAACTTAAAGAAGGTTTAGCATTATTTATTTTGACAATGTAATTTAATTGTTAAATAAGCCTAATTAGTTTAATATATAATTTATTATATAAAATAATATATAATGTAATATATGAAATATGCCTAATTAGTTTAATATATCTCTTTCAGACACTCTGGGGTTCTTCTGGAATGTTCCAAAATTAGATTGAAGTCAAAAACCCTAAACTAGAACTTGACTTTAGGAAGCTTGTCAAAAATATCAAAGGTTTAAAACTCTTGGTCAAAATAAGATTACAGATCACTGTGGAAGTAATATCATTCATTTAACCAAAATGAAAATCAAAAGACTTTAAGGGCTAATAGCAGAAGCCACATAGCTATAAAAAAGAAACTCCAGCTCATTGGTAGAGAAAACACAATTTTCCTAAGTAATCAAAAGATCTTTTAAAGCTCTATTTTCTATTAAGAGCAGATCATTTCTCCAAGAAAACCTTGTTTTAACATAAGAAACCAAACTCTAATTTTGCATCAGTGTACTTTTGATATTAATGCTCAATTCTTGGAAAAACTTATAAAAGGTTCCCTTCTAATTTTAGCCGGCTTGATCACACGCAAGATTCCTTTGACATGATTTATCTTCCACAAACCTACAACCTTTTTGTACATTACCTATCATCCCTTCCTTCATTTACTCACTCTGAAACAAGTTTTAAATACCCTCCAAACTAGACAAAATTACTTCTCCTCAACAAAAGACATATCTTTCATACCTTATAGCTTCACTTACCAAAAACATGTCTCACTTTCCTCATTTAATTCTTTGTTATTATTTCTAGTTTTCTAGTCTTAGTTAGAATTTTAATTTTCTAGTTTTAATTAGAATTTTTTATTCTTGGTGACCTTAATTTCTAGTGACAACCTAAAAAATATACAATTCTGAACGGTTGTATATTAACATTTTTTACAAACCTTTTAATGTTTATTAACAGACCCAAATATACCTAGCATTTTTAATCATGTGAAAAAAAAGTCTCACTTAAAGAATTTATTCATTATAGATTATTAAATTATGAACCAGCACTCTGTCTGGTACTAGATAAATGGCATCAAAAATAGTTGGCATGAGGAGTTCAATTCCACTGTTCATTTGCAGATACTAGTGAGTGGGTAATTACCAACAGGTAGGTAGGCAAGGCAAGTCCTTCTGAATTCCCCTTATCATCCTAAAGACAGAGCCGTCAAACAGACTCAACTATCATCACTCCTCTGAAGATTAACTCTTATCGCAGGAGAGATTTTACCACACCCAGACAAACCTTGCTACAAACCATCATCTATTCTTCTAAGGTCCATTCAACTTTCTCAAAAACAATTCATTCTGAGTATATTTTCTTCACCTCTTGATCACTTTACTCATTTCAGCAAGCAGGTTGAGTCAAGGGACCCCTGGCCTTTCCTTGATTGACCTGACTAATTATTGCCCTAAGTGATTACTAATTAGGTTGATCACTGTAATCAGATTTTGGACTAAATATACTAAATATCATAACCAGCTGAGACAAAGAAAGACATAAATGGAAAACCTCATTGACACAAAATGGCCAAACATGAGTCTTGCTGTATATATAGGCCCAAGTCTTTTTTGCCTTTTACATCATAAAAGCCTCTAGTGATTTAGTCCTTCCCTCTTCCCAGTGCAGAGAGGGAGACAGCCCTGTGAATGGAGACTCTCCACAGGTATAAATTTCCTTCACTAAAGACAGGTCTCAAAATAACTAAAAATAGGTTGCTTTCCAATTCAGCCCGTGATCTTTCAATTAAATTACTGAGTTCAGGGTGGAGCTCATTAACGAATGGGATTCAAAAAGCCTCTTCTATGTTGGATTAGGATACAGTTTACTATTGTTATTGTTCTGAACTCAAGGTGTAACTTACAGAAGCAGACTCCATTGATCTAAGGAGTCAATCTCTATAAAAAGCCTATTTTTTCTTTTTTTTTTTCTCCTGTTTTTAGTGTTTTAAATGCTCTATGGCAAATTTGCAAATATTATTGTTTCTGGGTTTAAAAAGTCATTTTCTAAATGTATCCCACAAATAAACAATTTTACCCAAACTAAAGCTTCCTAGTTTGGGTCACTGTAATTCCAAATTACCTTTGGTAAGGTTCACTCATTTCTCTAATGAGTGCACATTCTAGAAATTTTTTTACATAAAATTTGAGTTTCAAAGGGAAGTGTTCCAGACTTTGGACCCAATCCAGTTTCTGTCTGACTCAAACAGCTACCACACACCCATAAAATGGTCATAGGCTCTTCCACAGTACAGACTGACCCTTGACCACCCCAAGGTCATGTGCTCTCTCATGGTACAAACTAGCCCTGGATAAAGTTCCAGAAGGTGGAGTTCTAGACTCCCTGAATCCAGGTGAACCCATGATTCCCTGTCTTCCAGTAACCTTACCTACCTACTGAACCCTGTTCAGTTTTTTTATTTGTTTCTTTGTTTGTTTTTTTAAATATTTTTAAAGCATTTATTGAACACAGTTAAGAATTCCGGTCTTTGTTTTCTGGCCATAAGCTCAAAGAGAAAAAAATAACAATTGGAAACATTTCATAATTGTTAGATAAATCAGAATATGACTGCAAAGAGACAGAGAACAACTCTCTTGTCCAGATTCTAAAAATAATGGTGAAATTTATCATCTTAGCACAGTCCCAAGCTATGTATCATCAGAGGAAATTTATCAAACTTGAGAATCAATAAGTAAATGAACAGAATATTTCTATAAACAAAGGAAATATGGTATTTTCATTCATGTAGTCAATAAAAATAACTTCAATGCACAACATTTGGGAACAAGAACCTGGACTATCCCACATACATGTATTCTTTCATAATTTGGGATGTTTCTGTACCAAAATTTAGTTGCTATGCATCATAAATTGTCAAATGATGAAGGCAGATGTGTATAAAAGGTTACTAGAGGAAAATATGTAATTTAGAAATTAAAGAATCATTGAATTGATTATTCTAATCGCTGTTGATATATCTAAAAGTGAAAACACTTTCCATTTGTGGAGCAAAGAGTATGGCTGTCCTTTCATCAATAAAATTATAAACTGTTAACATTTTCAAAAAGCTATTTGAGTATTGCATTTTTATGGTGCAAGAACAAGAAGCATTAGATGTAATAAAAAGCTAGAATGTATTAGAAAAGTGTTTAAAATCTGTAATTTTTAGAAAATGTATATATTCCAGGTTCATGAATGACAGCCAGTAAGCAGCTAGTCACATTCAGAGGATCACTCTAGGTACAATATCTTCAAAACTAACAAAATATAAAATAAAAATTTGAGTTAGCTATGATGACATTCTTATTAAATGTATTAATAAAGTCATTTTCAGTATACCTTTTTTCTTGTGTAATTTTTAAATTTTTATTTATTTATTATTAATACACAATAGTTGTACCTATTTTGGGTACAACTATTATCACCTATGTGATATTGTGATACCTGTATAGAATGTGTTATAATTAAATAAGGGTAATTACCTCAAATATTTTTGTATTTTATTTTTTATATTTTTATTTTATTTTTGTTTTCAGGACTTTACAATTTTTTTCTCCTAGCTATTTTGAAATATGTAATAAGTTATTGTTACCTATAATTTTCCTATTGTATTATCAAATGCTGGTATTCCTGCTATCTAAGTGTATTTTTGTACCCATTAACAATCTTCTCTTCATCTCCCAGTTTTTCGTGTGTCTGATTCAGTCAGACAATGGAGGCCTCTTTGTAGGACCCAGTCCTGTTTCTACTGAACCCAGTTCATTTTCTGTCTGACCCAGTTAACAACTGAGACTTCCCTACCAGTCCTGTTTCTATCACAACTTCTGAACCTAGTTGGACAAAAAACTTGCTCAAACTCAGATAGCAGTAAATAAGCAAGTCTCATAAGTTGGAGCATGTTAGACATCAAGTATTTTATTATACAACTTTCATTTATATCACTGCTAAATACATAACTTTAAAGACACACATAAACACTTATTAATTTATCCATTAACTAGTCAAGTATGTATTCAATGGTCCACTTACTGAGACCTACTCTATTTTATCCTAGGCACCAGGATTACAAAGCTTAACAAGTCATGATTTAGATTCAGAAGTTACAAAGAGTGGAAAAGGTAGGCATATCAACAAAATATGTGCTTAGTAATAAACATATGTAAAAGATAATAAAGGGATACTTAATTTTTATTATATGATTTCAGAGAAAGTCGTAACTGTGCCACGGTTTGGAAAATGACTAGGGGTTCTGCAGGAAGAAGATAGTAACAAGAGAATTTAGGCCAAAGAAAACAGTTTGTGAAGGGAACCCACAAGGTTCTTTTTTTTTTTTTTTTTTTTTTTTTTTTTGAGACAGAGTCTCGCTCTGTCATCCAGGCTGGAGTGCAGTGGCGTGATCTCGGTTCTTTTAGGGTACTGTAAACAGCCTAAAAGAGTATTTTGAAGTATACATTTCAAAAGGGAAGTGGATGAGATATTAAGCTAGAAACGTAGGTAAGGGACAGATTTTTGAGAGTGTATCTTTATGTAAAGCAGATTGGATCTTAGTTTGGTAGACAATAGGGTTCTGAGCAATGGGATCACATTCAAAGATCATTCTGATACACTTGAATGTTATATATTTGGAATTAAGGATATGAATCACAGGTTGCTATAATAGCACAGTTGAGAAAAATGCCTTGGCAATGGCAATGAGAATGAAGAGGTAAGATTCAGCATATACCTAAGAGAAATAATCAGAGAGACTTGGTTTAAATTGGATGTTTGGAATAAACAGTTGTGAGGATGTCTCACAGGATTTTGTCTTGTGTTTATTCCCTGCTGACCCTACTGAATAAAGTAGGAAAAAGCAATTGAAAGAAAATTGGGTTAGGAGGAGCTGACTAATAGTTAGTGAAGTGAAGGCAAAAGATGGTGTAACAGAGTAATAATATTTGGCAAAGTTTTAACCTTGTTGACTTTAAGGGGTGGGTGCCTATTAAGCTGTTAGTTCTATAAGCCTGACACTCAAGAACAGGAAATGAGGTAGGTACTGAAAAAGCCCAAATCACAGGCAGGAATGATGATTGTGTATATTATTATGTTATTGTAGTAATGACTCTAACTCAAAGACCAGTCCAAAATATGTAGGTAAAGACAAGATAATTATTTGTAATACCATAAAGTTAACTATGTCTTCAGAAGTCATCCCTTTTTATTATTTTATATTGATCACACCTTCTTTTAAAAAATAAGACTGCAAATATCTAATCACTGAAGACGAGGCTCTTATTAACATATTTAGTTTCCTACTTTTTAAAACAACTTTTTATTTTGAAATAATTTTAAGCTTTCATAAAATTTACAAAAAGTGTACAGAAAAATTTTGTGTGCCCTTTACCCAGTTTCCCCCAGCGATATCATCTTAGATAACCATAGTAGAATTATCAAAAACAGGAAACTAGCATTGCTACATTACTAATTAAACTACAGCCCTTATTCAAATCTCACCAATTTTCACATGCACTCATTGGTTTATTGTTGTTTTAGTTTATACATCTATGAAATTTTAATGCATGTGTAGATTCATTTAATCACTGTCATAGTCAAGATAAAAAATAGATTCATTGTCCCCCATACTCTCTCCATCAACTGATAGTCACCCCTTTGCCTACCTCCTCTAACAACCAGTAATCTTTTCTCTATCTCTATAGTTTTGTCTTTTTGAGAATGTTGTAGAAATGGAATTATGCTATTATAGTAGGTAGCTAGTCTCGCATGAGCAGAGAAGGAAAGGGCTCCCCTGACATACACACACATCAGGAATGTCAGGCGACCAGGTGACGGTAACGTGGTTCTTAAATGTCTCTCTAAAATAATAATTTGTCACAGCCAGCGCCAGCAAAAGGCAGTCACCTAATAGATACAAAACATCTGAAACTGCTGATCAGCAGCTTCCTGATAAGATCTCAGAAGTTGGGCAAGTGGGCTCAAGCACGTGCATGTGGACAGCCCAACCCAAGCAAAGAATCAGGGGAGAAGTAACGCAAGACCCCAGAAGTATGCCAATGTATAAAACCCCACATCAAAAGGTCAAACTGTGCTCTTGATCTCTCAAGTCACTCACTTGGCCTTCTTCCAAGTGTACTTTAATTCTAAAGCTTTTAAATAATCTTTCACTCCCACTCTAAAACTTGCCTTGGTCTCTCCTTCTGCTTTATGCCCTTAGGTCATATTCTTTCTTATGAGGAGACAAGAACTCAGGTTGCTGCAGATCCATATGGAGGATATGCCTCTGGTTACATATTTTGGTGCCATGTGAGTCGGATACGTTCTGTTGCTAACAATACAGTACGTAACCTTTTGAGAATGGCTTCCTTCACTCAACGTGATGCTTTTGAGATTCATCCAAGTTGTTATGGGCATCAGTTGCCAGCTCTTTTTAATGGAAAGTAAATCTACTTGCAAAGCCTATCTGTGGCCTGCAATTACTTTGAGGTTTTGGTCACTGTAGTTAGCCATGAATGGTAATGATCACTTAGCTCTCTAAGGTTGAAGTTTGAGCATAATATATTCACATGCAAAAGAGCCGTGGGGATCACTTCATGGAAGTTACTCTCATTTTTCTTCTTTTTATGGGGCTAGCTAATAATTCTTATTCTGCTAACAAAGTTTCGGGGAGAACAAATTTGACAATGAAATTCAAAAGAGAGAGAGTGTGTGTATGTGGATGTGTGTGTGTGTTATTTGATGTGTACAGAAAGATTTTCTTTACATTTTATTTCAAGTCAATCATTTGTACTTTATTTTCCTACTATGGTGCTGTTCATGGTTGGTTAGGATCAAATACTGTTTTTTGTTTGTTTGTTTGTTTTGAGATAGAGTCTTGCTCTGACACCCAGGCTGGAGTGCAGTGGTGTGATCTTGGCTCACTGCAACCTCCGCCTCCTGGGTTCAAATGATTCTCGTGCCTCAGCATCCTGAGTAGCTGAGACTACAGGCACGCACCACCACACCTGGCTAATTTTTGTATCTTTTTAGTAGAGATGGGGTTTCGCCATGTTGGCCAGGCTGGTCTTGAACTCCTGACCTCAGGAGATCCACTCGCCTTGGCCTCCCAAAGTGCTAGGATTGCAGGCATAAGCCACCGCGCGTGGCCCAAATATTGTGTTTTAACCATTTTTCCTACAGACTCATAGCATAACATGTCTGTGATTTCTAATTAGGTCATGCTGTAGCTCATAAACTGAGAATATCTATATAAATCGATTTTAAATACATGAAAATTCTCACAATTATTTAAAGTTTTTGGCTGCTTCTGATAAATTGGTCCTAGATTATAATAACAGGTCAACTTTTTAAGTTAGGAGGGAGGTGGTTGGTTTTTTCAAAGAAAATTTCCACAGGCTTCTAGGAGATGACTTCATGGGTCCAGAATTTGTGTTCTTTTGGTATGTTTGATGAAAATAAAAATTTGAACAATTGAAATGCACTAAATGTAGCTAAGTTGTGAAAGAATTACATGGGACGTGGGAGAAAACCACATGGGCATTGTTTTAGAGCATTTGTTTTGCATCTGGCCAGCTAAAGTGACAGAAAATAAGCAAAGAGACAGAGGCATACACATCTAGGACACTTAAACACCAAGGCCCAGTTTAGGACCATGTGCCTGCTGTTCAGAGAAGGGAGCTATCAAGGCTATGAGAATTTATCAGAGAAAGGTTTATTTTCCAGAATTTCTGCAATGTGATGATATACTTTCACAACAAGGGAAATTATTTTAAAGAACAAAATAATGAAAGTGGTTTGGGATCAGGTTGACTATGAGCACAAGTAGTCTGGACTTCATTCCATGTGCAGTGCAGTGTTACTGATGATACTGGGCTGTGGAGGTACGTGATGAAAACAGTATTTTATTGAGATTATCCTGGCAGCAAAATCTTCAGCTAATGGAAACTGGAGCCAGTGGATCTGTCACAAGTGATCAATCCATGTTGCCAGTATAACACTAAGATAAGATCTTGATCTAGATTAAGAGCAGCCAAAAGTAGGAATGAATACATAGTTTATAAGAAAGCATCTGTTGCTAGTTCTGGGAGAGTAGCGGAATGCTTTGAACTTGTGAGAAAGTAGGTTACATGTTTTCCTATTTATGATGTTTCAAAGTGTGTTGAAGCTATTTTTAAACTCTTAAAAACTGTGTGTGTGTGTGTGTGTATGTGTGTTTGTGTGTGTGTGTGCTTCTACCAAGAATGAATTTTAGGTTTTATTTCTATTTTCATGGACTCTTCAAGCCTTATGTGAGTCCTTGATTATACCAATGTCTCAAGCTTGTGTGCTGAAGTTTTTTAAAACTGTGAGGATGTGCAAATTCTGCCTACGAATAGATTGGATTTGCCCTCCAGGATTAGATGCCAATTTGTGCTTAAACTTAGCCACCTATAGCGACTAAAGCATGTTAGTTACTCTGTCTGAACATGTATTTCAAAATTAACCATACAGAAATCATGTCTCAACTTAGGAATGTTAGAAAAACTGCACTAGTAGACCCAGCTCAAACCCCCTAACCTTTGTTGAGTCTTTTAATTTTATGATACAACATAATCAAGGAAAATTAGATAGTGATAGAAGCAAAAGAACATTACTTTTGTTGGTGGTGACAATATTATGAATTCAAATGTGTATTATAATTTGTCCTAATTGAGACTCAATTTGTCTTAATTGAGACTCTTATTCCTAAGAAATACAATGTAGTTATCTGTAGTATGATATATGCATGACCAGAGATCATAGACATGATTGTTTTTAAAAGGAATAGTTTGCTTGTAATGACCCACCATGGGAAGGATAAATCTTCCTTGTACTTGGGTCTTCAGACCACAGTTGCATTCAAAACATGTCATTTAGGACTGTGAAAGAATGATTCTTTCTGATGGTTTTAACATTAAAGAGAAAAAAAAAGCAGAAGAAGGAATTTTGAAACTTAGGGTATGGATATTGAATTAGTTCCAATGGGCTCAACAAATGTAAATAATTTGACCAATGATGCTGAGACAAAATGTATGGGTATTGGGGTAGATATAAGCAAATGTACAAAAAATTATAGTTAAAGGCAAGCTATTTAACCAGGGATTCTGAAGTGTGAGAAGTTGTAAGGTAATGAAAATTTGTCTTTAATTTTGATGAGATCTATATTACATGGGCTTACATGTGGAATTACAATTCATGGGGTGATCAGCTCATCCTTGCTTACTTGGGACTTTCTTGGTTTTAGCACTGAAGGCCTCATATCTTGAGAAAATCTTCATTGGTCACCCTAAATCTTAGTATTATTTTTAAAATGACATTAGCATGGATCTGTTTCCTCCTTCACTTCATCTTCCTTTACTTTCTTACCCTCATGGGAGTCACCTATCATCATAATTATCAATACCACTTATTTTAAATGGCTGTTGATGGTTGAAAGCTTTTCAACTAAAAGAAACAAGAAGCAATTTTTTTCGTGTAGACATTCACATATACAGCATCTCCCAAGTTTCATGGGCCTCAGGTTGATATAAAAATTTATTTGCGCTCTTCTGAACCATTGAACTAAAATTCTCATTCTGTTATGTTTAATCTCATGTTTAACACCAATTGTATTTGTAAATTTGAGAGGTGGGGGTGGGGGAGTTTATTTGCCTAAAATTTATTTTATTTTAATTACAGCAGCATTGATATAAAATTTCACATTTTAAAATCTATGTTGTTGGAAACATCTTCAGATGTGCCAGAAGTGCTGAAATAGATACAATCTAGTAGCTTGTCAGTAAAGCAAACAAAAACTGCTGGGTCAGGAGCACAGCTGTTTGCAGAAGGCATTAAATATTTTTTTTACAGTCTTTCCCACAGGCCAATATTCTTTTATGTATTGATTTATATTTTAATAATGACAGGCTCCACTGGCATGAGCATTTCTTTTCCTCAGAAATTAGATAAAATCGTAATTTAGACACAGGATAAAAGGTGGAGAGAATTAGCATTTTGCAGCATTAATTAGCTTACTTGCTCTCACTTATTTCTGATCAAATAGAGGATGCTTAGAGCAGCAGCAAACAAAGCTATGAGTATCCTTCAGTTGTACAAGACGACATTGATGTTTCTAATGCATGTAAATTCAATAGCTTTGCCTTTATTTTAAAAGTATGGTTTTAAAAATACTGGTTTTAGATCACTACAGTAAGGAGTGAACAAAGGAAGTAATTGGATGTAAAATATAACATTAAAAGGACTATAATTGAAGGAAATGCTCGAGCTGTGAAAACACTCCTAGAGAATGTATGATTATGCAAGCTTTCTCCCAGTTTGGTACTCTCATTCCTTCTCCAGCATTTTCCTGTTTTGCATCTTCATTATGAATTGAGGTTGCCAGAAAAAAAAAAAAAATGATGTAACTTTAGCAGGCCAGCATTTCATTTTTAAATAATTGTTTGTGTTGTTTTCCAAAGCATACAACTTCAATCTTACTCGACCAGCTCCTCTCTAGCCCTATTGCTGCCCCTTGTAGCTACTGCTTTATTCGATTCGACCTGTGCACTTTCTCCACTGTCGGCTCCCAGCACTGTGTTTCTCACTTTCTCTTTCCACATGGCTGCTTGGTTTGCAGAAGATGCCTTCCTACAGATGTGTTCCCTCTCCTGACAAACAATTACTCCTGTTCCCCCCAGCAGGAGTCCATTAGGATATCATCACGGGTTCTGCTAAGTCATCTCACAATCACAGTTTTGTGCAATCACCTCTCATCTGAGACTCTCTAGGCATATGCCATGCAGGGAAACTAGCAGTCACAAATGGCAGCAACTCCAGGCATATTATTTGTTATTTTGGTCCAGAAGTGTAACAGATAATGGCTAATACGCTAATGTCTGACAGTCTCATTGGACTCTTTGACTGGCATCATTTACAGCAAACTTGTGAAAGACTGAATGGGTTATCATGTGCTAGTTGAGAGAGAAAGAAAGAGACATTTTCATATTTCCATAGCAATTATACACAATGGTCTAAAAGAGACCTGACAATAGTGATTTTTACAAAGTTGTTTTTGTGCAGACTTTCAACATTGTGAGCTTGGAAGAATAAATTGCCAGATACTAATTATCTTCCTGGAAAATAGCCATTTATATGTTTATTTTTATTTTAATCTCACAAACCCAGCTTATGTGAATCCATACAGCGAAGACCTATCTAAAATATACTCCTTTAAAAATCGATGAAATACACATGCAATGGAACACGCATGGCTTTTTTTCTTAAGGTATCACTGACAGCACTACCTATTAAATCTTCTTGTTTTATAGGTAGCATCTCACAGGAATTTCAGTAAGTCTAAGCTCAATATTTAATATATTATAAAATAGGTGAATTTTGGCATGATGTTATATTAACACTTAAATTGTTTTTTATTGATTCTTGGGTCTGGTTTACTACTGCACTGGGGTTCAATGTGTAAAATCAGACAATGTACTAACAAGCTAAGACTTCTACAGAGTCCCAGAGGGCAAATGAGGAAGGGGGCGCTGTTCTCCTAGTCTGAAATTTCAGTCATTCATTGGTTTCCCTTACTGCTGTACACAAGTTCCTTAATTTCACTTCCTCAAAACTTCAAAATGAAATTTTATCAATTTTGATTAATTGAAGTGAAAACCAGTCAGGATTGGTGTGAACATATGAATTACAGATTTTTTGGAAGAAATACAGTTTTATTTTTGGCCAGGACACATAGGTAATTGAACTAAGCACTGAACACAGTGTCCCAGTCTGATATAACGTGGACACTCAATACATACTTATGTAATTGAGCTGAATTGGAACCAAGAGCTGTATAGAATCTCCACTTTAATGAACAAGTGAAAGTTATTGGTAATTGGAAAAGCAGAGTATCAGCCACAACAACCTCAGGCTCTCCTTAAATTGTAACCAACCACTTGCATTTGGAAAGATGCTCCCAAAGTACTTGAATTCAGTGTGTTCTCTCTCAAGTAGCCAGATAAACATCCCTGTTCAATGTGGCTTATGTTGTTCACTTGTTCAGTTAAAACTAGTCATGCATGCCTTATTTTTTCCCTTCTACTGAGAAGAAGAAAACAACAACAAATCTGTAAACCTAGTTTTTCTCTCCACCTGGATTTTCACAAATTCTAGGTTAGTCTAAGGGAATTTGGATTATTTACCCTCTATTGTATCCCCATTCTCTGCTCAATAGATTTACAAAAGATAAGAAAAAAAACAGTTCCAACTGAGTTGGCTAAATGCTATCGGTGACATAAAAATGCAGAAGCTCTAGTCCTGTCTTGGTGCATCTCATTTCAACTGTCAAATATATCCAACTTCTAAATCCAGTGACTTAGAAAGACAGAGGAGAGAGAGACAGAGAGAGAGAGAGAGAATGCACATTGGTTCTCTTTATGTACCTCAAAAGAATAAAGTCTGAAAACTCACATAAGTGTAAAAACTGACCTTATAACATTCAAATAACTTATTGTCAATTATTCCATTCAAAAAATAGGTGTTGAATTCCTACTATGTTCAAAACACTGTATTAGCTGTTACAGGTGGATACAAAACTTAGGAAGATAGGTTATCTTCCTTTACAAGGGCCGAAGTATAATAAAAATGGTAAGATAACTATAGCATACAAATAATTGCACAAACAGAACATTCTGTAAATTACTATACAGAAATGAAAAGTGAAATGGTCCTGAGTTTGATTTCAACTCAGTATGACCCTGACCATGCCACTTAACTTCCTCAAACCTCAATTTTCATATCTAAAAATGTAGGCCTAATAATGACAAACTTGTCTTTGTAAAGATTGGGTGCAATGCACAAAAAGTACATAGTGTGGTGTCTGGCACACAGACAAATGCTCAAAAAAATAGGATTTATCAGATGGTCTTAATTAAGGATTTCCCCATAAATATGGTAAATGAGATAGGCCTTGAAATATGAGTAGAGTATCACTAGGTTTACCTAGCTAAGGTGGGTAAGAGAACATTCATGTTTGAGGTTACGTGCAGAGTTATCATCATTTATCCCTAGCAGATTGTTGGCATGACCACCTACCTGGGTCACCCATCAAAAGCAAAGGGAAGACAGAGTCAAAGGAGAGAGAACTTGAAGCTAAGAGAAAGCAGAGTCAGTCCAGACTTCCCTGCTGCGTATTTGTACAGCAAGCCAAGGGAAAAGATTTACTCTAGGTCTGAGTAATACCCCTAGTGATCCAAAGAGATTCACATCAAAAGAAGTCAGAAGAGAGTATGGATGCGGGCATCTAAAGAAGAGATCATAGGAGAATACAGGGTTAAACTGGGTGTTTCAAGTGTTGAATCAGAAAAGGACAGGGGAAATCAGAGTGGGATTTGGGATCCTTCTCTCCAGTTCAATTACCTGTTTATTGAATGTCCATGTTGTGCCAGAATAGCAGACTAGGATACTGTGTTCAGTGCTTAGTTTGATTACTTATGTAATTGGACAAAAATAAATTTCCTGGGAATTTGGTGCTGATATGAACAGAGAAAGACACACACCTGTTGATCTGCCTGGCCTGTGCCTTGGACATCAGTTTTGAATATGAGGTGCTACAGAGACATAGGAAAGAAGTCAGTTCCATAGATGCGTGAGATTCTGCAAGAGGCTGGATTTGAAATCTTCATCCTCTACTAGGCTTTGGTTTTAGGAGAAGCACAATATATTCTGCACAGTGTAGAAGTGCAGTGTATTTTGCAGGTATATGAGGCCAACACTAAAAGGAATGAAAAGCATATGATTGAAAACTCATGGGAAAAGTGCATACACTAGTTTGGGAGATGGATCCACAAAGATATATAGAGGTAATAATGCCAGCTGAGGAGTTATGTTTAATTCAAAAGTTAAAAAGAAGCTCTTGGATATTATCAAGAGGTACAGAGAAATAATTAGAACCATGCTTTTTGGAAATTGGACCAGAAGGAAGAGAAACTAGAAAACTAAAGGCAGAGAAGTCGATGAGGTAGCCACTAAAAACAAAGTCTGAATCTAAGTCAGTGGGAATAGAAATGAAGAGACGTGCATGGAGATAGAACGAACAGGAGTTTATAGTTGATTAGAGTGTAGAAAGAAGGAAAAGAGCCATGTTTTAAGTGATTATAGCGTTATAAGCAAAGTCTCTGAAGTCAGATTGACTTACTTGCAATTTTTCTGTGCCTCATTATTTTATCATCTGTAAAATATGTGGGTTAATAGTACCTATCCAATAGGGTTGTTGAAAAGTTTCATGGGCAAATGCAAGTAAAATGCATTGAAAAAGTATTTGTTTTATAGTAAGTACCAATTGACTCAGAGATATACTGATGATTCTGGGCTTCTCTCCTTAGAAACACAAAGAGGTGTTGGTGCCATGAACTGAGAAAAGGAACATGGGAGGAAGTACGTCTTTGGAAGTAGAGGCGAGAATGAGTTCCAGAAATCAAATTGTCCAAACTATCTCCCTGGACACACCAGGTGTAGTATAGGTAACCCTATCAGTTATACAGTCAGTGAGCAAAAGAGTATGGAGGAGAGCTAGATAGAGTAAGAACCTGGCAAAAACAAGAAATGGGGAAAGGAATCCCTATTTAATAAATGGTGCTGGAAAACAGGCTAGTCATATGTAGAAAGCTGAAACTGGATCCCTTCCTTGTGCCTTATATAAAAATTAATTCAAGATGGATTACAGACTTAAATGTTAGACCTAAAACCATAAAAACCCTAGAAGAAAACCTAGGCAATACCATTCAGGACATAGGCATGGGCAAGGACTTCATGACTAAAACACCAAAAGCAATGGCAACAAAAGCCAAAATAGACAAATGGGATCTAATTAAACTAAGGAGCTTCTGCACAGCAAAAGAAACTACAATCAGAGTGAACAGGCAACCCACAGAATGGGAGAAAATTTTTACAATCTACCCATCTGACAAAGGGCTAATATCAAGAATCTACGAAGAACTTAAACAAATTCAGAAGAAAAAATCAAACAACCCCATCAAAAAGTGGGTGAAGGATATGAACAGACACTTCTCAAAAGAAGACATTTATGCAGCCAACAGACACAAGAAAACATGCTCATCATCACTGGCCAGCAGAGAAATGCAAATCAAAACAACAATGAGATACTATCTCACACCAGTTAGAATGGTGATCATTAAAAAGTCAGGAAACAACAGGTGCTGGAGAGGATGTGGAGAAATAGGAACACTTTTACACTGTTGGTGGGACTGTAAACTAGTTCAACCATTGTGGAAGACAGTGTGGCAATTCCTTAAGGATCTAGAACTAGAAATACCATTTGACCCAGCCATCCCATTACTGGGTATATACCCAAAGGATTATAAATCATGCTGCTATAAAGACACATGCACACGTATGTTTCTTGCAGCACTATTCACAATAGCAAAGACTTGGAACCAACCCAAATGTCCATCAATGATAGACTAGATTAAGAAAATGTGGCGCATATATACCATGGAATACTATGCAGCCATAAAAAAGGATAAGTTCATGTCCTTTGTAAGGACATGGATGAAGCTGGAAACCATCATTCTGAGCAAACTATCACAAGGACAGGAAACCAAACACCACATGTTCTCACTCATAGGTGGGAATTGAACAATGAGAACACTTGGACACAGGGTGGGGAATGTCACACACCGGGGCCTGGCCTGTCGTGGGGTGGGGAGAGGGGGAAGGGATAGCATTAGGAGATATACCTAATGTAAATGACGAGTTAATGGGTGCAGCACACCAACATGGCACATATATACATATGTAACAAACCTGCATGTTGTGCACATGTTCCCTAGAACCTAAAGTATAATATTAATAAAAAAGAAAGAAATATCTTAGGTCATGGTGGCAGGGTTGGACTCTGAAGAAAAATCACCTCACTCTCATAAAGAATGTAGCTATAGAGATGTTTTAAGGCCAAGAACAGGGAAGTAGAAGTTATTACTTTGAATGATTGCCTTTAGAAGTGTGATTGATCTGGGGCAGTGGCTGGGAACCTGAAGAGAGTGAGATATTTTGAAATAATAGCTACAGGAATTGAAATAGTCACCTAGTGATGAATAAGAGAAATATAAAGTCACCTGCCTGTGGAATCTTTTAGCAAAATATCTTTCCAGACTTCATTTTCCACATGGGTGATAAGTTTTAAAATTTAGGTATTTTATGTCAACCATGAAACCCTGAGTTTTTCCCAGATGAATTGAGAATGATGTTTTTGAAAAGTATGTGATGTGCACAAAAAAGGTGTGTGTGTGAGTGTGTGTGTGTGTTTGTGGGTGTGTGTGTATTGTGTTGTGGGTAGTCATGTGATAGTATAAAATAACATCAGTATCAGAGTTTAATCAACTTAGAGCTTTTTGGGGTTTCACCAGATAATGTCCAGAGGTTTCTTAAAGATTCTGCTAAATAAATTATCAATCAAATTATGAGTTAATTATTGTACTTTGACAATAATCTATTGATGGTACTACCTTGAGAAAACTAGTCTCACAATATTATTCTGATTTATCCTTGCCTTATAATGTAGGAAATAGAATAGGAGAGCATGAAACAATCTGGCTTTCCTTATGCATATTGATTAAGGCCCCAAAGGGGAATGAGGAATCAATTCCATGTCACTATGGTTATTTGCACATAGAGTAACTGTTTGGAATTTAGCCTGATTCATATTCTGGAATGGCTTTCAACATCCTGCAGAGTCAGCACTGTTCATTTTGAGGTGTTTTCCATCTACTTTACATGCTTAATTGCTCAGTGACTGGTGGGTTTGTTTCATTCACTATGAGCAGTCTTGAGGCAAAGAGGCAACCAACAGTCACTAGATTATTTTCTTCAATTTCAGCCTGTGGTGTCAGGAGAGGTCCTTGACTTGTGACTGGCATTGAGCCCAGCAACCCGCCAGATCTATTGGAGCCCTCAGTGGGTTTTGAATGGTTCATTGGAGGGAGTTGATACTATCCTACGGGAAAGTTGAGTGCCAGCTGGTTTTAAAAATGTTCCTCTTTGACTTTCTGTGGCCTCTCCAATAAACCCATTTTACGAATGGGGAAAGGGAAGTTTATAACAAGTAACTTGGGTCATTAAAATCCCCTAATGGCTGGGTGCTAATGGGTAGGGGTATAAGAACTCAGTGGACTCATAACAATGACACAATGGAATAATAATAGGTAGTAATTTCATGAATACTACCTGTGTGCCTGAGTATCTACTAACTCTCACAATAATTCTTCATGTTACCTACAATTATTCCCATTTTACAGTTGAGAAAACTGAATCTCAAAGATAAAGCCTCAATAATCACACCTCTAGTAAGTGATAAATTCAACATGGAAACCTACTGCTATCTCATTCTAACATGTTAGTTTGCTTCTTCATAAGAAATCACGGAAAAAGATTATGTGGCTCCAGTTTTGCATACTGGACCCCATACATAGTTTATAGAAAATTGTCGATTCCTCTTCATTATGCTCAGTGTCTATTAGACCACTTATGAGGATGCCTAAGAGTGCCAGAACTATAGTAGCATAAACATGTACAAAAATGTAATCCTTAGTAAATATTTTTTCTGATCATATCATTGTGATGTTCCTGAGAGATTAGAAGCACAGGAATTTTAGTTCAAAAGAAGCTATTATAATTTTCCACTGAGGTAAAATATTTTTAAACATTTTGTCTACTCAGTTGCTTTTATTCAAATTCAGGAGTCATGCTTTCTGCTCTTATTGAATTCACCACCACGCCTAGCAAGCAAAAGGGTTCTTGGTAAATTTTAAGAATATCTGGTTTCCTAACTCAGTTTCTTCCAATATTCACACTTATACGTTATTTGCTCCAGATTTGCCCCATCCCAGGCTAAGAGATCAATTATGTTTCTTTCTAGATGGATTCTGCATGGTTTACGTTAATAATTAAATGGTTCAATAGCTAGTTGAATCTTTTTCTCTAGCTTTCTAGCTGATATCTTTCTCTGACCATGTACTTGGTTCTAGAGATAGAACTGTTGTCTCGTTGATTATGTACATACCCCTTTCTTAATTTTGACCCAGCCTCTCTACCTTGTTGGTCCTGTTTCTCGCTGACCAGCTTGCTTCTGCCAGTTCTCCTGGAGGCTGAAGTCTGGTTTTCAGCACCAAGTCTCATCGTTTTTTAGATACCTGTGGCAGAGTTTTGTAATGTTAACACTCTGCCTACCTACACCTCTATACATTTCCTGTCACATGCATTCCTGATTACAAGCACTGCCTAAAGACCTACTATTTGTTCTACAGGTGAGCATGTCCTACTCCGGTGGATTTTTTTTTTTCATCTCTGAGCTTGACCTGAGATTGACCATCTGACCTGAGCTATAATTTTGACATAAATTTTGACTAAAAGGTAACCTCTTATTTTAGAAGTTTTTTTCATTGTTGAATTACATTCTTCTTTGAAAGAATTGAAGACAGCTAATTATCCATGTACTGCCAAATGGTTGGAAAAGATGTGGTTACTATTTACATTATCTTAGAGAAAGTGAACTAGGGAAGAGATGACCATGTCTACTTAGGATCTCTCATGCATGCGTATATACATAATGAAAATGATCAATATAGGAATTTCCATTAGTATGCTCTTAGATTATCTCTATGTGCTTGCAGTAGGTTAGCCCAATAAGGTCATCAAAATTATATGAATTCATAATAGAAAGGTATTCCTCAATAATTGATCCAATATTAAGGCAGAAGCACTTCAACAAAAAAAAATCATTTCTTAAGAACTTTCTGTAAAACATACACTATACTATGTGTGGACCATATAGAGACCTGTTCTTTACTGTCAAGGGACACACCAACTTGATCTGGTAGTGCATTGGTTGCACATAACATTCTATCTTATATTGCCGTTGTAATAGACATAGTGAGGAATATAGTGAGGAACTTTCATTGATATTAGAAATATGTAACTCAATAGACATGGTACCTTTTGAAAACTGGCCATCAAGGAAAGGGTCACCTTGATTGCTACACCTAGACTTTAGGCCTGACATCTAGTGCCCACTATAAGAATTGCAGCACAGGCCTATACACCATGGAGTACTATGCAGCCATAAAAAAAGGATGAGTTCATGTCCTTTTCAGGGACGTGGATGAAGCTGGAAACCATCATTCTCAGCAAACTAACACAGGAACAGAATACGAAACACCACATGTTCTCACTCATAAGTGAGTTGAACAATGAGAACACATAGACACAGGGAGGGGAACATCACACCCAGGGGCTTGTTGGCGGGTGGAGTGTTAGGGGAGGGATAGCATTAGAAAAAATACCTAATGTAGATGATGGGTTGATGGGTACAGCAAACCACCATGGCAAGTGTATACCTATGTAACAAACCTGCACATGTGTCCCAGAACTTAAAGTATAATAATAACTGTAAAAAAGTATTGCAGTGCAGGGTACCAGACAATGGTTGCCCGATAAAGGTCACATGAAGGATCTGAGGTAGTTGAAATGAAACATGAATTCCAACCAGCTTCCTCTCTCACAGTCCTGAACCTACAATATATATCCATCCTTCAAGTGCATTTTCAAAATATGATCCTAAATAATCATGTAATTTTAGAGGTAGAGGGCTCACATACCATTTTCACTTAACTATATTCTAATTACTGGATATGAAAAAAATATAAAGAAAAACAAATCTTTAAATGTTCTGGCTTTAATGAGCACTTTTTGTAGAATTAACTTATTGAAAAGAGGAATTACCACATGTTTACACTGACTACATTTTGTCATGTTTTCTTCTTTTTTTAAAAAATGGAGGCTAATAATACTAATCTATTCGTAGGGGGATGTCTTTACCTTTATAACAGTGAAGGTAATTATAACATAGCTTTTAAGCTTTTGGGGAGAATTTAAACCGTTAATTCATGTAAATAATTTTGAACGGTGCCTGAAATATAGTAAATCCAAATGGTATTTGCTATTTTTTATTTGGGGTTTTATGATGATAATAAGCATTATATAGTTTTTAATGTATGCACATTTGTGGCCTTATTATCTTGGAAAAGTATTGTTTCCTCATATTAAAGTCTACCTATTTGGAGAATTCAAATGTTATATGTGATATGAAATAGTCATCGAGATTCAAAGTTGAAGGAACAATCTCTAGTCCAGCTCTCTCCTTTATGTATGAGGAAATATTACTAGAGATGATTACACAACTTTGCAAAGGTTATACAGATTGTTAAGAATGTGCCTAAAATCTGTTTTTTTTAAACTAAGTTTAATCTTGATTAAATCTTGGTTTAATCTACCAGCACCATGTGTCTCATTTTTATCTTCAAACTAATGCTGACAAATGAATTTTTTTCTCACAAAGAGGTGTCTGTTTTCATACATGGCTATGGATTTATAATATACAAGTATAATAAAAAAGTTTGATGTATTTCTACATTTTGAAAAAATATTAATAATTTTAACAAGTTTTTTCACTGTTGGAAAATAGTAATGTAAGTAAACAGAAAGATTAAACATAGCCATAATCCCATTGTTCAGATATACATACACACACATATAATATATACATACATATTTATTATTTCCACATATGTCCTTCTGTACTGTTCTATAAACAGGTACATA
This sequence comes from Homo sapiens, assembly GCF_000001405.40. Classification (NCBI taxonomy): domain Eukaryota; kingdom Metazoa; phylum Chordata; class Mammalia; order Primates; family Hominidae; genus Homo; species Homo sapiens. The sequence goes on along the minus strand of NC_000003.12, from coordinate 148,193,481 downwards.
TATGTTTCAACTAAAAGGTAGATTTAAACTGTATAGGTTTTGTAATTTGTGTTGTTCATTTAGGTTATAACATAAAATTTATCTATGACATAGTTTTTGTTGGCTGCATTTTATTTTATGGTTTTACCAAAAATGGTTTAATTAATTCCACTTTGACATTATATTAATGATGAAAAAGGGAAGTTAGGCAGTTTCTTAATAGCAGGGGCCAATTGAGAGTAAGAGAAAAAAATTGGTAGTGCTATTGAAAGCCCTGTTTCTTCCCTCATTCTCAGGTCATTATGTGCCAGCAAAGGACATTAGATAATTGAAGGAAGACATCCCTATATGACAGTGTATTTACTTGGGTACTGATGGGAAAAAGTGGAGTGTTCAGTTGAAGAAACATCAAATAATCAACTTGGAAACATGGATTCTGTAAATGGCAGCAAGTGGAGTACATTACAGAGTTCAAACTCCTGAGGATAAAATACCAAAGAAAGAGACTTTGGTAAAAGAGAGTAAGCCTCCAAGTCTCTCTAGGTACACAGAGTAGACCCATATACATCACTGAGTTTGGACACGGTTCTTAGTTTATATTTGCCTTTATAAATGTAATAGTGGGTTATAAGTGTGTGCATTTGAAATAAGCATGCATATCCCTTTCCATAATTGTTTTCTGAGACTCCAGCAGAGGGCTGACTGGCAGAGCCATATATTCCCAAGTGTAGGGGCAGGGGACAATACTACTAGAACATAAGCTGCTCTAAGAGAGTGACTGATCCAAGGTCTCATGACAGAACATTCTGCATCAGGTTAGGACTCTAATTATAAACAGTCCACAAAATTTCCAGGCTGTAAGAGAAGAACAGATAACAATATAAAATTATATGGGAATATGACAAGAGTCAGGGCAGAGCTACATTATTATTTTTTGCCTTTCTTTGAACCTAGTTTTTTCATTTCCATCCATCACAGTTTCATAGTTGAACAAAAACATCTGTATGAAGGATATTTGGAAGTTTCCCAGCTCATACTGTGGCTTCCTTTCTTACATGCTCTTCTAGAGCTCCATGTGACTTCTTTTGAATCCAAGATCCAAAATATATATTGTATATATTTTCTTTATAAAATGTGTTATCACTTAGTAGTGTACTCCCTACTTTTTTTTGCAATACTAATAGCAAATTATTGAGAACACTAGTAATGCTCCTTGGATCCTGCTGTGTGTATCCACAGGGTCTGCCTTTGATCCACATATCTGTCTTGTGTGCAGCTTGTCACAGTGCGAGTGAACAGGGGAAGCCAAGTGCCAAAGGCCCTGTTTGGGGACAGGTTCATTGTGAATGTCCTGCCAACCATGCCGGCCTTTAGGAATTAGAGCACGGGTGGACTGTCAGGTCCGTGCCTAGCACACTGACAGGTGGAAAGCACTGGAGAAGAATTGGCAGTTTGCATCTTTCAGGAGGCAAAGGCATGAAGTGCCTTATTCGCATTCTTTGGCAGGGGCACTTTCTATTTCTAAAAGACAAAGGTAGAAATAATAATAGTCCTAACAGAAAACTATAGTTTTACCCCCCTGATATTTTTTCTTTGAGTTCCAAATTCAAATTTGTCTTTTTTTTTTGATCTGAGAATAAAATCCCATGGCCATTTTGTAGAAAAATGTGATAAAATCACAGCTACACATTAGCTATACCAACTAATAGGAATATTTACTTTTTTGAGAAAACTCACTTGCCCTCCATCATTTCTCAGATCAGTTAGAGAAAGACAGCTCTGCAGGAACAGCACTATTGAAATAGTATTCACACCGTTCCACTAGACGGTTCACACACTTTCATTCCTGTTTAAAAAAAAAAAACAACTTAGTTAAATTGCGTGATTTATTAGCTCATGTTAGAGGATGAGAAAAGCGATTTGGAAAACCTATGCATTCTGTGTAAGACCAAGCCAGCTGTCTCTAAGTAAAGACTTTTGGTCTTGTGCAAATTTTGCAAACTACTGAATTGCTAATGGGCTCTTTGTTGGATGTTCTTATACACTTAATAGACTCTACATCACTTGTAGAAAAAAAAGGTGGTGTTCTAAAGGCAGAAAAGGTAATGTCTATTTCATTAAACAAATTAGCAGAGTCAATAATGATATTTTCTTTGACGCTAACAGATTCTGCTACATGTCTATAACTATTAATCTGTAAAGGTATTTTATAACACAGTCTACTTCTAATTTTACTTTCTCTGAAACTAATTATCAAATATATTTATCTCCATGCATTCAGACCTTTTACAAATACACGTCTTTCTGTGATCACCTTTAAGAGCACAACCTTAATTCAGGCTTTCTACACTCTGTCTGGTTTATGGTGATATTAAACTCAGGCAATTTCATTTATTGAAATCAATCTGGGGAAAAACCCATTGGTCTATAATTTCAGATTATTTGACTGCTCACTGGCAAATGACTAGGTAGCATAATCATTTACTGAGCCTCAATCTGCATTTTTTGAAATTCTTTTACATATGCTATGATAGAGGAGAGTAGATAAATGAGAGAAAAATAGCAGCAAGTACCAGACAACTGAGTCATTTTGCAACTCTTTAGTTACATGTATAAGTTAAAATGCCTTCAGAGAGATTAGGAGAAGACTGACTACCAGAATCGTCCAAAATAGTTCATATTTGTGTATAGACACACACAGACACACACTCACACACATACACACATTTCTTGTAATGAACTCATCAGGGAGCTCCTCCCTAATTTAAGCTCAAGCTTGCAAAGAAGTCAATTTTTTTTTCTTTTTCCTGACATTATTACATCAAAACAGTATCCAGGCATTAGACAGTATTTATTAGCTTGTAAGACCAGAGATAATGATCCCATTCAATCAGAACACATGAATAATTCAATAGTTCCAACTTCACATAATTTCTGGCTCTACTCTTAAAACCAGAAAAAGAACCATTTGTATCATTTATTTATTTTTGGATACAATGGGTAAAAGATAAAGAAGGATTTGTTTTGTGTGTGTGTGTGTGTGTGTGTGTGTGTTTCCAAGAAAGAGAGCCTCTTGGCTCTTTCATTTCAAATTGGTCAAAGACAATGCCAAAAGAACATGTATATGTATGTAAATATGAAAAAGCATTATATTACAAGGGGCACATATAGCAATTACCTCTATGAATTATTTCTACATAAATTTGTTAAGGGTATTTTAATCACTGTGAACGGTTTCATATTATTTTACACACTACTGCTAGGTAACAATTATAGTTTCTGCAAGACCATTGAAGCTACAATTTCAGGGGTCATTTCTGCAGTGTGCAATTTGAAAAGTACATTTGAAAGAGGATGAACTGTTTTAAACACCAAGAAGTTGAAATAATTTAATCTTATGACAGAAAATGTTACTGTTCCTTATTTTCTGACATGAACAATGAGAAACGATGGACAAGAACACCAGTTTTGCCTCTAAAGCAGCTCTGTCCTAAGAACATTCTGCAATGTGTGATATCAAGGTAGTCCAGTATGGAAGTCATTAGCCACATGTGGCTATTGAGCACTTGAAATGTGGCTAATGCAGCTGAAGAACTGAATTCTTATTTACCTTTAATTAATTTAAATTTAAACAGCCACATGTGACTAGCGACTCCCTGTCAGACAGCATAGCCCTTAAGTCCTCAAGGAGAATGGCTATTACATTATAAATACTAACAGGTAGATATTTATTATTAAGATATTTTAATCCTTCTTTTTAGTTTACCATTTCTGTTGAAATTCTCACTTTCTTATTACAGCCTATCCAGATATTTGTGATTAATCCATCATGTGCTTTATTTTGAGAGTTCATTTGACATTTTGTGAAGTCCTGTTCCAATTGCTGCTTTCGCTAAGATATACTATAATGAATGATGTATGATATAGCCACGAGAATGTATAAAGACAAGCAACAGATAAATTGGATGAGAGAACACTTTTATTTCTATCTCAATGGCTTAACAATGTGATTGTATTAATAATTTAAAAGACTTTGGGAAGAAACTTTATTTGGGAAATATTTTGTAAAAAATACTGGTCTTCAAGAAGGTAATTAGCTTTTCTAGAAATATAAAATAGTTATACTTTAGGAATTGTAAAAGTGTTGATTGACGTTATTTTTTTTCATACCCTTGCGGTGGGTCTTTCCTCTCCTACATCCTGAATATTATAAAGAAGAAGAGTAATCAGTAATGTTAAAAGTTAAAGGACAAGAGTAAGTAAGGTTAATCGATATACCTCTCAGGTTTATTTAAAATTTGCAAACAGCTACCATATGCCTTGTTGCAATCAGTTGTCCATAGAGGGAAGATCATTATCAAATTCCAAGATACAGATGCTTTGTTAACTTCCAAATACAGTCCAAGTGTGTGCTTGTACATTCATTCTGGCCATTAATTAAAGGCCACTTGGAGAGACTTTAAGCTCTTAAACTGGATTAGTGAAAGTGATCAAAAGGACCAACTGAGTTTTGGAAATTGAGTTTTACAAGACAGGGGGTGGACTTTGAAAAGAACTTCCTAAATCAGACATTATTGATTGCCTCATCACAGCCCTAAAATGAAGGTCGTCATTAAGAGGACTGGAGTAGAATCATCGACTGAATGTTGATACTATCTGCACAGTAGATGAAACGTGATGTAACAACAATCAGTGGCAAAATTCCAAAAGTAAAATCCAATGATACTTCATGAGCTGGAAGTTCATTTTGACACTGAAAGTTGCTTTCCCTGTAATAGTGACTTATTTAGAACAAAATTTCATAGCTATTCTCAAGGGACACTAAAAATATTTTTTACAGGCCTACATTGATGAATTTCTGAATTGAATAATTGGAATGTTGTTAGACACAAACATGATGCTTATATAGATTTTCTACTATTGTTGTTTTGTTAAGAAGCCACTTTTTGGGTTTCAATTTTGTATATGTTATTTCTAATCCTCACAAAACCATGCAGACTGTATATTCCTGTTTTATAAGTGAGCAAAAGGGTTCAAAGAGGTTAAATTTCTTTATGGTTTTATGGGCAACAGGTGCTCAAACTAAATCTTCAACCATTCAGATTAAAAGTCCTTGTGTGTCTTCAACACCATGTTATTTCTCTAATCTTCAGTATAAGCACACAATATTTTAGTCTGTCTACAAAATATTAATTTACAAAAATGAATACATATGCTCTAGGTCACTTTTCTGGGAAGAAATGTTGTCTAAAGTTAGGATTCTATGTTATCCATGGAATCTGGCAATTGACTATTGCTACTCATTTCCAAGAAGCATAGAATTCTCCAAGGTTAGGCTCAAGAAAAGTCTTTCTTTTTGTCAACACTTGTCTTCTAGCCATTCTATGTTGTTCATTTTCTGATTCAATAGCAATGGTTATGATTTAGCTCAGAGCCCCTTCAAGAATTGAGTGTGTATGGGTTCCTCTCATGGGAGAAAAGATAAAGATAAATATAAATATATATTTATACATATATAAGTAACAATATATATTTTATATACAAAATAATACATGTATAATATCTATTTATTTACATATGTATAAATATATAAATATACATATATGTATAAATGTATAAATATAAACATATATGAATATATATTTATGTATATATGTATACACACACATATATATTCATATATATAATTTTCCAGAGTTCAATGACCACTTAAACACAGGTTTGTCTAAAGTATACTAGGGAAGATAATACTATATATGTGTTCTTTATGAGAAGCAAGAGTGGTCAGTGTATCAGCATCCTAGAGTTGCCATAATAAAAGGTAAAAAACTTGGTGACTTAAAACAACAGAAGTTAATCCTTATTCTGTCACTGTTCTGGAGGCCAGAAGTCTGAAATTAAAGTGTCAGTATGGTTGTGCTCCCTCCAAAGGCTCTGAGGAAGAATCCTTCCTGGCTCCTCAGCTTCTGGTGGCTCCAGGCATTCCTTATGTCTGGATCACTCCAATCTCTGCCTCTGCTTCACATGGCTCATTTCAAGATTCTTAATTCAATTATATCTGCAAAGACCTTTTCCAAATAAGGTCATATTAACAGTTTCCAGGGGTTAACAATATGGACATATTTTTCAGAGGCCATCATTCAACACACTGCAGTCAATAAGGCCTATTTTCTTTTTTAATCTCATTGCCCAATGTAAGTGGTCCAGTCCTGAAAGTATTCCTCATTAAAATGTAATTAATTCATAACAATTTGCAAAAACAAAAAAGCAGAAAGGCAAACTATAGATCTAAGTAGGAGGTAGTATGTTTAGTGGTAAATGATGCAGATCTGAATGTTGGACTGGCTGCTTGGATTGCAATCTCACTCACAGGATCTGTGTCTGAGGACAGTTCGTGAACTTCTGTCTTCACTTTTTTCATGTGCACAACAAAATGACTATCCTCCTCACAGGGTTATCGTAAAGATTAAATGAAAAAACCCAGGCCAAGAATTTAGCATAGTGCTGGCCATGAAGTAAGTGCTAAGCAATGCTAAACATCAGTACATGCTTCCCTGAAGCATTCCCTGAAGTTTCTTAGGCATAGTGTATTTATCCATCCATCCATCTTTCATTGACCTATTTATTTGCTTGTTAGGTTTACCAAAAATTATTATAAATAAGAACAAACCACAATCCCAGAAATAAGAAGGCTTTCTTTCTTAGAAGTCATCTTCATGGACATTAACAAGTAAAATGACCTTTTTTTTTGGCCTATAGATATTCTAAATATCTATCCACTCACCATTTATTGAACATTATTATTTCTGGCCTCAAGATAGAAACAAAATACCAAAAGATGATTTGGAAAATTTCAACTGTCAAATAATTTACATTTTATTCAGTGAGAGAAATGAATTATATACTTATAATAGAGTGCAATTGGTGATTTAAATGTAATATCAGACAGTGATGGGAACAGAAGGAAATTCAGGGAACATGCAGTTTAGAAGTGTGAGTGGAAAGGAAGATCAGAAGACCTTTTCTCAAATGACAGCCCATTATAGAGGAAAGAGCGTAGATAGAGAAGTCTGGGAAAAGTCAGGAATGAATCCTATCTTTGCCACTAATGAGCTATTTTCTTTTCTTAAACTCTCAGCATCCTCATCTATAAAATTATGTAATATCTATATCACTGAATTGTTGGGATTAACGAAATAATGCATATAAAACAATGTCTGGTACCCAGCTCAAGATAAGCACATATCAGCTATTTAGTTGTTGTTATAATCACTATTAGTCAATTTCCTAGTGCATGGCAGAAGTTTAAATAGTTTCTTTCCTTTTCCTGGATGGCAGTTCCCATTTCAGAACCATTTCACCAAGGAAGCCCTTAGTACCTGCACCACTTTTTTCTGCCTCATTTTTCTATAATCTGTGATAGTAACATATATCTGTTGAAATAATCTGTTCTTCTCTATACTATAATAATCTCCCTGAAAATTGGAAAGATATTCTATTCATATGTGTTGTCCTAGCATATGATAAAATGTTCAGCAGTTAGTGAATATTTCTTGAACTAATACAATTTCAGGCACACCTTCCTGCTGCCCACTCCCCAAAATCTGCTAAGAGAAAGGGAAATTCCATATAGATAGCTTTAGATCAGAGCTTTAGTACAAGTCCCCTTTAGTCTAATTGTATTAGTTTTCTATTGCTATATACCAAATTATCATAAACTGAGTGACTTGAAACAACACATATTTCTCAACTGATGTTTGATGTATGGCTTAGCTGGGTTCTTTTTTGTCCTGAAGTACCTGTTAGTTGATCTATTATAGTAGAGCCATCTTAGAAAAATAATTCCTCATACTAGAAGAGTTATATTGTGTGTTATAAATTACTATAATGATATACTACACTTGATAGTTATTAATTTAGTGCCATCTGATTTACCATAATATTTAACCATTCTGTATTTGAAGAGAGACAAATAGAAGTTCATTTTCTTGGTTTCTGAGAAATGGCAAACACAATGTGCTCTAGAATAATAATGAGAAGTTGGGAGTTACTGTATTTTCTGTATCAGAGTCTGTGATTACCTAGATATGGTAGTTAAATTTCTTAACTTTATTTTTATTAAAGTCAGTTGATGCTTTACTACATAATGATGGTTATAAAGCTAATCTGGGTTGTGATATCTGCCTGTGTTATCACATAGACTGTCTACTTGATTTGGTCAATCTGGCTGCCTGATTAAGTGGCCTCTTCCCTCATCACTGTCCCTTGCAGCTTTCTTTAACACCTGCAGGCTAATGAAAAAATACACTGTCCCAGCTTGAAGAGGACATTGCTAGTAGTTGGCCTTTCTTTATGGAACCTCTAAATCAGGGTGCCATTCAAATGACTTCAGGAGCCAGAAAGATGGAGTTACAGAGTAAAAATTTATGATGTCCAATAATTGAGCTAAACACACACCTCATCCACCAGGAAAAATATTATGCATGCTCAGTGAATTATTCCTACTCAGCAATATTGGCCTAGTGATGTCCATGAATCATGACTAGGGAAGCATCTATGACTTTTGTAGCTAAATTACCCAGGAAGAGATTAATTTTTAAAATGCTTAAGCTCCATTGGCCAGGCATGGTGGCTCATGCCGGTAATCCCAGCACTTTGGGAGGCTGAGTCAGGTGGATCACCTGAGGTCAGGAGTTTGAGACCAGCCTGGCCAACATGGTGAAACCCCATCTCTACTAAAAATACAAAAATTAACCAGGTATGGTGGCACACGCCTGTAATCCCAGCTACTCAGGAGGGTGAGGCAGGAGAATTGCTTGAACCCAGGAGGTGGAGGTTGCAGTAAGTCAAGATCCTGCCACTGCACTCCAGCCTGGGTAACAGAACGAGACTCTGTCTCAAAAATAAATAAATAAAATGCTTCAGCTCCATTGTTTTTCTTACACATTTTATATTTCATTTAGCAAATAAAATAATTTATCACTATATGCTAAGTTCATCAGTCATTCAATGATTATTTTCCAATAAATGTTTTTAAATGCATAATGTAATTATATATAATTGTACATAATATATTGCCTATAAATACTTGAAAAAGGATGCCTGTAGCTAACTATTACCCCCATTCTGGAAATTTGGGCTTTCGGTGGAGGAAAGTTTTAAGTAGAATGAGTTTTGGAAGCTGCTGTGTCATTTTGACTATTTCGAGTGGTGAAAAAAATGTCTGGGGTATCCTCCATTGTTCACTCAGTCATCACTGCACACCTATTGTGTATAGAGCAGTGTTCTGGACATTGGAGACACAATAAAGTCCCTGACTTCATCAAGTCCATTAGTGAAATGGGGAATGATGGGCAGACAATAAACAATGTCAGACAGTGACAAATGCTATGTCAAAAAATAAAAATAAAGACAAAATATGAGGTTAAGAGGGTGATAATGGAGTAAGTTTAGGGTTACAGCAGTGGTTCTCAACTGGAGCGATTTTGCCCTCCAGGTGATATTTGACAATATCTGCAGACATTTTTGGTTGCCACAGCTGGACAGACACTACTGATATCTAGTGGGTAGAGACCAGCAGTGCTGCCGAAGATTCTACAAGGCACAGTATAGCTCTGCCCCCACAACAGAGAATTATTTGGGCCAAAATGTGCAGAAGCTGAGAAACATTGACTTAGAAGTAGAGAGAGGGTACAATAGACAGAATCTCCAAAGGCTTGAGAGAGTGGGACATTCACATTCTTGGAGAACAGACAGGGGAGCAAGAATGAAAGCTCCAAACCAGGGTGTGACTGGTATGATTAAAGAAAAGATTCTCTTTTTAAGATATTTTAAATGACATCTTTCTAGTCCCTATGAATACTTGCAAGCCTAAGGCATAAAAACAGGTGAAAACTTACCACCATACATTGCAAAACATAAAACTTGTAAATTAAGCTAACAAATTGTTAGATAAAATATGTTCTGTTCCTCTACCTCAAAATTTACATTGGTAAAATTAAAAATATATAAAGCTGTGGTTTTCATAAGATTGAAATTTAGCAAAATACCGAATTATTACTGTGCATATTGGGATGGCCTATGGGGAGACTGAAACAAAGAAGTGATTCATAAATTGTTACATATTTTTAAATAATAATTTTTAACCTGTGATTCAGCAAAGCCATTAATCATATTATAATAATTTTTTACATAATTTGCATTCTATGGACACAATTGCTTATTACAAAATCCTTTTTGAATAAATGTGGATTTTAAATAGTCTTCAATATGGGGAAATTTCATTCTGCTGAAGAAATAGAATCTGAAATAGTCAATAAAATTATTAAAGCCACATTTATATTTGAAAATAAATGTTGACCTTTACATGTCATATTAAAAATTATAGTTAAGTTACATATGATGAATTATCATTGTCACAGAAATATTTCAAAAGAATTTTGCTGTGATCTGAATGTTTGTGTTCCTCCAAAATTCATACGCTGTAATCCAACTCCCAAGGTAACAAATACTATTAAGAGATGGGGCCTTTGGGAAGTGATTAAGTTATAAAGATGGAACCTTGAATAATGTGATTAGTGTACTTTTAAAAGAGACCCCAGAGAACTCGTTTACCCTTTTACCATGGGAAGACTCTGCAAGAAAGTGGCATTTATGAACCAGAAAGTGGGCCCTAGACACCACATCTGTTGATGCCTTAATCTTATACATCTCAGCCTTGATACCTGAGAGAAATAAATTTCTGTTGCTTATATGCTGCCCAGTTTATGGTATTATTTTACGGTAGCCCAAATGGACTAAGACAGGTTTCATTTTAACATATGATATTACCATTTATATAATGATTTCCAAACATCTCTTAAAACAATATCTAGATCCCTATAGTTATAAGTTCTTCTTAAGAACTTCTTAAATCCTTTCTTAAGTTCTTCTACTTTTAGATATTTTATTGTTGAAATACAATAAAGAAAACTAAAAACAGCCATATGTTGCTCAATTTGTTCAATTTATTTTCAATTGAGATTTTTCTTGATCTAAAATGGTTTCTATAGAAATTAGTTTTGATTTTATTTTACAAGAATCTCCTTCATAGTCATATGAAATTTTTAACTAATGTTCTTGCAACGGAATGTCACTTTTGTTGCATATTTTACAAGTAGGTTTTTTGTTTGTTTGTTTGTCTTAAAGAAACTCTTTTCCTAAAGTTAAGAAGTATTTTCTGTTTGGGATTTTTTGTAAGATTTTGCTAACATCGCTAAGTTCAAGCAAAAACTTATACTAAATAATCATGAATAAAATTCATTCAAAATTAATTTTATTGTTTGCCAAAGACAAAAAGTCCTTTTTTTTTTGTTTAAAGATAGTTATATTTGCTTAGCTCATCTAATGTATCACAGGCCTAGTCTATTTTTAAATTCTTTCCTTTAATATCAGTTAATTGAGATTCCCAAATTGTGTCCAAATGGTTAGGAGATCAAATGTGATGTGTGTTTCATCAAGATGTTCTATCTTGGACAGATCTAGAAAATATTCGGTATAATCTTTGAATTGTTCCAAAGAATGCTTTTGCTATTAAGACATTTGTTTGATAAATTTGTCTCTTATTATGTCTTGTTGACAAGTTCAAATTTTTTTTGGTATATAGCACAAAGAATACTTCCGGCTTTTTCCCAAAATTTAGCTGGTACACCTTTTTCTTTACAATGGCATTAGCCTCAGTATTATAGACTTGTCCTCAACTATATTTAAATCAATCCCTGAAGTTTAAAGGTATTTTTCTAGTGCTTCACATCACCTTATTTTAAAAAGTTGTGAAACAGATGAAATACTCTAATTTTTAAGTTTTCATTTTCTATTTCTGGTAGTTGAAATATATACAAACACACTGTCTCTGTAGATTGCTGAGTGACAATGTAAATGAATTGACAGCTTGCAAGGTCTCTTATCTGCAAGTTAGGTAGATAGAATACTGATCCCCCAATGATGTTCACATTCTAATCCCTGGAAGCTGTGAATATGTTAGGCTAAAGGGCAAAGGAGAATTAAGGGTGGGATTAAGATGGCTAATCAGCAGACCTTAAAATACAGAGGTTACACAAGATGGTCTGAATAGGCCCATGAAATCACGGGGTTGTTTTTTTTTTTTTTTTTTTTTTTTTGATGAAGTCTTGCTCTGTCGCCAGGCTGGAGTGCAGTGGCGTGATCTCGGCTCACTGCAACCTCTGCCTTACAGGTTCAAGCGATTCTCCTGCCTCAGCCTCCTGAGTAGCTGTGACTACAGGCGTGTGCCACCATGCCCAGCTAATTTTTTGTATTTGTAGTAGAGATGGGATTTCACCATGTTGACCAGGATGGCCTTGATCTCTTAACCTTCACGAGGGTTTTTAAAAGTGGAAGAGGGGCCAGTCGCGGTGGCTCATGCCTGTAATCCCAGCACTTTGGGAGGCCAAGGCGGGCGGATCACGAGGTCAGGAGATCGAGACCATCCTGGCTAACATGGTGAAACCCTGTCTCTACTAAAAATACAAAAAAATTAGCTGGGCATGGTGGCACACGCCTGTAGTCACAGCTACTCAGGAGGCTGAGGCAGGAGAATGGCGTGAACCAGGGAGGTGGAGCTGGCAGTGAGCTGAGATCACGCCACTGCACTCCAGCCTGGGTGACAGAGCGAGACTCAGTCTCAAAAAAAAAAAAAAAAAGTGGAAAAGGAAGCTAGAAAAGAGCATCAGAGGGAAATATGACTATGGAGGAATGGTTAGAGAGATGGAACGTTGCTGGCTTTGAAGGATGTGGGCCATAAGCCCAGGAACGTGGTTGGATGCTAAGAGTTGGAAAGGTTAAAAAGAAAAAAAAGGATTCTCCCCTAGAACCTCCAGAAAGGAACAAGATTTGTTGATATTGTGATTTTAGTCCTGTGTCAGACTTCATACCCACATAACTAAAGCAACATTGGAAAACCTCAGAAATGTTAGGCCAAGCAAGAGAAGCCATACACAAAATAATCGTATTATTCTACTGTATTGCTATATCAACAATAACACACTTTATATAAAATAATACAATGGAATAATATGAGTACAACATGGGATATTTTGTGCTTTATACATCAGCAAATATAGCGGAATAGTATTTCATTATATGAACATACCACAATTTCTCCTTTAGATGGAAATGTGGACTGTTTTCAGGTTTTAGTTAGTATTCATAAACCATGCTCTTAAACATATTTTTTTCTTTGTGTTTTTGATACTCAGGACTCCCTTGCATGAAGCCTGGGGCTGTGGCCCCTCTAAACTAGAATTCTTCCTAATTACGTACCACCTCCCTAAAAAATACCTTTATTTTTTAACATTGTGATACTAAATTCAAACTTTTCTTTCTTTATTGCAGCGACTTAGAACACTGCTATTAAAACTATTGCCTATTAATAATAATGATAGCAGCAGTAAATCACCATTATACAGTTACATATAATCTCTTTTGATTCTTGTAAAAATACTCTGAAGAAGTCCAGAGATGTAAAATGTCTTTCCTAAGATACTATGGCAAGTGAAACTAGAACCTGAATCCAAGTGAGACTTTTGACTCAAATCCCTACACCCTTTCCATTGCATTCATTTGCCTCATACCTTCATTAATCTCTTCTTTCATTTATTCATATAGCTACTGAATGCTTATGACATGCGAGATGCTGTGCTACCACCTCTTATAATAGCATATTGTATATTTATGTAATCATGCATGGTAATATCATATGGCATATTCTGTTTTTCTATTTGCTGAATAGAAAAAGAGAAATAATAGAGAAAGACCAACATTTTGTGAGGTCCCAAATGGGAACTCACTCAATTTTCAGAAATGTGCCTACCTTAAACAATAAAAAGAACAGAATAGAAATTCATCATACCCTTGCCCATATACAGACAGTTAATTAGCTCTTTAACTTTTATCACATGACTTACTTGTGTTGTTTCACATATAATAGAAATGTATGCTTTCTCTTCTAATAAAAATAGCAATATATGACTAGCTTATTTCTTTGACATGATGTAAATAATGGAACCCAGATGCCGAGTCTAAATTTGATTCATTTTAATTATCTACCAGTAAATTATTATTATTCAGGTTATTCATAATAGTATTTCCTAAACTTATTTGATGTTAAACTTAAAATAATCATGTATTTCCCAAAGAGCAAAGACTCATGAACTCTAATGCCTGCTAAGCAAAAAGGTGTTTCACAAAAAAAAGTTTCATATGTTGACACTAGCTTTAATTTAAATGTTCAATATGCAGTAAGCACCAGATATATCACAAATACACAATATGGATCAATAGTCATTTAAAAGATGATATACAATGAGATGGTTATTGGACTATACTGCCTATGTGTAACTGGGCAGTTTGAATGCCATGCTTCATATATTGCTCATGCAATTTTCTAGGTTTCTCTACGGTGGCACATCTCAGGGATTTTTTGCATAAATAACCACCTAAATACATGTAATTTTTTGAGCCCATCTATATAACACTCATTTTGGTGTTGGTTTTTTTTTTTTTTTTTTTAAGAAAAATAATGTTACTAGTATCAGGTTCCCTTGCCATTTTGTTGGTTTGTTTTTCCAGAACACATATTGATCCCATAGAAAGTTGTTTGGGAGAAGCTAGTCTCGCTTTTTTTCTCTTTGCTAGTTCTAGTCACAACGCTGAGGCAGCGAGGTTTTGTCAATGTAGAGTTTCTGTGTGGCTGTGTTTATCTCTGGCTGCATTCCAAAAGGAAACACAAATAATGTCTGCATAATCACTTCCTTTGTTCCTTTTCACTAGCCTGTATCATTGACAGTATTCTGTGGATGGAGTTACAAATGACAGTATCATAACATCATGCCAACTTTTAAGCACTTATACACCAGATTTCTTTTTTTTTTTTTTAATGTGTCACAGTTGGGCACACAAATACAAAGACTGAATTCCCACATACAAAGTGAATAGAAGAAATTCTTTGATTAGTGTGGAGGCTTTAAACAGAAAAGGAGAAAATGTGTACTTGGATAATTGAGCTCATCTTTATCAATGAAATTTGCCTCAACATTTAACTTCCTCTCTACTGTCTAACATCTGCTTGCTTGCTTCTCTTCTTAGACTTCCTCTCTTGATGACCAGGATCAGATTATCTATGTCTCCACTGTGCTCCCTAATACAGTCCAAGTTTCAAATCATATCACTTTCTCTCACTGTAAAGTGATTTTGTGTTTGTTTTTCTGTATTTTCGCAGACTGTAAAATCCCTTTGGACAGAGACTATTTCTCTGGTTCACTGTTGTATCATCAGTGCCTAGCATGGTATTTTGTATGAGAATATCTGTATCTATCTCTGTCTATCTCTATATATTAAGAGGGACACAGACCAAATATTAACAATGATGAGGACATAATCGTTTTATTTCAATTCTGGTGTTGATTGTATTGAAGAACACAATGTCAATGATATTCTGATGCCTTTATTACATACTATATATTGGATTGACACTTGCGAATATTAGATTGGCTGAATGTTTCAGCAATCAATTTTCCTAAAATGAGTACTGAAAAATATTGGCTCAGTTAGATCTCGACTGTATAGTTGCTTTGTTGAAGTATTATTTTTTTTCCTTTTCTCCCTTCCCTCCTTCCCTCCTTCCTTTCTTTTTGTGGTTGAGATCCTGTTCAGGAAAACATTTTGTCTATCACACAGTTAAGTTCTGGAAATCACTGGTAAGTTCGAATTCTATGTAGCGGTTGTTCTTGTTGTTGATCTTAAATAGGCTTGTACCTTGTGGCTGCTATTATGAAGTACAATTGTAATTTTTTTTAATTTTAAGTTTTTTCAGGTAAACTTTTGAGTATCTTAGACTCTTAGACACTTCTCTTTGAGTAGAACTCACAATTCTATATTGTAGGTGACAGGTCCCTGAAGTGAGTTTAAAATGAAGTAGTCTACCAGAGGAAAAGTGAAAAAGACTTGATAACCCATGGTTCAAGACTCTTTAGGGTCCTCCAGAGAAAAGAACCAATAGAATGGATAGATAGACCACGAGTGAGACACACACACATACACACACACACACACACACACACACACACACTCACAGAGATTTTAAGGAATTGGCTTCCCTAATTGTGAAAGCAGGTAAGTCCAAAATACACGGGTAGGCTGGCAGACTGGAGAGTCAGGAAAGTGTTGATTCTGCAGTTTGAGTCTGAAGGCAGTCAGCTGGTAGAATTCCTGTTTCTTTGTGAGAAATCTGTCTTTATTAAGACCTTCCACCCACATTATGGAGGATAATTTGTTTTACTTAAACTCTACTGATTTAAATGTTAAACTCATCTAAAATGTACCTTCATAGAAATATCTAGAAAAATGTTTAATCAAGTATGTGGACACTGTGGCCTAGCCAAACTGACTGACACATAAAATTAACCATCACAGTCCATATAATACATCTCTTTTCTTTCCCCATGTCTAACAGACATCAACTGTTTAGAAGAGCACAGCTATTGTGATAATCCTGGTTGAGATCTCTTCTACCAGAGCAAGGAGTATTTAGTAATCAAGAGCCAGCAAACAGGATCAATCATTTTTGCCATTAAATTTAGAATAGGCTATGCCATTGACTTGTGTGGCTTTAGATATTCATTTAAATGGTTCTAAAATAGTATGCATCAGTTTCGTCATTGTCAAGAATAACTATACAATCACACAAATGTGGAATGTAGCATACACATTGTAGAATACAATCATTTCTATTGCCTTGTTATTTCTGTGATAAATGCAGAGAATCTGATATTGAATATTGGAAATGGAACCCCAGAGGCTAGAAGCTGGCTCTAAATTTAGAGTATAAGATCTAATTGGGTTCTAAATTTGACAAAATGATTGTTCCTAGTTCCCAGTCAATGATAAGTACTAGAAGAACCATAAGCTACATACATACCACATTTTCTTTTACATTTGTAAGTACACCAATTGCTTTTTATCCATGTTTGAATTTTTCCACAAGGCACAATCAAGAATGCTTGTAAAAACATTTGTCTACATGGGAAAGGAAAGTTCCATATTTTGGCCATGTGCAAAGACAGGTAGCCATCTGGAAGGGGTCTGTTTCTGTGTGTCCAAGATGTGAATGGCCTTTTCTGATAATAAACAAAGTGCCCAAAGAACTTGTCAAGGGGTTTGTCATAAGGTAGACCAAGTGCTCACAATCCCACACAAGAAGGATACTATGCAGCAGGGTCTGTTCTCTATTTGATGCATGCAAGTTCCATTATAGGTAATGGGAATTACATGTGCATTTTCAGGAGGCACTATGCTGTGTGAACTTCAGAGGAAAAGAAAACATAGGCATGAGATTTTAAAAGAAAGAAAGAAGGAAAAATAACAGAAAATAAAAGAAACCAAAATCAGTTTGCTCCTGTAGTCCTGTAATGATAATAAAAACTGTGGAGGCTGAAAATGGAAGTGTGCACTTTTTAAACAAACTATAGTTATGTGCCCTCCCAACTATGTGTAAGCCCAGATTCACAAGAGTATATTTGACAACTGGTACTTTAGCTATTCATTTGCTTCCATAGAACAGTAGGTAGATTGCATGGGGGTGTTGACTTCATTTTTCTCTTTTTAGTTATCTATTTTAAATGATTTTAAAATATTATAATTATAAATTCTGGAATTAATGTAACTGTATAAATATAAACTTCCTTTTACATAGACCAGAAAATGCAGGCTATGGAAAGCATTTATATGTCAAAATATACTTCAAATATTAACAGTTGTGTAGATAGTATCAGAATATATTTAAAATTTCATTTTTAGGCAATAGTTGACATAAATATAAATTATTTTTTGTTTAAACAGGTAACATCAAAAACATAAATAAGAATGGTGCTTCTTTGAAGTACATAAAATGTTTGGAAAGTGTAACTATTTTGAATTCTTGCCACATAGCTAAGTATGAATGCCTAGCATGGATCAAAATCTTCCAAAGAAATCTTGGCAGAAAAACACAAACCACACACACACAGAAAATATCTAGTCAGTCCCATGAAAGGAAATAAACAGACTACAAATAGAAATTGCTTTATTTCCAAGTCAATTCATTTTGGCAAACTATATGGTAATATAATGTCTTTTCTATGGTGATGAAAGAATAGTTTTAAGTGTGAGTCATGAATAGACCTGTTACAAATGATTAACATTTACCACATGATAGTTAATATTCATAATAGAAATAGATACAGTTTTATGCAATATAATTTAATCAAATGCCATAAGAATTTTCTAGGTTTTTTTTTTTTTAACTGACCAACATTCAATTATCCCTGTGTGTGGTTTCTGTGCACAAAGGAGAGAGTTTCTCTTTTACATTGCTGCCATGATCCCTAGGGCTGTAAGAATTATTAAGATCACAGCCGCTACTTAGATTTGCATGAGCAATTAAAAATTCTGGAAGTTATCTAGTCCTACTGGATGGATTTTCTAACATTTTATTAATAAAGTTGATAAAGATAATTATGATGATGGCATTTATTAAGGGTCTACTCTATGCTTCACATAGATAGCTGTTCCTTCACACAATAATCATGATATATACTGACAGCAAAATGCCTATTACAGATGAGGAAACTGGGCTCAGAAAAGCTAAATAACTTTTCCAAGATTTCACAGCTAACAAGTGTCTGAATGACTAAGATCAAATGTCTATGACCTAAAGCTTGTATTTTTCTCCATTTACTATGCTATCTTTATGTGGCTAAATGTTTATCTTACACTCACGAATTAACTGACTATATCTATTAGAGGGGAATCAAACAAAAATTTAATATGCCATAACAAATAATTTTTATATAAAAAAGAAAAAAGATATTTCTCATTTAACTTTGTTCACAACATAACTTTTTAATTTTAATATAATCCAAGTAGAGTAAAACCACTATCACATTTTTGTTTTATTTTAAAATGTAATATAATGACTACAGTTTTGTTGCAGGTAAAATGCACATTGTATCAAATATATATGTGTCATGCAAGTGTGTCTTGATAAAAAATGCTTCAGCATATTTATTTAAATTCTGAAATTGGAGGATGTCTGTTAAATTTGGACATTAAAGAGCATCAAAGTACTAAGATATTTTTGTTTATCTAAGTCATTGTCTAAATCCGTAACTAGAAATGAACAATGTGTCAGTATTAAGGTTCTGAGGCATCGGTTTCCTAACCAAGCATTCCATATTTTAGAGTTCCATCCAAGTGCATAAATATTAGTAGCTTTTGCTAGCAGAATAGATGCTAGATGCTTGAAGCTTTTTATATCCCCCCACGAAGTTTTTGAAATAGAAAAGAAAACTTCCTTCTGTTCGACTCAAATTGGGTTTCCAGATGTCCAGGGTCAAAGGTTGGAAACGAAAGTTTTGAGGTTTGGCCTACTCTAACCAGATAGCATGCATGAATGTGCGAGAGCTTCCCCAGAGGGCATCTTTTTGTAGTTTTTATGTTTTCTCTGGTCTCTCCTGCTAAGAAGTCCATACCCCTCTGCTGACTTATGCTGTTCTGATTCCACTTTGTAAGTGGTCTAAGCCTCTTGGATTTACTCTTTAGCAATTGGCTATTTTGAACCATTAAAGTGCTGTTATAAATGCATAAATTCAGAAAGCTTATAATTATCTTCTTCCTGAGTATGATGTGTCAGGTTCTATTTGGTAACATTTGATGTTCTCTCTTTTTGTCAACTACCAGTATGAGATGAGAGATAAGGGGTAAATTAACAAAATATAGAGACATCAAGAACTTGATTTTATTTTGCTCTGCTGAATGGTTGATCTTTAACCATTGCTTTATATTTTAAGAATTATTTTTTGCAGGCCAGTTTTATTCAGAGAATATTCTAGAAATTGAAAATTTTACTAGAAAATATTTAAAATGAATCATCTCAAAGGTATGAATTATGATGCCAACTTGAAATACCGTGTTATCAAAAATAAACCTAGAGCAACATCTCAAACTTTTATTTTTCTTGTTTATGAAATTTATGAAATGTACTAAATGTTTGTTATATTACAGGAAGTAAGAACAAATACACCTTGAGCACCTATTAAGGCAGTGTCTAGCACAGAGCATGAACAATAACAACAAAAATGGTCTCTTCTCTTCTGTTATGATTAAGTTGAATTATAACACATGCTCTCCTTTTTCCGTAGCTTATTCTAAGTTCTGAGCTTTTTATGTGGATTTTAAAACTATGGGAATCTCATGAAACAGTCTGTAAAGCTGTCTGTCTAACTAATACTTCACAGCCCTATAGTGAGGAGGCCACAAAGGAGAGTCAAAGAAGACAAGAGAGACAGGATCTGAGGAAGCAGGAATAACAGTAATAAAATATTAGTATATATACTTGAAATAACCTATTATCTATAATCAATGTGGGAGAATATAACGTAAGAAATAATGTAAGTGTAAGCACAGTTATGCACCTGGGTTCTGTTCGCAAATCTCAGACATTCCATTCCCACTAATATAAATACGCTCATATTCAAAAGGAGAGTCATAGGACAGACTTCTAACAAGATCTGCTCATATCTTTCAAAATCTGTGTTTAATCAAGGGCAACTCTTCCTTGCTCTAAGAGTTTGTTGCACCCATTAAGTTTTGTATTTGAGAAACATGAGATTGTAAAATTGCATTTCCCAAATACAGTGAATAAATAATAAAGTGTGCTATTTTATTATCAATTATTAAGTTCTATACATAACCTTATAATATAGAATTCTACTTTTTAAAAAGTTATGACCTACACTTGGTTGCTTTGAATAATGTATCAAACCATTTACATAAAAAGAAATACACTGCTTGTAAACTGTTCAACTTTAAGTAGTATTCAGTGGAGTGATTGAGGGGTAAACCTTAAAATTCAGATTGCATGGCCATTTAAATCCTGGCTGTCTCCATCTGGCTAGGTACTTTATTCATTTATGTTAGTGTTGCTTTATCTGTAACTATCTCATAGGTTTATTATGAGGAATAAAAGATGTGGTATATATAAAGCATTTAGAATAGAGCCTAAACTCATAGCTGTCAGTATTAATCAGAAAGTGAACTCCATGGGAACAGGGATTTTTGTGTCTTATTTGTTCACTGATGTATTTCAAATACCCAAGAGAGTGATTTCCAAATAAATAATCTACCAATTTAAAGAATAATTTTTAATTATACTTTGATGATAAAATGACAATTTATATCACTTAATATCAGCAGAGAGAAGAAATAAAATTCTATTCAAATATAAAGAAAATATGCAGAGAAAATTGGAATTGGATTCACTTATTAAAAACTACTATTTTTTTTGGTTTTTATTTTATATCATTGTAGCCAATTAATGTAGCTTACAGAGTAGTTATTTTTGGGAATGTTCTGAGATTTCTATGTAATCTAAAAGGTGTTCCATTTTTTAATAATGTTCAATGTGTGTTTGACAAGAACACATTTTCTATTTGCAGGATAGAATATTGTAAGATATATAGTATATCAAACTCACCTATGTTGTTAAACTCTTCTAATTTGTGTCTGCTTGATTTACTATGTTTTCAAAAGACACAGCTAAGAAAAAAAAATGACACATAGTAATACAAGAAAATATGGTGAGAGAAAATGTATAACAAGTAACCCTAATTAAAATAAAAATTATATAGCAACACTATTTATTAGATAAAACAGAATATAAGGGGAAAAACATCGATAGGGACAAAGAGTAGCATCCTGTACTGATGAGGGAAGCAATTTGTAAGATATTATATTAATTATAAACTATGTACTAATACTTTAGGTTTAAATATATAAAGTAAAATATGACTAATTTGAAATGAGATTTTATCAATCCAGCCTCAGTAGTGTATTTTAACATACACTACTGTATAGAAATTGACAAAATCCAGCAGACACAATCAGAAAAGTTTAACATAGTTGAGTTTGATATCATACATATCTTACAGTTTTCCATCCCACATATTGAAAATGCATTCTTGTCAAAAAGACATGGAACATTACAAAAACAGAACACCTTTTAGACCATGTAGAAATCTCAGAAAAGTTCCAAAAATAACTACTCTGTAGGCTACATTAATTTACTATAATGATGTAAAATAAATAAGAAATAAAAAATGAAACCACAGCAAACCTTCCCTTCCCTTAATCTTGGAAACATAAGACTCTCCTAAACTACTTGAAAATAAATGTATTTACATATAGAAGACAGAAGAAAAAGACAAACAAACAAATAACTCTAGAGAAATCCAAAGTAAATAAAAGAGGGAAAGAGAAAGAAAAACAGCAGAAATTAATAACAAGCACAACAATAAGAAATGCTCAAAATAAAAGTAGGTTCCTTAAAAAGAATAAAACAATATTAAAATTCAGGCAAGATCACTCAAGAGAATAACAACAAAGGCACATATAAATGATATTAGGAACAAAAATGAAGGTATAATTGCAAACAGAATCTAGATTTTTAAAAAGCTATAAAATCATGGTCAATAACTTAATGACTATAAATTGGAAACTTAGATCAATGGATTATTTTATAGGTAACCATAAATTTCTAAAATTGAATCAAGAAGAAATAGAAAAACCAGAGTATATCAATAACCAACAGATAATTGAATTAGTAATTATAATCTCCTCCCAAGGAAGATACCATGGTCAGACACATTTTATGGACAACTTATGGGATGTATCTGAAGAAAAGAGATCACCTCTCTCCAGTCAAATCCTAAAGAAAGTATAAATGAAGGTGAACAAAACACAGGAAGGTCACTTGCTCAATGCCCTATCATTTTCTTCTTTATCTTTCTAAAATTCAGTGTGGTAAAGTCTTAGGGGAAATAATATTGAGACCGAGAATATGCTAATAAAGTGACTCCCCATTTCCACCATGGATTCTTAAAATAAGCCACAAACATGAATGTAGCCATGCAGTGTAGATTGAATAACTCAATTCTTCAATAACTCACTCTCTTTTGGAAATCTTCATTCTGAAAGAATGGAGAGACCTGGCATTTCCACAGGATTTCCTCTAAAAAGAAAGATACCCGACTCTACAGACCAAAAGTCATCTCTGTGTCTCTGCCACAAATTCCCAGTGTTGACCATACACCCTCCTCTTATACTTGATAGGGAAAAGAGATCCACCAGAATTATCTGTGACTCCCACCCTTCAATTTCCAGTAGTACACGCGCACACACACACACACACACACACACACACACACACACATATATATATATATAGAGAGAGAGAGAGAGAGAGAGAAACACATATTCTCTATCCCTCATTTCCTCAAAGAAAGACCCAAGTCCAGGTTCATTGCATTATGCGCCCATTATGGATTTTCAACATCTTTAATGTCTTTCTTTTATTCTGAGCTTTTTCCTCACCCTCCACCATAGGGTAAAAATAAAACAGACATAAAACATCTCTATTAGCTTTATATTGCTGCATAAAAATTACTACGAACTCAGCAGCTTAAACCAAACGCAAATTCCTATCTGACCATTGATGTGGATCCAGAGTCTCACATGGTGTGGTGAGGTTCTCTGCTTAGGGTCTCTCATGACAGAAATCAAGTTGTCAGCCAAGGTTGCCATCTCATGTGAGCCTCAGGATTCTCTTCCAAGCTTATTCAGGTTGTTGGGAACATTTAGTTCTTTGAGGTTGTAGTATTGATGTCCCTGCTTTCTTGTTGGCTGATGACTAGAGGCTGTTCCTAGAGGCTGCCTCCAGGTCCTTGCCGTGTGACCTCTCCACAGGTCATTCACAGCATGGATGTTTGATTTTTTTTCCAGGCAAATTGAAAGTCATCTCTCTGACTTTCTCTTTGGAGGCCACCTGGAGAAACCGTGCATCTAAAAGGCTTCCCTGATTAGGTCAGACCCACCCAAGATAATCTTGTTACCATATAAAGTACCATGTATCATAATCACGAGAGCACCATATCATTGTATTGACTGTCTCTATTCACACTTGAATAGCAGGGGATTATGCAAGTGTGAGGCTTATTGGGGATCATCTTAGAATTCTGCCTTCCACAACACCCAAATCAAATAGAAACAAAACAAACAAAACAGCCTTTATTTGTAACTCTCTTCCTTATTTCTCTTCACTGCTACACTTGAGATAATACTACATTTACTGATTTCTATACTTTCTCAACTCTTATTCCAAAATATAATTTCCTTTAAAACTATTCTATACCTATCCAATTGCTCATTAGCCATCTCCATTCAGAACATGTTTAAAAACATTATGTCCGAATAGAAATTTCTCATTTATCCCCTCCCTTTCATTTCTTTTATTTTTTTTCAGTATAATAGCCCAATCAAATATCTTTTCTTCCAAAATCAAATTCTGAAATTATACTTGATTCTGTCTACTCCCTTATTTCCCACAGAAGGTAGTAATTAAGTCTTGCAAATCTTACTTAGAAATGTGAACACTGGTCCCTTTCCAAGAGGTCCAGCCATTATTTTCACTCAGTTTCTCTTTAGGATATGGGCAGCCTCCTCCCTGCTTATCCTGCCATCTGCAGTCACTATCTCTGTCTCTCAACAACACTGTTCTTCTCCACTGTCTCCCTAAAGATAGAAATGTCCAACAAACGAATTGAGGAACCTTTCAAAATTCTAGCACGTTTTTGAAGACTTAATCCTCAGTAACTTTGTGACTTTTGGAGATGAGCATTGGTATTTTAAAATCATAAAATGGTTAGTGTTTGGGAATTTTTAAGTTATTAAAAAGTAAATCCAACTTCGTTTGTCAACAGCTACAGTTTTCTCTTGGATATGCCATTTACACTGCAGAAATGTTTTCTAACTAAGGAAACTCTGGCACGGTGAAGTACTAAACATTATTGAATAATGTTCTGTAAACCCTCAGGCCATCTGCAGGCTTAAAATGGGTTTGTATCTCATATCTTTGCTTTCAAAGTCCTCCAGTGACTTTACATATATTTTTCTGGTAATTTAGATATCATTGAACTGGAGATTCCACAGTGAAAACCTTTAATACTCTTGAAGAAAAATTAAAAAAATAACAGTTTGATACACTAGAAAAGGCTTTTTTCTCTTGCTTTTCCTGCACACTAAATCTAAAAATCTAATCTTTGCTAAAAGAATTGAGATTTGTGCCCATTATGGTTTTTCAACATCTAAATAGAAGTTTTTATGTTTGCTTCTGGAATAAAAATGCAAAATGACCTGAAATACTTTTAAAATATTCAAATTTTCCAACTGTGCCTAACATGACACATTTTAAACTTCAAAGAAATAGTGATTTATTCAATAAAACAAGTTGTGTGCTTTTGAGCAATGGCTCAAAGCTCCTTTTGCCTGTCTGTGCTTCCCATGCCTGTCCGTGCTTCCCATGCCTGTCCATGCTTCCCATGCCTGTCCATATTTTAAGTCACTGAGTGTCTTATCTTCATTTGGAGGCTTGGATATATTTTCTTCCAATTTGTAGTCTTTAATCATTTCAGTTTTTTTGTGTGATTTTGTTTTGTTTTGTTTTTTAGAGACAGGGTCTCTTTCTTTTGGCCACACTGGGATCCAGTGACATGATCATGGCTCATGTAACTTCAAACTCCTGGGTTCAAGTGATCTTCCCTCCTGAGTAGCTAGGCCTACAGAGCACCCTACCACATCTGGCTAGTTTTTCTTATTTTTTATAGAGACAGGGTCTCACTATGTTGTCCAGGCTGGTCTCAAACTCCTGGCCTAAAGCAAACCTCCTGACTTGGCCTCCCAAAGTACTGGCATTACAGGCATGATCCTCTGTGCCTGGCCAGTCACCTCAGTTTTAATACTGTTTTTCTTAAGAGATAGCTAAAAGATTTCCTTTAAAAATCATCAACATATAGACTCTGAGAATGTGATGTGTGAAAAAATTGCCTGTTGAAGTAGAGATAATAGCCATCGTTTTACTGAAAATCAGCACTAGTTTGAAAGAAACATTTGGAAAAAAAAGTTCTAAATGAAATTTTTAATAGGAGAGAAAAAGTAATCTGTGAAAACACATAACTTTTTCAAATATTAAGAAATATTGCTGAAATACGTTTGTCAGCTGCTCCTTTCTGCTCGTGGACGCCGCCAAGGAGGCATCATTAAAGTCTCTCTTCTCCCTGCCATCATGTCTAAGTCAGGGTCCCCTAAAGAGCCCGAACAGCTGAGGAAACTCTTCATTGGAGGGATGAGCTTTGAAACAACCGATGAGAGCCTGAGGAGCCATTCTGAGCAATGGGGAACACTCACAGACTGTGTGGTAATGAGTGAGTCAAACACCAAGTGCTCCAGGGGCTTTGGGTTTGTCACCTATGCCACTATGGAGGAGGTGGATGCAGCCATGAATGCAAGACCACACAAGGTGAATGGAAGAGTTGTGGAACCAAAGAGAGCTGTCTCAAGAGGAGATTCTCAAAGACCAGGTGCCCATTTAACTGTGGAAAAGATATTTGCTGGTGGCATTAAAGAAGATGCTGAAGAACATCACCTAAGAGATTATTTTGAACAGCATAGAAAAATTGAAGTGATTGAAATCGTGACTGACCAAGGCAATGGCAGGAAAAGGGGCTTTGACTTTGTAAACACTGATGACCATGATTCAGTGGATAAGACTGTCATTCAGAAATACCATACTGTGAATGGCCACAATGGTGAAGTTAGGAAAGCCCTGTCAAAGCAGGAGATGGCTTAGTGCTTCTTCTAGCCAGAGGTCAGAGTGGTTCTGGAAACTTTGGTTGTGTCATGGAGGTGGTTTCGGTGGGAATGACAACTTTGGTCATGGAGGAAACTTCAGTGGTGGTGGTGGCTTTGGTGGCAGCCATGGTGGTGGTGGATATGGTGGCAGTGGGGATGGCTATAATGGATTTGGTAATAATGGAAGCAATTTTGGAGGTGGTGGAAGCTACAATGATTTTGGCAATTACAACAATCAGTCTTCAAATTTTGGACCCATGATGGGAGGAAATTTTGGAGGTAGAAGCTCTGGCCCCTGTGATGGTGGAGGCCAATACTTTGCCAAACCACTAAACCAAGGTGGCTATGACAGTTCCAGTAGCAGCAGTAGCCATAGCTGTGGTAGAGATTTTAATTAGTAAACAAAGCTTAGCAGGAGAGGAAAGCCAGAGAAGTGACAGGGAAGCTACAGGTTATAACAGATTTGTGAACTCAGCCAAGCACAGTGGTGGCAGGGCCTAGCTGCTACAGAGAAGACATGTTTTAAATAAATCCTCATGTGTATGGGCAAAAACCTCGAGGACTATATTTGTGACTAATTGTATAACAGGTTATTTTAGTTTTAGTTTCTGTTCTGTGGAAAGTGTAAAGCATTCCCACAAAGGGTATATACACATATATATACATATATATATACACACACACACACTCTATATACATATATATACACACACATATATATACATATATATACACACATACATATATATACATATATATACACACACACACATATACATATATATATATTTGCACCATAAATGTACGGTAGTATGATCATGACACAGAATGAGTGTCTTTTTTTTTTTTAATGTGCTGTGCAAAGTTAGTCTACTCTGAAGCCATCTTGGTAAATTTCCCCAACAGTGTGAAGTTAGAATTCCTTCAGGGTGATGCCAGGTTCTATTTGGAATTTATATGCAACCTGCTTGGGTGGAGAAGCCATTGTCTTTAGAAACCTTGGTGTAGTTGAACTGATAGTTACTGTTGTGACCTGAAGTTTACCATTAAAAGAGATTACCCAAACAAAATCATGGAACTAATGGTTATAAAAATGATTGTTGGCACATCCTATGCAATATATCTAAATTGAATAATTGTACCAGATAAAATTATAGATGGGAATAAAGTTTGTGTGTCATCCATTACCATGTGTAATCAATAAATTATTTCATTTACTTGAAAAAAAAAGAAATATTGCTTTACTATGTATGATACTATGGCTTAAATTGATTTCCTAGATTACTGAACCTAAATGATGATAACTTTCTTCTCTATCATCATTAAAATATTTACCAAGCCTTTGCTTATATAAGGCACTTAGATTAGGCAAAGTTAGTTAGAAAGATAATCCCTGAACACATAGAATTAATTATTAAACAAAAATTTTCCCGGCTGATATAAATAATAGCTAAAATGTATTGAGCACATACCATGTGGCAGCACTGTTCTTTGCATTTAATCTTTTACAGTTAATGCTATTATACATAAAATCTTGTTTTTCAGATGAGGGAAGATGAGGCATGAAGAGGTTAATCTAATGCCTACATAATTAGTAAGTGAAACATTTAGGATTCAAACTCAGAGCCCATAATCTTAACCATTATGGTATCCAGCCTTTGAAGAATCGACTTGATTAGATGCGGTTGATGTTTTAAATATTAGGTTTAAAAAATATTTTGTGTGTGCATGTGTGAAATATTCTACAAGAGTATTAGCTTTAAAGAGACCACACAATATTGCTGTATGTGGAGAAATAGAAACTGGAAACAGAAAATCAGAAAATATGCTTTTTGCTAGTTGAGGATGTAAGAGAGTTTGGGGAAAAGTCTATATTAGTATTTTAGAATAAAGGGCCTTTAAAATCATATTAATAAATGCACTTATTTTACTTCAACAGTGAAGTTTTACCATATTGCCACCTATTTTAAATATAACCTTTGTATTTAATTTATACTAAATGTATTATATATATTTCCCCCCGCCCCCAGCAGGAAGGCTCCTGATCTTTCTAAAATAAGCCATTATTTCATTTCTTTAAGAACAATTTTTTAAATTTACATTTTCTTTTCTGTTATTCTGTGAACAATAACAACATCAAATGCTTGCAGAACCTTTATGGAATAAAAGTAAAATTGAGCTCCTATCCAGACAAAGGCTTTTATAAATTAACCACTATCATGCTAAAAAGATCAGAAAGCAATTTTTCCAACCAAAAAACTGCCCTGTTTCCTATCATGTGATTCACACTCTGAGCTATAAATAAAAGAGACCCAGAGAGACAGGACAAGAGAGATAATAGTAAGTGAAAACACTGTTAGCTATGAATTCTGAACTAAATGAATAAGCAATTGACTAGTGGCTCATAGGATTTTTTTTTAAACTCTTAAAAAAATCTCCATAGGTTTTGGTTAAATTCATTACTTAATTTGCCATAAACCACTATAGTATATTTCTGTGGATGTGTGTGTACATGCATGAAGTCAACTATTTTGTGGATATATATCCTTATGTATAATTTTAGTTGACTGCAATCACACTTTTGGAGGTAGTGAGAACAAAAATGAGTAAGCAGATTTATAGGTATGTAAGGTATAGGAATATTCTGAGCTACCAAGAATTATTCTTCTTGGTTAGTAACAGTTAACTCAGAGATACAATATTTTATAAGTTCTCTCTGTGATGAAATTATACGTGCTGTCTCTCATAATCTCCGTCTATCCCAACCCCATACCTGTGTATGACAGAAAAATTAGATTTATCAAGTACATTTTTACATATTCTCTCTCTCTCTCTTTTTTTAATTTTTTTTTTTTCAGACTCATTCTGTTGCCCAGGCTTGAGTGCAGTGGCAGTCTCGGCTCACTACAACCCCCACCTCGCGGGTTCAGGTGATTCTCTTGCCTCAGCCTCCCGAGTAGTTGGGATTACAGGACCATACCACTACATCTGGCTAATTTTTGTATTTTTAGTAGAGACAAGGTTTCACCACGTTGGCCAGGCTGGTCTCAAACTCCTGACCTCAAGTGATCCACATGCCTTGGCCTCCCAAAGTGCTGAGATTACAGGTGTGAGCCACAGTGTCTGGCCCATTTTTACATATCCTTAAATAAATAATTCAAGACCCATAAAAACAGCATACATGTTTATACTTATAATTCTTTAATTTAAAAAAATGCATTGACAAATATAAGCAATAATGAAATATACATTTTTTCAATAAAATATGATTTAGCTATAAAAAAGAATGAAATCCTATCATTCAAAGCAACATGGGTAGAACTGGAGTATGTTAAGTGAAATAAGCCAGGAATAGAAAGTTAAGCACCACATGTCCTCATTTATATGTGGAAGCTACAAAAAGTTGATCTCACAGACATAAAATGTAGAACACAGGAAAAAACTGATACTACAGGACAGGAAAGGTAAGGTAAAAGGAGGGATAGGCAGAAATGTGTTAAAGGATACAAAATTACAGCTAGGTAGGAGGGATAAGTTGCAGTGTTCTATAACACTGCAGGATGACTATAGTTAACAATAATACATGTTTTAAATAGCTATAAGGGGGATATTGACCATTTCTAACACAAAGAAATAAATGTTTGAGATGATGAATATGTTAATTACCCTCACTGATCATTATACATTCTATATGTCGAATATCACTATGTACCCCATCAATATGTACAATTATTATTTGTCAGTTAATAAAGTAAGTTTAAAAAGAAATATATGTTTTTAACATGAACAATAATAACATAAACAGTTCATTAGCTCTAATAATAGGAAAAACTAGAACATGGTTAATTGTAACCAAAGTGTCTGTAAACCTCATATTTCTAGTCTTCTGGCTCACTTATTGCCTACTCTTACTAACTGTGGTGAATTGATTTGTCATAAAGTGTCTGTTTTTTAAAATGAGAAATACGAAAAAATAATAAAATATCCAGAAGTTTTCATGCATATGTATTTGCCACAAGCCTTTTTACTTTTCTTTGTTTATAATTCTGCACTTTATTCTACAGATTCCAAAATGAGTCAGGATTAGTTTTGCCAACAGATGGGGAATTGAAATAAATTTTAAATGTAGCTAGTCCTAATTTTACTAGAAATGGCCTTCAGCATTCATCCTTCTCTTCCCTGAACCTTCCCTAGCCCCCTCCTACAAAGCTACAGCACCAACAACTTTGATGTGATTTTTGTCTTTGAGTCTAAAGCAAGTGCTTTCAAAATATACTTTAAAATAGTGTTATTGTGATCTTTTATTCTAGAATGGCTTTATTTATGCACAAATTCAACTAATGGCTCCTACCTCATGGAGCCTTGATTGCAAAGACCTATTTTCACCAGATGGGGATGTTGCATTAGGAAAGAGCAGCCCTGTAGAGTAAAACAACGATTCTCCTACAACCAGGGAGGTGCAGAAGGCAAAAAGCTATCTGCGTTTTTAAGATTTGGTCATAAAATAAGTGACAAACATATTTTGAAAATATTTAATGGTAATATTAATCCAGATGATTTACAATGGTTAGATGATTTACATTTGCACATTAGACTTCATTTTTTTTTCTTTGTTTCTTGCTCACAAAAAGAACTTTGTTGACAGCTGCCCTTTGCCCTTTTTTCTATTCAGGTAAAGCATTTATGAACATCTAAATAAATGGTATTTTAAGAAGGAGAGTAGAATGTCAAGGATTTTTCTGTTTTTTTGAAAGTCTCAAGATAGTAATGTGGGTCAGTATTATTTTACCATTTTACAGTTGTTTTTAATCCATTTTGTATTTCCTTGTTCTTAGGATGCTGTAATTTAAAGCTTCTAAGTGGGTAGTTATTTATAAATATTATTAGTAACCATTGACATATTTTTGTCTATACAGTTGACCCTTGAACAACATGAGGGTTAGGGGTGCCAACCCCCTTGCAGTTGAAAATCCATATATAACTTTTGACTCCCCCAAATCTTAACTACTAAATAGCCTACTGTTGATCAGAATCCTTACCTATAACATAAACAGTTAACACATATTTTGTATGTTATATGCATAGTATGCTATATTCTTACAATAAAGTAAGCTAGAGAAAAGAAAATGTTATTAAGGAAATCATAATGAAGAGAAAATATATTTACTAATCAATAAGTGGAAGTAGATCATCATAAAGATCTTCATCCTTGTCATGTTCACATTGACTAGGCTGAGAAGGAGGAGGACCAACCCTTCGGGTGGTCTTGCTGTCTCTGTGTGGCAGAGGCAGAAGATGAAGAGGAGATGAAAGGGGAACAAAAGAGGCAGACACACTCGGGGTTAACTTTTATTGAAGAGAACTCTAATAAAAGTGGACCCACGTAGTATTGTTCAAGGGTTAACTGTATTATATTTTCACTACTTTTATCACATTTCTGAAGAACAGTGGTTGAAGTTGGCAAAATAAGATTTATAAGTATACCTAAGAGATATTGCAGGTTTGGTTACAGGCACCACCATAAAGCGAATAGCACAATAAACTGAGTCACATGAATTTTTGGTTCTCCAATGTATATAGAATTTATGTTTACACTGTAGTATAGTCTATTAAGTGTGCAATAGTATTACATGTAAAAAAATTATATAGCTTACCTTAATTAAAAAATACTTTATTGCTAAAACGTGCTAATGATCATCTGGGCCTTGAGCAAGTGGTAATCTTTTTCCTGCTGGAGGTTGGAGGGTCCTGCCTTGATGTTGATGTCTGCTAGCTGATTAGGTTGTTGGTTGCTGAAGGTTGGGGTGGCTGTGGCAATTTCTGAAAGAAAATAAGACAACAGAGAAGTTTGCCGCATCAATTGAGTCCTTCATGAAAAATTTCTCTGTAGCATGTCATGCTGTTCGACAGCATTTTACCCACATTAGAACTTCTTTCAAGACTGGAGTCAATTTTCTCAAACACTGCTGCTGTTTTTTCAACTAGGTTCATGGAATATTCTAAATTCTTTTTCATCATTTGACAATGTTCACAGCATCCTCACCAGGAGTAGATTCTGCCACTTGCTTTGCTCATCCATAAGAAGCAACTCCTCACCTCTTCCAGTTTTATTATGAGATGGCAGCAATTCAGTCACAAGTTCAGGCTGCACTTCCAATTCTATTTCTCTTGGTATTTTCACCATACCCACCATTACAATAGTAACATCAAAGATCACTGATCACAGATCACCGTAACAGATATAATAATAATGACAAAGGCTGGAATACTGTAAGAATTGCCAAAATGTAATACAAAGACATTAAGTGAGCACATGCTTTTGGAAAAATGGTGGCAATAGACTTGCTCAATGCAAGGTACCCACAAACCTTCAGTTGGTATAAAAATGCAATATCTCCAAAGCACAATAAAGTGAAGCACATCAAGAAGGTGTGCCTGTATTCATGTGATCATTACCATTTCAAATCATGTGCTGATTCAATTGTATAACATGCTGTATTGTGTATATCTCTGAGGTGAACTCTCAGCATTTAGACTTCTAGAGGAACAAGTTTTCAGGAGAACTTCAGTTTGGGGAATTCTTTGATGTGATTGGTTTAAAAATACCTATGCTCACAATTTAACAACTTAAAAATAGAAAATAGTGCTGTTCGGATGTTCCCATATAAACTTTAAATGTTCATTATTAAAGCATTATTTTTAGTAAATTGAAAACAATCTAAATATGCATAAGTGGATAAGTGACTAAATGATAACACTCCTCTCTTATCCTAAGGGGATATTATCGGGGAACCTGCCCTGATATTCACGTAGGTTCTTTTCTATTTTCCTTAAGTGTTGGCAGGCTTGAGAAATAAAGGGACAGAGTACAAAAGAGAGAAATTTTGAAGCTGGGCATCCAGGGGAGACATCACATGTCGGTAGGTTCCATGATGCCCCACAAGCCACAAAAACCAGCAAGTTTTTATTAGGGATTTTCAAAAGGGGAGGGAGTGTGTGAATAGGTGTGGGTCACAGACATCAAGTACTTTACAAGGTAATAGAATATCACAAGGCAAGTGGATGCAGGGTGAGATCACAGGACCACAGGACAGAGGCTAAATTAAAATTGCTAATGAAGTTTCGGGCACCATTGTCATTGATAACATCTTATCAGGAGACAGGTTTTTTGAAATCAACTGGTCTGACTAAAATTTATTAGGCGGGAATTTCCTCTTCCTAATAAGCCTGGGAGTGCTATGGGAGACTGGGGTCTATTCCACCCCTACAGCCTCAACCATAAGAGACAGGCACACCTGGGGGGGCTGTTTATAAGCCTATACCTCTAGGTGCATATTCTCTTTCCCAGGGATGTTCCATGCTGAGAAAAAGAATTCGGCGATATTTCTCCCATTTGCTTCTGAAAGAAGAGAAATATGGCTCTGTTCTGCCCAGCTCACCGGTGGTCAGAGTTTAAGGTTATCTCTCTTATTCCCTGAACAATTGCTGTTATCCTGTTCTTTTTTCAAGGTGCCCACATTTCATATTGCTCAAACACACATGCTGTACAATTTGTGCAGTTAATGCAATTATTACAGGGTCCTGAGGTGATATACATCCTCCTCAGCTGACAGGATTAAGAGATTAAAGTAAAGACAGGCATAGGAAATCACAAGGGTATTGATTGGGGAAGTGATAAGTGTCCACGAAATCTTTACAATTTATGTTTAGAGATTGCAGTAAAGACAGGCATAAGAAATTACAAAAGTATTAATTTGAGGAACTAATAAATGTCCATGAAATCTTCACAATCCACGTTCTTCTGCCATGGCTTCAGCGGGTCCCTCCGTTTGGGGTCCCTGACTTCCCGCAACAGGATATGTTACAAGACCTCCAGTGAATGTCTGAAATCATGAATAATAGTGAACTTGATTGCCATTAGTGTTTCACCCACAAGTTTTATGACTTTTTCATCTTAACTAAGAATTTATCACACACTATGGCCACAGTCATTACGGTTTGAGATGTGACAGCAAAACTAGCATGAATTTCTTTTTCCTTTCTTACTACTTCACGGACAGAAGATAAGTTCTTAAGGTAGATCTTAGCAACCTCAGCATAAGATTTGTTTCTTTCCTTAATTTGAGAACTTTCACATTTTCACTTACAGAAAGCACTTAATTGGCTTCCTTTTGGCATATCCAAATAGCCAGCATCACTATTTTTGCACTTTGGGGCCATTATTAAATAAAATAAGGGTTACTTGAACACAAACACTGCAATACCCAGCAGTCAATCTGATAACTCAGGGGTAGGGTAGACCACGTGAATATGCTAGACAAAGGGATGACTCATGTCCCAGTGGAAGGGAGCCAGATTTCACTGTGCTACTCAGAATGGTGCACAGTTTAAAATTTATAAATTATTTCTGGAATTTTTTCATTTAATATTTTCAGACCATAGTTAACTGTGAGTAACTGAAACCCACGGAAAGTGAAAACTGCAGATAAAGCAAGACTACGATAGTGGATAATATATTAAATTAATAATTAACAATTTTGCTATTCTAAAATTCCACACTTACAGTAAATGTGAACATTTCTTCAAAAACTTGGAGGGATTTCCTTGATAGAGTTAAATTTTTAAAAATACATGATAATATATATTAATATTTTGTCATTCTGACTTTAAAAAGTCTGTTTTTTAATCCCTAGATAACAACAAAAAAGCCTTATGAATGAGAACACACAGATATACACAAAAAAGGCAATTTTTCACCTATCCTGTTTCAAGTGAACTCCCCAAAATTATACAATACAAAGTTTACTTTTAAAAATTTTATTAGGCATGAATGAGCTACAAACATTATATGTTATTCTGTATTTCAAATTGAGGAAGCAGAGAAATTCTTCAAATCTTACTATAGTACATTGCTTTTCAGATTGCTTTGCCACATCTCCATACCTACCATGGGTGGGTGGATCTAGGAAACGAACAAGCAAACAAAAACCAGCAATGAATATCACAACAGCAACACGAGAGGAAGAATGAGAAATTTATCCTAGATAGCTATTAGTATAGTAAACCCTCCACAGCTCACCTCCCATATACCAAAGGCAGTCACTGTTAGGAAATTCCAGAAGGGCTGCCCCAACAGCTTCTGCAAACCTATCTGCTATGGCTATCACACTTAGTCCATTCTGATCTTTTCTCCTGCATGGCTTCCACTTACCCAATTCCATGGCCTAAAAAACTATTGTCAACTGTTTATCATGAAACTAACAATGACCATAGAGAGGAAAATATTTTCTCTGGCTTCCATCTCATTTTAAATAATAAATTAAGCATTACTTAAAAAATAAAATATTGGATAATTTCATATGAAAAATTTCATGCACGTCCGTGTGAAGAGACCACCAAAAACAGGCTTTGTGTGAGCAACATGGCTGTTTATTTCACCTGGGTGCAGGCGGGCTGAGTCCGAAAAAAAGTCAGCAAAAGGTGGTGGATTATCATTAGTTCTTATAGGTTTTGGGATAGGCGGTGGAGTTAGGAGCAATGTTTTGCGGGCAGGGGTGGATCTCACAAAGTACATTCTCAAGGGTGGGGAGAATTACAAAGAACCTTCTTAAGGGTGGGGGAGATTACAAAGTACATTGATCAGTTTGGGTGGGGCAGAAACAAATCACAATGGTGGAATGTCATCAGTTAAGGCTATTTTTACTTCTTTTGTGGATCTTGAGTTACTTCAGGCCATCTGGATGCATATGTGCAAGTCATAGGGGATGCGATGGCTTGGCTTGAGCTCAGAGGCCTGACATTCCTGCCTTCTTATATTAATAAGAAAAATAAAACAAAATAGTGTTGAAGTGTTGGGGTGGCAAAAATTTTTGGGGGGTGGTATGGAGAGAGAATGGGCGATGTTTCTCAGGGCTGCTTCCAGCAGGATTAGGGGCGGCGTGGGAACGTACAGTGGGAGAGATTAAGCTGAAGGGAGATCTTGTGGTAAGGGGTGATATTGTGGGGATGTTAGAAGAAACATTTGTCATATAGAATTATTGGTGATGGCCTGGATACGGTTTTGGGTGAATTGAGGAACTAAATGGAATAAGAGGAGAAAAACAGGTATAAAAGGTCTAAGAATTGGGAGGACCTAGGACATCTCATTAGAGAGTGCCTAAGGAGATTCAGCATAGTTCTGCCAGCAAAGATTATTTATTTACTTCAAGAGTTTAGAGTGGCAGTTTGGGGATAGCACCGGGAGATATCAGCTCTGATGGCTTGGAGAAACAGTGTAAACAAGAGCAGGGCATGTATGAGTAGTTGAGAACGGTGAATAGGAGTATGACTAGACAGAAGATAGTAGGGATGACAAGTTTTTTGGGGCACAGTCTAAGTTGGTCTGGTGTCGAATGAGAGACTGGGGCCTAATAAAAAGGAGCGTCTACACAGGAGCTTAAATGGGCTGTACCTTGTAGCATTCTGAGGACAGGTCCGACTTCTGAGAAGGGAAAGTGGTAAAAGTATTGTCCAGTCCTTTTTAAGTTAGTGGCTGAGCTTGGTGAGGTGTGTTTTTAAAAGATTTTAGTCCATTCTACTTTCCTTGAAGATGGAGGACAGTAAGGTATATAAAGGTTTCACTGAATACTAAGAGCCTGAAAACCTGCTTGGCTGATTTGACTAATTAAGGCTGGTCTGTTATCAGACTGTATAGAGGTGGGAAGGCTAAACTGAGGAATTATGTCTGACAGAAGGGAAGAAATGACTGTGGTGGCCTTCTCAGACCCTGTAGGAAAGGCCTCTATTTATGTAATGAAAGTGTCTACTTAGACTAAGAGGTATTTTAGTTATCTGACTCGGGGCGTGTTGAGTAAAGCTAATTTGCCAGGCCTGGGTGGGGGCAAATCCTCGAGCTTGATATTTAGGGAAGGGAGGGGGCCTAAATAATCCCTGAGGAGTAGTAGAATAGCAGATGGAACACTGAGAAGTGATTTCCTTGAGGATAGATTTCCATGATGGAAAGGAAATGAGAGGTTCTAAGAGGTGGGCCAGTGGTTTGTACTATAGCTTAGCCTGCCTTTGCTGGTGTGTGGCGATTAGGCCTGGTGGAACTGCCATCAATAAACTAAGTGTGATCAGGGTGAGAAACAGGGAAGAAGGAAATGTGGGGAAATGGGGTGAATGTCAGGTGGATCAGAGAGATACAGTCATGGGGGTCAGGTGTGGTATCAGGAATAATGTGGGAGGCCGGATTGAAGTCCGGGCCAGGAACAATGGTAATTGTGGGACTTAACAAAGAGTGAGTACAGCTGAAGGAGCCGGGGCGCAGAAAGTATATGCGTCAGGTATGAGGAAGAAAATAGATTTTGGAAGTTATGAGAAATGTAGAGAGTGAGTTGAGCATAGTTTGTGATTTTGAGGGCCTCTAAAAGTATTAGGGTGGCAGCAGCTGCTGCACAGAGACATGATGGCTAGGCTAAAACAGTAAGGTCAAGTTGTTTGCACAGAAAGGCTACAGGGTGTGGTCCTGGCTCTTGTGTAAGAATTCTGACCGCACTAACCATGCCTAGGAAGGAAAGGAGTTGTTGTTTGGTAAGGGATTGAGGTTTGGGAGATTAATCAGACATGATAAGCAGGGAAAGCACGTGTGTTTTTATGAGAATTATGCTGAGATAGGTAACAGATGAGGATGAAATCTGGGCTTGACTGAAGTAATGGGGGCTGTCTGTGAAGCCTTGCGGCAGTACAGCCCGGGTAATTTGCTGAGCCTAATGGGTGTCAGGGTCGTCTAAGTGAAAGCAAAGAGAGGCTGGGATGAAGGGTGCAAAGGAATAGCAAAGAAAGCATGTTTGAGATCCAGAACAGAATAATGAGTAGTAGAGGGAGGTATTGAGGATAGGAGAGGATATGGGTTTGGCACCACGGGGTGGATAGGCAAAACAATTTGGTTGATAAGGGGCAGATTCTGAACTAACTTGTTAGGCTTGCCTGGTTTTAGGACAGGTAAAATGGGGGAATTGTAAGGAGAGTTTATAGGCTTTAAAAGGCCATGCTGTAGCAGGTGAGTGATAACAGGCTTTAACCCTTTCAAAGCTTGCTGTGGGATGGGATATTGGCATTGATCGGGGTAAGGGTGATGAGGTTTTAATGAGATGGTAAGGGGTGCGTGATCAGTCGCCAAGGAGGGAGTAGAGGTACCTTTTACTTGTGGGTTAAAGTGGGGGAATACAAGAGGAGGAAGCAAAGGAGGCTTTGGATTGGGAAGAAGGGCGGCAATGAGATGTAGCTGTAATCCAGGAATAGTCAGGGAAGCAGATAATTTAGTTAAAGTGGCTCGCCCTAATAAGGGAACTGGGCAGGTGGGGATAACTAAAAAGGAGTGCTTAAAAGACTATTGTCTAAGTTGGCACCAGAGTTGGGGAGTTTTAAGAGGTTTAGAAGCCTGGCTGTCAATACCCACAACAGTTATGGAGGCAAGGGAAACAGGCCCTTGAAAATAAGGTAATGTGGAGTGGGTAGCCTCCGTATTGATTAAGAAGGGGATGGACTTACCTTCCACTGTGAGAGTTACCTGATGCTCGGCGTCCGTGATGGTTTCTGGGGCTTCCGAGGTGATCAGGCAGCGTTAGTCTTTAGCCGCTAAGCCGAGAAGATCTGGGAAGGAGTCAGAGATCCTTGGGCCAGAGTTCCAGGGGCTCTGGGAGTGGCTGCCAGGTGAGTTGAACAGTCCGATA
This sequence comes from Homo sapiens, assembly GCF_000001405.40. NCBI lineage: Eukaryota > Metazoa > Chordata > Mammalia > Primates > Hominidae > Homo > Homo sapiens. Next base: position 148,154,017 of record NC_000003.12, on the reverse strand, counting down.
TTCAGTGGGGTCCCACACAGATGGGACATGGCTTATGAGGAATCCTGGGCTGCAGGCATTCCTTGGCCTGGTGGCCAGATTTCTGGCACTTGTAGCAAGCTCCTGGGGGAGGAGGTTCTGGAGGAACGCCTGGCCACTGCGGTTCAGGCATTTGGAAGTTCTTGTGTGCTGGAGATGTGGCTGGGGTTTGTCTCACAGTGGAGGCAAGGAATTGCCACTTTTTTCTATTATTGTACACCTTGAAGGCGAGGTTAATTAAATCCTGTTGTGGGGTTTGAGGGCCGGAATTTAATTTTTGGAGTTTTATTTAATGTCGGGAGCAGATTGGGTAATAAAATGTATTTTGAGAATAAGACGGCCTTTTGACCTTTTAGGGTATAGGGCTGTAAAGTGTCTCAGGGTTGCTGCCAAACAAGTCATGAACTGGGCTGGATTTTTATATTTGATGAAAAAGAGCCTAAACGCTATCTGATTTGGGATAAAGAAAAAGGAGCATTAACCTTGACTATGCCTTTAGGTCCAGCCACCTTTTTAAGAGTAAATTGCTGGGCAGGAGGGGGAGGGCTAGTCAGAGAAGGAAACTGTAAGCCGGACCAGGTGTTAGGAGGGGAGGTGATAAAAAGAGTATAGGGTGGGGGAGCAGAGGCTGAGGAAGAATTGGGACCTAGCTCAGCCTGGCGAGGAGCAGCCTGGGGAGGAGGGGAGAGGTCAGATGGGTTTGTAGAAAAGGAAGATTAGAAAGACTCAGCGATGCTTGGGGTTGGTACTGAGGGGACAGACGGGAGGGAAAGAAGGAAGATATGGGACGAGTTGCACTGGGCACAGAGACTAGGAAGGGACTGATGTGTAAAAGAATGCCTGGACGTCAGGCACCTCAGACCATTTGCCCATTTTACAACAAGAATTATTTAGATCTTGTAGGATGGAAAAATTGAAAGTGCCATTTTCCGGCTGTTTGGAACTACTGTCGAGTTTGTATTGGGGTCAAGCGGCATTGCAGAAGAAAATAAGATGCTTAGATTTTATGTCAGGTGAGAGTTGAAGAGGTTTTAAGTTTTTGAGGACACAGGCTAAGGGAGAAGAAGGAGGAATGGAGGGTGGAAGGTTGCCCATAGTGAAGGAAGCAAGCCTAGAGAAAAGAGAGAGTAGAGAAATGGAGGGAAGGGGTTCGGGGGTTCTTACCTTCCAGAGAAGTGGGAAAGGGGTTGGGGCGCAGAAATAAGGGGTTGGGGCGCAGAGGTAAGAGGTCGGGGTGTGGAAATAAGGGATGGGGCGCAGAGATAAGAGGTTGGGGTATGGAAATAAGGGATTGGGACACAGAGATAAGAGGTTGGGGCCTGGAAATAAGGGATTGGGGCGCAGAGATATAAGAGGTTGGGGCGCGGAAATAAGGGATTGGGTGCAGAGATAAGAGGTTGGGGCGGGGAAATAAGGGATTGGGGCACAGAGATACGAGGTTGAGGTACTTGCCTCTCCTCTAGGAAAGTGGGACTTGCCACTCAGGGTGAAGGAGAAAGGGTTGGGGATTTATTGCCCCCCAGAAAGGCGGAGAAGGGGTAGAGACACGAGAGAAGGGGTTGGGGTACTTGCCCCTTCCCCAGAAAAGCAGGACTTGCCGCTAAGGGTGAAGGACCAAGGCAGGCGTCCCTGCGTGGTCTGACACCTCTGAAACCTGGGTGAATAATCAGAGAGGCGTCCCTGCAATGATTAAACACCAAGGGAAGCCTGCCTTCCCTAGTCCGTGACCGGCGCCGGAGTTTTGGGTCCACGAATAAAACGTGTCTCCTTTGTCTCTACCAGAAAATGAAAGGAATTGAAATTAAGAGAAGGGAGAGATTGAAGAGTGGAAAGGAGAAAGTGGATGAGGGACAGTGAGAGAGGTTGGAGAAGAGAGTAAGAAGAGGCCACTTACCCGATTTAAAATTGGTGAGATGTTTCTTGGGCTGGTTGGTCTGAGGACCTGAGGTCGTAGGTGGATCTTTCTCATGGAGCAAACAACAGGAGGACAGGGGATTGATCTCCCAAGGGAGGTCCTCCGATCTGAGTCACGGCACCAAATTTCATGCGCGTCCATGTGAAGAGACCACCAAACAGGCTTTGTGTGAGCAGCATGGCTGTTTATTTCACCTGGGTGCAGGCGGGCTTAGTCGGAAAAGAAAGTCAGCAAAAGGTGGTGGATTGTCATTAGTTCTTATAGGTTTTGGGATAGGTGGTGGAGTTAGGAGCAATGTTTTGCGGGCAGGGGTGGATCTCACAAAGTACATTCTCAAGGGTGGAGAGAATTACAGAGAACCTTCTTAAGGGTGGGGGAGATTACAAAGTACATTGATCAGTTTGGGTGGGGCAGAAACAAATCACAATGGTGGAATGTCATCAGTTAAGGCTATTTTTACTTCTTTTGTGGATCTTCAGTTACTTCAGGCCATCTGGATGTATACGTGCAAGTCATAGGGGATGTGATGGCTTGGCTTGGGCTCAGAGGCCTGACAAAAAAGTATGTATTGTCAGTAAAATGGGCTGAGCTGAGTAGGAACCACCCACATTAGACAAATAGTAGGGAGTATGTGCGCTTTTTGATCGGGTCATGGCAGGGAAGAGTTGCGAGAAAATTTCCTGTTAACACTAGTAGCAACTAGTCTATAGCAATATTCTCAAGAACTTATTATATGACTGCTACAGTGCTGAGCCCTTCACATAAATTATCAGGTTGATTTTCAGAATAACCTTATAAGGTAAATATTGTTATTGTCTTCATTTATGGAAAGAGGACACGGAAGCTTCTATGACTTAAGTAGTCAGGGCACATAGCTAATAAGGGACAGTCAGGACTGAAACCAGATAGTGTGCACTCTGTTATTCACCATTTATTGAGTACCTCATTGGTTCACATTCCTGCATCCTAGAGTTTGAGGGGACTATAAAAAATAATGTATACCCTCTAGCAATATATATGATGGTTTTGATTTTAAAATGTATTAAAATGTATTACGTGAAGGATCTTGGGAAGATTAACCACGCATTGAGTGGAAGGTTGAATTGGAGTATGGGGAGATTACAGGGAAGGGTATCAGGTAAAGAGCTATTGCAACGGTTCAGGAAATAAGCTGATGAGGGTGTTGGTAGGGGTGTTGTTGGTAAAGTTGCTTTTACATGAAAAATGGATTCTCTTCAAAGCATATGTAATATTTACTTAAACTGCAGCTTTGGAATGCCTCTAAAGTAAAGAGCTGTTATTTGACAGTCACATATAGGCAAAGGTGTATAATATTAAGCACACCACAAAACTGTTTTAAAATGAGGAAATGATTTTTATATAACAGCACAAGTACCACTTAGATTATAAACATTTTCTTATTTAAATAAATAATTATTTCAAGTTTCTTTATTCAACTTTTAAAATAACATTTGTTTACTGAACATTTACTATGTGCCATGAACTAGAGTTTTCATTCATATGATAATTGTATACCTGAAACGAGATCAACCAATGAAAGAGAAGAAAAAGACGCTAAAGGTACTTTTCTGAAATACTTGTTAAACTCTCATTTTATTTTTCATTTCAGGATAGGCACATTCTTACGTTGTTTCTGTCTCATTGGAAGGTGTGTGTAATGTTATTGCTGTCTATCAAAACATATTATACATGCATACTTTTAAAAGAAATCTTGTGATTAACCCTTTGTCATGCATTAATCACCCATAATGTATCTGACTGTTAATCTTGAATCTCATAATCCATCTAATTTGCCTAGAGTGAGCAATACACATATTGATATTTGCTCAAACAACTTATAAAATGAGCCCTTCTCTATATACTGGCAAAGATCACTATTAAAATTACAAAATAACAACCATCTTAGGAAAAATTTGGGGGAAATGCAAAAGTTATTTTCTAATCCAGATTAAGAAAAACTTTAGCTGTTTAGCATTTCAGTGTCAGTGAAATGGAATATTTAGAAACATTTTACTCCACAGAAAATGTGTTTAGTCTCATTTCTCCATTGCTTTCCAATCAATTGCATTTGTTGTAGCATGGAAATGACTAAATATTCCTAAGAAAGTGAGATATTGCGTTAAATTTGATTCATTAAATCTGATGATCTCTTGTGAAAATGTCAGCTTCCTTTCATGTCTCTCTTTTGCTCACAGTTGAAATGATGAGGTACAAATGACCACAGAAAACTATGGACTTTTCTAGTCCAAAAGCTGAAGCAGACACTCAAATTGGGATCTTGTCAGTAGGAGGTGTGAAGTCAGGCTGTCACAATGATGGCATCACATTCTTCGGCCATTCTCATGTAAATACTAGAGAGAATTCTTTAGTGATAAGTGCTTCTTAATGCTAACAAATTGCTAGCTCTTTCTTGGGTAGCAAATAAAACCCAGAAAATTCTGAAATGTCACAGTTACTTAACAATTTTTGAAAAGCTTTTAATATTCTTATTTCACATATCAAACACTAACTTTGTGCAGAGCTCTGATCTCTAATGTTTGGAGATGCACATTCTACTTGCATGAGCAACATGTGAACAAGCTACAGAAAATATTATAATGTATAAATAAGAGCAAAATATCATGTAACAAAAACTCTGATTATCTTCCTCTAGTTTTTTATTTGTATTTTCTATTTTATGTTCATTATTCTGCTTTTTAACATATCAGAATATTAAGAATAAATGTATGTGAACATAAACTATCTATGTCATTACAAAGGACCGTAATTCTGGTTGATATTTAAATTTTAAAAAAAGAATCAGCAAATAATATGACTGGTTTTCTATTTACACCGATATCATAACTTTGAGTTATTTATTAATTAAAAGGTTTATAATTAACTGAAGCCATTATTAATGAGAATTATAGTCTTTACATTCACCCCAAGAGTGGCTTTTCACTAGCAAGTTTGAACTTCAGATATTTTGCATTTGATATCAGAAATCTGTCCTCTAATAACAAAATCCTTATGTATTTAATAAATACATGCCATTCCACTTAAACTAAACCTTTTGTCCCTGTTTACATATGTGATTGACATGCATTATTTTTCTTGTTTTATTGGTGTCATTGTTATTATTGGTAATGATCTTCAATTGAATTTTAACCAAAATATAACTACAAGAGCTGTAGCATTTTCATATGTGTGGAGTTACTTCTAAGATATTTAATGGGGTGGGATGTTTATTGAAGTGGGCTTTCAAGAAAGTACACTTGAGGATTAAGAGAAACTTTGCAGGAATGTCAAGGAATATGACATGTAGCACCTATTGTTTTGGGGAAAATATTTCTCATGACTGTAATATTAGGCTCATGTTGAATAATGAAAAGGTTAAGTTGTCGATGGAGGGGGACAGGGAGGTATGTAACATGACCCACTTCAAATATCATACCTGAATAGGAAGGTTACAGGAAGAAAAGTGTGATTCACTTGAAAAGTCAAATAGAGAGGGAAAATTAGTAAAATCCCATAAAAAACCAGCTTCCGAGTTCCAACTTCTCATAATTTTGCCCTCACAGCCTCGAATGTCCGTTTACTTAATGTTTGGGGGTGACAAAACTATGGGAAAAAGATACTAAGTGTTGTCAGTTGTTAGAGCTGGGGAAATAGTAGGAGTCAGCACCATGGAGTGGTAAGATAACTGTGCTGGGAGTCAGATTGGGTCCCTGGCTCAGGTCTATGACCATGTAGTATCATGACTTTGCAGAAGTCACTTACACTCTCTGAGATTAAGTATCAAATGAATGTGGTGCACTAAGAGATTTATAAGTTTAAATGACATTCCAGGTTACAGACTTGGCCAAGTCGGAGATTTGAAGAAAATTTTTAGAAACATGTCAGAAATGGCACTTTCATTTTTCCCACATAGAGAGAAGTATCTCCACCCTCATTCTGCTGAGAAATGACTTACAGTGCCAGGGAACTGGCCTGTGAAATATGATTGTGAAATCATTCTGATTTTTACTTTTTCAAGGGCATTAATGATTCTGCACCCATGACGCTCATCTTAGGAGCAAGCACTGAGGTTTGATTTGCTGCTGTATGTCATTCAGAACACTTTTTCTCCTGTATGCAGTGTTAATTATTAATAGCATAGGTATATTTGGAATGGTGCATTAAAGGACACTAGGAAGAAAATACTGAGTGTTTGGGACAAACTGTAAGTCTGAAAACAGGAGTGGGTCTTTTTTCATTTTGCATTCTTCTGCCAGATTTATAAATATAATTATATAAAGGCATAAGCAAGAAAGCAAATAGCAAAGTTTCCAAGAGATGATATTATATTTTTATTACAAAAAGGACTAATCTGAATGTATATAATATATAATATGTATATATTATATACAGTATGTGAGAAGTCCACTGTATGAGTTACTACATTGGAATGATATTAATGCAGAAGAATGCATAAGGACTGAAATACCATTAGTCTGGTTACAGATTTTTAAAATAATAAATGCTCATAGAAAGACTAATTCAACTCAAGGGAAGAGAATAAATAATGCTCTTGGAGTCAGCAAAGAGTTTTATATTTTTCCATGGAAGAACTCATTCTTTATCCACAATTTTATTTTCCCTCAGTGTAAATGAAATCAAGTTTGGCCACTGTATTATACTCGTCAGAACATGATTACTACTTATGTGTTCTATAGCCCATGCAGCTTATGTGCTTATAAGAACTGCAATATAGGCTTTTATGATACTCATCAGCTTTTGGGAATATCAGCTTACCATGACTTGATTTGATAAATAGCAGGAAATACAAGAGTTTGTGAAGCTATGGTCTATGACCTGCAGCTTACAGCAATGTTTCTAAAAGTATTCAAGTACCATCACTGTTATTTCGGCACTGCAGGAAATACAAATTCTTTGGCTCCAGCCCAGACCTACTGAATCAGAAATACTGGGGGTGGAGCCCAGTAACTTGTATATCTATGTTTTAACAAGTCTTTTACACAATCCTGATATGTGTTAAAGTTTGAGAACCACTGGTTCAGTAGCTCTCCACTTTTGGAACTGAAGAGTTTGTTTAAGACTTTAAAAATGCACATAGCAATGCAATTCCAATCAAAATCCAGGAAGAATGTTCTTTATACATTGATACACTGAATCTAAAATATACGTAAAATTCAGAGGACAAATAACAGCCAAGGCAAACATAAAAAGAAATCACACACACACACACACACACACACACACAAATAAACAAGGCTGGACTGTTTACACTTCAAGAAATGAAGACTTATTAAAAGCAATAGTAATTAAGCCACTGTGGTAGAGGGGCAAGAATAGACAAATAGAGCAGAAGAGAGACCCACACTAGGTGGTCATATAATTTATGACAAAGTTGACACAAATATGGCAGCAAAAATATGTTCTTTCCAGTAAGTTGTGCTGGGTTAATTAGATGTACATGTTGGGAGAATGTTTACCTCATTCCAGGCAAAATAAATCAATTATAGATGGACTGTATATACTAAGATAAAAGATAAAACAATAAATTTGAGGTGAAAACAGAAAAAATATCTTAACGAATTTGGTGTACACAAAGATCTCTTAAATAAAACACAAAGAATGCTGACTATAGGAGAAAATAATTCCTTTATTAAAATTAAGAGATTCTGTTCATCAAAACACACCATTAAGAGAATGGAAAGGCAAACTATATAGTGGCAGAAGGGATTTACAATACATGCATTTGACACACGACTTCTATCCAGTTGTATCCAATAGTTTAAGAGCTCCCTCAAATGAATAGCAAAGAGTAAACAACTCTTTAGAAAAATGAGCAGGAGGCTTTTACAGGCACTTCACAAAAGTTGATGTCCAATTGCATAGTAAACATATGAAAGAGAAGGTACTCAAGTTTCTTAGCTATCAGTGAAATGCAAATTAAAATTATTATGTGACATCACTATACACCCAGTAGAATAGAGTCAAAATGAAAAGGAAAAAATATCATGTTGACTGACGATATGGAGCAACCGAAACTCTTAAATTGCTATTATCCTACTCCTAGGTATATACCCAATAAAAATGCAAACACCTGATGACCAAAAAATATGTTCCAGAATTTTTATAAAAGCAGTATTTTTAATATCAGCAAAGTAGAAATGACCCATCAATATAGTATAATGGATAAACAAATTGTGGTATAGCCGTTCACTGTAAAACTGTACCTCAGTAAGAATGCCAAAAACTACAATTACACAGAAAACAAAGATTAATCTCCCAAACATGTTGAATTTAAAAAGTGTGCAGTGTGTAACTTCATATACATAAGTTCAAAACATGAAAAATCTATGGGAATAGCAGTTGATAGTGGGGATGTGGGATAGTGAGGGGGCACAGAAGGTCTTCTGAGGAAGCTGTTAACCTATTAATGTTGTTTTAGATCTGGTTACATGGGTATATTCAGTTCTCCACTTTTGGAACTAATAATCTGAAGAGTTTAAGTATTTAAAAATGCACAGGGCAATGTAATTCCAATCAAAATTCAAGAAGAATGTTGTAAAATTTAGACTTCTGTAAATACATGCAATTTTCTGTTTGTGAGTTAAGCTTTTATTTTTAAAAGTTTCCTAAAACATTCACAGGGATATCAGGAAAGCTGTATTTTGAAAACAGCAATCCAGATGTAGTGTACGGGAGAGATGGAGCTGGAGCTGGTTTGAGCCTATTGCTTGGTTTGGTTTAAGGTAGAAACAGGGAGTTAGAGAGAAACAGATAAATTCAAATGTAAAATTATTAGATAAAACTACCAGGACCTGGTGATGGACATGAAAGGTGAACAGATCAAAGTGCTTGATTCTGTGAATCTGCAGATTACCTTCTAAGAAACTCCTGTGATAGAGGTGAATGCACCAAGAGGTCAGCATCAGAATTCCCAGTGCTGTGTTGAAGAGGAGGAGGTGCTTCACCAGGGCAAAACTTGAGTTGAGACAGGTGCTTATCAGATGAAGTATTTGGCACGTTGATCATTCCTTGCCTTTTGATTGACTTTCCTCACTGCCTTCTTCCAGTAAAACACCTTCTTCTGGTTTTCCTCTCTCTTTTTCAATTGTTCTTTCTCAGTTTTACTTGTTGGTTCCTCCTCTGGAATGCCGAGGACTCTGCTCTAAATGCTTTTTTCTTCCGTATGTATGTGGTTATTCAGGCTCATCTTCTTTTCCAACAATGTACAAACACAACAATGTGCAAACACACCTCTAATTCCAGACTTATGTTCAAAATCCTGTAGTTGATATCTCCTTTTGGGTATCTAATAGACATCTTAAATTTAATATATTGGAAATGGAATATCTGGTCTTCCTTCCCAAACCCTCTTTCTGCAGCTTTCCACATGTGGTAATGGAGACCAGAAGCTCTGAGATCACGGTTGCCTCTTCTCTTTCTATCATACCCCATGTTCCATCTTTCAGCTCTGCCTTTAGAATATACTCTGAAATCCCACTGTTTCTCATTATTTATATTGCTACAGTCTCATTTGCACTATCATATTCTTTCATCTGTGTTATTAAAGGAGTATCCTACTTAGTTTTTTTCTCTGCTTCTTCTCACGCTCCCTCTCCGTATTATATTTGCAATACAGCAACCAGAATGATCCTTTTAAAATGTGAATCTGATTATTTCTTCATCAAAATACCGCAGTGATTCCCCATATACACTGAGTAAAATACAAAATCCTTATAAGTAAGTAAAAATACAAAGTCCTTATAAGTAAAATACAAAGTCCATGATAAGGCCCACAAGAATTCATATGACCTGCCTATTAATTTCCCTTTTGACCTTATTTTCTACTGTTCTACTATTTTTTTCATACTATTCTGTTGAACTTGGGAAACTTGATGTTCCTCTAATATTTTGGGCATGATCTTCAATGATCATTTGGTACAGCCTTACCCTGAATAAATTCCTGGATGGAATACTCTTTCCCTAATGGCCCCTTTGCCAGCTCCCTCACTCCCTTCAAGTCTTTGTTCAAATGTCACCTCAATCATTATCATATTTAAAAAATGCAATCCATACCCAATAACACAATTCTGATACCACTTACCATGCTTTTTTTTTCTGTAGTGTGCATCACCTTCTAATACGTAATATAATTACTTAGTGTCTGTCCCCCTGCCCCATTAAATATAAGGTCCAGGAAGGCAGGGATTTGTGGGAGCTTTGTCTAATTATTTCACTAGAACTGTCTGGCCCACAGTAGATGCTCAATAAAAATCTAAAATTTATTTATTTATTATGTCTATTTAAAAAAAGGTTTCTGCTTCTCCTGTTTCTTCACTAGAATATAAACTTCAAGAATTTCGCTTTGCTCATCCACAGGTCCCAAATTTCTAGAAAAGTGCCTATCACATCCATAGTTAGTTTCTTACATATTTATAGAATAAATGAGTATTGAACTGTTATGTGTAGGGCAACTCAGGTACACATGGAAAGTCACAGAAGGATTCTAGAATATGCTATGCTCTAGAACCACAAGCAGCTGAGCATTGCTAGAGAGTCATAGTGAGAAAAGAATAATATTTGGAGATAAAAGTGGGAAAAGAGTCAGGGAGAACTCATGAAAAACATGTAAGCCATAATACATGGAAACCAGCAAAAGTTCTAGATTTTTTCCCTGGGGAGACAATGAAGAAACAATGGAGAATTTTGTGGAGGAAAGTGACATTATCAGATTCAAATGTTAGGAAAATATCTCTTACAGAAGAGAAGAGGACAAACTGTAAGAGTCCAGACTAAAGCAAGGCCAACTGATAAGTGGACAGCTGCAATAATTCATTGTGAAAATTAAGAGCTGATACAAATATATGAATTTCTCCCCTATAACTCAGTGGAAAATTTAATTACACAGGTAGAATTCCATAATAAATAAAATATATATTTATGATGATACATGGAATAATTAAAAGGCTGGTGTATTTTTCTCTTCATCTTCAAGGCCTGAAACATAAATTAGAATATCACATTTTAATGTATGAAATATCATACTGATTTTTAAACTATACAACCTATGGACATCTTGAAAAAGAAACCACTACAATTTATCCAATACAACTACATAGCCTTTAATGTTGAAGTTCTTACTTAAGGATGTTTTATAATCCTCTTCCCATTTTCAGTACTTCTGCCTAAGCAGTTATATCTATTCTTAATGATCATTATAAATGAGTGATTCAAATGTCTTTACCTCTACCCAAGATCTCTCCTTTAGATTCATATACACAAGTGTCTTTATATGAAGCAATATATTTTATAAAATGTAAATATATAATTACACAGTATCACGTATATATAAGAACATAATAATGTCCTTATATGAATATATTTGACATCAGTATGCCATGTGCTTTGTGCCACTTTCCTTTTCTCTGATGCATCCCTCAAAATCCTTGACATGTACACTTGGATGATTCAAAAGTATCTGTGTCTCAAATGCAACATAACCAAAATTAAACTCACTATTCTATTCCCAAAACAGATCCCTTTCCAGGATTTCCTTACTCAGGGAATATGCCCACCAACCATGCAGAAATATGGACATCATCCTTGACCCTTCCCTCTCTCTTATCCATTATTTCCAACATTCTTTTTTTTCCTGTATCAGAATGGAATGTTTATTTTTTTATTATTATTTTTAATTTAATTTAATTTTAATTTCCAGGTTACATGTGCAGGACATGCAGGTTTGTTACGTAGGTAAACATGTGCCATGGTGGTGTGATGCACCTATCAACCCATCACCTAGGTATTAAGCCCCACATGCATTAGCTGCTTAGCTTGATGTTCTTCCTCCCCCTGCTCTCTGACAGGCCTCAGTGTATGTCCTTGCCCTCCCTGTGTCCAGGTGTTCTCATTCCAACATTGAGTCTTATCAATTTTACACCAAAGATGTCTTTCAAATATTCCCGTTTGTCTCCATCATTATTACTGCCACCACCTTAGTCCAAGCTACCATCATCTCTTGTCTTAATCATTCTAGTGGCCTCCTAACTAGTTTCCTCTCCGACACTCTTGCGACACTCTTGTTCCTTTCTTTCCTCTCAATGCATTCTCCACACTCAAACAAAAATGATCATTCAATATGCAGATCTCATTTTGTCAGACATATGCTTAAAATCTTTCAAAGGATTTTGATTGATTTTGGGATTAGGATCAAAGTCATTAACAAGGTCTGCATAATCTGGTCTCTCCCTAACTCTGCTCCATAAAAGTCTGCATCATCTGGCCCCTCCATAACTAACCCTTCTCCTTCTTCATAAAAGTGTTATTTATCTTGTCCTATCACATGACTTTTGTACTTGCTGCTCCCTCTACCCGACCTACTCTCCTAATGCTCCTGATGCAATCATCCATACCCTGGCTCTCCTGGGTAATGACTACTAATCCTTTAGCTTTCAGTCCAACTGTCATTTTCTCAGGGAAGCCTACCTGCTTCTTCAGAACATACCAACTCCTTCAAGTACCTTTTACTTAAAGCCCCTATCATAGTATAATTTACATTTTTCTGTTTGATTATTGGTCAATGCCTGTGTCCCTCCCCAGCCTGTAATCTCTGTAAGATCAGGGAGTTTCTGTGTACAGTACTGTACCACAAATACCCAGAATAGACCCTAGAACATTTTTATGATCAATAAATATTTGACTGATGAAAGAACCATTTGGGGAAATCAGGCTCCATAATGAACGTCACCAAGAAGCAAGAGGATGCCATTAGCTCACTGAGCCCCTGTGAGTGTCAGGCAAAACAAGACAGAAAGTCTAAGGAATAAACATTATAACTGACCTTTTTTGACTTTATCTAGTTTGCCTTTGATACCTAATTGAGTGTTAGTCCTACATATTATGGCATGCAATAAGGTCTTCAATTGAGTTCTGGAAATTAGATACCAAATCATTGGCTCAAAATCGTTTTGATTTAAATTAAACAGCAGTTAAGTTATAGATTTTAATCATTTTTCATCCTTTAGTACATCATCTGATTTATATAATAACTACATTTAAAAATATTTCAGTTCCATTGATCTGGGAACTAAGGGACCTGAAAAAGCTCATCCTGAGATGTTTTTACACTTATAGAACACTTTTTGCAGAAAGCTGAGTATTAGTAACAGCTTAATAAATCGGGCAGCTACACAATAACCCTGCACAGGCGGAATGTATTAAGATCAGCTTTGGGGGCGCTGAGGATTTTTTCTTTTTTGAAATATGAGATCTAAAATAATTTGGTTTCTAGCTGCTTGCCACTGTTCTCACTCCACACTTGCCGTTTTACATATGATTACTGAGTTGACCCCAAAGGCTTTTGGGTTGAGAGGCTGCAAGGTCAGTGTCCCTGCCACCTCCCAATCTCTGCCTGTACCTACCTCAGACGTGTCTTTGTACTATCCCTGCTGGACACTGCACCTTTCCATAATTATAAATGTCTGTTTTCAGTCACTTCAAAGGTTTCCCAGCACTGGGAGTCCTCCTTCAAAGCCTCTGCATTGCTGAGGAACTTCTGTCATTGACAGGAGGTCTTGCTTTGAAGTTTTTCATGCCATTTATTGATTTCCCCCTTTAAAGATGTTCAGATTAGAAAATGCTTCACCCCCTTTGAACATGTGCATATTTTTATGATGTTGAAGGGTTAATCCTTTGAAGATATTTACATTTTATAGCAATGTCCTTATATGAATAAATTTGACATCAGATATGCCACATGCTTTATGACACTTTCCTTTTCTCTGCTGAATCCTTCAAGATCAAGATCCTCTCAATTTAGTGTGTTGTTGGTTCTTATATTATGCTTTTGTTCCTTTTTTAATATAATGCCCAAGAACGAACTAAGTGTGCTTGAAAAGGGTTTGCATAATTTAGAAATAGCCTTTATTCCAATTATTTATATAAGTTTACTTAAAGTTGGGACATGTTTAATGTTTAGGAGAATTTGCAATGTTTTCTGGACCTCATGACCATTTTTAGTGTTCTTAAGTTATACATTAGCACCAACAAAGGTTAGGTTTGAAAAGTAGCTCTATCTTAGTCATAAAATGCATAATTTCATACACATTTTTCTTTGTACATGTGCTTAAACCTCAGTTTTCTAATGCCTTGAAGAGAATAAGGATGATACGAGGATTAAATTTGAAAACTGCACTTTAGGAGTTTAGTACAGTGCCTCACACATAGTAAGTTAGCTATGTTTGTGGCAATTAAATGACCAAATCCAATTAGTTCGATACTGGATAACAGCCCATGTAATGTTTTAGGCATTAGCTTTAGGACTGTCCCTGCTGATCAGAAGTACACTATCGTCCTCTAATGAACTGATTTCAGCAATTCTACCTCTTGGAATTTCTCTCATTTAGCTTAAGATTTTGATTACTGACACAGGTAGAATAAAGTACTATTAGGAGAGGTAATGCTTTAAATCCTAGTGTAAATGAAGACTCTGAAAGCATGTTGTGGTGATACAGACAAACAAGAAAAGGAGGAAACAGTCCTCAAGAGTAGAAAAGGAGCTGGGAAAATTGAGGGAGCAATGGTGGTAAAGAAAATGGGGTAAATGTGAACTTTCACACAATTTTTTTTCAAAGGTTGAAAATAGATACACACAAACACATCACCCCTAAGCCTGCTTCATAACTAAAAATGGGAAATAGTGGTAGAATGCAAACTAAACTACAGATGCCAAATCTAGAAATGCCACACACAGAGAAAGAAAATAAATATAATTGGCATGAATTTTGATGCCTAGTGGGCTGGTAAACTCATTTAAGTGTAGTCCAGTTGTTAACCAGGAATCATATATGACCTCCCAGTGCATAATAAAAATAAAGTAGCTCTATTTAATTTCTGTGTTTGGCATAATAAGATTGTAATCATAATGCCAGGGAAACATTTTCATTTTCCTGGATGTTAGTGATTGACTTTCATTTCCCTAGCACTCTAAATGTATTGTTTCATTCAGTAATTTAATCATTTATTTATTTGATATTTATACAGTGCCAAGGAAGTATAAAAGGCCAATAAACATATAAAAAGATACTCAGCTTTACTATTCATGAGGGCAATATAGAGTAAATGTAGACAACAATAAGGTACATATTTTATCCATTATCCAGTAATAGCAAGTGTTATTATCTTAATAGTATCAAATGCTGTTAGGGTTGTGGAGGAATTAGTATTTCTTATACATTGTTGGAGGAGGTATAATTTGATATATATTTGCAGAATATGATTAGAAATTATTTATGAAAATGTAAATGAGTATATCCTTCAATCCAGAAATGTTCCCTCTCAGTTTAATTTGCAGAAGCATCATGTTTGTGGTAGCATTGTATTAATAGGAAAAAAAAAGAAATGAGGAAAAGAAATAGAAGGGAAGAAAGGAAAGAAGGAAAAAATTAACTTAAATATCTAAACATCCACTAATAGTGGAATGTTTGAATGAACTATAGATGTTCTATTGCACAAAATATTGCACAGGAGTTAAGCAAAAAACAAACAAAAAACCATAAGCTACTATCTATATGACCAGAGATGAAAAATTTTTTAACCATGTGGAAAGAGGAAAAAAAGCAAAACTTGAATAATAATATGGACTGAGACTGGTAATATAAGATACACAAAGTGTAAAATATATGTATTTATATATGTGTGTAAGAAATACAACACTGCCTGTGTTCTGAGCCTGCATTTGAGGGTGCTAATCAGTGGGGGCTCTTTATCTCAATTAATTAATATGTAATTGATTATTAATCTTTGTGTAATAAATTTATAATAATATATAAATATATTTATATATTCTTGTGAAATCCTTTCTTTAATAGGGATATATTCATATATTATTTGTGTAATTAAAATAAATAAGTAAAACTAAGTACATACGTATTTCATAAATCATCTTCTAAACAAGTTAATACACCAGATTTCATTCCAAACATGCAAATATTGAGATTGTCTGTTAGTAATTTAATCTGTATTTAATTTTTTGCAAGTTCCCCATTAGTCAAGAAATCTAGTGTGCTACATTTTATTAAATTATTAGAAGGGTACAAAAGGGAGATGGCTTTACACTTTTGGATCAGGTAGTAACAAGATTACTGCCCCAAAGATACTTTAGATGTAAGGTGTCTGCCCTAGTATATATAATGAGCGGGCAGAGGCAAGAATGTCTCCCAAGCAAAGTCTCATGTATGTTTATACCCACCCAATCTCCCACCAAGGCTCCCTAACCCCAGAGTTGCCCAAGAATCTATAGTGGTGCCAGGGCTACCAAATTGTTCTCCACTTCCTCAACTGGAAATATTGGAAATAGAGCAATACATTTTCTGAGTTGTACATGTAACATCAAAATGTTCAGGTTTTCAAATATATATTTTATGTCAAAGAGTTCTCCTTTTCTTAATCTTGCTTACATGAAAATATATCTTTCCAACTCTTAAAGTATCTCAAGCCCTGATACTTAAAATTTTATTACAAAATCAGAACCGTTGAAATTCCAGTTGATTTTGAACATAGTATAATGCATGTTAATATATTGATTCTCTTCTGGAGTCCTGTAACTATAAAGAAAATAAAAGACATATATACATATGTGTGTGTGTGTGTCCCTCATTCATGAGAGAACAGACTCTAGCTATTGAACAGACTCTAGATATTTGGCCTTAATATTTATTAAATTGATGCAACGTATTTGGCCTTAATGTTTATTATACAGGAACATGGTTTTTTATTAAGATATAGTTTATTTAAAAATTGCTCTATTTTTGACATCGATAGCTTTTGTAGGGGGTGGATTTTAACATATTTCCAACTCCTGAGTCTTGGACTGTATTCCTAGACAGCCAGCTGGTGTCCAGACCTTTTATTTTGAAAATTAAACATAATTTTTGTGTAGCCTCTCCTAGATTGTGGTCTGGTTGACAAATTTTATCTTATATTTTTCTCATTAGTGAACATTGTTAAAGAAGTCTATTAATAGCCACTCTTTCTCTGAGTCATGGAACTGCACTTTTATTTAGTGAATACATAGCAGTCTTTATTGGCCTTTCTATACAATCCTCCATTGTTTCATAGGATTATTTGATACCAAGGAAAACATTAAAATATGCTATCCTAAGGGGAAAACTTGGATTGATTATGGCTATTTATCTTCAACTATGGGTGCAAAAGCAGCATCAATGCAATAAATTGTCCAAAATAAAATGTCCCATTAGTATTTAGGGGAAAAAATGGAAAATGTGGTAGAACATGTGTCTACAGATTTTTATTTACTAAAAACATCTGAAATTTTAGCTTCAACAAAAACTGCACACGAGTTTTTCTTTCTCTTCTAAATTGAAATTGCCTTTATAATTGTCAAACAACATGTGTTGCCAAATGAATGCTGTGTAGTTATTTACCTTTATTTTTCCCATGAAATAATAAAATTACTTTTATTACATGCTACAAGCCACTTTTCAAAACTTTTTGAGGTTTCCAAACAAAATTTAGAACAACATAGGCAAAAATGTTTGTAAAAGCACTATAAGTTTTTATCCCATTAATGAATATTGAGTGTCAACAGCTGACATCACATAGAGACAAATATCATATGGCTTCTGCTCACCATAATGCCCAAAGATAGTCAAAGCCATGTGCGGAGGCTACCATGTAGCTTGACACTTGCAATACCATGAAGCAAGCATAGGATTACAGGAGCAACTAAGACAAAGGGAGCCTCCCCAAGGTTGGGAAGGTTAAGCACAAGGGGACGGTTTCAGATTATTTTAGAAGAGGTAACATCTCAACAGAATCTCTAAATATTATCAGAGGTTACCTATTTGAGAGATTGGACAAAGATAATTACAAACACAAAAAAATGGTAATCTAAATATGCTAAGACCTAAGGCAGCATAGCATTTTGATAGATTCT
Organism: Homo sapiens; assembly: GCF_000001405.40. NCBI lineage: Eukaryota > Metazoa > Chordata > Mammalia > Primates > Hominidae > Homo > Homo sapiens. The sequence goes on along the minus strand of NC_000003.12, from coordinate 148,136,114 downwards.
CAAATATTTCAGCATGTATGACAAAAGAAGAGGCTCAAGGAGGTATAGGGCTAGCCCTAGAGAAGTAGACAAATGCCCAGTGTGATGTCATGATGGGTGGGAGAGTGCTTGGGTGCCAACTAGGGAAACTGGAATGGACACAATAGAGAGGCATTAAAGATCTTCAGTCATAAGTGAGAGTTAGTCAGATGCAGAGTTCAGAAAGAACATCCAGTCATTCAGAGCAAATCAATTCTTTCAACTGCTTAGGAAAAATTTATATGGAGTCCTCCTTTACTCTGTGCCTTCTGTCACACCCCAATTCTGGTTCAGCAAACCTTACTGGCTTTTATCTTGAAAATATGTCCAAAATATCAGCAGTTCTTGCTATGATATCACTTCCACACAGGTCTGAGTCACCATAATCCTGCCTAAAGATTACTGCAATTATATCCTAAATGATCTCTCCACTTCTGCCCTTGTTCTCTTCTAATCTAATCTCTATAGGAGCCAGAATGATGCTTTTGAAACACATCAGACCATGTCATCATTCTCAGTTATTACAGAATGCATTATATCTTGTTGGCTTCTTGTTGTCTCTTTATTAGCTTCTTGTTGTTACTCGACAAATTACTACCAACTTACTGGCTTAGAATAGCACACATTTATTATCATAGTCTGGAAATCAGAAGCCTGATATCAGTTTCACTGGATGAAAATCAAAGGTGCTGGTAGAGCTGAGTTTCTTCTCCAAACTCTAGGGGACAATTAATTCCTTGCCATGTGTGTTAGTCAGGGTTCTCTAGAGGGACAGAACTAATAGGATATATGTATCTACGAAAGAGTTTATTAAGGAGAATTGAGTCACATGATCACAAGTCCCATGATAGGTCATCTGTAAGTTGAGGAGCAAGAAAGCCAGTAATGGATCAGTCTGAGTCCCAAAACCTCAAAAGTAGGAAAGCTGACAGTGCAGCCTTCACTCTGTGGCCAAAGGCCTGAGAGCCCCTGGCAAACCACTGGTCTAAGACCAGGAGTCCAAAAGCTGAAGAACTTGGAGTCTGATGTTCAAGGGCAGGAAGCATCCAGCACAGGAGAAAGATGAAGTTTGGAAGACTCAGCAGGTCAAGTCCTTCCATGCTCTTCTGCCTGCTTTAATATAGCCATGCTGACAGCTGATTAGATGGTGCCCATCCACATTGAGGGTGGGTCAGCCTCTCCTAATCCACTGACTCAAATGTTAATCTCCTTTGGCAACACCCTCAGAGAACACCCAGGAATAGTACTTTGCATCCTTCAATCCAATCAAGTTGACACTCAACCATCACAAGTTCATCCTTTGTCCCAACTTGAACCCATTACACATCACCTGAAGTCATACAAATCTTCAAATAAAGACAGTAATAAGGTCCTAATTACACCTAACATAATACAGCTATCCTTCATACAACCATAAATGCACTGATTCTTAACCTAAATTCTATCACCTAAAGTTAACAAGACTTAAGTGTTGATATGAAGTCAATAAATCTTATGCCACATGATAAAAGAAAAAGAAAGGAAATAAAATGAAGATATTTTCTTAATACAAATGTATCCATGCACAAACATGTTCTTAACAAAATAAGGAGGAAGCACTTATGACAATTACAGTCCTCATTTCTGCAACTGGTCGCATGGTCATAGCTGGTATTGATTACTACCTTCTTCTACCACCCATTCTGTATTCCCTTTGCCTTCTGCACACATCTCAGTGGATTGTGGCTTTTTACCTTGTGGAGTGACCCAAACCTTCACTCCTGAAGGGTCTGGGTCATTTGTAGTCCTGCCTGGATTGAGTTGTTGTAGTTTCCCATGGACCCCAATCACATGGCATGGTAATACTAAAAGACACCCTAAAGGATCTCCTGTATTCCATGCATACTCTTGCTTACCTCCATTGTGAAGTAGTAGATCGATTTCATCTCCATAGTCAGGTCAATCACTGCAGCCAATACCATAACTCCCTTTTTAGCCTGTTGACTTAGAGGTAGGAGGAGCCAAAAGTGGCCAAGTGGCAATCTTAACTTCCAGTTTAATAGAACTATTGTTGTGTCTCCTGGAACTGAGATCTCTAGGCCAGCAGAACATAATGTCACGGGAACAGGAAGCAAAAATTTTGTTAGTGGTTCACTGCGGGTGATGGTGAGTGGTGCCACTTCCACCTCTTGATTCCTGGACCCATGAATCCTGGCTGTGGGAGAAACAGTACCATATATTGGATGCTGATTTATGGCATACACAGCCTTCTGGAGAACTTTGTTCAGCCTTGTGAAGTATTGTCACCTAGTTGGCATTGTAATTGTGACTTTCAAAAGGCCATTTCACCGTTGTATCAATCCAGCTGCTTCAGGATAAGGAACATGGTAAGACCAGTGAATTCCATGAGCATGAGCCCACTGCCACACTTCCTTTTTCTTTTTTCTCTCTCTTTTTTTTTTTTTTTTTTTGAGACAGAGTCTCACTCTGTCACCCAGGCTGTAGTGCAGTGGCATGATCTCAGCTCACTGCAACCTTCGCCTCCCAGGTTCAAGTGATTCTCCTGCCTCAGCCTCCCAAGTAGCTGGGACTACAGGTGCGTGCCACCATGCCTGGCTAATTTTTTGTATTTTTAGTAGAGACAAGGTTTCAACGTGTTAGCTAGGATGGTCTCTATCTCCTGACCTCGTGATCCGCCCACCTCAGCCTCCCACAGTTCTTGGATTACAGGCTTGAGCCACAGCACTCAGCCTGCCACACTTCTTTAGCTATCAAATGAGTGTCTTGGTCAGAAGCAATGCTGTGTGGAATACCATGATGGTGGATAAGGCATTCCGTGAGTCCACAGATGGTAGCTTTGGCAGAAGCATTGTGTGCAGGGTAGGCACACCCACATCTGGGGTGAGTGTCTATTCTAGTGAGGACAAACCGCTGCCATGTGCATGATGGAAGAGGTCAAATATAATCAACCAGCCACAAAGTTGCTGGCTGATTTCCCCAAAGAATAGTGCCATATTGAGGGCTCAATGTTGGTCTCTGCTGCTAGCAAATTGGCCACTCAGTGGTGGCTGTAGCCAGGTCAGCCTTGGTGAGTGGAAATCCATGTTGCTGAGCCCATGCATAACCTCCATCCCTGCCAGCATGGCCACTTTATTCATGGAACCATTGGGTGGTGACAGGGATGGTTGGGGAAAGAGGCTCAATGGTGTCCACAGAACGAGTCATCCTATCTACTTGATTATTAAAATCCTCCTCTGCCAAGGTCACCCTTTGGTGTGTGCTCACATGAGAAACAAATATCTTCACAGTTTTGGACCTCTTAGAGAGGTCTATGTACATACCTCTTCCCCAAATTTATTTGTCACCAATTTTCCAAACATGCTTCTTCCAAGTCCCTGACCATCCAGCCAAACCATTGGCTACAGCCCATGAATTAGTATATAATTGCACATCTGGCCATTTCTCCTTCCAAGAAAAGTGCAGAACCAGGTGCACTCTTGAAGATCTGCCCACTGGGAAGATTTCCCCTTGCCACTTTCCTTCAGGGATGTCCTGGAAAGGGGCTGTAGTGCTGTAGCTGTCCACTTTCGGATGACGCCTGCTTATTGTGCTGAACCATCTGTAAACCAGGCCCTAGTTTTCTCTTCTTCTGTCAGTTGATCATAAGGAACTCCTGATGAGGTCATCGGTACAGGGTGGGGGAGAGAAGGCAGAGTAAAAACCATAGGCATTTAAGCCATTTCCTCCTGTAACTTACTTGTACCTTCAGGACTTGGCTTGAGCCTGATCACATATATACCACTTCCATTTGATGATGGAATGCTGCTGTGCACACCTAACTTTATGGCTAGATGGGTCAGAAAGCATCCAGTTCAAGACAGGAAATTCAGGCCACATGGTGCCTTAATGACTCATAATCTAAAGTTCAGTTTCCACCAAAGCCCAGTAACAGGTCAAGAGGTGTCTCTCAAAAGGACAGTAGTTATCTGCAGAAGGTGGCAGGGCTTTGCTCCAAATCCTAGTGGCCTCTGCAGTGATTCACCTATAGGGGCCTGTCAAAGGCTCCAAACAGCATCCCTATCTGCCACTGACACCTCCAGCACCATAGGATCTGCTGGATCATATGGCCCAAGTGGCAGAGCAGCTTGCATAGCAGCCTGGACTTGTTGCAGAGCCTTCTCCTGGTCTGGACCCCACTCAAAATGATAGTTTTTCAGGTCATTCATAAATAGGCTGGAGTAGCACATCCAAATAAGGAATATGTTGCCTCCAAAATCCAAATAGACCCACTAGGCATTGTGCCTCTTTCTTAGTTGTAGGGGGCGGGGCAAATGCAACAATTTATCCTTCACCTTAGAAGGAATATCTTGATAGGCCCCACACCACTGGACCCCTAGAAATTTCACTGATGTAGAAGGTCCCAGAATTTTAGTTGGATTTATTTCCCATTCTGTGGCATCCAAATGTCTCACCAGTAAGTCCAGAGTGTTTGCTACTTCTCGCTCACTGGGCCCAATCAGCATAATATCAACAATATAATGGACCAGTGTGATATCTTGTGGAAAGGAAAAGTGATCAAGATCTCTGAACAAGATTATGACACAAAGCTGGAGAGTTGATATAATCCTGAGTTAGGACAGTAACGATATATTTCTGGCCTTGCCAGCTGGAGACAAATTGCTTCTGGTGGGTCTTATGGACAGGAATGGAGAAAAAGGCATTTGTCAAGTCAATGGCTGCATACCAGGTACCAGGAGATGTGTTAATTTGCTCAAGCAATGAAACTACATCTGGTACAGCAGCTGCAATTGGAGTCACCACTTGGTTAAGCATATGATAATCCACCGTTATTCTCTAAGATCCATCTGTCTTCTGTGCAGGCCAAATAGGAGAGTTGAATGGGGATGTGGTGGGAATCACCATCCCTGCATCTTTTAGGTCCTTGATGGTGGCATTAATCTCTTCAATCCCTCCAGAGATGTGATGTTATTTTTGTTTTACTATTTTTCTAAGTAGAGGCAGCTCTAATGGCTTCCATTTGGCCTTTTCCACCATAATAGCCCTCACCCTACCAGTCAGGGAGCCAATATGGGGGTTCTGCCAACTGCTAAGTGTGTCTATGCCAATTATGCATCCTGGCACAGGGGAAATGACCACAGGATGAGTCCAGGGACCCACTGGACTCACTGTAAGTTAGATCTAAGCTAAAACTCCATTAATTACCTGACCTTCAAAAGCCCCTACTTTAACTGGAGGACAACAATGATGTTTTGTGTCCTCTGGAATCAATGTCAGCTCAGAGCCAGTGTCCAGTAGTCCCTGAAATATCTGGTCATTTCCCTTTCCCCAGTGCATAGTTACCCTGGTAAAAGGCTGAAGTTTTCCTTGGGGAAGGATGGGAGAAAGAATAACAGTATAAATTTTCGGCAGTGTAGTGGTGTCCTTCTTCAAGGGGACCTGGTCCCACCCCTTCATCTAAGGGGTTCTGGGTCTGTAAACTGGTTTAAGTCTGGAAATTGAGGGGCTGTGATTCTCTGTTTTAATAATTCAAATTAGTCTTTTGTCCACTTGACCTGGAAGTTTTCTGCTTATACAAAGTAAGTAAGAAGCAATAGGCTTCCTATCAATTTCACTTCTAGGAACACGGTGAATAATAAGCCAATGCCAGAGGTCTACATGAGTCAAGATTATTCTGATTGTCACTTTGCCTCTGCTGTCCATTACAGTCACTACACCCTCCTTGCCTTTGATGGTTGAGTGCCGCGACTTGGCCCCTGCCACCTCGGGATCCAATTATTCCCATTGCATTTAAATTTTGTAATTGAGTTATTGTGGTTCCCACTATAAGATCTGGCATGCAGAGAAGAGTAATCATAGAGCTCTTCAAGGATGCGGGTGCTCCCCTCACAATTGTATTTCACAGGGTATTGGTGAAGGGTATGTCTTTCGGACCCTCCCAGCTGAGATGAGTAGGTCTAAAGTCACTAATCTACTCTAGCATCCCAATCTCCCTGAGCCTTCCAATCCCTTTCTGTACATTAGACCAAGGGAGATCAGACATTTACAGCTCACTCATAGTGGGCCATCTTTTGATCCATATTTCAGCTAACCAAGCAAATAAACAACTAGAACTTTTTTTTAACTCCCCAAGCTACAACATTAAATGCAGAATCCCTACTTAGTGTGCCCAAACCAATACATTCAACCTGATCCAATTTTATGTTCCATCCACCATTATCCCACACCCTTAATGTCTATTCCCATGCCTGTTCTCTGGATTTGTGCTTATATAAATAAGAAAACTCAAGTAGTTCTTTTGCAATCTAGAGCAACTTCTCATGGGTCACACTCTGAACCTCACCTCTACAGTCCTGCTGGGTGTTTAGTCTAGTTACAGGTCTAGAAGAAAACAGGGGTGTTGGGGATGGGTCCTGAGGAGCATTGTTTTGCCTGTTTGCAGTTCATGGTTAATCTCTTCAGACAAAGGTGGAAAGGCTGATGGCAGTGTGGGTGAGGGAGGGGAGGTTGCCCCCAGTGGAAGTAGAGGTTGTTTCCTCTGGCAAAAGTGGCTCATCAGAGTTTACAAGCTCAGTGTCCCCAGATTCATCATGGTCCTCCCACATGTCCCCATTCTAAGTTTCAGGGTCCCGTTCTTTTCCAATCAATGCCCTCACCTTAGCAGTAGACACCTGGAGAGACTGAACATGCACCTTTCCTTACAGGTCAGCCACTCACATGATAAGAGCTTGTGTCTAATTTTCCACAATTTCAGCCCTTTGTCTATAGGAGCTAAAGACTCTCACTCAGGGCAAGCTTAGAAGACTTGAGGCTCAGTATGCTTCTGTTGTCAGCAGTTAGAATACCTGAGCTCATCCTTTTATCACTTTGTCCAACAAACTTAGGAGCAACAGCCAATTTCATTATATTCCTTGGTTCTCCACATATGGTCAAAGGTATTATGTATAGAGTCACTAAACTTGCCTCTCATGAGTGGTGAATCAGGAGTATCAAATGCATTTATTTTGCATAACTCTCTAAATAGTTCATGCCAAGAACTATCAGTGTTCTCCATACTATTAGAAGGAGAGTCCATAGCATTTTGGGGTCTAATCAGATTAAGCAGCCAACTCCAGAAACCCCAAAACCAACTAAAGAAATCCATCCTTAAAATTCTGTTCCTCTAGAACCATTCCTGGTACCAAAATCTGTATTAGTCAGGGTTCTCGGGAGGGACAGAACTAATAGGGTATATGTATCTATGAAAGGGAGTTTATTAAGAAGAATTGAGTCACACTATCACAAGGTGAAGTCCCACCATATGCCATCTGCAAGTTGAGGAGCAAGGAAGCCAGTAATGGATCAGTCTGAGTCCCAAAACCTCAAAAGTAGGAAAGCTGACAGTGCAGCCTTCAGTCTGTGGCCAAAGGCCTGAAAGCCACTGGCAAACCACTGGTGTAAGACCAAGAGTCCAAAAGCTGAAGAACTTGGAGTCTGATGTTCAAGGGCAGGAAGCATCCAGCACAGGAGAAAGATGAAGGCTGGAAGACTCAGCAAGTCCTCCCACGTTCTTCTGCCTGCTTTAATATAGCCATGCTGACAGCTGATTAGATGGTGCCCATCCACATTGAGGGAGGCTCTGCCTCTCCTAGTTCACTGACTCAAATGTTAATCTCCTTTGGCAGCACCCTCACAGAACACGGAAGAACAGTTCTTTGCACCCTTCAGTCCAATCAAGTTGACACTCAGTATTAACCATCACACCATGTCCACCTTCTAGAGGGCGCTCACATTCTTTGGCTCATTGTCCCTGCATCACGTCACTTTTCCTCCCTCTGCTTTTATCTTTGCATCACTTCATCTCTGACTTCAACATTCTCACCCATTATAAAAACTCTTGTGATTACATTGAGCTCACCAGGATAATCAGGATAATCTTCCCATTTTAAGATTATTAACTTAATCACTCTGCAAAACTCCTTTTGCCATATAAGACAATATATTCACAGATTTTAGAATTAGAATGCGGATATCATTGGGAGACTGTTATTCAGTTTACCATAGTCTCCAAGGTAATTTTGTTTTAGTTTTTGTTATTTGGTGTTTGTATTTTCTCCACTAAGAATTACACATTGAAATCATGAAATCATCCATTGACTTAAGCCTATGTCACCAAATAAGTATGATACTAATTTCATCAATCAAGTAAAGTTATTCAAAGCAACATACATTTATAATAATATTGACTACAAAACTGAAAATGAAAACTATATGAGTGATATGTGAAATTTAAGCATTCTTGATTCCAAGGATTATCTAACAAAGGGTGCCTCCTTTTTCTTTGTCCCTACATAGGTTTAAAGTACCTACCTATCTTTTTTATTTGTGCATTATTATTTCATAATGTTATATATGCTTGTTTGTGCTATGCGAGCACTGAGGTTTGAGAAGTTTAAGGCTGTTAGACTGGAAAGGGAATAAGGGTTACAATCTTCTCTCTATGACCTTTTGTAATTTATAAGTCCAAATGGACTGAACAACACTGAATAATTAATTCATGCTGTGTTTAAGCCCCTATGCTTGCATGTTTTACACGCTAATTATTATGAATTCCTTCCTTGTGCAAATCTTTGATTCCCTAACCTAAATCAGGTTAATACAGACTCATATGCTCCAATTATGGTGATATCTTTCTCTTAACCTTGGCAGAAGGAACATTATAGTAGGTCAAAAAGTATCTTTGAGTTTCATTGAGAAATTAACCCATAAGGGAATTGTGCTCATGGTTGTAGTGTTAATTAGTTTCACCATGAACATATTTTGTGGCTTAGTTAACATTCAGATACTCTCTGCATTTAAATAAAAATATATGCCCCAATATGCTAAAGCCAGTCAAATGTGATTTTTATTTAATGATTTTTTTCTTATGATTCAAGTAATTAGCACATTGCACATTTTGACTAATTAAGAAAAAATAACCGTCACCACACCCCAGTGAGTCATGCTGGTGGTGTTTCCCCAGTTCTAAAGGTAGAGAAGCTGGAGAGTAAGAATAGCTTTTCCATTAGGTTGTGGAAAGAGGAGGATAAGAGACAACAGAACAGAAATCTGAGATATCTAACCCTTGAAAATACTTTCTTCAAAATCCACGTGCTAAAATGAAAAGAGAAAGACAGATAATTTGGATTAAAACACACTCAAGCAAATAGTTTGGTAAGTACATTCTCTATACACATTCCCATTGCATATTCATGGTTAAATATTATTATCAAGATAGGACATTACAATGGGTGTGTTCTCCAGAAAAAATAAATGTTGTGTATATGATCATTGCATCCATTAGTCTGATTCCTTATTAGAGAAAAATTCTAAGTGTCTTATACTTATAGAATGAAAATACGAATTCTCTCAATGCTAGAATTAGTGTGTATATGCTCTCTTTCAACTCCACAGGAAAGTGACTTTAAAGTAAGATTTTAGAATAAAGAAAATGGCTTTTTGCACAACTATCAAAACCGTTACAGAATGTTTTCTCCCTTTTTATAGATTTTGTACATACTACTCCTAATTTAAAAGAACGTCTTCTTGAAAAAGTGTGAGCAGTTTCTATTCTTGAATTTCATCCACAAAAATAAGATTCGAGTAAAAAATATTAGCTGACCTTCTTGAAAGGTCTCGTGCAATTATAGAATGAGGAAAAGAAATGACCATTCTTTACACATTCTATTTTTGTTTGATTCTGTTTGTTTCTCTTGCTAAATAAAAACATTCATGAAATATATTAATTTTCAATATATTTAGATTACTAGTTTTAAAATATACTATCAATAGCTCTGATGATAGGATAAAATAACTCCATTTTATTTGTAATGATAAGTAAAAAATTTTCGGCCAGGTGCAGTGGCTTACGCCTGTAATCCCAGCACTTTGGGAGGCCGAGGCAGGTGGATCACCTGAGGTCACGAGTTCGAGACCAGCCTGGCCAACATGGTGAAACCCCATCTCTACTTAAAAAAATACAAAAAATTAGCTGGGGTGGTAACACACGCCGGTAATCCCAGCTGGCTGAGGTGGGAGAATCACTTGAACTCGGGAGGCGGAGGTTGCAGTGAGCTGAGATTGCACCACTGCACTCCAGCCTGGGTGACAGAGTAAAACTCCATCTCAAAAAAAAAAAAAAAAAGGAGAAAAGAAAAAAAAAATTTTCCCACAAGGATACCAAGGATATAGAGTATAGAGACTGTTATAGTATTTAATTATAAAGATTTAGAATTACTAAATTGTTACTGAACAAAATTACACATCTTTTCTTTAAAGTTAGTTATGGCCTTTTGGATAAAATATTGACTAAGATTTTATTTCCAGAGTGCTAACAACTCGAAAGGTATAGACCAAAGTGTGTCAATGTAAGAAATCCTTCAAATTTTTTATTTTCATTTTATTTTATTTTATTTTTTTGGAGCATTTCTTGGACACCTAATGTATGGACAGTATGGACAGAAAATATTTTAGTGTTTTTAAGTTAATATGATATTAGTACCTTCCAAGTACAAAATCCAGATAAACTAAACAAAATTTTAAAATATAAAACTATAAGTAATAAAGGAAAATTTATAATCGACTTGAATTATAACAGTTTGATTAATGACAGTATTTTGACATTTTATAATGGATATCTAGATATTTGGAAATAAAGTCACATATATAACTCAATTTCTAGATTATAGAAAATAATGAGTTAAATCTCCTGTGAATATAGGAGTTCATGCTTTCATGATTATTTCAATCTAGGGTTCATTCTTAGAAGTGAGATTGTCAAGTCAAAGCAAATGCACGATTTAGGTTCTGATGCACATTGACACACTGCCTTCCAAAGAGGTAAAAGTTAATATCACCATCAGTAGGGTGTGAGCATGAGAATGTTTATTCCTCTAAGTATTAAGAAACAGTTTTACTCTGCCTATATAAGAGGAAAATTAATTGTTTTAATTTGTATGTAATTGGTTATTAGTAAGCTTGAAGATCTTTTCATATGCTTTTATTTATATTCCTCTTATGTAAGTTGTGTATCTTTATACCTTGACCATTTTGCTATTAGTATGATCTCTTTTTCATGTTTGTTTTTAAAGTGTATTATAAACTTTTATTATATTAATGAACTTTTGCATTTATTATTTTAAAATAATTTTCTTACTTTTCTGTTTGTCTGTTTAAGCATTAAATCTTTCTTGTTCGTTTTTATTCAGATGTTTTCAACTTTACATGGTCAAACTTTAAAATCTCTTTATAGTCTATGATTTGAGGTACATGAGTAGAAATATAATTTATACTCTAAGGGTATGAAAATATCAACCATACTTTATTTTTCTATTTATACTATTTTTTCTATTTATACTATTATCTTGTTTACAGTTGAGATTTAATAGAGGCAGAATGCATTTTAGGGGAGCTGAGTAAAGCTTTTTCTTTATTTTCTTTCAAAATGTCAGCCAGTTATTCCAATAACATAATAAATATTCTATGTTTTCTCTATTAATTTAATTTAATTTTAATTCTTTTTCACTTTTTTTTTTTTTTGAGTCAGTGTCTCACTGTTACCCAGGCTGGAGTGCAGTGATGTGATCATGGCTCATTGCAGCCTCCACCTCCTGGGCTCAGGTGATCCTCCCACCAGAGCCTCCTGAGTAGCTGGGACTACAGGCACTCACTACCATGACCAGCTCATTTTTTGTATTTTTTGTAGGGATGGAGTTTCACTATGTTGCCCAGGCTGGTCTCAAACTCCTGGATCAAGCAATCCTCCCACACTGGCCTCCCAAAGTGCTAGGATTACAGGCGTAAGCCACTGTGCCTGGCCTTCTGCATTGATTTAAATATTACCTTTATTATATGCAAAATTTTAATGTAAACTTTAGTCCATTTTTGAACTCTCTATTCTGTCCATTGATTTATGTTCCCTCTAACATGCTGTCAAAATAAATATAACTTTATTTTTCCTCTTGTTTAATGGCATTAACTAGCATATCTAGAGCAATATTCAATGACAGCCATAGTAGTGTGTATTTTTGCCTTTCTCAATTTATTATTATGCCTGTAATATTGTACCATTAGTCATGATGCTGAATTAGAATACATGTATATATTTATGTATAAATATGCAAACAAAAATATTTATAAATCTATGTATACATTTCTAAGAAAGCTTTTAACTAAAAATAGACAATATTTATTAAGTGTTATTTTAGCATCTCTTAAGGTAATCAGAATTTTCTCTTTTGATTTAGTAATACGATCATGAGCTGCATAACGATCTTTCAGTCAGTAATGGACCAACCACATGCAAGACAGTGATTCCATAGAATTGTAATGAGCTGAAAAATTCCTATCACCTAGTGATGTAGCCATCAAAGTGTCATAATGTAGTTATTTTTAAATAAATTTAGTGTAGCCTAGTGCGCAGGTCTTATGAAGTCTACATGAGTGTACAGGCCTTTACATTGTTACTACTTACTCACTGATTCACTTAGAGCAACTTCCAGTCCTGCAAGTTTCATTCATGATAAATGCCCTATACAGATGTACCATCTTTTATATTTTAAGTCATATTTTTATTGTACCTTCCCTATGTTTAGATACACAAATATTACTTTTAATGGCAAAAACCACAATTATTTTTGCATCAACCTAATACCATTCTGTTATAATTGTCTACAGTAATCAGTGCAGTAGCATCCTTTACATGTTTATAGCCTAAGAGCAATCAGCTACAGCCTAGATGTACAATATGCTACACCATTTAGGTTTGTCTAAGTACACTCTGTGATGTTCTCAGAACAATAAAATTGCTTAATGACACATTTCTCAGAACATATATCTGTTTTTAAGCAATGCATGACCGTACCTTAAATTATGTTAACACACATCCTTCCGTAATATTTGCCATGATCTTTATTTATTCATATATTTTATTTATTCTTATATTTTACCTTTAATTTACATTTTTAAAATTGAATTATTTTACATCAGTATTCACAAATAATAACAGCCTGTACTTTCCTTTGTGTATGTTGTTTTAGTGTTATTCAGAATTCTGGTTTCTTAAAAATAAGTTCAATGTGTTCTCTCTTGAGTTATGATTGAGTCAGTTTTAGTAACAGCAAAACTATACTTTTCTCAAAGATGTAAAAAGAAAATAATCTGTGAAATTGTATAGATTTGTTCTGTTTCGAAGATGGACAGTAATAGTCATGGATCTATTTCTTTAGTTCTTCTTTGATTATGGATTTGACTAGGAGTTCATCTTTTCTTAACATAATTTTGGTAATTTTTTTTAAATTCATCAATTTAATCCAGGTTTGCAAATGCATTCTCAAATGATACTTTTAATGAGTTTTTGCTTCTGGGATTATATGCAATTTATTTTTCTGTTTTCAGTATAGATACTTTTCAAAGTTTTAATGCTTTATTTTGTTTTTGCATTTTCAAATTATTTTTCTGTTTCTGCATTTATCTTTTTTGAAAAAATACATATTCCCAACATTTTGTCATTGTAACATCTTTATGAGGTAGATATTTTGTTCTCTCTGCTTTGAAGATGGAGAGACTGAAGCACCATGACATTTAAGAAATTTACATGCACTTACACAGCAGTGAAGGATCCAGCCAGAATTCTATCTCATGCTCCTTTGTAGCAGAGGACCAACTTATTACCCACTGCATTGTACTGCCTCTGGCACTTCATTAGCAAAGTAACTATTTACCCAATGCACTACGAAAGATCTTCAGAAATAAATCTTGTAAATTTTTAAATAAAAATAATCATGGTAGCCCAATTACTCTTTTACATAATTATTCACCATAACTGTAGTGGAAGTTTGACTATCTTCTCCCTGCTCAGCATCCAAATCCCAACCCCTGCCTCATTCTATTAGACCTTAATTAATCCGTTTTGTAGTCAGTAGAGAAAGTGTTCTGACTCCTACTATGGAAAAAGAATGAGCCAGATTCTTCCACTTCCTAGTATAGCACAACTGGTAGAATGAGAGGTCACTTTGACCTTAGCAGGTCGAATAATAAGGTGCTTTCAGGATTCAGAGGCAGTTTGAGGTTAGAGTCACTGTAGAAGCCTCAGAGACACATGGACTAGATACTCCCTTGAATGGGTCTTGCTGCCCATTCATTCAAGCAAACTTGAGCTAATTTTTTTCTTTGTCATAGAGTTTTATTTCTTTCATTTTACTTTTTAAAAAATTGTGTAATTAAATAATGTATGCACACAATGGAAAAAATCAAATAGATCTTCAAGGATTATCAAGAAAAACAGTACTCCCTTGTTTCACCCACTTCCCTACCTCATTTGAGGTGATGCTTTTCAAAAGGCAGTTGGTTTCAACATTTTAGCTGTTTCTCTTGGGACTTTTACTCATATTTCTAAATAGCATACTTATACCCTCATTTTTTGAATTTTTGTTTTCATACATTAACTCTTGTCTTCCTATTACAAAAGTTGCCTTAAAAATGTTGCTACCTCCCACCTACATGCACCAACATCCTTGCCAACACGACCATATTTTGCTCCCCACAACACATGTATTCACACATATATACAAATCTTTTTTTCATCTTCTCAATATATAAATGTAATCTAATTTTATATTAAACCAATACTTTGTGGTTAAATATTACATTGACTATGTAAACATCACAACACTATCCTTCATTTCTTACACAATTTTTGGTCTTTCCTGGATATAATTGTTTTTCTTTCCATTTGCTTAATTTTCTATGAAATTATAACTAATTTATTCACAAACCCTCCTCTGATATGAAATCTCCTCTCTATACATTTAATCATACTTCTAATGAGTCACTATCATATTTTCTTTGAATACAGATTTCCTGGACATGTAAGTCCCCCTGATCCAATGTGAAGTGGTTGCCCTCTGTATTAAATGGCTGTTCAATGGCATACCCCATATGGTTTTCCAAGCTTTTCTTCTGATTTTTTCTTGAGTTGGAGATCCGTTTTCTATCTCCTTTGTCTTCTCACTTCTTGGTTGATTCTCTCCAGGACATTATCAAAAAAAAAGGAAGTTGAGAAGCTACTATGTTGACTATCTGAAAGTGTTTTCATCATCGTCATCATCATCATCATCATCATCACTTGTTTAAAAGTTTGAGTATATACATTTCCATATTCCTTAGAATTTGGAGGGCTTTAAATTATGCTTTTCGAAAGTTTGATGCCATTCTAATTTCTCTTTGCATGAGATCTGATTGTTCCTATTCAAAAAATTTTAACTCTTTATTCTGTTTTTGGTGTTCTAAAGTTTAATAATTTGCCTTGCTGGGGAGCTTTTCAAATCCATTTCGATGATGTCTTTTCAGAGGCTGTCAGGTTGGAAACTTGTGTTTAGATAAGGGAAGTTTTCTTGTATTATTTCTTAAATATTTTTCTCTTTTTATTTTTTCTTTTTGTCTTACCTGGTTGCTTACTATTCAGATGTTTATACTTTATCAACTGATCCTGTAATATTCTTCTATTTTCTGCTTAGTTTTTTTTATTTGTAGAAGGTTTTCTCAAATTTATCTTCTAAACTTTCTATAGGAAGTTTTTTTTTCCGCTATCATAGTTTTATTTAATAAGAGCTTTTGTTTGGCTCTTTTAATATTTTATGAAGACATCTTTGTTGAAAATCAATTGACTGTAAATTTATGGATTTATTTTTGGGCTCTCTGTTCTGTTCTATTGGTCTATGTGTCTGTTTCTATGCCAGAATCATACTGTTTTGATTACTGTAGGCCTACATTAGATTTTAAAATTAGGTAATGTGATGGCTCTGGCTTTGTTCTTTTTGCTCAAGATTGCTTTCATTATTTGGGTTTTTTGTAGCTCCATATGAATTTTAGGATTGCTTATTCTATTTTGGTAAAAAATGACATATGTATTTTGATGAGATTGCATTGAATCTGTAGATTGTTTTGGATGGTGTGGACATTATAATAATATTAATTATTCCAATTTATGTTACAGAATATCTTCCCATTTATTTGTGTTTTCTTCAATTTTTTCATCATTGTGTTATGGTTTTCTATGCACAGGTATTTTAACTCCTTGATTTCCTCCTATTTTATTTTTTGTGTTGCTAAAAAATATGAAGAATGAATAAGATGTACTATTTGATAGCACAGTAGGGTGACTATAGTCAATAATAATTGTATATTTTAAAATAACTTTAAGAATATAGTCAGATTATTTGTAACTCAAAACATAAATGCTTGAGGGGATGAATACCCATTCTCCATGGTGTGCTTATTTCACATTGCATGTCTGTATCAAAACATCTCATGTACCCCATAAATATATATATATATATATAACATGTACACACAAAATTTTTAAAAAACAATAATTTTTAAAAAAACATGGGATTGTTTTCTCAGTTTCTTTTTTGGATTTTTTTTGTTAGTGTATAGAAATGCTATGGATTTTTCTATGTTGATTTTGATTTCTGCAATTTTACTGAATTTATTTGTTATATCCAAGAGTTTTTTTGGCAGAGTTTTAGAGTTTTCTCTATATAAGATCGTGTTGTGAGCAAACAGCAGTAATGTTACTTTTTCCTTTCCTATTTGGATGCCTTTTATTTTATTTTGCCTAATTTCTAAATTAAAATTTAGTAATTACTTACAAATTAAAATTTGAAATTAATTACAAATTAAAATTTGCCTAATTACTAAAATAATTTTTTTTTTGCCTAAGTGTTCTTGTTCAAAAAATTTTAACTCTTCGTTCTGTTTTTGGTGTTCTAAAATTTAATAATTTGCCTTGGTGAGGAGCTTTTCAAATCCATTTTGATGAGGTCTTCTTGAGCCTGACAACTTGGAAACTTGTATTTGGACTTCTAGTACTATGTTGAAAAGAAGTGGCAAAAGTGAGCATCCTTGTTTTGTTTCTTATCTTACGGGAAAAAAGCTTTCCACTTTTCATCATTAAGTTTGATGTTAGCTATAGGCTCATCATACATGACCTTTGTTTTGTTAAGAGATTTTATTGTTAAATAATGTTGAATTTTGTTGAATGTAGTGTCTGCATCTACTGAAATGATCATATGACTTTTATTCTTCATTCTGCTCTTGTGGTGTATTGCAATTGTTGATTTATATATATTGAATCATCCTTGCATCCAAGGGATAGATCCTTCTTAATCATGATGAATGATCCTTTCAATGTGCTGTTGAATTCAGTTTGCTAATATTATGTTGAAGATTTTTTTAGTTTATATTTATCAGGGGTATTGGCTTGTAATTATCTTTTCTTGTAGTGTCTTTGTCTGGCTTTGGTATCAGGGTAATAGTGGCTTCATATAATAAGTTTAGAAGTTTTCCCATCTCTTCAATTTTTTTGCAAGAGTTTGAGAAGAATTCTTTTTTATTGTTTAGTAGAATTCAGCTTTCTTCTTTTTGTGAGATAGGCATGTATTGCTGTAAACTTCCTTCTTAGAACTGCTTTTCCTGTATCTTGTTTTGGTATGTTATGTTTCTATTTTTGTTTTTCTCAAAAGACAGTTTTAAGCTTTCTCTTTTAATTTCATCTTTTGCCTATTGATTATTTAGAAGCATGTTGTTTAATTTTCTCATTTTTATAATTTTTTTGAGGTCCCTTCTATTATTGATTTCTTGTTTCATTCTATTTAGTGTGGTTGGGAAAGATACTTGACATGATTTCAACGTACTTAAATTTGTGAGGACTTGTTTTGTGGCCTGCGTTGTCTATCCTGGAGAATGTTACATGTGTGCTTGAGAAGAATGTGTAGTTTTTTGCTGTTTGGTATCATGTTTTATACATGTTTGAGAGGTCCATTTATTCCCATTGCAGTTAAAGAACAATGGTTCCTTATCAATTTTATTGATTTTCTTTCTAAACAATCTGTCCGCTGTTGAAAGTGGGGTATTGAGGTCCCCTATTATTATTGTATTTCATTCTATCTCTCTTCAGATGTATTGATATGTGCTTTATATATTTAGGTATTCTGATGTTAGGTACATATGTGTTTATAATTGTTGTATCTTCTTGACAAATTGTTTCCACATCATTATATAACCTTCTTTGTCTCATCTTACAGTTTTTGACTTGGTAGCATTTTTAGAGTTTTCTCTATTTCTTATTTTCATTTTCTCTCTGTAAGATTTATTTCTCTATATAAATTATATTTTGTCTGGAATATGTATAGCTACCCCTTCTCTCTTTTGATTCCATTTGCATAGAATATCTTCTTTCCTCTTATCATTTTCATATGTGTTTTTAAAGACAAAGTGAGTTTCTCATAGGCAGCATATATTGGGTGCCTTCAGCCATTCTGTGACTTTTGATAGAAGGATTTAATACATTTACATTCAAGGTACTTATTGATAGATAAAGACTTACTACTGCCACTTTGTTCATTGTTTTCCAGTTGTTTTGTGGATTTAGTTTCTTTCCTCCTCTCTTGTCTTCCTTTTTGATTAGATGATTTTCTCTAGTGGTATGCATTAATTCCTCATTTTTTATCTTTTACATATCTACTATAAGTTTTTGCCTTGTGGTTACCATGAGGCTTACATAAAAATATCTTATATTTGTAACAGGCTATTTTAAGTTGATAAAAAATTTACCTTTGCACAAAAAACACTATAGACTTTTACTCTACATACATCACAATTTCATGTTTTTGATGTCACAATATACTTTTTTATATTGTATACCATTAACAAGTGAATATGGCTATATTATTTTAAGAGTTTTGTCTTTTAACCTTCATACAAAAGATATAGTGATTTACATACTATTATTACAATTTTAGAGTATTCTGAATTTGATTGTGTACTTACTTTTGCCAGTGACTTTTATACTTTCATATGTGTTCATGTTACTAACTGTCATCATTTTCTCTCAGCTTGAAGAACTCTCTTTAGCATTTCTTGTAAGATAGGTCTGGTGGTCCCACAGCATTCTTTTGTGTGGGGGAAAGTCTTTATTACTCCTTCAGTTTTGAAGAACAGCTTTGCCAAGTATTCCTGGTATCCAAGTGGTTTTGTTTTTGTTTTGTTTTTTTCCTTTAGCCCTTCGAACACATGATCCCACTCTCTTCTGGTGTATAAAGTTTCTGCTGAGAATTCTGTTGCGAGCCTTGGAATTCCCTAAATATGATTTGCTTTTTTTCTCTTGCTAATTCCAAGATCTTTGCTTTATCCTTGATATTTGAAACTTTGGTTATAATATGTCTTGGTATCATCTTGTTTGGATTAAATCTTATTTGACCTTCCTGTACCTAAATATTTCCCTAGATTAGAAAGTTTTCTGCTATTATTCTTTTAAGTAAGCTTCCTACCCTTTTGTCTCTCTTCTTCTTCATCTCTTATTACTAGAATATTTGCTCTGTTGATGCTGTCCCATAAATCCTGTAAGTTTTCTTTATTCTTTTGTATTATTTTTTCTCCTCTCACTGTATATTTTCAAATAACTTGCCCTCAAGTCCAGAAATTCTTTCCTCTGATTTATTAATTCTTCTGTTGATGCTCTCTATTGCATTTTTAAATTCCATTTATTTTATTTTTCTGTTCCAGAATTTCTGTTTGATGTTTATAAAACAATTTCAATTTATTTGTTAATTTTTCAGGTTGGGTTTTTATTTTTTTAATTTTATTAAATTGTTTATTTGTATTTTCTTGAAGTTCATTGAGCTCCTTTGAACAATTATTTGGAATTCTTAGTTGGTTCACTTACCTCCATTTCTGTGGGGTCAGCTATTGGAAGATTATGGTGTTCTTCTGATGGTAATTATCTCCTTGGTTTTTCATGTTTCTTGTTGCCTTATGTTGATGTCTGCACATTTGGTAGAGTACTCTTCTCTTGTAGACTTTAATGACTAGTTTTTTTGTGGAAATATCCTTGTCTCTGGGTGGAGGATGAGCATACTTGCTGGATAAGGTACAGCAGTTCTGATACCACTGAGAGTGCCAGCTGTGTAGTCCCTGTGAAGCTTCGTCAGTATTAATAAAGATTGCAGAGATCCTCAGCAGCTAACATTGTCTATGGTGGCAGTGACACTTTCTCTTCTATCCTTTCTAAAATTAATGGATATGTTGATCATTTCTAATTTAGTGTTATTATAAACACTGCTGTTATAAATATACCTGCCTGTGTTTTTTTGTGTGCATATGTGCATAGGCACTTGTTTCTGCTGATTATATACCTACAAGTGAAATGGCTGAGTTATAGGTTAGGTATGTGCTTAAATTTTAAGATTGTATTAATTTACATTCTAACCATTAATGTATGAAATTTCCAGTGTGTCACATCCTCATAACATTTGGTATCATCATATTTTATCTTAGCTATTCTGATAGTTTATTGTGGCTTTTGCCTAGTTTTCACATATATTGATTCTTCAGCATCTCTAATTTAAAAGATACATTAAAAGCTATTTGTGGCACCCACATATTTTTTTGAAGTAAACAAAAAGCACTTGCCCATATAATTTTTCAATCTATAGAAGAGTTTTCTCCTCTTTTCTTGAAAAACCAAGGATTCTGTGAAGCTGTTTCAGGACAAGAGAAAAAGAAGAAAAAAAGAAAAAAGAGCTGGATCTGACCCCTCAGCCCTTCCTCAATCAGATGAGCTCTGGTTGTATATTGACTTTCTAAAATACAATCTTGCAGAAAAAGTTTCTCTGCTAAAAAATTTTAAAGCTACACAACCATTCTTCAAAGAATTAATGGCAATGAAACTGAAGAAATATACATTTTCCTTGACCCATGGCCTTTTTGCGGAGGCTATTTGCAATCCTATGAGTTCATGGCTATTATTTTCACTGGCATCTGATCTTGCAAGGGATGGGGGCAGCCAGAAGGGTAAGACAAAGCCTGATAAAGACTCAATAACCAGCATCTTTAGAAACCTTACTTTTACCCAACAGTCACCTAGCCACACAAACATACTTCACCACAATTTTTAAGTGTGGCTGAACCTAATCAAAAGTAGTAGTAGTATCATATTCAAGCATGACTTCATATACCGCTAAGAGCTCTAATAGGGTAAATATAAATAAAGGTGTCCAAAATCATATTGGGCCAGCTAATCAACGTTTCAATCTGCTTTCTTCAACATAAGTATATACTGCTACTTCAGGAGGTAATCAAGAGGATTAAAGGAGATGATGCATATAAAGGACCCCAAATATAATTTGTTCAAAAAATGTTGTGATTTATTCTATTATGACCACGATTATCCGGCAGAGTGACTACATATACTGGTCTTTGATCTATCTGATTCCCAGTCCCAGTGATCTATATCCTATGGGACATCAAAAGCTTCATATATCTTTTCCCTATTTTTACTAGTTCCTCAAAAGTGTCAGTCCTCTAGTTCCTAATCATCTACAACACCGTTTTCTCCCAGATGCTGTATTTACCCTCAAAGTAAAGTATCCCTCCTTCTCCCCAAGTCATAAATCCTTCCATGATACCCTCTGTAAATATTGTATCACATTTAGCAAATTTTTTATTATCTTCAATGCCTTATAGAAATATTCTCTTCACTTTCTTGGCTTAACTGAACCTTTGTGACACCATTTTTTTTTTCTAGCCCTCTCAAGTGATGACTTTACCTTATGTACTTGGGGAGTGGGAAGAGAGATTAATGAACTCCTTAATCTCTTTTGTGGGTTCACGAACAATGTTTTACATCCTCTTTTAAAATAACAATAACACAACACAACAAAATAAACAAAAAACAACCTATTCCTTTGAGGCACGTATTATTAGAAAACCACTCTGTTGCCTTCCTCTTAATTGCCATTTTTGAGCTTCCCAGTCCCATCCCTTGTCTGTGGGCAATATTGACACCTCTTTTAGTCTTTTTTCTTCACTCTTTTCAACCCTCATTACCATCCTCATGCCCAGTAGGTAATCCTGGAAACACCTTACCAAAGAAAGTGAAACCATTATAAGGGAAACTTTGAGCTTTTCTATATCAATGTCTGTTATCACCTTTTTCCCCCTTAGGTTATATTATAGAAGAGCAAACACTCCAGGCTAAGAATAAAGGATAATACCCCCTTTTCCTCCCTTAGGAACCTTACACTATTATCTTTTCTTGCTTTTGTTTGTTCAATCACTCTTTCTTAATTGGGGAATTCTTATTTGTATTTAAATATACCCAACTCCCTCTCTATTTTGTTTTATTTTATTGACAAATTATAATCATATATAATTATGCAGTACACAGTGATGTTATGATACAGGCACATAAGGTGGGATGATTGAATCAAACTAATTAACATATCAATTTCCTTAAATTCTCACCATTTTTTCCTTCTGTCTAGTTGCAACTTCGTACCCTTTGACCACATCTCCCCATTTCTCCCGGCTTCTAATGACCACTGTTCTGCTCTCTCCTTCTATTTGTGAAGTCTTTTAGTTTCCACATTTGTCTTTAAAAATAACTTTTGGCAACCTTACATTAGTTACTACTTTCTAACTTAGTACTCACCCCAAAACTCATCATTTTATTAAGCCTCAAAAAGGCTTCTTGAGAATAAATCATACAAGTATCTTTTTGGGTCGTCATCTTGCTTGGCGTCAACATCACTTGACACTTTTGAGAACTTCATCTTTCTGAATACCCTTTTTTTTTTTTTAACTTCTGTGATACCACACTCACTGGTTTTCCTTTGGCTGCTTTTTTGTAGTCTTTTTTGCAGAATCATTCTCTCTATTTGGCCACACATGTTGAAGTTCCTTATTGAAAACTCTTCATGTCCTCTTTACTAAGTTTCATCCATCTTCCATGATTTTTTTCTATGCTGATAATATTCAAATGTATGTCTCATCAAAGATTTTGGCATTGAACTTCTGCCACATGATGGACTATCCCACATCTTCATTAGAATGTCTTTAAAGTCACCTCAAACTCACCTAAACAAATCTAAATTGATGCTTTTTCCGATTCTAACAAATCAGGTTCTCTTACTTTGTTCCATATTTTAGGGCAATACAGCTAATGTCTCTAATTGAATAAGAGAAAAACCCTGAAAGCCATCCTTTGCAACTATCTCACCTCCATATCCAGCATATCTTTTATATTTTACCTCCCATTTATCATTCAATTCTGTTTATTGTCTGTCTCCATAGTCATCACCCTTTTCTAATTTTTCACTACTTTATTCTTATCTTTTACTCTATCTTTTCTTGTTCATGTATCTTCTCGTGGCCCATCCTTATCTGCACATTGCATTGTAACCACAGTGATATCAGGGAACCTGCCCCGATATTTACATAGGTTCTTTTCTATTTTCCCTAAGCATCGGCCAGCTTGAGAAATAAAGGGACAGAGTATGAAAGAGAGAAATTTTAAAGCCCAGCATCAAGGGTAGACATCACATGTCAATAGGTTCCATGATGCCCCACAAGCCACAAAAACCAGCAAGTTTGTATTAGGGATTTTCAAAAGGGGAGGGAGTGTGCGAATAGGTGTGGGTCACAGACATCAAGTACTTTACAAGGTAATAGAATATCACAAGGCAAGTGGAGGCAGGGCAAGATCAAGGACCACAGGACCGAGGCAAAATTAAAATTGCTAATGAAGTTTCGGGCACCATTGTCATTGATAACATCTTATCAGGAGACAGAGTTTTGAGATCAACTGGTCTGACCAAAATTTATTAGGAGGGAATTTCCTCTTCCTAATAAGCCTGGGAGCGCTATGGGAGACTGGAGTCTATTTCACCTCTGCAGTCTCGACCATAAGAGATGACCACGCCCGGGGGGGGCAGAGACCCACCCCCAAGTGCACATTCTCTTTCTCAGGGATGTTCCACGCTGAGAAAAAGAATTCAGCAATATTTCTCCCATTTGCTTCTGAAAGAAGAGAAATATGGCTCTGTTCTGCCTGGCTCACTGGCGGTCAGAGTTTAAGGTTATCTCTCTTATTCCCTGAACAATTGCTGTTATCCTGTTCTTTTTTCAAGGTGCCCACATTTCATATTGCTCAAACACACATGCTGTACAATTTGTGCAGTTAATACAATTATTACAGGTTCCTGAGGCAATATACATCCTCCTTAGCTGACAGGATTAAGAGATTAAAGTAAAGACAGGCATAGGAAATCACAAGGGTATTGATTGGGGAAGTGATAAGTGTCCATGAAATCTTTACAATTTATGTTTAGAGATTGCAGTAAAGACAGGCATAAGAAATTATAAAAGTATTAATTTGGGGAACTAATAAATGTCCATGAAATTTTCACAATCCAAGTTCTTCTGCCATGGCTTCAGCGGGTCCCTCCGTTTGGGGTCCCTGACTTCCCGTAACACAGTGACTTTTCAAAAAGTGGCACTTTTTGTGCCTCCAGTGCAAGAGACTAAATAAATAATGCTTTTTTATTTACAACATGCTATCATTATTGGTCTCTGTGAAGCCTATTTTTGTAGTTTTATTTTCCCTTCTATCTTTGATTTCTCACTCTCCTTGCTGCCTCTGATGTGTTCAATATATTTTAATTATAAAATATAAAATATCATTTTATATATAAATATAAATTACAATAGAATTCACTTTTACTTTTTTACTTGATGCCATGTTTTTTAAGATCTAACCAATTTCTAACCACCACATGGCATTTCAGTATATATCCTTCCTGTTTTTCATGGATTCTTCTAATAATAGGCACTTCTGCTACTCCCATTTTCTCAATACTACAAACAATGCTGCAATGAACTTTCTTGAGCATCTTTGTTCCTAGGGAGCAGTCATAAATTCTCTAAGATATATGATCCAAGTATGTCTGTAGTATATTTAACTTTAATAAGTATTGCCAGATTGCTTTTCTGAATAACTTCACCACTCAACACTGTGTACACATCGCTGCCTCTTCACAACCTTGCAAACACCTGGTATTGTACCATTTTTTATTTTCACCAACGTGAGTTTTTATTTTTACTGTGTATTGCTCTGATTTCTGCTGAGTTTAAGTATATCTTCATATGCGTTTTACCTAGCCTCCTTTTCTGTGAATTGTCCATTTATATCTTTTGCTTAATTTTGTAGTGAGTGTTGATGTTTTTCTTGAAGGATTTCCTTGTACATTCTACATATAGTCTCTTTTTGGTGGCAGAGATTACACTATTTTCTCCAGCGAGTTACTTATTTGGTAGCCTCTCTGAAAAATACACTGTTGAATATAAATCTTTGATTTTGGTAGGGCCAAAACCATCAAATTTGTCTTTGGTTTTTAATTTCTGAATTTATTAAAAATGTCTTTGTTCACATCTAAGACACAAAACTATTCTATATTTTTCCCTTTAGATTACTAATTGTGCCATTGACATCGGTACGTCCCCTTTATACAAATGGTGAGTCAGTTTCATTAGTACTGTCTATGGAACTAGGGGTGAGCAAACTTTTCTAGCAAAGTGTCAAAAATGATATATTTTAGATTTTGGGGACAATAATTTTTGTCACTACAACTCATCCTCTGATGTGGTAGCACCAAAGCAGCCATAAACAATATATAAATGAAAGGGAGCGACTGTAATTTGAAAAAATGTTATTCACAAAATCAGTTGAAAAGCTGGATTTGGTCTGTGGATCAGTTTGCATGCTGACCCTGACAATACTGTCTTTACTTATTTGATGTGTGGTGCCAAATATCTTTATAAAACAAGTTCCCATTTACATACAGTTTTTGAAATACTCCGATTATAGGCCACTTGCATGTACCTTTCCATGTCCTTTTTACCTATTCAACATCCACTTCTACCTACTTCATACCTCATCTGGCTTAAGCATTATTTCCTCAGGAGCCTCTCCTATCTAGTACAAATTTCTTTCTTATATATATTTATGGAACCATGTTACTTTACTTTGAATCACTTAGCACAAAATGTAATTACACAATCATCTGTGTGGTAATTTGACATCTGTCTCCCTAACTAAATTGTTAATTCCCCAAGAGCAGGTGCTATTTCTGTTTTAATTTATCATTTTATTTCTAGTGTCTATTATAGTGCCTGCCCAACAATGCTCACTCAATAGATATTTGTTGAAAGAATGAATCCTATGTCAAAAAAGATTCTGAGAAAACTGGGTCGATTTTGTGACTAATTCAAGTCTCAAATAATTTCTACTGCATGTTTGAGGTTACTGTGGGGTTTTCATAATAATAAAATCTTATTCTCTCCCTTCAGCACTTTTGATTCCCTGGCTTCACCATACCTGCTACAATATATTCTCCTTTATATCTTTGTATTAGAGAAGAAATAGGTCTGCTTTTTTTTTTTTTTTTAATAGAGGCAGGGTCTCACTCTCACCCAGGCTGAAGTGCAGTGGCACTATCATAGCTCACTGTAACTTCGAACTCCTGGGCTCACGCAACTAGGTCTGCTTTTTTTAAAAAATCAAGTACACTATTGCAGATATGTTCAAAATTATACCCACATGGGTTTATTCAGGAACAAAATGTCATATGGGGTGTAACATTAGACAAAAACATAATTCATGATAATCCTATTTGATATTGGAAGGTTTTAAGTTAAGCAACTGTGTGAAATTATTTTACATTTTAAAACTTTTAGGAGGATTGTTCAGTGACAATGTTTGTATAATTCTTGAAATATTTGCCTTCTAGTACCACAGGCATGATACCTAATCTTACAGGTAAGAAAATGGTAATTAGCGGTGTTTTATAAATATAGATAGGGAATAGAGTATGAGATGAAAGGGATAGAAGCTTCCTCTCTTCCAGACTAAGACTTAATAAAACAACAACAATAACCAATATCACATCCAATAATGCCAGCTGCTCTCTGTATTAACACTTTTGCATGGAAACTCTTGAATCATGTTTAGTTTTCCATAGTTTCCATTAATCAGTTAATTGGGCATGTCAAATCATACCGTTGGGTTCTCCGTTCTTCTCTTTAAGCCTTTTATAATGTATGACGTAAGTATTTTCTGTTTACTTCTTTTTTTCTATTACTTTTGTCCTCCTCTTATTATTCTAACTTTATTCATCAATAACCTTATATACCATAATATATCTAATATGTCATATTTCCATGTGGAACATGTTCTGTTTTTCAACTCATCTGCCACTCTCACCAGTCATACTATTGAAGTGTGCACGTATTCCAAATGTTTCATTCGCTTTCAGAGAGCATCCAATATCAAATGAAGCCTCGAAAGAATGATATGGCCTAACAATTAAGACAAAATTCTTTGAAGACTTAAGGTAACCTTCCTGAAAACGTTGTTATAGAACTTTTAGGTCAATTTGCAGCTATAGATTTTAAAAGATTTAAAGTGAGGTGCTTTTTTTTTTAAGTTGAATTAGTTAAGGGTTTCAAAACAGACAATAATGAAGAACATAAGACAGAGAGAAGAAGGAGGTACATTTTTAAAATTTTATGTTTCTAAAATTTCTCTGATACCAAAATACATAAGAAATTACAGTAATAGACTAATAGAATAGTGGAAAACAGCTATATACACTGTAATATGGCATTATTCTCTGAAAACAAAAAAATGAAAAGCTAACTTTATAAATTTTTTCCTTTTTGTTGTACAACATTCATTTTCTAATAACTTACAAAGTATGTTATATTAGTTGATGGAAATACAAAGTTGATCAAAGCATGAACTCTGCCCTCAAGACACTTCCCATCTAATGCGTAAGTTAATCAAGATATAAAATAAAAATATCTCAGTGATAATACTTGTAAGAAAGCTAAGTTTAAAAATCATGTTAAGGCCAGATGTGATGGCTCATGCCTGTAATCTCAGCACTTTGAGAAGCTAAGGCAGGAGGATTGCTTCTGCCCAGGAGTTCGAGACCAGCCTGGGCAATGTAGTGTGACCTTGTTTGTATAAAAAAAAAAAAAAAAATCATCCCACTACTTGGGATGCTGAGGTGGGAGAACTGCTTGAGCCAGGGAGGTCGAGGCTGCAGTTAGCTGTGATTATGCCACTGCACTCCAGCCTGGATGACAGAGTGAGACCCTGTCTTAAGGAGAAAAAAAATAATGTTAATGATAATTTGTAGAAATATAATACTTAAATAGAAGGTAAATTGTACTTCAGCTAGACACAGCAAAACAATAGAAAGGAAAGAAGAAAATGCTATTATACAACTCATCCATACTTAGTATACATTTACAAATTTCTATTATCTTGAATTATTTCCTTTATCTTCTTTATATGGATTCTTGAATATAAACCCTCACACTTCTTTCTGCCCAACAATTTACATCTGTATTCTTACCAGTTAACAACCAGATCAAGACTTCATGACTATAAAACAAAAGTCTTGTTGTACCTAAAATTTGACAATAGCAGCTGTGAGGACAATTCATTATCCTAGAGGTCAGAGGAATTTATGTTTGGCACTTATTTTAAACCACTATCAGACTGCTTCATAAATCTAGTAGCACACTCACTTATGATTAATATTTCCAAAAGTCAGTTCTCCTGGCATGTGACTATTTTGATATATGACGGAAAAAGGGAAGACAGCTTTGTGTTTTATATGTAATAAGAACCACTGGTTTAAAAAAAAATCTGTCTCAAAAATGGTCAAGTGGTCTTCTCATGGATCCATTATTGCTCACCAGTATTTATCACGTGGTATTCAAGTGAGTGTCATTAAACTAAACAGCTTTTGTAGTTAATAGTCAGCAAATGCAAACCATCCTGTCAATCTTGCCACTGGTTAACACCTAACTAACTACAACTTGAATATCTTGAAAACTGTAGCATTTCATTACCCCTTCCACTCAGTGCTAAGGGACTAAATATCCAGAGAAGACAAAAGTGAATTCACCGACTTTCATAGTCTTCTATTTTCCTTACTTGAATTTCCCATCACTGAGCCTGTACCACCAGCATAGCACTGAAAGTAATAATAGAGAAAAATTAATTAAATGACTGTATTTCAATCGCAAGACTTATTTCTGGCATTATGAACTAAAAGAGTACGTATTGAGCAGTTTGTAACTGACAGCAGTGCCATGAAATTACAATGCAGCCATGATAATTATCCTCTTCATTATTTTTTAATATATATCAAGATAAATATAGCATTTCTTTCACTTTTAATGGCATGCAGTATAATAGGAAGACAAGAAGAGGGGTGTTTTTCTTACAGTGTTATGGTTAAAGACAGTGACAAAGAAAAGGATATGACTTTGATGATGTTCCATCATCAATGCTGAAATAGACATCAATTATATTATCAGTCTATACAAACTGCATACACACAGTTAAAGTAAAACAAGATGCACTTTCTTCACAAAGCTGTAACTGCTGACAACCATCAAGAACAAAAATATAATGCAATTGAGGTGGACAAAATGATTCGTTTCTGGACTCAACTGTATCAATTATCAAACGAAGTTCACAGAAATTTAAATGTAATTAATTTATTATTATTTGAAAATATACTAAGCAATTAGAGAGACTTTGGGATCCTGTATTAGTCCAGCTTCTTAATGTGTTATTTTCATTTGGTTTCCAATTCTTTCAAATTGATTTAAGTTAAATTTAACATATAGCATGAATTTCTTCTTGCTTTAATATTAATTACATTTTTAGGATGAACTTCTTCCTGCTTTTTATCTTAAATGTACAGAATAAACATTGAAAGTTTGGAGAAAAAATTACTAAGGCTATGTCTGTAGGTCTATTGGCAGAAATCTCAACCTAACTTCTGCTTGAATTTTATCGACCTGCCTTTTATCTCCAGTGACATATAGGAGCTAAAATATCCAGAAAATAGTGTTAGTGATACCATTTCTTTTGAACTTGAATCAGATTTAGTGACTCAGAGGATGATTGTATTGAAAAAAAATGTTGGATTATAACTCATTTCCCAATGATACAGTAAATTTTTCATCCATATGACAGGTTTGCGTTTGGTGTTTTCCTAGATTCTTTGGACATATTGAATAAAAAGGATAAATAATTTTCTAAACCTGACCTCACTGTTTGGGGAAAAGACCAAAGTTCAAGGAAGAAAGCATTCTAGTCTTCCTCTATCAAGAGATTTTGAACATTGTGGAGAAAAGGAGCTGGTGCAGTACTCTCTCCTTATTTGCTTCACATGTACACATTTGGGAGCAAAGTCTCTTTTCTATCGAACTTTAATTACACAGTGCAAGGAGGTCCACTGTATGAGACCAGAGGAATAGATAGCTTCAAAAATGAAAGGTAATATCGCCTTCTGGGAAACTGGCAAGGATCCTGTGGTGAAATAGCCAAAACGTGGAGGGTTGATGTCAGTGGAAAGCCTCTAGATACACTTTGCTGGTGAGTCTGACACTGTGAGTCCACCATTGGGCCAGAAGAGCCACAAGGTACCAGTCATCCTGGTGAGAAATTTAGGGGGATTCTACCTATCCCAGTGGAACCTGTTCCAAGTATGGTGAATAGAATTTACCAGGGAATAAACTGGAGCAGAAGCTGGGCCAGAAAGAAAACCTGAAGCAGAAGCTAAACCAGAAACAAAACTATGGGAGATAAATAATTTTTGGTACCACAACTTTGTCACACTCAGAACACGAACTATAGATGACAAGTTTCCTTGCTTGGACTTCTTGGGTCCCCTTCCCATTCAATTGCAGATCATTGACCTGGTAATGGACACTCATGTTTACCAACCCTGGCAGTTATGATAGAGGGGATATTTTACAACATTTAATTTCTAATTGAAGAATAATGAGGGGAGTCTGTTCAAGTGGAGTTTTATTAAATATCAGACATGGATAGAATGGTCTTTGTTCAAAGACAGACAAAAGAGACCAAACATATTCAAATAAATGATAATGTGACATAAAATTAAACTATTACTTAAGAAGCTAAAAAAAGGAATATATGTTAAGAAAATATTATGGGAAACAATAGCTTTACAAAGTAGTTATGCTGCTTTCTCAATCAAAATATGCCTTTGGGGGAATGAAAGAAGATTTTAATATAGCTAATTGATATGAAAAGACTCTGGCTGCAGTAAAGAAAGAACTAAAGGTGACTAATACCATGTTATCACAATATGAGATTTGTACTCAAAGTAGATTCAAGTAGGAAAAGGGAGAGCTGACATTTCAAACAACTAAGTCCTGATGTGGAAGGTAAATTTAGGAATTTTTCTGGAAAACAAAGGAAAAAGGACAAAAGACAAAAACAATAACAGGGAACACAGTGGCTTAAAATCCAGTTTGTATACCGAAGATATAGATAATTGGGATTCCTAATAAATATGGAGAAATATAACAGAAAAGAATTAAATTCCAAATTACTCTTTCATGAGATTTTAAAAACCACCGTTAACATGTAGATTAATATTCTTATTTAGTGCCAGACAAAATTAATGAAAAGAGCCTAGAAATGTGCTGCTCAAATTGTTAAATTTTACCAACAAATACACTTGCATAATAAACAAGGTAGAACATAAGAAAATGTTTTTAAAAATCAGGTCTTTAAAATGGCCTGCAGATTCCCTTTTGATTTTCTCCTCCTATCTGCTTCCTTCTCTGGCTTCATCTTCTGTTCTTTGTTTCATTAGCACTGGTCTTATTGCAGTTTGTTGACCAGCCAGGCATGATCTAACATTACAGTCTTTGTACTATCAATTCCCTCTGCCTCAAAGCCTTCCCTGAGATAGGAATATGACTTCATTCCTCACTGTCTTTAAGATTTTCTCAAATCTCACTATCTCAAAGGTGCTTACCCTGATACAGTATTTCATACTACAACTGCTGTGCCTCTTCCCAACCAACTCTGTTACCTCATATTCTCCTCTTCTTCCCCTTCATATTTATTTGTTTGAATTCCCTATTTTTGGCTGGGCATGGTGGCTCACGCCTGTAATCCCAGCGCTTTCGGAGGCCGAGCCAGGTGGATCACCTGAGGTCAGGAGTTTGAGACCAGCCTGATTAATATGGTGAAACCCCGCCTCTACTGAAAATACAAAAATTAGCCGGATGTGGTGGCATGCGCTTGTAGTCCCAGCTATTCAGGAGGCTGAGACAGAAAAATTGCTTGAATCTGGGAGGAGGAGTTTGCAGTGAGCTGAGATGGCGCCACTGCACTCCAGCCTGGGTGACAGAGCCAGACTCCATCTCAAAAAAAAAAAAAAGAAAAGAAAAGAAAAAAGAATTCTCTGTTTTTCTTTTTTCTCTCTCTCTCTCTTTTTTTTTTTTTTTGAAATGGAGTCTGGCTCTGTCGCCCAGGCTGGAGTGCAATGGCGCCATCTCGGCTCACTGCAACCTCCGCCTCCCAGGTTCAAGGAATTCTCCTGCCTCAGCCTCCTGAGGAGCTGGGACTACAGGCGCGTGCCACCACGCCCAGCTAATTTTTGTATTTTTAGTAGAGATGGGGTTTCACCATTTTGGCCAGGATGGTTTCGATCTCTTGACCTCGTGATCCTCCTGCCTCTGCCTCGCAATGTGCTGGGATTACAGGCGTGAGCCACTGCACCCAGCCAGAATTCTCTATTTTCATGGAGAATATGTGATACTTGCATAATTACATTTTAAAAGAAAGCTTTCTCATTACTAGGAAGCATATTACAAAGTTTAACATGAGAAAGGGAGCATATTTATATTAGTTTCTATGTTACATTACAAATTATCTTAAATTCAGAGACTTCAAAAAAGAAATAATTATTATATTACTGTTCTGTAGGTCAAGAATTTATGAGCAGCTTAGCTGAATGGTTTTGGCTCAGAATCTCTCGTGAAATTGAAGTAGGCTGGGGTCATCTCATGGCTCAAGTGGGGGCCAGAAGATCCATCTCCAAGATAGCTCACTCACAAGGGTGTGGGCAGGAGGCTTCAGTTCCTCACCACATGGAGGTCTCCAGATAGCTTGAATGTCCTATTGACATGGCAGCTGGCTACTTTCAGAGCAAATGGTCCAAGAATGTTACAAATGTCTTTTATGACTTGGTGTCAGAAGTTACACATGGCTACTTCCCCAATATTCTATGCATTAGAAAAGAGTCACTCAGACCAGGCCACTGGGATATTAAGCTCCACCTACACAAGGTAAGAGTGTCAAACATTTTGTGGATATTTAAAAACCACCAAAATACTAAATGAAAAAGAAGGAGGACTAGGAGGAGGAAAAGGAGAAGAAGGAACAAGAAGAAAGGGAGAAAAGCAGAAAAAAGGAAAGGAAGAAGGGAAGGAAGACTAAAGTAACCCCCTCCAGATAACTGTGATCTACCTGTTTAGAATGTGAGTCTACTACATTTTATTAATTCACTATTTTATATTCTTATAAATTCAAATCTTAAAATGAATGTATTGCTAGAAATACATGTGTTTCCATTGTTATTACTAACACTTTAAGTAACTATTTTAATTTCAGTAAAATGATTTAAGTGGACGCTTCATACCAACATCCTGTTTTTACATAAATTCTTTCATATGCATCTCCAGATAAAACGGGAAATCTGAGTGCAGCCCATTCTGTTGCAATTTTCTTCATTTTATGCCTAATTCCTATGGCTAGTAGGTAACCCCTTCCATTTCTCTGCACTCAATTTTCTTTTCTGCAGCCTTTGGAATAAACAGATTTTCAGTTTTCATTCAGTTCTGATATTTTGAAGTCTGCAGGAAATTTTAAACTTCTATGAGCCTAAAGTTTCCAGATTTCAGTAATGATAAATATAACTTTAGCAATACTCTTATGCAAGTGAAAAGGACATTTTATGTTAATTAGAAACATAAGGAAGTAGAAGCCCAAGAATTTTATTGTAAACTATGACACATTTAATAATTTTATCCTGATGGGAAACCCCATGTACAGGATTCAAGCCCTCAGCGGAGACAATAGGAGACAATAATCTCCCAAGAAGACACCATTTTATTTTCCAGTAATCTAGGAAATGCTTTCAGAGACCCTGCATAGAGGCTTTTCCAGAAAAGCCATATATTGTGAAAGAGGAATGGGCAAATATAACATTTGATTTTAAATTTCTGGTTTGATTAAATCTTCATTTTCATAATACATTTTTCTTTATCCTTTGTTTTCGGTTGTTGAAACTAACATAGGTTAATTTGATTTGTTGCCACTCGTTTACTTGATCAATACAAATGCCTCTGCTATTGCAATTTTTCAGTGACATACATACACTGGTAAGGCATCAGGTTCTGTCATTTCATATTATTTTGCTGCCTTATAGAAATGGCCTCTTTCCCTTTTCTTCTGACACAATCTGTTGTGAGAGGTCATTTCAATCTGCTCCATTTCTGAACAAAGTCTCTAAGATTGGTTTTGAGATTTTGAATTTCTATTTTAGCTCCCCGCATGAATGACACTAAGCATTCTGCCATGTGTTCTAAGTCATATCTCATACAGAAAGAGAGAAGGGGGAGAGAGACAGAGAGAGAGAGAGAGATGCCTTTATTTGAGCACTGCCATTCTGCATTGAAATACTCGATTTATCACACAGTCAGCTACAGGTTTCTTAATCAAGCTACTAATAATGACACTAATAATCCTCACTGTTCAGGTCAAAGTGAGCACCCCACTTTTTCTCCCTCTCTACAGCTTTGTGTTTTCTTTAGTGAGGCATTGCAGCCATACTGCTTCTATGAGCTTAAAAAGCCAATGGTTCACTAAGCAGACTTTTCCTTTACAGTTTTGTGCTACAGAAGACACTACTAGCAACTCTTTTACAACAAATGTGGCCTCTACAGTAGCACTTCCCACTCCCCTCTCCCCCTGGACAGAGTTATAATGTTTCAATTAAGTGTAATCCAATGTTCCTGGCATTTGCAATTGTTATTCTTTCCCTAGTGTTTGTAGTGACACATTGCTTTGATTTGACATCATCTTGCTTTTGGTAGAATCAAACTTCCCACACACTCCTTACATTTACCACTCTGATTAGTGGCAGGCTGAAGCGGCTAGGGGGTTGTGACTCATGGGCATTAAACTAATTTTGTGCCTGGTTCTTACCTCTTCATGCCTGGCCTGTCATAGGCCATCTCTATAAGCTCTTCTCAGGAAAGACCATTAGGAGACATAGAATGGGAAAAAATCTGAAGGCTGTTGACCAAATGATATATCAGGCTTTTGCCGCTTTGTCTTTGATGCAACCTAATATATGTATAATTTTGTGACCAGACTTTAACCCTGATTTGCCATCTTTTACTCCAAATCTTGTGCCAGAAATTCTCCCCAAAACACAAAATATGTGTCTTTTCATGCTAATTCCAACTGAACTCTTGACTATTTCAGCACTTACCTAACTTATCCAGTTGTTATCCTTACTTAAAATATGGCTCTGGACTTGGTATCTGACTGGCCTCCCCTCTAGATTTTTAGCTGTTAACTTTGAGCTAGGACAAATAGCATGACTCTAAGAAGATCATCACTGTAGCTTCATTAACAAGTGAAGTATTTCAAGCATGTTGTATTTTTTTTTCTATGAGAGATAGAAATTCAGGGCAAGAAGCCAAAGAGGCAGAAATTCAGAAGTATCAATTCATGAAGTGTAAAAAGAGAACAAGAGAGATGCTGTTAGAACAAAGAAGCCACCCAGAATATATCTGTTATTTCTCAGTGAGTCTGACCAATGATGCAACTGTCACTGCCTTCATATTGGCAAAGATAGGACCTCGGGATTATGCAAAAAGCCATTTCTACGTATGTTTTCTGGTTCTCTTAAGGACTGTCTCAGGAAACTTGAAGATAGAAAAGCAACCTCTTTTCAAATAGAGGAAACACATCTGTCTTGATTATTGGCCACCAGTATGAGTGGTGGATAATTCATTTATTCTGCCTTTAACTGTTTCTTGTGAAATGATTCAAACTCAGCATCTGAATCCATATTTATCTGGGTGTTAATGATGTTCCACAGGAAGGGTTACATTGCTGGCCAAGTTAAGAAGCTATTGTAAATTGGGGGCCACATTAAGGAGAAACTCTTCCTGTTAGTGTGACTGGAAACCTCTTTCACATTGTTGATGTGCATTAATATTCACTGAGTATATTTTGTATGTGTTCATATAATAAATTTACATAATAAACATAGCAAATTTAAGTTCATTCTCATTGCAGAAAAGATGCATTTGTTCTTAACAAATCCTTTCGTCTTCATGAAGTTTGAGTAAAAACAACCATTCAAATAGTCATGTGCCACATAACAACGTTTTAGTCAATGATGGATCACATGTATGATGGTGGTCTCATAAGATTATAATGAAGCTGAAAAATTCCTATTGCCCAGTGACATCATAGCTGTCATAACATTGTAGCACAACACGTCACTGATGTGTTTGTGGTGGTGCTGATGTTAAAAATCCTACTGCATTGCCATTTATCTAAAAGTATGGCACATACAATTATGTACAATACATAATACTCGATAATGATAATAAATGACCATGTTACTGGTTTATCTATTTACTATACTATAATTTGTATTGTTATTTTATAATGTACCTTTTCTACTTATATACAAAGGAAGTTAATTGTAAAATAGCGGCTTTCAGTAGAATCAAACTTCCCACTATTGTAAAGTAGTCCTTCAGGAGGTATTCCAAAGAAGGCATTGTTATTATAGAAGATAACAGATCCATGCATGTCAGTGTCTCTAAAGACCTTCCAGCGGAACAAAACATGGAGGTAGAAGCCAATGATATTGATCCTGACTCTGTGTTGGCCTAGGCCACTGTATGTGTTTACATAGTAGTTTTTAACAAAAAGGTTTGAAAAGTACAAAAAGAAAAGAAAAAAAAATTAAAATTTTAAAAATAGAATAAACCTTATAGAATAAGGATATACAGACAGAAAATATTTTTGTACATTATACAATGTGTTGCTGTTTTAAGTGAAATGTTTTTACAGAAGAGTCAAAAAGTTGAAAAAGTTTTTTGATCCCACAAATAAATGAGAACATCAGTGGATGAATGCTTGAGGAGATACATACCCCATTTTCATGATGTGCTTATTTCACATTGTATGCCTGTATCAAAACATCTCATGTATACCATATATATATATACACCCACAAAAATTAAAAATTAAAAAAAAAACTGTTTGGAGTTAAAAAATTTAAAAGGATACCAGTTATATACAGACATTCTGACCCCAAAGAGGAGAAAATTGAAGAAATAAAAGGAGTCATTAGTTCCAAACAATTTAAAATCAGCCAGGTAAATTTTATTTATATTATATATAAATTAATATTATTGTATTATATAATGATGTGATTATATTAAATTGTATTATAAATAGCTAGAGAAAAATATAAGCATCCATTGCTTTATTAGTTGTTTGTATTTCCAAGGTCTATTTAAATGTCAGTCACTTGAAAATAAAATGTATTTTCCTACAGACTCATATATTTAGCAGAGCGATTAGGTTTGCAGATCATTTGAAAAACTCAATTTTACTGATAATATAGCTGAATGAAAATATGAACAGCTTAAATTCTAAATTCTGATATTAATAGAACACTATGTAGAAAAAAAATGATGATTTCAAATAAATGTAAATCATTATTATAGTATTATACAATTGTCATTTTACATTGTCTTTGCATTTTACAGACATGCTCAATGAAGATATAATTTCACTAGAAAATGTCTATCATCTTTTCTAAACACCTACACCATCTTCTTCTTATTTTTTTTCTCAAGTCCTCAGGAACCCAGTGCTCTTTTTCTAATTTGTCTGTCTAGAAGGTTTTAGCAGCAGCATCCATGTTGAAAAAGATTAGCAACTAGGAAATAACGGTATAGTGTTGAGAAGGAGATATATCTATTTTTGCCTTTGTAGCTCTACATCCGGTAGCAGGCTTAAAAAGTAATCCACAGTCCAAGTTTATATACGTCTTGAACTATATTTTATTATAATACCCCATCAGCTTATTTTAAAATGTATATTTTTAATCCATCGGGAATCGATTTTATTATGTACTGTGATATGCTATATCAATACCATTTATTAAAAATTCTATTACTTTCCTTACTGACCTGATATACTTCCTTTATCATATACTTACTACATGTCCTTAGGCATGTTTCTGACTTTTATATTTTGTTACATTGATACTTGTTTCAACATCATACTGTTTAAATTACTATATCTTTAGAATGTAAGTTAACATTTTGTACAATGAGGCTGTGTCACTATCCTTCCAAAAATGTTTTTACAATTCTCACATTTTTCTATTGTACTCCAAATTAACTCATGAATCATTTGGCAAAATTCTTAAGAAAAATCCCTTGCTATACTGAATAATATTTTACTAAATTAATAGATTAACTCTGAAGAAATAAATTTTTATGTTATTAAACCCTCTGATTCAGTACTATAATAAGTCTGTACATACCTTTGAGTCTTCATTTACTATCTTAATCTTTTAATTTTCTTTATTTAGGTTAGTACTACAGTTAAATATTTTCTCACTGTATGTGACACTTTACTATTTTGAATTCTTTTACTGTTACAGGTTCTAAATCTAAGTTGCCTATAGCTGTTAAATATTATTTTGTGATTGACTCTTTTCCTTATTATATTACTGCTTATCATACTTCAATTGATTCAGGTGATTACCTTGGGCTTTCCAAGTACAGAGCATATAATCTATATGTAGTGTTGTTTTGTCTCTTTTTTTGATAATAGTTATGCCTATGATGTATTTTATAGCAATTAAATAGAGTATTCCTAAGTGTTGAAAGTAGAAGTGACTCCATAATTAAAAATTATGTGGTCTGTTTTAAGACAGTCTTTATCATGTGAAAGAGCTATTTTTTCATTTCACATTTTTAGCAGTCTTACAGAGAATATTAAATTTTATCAATTTAATATACAAAGACTACATTACTTTTCTCCCTCAAATTAACTGTCCTTAGAGTCTTTAAGTAAAACTTCCTTGCTTATGTAATACTGCTCAATTTGATTTGCTAATGATTTATAAAAGAGTTTTGTAATCTTATTCAAAAATGTGATTGATATATGTTCTTTGTGTTTTCATAATATCTTGTTTAGTTATTGGCGGGAAGAGTTTAAAAGAACACTAAATATTTCAAAATTTATATCTTTTTCTATAACCTGGAATAATTTAAATTGTATAAGTTATCAAAATATTAAGATTTGATATAACTATACTCAATAATATGTGCATATTCTCTGATCTCAAGATGTTTATACTCTAATTAGCATTCAAATTATTTCAAAACACAATGCTATTTCAGAAAACTTGTAAAATATTTCCAAGAGAACTAACAAGGAGTATAATGTAAAGAACTTTAGATTGAAAACCAGGATATCTAGGTTTTTGTTCAAATTCTGTCTCTAACTATATGATTTTTGGCTAAGTCTCTTGGCTGCTCTGAAGTCAAATATTTTATTTGGAAAGTAAGGTAGAAACTGATGACATCTAAGATCATGTGTTTTGTTGCGATTCATCAGAACAGTATATTTGCTCCATGTCTTAACTGTATTTTATTTGCAGTCCAATTCAAATTTTAATAAACTATGTTGTGAAGATTTGAAAAAATATTGTAAGTTACTGAGGAACAAATGCATGTGGCACAAGCCACATGTGGTATGCCGATACCACTGAAATTTGTCTCAGTACAGATGGTCAAATGAAAATATGTGGTGTTCGCTGAGAGAAGGTAAACGTGTCCTTAGGTCTCCCCTGCAAAAAAAAAAAAAAAAAAAAAGAACCATAGAACAGTGTTGTGACCCTCCAGCTGACCTTGCTTTGCTCTTTTATTGTCACGTCTTAATTCACCAGATAGTTGATGGTGAAGTATAAAAAGATGTTTTATGAGCCTCATTTTATTCTTATACATTTATAATAGTATCTACAGAATGTGAGCTCTTAATTCACATTTTATCCATCACTTATTTTATCTCCACAGATGTATGCGCAATTGTTCTTCTAGGACTCAGTTCAGCCCACAGATGTCTCCACAGCTGCTCTCTATTCCAAAGGGGAATTTTTTTCCTTGGAAGCAGTCATGTAAGGTTTTTGTTGTTTTGTTTTTTTTTTTATTTTTTATTTTTATTTAAAGTGTGGTAAAGACTTTTTCCTTCCCTCGACTTGGCGGTGGGGGCGGGGGTTGGTGGGGGTGGGGGGATCTTACCTAAAAGATGGCTTTGAGATTTGCATCAAGAAAACATGACAATAAAGCACTATCTGTATTTATGCTCATTCTTTAAATTCTGCTTAATGTTTTTGCATACTGTAGGCCCAAGAATTATAATCACCCAAAAGTTGAATCTTTTGCCTCCTGTTTCCATGACTGAATTGATATGCTGAGGCAAAGTAAAAACATCACAATTCATTCAGGGCAGGAAGAGGAAAAAAAACAATCAAACAAATGCCTAGTTTAGGCAAAATTGCCAATTTGAGAATAGCTTGGGGCTTGTGGGGAGTAAATGATTCAAATTGCTGCCTATATTATCTGCATTTACTGGGCTTATGAACTTTATAATTTTCTTTGTGTGGTAGGGATGACTACATAGTTTAATAGAATAAACTTGAGGTTATATCAATTATATTTTTGTCCATGTTACTCCAGAAACCTCTGAATATTTATATTTGTATAAGAAAGGTCTTCCCTTCAAACATCACCTATATTCAACATTAAGTGTCATTGAATGTTCAACTTGTAAGCAGCCTTAGAGAGAACTAAGGTCATTTCTCTCATTTTATAGATTATGAGCTGACAATCTGGATGATGACATGACTTACACAAAATCATACAGTCAGTCTGAGGTAAGAGTTAGATGCCTAATTTTCTGATGAATAGGTCATCAGTACCACATTCATTGTTCATCATTAGCTTAAACTCATCAGAGGTTAAAATTACCAAAGATCTCTGATGTTAGAATCTTTACAAAATTGAGATTTACTGCTTATTTTTTGGCTGTGTGTGTTTTTGGCTTTGTTTTATTTTTGTAGGAGATGGTTAAAACACTTGTGTAGAGCATTTAAGGAATAATAAAACAGTTTATTTCCTTTTGGGAATTAATGTAGCGGTGGAGATCTTTACAATTCAAAATCATAGGTAAAGTTATTTTTTAAATGTAAAGCAAAATTTATATACCAATGTTTTTAAGAGTGGTTATTTTGAACATTTTATTTAATTTGTTGGGATAGAAGTAGAAAAACACAAGCCAGGAAAATTAAACTTTATAGAAAAAAAACTTATGCCTCAATGGTTAAAAGTAGAATTTATATTGGCAATAGAACTATTGGAATATTGAGGATATTGCAGTAGAAACTATTGGAATATTGAGGATATTGCAATAGAAACTATTGGAATATTGGGGATAAATTAGAAATGTACTTTCATTATCATGGATAATAGATAATAGACACATAAGTGTACAAATGCAGAAATTATTGATTTAGACCAGTCTGATGTTATAAAACATAATTATACATCTATATGGCTGACAGAGCATACATTAAATTTATTGATGATTCATTCAGAAACTATTATTGCTAATATTTAAGCTACAGATTTGTTAGTAAACTTGGATCTTTTACAATACAATTTAAAATATTCATTAATTTAGATATTATATGTAGTATCATCACATGCTAAGCAAGCTGTTGATATTGCTTCTATTTCTCATTTGTTTTGTTGTTGTTGTTAACAAACCATACTGTTATTTCATTTGGTTGAGTTTCCTCATCTGAAATGACTTGGTTATAAAGACCTATGTATTTTGATTAGCAATTTTGTATAGTTGATTTTAAGATCTAGAGTTCCACAGCTGTTAATATATAATCTTATAAATTGATCTTTCCTTAGAATGATATCTATTGTACTAATAAAAATGAACTGATGTAATGTTTTTATGCGTCTATCTAGATATCAGAATTACATGGTAGATATCAGAATAACAATTTTTGATAGCTATTACTTGGCATGCTCTTTCACCAAGATTATTATTGGAGCAGTTTTGTTAAGAAGCATTTGTCAACATACCATATGCTGAAAACTATTTGTTGATTTAAAGTATAAGGGCTGAGTTTTCAAAAGGGAGATTTTGGTGTGCATAAAGTTATACACAGAATTGCATTTTCCCCACAGTTGCATTTTCCCCACAATTACCTAGTCATGCTATAGACTATCAACTACATATTTTTTTTTTAAGTTTTGCTTTGCTTGCAAAAATAATATTTTTTCTTTCCCTCGTTTTCAACAAATTTATTACTGCATTTCTTTGATTCATATTTTATAAAATATTGGACCTACAAAATCATTCTTTTCCATGTTACTCTTGAGAAAGTTCTCTATTTCCAAAAAATTTTCTTCCTTTAAGCAACCAACTTACAAAATGAGAGAAATGGCTTTTGAGAAATGGTTTAGAATAATAAATCATCAACTGGTATCTTTATACATTTATGTGTTACATTTATATATAATTCATATATAATATATAATTTATAAATATATATATTATAAAGATATTAAAGGAAGATTACTCCTCAAAATACAGAAAAATTATAATAGCTGTCACAACCTCTATAAAATATTGTCTTCTAAGATTAAAATATGAAGAAACTGAAGTAATCTATGTGTTGACTCTGTTGGGATGTAAAGTAATTTTATGAATTAGGATTTGATTTGGTCTTTTAGTCTTGTTTGCTATAGGTTCACTAAAAGTTGCAGACATTTGAGCATTTTCATGTCATTCTTTTTTTTTTTTAATGATAAACTCTTATTCTGCCAACAACAACAACAACAACAATGTGTAACTTGGATACCAGTTCCTTTTAATGAAGCTTTTGAGTCTTACAAAATATGATTAATCTGATTAGCGATTCAGCCTCCTTTTATGCTTACATTATCTAACACAAAGAGCCCCCCTACAGGTTAAAGTTTAAATGTGGATTACCAGATAAAGCTAGTCCTGACGAGGTTTCTATGGTGCAAGGAAAAATTGGATTTGCTTTTCACCTCATCTCAGGCTCTGTCATCCTGGTTTTCGCCTTGTTCACAGCAAGGATATTAATTTTGCAGTAAAATCTTTAAGCAATTATGCAGATAGCGCTGAAAATGCAACATACACACACAATAAGAGAAGC
Organism: Homo sapiens; assembly: GCF_000001405.40. NCBI lineage: Eukaryota > Metazoa > Chordata > Mammalia > Primates > Hominidae > Homo > Homo sapiens. Next base: position 148,093,017 of record NC_000003.12, on the reverse strand, counting down.
TTAACTGAAAAATGGACCCCAGATATTCATTAAAAACAGATGGCTACATTGCCAACAGCATAACTTTGGATGTTTGGGCTAAGCTGATATTAATCTGCCACAACATGAAGAGAGGATGAAACTGCTGGTGTACAAACTGTATGTATTGCTTCTTCTTTTTGCTTAAAAAGGAATATAATGATGATTTATGACTGCCCTTTTGATAAATGTCCAAAAAAGCACTCAGAAGTGAAGTAACATTTTAATAGTACTTGCTCTATCAAGTACTGATGCTCATTTTTGAGACACGTGTGGAATATGATAAATCATATTTGAAAATTCTTATTTTTCAAAAATTGTCATGGAAGTAGATGCAAGGATTCCATTTAAAAATCAAATATATATATATATATATATACACACACACACACACACACACATATATATTTAAATCTGTTTAAAAGAGGGACTATTTTGATTATAATATTTCAAAATCACTATAAAACACATTCGAATTTATCTGATGACCTGAGGACATCTTGACAAGAAGATAATTTTCTCTTAAATGACAAAAAACAACTATTTGTTGTTTATTTGCTCAGTGGAAATAGTAAAATTTTCAATCTAAACAAAATAAAGTAAAATAAATCAGAAAAATGTTTGGCAAGTCTTCCAAGTAAAGCATGGATGATAGAATCCATTGAGATAATTGCTACAGTGATAAATGCATAAAGTATATGTTTTTATCATTTATAATTATTAAACCAAAGTAAATAATTGAACAATAAGTTGTACCTAAAACTATACACATGCAATAAGTGTTAGAAGATTACAGAGGACTTCAACCAATGCTTTCTTGTTGGCCAAATTTATCTAACCACAGAAGCTACTTTCTGGACAGAATTGTCCTTATGGTATTACATGGACCGAATAATACCTAGTCAGACCACCATAAGGACAGCCACATTGAGTGTTGGGTCCAAAGACTAATTGAAACACCTTGACATTATTCTACTGCTTTATCTACATTTTGAAGACTGAACTGGGAATCACTGTTTGAAAACGGTCTTTATTACAACTAGAGAGTTTATTTTATCCCTTGAGTGTTAACCATTATTTTTTTCTTATATTAAAAAACTTTATATTTATTGTAGAAAAAAATTAAACAGATACTCTAAAGATAAGAAAGTTCAGATCATCCCCAATCCTACTACCCTGAGATGACCACCACCAATATACTTTTAATACATATTTTAAGGTATTTTTGATATAAATAAATGTATATTTTTTAAAAATTGAGATCCAGCTGGGCACGGTGGCTCACACCTGTAATCCCAGCACTTTGGGAGGCCGAGGCAGGCGGATCACCTGAGGTCAGGAGTTTGAGACCAGCCTGGCCAACATGGTAAAACCTTGTCTCTACTAAAAATACAAAAATGAGCTGGGTGTGGTGGTGTGCACCTGTAATCCCAGCTACTCGGGAGGCTGAGGCAGGAGAATTTCTTGAACCTGGGAGGGGAGGAAGAGGTTGCGGCGAGCTGAGGTTGGACCATTACACTCCAGCCTGGGCGACAGAGCGAGACTCTATCTCAAAAAAAAAAACAAAAAAACAAAAAAAATGTTGTGATCTAACTGTTTATTATGGAATCTGCTTTTATTACTTTTATTCTTCCAACAGTCTATGTAATGACTATCAGTTCTATAGAATCCAATGTTTTTCCAGATCCTTATTTTACTGAATCCATAGTATTCCATTGTATGAATAATTAAAAATTCATTTTACTAACCCTCTATTTATGGTAAACAGGATGGAATTTTTTATTACTATTAAAAACATCACAAAATTCATCTATTTAGCTAAAATTTGTATGTAATATATGTGTTACCAATTAGCTGATCCTCTAGCATTATCCTCTTTCACATGTAAATAAACATTTTCTTGGGCAAAGTATACTCCTAGAAAAAACATTCAACAAGCTCTTTTGTTTAACTCAACCTATTTTTTAAAAAATGTATATTTATAGTCTGACTAAAATAACTTGTTGCTAATGGAAACTATTACTTTATGTTAATAACCTTAAAATAAACCTTTTCAACCTAATCAAATTTCTATCAGCATTCTCTATGTTGCTTCAGCCATGCTGATCATTTGCTATTCCTCCAGCATGCATTCTATTCTTAAATACCATCAGACCTTTACAGATGTGTTTCCTCCTAATGTCCTTGGACTACACTCAAGTTGCTGTACTAAATTATCAACTACCCTGTGAACCCCTCATTTAACCCCATCTGTGATAGTCATGTGCTGTTCCTGTAGATAACCTCGTGTGCTAATCTCTATTTAAGGTCTTTTTTTTAAATCAAAAGTATTTGTTTATATGTTCTTCTTTTTCAATGGGTTGTGAACAACTTCAGGTTGAGGTTTATGTCTCATTCACTTTTTATTCCCAGTACTTGATGAAATGCCTAACATCTACTAGGCATTCTGAAATGTTCATTAAACTAAATAATGACCTGAGGATATCTTGACAAGAAGATAATTTTTTATAAACGACAGAAAACAGAAGCACAGCTACCTTCAGCAGGTCCTGACTGGGGCTGCACAGGGCTCAGCCAACTCTGGTGGCCTCAATGTCATTTTAAAGGATAAAATGAGCTTGAAGCTTTGAGTTTCCTTCTCCCTTTCACCACTGTGAATGATTCAAACGTATGTATGCACTCACCACCACCTCCCAAAAAAACCCTAATTTGGCCCCATCTGTTGGTGAGCATAAGGAGATATGGTTAGATTTTGAAGCAAAGGGAAGAAGAAGCAGAATAGTGATTGAATAGGGATTTGACATTCTTAGGGATTGTTATCCTGTCCTTCCATTAACAGGACTCTTTAGGCAAGGTGAAGGAGGAAAATGACATTATTACAATTACCTTTAAACAAATAAGCCCTAGATGCAGAACAATCTTAACTTTATGTATTAATATTCATTTGTAACTATTGAATGTGTGCTGTTGGTGAAACATCACATTAGATTTTCGTAATGGTGGCATGACCGATGGCTCTGAAAATTTTTTTGTTCCACCTTCCTTGTATTGAAGCCATATAGCTGTAAAGAGAGACTTAGGAAGCCAGAGAAAGGAAACTTTGGCTCACCCAAAAATCCATCTGAAGCAGTTCAAGGAAACATAATTCCAAAAAAAAAAAAAGAGAGAGAGAGAGAGCTTCCCCTTATTGGAAGGAGCCAGAAAGAGCAACCCACTGGGGTGGGGGATGACTTAGAGGGCTGTCTCCCCACTGTTTGTGAAGTTGCACTACATGATTTCCAAATGTCTTCCAAATCTAGAGTCTATGAATGGTTATAACTATTTATGCACAAAAGCCTCCATCCGGAATCATCATCCCACTCACAAATAATTTTCATGTCTTTTATTTCACATTTTTCTTTCCAAATGAGAAATTAGACAGACTCCTTTATGTTTCATTTTAAAGAATGTCTAGATTAAATTTGGGAATAGGGATTCTATATCTAGATGTAGATATAAGCTTTAAAAGCTAACCTATTGAGTGGATATTGAAATCTTTAGAAATCTTTTTCTTATATCAAGACTATTTTCCTGTGTTTGCATCTGTCATGACAAGTGTGATTAAATATTCTGGCAATGGTATTCAACAGGCATACTATCACAAAAACAATTTCTGTGGCTTGAAAAGTGATGTTTAAAGCCATTTCAGTGATACCAAATGTTTCTTTGAGGTTAACATCTTGTGACAGGAAATGAACACAGCACTAAAAAAAAAAAAAAAAAAAAGTGCAGCTAGGCATCATATGAAAATTTAGTATATTTTCTTATGAAGAAATTTCCTTAAACAGATACTTACTTTAAACTTATTGGTTAATAGTATTATATACTGTTAAATAAGAATACTTATTTTTTAAAAAAGACCTGGGAAACACATAAAGGTTAAAACACAATTTTATTTTTAATTGAAATTGTTTTTAATAAAATCTCATGAGTGTTTTTAAGCTCTGAGTATTCACATTTGAATATGGTGAAAGTGTGTATATTTAAAGAAGTAAGCTATTTAACATATTGTGTAATATGAGCCAGATAATCTGCTTTGATAATGAGGACCCTGTGCAAGTAAGGCAGAGACCATGATCCCAGGTAGAAGGCAAAAAAAAGAAAAAAAAATCAATCTATTTCAAGGCCAATAGCAACACTCTAACACTCCATTCAACCCTACCGAACATACCTGCATGGTCTCAGCCACTCATCCCTATAATTTGACAAGATAACCAAAAGTATATTTGGTACCGATGGTAGTTAAGAGTTTCAAATGTAAATTTCTACTTTCATATTATTATTTTTGTTTGTGCAGTTGGTTAGTTTGCTGTGTAACTGACTTTGATGCAAATGACATACTATGATACAACATATTAAGAATAATTGGAACTTGAATGTACTTACTTTCTCATAGCCTATTTTCCTTCTTTTTAAAGAATGGGACAAATAATGTTACCAAATAAATGTTAATCAAGGTATTTAGGAAAGAATATGAAAAAGTTTAAAAGTATTATTTAAATGCTATTATTCTACTTATTTTTACCATAAAAATTGTAACTCAGTCTAAAATAATTTTATATTTATAAATGAAATATATGTGAGTCTATAAACATACCTATGTATTCTCAACAAGATAATTTCATGTGCCCTATTTTATCCCTCCCAGAGAAGCCATTAGTTGGAGTCTCTAAGAGTCACTAGTCAGACTTCACATAGTGTTGCCTCAATATTTGCCACAGGTGTCTGATGTGGTGCAGCCGGAGAAACAGAAAAGCCATCATCTTTGTTGTGGCCATGAGTGCGATCCTGGGCGAGTGGTCACAAGTTCCAGGAGATGGACCTATGTATTGTTCATGGGCCACTGCAGCTCCTCACTTGTGGCTTGATCACTTCCCTATCCAGCCAGGAAAAAACAAAAAACAAAAAAACGAGACAAACAAACAAAAATATACAGCGATAGGAAAAAGATAATTTATTCTCAGGCCCAGGGAGAAGTTGTCTTTAACACTTTTCAGAGAGAGTATACCTAAGATCCTATGAAGATAACCAGAAGAAAAGTAATACAATTACAAAGTGCAATGGGCCCAGGGTCCTGTAGGTGATATTGGATTCAGTTAATGCATTCTTCATGATTTCTCATTTGAGTTCTTATGCTAAAAGTCTGGATGACTCTGGAGGCTAGGCATGTAGCTTAAATAGGTGGATCCAGATGGATGTGTTTCACAGTACATGGAGAAAGCACTGTTGACAAAGATGAAGTAGAGAATTCAGACCTCATAAAAAAAAAAAACCCACAGCAACTCAGCCGCTACCCAACACTGCTACAGCAGTTTCACTCTTGCCATCTTTCTGATTTTTAAAGAGCACCTAGGAATCTGGATTTTAATGGAAAATCTAAAGTTCAGAAGTTGTCAATTCAATAATCATAATTTAAAACTCTGTGTAGCACAAACAAAACATGTCCATAGGCTGCTTTCAGCTCATAAATATGTGCTTCTACTGGAAATTCTGAGAAAACTAAGACTGGGCTTCAAGCTTTCAGATTTTGTGCCTACTATTGTCTCTTGGTACCACATAATAATTACTGGTACCACATAATAATTGACTTTATAAAATAATTAGACTTAGTTGACAAAGCACCTTTGATGTAGAGCTGGAAAATCTTAAGTTTTGCCAAGACATGCTACAGTAATGCTCCATTATATTTCAAGACAATATCTGGTTAAAAACTAATTCAGATAAAATAATCCATATTTTAAAAGCTTACTTATATCTTTCCATTTCTTCTGTTATGGAATGGACTTTGGTAGTTAAGTCTACTTACCAATCTGGAAACAAAGCCTTTAATTTTGGTTTATCATTAAAAAAAAATGGGAGGAGCTAAATTATTTATTTTTAACATCTGAGAAAAATAACATTAACACAAGCATAATTATAATATGAACACTAGCATTGGTTATTTGATCACCTGCAATTATGAGTAAGTGCTTTTAAATTTCTTTATATGCAATATTTTGGCATAAATTGGTTAACATCTACACTTACCTTAAGATATAGGTACTATTATTGGCCTCATTTTACAGATGAAGTTACTGATGATCCAAAAAGTGGAAGCCATTTGCTCAAGGTCACACAGCTAGTACCAAGGCAGCTTAGTTTGTGAATGTGAGTGTTTAAGCAACATGTTCTACCATTCCTATTACTACCTATACTTATATTGAGTCCTTTGATGAGCCAGATATTCTCATCACCCCAATAGCCCATGAAGAACATGTTCTTATCCTCATTCATAGGTGAAAAAAGTGACGCTCCAGGATGGTAATAATTTGCCCTTGTTTGACAGGGCAAATGGGTCCCAATCCCAGATTTGACATCCAAAGCTAGACATATTTCAATACATCACAGTGCTACCAGAATGTAATAATTTCAAAAAAAATCTTAAATGGAACCTAAACCACTTCTGTTTTGAATAAAAATCATATTCTTTGAGTTTATATTCAGTGTTGATATAGGCTAATTAGACAAAATATAGCTAATGAATTAAGTCTTTTAAAGCTCTTTAAGATTTCTATTCATTTCAAGATAAAATAATCTCTTTTCCTTAACATCAATCATTCTTCTTCATATGCAATGCTTGTTATTCATCTTAAAACATATATTTATTATGTTTTAACAAGTTTTAAACTATCTCTTTTCTGTCCTACTTAATCATTAGATCCCAATTTAGAATATGAGTAATGTTTTAAGAAAACAGACAATCTCTTAATTCTGAATTATTTTCAGAATTGAAAGAAAAAACTTTCTACTGCCTTTCCGTGATGGTGACACCCAGCTTATTTTTATTATCATTCTGACCTTTTTAAGCTATAATTTTTAATAAACATTTTGTTAAATGATTATTGAGTTACTGCTTAGAATATTGTATCACAAGAAAATTATAATTAATGCTTGTAATTTCTCTTTACTACTCAGATCTTACATTCTTTTGGAGGAGAACATTACCGTTTTCTCATTTACATATATATAAATCATATAAATTGGCACATTCCTACTAAATGAAGTTTCACTATATTTTTATATAAAATACTAGACATATCAGCAATTTTAGGGAATATTTAAAATAGTGGATACCTTACACGTTATTAATTGGCTCCCAGTCAACTGGAGCAGAAGTACATTCAAGCGCAGATACAATTTCTCAATTTGAATAACCATTTTATATGAATTTAGGGGATGTAAAAACTGTGCTTTTGCTATATATATCTCCACATTATGCCTGAAAAGATTTAACATTGGAATTGCACTAGTAGAAACTTGCAGCTTTTATTACCAAAAGCAAGAATACAGGGCTGTGGGAAAATCTGATAAACCAAACTCTAAGACTCATGACTTAAAAGCTCAATTTTTCCTCCCCCCACCCCATAATGTTGACCTTGGTCTGGTCTGTTTCTCTCTGATTGTTTAAATTGCATTCTCCTTCACGGATGGTGGTTTCTTATTAAATTATTTATTGATGTGACTGACACTAGTTGAATAGATTCATTAAATTTCACAAGTTGTTAGAGCCTAGTTCACTGGAAAGAAAAACCCCTCTTTAGACTCTTTAAAGGACAAAAAGCGTCATGTTTTTTGAGCTCTTTTAAAGTATTTAATAAAGCATGAAAAGATATGACATCAATCCTACTAAAACACAAGAGAAAATGAATGATGTTACTGTAAATCTTTACATCAATCACACCCAATACTTTGGAAAACAATATAGTTTTGTTTGCATTTCAGAAGTGACAAACAACTCTTGTGACTGGCTTAACATAGTCACTTTCTATTAGTCAAGACCAGAAGCAAGTCAGAATTAAAATGTGGCCCTGCGTTGCTAGGCAGCTGAGTTGTCTTGACATGGTGGTTAGTTTCCTTTTCACTGACTGACAACAGTGAAATGAAAGAAGTTTTGAAAAACTTGATAATGGTTTTCAAAGGAGGAGGATAATTGGTGGTGCTCGCTTGTGCAGTTCTGTGTGGAAACTTTCAGGCGGCCGTGAGAGAGGACTGTCACTAAAAATTTAAACTCTTGTACACAAACTTGACCTAGAGTCTTCTCCAGGTTTTGGCGGTTCACTTTCAGAACACCCCTCTGAGACCAAGGGGTGTAGGATGAAAGCATTAAGACAGATGGGTAAAGCCCCAAAAGAAGAAAAGAATCAATAGTTGTGATTTAATCCATTGATGAAAAGGAGGAATTAAGTAAAATCTTAAAAATTAAGAATATGTAAAATAACTTTAGATAGCACCCGTGACAAAAATGTTTTAATTGCATAGCGAGTTGCAACTGAGCAGAAACTTGCATCAAATGCAAGAAATAAAGAAAAGTACATTTTTCTTTACTAAGCCAGAAAGAAAACAATTGCCCTGATGTTATTTTTAAAAATATTCTCTAGTTGATAATTTACCTCAAAATGTATCTCCAACATAACTCCCAAAGCATAGAAATAATTACAGCTTAAGCATTTGTTGTCTGTGGCAATAATCAAATATAGCATATATTTAACTAAACAAACAAACCAAAAACTCAAAAAACACATACACAGAAAATGCATGTTGCTCACTATTTCATCCAAAACCACCTAATGCAAGAACATTTTAACTATCTTTGCCATTAATTTACCCAGAATTTTAAAAACTGAGCAAAATGGACTCATACTGAAAGAAGGGACCAATTAGTGTTGGATTAACATTCATGGTTATTTACAGTTGTTTTTGTACTTGTTCTTGTGCTCTGACTTCCTAAAATTTCACAACCCAAAGATTTAGAAAAATGGGGTTGTTTAGACGCAAAGTGCAATGAAGTGGCTGTGACCATTGTGTAGACACCACCTCTCTCATTATACCCTCTCAATCAACGCTCAGTACACAGGAAACCGCAATAAAGCCCATCTGCCACGGTTAATCTGCAGGCAAACCCACACCCATGTCTATGCCCGTTGCTCTCCAGCCTTATTATTCTCAGATCCAAAGCTTCATAAGGGATCAGCCAAAGTCCATTAAAGTAAATAATAGCTAGAAATGACAGGCTTAGCAAGGATTGGGAGGAAGTTGAAGACCAATCTGAGCTCTGAGCTCTGATTAATAGAGAAAAGCATTAGGAGAAAAGGGGAGAAAAATGACCTCAGCCTGCTCCAAAGAATTCCTGAACCTTCGTTGTTAGGGCAAGTGCTACCATCTGAGACGTTAGTGATCCTTGAATTTCCTTCACTTTGATGCAGCTCAAATGGGAAAATTTTGAAAGTTCAGCAAGGCCCCAGACCTCAGCTGGAAAGCTGTCTGGAGTCAACCCTGTCAAAATTCTCTTGTGTAAGAGAAAGCCTTTATTAGCTAGATTGCAACAACAACAATAACAACACCCACAAATGCCCTACACAGTCTCGTAAGGAAGGGCTGCTGCTAGAGATTGCAGATGCAGTTGCTATTTCTTTGCATATAGTCATTTTTAAAAAGTCTCCAAACAAATGTAGTAAAATAAAACAATAGTGATTCTCAAAATAAACGCCTTTCAGGAACTAGCTGGATTTAGTCTGCTGGTAGGAAAGTATATGTGTATTTGTGTGTGTGTGTGTGTGTGTGTGTGTGTGTGTGTGTGTGTGTGTATGGGGGAATGTGCTTGGGAGGGTATTCAAATATTCAGTTTCATCTTGATATTTAATATTTATTTTCACTGTGCAACACAAAAAAATCTTTCTTGAGCAGTTCAAACTTGTTAAGTCAAGATAGAATCATAATGTGTTTTAGTGATTTCAACTGCATGTTTTATATAAATTGACCAGGAAAAAAAATTCCAAATTAGTTGCAAAATAATTTCTCCTCTTAAAATTTTAAAATTATTTTACAGCTTCTGTGTGATACACTTCCTAATGAGAGGAGCCCAGGCAATGTCATCTCCTTCTGTCTCTGTGCCCCACATTAAGTGTATTTCGTCTTCAAATAAGACAGTTTTCAATTTTGGTACAGCTCTTAACAGTGCTTTGAAGAAATCTATACCTGGTAGACCTATTTGTAATAAATAAGAAATTTCAAATCTGCTGTATAACTTTTAAACACGATTTTCCTTGTATAAAATTCCATATTCTATGTGAAATGTGGATTGAAATTAGAATAGTAGAGAAAGCTCAAAAACTGTGAAGGCTCTTTTAAAGTAAGAGCTGAAGAAAAACAAAGCAGCCCCTGCTTATCTGAAATCCCAGTCTGAAGGGGAGAAAGCATTTGGCAGAGGCAAGCAGGTACTGGGAAAGTCCCATGGATTTCTTAGGAAGATAGTAATGATCCTGATGAGGACTTGATGTCAGGGAGGCTCACCTTTGAATGTATTTCTTGTTCAAGTTTATATTGTAGCATGCAATTTTCGTAAATAAAATGAAGGAGCAATGTAAAGAACCATGGTTAAATCATAGTGTTTCACAGATATCGCTGATAACTTGGTTAATGCACTGTTGATGTGCACGTGGTACAATTTTCATATTTTAATCTTAAGTAGAACATGAAATGACAATTATGAAAAGACAAAATAGATACCACCAACAGCTGTAATTGCTATCTAGGCTGCTCAAAGATGGGCAAAAGACACAGTAAATCAATATTAAGTTCTCCAGAAATGCAGGTATCACAAGGACATCATATAACATCATTATAAGCAAATTCTTATACAATTTGGACAGTTGTAAAGAACACAGGATTAACACAGAGAATGAGAGGATAACTTGTCCTCTGTAACTTCAGTTGCTATCTTATGGAAAAAATAAATCTCTGGGACTCATGACTATGTAACATTTAGTTAAGGCTGTAAACCTTGTTGGCTTTAATAAATGAGTACGGTTTCTTTTTTCACAATTTAATATGTAAAGATCATAAAGGGTTAAATGGTTCTGCCATGTGTAATTATAATAAGTTGAAATTTAACAGTCTTAATACACTGACTTACATGAAATGCTTTTGTATATAATAGTATATCCTAGGCCTACATTTTGTGGTGTTACAGAATACCTAATTAAACTTGTGGGTTAATAAACCAACTAAACTTAAAAAAAAACTATTAAAGATTAAAGGCATGGTATAAATATAATAAAATAATGAAAATTGAAACTGCAAACCTTCGGGATTAGAAATGAAATGGGAAAAAGGCAACTAGATAAGGAAATAAACAAGAGCTTCAAGGAAAAGATATAACAAATGCAACAAATATGTAAAAGTAGTTTGGTCATAAAATTAAACATTTGCATTTCAGGTTCTAGTTTTAGAGTGTAATCATTTAAATGGCCTAGAGAAAGTAGTTCTGATTTTATTCACATCTTTCTGGGGCTGTTAGTTTCCCTTGTGGGAAATGAAACAACACATAGCCCAAAAACTTTTCATAAATTCTTATTGATTTTTTGCACATATTCATAAGTTATTTATGTATTTATAAATATTGGAGAAATATTTCACATTTCAATTGAGCATTTTAAATTTTTAAATGAAATAAAATGTTTAGAATCTATTTATTCCCTTATCTTCTTCCTCATTCCCATAATTGAGCCTCATTGAATTGAATTCACAGGCTCTTCCACCATTACATAGAGAAGCAATATAAAAGAAACACTTTTCATCATTATTATCTAGTTTACATAAAAATGCTGTAAAAATGGAACTAAATTTGAATCAATTTGAGAATTATTTGGTATCAGAAAATAATCTATTCGTCAAAAGGTTATCAATTAGAATCAAATTTCTTTGTGTGTGTGGTAATGACAAACAAGAAAAATAAACAAAAACATATCAATTGTTTACCATGTGGTTTTGCACTTCCACAAAATTTTTATCTCTTTTGAACATTGTATTCATGTTGGCATTCGATGATAAACATACCTAAGTTACTTTGCTATTTATATAAATTAAAAAATTAAACGTCCGTGTAATATATTTTATGCACATGCGAAACATGTTTATAAGTAATCAAGTGCATGTTATTATGCATATTATGGCATATACTGCTCCATATGCCTTATCTCACATAACATGCACAAATAAGCAACTATTAGGTTGGTGCAAAAGTAATTGCGATTTTGGCAATTAAAAGTAATGGCAAAAAGTGCAATTACTTTTGCACCAATATAATAGATTTTATGACCTTGAAATACACATTTTTTTACTCACTAAATGCCACTGAAATTTTAATTTTATTCCTGCAAAGCATGAGTTTTAATAATAAATCCACTGTGTACATAAATGGGATTGTTATTCCAAATGCTCTCCATTAAACTGTACAATAGAATTGACATTATAAAATAAAATATAAAACAATTTCTCTTTGGGTACATTATATTGCTGTTGACACTTAAAACTGCATTACTTTCTGTTCTTGGTATCAGAGCAGAATATTTAAAATGAAAACTACTTTTCTTACCCTTTTACTGAAGACTCAAAAACAGAAGGCTATTACTTTCTGCAGTAATAATGATCTTCAAATTCTCTACATAAGAATGAATTAAAACCTTTACATTAACCACAAGGTGTCTCCAATCTGTAATTCTCTAGATTTTCCCTCCCCTTCATCCTCATTTTTTGGTGCAGAGTGAATATATACAATCAGATTGCCACATTTGGAAACTTCAAGAAGATTCATTCAGATGTAAATTGAAAGTGTATATTTTAGAAGGGACTTTATCAAACTGAAATATATATAATATACTATACATAAGTAACGTTATATATGTCATAGTTATATCTATTATATAATGATATATATATATCACATGCTTATAGTATAGCACATGTTTAATAAGAATTTATCAGTTATTTTATGAGTATATATTTTGGAAGTTGGCCTCTTAAAAATAGTGACACAACACCAGAAAAGAAAAAGAAAAAAAGTTTAACATCAAAGCATAGCTTGTTTTAGTTTATTCATAATCAATATTTAATTTTTGAATAATCCTATCAGCCAGCTATAACCAATTACTCCAAGAAAATAAAAATTTCATAGTGGACTATGCACATCAAATAGCCACAAATACAACTAAAATCTTGTTTTTTACCGACCAAAACTATTAGTGAGAAGTAATTACTAAAGCCAATCTCATTATGAAATATGAGTATATAACTGAATATGTAACTAAATATGAATATATAGAATAAATCTGATTTAAAAGAATTCCAACTACAGAAAGTCTAATCCAAATCCATGTATGGCTTATCTCTCTCTTTACCCAGAAAGATAACGTGTATGTGTGTGTGTGTGTGTGTGTGTGTGTGTGTACGTGTGTGTACGTGTGTGTTTAATGGGATGCTGTTTATCCCACTATATCTTACCACTCTGTCTCTTTGGATAACAATCACAGGACCCAGATGCTAAGGGTAAGTGATATTTTCCCACAAGCGGCTTCTGGCTCCTTGGCAGACGTAATAGGCAGTTGTGTTGGCAGTCGCAGTGCTGCCTCTGGCTCTCTTGTGTGGCTTTGCTGTTGAGAGGATGCTTGGCCTGCCCTGTCCTCCTGGATACCATTTCCCTCTGACAGCCCTTGGGTTTTGTGAGGCTTTATTCTGTACAAATCCCTTGTGCAGTCTCTGGATGAACTCTCTAAAGGCAAAATAGAGCCTTTCTTTCTGGTTGTGTTTAATGATCAGCTGAATTGCAGGTCCAGGTACTCAGGAAAACCAAAACCAAAACCAAAACCAAAACTTTTCCAATTTTTTCTGGCTACTTTGTTTTAATTTCTGATCTTGTTTTCACCCTGAGCACATTGTATCCCAACTTAATTGCCAGCAAGTTGGCCAAATGATTTTGTATAAATGTTGTGCTTTCAGATTTTTATGTTGTAATTTACATGATTTTTAAAAGTCCTTTGTTTTCCCATATTTACCATCATAAACAAATTTGAAGATTTATTTTAGATCATAAATAACAACATAGAATATCTCCTGCAAAAAATGTAAGAAAGGAATTTCATGATTTTACCAAGTGTGATTGGCTGATAAGCTATTTAATGAAATAAAAGTAGTATGCTTCTGAAATTGATAGAGAAGTAATACTTCATTCCTTGCATGCTTGTAATTTGGATGACATTTTGAAGCATGTGCTCAAGTTGTACAAACAAAAGCACACAGCAGAGCCAAACATGGTTTCAAAGACACCAATATAGCTAACTGTCTGCTGAGTAATTTGTGACATTTTCACACATTTCCTTTCAGTGATATCACAAAAGTAGTCACAAGTGTGTATCATGGATTAAATGATTCTCTGCCTTACTATATACCTGACCACAATCCCCAAGGCAAAACAATATTTTGGGATACTGATAGCTGTATTTTCTTTGTAAGCTGAAATATTAACAAAGACCTAGAGTTTCCTAAAAGAAATATTAGGAGCATTTTGATAAAAAGGCTCATTCCAATTAAACCTGGGTTGAAATGTATTTCTTTCCAGTCTGCCATTTTTATCTCATATGACTGTAAAATTCTAAAATTATTGATGCTGTGTTTTATAGTTTAACAAGTGAATTACTTAGCAGTCAAAAAAAGACTATACAAGTTTTATATGGGTCTTCAGATAATTATCTAAAACAGTTTCTTATTAAATAAGACTTCATGTGCTTTATGAAAAACTGGAATGTGTAGTGTCATAATATTATAAATTAAGAGCAAATGTAATTTAAAGAGGAGCTTCACTGAAGCTTCTAGGAGAAATAAAGATCATACCTCTTCTTGACAGCTGTGATTCTGTTTTTACAGACGTTGTTAATGTTGAACCCTCTCTGATGCAGAGTATGTTCTTACTGTAGCCAATGTTCTGCAAACCATGTGCTTCTAGCTCAGTGGAGAAATTAACCACATTCTAATGTGACTTCAATGTTCTATGACATGTGATAAATCCGTGTTCTGAAAGAGCATTTCTGGTTAAATTAGCATAAATCCTCAAAGATTATTGACAATTGGGTTGCTATCAAGCATATATTCTTCTTTTTTTCCTGGATTGACTTTGCTCTTTCTTAAATATAGAACATTTAATAAACATTTGTGGAAACAAAAAAATGTTAAGTAATTTTTTTACAGCATTTTGACCTTTTCATCTTCCAGTTCTAACTGGGAAATGTGGCATTTTCAGAAAAACTATTGCTAAAGCTTGGCTTCTCATTTTCTACAATATATAAAAACTCAAAAGATTGTAATTACATATTCTCTACACTATTTGGTGTTAAGTTTTACTATACTCCTCTGCTAGTAAGTTTTTTTTCTTTTTCCTTATTAAATACCTGCATTATTCTGTTTGGGTTTTCCCCCTCACTAATTAGTTTTTGGTAATGTAGAGTTGTATTTTAAAGACCTGAAAACAAATCGTAAATAAGGTACATTTATTAACAACAGAGTCCCTGGTTAAGATTCTCTAAAACAGCAGAAAGAAAGCTAAAACTATTTTTTGTTCTCTTTTTACCAGTAGGTGTCACTACTGGGACTAAAAGGTAGTGATCTCAAGCCATCTAACAGAATTTAATTTTAAGATCAAGAATTACCTGTATGATCCAAAGGTAATTTACTGAGCCATGCTAACCAAACCACCCTGTGAAAAGTTACTTGGTCAAATTTATCTCAAAATCTCAACTAAACATTTGAAATACACATTTGAAATGTGAAATGACCCTACTAACAATATGCTGGCAAGGGACCCTGAGATATCAGATATTACAGCAAAAAATAACTCATGGAATTTTTGAAAGATATAAGAGAATAAATGTAATTTGAATAGTATTTCGGTATGATCAGATTTCAAAAATATTGGATATAAAAATGTTGTAAAACAAGAGGATTAGGGTTTTGCCTTTTGAAAAGTTTCAAGATTGCATGTAGTGTTACCATAATATTCCACACTTGAACAAAGACATTTATGGAGTCAGGTTTTCTTTTTTCAAAGAGAAAAGTCCCTGAGCTTCCTTATATAGAGACATCATAAGTATCTTCATCCTAGGAAATATTAAATAACTTTCAACTTCTCGTGGAAAAATTAAATCTTTACTTTTTTTCCCCCAAAAGTGACTTCACAAAGCAGTGAAGCTATTTTCAGCCTAATTTCATGAAAATATAGTGCAATGATATTTTCAGGTTAAATATCACTTGAGGGGACTATATTTTGTTCACATTTCCTAGGAAATCTTAGCAGTAAACTTTCGCTTTTTGATTAATCAAAATATTTCATGGGCACTTTAGTTTCATCTAAAGATTTTATTTCAGTTTTTAGTTGGTTGTGGGAGATATATGGATATGTGTGTGAACAGTGTGCCTCCCCAACAAACAATGTCAAGAAATACAATTTCATATCAAAATAGTTTTAAATCTTAAACTTGAATGGGAGCGTTATGTACAAAGAAAAAAAAGATTACCTGTTATTTCTTTGTTGAATAATCTTAAAACATCTCTTTGAGTCCAAGCAGCTCATACATCAGAGCTTGAGGGTCCTTTTATTACCTGAGAATAAGCAGTTAGATATGACAGCTTCAAAAGTGTGAATGCCATTATTCAATGTTTTATACAGTATATTCATTGGTCATCCATCTGGTGTGCAACTTTCCAATAAAAAAAAGCCGAAAGTC
The DNA here is from genome assembly GCF_000001405.40 of Homo sapiens. Classification (NCBI taxonomy): domain Eukaryota; kingdom Metazoa; phylum Chordata; class Mammalia; order Primates; family Hominidae; genus Homo; species Homo sapiens. The sequence continues at coordinate 148,076,371 of NC_000003.12, read as the reverse complement.
ATTCTCCTGCTTGTTTTTCCAGGGCAGTTCCGCAAGGACAACTGCACAGAGACAGATTCGCCAGTAGAGGCCTCTCTAGATTTGCCTTCTGATTACAAACTCAGAATGTGCCTTGAATCTGCTGCAGTTAACACAACTACTTGAAAAGATTCTTGTTGCATAGGGAAAAAGATCACTCTTTAATGCCCTTTTAAGTTCCATGATGTTGATTAATGTTGCCCTTTACATTAATGATGTTTCAAGTAAAAGAAAACAAATTTAAAATGGATAAATTCTATTGAGGATGCATTAATTAGACAGAGACTTTGCCATATGCTGTGGCTGGAGGGCTTGCTGGCCTTTCTCTTGTAGTTACCTGTGTAAAATCCACCCTATCCTCTACATGAATGCCCAAGCTGAATAGCCATTTGAATGAAGGCTTTAGTTTGATTCGCCATACAAGGGGTACTGTGTCACTGTGTTTTCTTTCTAGGAGTCACTAAGTGATTTCTATATCTGTTGTCATGGTGATATAGCAAAGCAGGGGAAAATGGGGGCAACTTCAGGCTTTCTCCTCACCCTCTGGACTAAGATGTTGTTAGCAAGCCTATAAAACATTGGGCTTTATCTGGGCCTTCTTTTTGTTCTCTGATTGTCAATAAAACTCATTTTAAGGGTAACAAGGACATCTAAATGTCATCTGTCACAGTGTTAGAGAGATTAAGTTTGTTTAGGGACTTGTGCTGGACAAAGGCCACTATTTGTTTCGCAGATACAAAGCAGTGTTGGCTATCACCACTCTTGATTTAGAAGGAGGCCCAGAGACCATCGAGGAAATATCATCTCAGTTGCAGGTGTCTTGACATGACAGCATTAAAAAGACAGAAAAATAGTTATGGTTTTGAATGGGAATCTGCAGTTCTGTTTCTCACACCCCTTTGTAGATTTCTCAAACCTAAAGTCTTCTCCTAGACTAGATGGAAGAATTTTGAGTTCAATTTCTGAGGGCTTCAGGCCTGTGTAAAAACATGACATACGCATGATGGTCTCTGAATGAATGATAAAAGAGAGAAAAGAGGTTTTGCAAGGAAAATCCAACAATAATGTATACTGCATTAATTCAACATTTGCTCAATAATGAGGCTAAATGGAACGTACAGATTAATGAAGACATTGGTGTTATTAAAATCAAATCCTGTGGTTCGTATGCTTTTTTTTTAATAATGAACATTGTGGCTATTGGAGAGGAAGAACAGGATTTTTTCTATTAATTTGGCACACATCCCAGATCTCATTCAACCAGAACCTATCCCCTGCAAAATGCAGCCCATGGCCTTTATGTGCCTTATTCTTTCTATTTTATATGTGTTAATTTGAGTGAAAAAATATTTTCTCTCTATAAAAATATTTCTAAAGTGAATCTGGAGCCTAAGTAATAATTCAATAACATTAAACTAGGATGCTTTTTCTAACATAAAGAGGGATTGGAAATATACAAAATTACATGCATATAATGTGGTGCTCACATCACATCTGCCTGCACTATGTAAATTGATGCAGCTTTCTTGGGACTTCTAGAATCTGAGTACATCAATGCATCTCAAATACTATATTATAGAAAATATTCATGGTAGCGAGGGCCACTATGTTGAAACATAGATGAACTATTATAAATGTTGAGCAATGGGAGAATCTTTGTTTACCTTTTATTATGTCTCTATAATTTGGATATTTATGAAATATGATGAAAACAGAGTAGTATGGTTCATTTTACTATATCCCTGTGGGCACAACCCCACATATAACACACTTATGTGTACAACAAACACATCACCTGGACCAGAGTTGACATTAGGAATGACAATGATAAACTCCCTCATGATCACGACTCTGTGGAGAAAGAAAATATACACTTATATACGCTTATATAGTAAACTTGAGTGTTCTTAATTCAAGCTCTCTCAAAGCAACTTGAAAATCTGATTTTAATCGTGCTGAAAGAGATCTGGGTGTACAGCCATAAATGCTTTATATATCAACTATTGGATGGATTCCATATTAGTTGTAAATTTGGTAGTTAATGATGAAGAAGCTAAACTCATAAAGACTAACATCAACATCTAGAACTAGACCTTGTAAAAAATAAAGTAGGAAGTTGCACAATCACATAGTTGTTAATATACCTGTCATACTAAACATGTGTAACTACGAAAAAGACTTACAGCTGGACTCCCTTTTTATAAAATTCCTGAAGCAATTACCACCAAGCTCAGTTTGATTTCTTTTTTAGATAGAAAAATTTATTCTACACAAACTATTGAAAGCAAATACAGTATTGAGATGCTATTACATCAATATTATGGGCCTAGATGACTTTTGTTTAGTATCTTAATAGCTCAGTCATTTGTTATTCATTCAGCCACACACGGGACACCAGGGTGTTATGAAGGACAATACTCTTGGGGCATTTTGAGTTCAATTTTTGTTTCTCTACTTATGCAGAACATGTGTTGGCATCAGCCATGGTTACAACAGGGGAATCACAATATACAGTGAAGTTTTACCACGTTGCTCTGAGATAATTTTTCATTTTTCAAAACAATCATCAGAATAGCTGAAGTATACAGTTCTGGTGCTTTATTATTAAAGTTACTGGATATATGCTTTCTTTCTGCTTTTTAATCTCATTTCTTGTGGTTTTTCAGATGAGGCATTTTCTGAAAGAATAAAAAGCAAATTCCTAATAAAAAAGGGCATTAAGCTGCAAAATAGGCCAACAACATGAAATATTTGTTATTTATACTTATAGGTAAAACAAGTTGACTGAGAAAATAAATTGGATATGTCCACTCATCCCCAGAAATACACAGGACACAGCGCGAGCGCGCGCGCACGCGCGCGCACACACACACACACACACACACACACACACACACAGATTTATATACATAAAGCTTTACTAGTTTGTCTTCAAGAAGACATCAATGTTTTCTTAGAGCTTTTGTAGCTTCACAGTTCAGAGTAATTCTAATTAGAAAAGTTGAAGGAAATGGATACTACAGGGTATCATTCTTTTTCTAAATTTCTTGAGATGAAAATCCTCTAAGTGCCTTTAAGTAGCTATGCAATTTGAACAAATTATTTAATTCCTCTAGCCTCAGTTGTCTCTCAAGGAAAATAATAGGGATGGGATTAGATAACCTCTAAATCTTCTTGCACTTTAAAATGCAGTTAACAAATTCATAATAAGGTTTTCAGTTTTTAAAAAATGTTTAGTGTTTTGAAAGCAACTTTTTATTAAGAAAAAAACAGAATTGACAAGAGCTCTATGGTTAAGAATAATATTCAAAAAAAAAACAGATCTGTTTAAGATTTACTGTGCAAAATTAAGAATCCAGCAATTGTATTCTGTAAGTACTATAGTCTTTTCATTTCTAACAAATGCATAGCAAAAAAGTTCATCAAATTGGTTCTAAGTTAATTCATCAAAGCTACATATTATTCTGGATTTTTAACCATGCCTTTGCATTCAGGAAATAGTGAAACAACAAATGAAAACTTATTAATGAAATGAACTTTTTATAACAAAAAAAATGTTTGATGAATAATACGCTTACTTGATATGTCATTGTCACTTGAACCAAATGAAGCACTTGAGAATGTTTCCTTTCCTCCTGCTCTCCCATTCTGCTTCCAAAATTTTGAATCATTTTTTCTATTGTTATTTAAAGCAATCATACAACATCTAAATTTATCATAAAATAGCTGACTTTGGTGGATAATTTCTACATGATCAAATTTCCTTTCCACCTTACAGAGCACGGTATTTGTTTATCAGTTGTGATCATCTTGAAGTATATCTACAATGATAATATGAGTAAAGAATTCTAACATTGACTTCTCAGGAATGTTTTCGGCCAAAGTACTCTATGTACGTAGAGCAGCTTAATTAAAATATTGGATGAATGTTGTTATATATAATTCTTTCTCCTGCTTATCTACCTTATTCATTAAAGACTAAATATTTTTGTTCCAACTTGTGAATATAAAATTATGTATTTGTCCAAATTTTATTTTATTCAGGTACTAATTAAAATTGAAATATATGCTTCAATAGAATCAGCTTTTGATAAGTTAATAATAACTCATTTTTATTAACAATAATAACTATGTTATATGGAGAAAAATTCTAAAATGTTTGAGAAAGTATAGAATCAGTCTGATAATGCATGTTTGGAAAGATAACCCTCATCATATTTTCTTAGTAGATATTGGTGCATCTTATTTTTTTCAATGCATTCAAAATACTGAAAAATTGAGTAGTATATTATAAAGTAATTAAAATTCCTAATTATCTAATCTTAATTATTTAATAAATTTTTTTAATTTTCTATATTTTAAATTACACTAATAATTACCATCATCAAAATTTTTAAAGCCACAATGTAAGAGAAAACATAATGAAATGATTATATAGTTAAAATAAAATGTGTTATTTGAATCTCCATTACAGCTTACTATTTTTAATATAACAGATATTCAATTTTACAAAAAAAAGTTTTGTACACCAAAAGATACATAAATTTAAAATCTAATGAGAAGATAATATATATTAAGAATTATTTTATCACAATATTGACATTTTAAAAATGTTTTTAGGGAAAAGTTTTTAAAACAAAATTATAACTTTGAAAATGTTAATAAAATCAGCTTTCCAATCAAATAAATTTTTCTATTTCTGAATGTATTATCTCCTCCGTTTTTAGAGTCAATATTCTAAGCTAAAATGCACATAATATATACCAAAAATTGGTTAAAAATAATCGTAATTTAAGTTTTACTTGAAGGCCACCCTCTTAATAATACTTCAAGTTGAAATATTTGAGTCCTTAATTACTCTGCCTGAATTTGTACAATCTGAAAAACAAACAAATAAATCGGTTTAATGCATGAAGCCTGGGTAAGCATGTAGTTCTTTCATTATTATCATTGTGGTATCTGAACAATAGATTTTCAACCTATGAAAAGAATAAAAATTTATTAGCTATCTTTTTATAAGCTTGAAGTTTCAATACTATTCATTTTTATGACAAAATTGCAGTACACGCTATAAAAGGACAGCTTGTTTCTCTCTTAATACCAATACTTATGTTTTTGAATGTTTTAAGGATTTTATATCTTTGCAGATACAATTTTTAGTATAGCTTTGGCTAAAGTGAAATATTCATAGATATTTTTCAGTTCATTTTTAAGGTTTATCCTGTCAGTTCTGATGAAAAAAAGCAGATTAAAAAATACTTTCTGACACCTAATAATAAAATGATTATTTGATTATTGGAATAAAATGAATTCCACTATTGGAAGTTCAACTGAAAAAAATAACATGGAGTTAGTAATATCAGAGATATTCAATAAGCAAAACATAGTTCCCATAATATAATTATTCTATTGCTTTCAAATACTGGCTGTCATTAGGTGAAAAATTGTTAATTCTGGTATTAAGTTATCTTTAAATAAAAATGTTATTGCTGATGCAACTCAGTATTAGAGTAGAATAAAATACCCAAGGAATGTGGTAACAGCAGAAGAAGAAATATCTGTTTTCACAAAATATGTGACTATTGTTCATCTGTATATGAACTTATATGTAATTTAAAAAATAACATGTTAATCTGAAATGGCAACATGTTCATTGGGTAGTAGCCATTTTGGAAACTCGAAAGACATATCTTTACTTGTTTGCCATTACCAGACTGAGTTTCTTTTTCTTTGATTTCCCTTTTTCTTCCTCCTCATCCATATGTAGTTTATGATATTTAGTACTCCTTTCTTCATTGCATTTTATCACTCTTAGTTCCCTCTTTTACCAAAATCTTGACAATTTGTTAAGAATTTTACTTCTTTAATAATAACCTTTAGTAACATCAATCATTTCACATTTTAGTCTCTCATTATTTAGATTTGATATTTAATGGTACTTTAAGTAGCTTAGAAAAGTTAGTTTTAAAACAAATAGTATTTTTTATTTAAATAATATTTTGCTTCCTGTAAATGCTTCCTGAAACAGGACTCAAGTCTCTTTATCAAAATGACCGAAGTCGTATTATAATTTGGCTTCCTCTTCTTCAAAGCGTTTCTTAAAGTCAGAAAATACTTGCCTTTGCAGTTACAGAGTGCAGGTTGAGGGGAAGCCATTTTTTAGTGACATTCAAAAGCAGCAAAGGGGATAAAATAATTTACAAGAACTTTATAGTATTTAAACATAGGTAAGAATTGAAATCAAAATAAAAGTAGACTCCCAAGCCTGATGCTAATATTAGAAAATTTATGTGTGTGTGTTATTTCTCCACCTACTTTTTTAAATTTTAAATAACCCTTTGAAAGTTATTTGTGTGAGTAGTATGAGTAGAGTTTTGGCTTCAGACTCAGAGAGGTCTGAGTTCAAATCCTGACTCTGGAAAAAGAAAGTAAATTCTTAACAACATATTTCATTCGTATGTAAAATGACGATAAAGGTTACAGTTATTCTGTGACAAGATAAGGTACCTTAAGTATTTATCAGAGAACCTGACACTCAGGAATGCCTCAGTAAAGTTGGCCTTTGTGATGTTGTTGGTATTTCTAGCCAAAAAGTGTCACAGAAAAAAATATTGGCATAGAGTCAGGGGAACATGTTGATTGTAACCCTTATAAGATAAGTAGCATAGGACAATTCAATTAATTTCTCTGAGCTTAAATTTCCACTTCTATAAAATATTCTATATCTTTGAGTGGACTGTGAGATCTATGTTATGCCAGTAAATGCCTACAACTCTCTGATTTGTAGTATTTTCTGACATTTGTGGTAAATCCTCTCACCATGGCCAATTTCAAGCTGCCAACACCAGCTGGGCAGAGATGCATGGTTGCACATCTTTATATTATATATGATACAAATAAAATCCATTTTATTAAGATAAACCATAGTAGAAAAGTAGAAAGTACAAGTGAAATCTCTTTTATAAAGTTTGCTGGGGAGGTACAAAGTTTTAAATAGCCAAGATAAAATAATAATAAGAAGAAGCTGAGAACAAATGTTATATTCAACATCACCTAGTATAAATATCTGGAATATAGTAGGTACTCAATAAAGTTTGTAGATCAATTGAAAGAATACACATTAGTAATTAGAAAAAATATTTCTATTTTTTAATATAGAATAAGTTGTTATAGTTTTAATATATTTGCATTCTGCGAGTTTCAAGGAAAATGATTGATTTCATATAATTTACTTTATCATATCATATTATTTTATATATTATTTCTACCATACAGATTTGATAATTGTAAAAAACTTCAAAAGCATAGATATTAGTGAAATATAGGATAATAATTAAGAATTAGTGAGTTTTCAGTATTATCTTTGTTTTTAGTAAAATTTATTTCATGATAAGTATTTATAATTTCTTTGCTTTTATAAAAACAATGGTTGTGTTCAGTAACTCAGCTTGCAACTTTCCTGAAAATTTAACAATCATGTTTTCTAGGCCAAGAGGCACCAGCTCTAATTCACCAGTGTATATGAGACAAATTAAGTAATGTTTGTGAAAGACCCTATACCTTTTGTTTTTAAAGAAAACTCTTTAAACTATAAAACATATTTATTTGTTATCACTATTGTTTTACCCAAGTTTCTTTGCACACAATATGATGAATTATTGCTTTTGGCTGAGTCAAATGAAGAAAGTAGATAAGACTACCAACACAAACAAACAAGAAACCCATTATTAAACACAACCCAAACTGGAAAACATTACGTTTTAGTCAGTATAATCTGTCAGAATATGTTTCAATGTCAATAAACTGTGCTCAGTGTTGTCTTAATTAATAATTGAAACTATACCTTTAATGATTTTATGAGATAAAAAGGCTATCAGCAGTATACTAAAACTGTTTTTTAAGTGCCTAGTTTTAAATCAGCAATAAAAAGTCACAGCATTTAGATACCACTCTGAAGGAAATATTTAGATATTTTTCTTCCTAGACTCATGCATTTGCCTAAGCTAGTTGATTTTTTAAAAATTAAGCATAGCATGATTCAAAATTGGCACCCTGGGGAATCATTGCCACCATAAGGAATTCTCTGTAAAATCAATTAAACCAAAGTTAAGTAAATTAAATGAAGTAAATCTCCTTCATTGAAACTCTCAAAATGCAAACATGTTAAAACGATACCTACTTACTCTATATTCGAAATACATATGAATTTTTTTTCTAATTATTAATGTGTATTCTTTCAATTGTTTTACAAACTTTATTTAGTACTTACTATATTCCAGATATTTATGCAGGTGATTTTGAATGTTATATTTGTTCTCAGCTTCTCCTTGTTGATATTTTATCTTGGCTATTTAAAACTTTGTACCTCCCCAAACAAACTTTGTAAAATAGATTTCACTTATATTTTAACATTTCTGCTATGGTTTATGTTAATATGGAAGATTTTATATACTTGTCCCTTTACTCACTACCTAGTCCTTGATTTTTCTAATATGTTTGTGCAAATGCTACATGAAAAATGATATAAATTTAGTCAGCAAAACCAAATCAGCTTGGTTGTGTTAATCGACATAAAAAGACAAATGATTATTTAAACTTGTTGAGCTGAAAATTGTATTTATAAATAACTCTGAAAAAATTACTTTTCATATTCCCCAAATTAAAAACAGTAGAGATTAATTTTCTTGTTAAAATAAAAAGTATATTATACTATTCATATCTTAAATGCAGACATATATACATATATATATTGTTATGTCTATTTGACTTACACTTGAGAGAGAAATTGGCTCTATGATTTTCTCTCCAAATTCTGAAAATAAAATTCAAACTTCCAGATAAATGACAATATTCTGGATCATTTAAGAAGCCAACTCAATTGAAAAATAATTATGTTTAGGCTTAGGTAAAAAGACAGGTTATTTTTCAAGTTCATTATCATGTACAATAAAAATTATTAGTTTTTCTGACTGATATAAATACAGCAATACTTAACTAGTTATAAAAGAAAATGTGTATTATTGTAATTTCTCATAAATATTTTCAAAGTTTCAAGTGCATAATAGTAAAGCTATTAAGTGTTATATTTTTACTTTGATGAAATAATCTTTGGAAACTCTCTTGATAAACAGTTACTGTGTTTGTACTCTTAATATTACATCAACATTGCTCCATAGAGCAGATCCTTTATTTGTAGGTTTTATTATGATAGAACAGAGTGGCTTACAGAGAGGGAATGTGTAAATAAATCACAGCTTCTTAAAAAAATACAGACACCTTTAGAAAAATTCCACTGGCAACGGAACTTGTTTTGAACTATATTTTTATTTCAAAATAAATGTAACTTACTGAGATTCACATTCCTTAAAGTAACTGAGGAACAGGAAAGCAAAACAAAGAAGTGAGGTGAAGTCATAAATTGTAGTAGGCCTAAAATGTAAAACCATTCCTTAACCTGAAAGATTTAGTTTCACTTTAAAATGGCAGAAATGAAAACAAAGGATATTTTAAACACTTTCCTAATAATTTACAGTATATTTTAAACACATAATGTTTATCACTAAGGAAACAGCATGTATCACACAACATTCAGTGATATCTATGCCTGTAACCAAAAAATGATGAATTATTTGAAATTCCAAAACAAGAAATAATTAAATGACCTATTGCTATCAAAACAGTATTAGAATCAGGAATGTAATATAGATTTCATTCACATAGGAAGCATTGTTTATGAAGTCGGTATTTAGCCTATCATTTTAAATTTTAAAACAAAAAAGAATATTTTATTTATTTGTTTTCTTTTTTTCTTTTTTCTTTCTTTTTGAGATAGAATTTCACTCTTGTTGCCCAGGCTGGAGTGCAGTGGTACAATCTTGGCTAACTGCAGCCTCCGCCTCCTGGGTTCAAGCGATTCTCCTGCCTCAGCCTCCCAAGTAGCTGGGATTACAAATGCTCACCACCACACCCAGCTAATTTTGTATTTTTAGTAGAGACAGGGTTTCACTATGTTAGTCTGGCTAGTCTCAAACCCCTAACCTCAGGTGATCCACCCACCTTGGCCTCCCAAAATGCTGGGATTACAGGCATGAGCCACCTCACCCGGCCAAAAAAATGAACTATATTAAATTCAGTATTTGGTATGTTTCAGGAAACACTTATTTTCTATCAAATATGGGAAATATAAAATATGTTTTACTTCAGGAGTCATCAAAGTTTTGAAACAATGGCAACAGCCTATGAGAAAAATTTTTAAAGTCCTAATTTTCACCTACTGTCTTTTCTAAAGCAATATAAGTTTATGTCTCTTTTGTTTTAATTTTTAACATAAAATCACATTTATAATCACAATTGAAAATCTTGGTGTGAAGATTCAAAGAGGATCAGCTCAATATGGCAATCTAAGTGAACTCAAAACTCCAAAATAATCATACCTGTTTGGGCATGTTTTGTACCTCCCCATCCAACTTAGTGAAGGAGGTAAGCTGAATTTGTCTTGTTTTTTTTTTTTTTTTTTTTTTGAGAATAATCTTTGACATAATAATAATGATTCCCTTTTGTACAGAATCTGGATTTAACAAAAGCATCCTGAAATAAAAAACTTAACATCATGAGCCTTTCTTTTATGTGCTGTATTTTAAAGGGCCATATTATTAATTACTATATATGCACAAACTACTCTAACGACTCAACAGGAGGGTTTGTCTTTAGAGGGTCTGTCATTAATGAAATTGAAAAGTTAAAAAGTGATGATTAGAATTTGGTGGGTAGAAAAGATAATTTGCATTGTGATTTCAGATCTACAGTGTAATGCATGACTTTATTGTATTTGAAGCTCAGTGAACCCCATGGTTAGTTGTGTTCTCAAAAGGAAGTCATAAATTTTCATTTCAAAGTATACACAGATACCAGGTTACCAAATATGACAAAATCAAGTTACTTAAAATTGCAATCCATGGAAATTTTAAATAATGTAATTCTTGAATAAAGTATCAAAATCTGAATGTGATGACAACTTTTCTTCGGGGATATTGTGCAACTTTGAAAAATGCTACTAGTTATAAGAGTGAGAAAAGCATGTAATTAGAAGCTTAGTAACCTAAATTTGAATCCGGTTTCTATCATTTATTAGCTTTATATCTCCAGTTAAAGTGATTAAACAGTTTCAATTTCCTGACTTGAAACAAAATAGGGATAATAAAATTTACCTAAAAAAGGATTTGTGAAGATTACATTGGAAAACACATGGAATAGCTGGCACAATATCTGCCATAGATTAGGAGCTCAATATCACTGTGTTCATATTCCCTTGAATTTACAAAATTACATCTCCTTTTGAACTTTGCTGTTATCATCATATGATTGAAAATCTGAAGGAAAGTTTTTCCCAAATCAGTGGTTCTAATTTGTAGATTATCTTGGTCTGTTGGAATGCTCTGGGCCTTTTCAAAGTTGGACTCTGGTGTTAATATTTTTATAAGAACAACTGACATTCTACAGTTTCTTCTGTAAATTATTTACTAATGAGAAATACAATAAAAAAATTGTTTCCTGCAGGGTAAAATAAGAACTTCCAGAATGTTTCACAGAACATTATCAAATTGGCTGCCCTGCCACTTACGCGTGCCCCTCCTGCAGTGACAGTATTACTATAAGCAGTTTTCTGGTCTGAAAGGTATCGTCACAAATACAAAGCAAAATTGAAAAAGAGACAAGTGGAAGAGAGAACCAAATAGAGAAGCAAACACTAGGTGGGAACCAGAAAAGAACCCAGGGAGGAAGAGTAGGAAGTGAGCTATGGCACTAAAGAGAAATAATAACCAAGGAAGGAAGGGTAATCAACATCATCAACAGAGTTCAAGGAGAAAGAAGACTAAAGATAGCAACAGTAGGTCATTGTTGACCCATATGAATATAATTTTTGTATAGTGATTTAAGCGCATCTACAGGAATTAAAGAAAAAGTGGATGTTCAGAAAGATTCTATTTCTCTACCAAAATAATTATGGCTGAGATCCACAGGGACCTCCATGTTCCTAAATTCGATGAACATTTTTTACTTTACTTCAACTCTCAGCCAGATTTGGCACTGTTGACCACTTTATCTTTAGAAAATTATTTTCCCTAGGCTTGATTTACAATACAGTTTTATTTTCCTGTTTGGCTATTTATAAGTTTCTGTTACAGACTTTTTCTCCCATATTGCCCTTCACTGTATAATTATTCCAAGCTTGGTCTTAGGCCTTATTCTCACATTTTATAATATCTTCCCATGCAATCTTATCCATGTCTATAGTTTAATTGATTAACTAATCCCAAATAAATCCCAAATGTTTGTTTCAATCCCAGGCTTTATCTTTTAGTCTCAGGCCCATAAACTCAGCTACCTGCTTGGCAGCTCCACCTAGCTGTCTCCAAAGTGCTTCTAACTCATGACATGTTCCAGAAGCCTTCCTCCAAAATACTTAGAGTACCCATTTCAGAAACAGATACACCTATGCAGTTTCCTGAGCCAGAAACCTGAGTCACCTTAATCCATCACTAACTCCTGTCACTTTTAGTTTATAAATATTTCTCAAACCACTATTCCTGCCACCAAATTCATTCTCTATACTATAGGAAGATTTGTTCAAAATTCAAGACTCATCATAAAACTTCTTCCACTCTCAACACCTCCTCTTTCTTAATTTAAGTGCTTTAATTATTCTAAGAATAATGACTAAAATATTTAATATAGCATACAAGACTCAGAATGATTTATCTATTGCCTATCCATCTATATTCCCAAAGGAGACTAGGGCAATAGCATTCAGGGTAGTGAGTCAAGTGAAAACTGTAACTATATATAGGGTATAGCTATACATGCCTAAATATAGAAAAACAAGAGCCAGTTGAGAGAAATAGTTAAAAGGATCTTTAAATTAATGCTGGTAATGGAAAAATCAAGATCTCAGTAGTAGGAGTTAGTAGGTACAGCATAATTGTGCAGAAGAGAAAAGATATAATTTCTAGTAAACCAATCAAAAAAGTAAAAAGGAGTTAAATTTAAACATGAATATGTATTCTTCATAATTGTCTTTAGTTAAATTATATATTAAATGTGGCTGATTATAGTTACATGTTCAAAAGATATTAAAACTCACTATTATACAAAATACAGGTAAATATTCATTTTTTATTTTTTTATTTTTGGGCCTCAATTTAAAATATTGTATCATGCTTTGGAAATCTAAACACAAACAATTATTCATTCTATATTCTAAAATATCTACGGTTTCTTAATTTTCATTTTTAATAATGACATTAAGTCACCAAGTACACTTTGCTACAAAATAAATTTACTTTTGGTTACCAGAAGATTTTCTGTGAGTTTTAAAATGGATAAAATACCACTGGACAATTCTTAGTTGATTAGACCAAAAGCACCTCTACCCTAAAAACATGATTTGCCACTATTGAAGGGATTCAAAAGAAGTTGCTGCTGGCTCTTAGGGCAATTCCAGTTATTAGCAGATGTATGCTCTTGTAGGTATGTAAGTACCTCTTCATATCACTTTATCACTCATAAAGTGTCACTATGTAAACTACTTTCTGGGAGGAAGCCAAGCACTTTTAGAAGCTGAATAACTCTTTTGGGCAACTAGAGTTCTATTCATTTCGCTGAAACAGTGAATAGTGTATGAACTGGAATAATCTGATTCAATAAGTATTAAATAATTCATTCTCTATATAGTTTTACCTGTGATGTGACTATAAAGTATGGAGGTTGGTTTTATCTGCACATTTGAACATTAAAAACTCCCATAACTGCTATTTGTAAAGATAACCTTGAGCTAGTATATGTTTACTCCAATAATGATTCCAGCAATTTAAAAAACTTGGGAATCATCTTTTGGAATGAACTTCAAAATAAGGTTATTGGTCAAACAAGAAATTCTCCAGACATTTTAATCATAAACCCCTTTGTCTAGGCTAAAATGTGATTTCCTGGGTTCTGCACCAAGTTTTTTGGTTTCTTATTAAAATTGGATAACTTAGAGTTGTTCAGAAAAAAACTTACTGGCCAGGCGCGGTGGCTCACGCCTGTAATCCCAGCACTTTGGAAGGCCGAGACAGGCGGATCACGAGGTCAGCAGATCGAAACCATCCTGACTAACACGGTGAAACCCCGTCTCTACTAAAAATACAAAATATTAGCCGGGCGTGGTGGCGGGCACCTGTAGTCCCAGCTACTCGGGAGGCTGAGGCAGGAGAATGGCGTGAACCCGGGAGGTGGAGCTTGCAGTGAGCCAAGACAGCGCCACTGCACTCCAGCCTGGGGGACAGAGCGAGACTCCGTCTCAAAAAAAAAAAAAAAAAAAAAAAAACTTATTTGCATAGATCAACTATCATAACAGAAGGTTACTCTAAATTAGAAGTTACGTAAATGTTTTGAGGTTTAGCAGCCTCATTTGAATAAATTTATAGATATCAGGCAGGATGACATTATGAACACAGGCGTTTAACTGGTTCTTGCTCACTTCACCACCAATATAAACAATAGGCTCTAAAGATAGCGTTAAATCAGCGCAAGTTTTGGGGACTGGTGAAGAAATTTTGATAAAACTTTCATAAATTCAGCACTAATTGAATCAAACTTCCATGAATTCAGCACTAATAGAATCATATTAAATGAAGTTACCATAAAATAGCAGTGTCAGCAGGGAAAAAAATAGGCTACATACAAATAAAGAAACTTTGAGTCTAACTAAGACGTCTCTTTCATTATTTTGAGTGCAAGAAGTTAACAGAGATTGCTTTCTATCTTTTGAGAAGAAATTTTTGTTACTCAATAAATCTATAGCAAGCCAGGTTGTTAGTAAAACCCATGTACACATTGCTAAGTATGCAGGGTCTGAGAGAGCATGCATCTTCCTGAAGATACATTAACCAAACGGTGACCTAGCTGCCTGAGATGAACTTGGCTAGAAAAGATTGGTGGTGAGTATTAAAGCTTACTCAATCATTTTTAAGTCAGTTATGTTTACATTAGCATATTAGTTTATTGCAATTCCAATAATGATCTCAATTTTGAAAATCTGAAAATGTGATTTTGAAAAGAAAAAAGGAAAGTTTCTCTATGATAGATTTTAAATGTTTTATAAAACTAAATAATTAATATGTTGTCACATAGGTAACAAAATAGGTTAATAAAGTAAGTTAATAAATTTACCCAATTACATACAACAATTTAATATTTGATGAACAGGACATTTCTGTTGTTGAAATAGCAAATTATTTATTGAAGGTTGCTGGCAACACTAGGTAGCTGTTTGCAAAAAATATTACATCTTGTTTCACATAAATACTTGATGAATTAAAAATTTATATCAAAAAGTGATTCTAAAGATGTACCAGAAGAAAATATAGCTGAGTGTAACAGGGAGATATAAAAATGTTTTCTAAACTTCTGTATCCTAAGAATGAAAGCACAAATGAATCAACTAACAGATTTAACTTCATTTTTTTTTCTAATTATGCAGCTCACTGTAAGGACTTTTTCTTACACTTATCCTAAAGCAATAGGGATAATGAAAGACTGAAACTCAAAAGCTGTAGAATATGGATGCAACCATAGCCTACATACTGCAAAGTAGACATATGACTGCCCAGAACCCTAATAAAAGAGCTTCATGGGAAGAAGAAGAAGAGAAGAAAAGCAGCAGAGAAAGCACTTGGCAAGAGGGCTCAGCCACAGCAGATTTCAGAAGCAGTAGCAAATGTACCTTTCGGAAGATGAGAGGCACAACCAAAGGTGAAATATCTATATATTTTCTTGAACAGCAGGAACAGGAACAGAGGTGAACTGCTAGCAGCAGGAATCCTGGACTGGGTTTGTTTTATAGAAACAGAGAAAGTGGGGTTATATGAAGAATCACAGAGACGTAGAATTTGGGGTAATCAAGAAAAATCTAGATTTGCAGTATGAAAATCAAGTAGCTGGAATACTACTAAAATGCCTTTCTGACCAAAGGAAACTCTTGCAAATAACTGGTCCAGGAAAACCCAACTAATTTAACAATGGATTTATAAAAAAAATCAATATTAGAGCTTGGATTTAAAAATCACCATAAAAATAAAATAAAATAAATAAGTGGCATAAGTTTCCAGTAGATGAAGGATACTTATCAGAAAATGTTGCAACTCTGCTTTAAAAAATGTAAGAAATAATTGTCCAGTTTTATTTTTGTAATGAAGGAAGACCTCAAAGCAGAAATGCAAAAATTCAGGGACAAAATGGAAATAACATGAAATAAAATAAAATAAAATGTGATCTGCTAGAACTCTCCAAAGAAAAATTTTAAAAATGAACTCATAAATAATATTTTTTAAATATAGAAAAATAAAGGAGAATGAAAATCGTTTTAAAAAGTAAAGTAATAGAGAAATTTTACAAAGCAAACAAATTTAAGGAAAAATTGAAAAGGAGCGAAAAAGAAAAAAATAGTATTAGAAGAGAAGCAAAGGGAATTAACCTATACACAAAGATTGGAAATAATACACAATAATGGAACAGAATCTTTAAGTATATAATTTTTAGAAATTTCCTGGCTGGGCACGGTGGCTCACGCCTATAATCCCAGCACTTTGGGAGACCGAGGCGGGTGGATCACGAGTTCAGGAGATTGAGACCATCCTGGCTAACACGGTGAAACCCCGTCTCAACTAAAAATACAAAAAATTAGCCAGGCGTGGTGGCACACACCTGTAGTCCCAGCTACTTGAGAGGCTGAATCAGGAGAATCACTTGAACCCAGGAGGCGGAGGTTGCAGTGAGCGGAGATAGTGCCACTGCACTCCAGCCTAAGCGACAGAGCAAGACTCCATCTCAAAAAAAAAAAAAAAAAATTCTGAAATAAAAGACTTGAATTAACATTAAAGTGTCAAAAAATTTAATTTTTAGCATTGCAACTAGTTATGAAACACCCAATTTTTCTATATAAATGTTTATATGATTATAAAATTATTTTTAAAAACTTAAAATATAAACAGCCCACAAACAAAATAATTCAGATATAACTGCACCAAAGATTTTAATCATTATTAGTATTTGGTGTGTCTGTCTCAATTTTTCTATACTTAAGCATATAATATGATATAAAATACAATATGTAACGAAATAATATTTAATATACAGCTTAAGAAAAGAGAACTATATTTAAACGTGGCTTAATAAATACACAAGTATATTTTGTCATGTATTTATGTGTTATTGATAATAATATAAAACTTTATGTTAAAAATACATTCATACTCATGGTAGAAAAATTACATAGAACAAAATTATATAGAATGAAGAGTTCATCATCTTTCCATCTTAGGGTCTTTTTTGGTGTATCTTCCAGAGGCTTCATGTCTTAACACAAATGCGAACGTACGTAAACAAGGTTTTGGACTTTTTTTCCATTAATAATGCACTTATTTGCCGGGGCGCAGTGGCTCAAGTCTGTAATCCCAGCACTTGGGGAGGCTGAGGAGGGCAGATCATGAGGTCAAGAGATCCAGACCATCCTGGCAAACATGGTGAAACCCGGTCGCTATTAAAAATACAAAAAGTTAGCTGGGTGTGGTGGCATGTGCCTGTAGTCCCAGCTACTCGGGAGGCTGAGGCAGGAGAATCGCTTGAACCTGGGAGGTGGAGGTTGCAGTGACCCGAGATCACACCACTGCACTCCAGCCTGGTGACAGAGTGAGACTCCGTCTCAAAATAATAATAATAATAATAATAATAATAATAATAATAATAATGCACTTATTTAGATATCCTTCAACATGAACAATATAGATCTACCTCATTCCTTTTGATAACCATATAGCGTCCCATTGAAAGGATGTACTACAATTTACCTAAGTATACCATGTGCTTATTTTCAATCTTTAGCTTTACCAACTATGTTGCAGTGGATACTTGTATACACATGTATACAAATGTCAAATATGTCCTAGTATATCTGAAAGATAAATATCAGAAGTGCAATTGTGAGGTGAAAATATAAATGCATTTAATTTTTTTACAGCTATTTTCCCATAGATCTCCATATATGTTACCATTTTCCATACCCAGAAAGATAGAATGTAACTATATTCTTTCACGCTCACCACGCTGTATACTACTA
Organism: Homo sapiens; assembly: GCF_000001405.40. Classification (NCBI taxonomy): domain Eukaryota; kingdom Metazoa; phylum Chordata; class Mammalia; order Primates; family Hominidae; genus Homo; species Homo sapiens. The sequence goes on along the minus strand of NC_000003.12, from coordinate 148,058,199 downwards.
CTTAAAAAAAAATCTCCACCAATGATAAGTGAACAAGATGATGTACTTCATTATTGTTTTAACTGGAATTTAAACACCATGATTAACACCATGATTAAGATGGAGAATCCTTACTGTTCACTGGCATTTCTTTAAAAATTGCCTGTTTAGAACTTATCTCATTTTGCTGTTGGATATTTATTGTTTTATTGTTGATTTAAAAGAGCTCTTTACATAGCAATTAAAATAATCTTTTGCATGTCATATGTGTTACAATTAGTCTTTCCCAGATTGTCATACTTTTCTTAACGTTCCTTTCTATTTCTGCAGGCAAAACTTTTACATTTTAATGTAGTGAAAATTACTTTGTGATGTAATTAGAAAGTTTTTCCCACACTATAATTTTATTTTTACTTTTTATAATTTTCTCTGTATTTCAACAACATTTGTTAAATATAATTCATAGCATCCCTTTGTATCAATCGCATAATTTCTTTTGTTTAGCTTGCATTATTGGTTATTTAGTTTGGTTCTTTTTTAAAAAATTGTAGGTAATATTATTTTTAAAAATCTGTATATTTTATATACATTATTTTACTCATGTCTGTTTCCTTATGGTAGATTGTTTTGTACTGTAATTATAGGGTCAATGAGCATTCTCATCTTTAACACTTTACATTTCTAGCCTTGACAAATGGCCCTTCATGAACATAACAATTTACATGCTTACAAGCAGTATATGAGATATATCATTTCTTGACACCATTACCAATGCTCAATGTTGTTAGTTTTAAATATATTTTCAATTGTAAAATTTTGTTTTCACATTTACCTCAGAACCAATATTAATTACATTATTTATTCCCAGTCTTTTGTATTTTTTTCTTTCAACTTCATTTGCAGAACTTTCTCTAAAATTATTTTGTTTTCTGTGTCACTCAGAGAAACGATTGACTGTAAGGAGAAAAGTGACCTCTGGGCAAATGGTAGACAAATTGCACAAAGAGAAACTCATGTTGCTACTCCTAGAAAGAGGAAGAATACTGTTTTCGAGCAACATTTCTAGAACTTCCCTTCTTCAACCTAATAGTCCCATTTTTTCTAGTGAGATAACAACATCATTTCAATTACATTATGCCTACTTCTGCTACCCATTTAAACTTTTATGGTTTTCTATTCTCACTTGTCTGGGGAAAAGATGGACTATGTCTGCTAGGTTGAATGAAGCTCAGACTTCATATCATTTCCTTCCATATCCATCATCATGGGATAGCAGCAAGAGGAGGGCAATTCAACCTTTCTCCACTGAAACACTTCTATCACATTGTATGCAAAGCTCCAGGCAGACAGGCTGAAGACTTGCATGTTCTCCAAAGACTGCAGTCGTAAAACCATGCCTGCAAGATCAGACCCTTGCTAATTACAGTACTAACATTAACTTTTTCATTCATTGTCAACTTTCATTCATTTCTTAAGGTTAATACTAATTGCAACTTAAAAAAAATAATGCTAAATAGGGTAAGCAATCTGAGAACCCAAATGGTATATCCCCCTCCTGATACACATTCTCTTATTAGACACATACACAGAGGAGGGGAAAAAAAATCCCTCCAAAGAGCTGGCACTGCAAATTATTTTTTTATAAATTATATTTGTTCTAGGGTTATTGAATATACTATTTTTTTATTTATAAAATGAGAGTTTGGGGAAAATCGACTTGGTAAGCAGTCTCAATGGAGAATTTAAAATGAGGGAAAACATGGTGAAGAGGAAATAATAAGGATAGTAAAGTAGTAGATCTTGAAAAGTAATCTAGGATAAACCAAAGGGACATTTAATAAACATGATCTTTGTTAAATTTGCTTTGGAACTAGCTAGCAAAAATTCCAGAACTATTTTGCTAGTTAAGAAAATAACTGCTTTTCTGAAATGATTCCCCTGTCTGGTCTGTTACTTATCTTCTAGCTGCAATTATCATATCAAAATGTTAGCTAAAATAAAATAAATTTATCTTAATTGGATAAAAAGAAAGATGTACTTTTATTTCTGTATTTATTAATTTGGCAAGAATATGTTGACATGTCCCCCTATATAAGCAGTCATTTCTTGGTTAGGAAAATCAGAATCCTTGCTTGTCTGTATTAACCCCTGGGATTTCCTGCCACAGGATTTGTTTAAATTATAATTCAAAATTGAATTTTGGGCTTCTCCTTCCTAGCGATATTTTTCTGTCATTATCAGAAGGTACATTAGCAGTGCATTTTATCATATAATGGACTAAGTTTGAAGGGAATAAATAGAGTAGTATAGGTGTTAAATGCTGCTTGTATTCAAGTAAATGTTAAATAAATTGAGATGGTAAGCATGTGTACTGCCCTTAACCCAAGGCCCAGTAGCATATGCTGCTGTGTATGTATGGCACCTATATGTGGCACTTTGTCTTTTCTGGTTAACCAGTGTATTCAGATTTTGAGGACAGTATTTGGGGGCTCAGAGAACCCACAGTTTTCACATACGCAGAGGTGGGTTCCCTTAGCACTTACACTCACCCAGGGTAACCTCAGCCCTTAGGACTTGATTCAAAATGTTTCTTTCCATTCAATATCTAGTCACTTTCAGGTTTTCCATACCTGGAGAAAAGCCTACAATGTACTCAGTCTGCTGATTACTCAGGGCTCAGATACCCAGAGATACTGTTGTGGCAACTCTTAAAGGGCCTTGTGCTCCAAGTTGTCAGGTTTCTTTTACCAGTAATTAAAAAAAAATATGCATCAACAGAAAGGAGAGGGAAATAGAAGCAACAGTACTCACTCTTACTGTTAATACAGATCTTACAAGAATTGCAAACATAATTAAATCACTGCTTTTATTATATAATGAAATAGACACCATGATTAAACCTACTCAGAAGCAAGTTGCTTGTCAAATTATAGGTTCTGAAATATGACCAAATGCAGCAGAAGCCCTTAAAGACAAGCACTTATTTGGTGCCTAAGTGCTAGGATTGTGGAATGTCAAGTAAACTAAAGGAAAATAGACCTCAAAGGAATAAATATGTCAGTTAAAACGTGAATGTTCTTTTGCAATCAATCAATTTCAAGTCTAGCCTAACAATGCTACCTTTTACCACTAGTCCTAATTTTGGTTGTAGGGCCCTCCACTGGGGTGCTACCTGTTTTTTGTATTTCGTGCAATATTACTTTCTTTTTTCTTGCTGCCTCAGCTATTGCTATCAAATGAAAATACATGAACAGCAGTGAGATAACCTTCCCAAGAAGAGGACAGCAGATGGGACCTTCTTTTTGTGTTCTAGGGAAGAGGCACTTACTCATCCCTGTAGTGTCCTCATTCCTCGGGAGGAATACCATGCACATACTAAATACATGTGAGGATTGTGGTAAAGTGGACCATATTTGTAGCAAAATATAGGTACCCTAAATCTAATAAGAGATTAACAACAGCAACAACAACAAACAAGGCTTAATGGGAGAAATTTACTCGAAAAACCACTCCATAAGGCACTGGACTCAGATTTACAAGTTTGTTCTTCCAAATCTTCAAGAAACAGATGTTTTCATCTAGTTAAACTCCTTGAGATGTTATTTTATGAATTAAATCATCACTCCAAAGCTAAACTGATAAAATATAAGGAGTATAGTTCAAAAACACTATCGCACAATCTTACGTATGAATTGTCGTAAAAAATTAAATAAAATATTAATGAACGTGAAGGCATTTCTACTAAAGTGAATGATAAAGAAACCAACACTATTATAGCTACTATTTTGTAACATTTCTAAAGGGTCACGCTAATGACATTATTTATGAAAATAAAGAATATAAAGAATGAAGAGCAATACTTTTTATTGATCGATAATTGTATTTTCTGTCTAGGAAAACAAAGTTAATCTACTAAAAAACTATTATTCAGTTCTTGACCAGGTACTAAAGAAATAATCTGAATTCATCAATGTATTAAAGTACCATTGCTTTAATATAATTAAGCTGAGTTTACTTAAAATATGCAAGAGTGATTCAATATTAAGAAATTAATATTATTGATAATTTTTTCAATATATTGTAACCTTGAAAAATGAACAAAAACACTTTATATAAGTGTTTTAGACTAGATTTTTTTAAAATAGAATTTTATTTGTTAAAGCAGTTTTAGTTTTACCATAAAATTGAGCAGAAGACAGAAAGAATTCCCATATATCTCCTGCCTCCCAACTCCATGCAAACCCCCTCATTATCAACATCTCCCACCAGAGGGGTACATTTGTTGCAATTGATGAACCTACATTGACACATCATTATCATACAGAGCCCATAGTTTACAGTAGGGTTCATTCTTGGTGACGTACACTCTATGTGTTTAGACAAATTTATAATAACATGTATCCACAATTATGGTATCATACAGAGTAGTATTACTGCCCTAAAAATCCTCTGTGCTTGCCTATTCATCTCTCTCTCCCTTAAGCTTTGGCAACCACTGATATTTTTACTATTTCCATAGTTTTACCTTTTCCAGAATGTCATGTAGTTTTTATTATACACTATGGAGGCTTTTCAGATTGGGTCTTTCCACTCAGCAATATGCATTTAAGTTTCCTCTATTTCTTTTCATGGCTTGATAACACATTTTTTTTTTGGCAGTGAATATTTCATTGTCTAGATGTACTGCAGTTTATTTATTTATCCACCTACTGAAGGACATCTTGTTGTTTCTAAGATTTGGCAATTATGAATAAAGCTGCTATAAACATCCATGTGCAGGTTTTCGTGTGGACATAAATTTTCAATCCTTTTGGGTAAATAGTAAACAGTGCAATTGCTGGACTTGTATTATAAGAATGTTTAGTTTGGTAGGAAACTGCCAAACTATCTTCCGAAGTGGTTATACCATTTTGCATTCTCACCAGCAGTGAATGACAGTTCTCTTTTCGGTTGCTCCACATCCTCTCAGCATTTGGTGGTGTTAGCATTTGGTTTTTGGCCATTTTAATAAATGTGTAGTGATATCTTTTGTTGTTTTAATTTGTGTTTCCCTGATGACAGAAAATGTGGAGCATTTCTTTGTGTTCTCTTTGCCATCTGTATGATTTTTTCAGGTGAGGTGTTCATTAAGGTCTATGGTTCTTTTTTCTTTCTTTTTTAACTGGCTTGTTTGTTTTCTTATTGTTGAGTTTTTAGTTCTTTGCATATTTTGAATAGCAATCCTTTATCAGATACGTCTTTCACAAATATTTTCTCCCAACATTGGGGTTTTCTTTTTACTTTGTTAGCAGTGCTTTTCACAGAGCAGAAATTTTTAATTTTAATAAAGCCCAGCTTACCAATTCTTTGTTTCATGGATTGTGCCTTAGGTTTTTGTCTAAACAGTAATCACTAAACTCAAGGTCATCTAGATTTCTCTTGTTATGTTCTAGGAATTTTATAATCTTGTATTTTACATTCAGGTCTATGGTCCATTTTGAGCTAATTTTTGTGAAGGGTATAAAGTCTGTGTTTAGATTTTTTTTTTTTTTTTTTTTTTTTTTTGCATTATGAATGTCTAGTTGTGGCAGTACCATTTGTTGGAAAGACTATGTTTTTTAACCAGATTGCTTTTACTCCTCTGTGAAAAATCAGTTGACTATATTTATGCGGGTTTGTTTCTGGGCTCTCTCTTCTGTTCCATCAATCTATTTGCCTATTCTTTTACCAATGCCACACTGTCTTTATTTTTGTGGCTCTACAGCATGTCTTAAAGTTGTGTAGTATCAGCCCTAGATCTTTGTTCTTTGTCAATATTGTATTAGTTATCTTGGATCTTTTACCCCCTCAATAGTCACAAAAATAACTTGCTAGGATTTTGATTGGGATTGCAAGTAAGAAAGAACCAGCATCTTGACAATATTGAGCCGCCCTATCCATAAACATAGAAAGTCTTTCCATTTATTTAACTGTATTTTCTTTTAAATCAGTTTTGTAGTTTTTCTCATACAGATTGTGGACATATTTTGTTACATTTATAGCTAAGTATTTCATCTTTTGTATGCTAATGCAAATAGTATGGCATATTTTTTATTTCAAATTTCATTTGTTCATTCCTGTTATGTAGGAAAGCGATTGACTTTTGTATATTAACCCTTTAAACTATAACCTTACAATAATTGCTTATTAGTTCCAGGAGGTTTGTTTTGTTTTGTCAGTTCTTTGGATTTTCTATATACATGATGATGCCATCCAGGAAAAAGGACAGTTTTATTTCTTCCTTCCTGAGCTGTATTCCTTTTCTTTCTTTTCTTATTGCATTAGCTAAGACTTTCAGTGTGGTGTTAAAAAAGCATTGATCAGAAAAGACATCGTTGCCTTATTCCTGATCCTAGAGGGAAAGCTTCAAGTTTCTCTGATTTTTTTAAATCAGCCACATATATAAAACAAACTTGAAAAAGCATTACATATAAAGGTTTAAAATTTTTTTGAGAGATATCTGGAAAAGACTGACAAAGGCTAAAATATCAACATTAAAATTATTCAAAATAGACTATGCAAAAAACATTAGATAGACATGAAGTATATGTAACATGATAGTCATCCTAACAAAACCATGCAATTATCCTGTATCTTTATGTAAACTACTTCATTAAATATTTCAAATACTATATTAAGCATCAAGTGTATGTTAATATCTAATCAAAAATATAAACTTTAACTGGTAATAGAAAAAAGTAAAAAATTAACAAATTGTCATCATAACACAACACCTAAATTCATTTTACTCAGCAATTGCCAGATAAACAAGAACATATGAGAACATTGAAAACTGGAATGCAAATAATAAGCTTGATGTAATACAGAGTTTACATTATCTTCAAGTACAAATAAAACCTCAAATTTCAAAAAGCATAATTCATAGAGACACCATTCTTTAACTACAATGAAATTAACAGTAAAAGAATAACAATAAAATGAAATATCTGTACTTGGACTGATAATAGAATGATAACATGGCCTTGTAACTGTGACATATGATAAATAATTGAAGGAATTACGACTGTTGAGAAGACCTAAAGGTTGCATTATAACAGTTTAAAAATATATGCCTACTGTATAGTTATTACTATCCAAAGGAAGACTACCTATAGAAGGAAATACAGACAATAAGTAGTAAGATGTTACTATTGGGGAAAAGATGTTAAAGGGTACACAGGATCTCTCTGTCTCTCCATACTATTTCTTATAATTACATGTAAATATGCAATTATCTCAAAATTTAGAAGGTTTTAAAAAGAACTGTATAATGTCTAATTCCAAAAACCAAGTTTTTTCTCTATACCATGACATTTTCTCAGAAAAAAAAGTATTAAGGGTAGATTTGAATTAATAAAAGTGATATCTTTGAACTGTTAATGATGAAAACACAGAATATTTGTACTGAAATAAATTCTAACACGAATAAAGTCCAAACAGAATGTGTCTTAGCACTGGTACACTTTTGGATTTCCAAATTTGCTGAACTAGCTATATTCAGAAAGTTCAGGATGGGAGAAATAAAGCAAAAATATATAATTACTGAAAATAGCATTAATTTATCCTTAATTTCCCCTATAGTGATGGTTGTTGTGGTAGAGGTTGAAAGGTGTTGCAATTCAGTATGTTAACTGCTCATTTTCAGGTCTTTCTACTTTTGTGGCAATAAAATCATGATTGACAGAATTGATGTAGTATAGTATAAAACACTGGAAAGATACATTTATGACTTTTGCAATCTTGGGGGAAACAAACCACTTAATTTCTTATTGTTTTATTTATTAAAGATTAGAAATATTACCTTTTACCTACAAATTACAGAATACCTAGATAGTGCAGAAGATCAAAGAGAAAAAAATGAAAGATCTAGAAAGGAAGAAACTGAAGACTCATTATTCTCAGATGATACAATTGTTTACATTTTTAAAAATTCAAAACAAGCTACGCATAAATGGTTTTAATTAATTTAAAAACTTAGCAATATTACTAGAAACCATACATACAGATGACATACATATAATAGCAATAGATAGAAACTATTGAAACGGGATAGTTCCCTTGACCCCTTCACAGGACTTGCAAGGAGGTTGGTTCATTTACTTAGCCTTCAGCTTTCAACCCCTCATGGGAGGGGGAGCACACAGGTGAGTGAGTGCAGGGGCAGAGACAAGTGCTTCTGGGTGCTGGCAGGAACAGAACTCTATACGGCCCCATGGCAGCATCTGGGGGTTACCTGTGATCCCCGGAGCCCCAGAGGGCATGTGTTACAGTGTACTCCTTTAGCATTGCTGTCCACGGACAGCTTAAGTGTTTAACAGCTCAGTGAAGGTCAGGGCGGCAGTCTTTTGCACCCACCCTCTTGGTACCTGAGTTCTTGTCTGGCATCCAGTAAGAATCAGGTTGCATGAATTAATTGAAGGTTGGGGAACGTGGAGGATATTATTGAGCAGTGGAAGTGGCTCTCAGAGGATGGGGAGATAGAAAGGGGATGGAGTGGGAAGGTGGTCTTCCTGTAGAGTTCAGCATCAAGCTCTCCCTCCAAAGTCAAGCTACTGCTCTCTGATGCCTGGCTGCTGCTTCTTTTGTCTCCTTCTTTGCCATTCTGCTCTGCTACTCAACTGCTCTGCCACTCTGATGCCCCTCTGCCAGTGGGGCCTGGGTTTTTACAGGTACAGGATTGGGGGATAGGATAGGCCAAAAAGCAACATTCGAACCAGCAAACTGGAATGCATGTTCTCACTTTGGACTGCGGTCCAAGGCTTGAGGGTGTGGCCCTCTCCAGGGACCACCTTCTTCTACCCACTATTTCTCTGCCTCCTGTCCATATCACTATTTTTAAAAAGGCTATTTTTCCCCAATTTTCAGTAACATAGAAAATATAAAAATTTACCAAAAATTTACAAAATAAATCTCAGTGGATGGGATCAGTAGCAGAATGAAGGAGACATAGGAAAGAATAGTGACTGAAACAGGTTAAAAAAAAAAAAAATAGAAATTACCCAATCAGCAAAAGAGATAAAAATAGATTGCCAAAGAGAGGCAGAGTCTCAGGGACCTATAGGACAATAACTAAAGATCTAGCATTCTTATCACAGAAGTCCTATAGGACAGGAAAAAAGAACAGGGCTGAAAAAGTACTCAAAGAAATAGTGGCAGAAAATTCCCCAAATTTGGCAAGAGACATAAAGCTACAGATTGAAAAAGTTGAGCAAATCCCAAACAAGATAAACTAAAGAAATTCACGTCACAATACATTGTAATTAAGCTTTTGAAAACTTAAGAAAAAGATAAAAATATTTAAAATATCAAGAGAGAAACTATACCCTATCTATAGGGGGAAAACAGTTCAAATGACAGTGGATTTTTCATTAGAAACCATGGGGGCTACAGGGAAGCAGCACATTTTGAATGTGAGAAAAATGAAATGTCAAAATTAAGACATTCTCAGATAAAGGAAAATGAAGAGAATTTGCCACTAGGATACCTGTCTTAGAGGAATAGCTAAGGGAAGTTCTCTAAACAAAAAGAAAATAAGAGAAACAACTATAGAACATTACAAAGGAAGAAAAAACATGGTAAGGAAAAATATAGGTAAATACAATAGTCTTTTCTTTACCTTTTGAGTTTTCTGTATTAGGTTTCATGGTTGCAGCAAAAATTTTAACAGTCTCACATAGTTCTACATGTATGTAGAGCAATCGTGGAGTAAAGAGACACAAGCTAAGGTTTCTACACTTCACACGAACCAGCGAATTGACATCAGTAGACCATGATAAGTTACAGGAAAAGAAAACAGGAAAACAAAAATCAGAGAGAGAGAAAACAGAAAACAAAAAATAAAATGACAGACTTAAGCCCTAGCCTACAAATAAGTGCATTAAATGTGAATGAGCTAAACACACCAATTAAAATACAGAAATTTGCAATTGGATTAAAAATGTGACCCAATTACATACTGTCTACAAAAAAACTTACCGTAGACAGCCAGCTAAAAAGTAAAAACTTGAAGGATAAAAGGTGGAAAAAGATAACATGCAAAGAATACTCAAATGAAAGCAGAAATAGCTATATTTACGTAAAATAAACTTCAGAGCAAGAAAAATTACCAGAGATAAGGACATTATGTGATGATAAAAACATCCCTCTATCACTGCATAGCAATGCTAAAAGTGTTTGCATCACAGTGCTGAAAACAGTACTGAAAACAGTGCTGCAAAATACGTGAAGCAAAATCTGATAGCACCAATAGGAGAAATAGACAAATACAGATGGAAGTTAAAACACCTCTTTCTCAACAATTAATAGAATAACTAGACACAAAGTTAAAAAGGATATAGGAGAACTCAGCAGCATTATCAGCTAACAGGATTGAACATTTATAATATTTCATTCAATGACCACATAGTACACATTCTTTCCAAGTTCCCAGGCACAATATTCCAAGATAGACCTTACACTGGGTCACAAGTTTAAAAAAATTAAAATCATACAGATTATGTTCTTTGACCAAAAGGGGATTAAAATAAAAATCAATCACACAGAGATAAAAGAAAAAACCCTCCAAATACTTCAATAGTAGACAACACATTTCTACATAGTCCATAGATTAAGGAAAACGTTTAAGGGAAATATTAAAAGTACATTGAATTGAATAAAAATTAAAATACAACATATCAAAATTTGTGAGACACAGCTCAGTATGGAGAGGGTGATTTATACAAACATAAGAAAAAAAGAAAAGACATTTTAATAATCCAAGTTCCACCTCAAGAACCTAGAAACATTACAGTAAAATACACCAAATCAAGCAAAAGCAGAGGAATCATAAAGCATAGACTCAATGAAATTGAAGACAGGAAAACAGTAATGAATTTCAATCAACCAAAGCTGTTTTATTTTAAAATATTGATAACATTGAAAAACTTCTGGCAAGACTGACAAAAAAGAGAGAGAGGACACAAATTACTAATATCAGGAATGGAATATATATACATTTGACAGCTTAGACTACTGGACCACTTCCTCAAAAAAAAATCAACTATCGCAATTACCCATATGAAATAGATAACATGACTAGTCTAGCTCCATGAGGAGCTTCTTTTAAGGAAATTGAATTCATGATTTTAGACCCCTCAAAAAAAAGAAAATCTCCAGGCCCATATGGTTTCATTGAAGAAATCTACCAAATGTTAAATAACTGATTCTACACCATCTCTTCCAGAATATAGAAGAGGAGGAAACACTTCCCAGATAATTTTATGAAGCTAATATTACTCTGATACAAAACAAGCCCAAAATGAAAACTATAGATCAATATCTCAATACTATAGGCATAAAAACTTTAACAGAATATTAGCAAATAGAATTCAACAATGTATATAAAGAATAATGTGCCATGATCAAGTGGGGTTTATTCCAGGGATGTTTATGCCAGGGATTCTAGACTGGTTTATTATTTAAAAAAAGAAAAAAAAAAGAAAAATAAGCAGAGTAATCTACCGTATTAAAAGATGAATGTAGAATATTCACTTAATTATATCAATTAATGTAGAAAGAGCATTTGATACAATACCAACACTCATTCTTGGTAAAACTCTCAGAAAAACAGGAATAATGAGGGACTTACTTAACCTGATAAAGAAAATCTACCAAAAATACCCTACAACTAACATTCTACTTAATGGTGAAAGATTGAATTCCTCCCCACCAATCAAGAATTAGTCAATGATGTCTGCTCTCACCAAACACTGTATTGGAAATTATAAAACTACTGATTGCCTGACCTCGTGATCCGCCCACCTCCCACTGCAGCCTCCCAAAGTGCTGGGATTACAGGTGTGAGCCACCGCGCTCGGGACCATCCTGGCTAACACGGTGAAATCCTGCTCTACTAAAAATGCAAAAAATTAGCAGGGCGTGGTGGCACGTGCCTGCAGTCCCAGCTACTAGGGAGACTGAGGCAGGAGAATTGCTAGAACCCAGGAGGCAGAGGTTGCAGTGAGCCGAGATCATGCCACTGCACTCCAGCCTGGGCAACAGAGCAAGACTCAGTTGCCAAAACGAAAACAAAAACAAACAAACAACAACAACAACAACAACAACAAAACACCTACTGATTGAAAAGGAAAAAATAAAACAATCCCAATTTTCATATGACATGATTGTTTATGTAGAACATTCTAAGGACTCTACAAAAAATTTCTAAGTCTTATAAGTGAGCTTAGTAAGTTTGCAGAAAATAGATAAAAATGTGAAAATCACATGCCCTTGTTCTCACTCATAGGTGGGAATTGAACAATGAGAACACATCGACACAGGAAGGGGAACATCACACTCTGCAGACAGTTGTGAGGTGGGGGGAGGGGGGAGGGATAGCATTAGGAGATATACCTAATGCTAAATGATGAGTTAATGGGTGCAGCACACCAGCATGGCACATGTATACATATGTAACTAGCCTGCACACTGTGCACATGTACCCTAAAACTTAAAGTATAATAATAATAAAATAAAATAAAAAATAAAAAAAAAGAAAATCACATGCCTTTCTATGTAACAACAACAAACACATGAAGGCCAAAATTAGCAATGCAATACCATGTAAAATCACTGAAAAATACTGGATATGAAATACTTAAGTATTACTCTATCAAAATATGTATAGAACTTTTATGTGGAAAATTACACAATGCTGATTACAGAAGTGAAACAATGAGCTAATAAATGAAAGACACACTCTTTTACCAATTATAAGACTCAATACAGGAAAGACGTCAATTCTCCCAAACAGATACAAAGGTTTAACATAATTCCTATTAGAATCTCAGAAAAATATTTTTACATGACTATTCTAAAACTTACATGGAAAGGCAAAAGAACTAAAATAGTGAAAATAATTCTGAAAAACAACAAAGTCAGAGGAATTAGCCCACTCAATTTCAGGGATATTGGAAGTGTGATACTGGTGGACAGAGAGACACATTGATAGAACAGATTATACGCAGAAATAGAACCACAAAAGTAACTGATTTTTTATTGATACAGGTAACTGGTTTCTGACAAAAGTGAAAAAGCAATTAATTATAGAAAATGTAACTTTTGAACAATTTATATTGGACATCCATGGGCAAAATAATGAATGTAAGCATCATACCTTATGTAAAAATTAACTCAAAATGGATCACAAAGTTAAATGTCAAAAGTAAAATTATAAATGTTTTAGGAAAAAATGTAGGAGAAATCTTCAGAATCTAGGGTTAAGCAGAGTTTTTACACTTGACACCAAAAGCATAATCAATAAAAGGAAAAATGGATAAATTGAACTTCATTAAAATTAAAAACTTTTGCTCTCTAACAACTTAAGAGAATAAAAAGAGAAGTTGCATAGCAGAAGAAAATATTTGCAAACCAAATGTCCAACTAAAGATTAATATCTAGAACTCTCAAAACTCAACAGTAAATACGTAAGTATTTCAATTTTTAAAATGAGCAATCAACATGAAGGACCATTTCACTGAGGATGTATGGATGGCACAAAAGCACATGAAATGATGTTTAAACTCACAGGTATTAGAGAAATGCAATTTAAAACCACAATGAGATATTTCCGCACACTTAGCAGAATGGATAAAATAAAAAAAGAAATAATGACAACACGAAATGCTGGTGAAGGTGCAGAGAAACTGAATCACTGGATTTCTAGAAAGACTGTAAAATCATACAGCCACTTTAAAAAACAATATAGCAATTTTAAAACAACTGAACACAATTAAATATGTAACTACATTTCTGTAATTCAGTAAATGCATTTCTGGGCATTTATCCCAGACAAAGAAAAAACATGTGTTTACACAAATACTTCTACATGAATATTTGTAGCCCCCAAATGGAAGAAGCCCAGATGTCCTGCAATAGATGAATGGCTAAACAAACTGCAGTGCATCTCTATCATGGAATATTAATCAACAATATAAAGGAACAAACTATAAATAAACACATTCATGTGAATGAATCTCTGGAGAATTATGCTGAGTGCAAAAAGCCAATCTTAGAAGATTACATGATCACATTACATCATCCCATTTACATAAAATTCTTGATACGACAAAAATATAAAAATAGAGAACATATTAGGGATATCAAGGTTTAAGGACGGGGTGGGAATATGAGGAAAGTTGATGCGGCTCTAAAGGGGCAACACAAGGGATCCTAGTGGTGAGAAAAATGTTTTCTGTCTTGACTCTATCAATCCACAATCAAGCCACTATCTTGACTCTAATGTTGTACTACAGTTTCGCAAGATGTTACCTGTGAGGCAAACTGGGTAAAAAGTATAAGGACTCTCTCTGTATTATTTCCTACACTGAAAGTCAATCTACAGTTACCTCAAAAGGAAAAGTTTAATTAAAAAATATTGCAGAATTCAAAAAAGTGGATGGAGCAAATGCAAAACAAATACTAAGATGGTGGAACTAATGCTAAATTATTAATCATTATATTTGATATATAATATTCCATTTAAAAAACAAAGGCTGCGAAGCTGGATAAAATAAAGAGCAAAGCTAATTTATATACTGCTTACAACAGATATCTTTAAATAGAAAAAAACATAATTTTTGAAAGAAATAGGGTGGTAAAAAAGCTATACCATGAAACACCAATTGAAAGAAAATTGGTTCCGTTTCCTTATACTAGGCAAAGTCAATTTTAAGGCAAGACATATTAGAACTAGAGATAGACATTTTATGTGATAAAAGTGTTAATCTACTGAGAAGCATAACAATCCTAAATATGCGTGTACCTACTAACATAGTCTCAAAGTATAAAAACAAAACCTGACAGTTTTGATTGGAGAAATGGATAAATCCATAATTGCTGGATATTTCAGCACACCACTCTCAGTATGTGGCAGAACTGTTGGGGGAGGAGGAAAGTAAATTGCAAACTATGTGCATAAGCCATCCTATTTTTTCTTTACATACACATGTGAAACCATATTATACATTACAAAGGGCAGAGAAATAAAAAGCAGTCAGGGAGGATTAACTTTCTCTCTGTATCCTCCAAATTGCTGAAATGTTCTAGTAACATGTTTTAATTTCATCAAAAGTTTAAATATGATTTTCTATTTTTTCCGTTTAATGCTTTCAGAATTTCAACATTTATAGTACAAATGATAAAAGAAAAAAACAGCAACGAAAATACTCAGTTTTCTTCATTGTTACTCACATCCTTCTAATGTTTGTTTGCCTCGTGTCTTTGTCCAATTTGACAATATGCCAATTGAGTCAGGACCATGTCTAATTTGGTAATTGGAGGGCTGTGCATACCATTATTGCTGCCTAGCAAATGTTGCGATATAATCAGAGTGATAAGATGGGTCAGGTTTCCACATCCGTTAAACAGATATAAGGGGATGTTGTGGATATGTCTTCTTGATACTGTTTAGCTTTAATCTACTATTGGATTAATAACTTACTAGCCTGGACATGCAATGAAAACATTTTTTCTAAATTGTGTACAAATCTGGTAAAAAGCTGAATTTGTAAAGAGTCCAGCACTAATGGATTGGAAAAGTGTAAAATAGTTGGGATGGAAAAACTATGCAAGAAGAAACTCCTGTGTAGATATGAAGCCAAACATTTCCCAAAGCAAAGATGGATGTTATGTCTTTTATTACAAGGTTTCCTTTCTTTGTTTTTCTTACTGCTGTGTCCTCAACACCTTGAATAGGGCCTGTAATATAATAGATGCCGATTATGAGTTCAATTGTGTCCCTGAAAAACATACGTTGAACATATTCCAGTAATTGTGAGTGTGAACTTATTTGAAAATAAAGTTTTTGCAGTTGTAACCAAGTTCATATGAGATTTATTATTGTGGGCCTTGAACCAAGATGATGATGTCCTCTTAAGAAAAGAAGACAGAAACACACAGAGAGAATGTCATGTGACAGAAATTGAAGAGATGCAGCTTGAAGCCAAGGAATGCCCAGGATTGATGACCACCACTAGAAATAGGAATAGGTAAGAAAGGATTCTACCCAGGGTCTAGGGGATAAATGGCCCTGCTGATCCCTTGATTTCAGACTTCTAGTCCCCAGAACTGAGAGAATACATTTCTCTTATTTTAAGCTCCCCAGTTTGTGGTACAGTAGTCCCTCAGTATCTGTGGGAATTGGTTCCAGGACACACCATGGGTACTAAAATCCACAGATGCTTAAGTACTTCATATAAAATGGTGTATATAATATTTGCATACAACTTATGCTCATCCTACTGCACACTTTAAATCATCTCTACATTACCTGTAATACCTAATACAATGTAAATACTATGTGAACAGTTATTACACTGTGCTATTTGGAGAATAATGACAAGAAAAAAAACTGTTCATGTTTAGTACTGATGCAACTATCCATTTTTCTTTCAAATATTTTCAATTCACAGTTGATTGAATCCATGGGTTTGGAACCCACATGCTCAGAAGGAAAAGCAGTTGTACTTTGCCATGACAGTCCTAGGAAACTAACACAGCGCCCAATAAATAGTTGTTTTGCGAAGTATGAGGTAAATTACATTCTCATGTTAAGCCTTCATTTAAAATTTATTAGAATGGTGTTATCAATGGACACAGAATAAACCTACTTTGGATGAAATGAAAGGATCTAAGAAAACATTTCATTTGTGTCTAGAGGAATTTTCATTTTCCTATAATGCTTCAGTAAATAATCTCAAATTATTTGTATTCAGCTTCATAAATGAAATAACTTCATGGATACATATTTTGTAAGGGAGTCATAAAAATCTGAAGAGCAAAATAAAATAATTCTGAGTCATATTTGTGTATGTGTGCCCATTTAAAGGCAGTATCATTAAAACTTTCTTGAGTATCATTCATTTACCAAGCACTATGAGATGGTCTTTTCACATAAGGCATTTCATTTGAGGGAAAGTATAAAGCCTTTCCCCAAAACTGTTATAAAGGGCAGCACCTGCATCCAAAATTAGGTGTTCTCAGCTCTGATCTGAGTCTTTTATTTTCTTACATAAATACAGTTTTTTAATTAATTAATTCAAAAATTCATTAATATTTCATTAAATAAATATTGATTAGGCCTTATGATAAGTACGTGTATTTTTCTTTAAATCATATTGTAAACATTTTTCATGAGTCATCTCCAAATCATTTTGAAAAGAGTTAAATTATTTAAAAATTCAATAAATTGCCAAATAAATTTTCATTGGAAGATAATTTTAAAGGCAATGTGGTGGTACAAAGAAGAGATAGATGCAGATCAAACCTGAAACAAAAACTTGATGGAAGCAATAGCTAAATACAAAAATAATCACAATCCAATGTAGATGTTGATATGCCACTGGTAAATTACTATAGGAATGCTGAGATGAAATAACAATTCGTCTGTAGTGACATCTTGCTATATTCAAGGCACTGAGCTAATCCAGTGAATAGTCACTATCAGTTTATATGGCAGGTAATCATATTGTTTCCATTGCACAGATGAGGCTACTTAGAGAAGTAAAGCAACTTGCCCAAGAAAACATTTCTAATGAAGGTAGAGTTAGAATTTGAACCCAGATCTGCCTGACTACAGCATTCATGCTTTGATCCACATCTTTACTGCTCCTTTTTGAACAAAGCCTTCTCTGATTTCCCTGATTTTAGGATATGATTTCATGCACTGTGATATTTTTACACATGGGTACAAATTGAAACTTGTAAATTAATAGATAGTACAAGTTGAATACCCTGAAATCTGAAATGTTCTGCAATGTGAAACTTTTTGAGTGCCACCATGACGCCACATTCCATACATGACCTCATGCAACAAATCACAGTCAAAACACAGTCAAAATGTTGATTCATGTATACAATTACTAAAAACATTATATAACATTAACTTAAGGTTATGCGTATAAGATATATATGAAACATAAATGGATTTTATGTTTAGACTTGGATCCCATCCTAAAGATTTCTCATTATGTATATGCAAATATTGCAAAATCAAAAAAAATAAATCCCCAAATCCAAAACACCTCTGATCCTAAGCATTTAGGATGAGGGATACTCAACCTGTGCTTCAGATATAATTCTTTCATTTAGTTTCCAAGTGTTCAGTGAATGCAATGAAAGAAACACTTTCACAGTCTGGAATGATTTTTTCTACCAAAAGATCTTAATGTATTTGGAAAACTGCCTTATTTCTCCTAAGAGGCAATAAATAATTTCCCCACAAGTTTATTCTCATGTTGCTATTGGCCCCGAGATTTCCCTTATGAAGACTGACCTCCAACATTTATACAGTCCCAAAACCCCTTTTTGATGAAATATCCTTTAGGTCACATTTTCTGCAGTCTGCCTGAGCATCCAAAAAATACAACTGGTACCAAGCAAAGTAAGCTATTAGGGACAGTGATGGTGAGAATGTCCTGTTAGTGGTAACCTGAAAGACTCCCAGCATTTTTCTTTCTAGTATTCAACTTTCCAGCTCTAGTTTTCTACCTTACTCTTAAAGCCATCACTGAGTCCATTCTCAAACCAGGTGCCTACGGCTGAAGCCAATGCCTGGTTCTCAGGGGAATACTTTCTCTGAAGAGCAGGTATTCTAAAACTCACGCTGCAGCTCTTCATCCACAACAGTGTCAGGAGAAAGAGATGGTTTCTCAGAGTTCTTTCTACTTTTTATTATTAGTTTATGCACAGTTTTGATCATGACTGACTAGAAGGACTGTAACCTGTTTCTCTCTTGCTGTCTGCTGCTAGGATGTACAGTAATGGGTAGAAGGGTAAGGCATAAGTTGGAAAATCTTAGAGAAGAAACTAAGAGTTGTTTTCATTTCTGTTTTCTTAGAATACAGAGACTTTATGAAATAAAGTATTTGCAAACTTATTCAAGAGGATAAAAAGGATATTTTACAAAGAATTGTACAGCGAGTATCAAGGTGACTATAGTTTTACTATTGATCATTTTTTTTAACGCTGAAGGACTTTGTAACACTTGTGATATATAAAAAAAAAACTTCCAACACTATGCCTTATATATAAAAGATGCTTAACAAATCTTTGAGGAGAAAATTAGAAAGTAATATAAAGGGGAAATTAATCAATACAAGGTTGTTTTCTATCAGCATGCCTCATCAGATCATTATCTATCTATCTATCTATCTATCTATCTATCTATATCTGTTTTGGAATTTCTCATTGGAATCAGTTTTATTTTTTAAATACAACACAGGTCCTTGAGGCTACTTTATATTTTTAGAGTATTTCAAGCGTCATCCTGAATATTGTTGGTAGCATAAGAAAATAAGCAGTTGTAAATAGTTCAAAAAATTTAGAGAAGAAACACATTTTCATTCCAAAACAAACACCTGTGTTACAACTGGGTATAACCAAAAGGCCTTCAGGTTTATCCCAACCTTTTATATGTCTAAAGATTAGAAAACTGTCAGATGTCTTATTATGTAAAACTAATACATGCTGTATGAATAAAACCTAAAACATATGGAGAAAGTATTACGTTCCTAGTAACAGAGATCATCCATGAAAGCAGACGAGCATTAATCAGGGATTAATTCGCAGTTGAATGCTATAAAACTTAGAGAATTTCTCCAAAACATGAGATGAGTAATTAAATTTATCCAAAAGATGAGTGAGTAAATCTTAATTTTTTTAACCAAAAATTAATTTACATTTGAACTGGTAGAACTTTGCTTGTCTACTATGTTACCCATTTGCAAAAACTAGTTGAATAGGCGTGCTGAAATTTTCTGGTATGGAATCATGACTCTAAAATACCTGGCAATGCCATGAAATATACAATACAAATTTTTAAATAAAAAGCTAGTTTCAGGACTTTAGGTGGTTACTTTTAAAGCCATCTATTGCTGAAGTCTTATGTGGGATTTACAAACAGTGAGTCTCTAAATCTCCTAATATTTCTCAACTCTTGAAAGACTTTCTTTAAATTCACATAGAGATAATTAAAATTCTCTTAACAAAAGTAACTTTACATTTTTGGCAGGCATTTCTGTGACACCAAAAATACATTTTTGGAATGAATGAATACCAACAGATGCAATATTTAAAACTTCCCAATTCATAATATAACCAAGGCTAAAAAAGTAATTTTCTTACTGACACAATAATTTAGACTTAATCCCCTTCTGGGGAAATAGACTTTAAATGTAGATGTATGAGACACTTGTACTGCCTTTTTCCGAAGTCTTTAATTGGCTGAAAATATTTCTAAGTAGGGCAAATCATTAGATCTTTTTTAACCATTCCAGCATTTTAGTATGTATGGGAGGGAAGAATGCCTAAAGAGTCTCAGGAGACATGCCCCTTCAGGGATGAAGCACAGATTGGGTTTGGTAGCTTGAGCCTCCTCGACAACACATGACATGCTAGGAAGACAGAGATGGAGGACTGAGAGCAAAGAGACACTGGGTGCTGAAAGATGACAGCTAATGGACAAAAACAAACAAATAAACAAAAACTGTACGAGGAAGGGAGGCTTGCGCACCACAAACTCTCTATTTGCATAATTGCTATCAGATATCTCATCTTATTTCCTTCATACTGTTAGTCAACAAAGAGTCGCTATTATCTGTGATTACACTTTTCTGTAAAGTTCCTTTATACCACCTGTAAGAGACATGTACTAATCAATAAGCTTTCTTTAATAATATTTTTACAATTTTAAAATATCTTGCTTGAGTTGAAGTAATCAGAGATTCTAAATGAGGAATTAAATAACAAGAGAAGTCTGAAATTTGGGCTCTCGATTCAGTCTTGTTAAATAGCCAACACCACAGCCAATTTCAGGTGCAGGCAACATCCCCCTCTTTAGTAAATGTAAACTCCAGCCTAATCTCTGGTGTTGATATGCAATCCGCGAAATTTTGCCAGCAGACTGTGGGAACTCCCTCGTATCAAAGCCTGATGCCATGCTAAGGTTTTTTCCAAATAGAATGGAGAGAAAACAACTATAAATCAAGCTGTTCTTTGTGAATCCAATTCAAGATCCCCTTGTGTTGTGAGAAAATGAGGATGTTTATATCTAAAGGAGGTTATAATGGTAACTGTACCAGATGTAGACTAGCAGGAATTGTGGATATACTGTGTGTGGGAAAAAGATGCTAAAATTTTGCTTCTCAAATTTGTAAAAACAAAAACAAACAAACAAAAAACTACTCCGAATCAAAACCAATAAACAAAACAATCCAGCAGGAATAATTAAATTATTGTAAGTAACAATGAAAATACTTACTTTTTAAAATCTAAATTATATTGTTTGTTAAGAACTATTGAGAGAAATATATGTATCATGTGTCTGCACAGAAATACAAATAGGTCAGCATGATTTGGAGTCTCTTCAAAGCATAAAATGCAAAATAATTCTTTTCTCTATCTCCTTATAACTCACAGTTCTTACCAGACTTAAAGAGAATTGAACTTGAGTAATAGCTCCATTAGAGCTCTTTTCCGGGAGCCAGTTCCCGTGGTCTCTCTCTGGGTCCAGCTGCTGATGACTCACAGAGGAAGTGATAGAGATTAGGGTGTATGGGGGGAAAAATCAGAACAGCACAGAAATAAAGCAAATCAACCAACCATTACCTTTGTGCCAAACAGAACAATGGTTTAACTACTGTGGTTCAGAATGATCCTTCTGATTCCACTCATTTATGCTATTCCCGTTGGAAGGACCACCAGGAAACCTGTGAACCACTGTGGAACACACACCGGAATCTATGGCACATCTCAATTAATATTCCCTCCTGACTCAACTAGAACAATGAAGAACATCAAGCAGTTTAATCTCCGGCAATAATTCCTTTTGTTAAGTTGAGAGGTTTACCCCTTGAATTAGGTTCAAGATCGGATTTTCAAAATTAGTTAGTTATTCTATGTATTGTAAAGCAGAGAGCCCAGATTTTATAAACACATGCATACGTCTAGGTGGAACATAATGAAGTCTGTGTGTTAGTTTGGGCTTTGCTACTCTCAGTAATTTTTACTTTCTCTGAAATAAAATTAGTATTTTATTAGCAAACAATTGTAACTAAACTGCACAGTTGTTAAAACTCTTTTTACAATTTTCTTTAATGGGTTGGGAATGTAAATAGATACTTTATATCACCCAGTAAAATTAAATTTGATCAGGAAGATTTTAAAGGACTGCACTGCAGATTCTTAGCTTAGTTACTGATGAAATGAAATATTTCAGTAAGTTAAAAAGCCTGCATGTTCTCAAATTTGTATTATACATATTATATACTTTATGTTCTCAATGTTTGTAAGATATACATTGTTTATAAGACATACATTTCTGTCTCTCCCTCTCTCTCTCTCTCTATATATATATATTCCTTAATTAGAATACTAATTAAGAGATAAGTGTTTTTTATGTGATCATGTCCAGAAAGGGGACTCACTGAGAAATTAACTTTAAATTATACACATATTAGAAACTTTGGTTTTAGTTTTTGATGGATGTTACTTCTCTGAGAAAAGTAATAGCAATTTCCCTATAATATCATATGTTTAGATTATTCAAAATAAACTTTGTGGGATATTTTTTAAAAATTAGTCTTAAACTTTGTTTTATAATAATATGAAAAAACATATTCTATTGAGGCCCCTGTATTAAATAAAACCCATCTACATGTATGAAATGATTTATAGATAAAGTATTCATGTTTACAGACGTGTAGATAAAAGGTTTATGTTCTATTGATATAAAAATCCTTAAAATAATATTTTATTTTGCCAATTCTGAAAATAAAATAAGATTTCCAAAGTAAAAATTCCTTAATCTGATTGATTTCAAGAGATTATTTTACCAAATTCACAAAGTTTTAACATTTAAAATTTTAATATTAGTTAATTTAAATAACTTTGATTTGTGAGTAAATCTGCATAAGTGATATCATCCACAAGGATCATTATTTTTTATTATTTTGCCAACATGATTTGTTAATTAATCTTTCTAAGACTATCTCTAAGTACATTGTAGAATCAGAAAACACTGAAAAATTAGATTTATCTAATATTGAACACAGTGTTTATTCACATTTCCTTGGGAAGTAAAAATCGTTTGAGAAAATTTCTGAAACTAGAAAAACAACTCAATCAAATTTCTAGGTATTGTCTGATTTGGTTAGCCATGTAGAAATTTGTCCTTATAGTAGAACATAATTCACTGAAATTTAAAAATCAAATAGCCAGATTTATAATGTCTGTTCTCTGTCTCTGGACTTGCAGTTGCCCAGTGCAAACAGGAACCTAATGTCTATGTGAATTGGTTTGCCCAGGTAACTATTCTTCAGAATGCATATTTAGTCATCCTAATGCTGTGTATATACCAAGTGCCTCACAGCTTTGGCCTGTTCTGGGTCTCAAGAAACCTTACCAACTTATTTAGATGGTTTGCTTCTGCCTACTCTGGATTTCCAGTTTCTCATTTTGAGGAGAGAGAATTAGATTGGCCTAACATAGTATTTGTCCATTAGCTGTGGACAGCAAGGAATAGAGTCTTCGAGAAAGAAGTTGAGAGTGGGGAGATGGTTATTATCATGAGTGGGCAATAATGTGTGAGAAATGCTGTGCTAATAATAGTGTTTACTCAGCAAATATTTACTGCACAGCTACGACGGATCAGGCATTCCTTTAGGCATCTGCAGATTTAGAAAGTAATAGGAGCTGCATAAAATCAAGATTAATTTTTTCTGTGATGTTTGGTGGAGATAAATCACCAATATATGGCATCTTTTGACCCAAAAAGATGCCAATTGCATGGAATTCAACTGCATATGTGTTTATACTTTTATGTTTATGACATAAAAGTATTTTATACTTATAAATAATTACTTATAATTTACACAGAAAAAATAAGTGTTTTGTTCCTACCATAGGATAGTTATCAGGCTTTTTTCTAACACATAATTTGACCATGTATTCTACTGACCTCTCCATTATATGCTCCTTTTAAATCATTTTGGGGCAAACATATGGGAATTTTACACTATGATCCTTTGAAGGCAAAAATCCCCACATATATTTTATCCTGTACTTAGTATGCTATCTTAATGTTTAATTAAGTTGTTGCTTTGTATGGTTACAATAAGGAGATGATCAAATATGATTTCACAAATCACACAGTTTATTGTCATACAAATAATTTTTTCTTGCATTCACAATGCTTAAACGGGGAAAATAATGAGAACAAACCTCACAGGGAATACATTAGATAAATCAGGTACATTAACCACAAAGTGAGTGAGTTCCAAAATTATTAAAGTCTAGATGCTCAATTAGGATGGAAGCTGGCCTCTGTGGGAAGTAAAGTCTGATTAAAGTTTGAGGTGTACCTTTATAGAGCAGTTCTCCAACACAGTGAAGACCTATGATACATAAGGTTCTCTCCATGCTAGAAACCAGTGCCTGGGTCAATGGGCAAAGTTTTGGAGAATGGCTCAAAGGCTGACAAATGTAGTCTGCCACAGTTTAAAATCTCAAAGTGTCTGTCAAGATCTTGAATCTATATGTATTTCGAAGTCCAGTGGGTTGAGGCTAGTAAGTAACATATGGAATCTGACAAAATGTGATGTAACATTCCTGAGGAAAGAGGGAGTTCACTCTAAGTTCTCACACATGGAATCTAATGTCACCCTCTAGAAGAAAGGAAAAATAAACTCCAAATTTTTATTACAACAAAACATGTATCATTCATGTAGCCAATTATAGAAGTGTTTGGAATCATTTCCAAGCTATACAACAGGAATATTGAATGAATGTATATGTCTACATGTGCTTATATATTAGGAGTGTGCATTTTTACACCCACGTGTGTGTTTCAGCTTATAGTCACACTTACACACTCTTCATAAACTTCAGTATATTGAGTGCCAAATAACTCATTGTCTACCACAGGGGTCTTGACACTTTTTGATCAGGTGATAACTTTGCTTGATTTAGCCAAATGCTTGAAAAAAAATGACTATTTTTAGTTTTAATACATATATTTCTAATTACACTAATATATGTAGTATACTCCAAAAGTTAGAATGAAATGGTCTAGAATAAACAAAATGTTAAAGTATCTACTTTACTTATTAATGTTGCCAACTCTATTACTCAAACAATATTTGATGGAAGTCATGCCATTTGTTAGTATTTGCGATTTAAATGTGCTACTTTCATAATTTGAAATGTAGACATTTATTCAAAGTTCTAGTTTTAAGTTCAATTTGTATTGATACCTGCTTACTGTCACCACTGAAACAGATACTTCTCAAAGACAAGTAGTCCCAAATGGAAGAAGTGTATTATTGGTCTCTCTTACTAAATCAGAATGCTAATTTTTAAATCTCTTCTCTAATTATGCAAAGATTTTTGTTGAAATTCACTTGAATTTGCACGATGAGTATGTTCAGCTGCATTTTCTTTGCAGGAAACCTGTAAAGTCACTTGTCAATTTTGTGATGGTTAGTTTAATTAAAACTAAGTAACATAGTTAACAAAGCCACTTAACTATACACTATATGGAAATACATCCAAAGTAAAAAGATGTCTTGATGATTCCTCCATTGATACCTTCATGCTGTGAACTTACTCTCTTGCCCTAGGGCACATTGCACAAAGGTTCTTGACACAGGACAGTGTGAGGACAGGGATGTCAATTATATATTAAATATTAATAAAGTATAATATACTTCTTTTTCAGGTAAAATGTAAATATGTAACTTAAAGTTCAAATATTTTGTTTTCACACTTGAAGCAATTGTCTAGTTTACCTAGGTGCATACAACCCACTTGAAAGGCCATGGGCCACGATCACTGACAATGGCAAACTCACAAAGCCTACCAAGCAAATAAATGTTAAATTCTTCCTTTATAAATACTAATTTTTCTCAAAGCATTTACTTCATTCATTTTAGCGAATTTGGATAGGCTTAAAAAAATTCATTCAATTTTGAAATAAGTGTCTATTCAGGGAGGGGAACATCACACACGGGGGCCTGTTGGGTGATGGGAGGCAAGGGGAGGGAGAGCATTAGGACAAATACCTAATACATGCAGGCTTAAAACCTGGACGACGGGTTGATGGGTGCAGCAAACCACCATGGCACACGTATACCTATGTAGCAGACCTGCACGTTCTGCACATGTATCCCAGAACTTAAAGTATAAGAAAATAAAATAAAATAAATGTCTATTTACTATGTCCAATAAATGTATGTATAAATCCACCACGGCATAAAACATATTGATTTCCCTATGAACTGTTAACTTCTTAAATTACTCTTGTTTACAATTAGTAAAAGTAGGATTTTAATTGCTAAATTGATTATAAATTGAAGTGCTTAATAATTCTCAAATTTGGGGCATTTCTATACATCTTGGTTGGAAAGAAATAGTAAACTTGTTCTAATTTTATCACTATTATATAGCATATACATTACTACTATAATTATTATTAGGAATATTATTCTTAATTTCCAAATCGTGCAGCTGAGATAAAATAATAGCTTTCCCCAGGTCTTTTAGTTAAAAATTAAATATTTTACTCTTAACTATTCATCTACACATTTTGTTTACGAAAAAAAGTACCCCACACGTTAAATATTTTATTCCCTAAGTTATCTTCAATAGCTGCTGTGCTTATTCATGATTATTTCTAATTAATTTTAAATGCCATTTAATAGCCATTGTTCCAACAAGTACAGATGAATTAGGAGACATAATGATTTTATTGTACAGAGAGTAGCCTGTGTAAACTCTCAAATTAAACCCACACTGTAGTCAAAACTCATTTGATGTTTGCATTTCCTACTTTATAGATGAGATGGTCTCAAAAGGCAGAATAGGCTAAAGATGTGTTGGACAACTCTATAAGTGCAGTCTCAAGACTCTTGTCATCTTAGCTGTCTAAATTACTTCAACAGGACTCAAGGGAATTTAAAGGGGAGAAATGACATGACAAACAATTATATTCTAACACTCTATTTATAACAATGCCCTTTCAGATTATTGTTCCTCTAGACTGACACATCACTGTAATCCCAGGGATGAATCAAGGGACTTAGAGTTAGATCACGCACAGCTTGTAGGCAAAGAAAAAAAAATACGAATGAAGAGCTGACATTCAGGAAATATAGAGTGACTCAAGGATAAATTCAGCTGGGATGAGCTTAATTTATCAATGTCAATAACAACGGTGAACACATCACTAGCATACATGCATATTAATTGAAAATAATTCAGATTAAATCACTGCAGTTTGACATTTTGAGATAGGCACTTTATCTTTTCAAGAAAAAGAGCACTATAAAATCTTTAATCTGAAAACACATCTTAATTGCATGTTATCACCTCCTAATTGCTTCTATATTATATTAAACATTTTGCTAATTACTAGCCTGATCATGGTGTAAATAGCTTGAGGCAAGATCTCACATCCAGCTGAAGACTACCAGGCTCAGTAGGGCCAGGAGGAAGTTCAGCACTCAGTGGATTCAATGGACTTGTATCTTCTTCAGGGGCCACTAACCTTTAATTCAGGTTTCTGGTGAGATAAAGAGATAAAGAGGCAATGGTAAAGATTAGAGATGTTTTATTCAGCTGTCAGATTCTAATATTATTCTTGGAAAAAGGTGGTCTTCTTTCTGATATTACAGATATGCTTTCAGTTGTGGCATATGAGTTCTTGCCTTCATAATAAAAATAGGCTCAGCGAAAGGCAAAGTTACATCTACTTTTAAAGTTTTATCTTTGAGGTATTTGTCAGTATAAGGTCTTGCTAAATATCAATTCCTTATTTGGAATTTTTGGCCAGTATGTGTGTAAAATATTTTATATATAATTAGAATTTAGAGTCCTTTTACAAAGTAGTAAATAATTTAGGATAGGTAAAATGTCTATTACTGAATGACAAATGTTTCTCTGAGAAAAAAATTAACCAAATAGTGACTAAATTTAAATAGTGACTAAATTTTTCATATCATCAAAAATATACACAAACAAAAAGATAAAAATAAGCCTGTATAGTAATAACATTTTTTAAAGTTTATTAAAGCAATTAAATAGTGTTTTTTGACACAATGCTTGGCAAAGGCTTTCTCCTTTCTTCTTGTCCTCCTTCTCTTCTTCTTAAGTAATAATGCCTAATTTTTGCAAGAATTTAAGAAATTGGGATGATTCCACAATATTTTTTGGAGCAAAATTGTCAAGACATAATAAAAGGCTAAAAATGTTCCAAATAGTTTAATATATCTATTCCACTTCTAAGAATTTTTGTGT
Organism: Homo sapiens; assembly: GCF_000001405.40. Lineage (NCBI taxonomy): Eukaryota > Metazoa > Chordata > Mammalia > Primates > Hominidae > Homo > Homo sapiens. The sequence goes on along the minus strand of NC_000003.12, from coordinate 148,029,876 downwards.
GGAATTCATAATGGGAAAATAATAATCAGGGCATTATTGATTAGTTATAAAAAACAATAATGCAATAGAACATTATACTATTGTAATAGGCATTTGAGATATTGATCAATATTCCAGTTTTTCTCTTTTCAGGATCATGATAGACAGGATTGCATCTCTCCTTTGAAGGATCATGATAGGATAGAAAGGATCATGATACATAGGATTGCATCTCTCCTTTGAAGTTACTTATGGTCGTGTGACTTTCAAAGCAACTATTATGAACTGAATTATGTCTCCCCAAAATTCATGTGTTGAAGTCCTAGCCCCCAAAGTTACTATATTTGCATATTAGGCATATAGAGAGGTAATAATAATTAAATTAGGTCATCAAGATGCTACTCTATCTGGTTAGAAGTTTAGAAGAGGAAGAGTCACTAGATCTCTCTCTCTCTCTCTGTCTCTCTGTGCAGAAGAAAGGCGATGCATGTGAAGACGAGATGCAAAGTCACCTGTTTATAAATCCAAATTAGAGGTTTTCCCAGAAACCGACACTGAAAGCATCCTGGATTTTGAGCTTCCAGAACTGGGAAAATAAGTATCTGTTGCTTAAGCCACTCAGCGAGTGGTATTTTGCTCTGGTAGTCCAAGCAGACTAATGCAACAACTCACAATTGGTAGTATTGCATGAGTGAGAAAAATAAACGTTTTTTGTTAGTTTATTTTAAGCCCCTGAGATTTAGGGACTTTTTTGTTGCCATGGCACAATCTAGCCTAGTCTGATTAAAACATAGCCATTTTGCTTATCTGTTTTACACAATATTTGCCATAAAATAAACAAAAATCAATTTTATAATATAAAAAAGAAAACAATTTTACTATCAGTAAAGAAATATTAAGAACAAACTAGATTGTTACTCTAAAATAGTATAATAAAATAAATTATCTAATTATCAGAAAAACTTTTGAGTTAAACCACTTCTTATTTTCTCCTGTACTTTTCTTCTTTGTGTGTGTATGTGTGTGTGTATGTGTAATATAAATACTATGTTCCATGTAAACCTTGCTGTGACTACATGTTTCTGCTTCCACTATTATTGATATAATTGCCTCTAAACATTTGCTGCATTAATATTGTTTAAAGATTTTTGAAGCAGTTCCTCAAGTTTCTGATTTCTTTTTTAATTTTGTGACACTGCATCTGGTTTATTTGCTTCCATGTTGGCACTGATTTTCCCTTAATTATCCAGAGAACAAAAGATTATCTTTAATAAAGAAAGAGAAAATAATAAAAGAGAATATAAAACATTAGAGGAAATTAATCCCCCTCTTTCCACTGAATGATATTTGTATGATCTTTTTCCAGATATTTTATTATATTCTCTCTTTAATAATAGCTTAGTGCTGTTTCAAAAAATCTTTTTTAACATTGTCCTCCTTTGCTTGCTTTTAGTTGTCTATAATACTTCTGAATATTATGGGAGAAAAAATATCTTACCTAAGATTTTAATTTTTTTTCAACAATTTATATGCAATTTGCTCTTAACCTATGTCCGCATGTATCTGTGTCTCTCCCTGTTCCTAAGGTGTGGTTCTCTGGAATTTTTATCCCATGTAATTTTCTACTGTGTTTCATTTTAAATGCAAATATAATACTGATGGCATTAGGTAATTGTGAGGGTTAAATAAACAGAGCCAAGTCCTTAGTGGATTTCATTAAATACTAGTACTCTTTTGCTTCCTTTTTTCCTTTACCTTAAAGTGATAGGAAATCACTTTAAAATTATTTTCTTCAGTTAATAAATGCTATCACTTATTTAAGCTGTTCTTACATTGTCTCTTTTATACCACCACTCTGTGACTTTTCTTCATAGCCACATCTTTCAAAATTGCTCGTCTTTTTTTCTTTCCTTTTCCCTTTTCTCTCTTTCTTGTTAAAAAAAATTATGCTCTGAGATTCTGTGCAATCCTCTGCTGTTTAGGTTTGATTTTTTGTATTTGATGAAAGAATAATTATACATAAATATTTCAAATTAATATTTCTGTGTTCTGGATTTTTCATTGGTATGTCTAAACTAAGAAGGGAAGTCTTGTCAATATTTTAAAAACACAAATAATTGCTCTTGGATGAAACTTACACTAATCTTTCAACTTTGTACCGAATGTGGAACCTTGCAGAAGGTTCTACTCAACATGTTTGCTTCATATGCCCAGTACTACAGTACAGATACTATTGGCTGGAATATTTTATCTCATCTATATTCAAATGTAATGTACAATAGCTAGTTATTCCTGATAGAAATGATACTAAGTAGTAAAATGTAGTCCATTAACTGTGTTCTACATATATAAATATAAATATGTTATGTACATATATTTATATAGTAATTTTAATAATACAAATTATGTTATGTATGTGTAGCAGCAGAGGCTATGCCCTTCTGAATAGATGAATTTTCTTCAGAAGACACTATTATATTTTTCTTGGTGAAGCTTTCATGTAAGTGGAAGTTACTCCTCCTCATCCCCTTCCTGCTCCCTTTTCTAAGAGCTAAGGCTGGTGTCTGCCAATTTGACGGGAGAGTATAATTTTGCTTAGATTAAATTAAAATTCTGTCTTTTCAATTTTGACCAAGAGAAACAAACGTTAATGAAGATTTAGTCAACATGAGAAGATAAAGCTATTTTTGAGCAACTATATAGTTATTTCTATAGAATCACATAGTTTTAAGGTGGAAAAGGACAGAGAAATCATCTAGTTATTTTAATTTTACATATAATGAGCATGAGAAAATGAGAGCATTAGTAACTTATCTACAATAGTTTTACAGAAGTATTTAGGCCTGATAAATAATTTAGTCACCAATCGTTATATTTGTTCTGTACTATCCAAACAGAGGGGGCCAGTCCAATGTTTTTTGTTTTCTACTTATATAGACCATAGAGAAGCCTTTTAAGTTTTATGTAAACAGATTCAGAATCAACTCAGGGACCATGATGTTGAAAATATACATGAAAATAAGATGTTAACAATTATTCAAAGGTGTTAGGCAGCCCAGACTAAAAATCAAGTGATGTTAGCCTTGTTTCAAGCTAAAGAAATTTTGAGGACCATAAATAGCGGTAGTTTTGTAGACCTCTGTGAGTTATTCCAAAGTTTGAGGCATGTTTTTTCATTGAGGTATGTATGTAAATCAGCATGTTAAATGGCATAGCTTTGTTTAAAACTTACAGAAGAATTTTCTCAATTTTTAAAGCAATGAAACTAATGTTTTCCTACTGCTAAAGTCATTTCTCTTTCCCCATAAATTTGAATTTAATCTTTCTAAAGCATTACTTTCATTACGTCACTCCTCTTTTAAAAGTCAGCAGAAGCTCCCCATTACACACAATAGAACCAAAATTTCCCCAGGCCACACCAGCCTATGGAAGCAAATGAGATCACATTAACATTAATAACTGGAATCTCACTGCCTTGTGCCCTCACAAGCATTACACAGGACCTAACCCTCTTGCAAAGCACACATCCCACCCAAGTAGTTCCAGAAGTCCCCAGAGAGTGTTTCACTCTTGCTCAAAACAAGAAAACTCCCACTGGGTATGGTTGCTCCCCTGCTTCGATTTGTATTTCTCCCATTCTACCACTCTTGTTTCCCCCAGGCTCTATAGGCAGGGCAAGCTCACGCTTCCTCTAGGCACTGCATGAAGGCAGATGCTGTAACTGTAAACCACAGTCCCGTTCTCAAATTAGCCCTGCTATCTCATCTCTGCCCTGTCATCTTATTCTCATGCTGGGGCCACTTCTGCTTTGAAGGACATGGAAGTTTCTGCTATGGAGGAAGACACTGCCGATGTTCATATGCCACCATTACTCTTTTGGACGCTGCCTTTTCTGGGTACCACCACCAATTTCCAACAGCTGCCATTAGCCCAAGGCTGTGGAGGGGTTTACAGTAAAGAACAGCACATGGTATTTAGCCTTGTATGGGCTATTGGCAATACTGCCTTTTTGCCAATGTTGTACAAAGTTTTCTTTCTTTCTTTTTTGTTTCTTTTTATTTTTTAGGACAGGAAAAATGGGAAGAGGGGAAAACATTTGTTTTATATTAATCAACTGCTATTTCCCATGATACTGGCCTGTGAGTTCTGAGACCTGCTCTAGGAGTGGCAACCCACTGCCTCTGTTAACTAAGATCCTCCCACAATCAAGGTTCACACTGCAAAATTAGTTCTTTGAAGAAGTTCTTCAGTTTACATTGTCAACATCTAAAGCCAGAGTCTGAATCTCATCTAGAGAGCCCAAGTCTGAATCTTACCTCATTTCACAGTGAAGTCTACTTTTTGACTGACATCCACAATTTTGGTCAATCCCATCTGTTCAACCCAATGCCTCATTTAACTCCTATATAATCCCTTTCTCCTTCCCAGGTAATCCTGACCATGGAGGTCCAAGTGTAAGCCATTCCCTAGAGCACTCTGTTTTTGCCTGCATCAAACTTTCCAACTGGTTCAATACTTCTCTGTAGTCTCAAAAATAAACCCGCTCCCATCAAGGGAAGTACAGAAATGTCTTAGGACAAACGCTATGGGCAGTGTCAACTGCAAATCCCACCTCTCTTCCTCTCCTCTCACCACTGAGTCTTCTCTTTCTTACCCTCCTCCCTTTGGTCTATCTCTCCCAAGATGTCTGACTCTCTCCATTAAAATTTGTCTTCTGACCTCTTATAGCTCGTTCCTTTCTTACAGAAAGCAATTTAGCTCCTACCTAACTTTTATCTCCAAAGTTGTATATCTACTACTCATTATACACCCAGTATTAGAAGACACTAGAACTTATCCTTCTTAAAGGGCAGTGTTTGCCCTTAGAAAATTATCTGCCACTGTTCCACAAAAATCTTTGAGTAAATGTAGCTAGACAAAATCACTCCTGGGGGATACCTGGCCTTATTAATGTCATGGATCAACCAATCTCCTTTTCTCCTAATGGGTTTAGTGAAACTCTACTCTAAGACCTTTTTGGGGTTCCTGCTGAATTAGTTTGCTTGGATTGCCATAACAAAATACAATAGACTAGGAGTCTTAACAACAGAAATTTGTTTTCCCCCAGTTCTAAAGGCTAGAAGTCCAAGATCAAGGTGTCAATAAGGTTAATTTCTTATAAGGCCTCTTTCCTTGGCTTATCGATGGATGGCTACCTTCTCCCTCTGTCTTCATATAGTCTTCCCTCTGTCTGTATGTTAGTCCTAATTTTCTCTTCTTGTAAGAACACCAGTCATATTGGGTTAGGGTCCACCCCAATGACCTCATTTTAACTTCATTACCTCTTTAAATACCCTATTTTCAAATCCAGTTATATTCTGAGCTACTAGGGGTTAGGACCTCAAAATATAAATTTTGTGGGACACAATTCCCATCCCATAACACCGGCTTTCATGCTTGCCTGTGATATGGTTTGGATGTTTGTCCTCTCCAAATCTCATGATGTAATGTGATCCCCAGTGTTGAAGGTGGGGCCGTGTATGAGGTATTTGGGTCATGGGGGCAGGTCTCTCAAGAACGGCTTGGTTCTTTCCTTGACGGAAGGAGTGAGCTCTCACTCTTAGTTTATGTGAAAGCTGATTGTTTAAAGAGCCTGATATCTCCCCCATTTCTCTCTTGCCCCCGTCTTGCTGTGTGACACACTTGCTTCTGCCTTGCCTTCCACTATGAGTAATAGCTTCCTGAGATCCTGACCAGATGCAGACGCTGGCGTCATGATTCTTGTGCAGCCTGCAATATCATGAGCCAAATAAAACTCTTTATAAATTACTCAGCCTCTAGTATTCCTTTATAGCAATGCAAAATGGACTAACACAGACTGGTTGTTTAGATATTTTGTGTCCTCCCTGCAGGGTACTTCTTTCTGCTCACTACGCCCCAAGCATCAGCTGGAACCATCATTGATTCTTTGGGGCCCTAAAGAAGGAGTGACCATCACCGATGTGAGACATTTTCATGGGCCCAACCCCTCCTCCATAACCCACACTCACTGGGGAAAGATTTTCATAAAGAGGACAACTTGCCTTCTTCATTCAACCACTCTAGTAAGTTTTCTTCCTACAAGGGGAAAGATTGAAGAAGCTGTCCATCTTTATTTTCCCCATTGGTCCGAATTGACTAGTCACGTTGTTTCCTCAGCTCATTTCTCAGCAAGGAAGGTCAGGGTAAGGTCTCCTCCTATGCAAAAACTCTTGATACATCCATTTTTGTCATAATGAAATCAAACAAGTGAATATTTCTAATTTACAGAGTTCCAAGGAATCCTTTATTTGTTCTGTTATGTCCTATTTTCTAAGCATATATTATTTATGTTACCTCTTTAGAACTTTTGCTCATTCACTCACCTGGAATGCTCTGCCAGTTCTGCAGTTTTATGTTATACATACCACTCTTTCAAGCCTCAGGTGTTCTCTTTGAAGTGTCCCTATAACTGTAGTTTCCCTTCTTGCACTTCCAATAACTATTAACTAACTACACACTTATATCATATTACATAACAAGTAAAATAGTGCCCCTTCACTTTTGAACTTTACTTATATTCTACAATGGCCTCATGCAATATTTTTCAGCATTGGCCCAGTTTGTGTTTTAATGCATTAAGACACGGCAGTAATGGAAATGAAATTTTATCTCTTGATTTAGCTGTATTGTTTTAAACAATTTCCTTAAAGAAAGAGAAAGCATGACTTTGAAATACAGCATCAACTGAACATCTCGTTCAGTATGCACAGTCATTAATTTGTGGACTAGTAATATGTTTGGAAATCAATTCTTAAAAAAAGAGAATGTGTTCAAGACAACTATCTAATATTTAATAATGGTTCCTTAATATGTTTTGGATAATAATCATGTCCCAGTCATTGTGGCAGGTGCTGGGATATAAATATTATTTGGCATAGAGACTTTATCTGCCCATCATCACTTGTCCAGAATAGAGGATGAAAGTCATATATATGGAAAAGAATGAAAAAATTTGGATTTAAGAACCTATTATATTAAAACAATATAAACGAGTGTAACAATGAAAATATAGAGACTTTGTAACACAGAATTTCTCATGATTCCGTGATCATTAGTCCATATCCTGGGAGGCCGGTTTAATTTATGCCTCCCAGGAATTACAAAATGACATCCTGTCTGTAGAAGCACCCTCCCCACAGAACCCCATAAGCTCTATCCACAGGCTCTGGTAACTCTGTACTCGTCTTTGTGTCTTGCTCTAACCCATATTATTGCCACACACACACACACATACAGCAGGCTATTTCATGCTCAAAATAGGGACCTCAGTCTTCCCCAGAACTTTGTGGTAAATCTTTCCGTTGGTAGAGCTCATAATATTTTGCTTTATCTCTTTTGACAATATAGCTATCACTAGCCTTTAAAAACGATGATATAACATACTGGGCATGCTTTGTGGGGTGCCTTTCTCCAAGGACATCCAGATTCTTTACAAACAAATATTAGGTTGGTGCAAAAGTAACTGCGGTTTTTGCCATTACTTTCAATGTAATGTAATGACATAAGTAGCAAATGAAATAGGACAATATTCTCTTCTGAATCCTCTACTCAACTTAAGGAAACATAAAGCAAAGTCAAAAATAAAAGCAAACACATTGAAAGGTTCTAGAATGTCTAGATGATGAAATGACAAGAAAATAAAGAAGGAAAGGAGAAGAAAGCGATAAGAAGCATATGGTAAAAAGGCTAAAGACATCTCTTGACAAACCGGTAGGAATTTTACTGGGATTCTTGAAAGTCTGAAAATACTCCAACAGCCTACAAGTGCATACACACAGTTAATATCTGAGGATAATTCCTTGATCGACTTTTACAAATGTCAAAATTGCATTTAACAAATACTAGAAAGATGAAAATTTAAAGACATAGTGTTGAGTATCTGCCAAAGAAGGACTGCCAAAATTGTTAATCATAAACCAATGTTTAAAATACATTGGTTTATGTTTGCAGTTGCATACCTATTATTAAGATTAAATAATCTGTGGTTCAGATTTTGCTCCATTTGGGAGTGGACCTACCAAGGTAAATTCTGTTTGTTCTCATTCTCTGAAGGAAAAGATCTTGAACAAAATAATTCAAGGCATGCAAATAATCTATTAACCAGTAAAAATGAGAGCAGGCTGCTATTGTTGACAGAATAATTTGGTATCCTTTCAATTGTCTGAATGTGTCATCAGTTCTGATAGTCTTAGATAAAATCTGATCCGTCATTATACGCAAGATTGAAATAACAGTAGCTGGCTGGGCGCGGTGACTCACGCCTGTAATCCTAGCTCTTTGGGAAGCTGAGGCAGGCAGATCACCTGAGGTCAGGGGTTTGAGACAAGCCTGGCCAAAAAGGCAAAACCCTGTCTCTACTAAAAGACACAAAAATTAGCCAAGCGTGGCACATGCCTGTAATCCCAGCTACTCAGGAGGCTGAGGTGGGAGAATCACTTGAACCCAGGAGGCAGAGTTTGCAGTGAGCCGAGATCGCGACACTGCACTCCAGACTGGGTGACAGAGTGAGACTCTGTCTCAAAAGAAAAAAAAAAAAAAGGAAAAGAAAAGAAAAAAGAAATAACAGTAGCTAATATACCCTGAGTATTATTATGTCAAGCACAAGACTCTCTTTTATAGGTGCTTTAAAAGTTATCATGAATTACTATTACTAACTTTACAGTGGAAAAAAAAAAAAGGATGCTTAAAGGGGTATGTAAATTAGCCAAGGTCACACAGATTAAGTTAGTATGTTTGGACCTGGCTGGTTCCAAAGTTCTATGCTAAATGATGATGTCATTCCCAGTGGGCATTTTACAGCCACTACTGGATTATTTGCAGTGATAAGACATTCCTATTGCATAAGATCTCGGATGTAAAGGTAATAATGAAATTCAGCTATTTTTATTTTCATATTAATTATATATTTCTTACTTGTTATTTTCACCAGTTTCTTTTTTAAAAATATTGATGTAAATACTTGTACATATTTCTGGGGTACATGTGATATTTTGTTACATGCATACACTGTGTAATGAACAGGTAAGGATATTTAAGGTGTCCATTACTTCAAGTATTTATCATTTTCATGTGTTGGGTCATTTTAAGTCTTCTCTTCTAGCTATTTTGAAATATACAATACATTGCTGTTAACTATAGTTGTCCTACTGTGCTATTGAACATTAGAGCTTATACCTTCTATCTAACTGTATGTTTGTACTCCTTAAACAACCTCTTTTTATCCTAACCCTCAACTCACACACTCTTTCCAACCTCTGATATTTATAATCTCTACCTCTATGGGATCAACTATTTTAGCTTCCACATATGAGTGAGATATCTACATAAGCGATATCCACATACATAATCTTTGTCTTTCTACACCTAGCTTATTTTACTTAACATGATGACATCCAGTTCTATCCATGTTGCTGCAAATGACATGACTTTATTCTTTTTTGTGGTTGAATAGTATTCCATTGTGTTTATATACCACAGTTTCTTTATTCATTTATTTGCTGATGGACATGTAGGTTGATTTCACATCTTTGCTACTCTGAATTGTGCTGTAATAAAAATGGGAATGCAGGCTGTTGATATACTTATCTCCTTTCCTGTGGATAAATATCAGTAGTGGGAGTGCTGGATCATATGATAGTTCTATTTTTAAGTTTGTGAAGAAATCTTCATATTGTTTTTCATAGTGACTGTACTAATTTACATTCCCATCGACAATGTGTAAGAGTTGCTTTTTCTCCACATCCTTGCCAGCATCTGTTATATTTTGTCTTTTTAATATAGCTATTCTAATTGGAGTAAAATGATATCTATTTGTGATTTTGATTTGCATTGCCCTGATGATTATTAACATTGAGCATTTTTTCATGTACTTGTTGGCTATTCATATATCTTCTTTTAAGAAATGTTTGTTTATGTTCTTTCCCCACTTTTCAATGGAATTTCTTAAATTTTTTATTTAGTACTGCTTACTTGGATAGTCTGAATTATGAGTCCCTTCTTGGATGTATAGTTTTCGAATGTTTTCTCCCATCCAACAGGTTGTTTCTTCACTATGTTGATAGTTTCCTTTGCTTTTTATACAACTTTTTATAATAGTACACAAGCTTTTTATAATAGTTTAATATACTCTCATGTGTCTACTCTTGTTTTTGTTGCCTATGCTTTTGAGGTCTTAGCCATAAAATCTTCGCCATGAGTCATGTCTCAAAGTGTTTCCTCTATGTTTTGTTCTAGCAGTTTTATAGAATTGGGCCCTACGTTTAAGTCTTTAATCCATTTGTAGTTGATTTTTGTATATGGTGAGAGGTAGGGGTCCAGTTTCATCCTTCCGCATATGGATATCCAATTTTTCCAGCACCATTTGTTGGAGAGACTGGTGTTTCCCCAATGATTGCTCTTGGCATTTTTGTCAGAAAAACAGTTGACTGTAGATACATGAATGAATTTCTGGGATCGTGGATATATGAATTAATTTATTGGTTTTCTATTCTGTTCCACTGGTCTATGTGCCTGTTTTTCTGCCAGTACAATGCTGTTTTGGTTACTATAGCTTTGTATTGTTTTTTGAGATCTAGTAATGTGATACCTCCAGCTCTGTTACTTTTGTTCAAGATTTCTCCAGCTATTCAGGTTTTTTTTTGGTCATTCCACAGATATTTTAGGATTTTTTCCAATTACTATAAAAAATTGTATTTTTTTTTTCTTTTGAGACAGAGTCTTGCTCTGTTGCCCAGGCTGGAGTGCAACTGCACAATTTCAGCTAACCACAACCTCCACCTCCCAGGTTCAAGAGATTCTCGTGCCTCAGCCTCCCGAGCAGTTGGGACTACAAGCACATGCCACCACACCCAACTAATTTTTATATTTTAATAGAGATGGGGTTTTGCCATGTTTGCCAGGCTGGTCTTGAACTCCTGACCTCAGGTGATCCACCTGCCTCGGCCTCCCAAAGTGCTGGGATTACAGGCATGATCCACTGCAACAGGGTGAAAAATGGTGTTTTGATAGGAATTGCATTGAATCTGTAGATTGCATTCAATCTGTAGGTTGCTTTACGCAATATATAATTTTAACAATGTTCATTCTTCTGATCCATGAGAATAAGATGTCTTTCCATTTGTTTGTGTCTGCCTCAACTTCTTTCGTCAGTGTTTTGTAGTTTTTCTTGTAGAAGGTCTTTTAACTTCTTGTTTAAATTTATTTCTAGCGTTTTTTTTTTTGTAGCTATTGTAAATAGAATTGTCTTCTTGATTTCTTTCTCAACTAGTTAATTGGTGTATAGAAATGGTACTAATGTGTGTTGATTTTGTATCCTGCAATATTACTAAATTTATTTTTCAGAGCTCAAAGTTTTGCAGTGGAGTCTTTAGGTTTTTATAGATTTTAGATCATACTATCTGCAAAGAGGGCTAATTTGACTTTTTATTTTCCAATTTTGATGGCTTTTATTTCTTTCTCTTGCCTGATTGCTCTGGCTAGGACTTCTAGTACTATGCTGAATAAGAGTAATGAAAGTGAGTATTCTTGTCTTGTTTGAGTTCTTAGAGAAAAGGCTTTCAGCTTTTTTCATTCAATATAATGTTGGGTGTGAATCTGTCTTATATAGCCTTTATTATGTTGAGGTATGTTTCCTCAGTGCTTAGTTTGTTGAGGGTTTTTATTAGGAAGGAATGTTGAACTTTATCAAAAGCTTTTTCTGCATCTATTGAGATGGTCATATGGTTTTGTCCTTCATTCTGTCAATGTAATATATCATAAACATTGATTTGCATATGTTGAACCATCCTTGCATCCCTGGGATAAATCCCACTTGATCATGATGTATTTTCTTTTTGACATGCTGCTGGAATCAGTTTTCTAGTAACTTTTTTGAAGATTTTTGCATCTATGTTTATTGTGGATATTGGTCTGCAGTTTTCTTCTTCTGTTGTGTCCTTGTCTGGCTTTGGTATCAGGATAATGCTGGCCTCATAGAATGAGTTAGGGAGAATTCTTTGCTTTTCAATTTTTTGAACTAGTTTAAGGAGAATTGATGTTAGTTCTTTGAAAGTTAGGTAGAATTTGGCAGTGAAGACATCCAGTTCTTGACTTTTCATTGTTGGGAAATTCTTCATTACTGATTCAATCTTATTACCTATTATTATTGGTCTGTTCAGGTTTTTTATTTCTTCCTGATTTAATCTTTATTGGTTGTATGTGTCCATGAATTTATCCATTTATTCTAGGTTTTTTAGTTTGTTAGTGTATTGGTGTTCATCATAGTCTCTGATAATCTTTTGTATTTCTGTGTTGTAATGCCTTCTCTTTCTTTTCTGATTTTGTTTATCTAGGTCTTCTCTCTATTTCTTGTTGTTAGCCTAGGTAGTGGTTTATCAATTTTGTTTATTATTTAAAGATCAGACTTCATTTTGTTGATCCATTGCGGTTTTTTTAGTCTCTATTTCATTTAGTTCTTCTCTAATCTTTATTATTTCTTTCCTCCTATTAATCTTGGGTTTGGTTTGTTCTTGCTTTTCTTGTTTTGGTTTTTGGTTGGTTCTTTGAGGTACACGGTTATATTGTTTGCTTGAAATTTTTCTACTTTTTTGATGTAGACATTTATTCCTATAAAATTTCCTCTTAGCACTGCTTTTGCAGTTTCCCAAAGATTTTGGTATGTTGGGTTTCCATTTTCATTTGTTTCAATAAATTTTTTGATTTTCTCCTTAATTTCTTCCTTGACCCTAGGGTCATTTAGAAGCATTTTTTTTTAATTTCCATATATTTTTATAGTTTCCTGTTGCTCTTATTATTGATTTCTAGTTTTATTCTGTTATAGTCTGAGAATACACTTATTTCATTTTTTTAAAAATTTGTTGAGATGTGTTTTACATTTTAACATATGGTCTACTCTGGAAAATGTTCTGTATGCTGAGAATATACTTTTATTATAGTCTGAGAATATACTTATATTATTTCATTTTTTAAAAATTTGTTGAGATGTGTTTTATTTTCTAACATATGGTCTATTCTGGAAAATGTTCTATATGCTGATGAGAAGAATGTGTATTATGCAGCTATTGGTTAAAATGTTCTGTAAATGTCTATTAAGTCCATTTGGTCTAACATGCAGTTCAAATCCAATGTTTCTTTGTGAATTTTCTGTGTAGATGATCTGTCTAATGGTGAAAGTGAGGTGTTGAAGGCCTCAACTATTATTGTTTTGAAGTATATCTCTTCCTTCAGATCTAATCATTTTTTTTATATATCTGAATGTTCCAGTGTTGGGTACATATGTGTTTAGAATTATTATATCCTCTTGCTGAATTGATCTCTTTATCATTATACAATAACCTTCTTTGTCTCTTTTTAATGTTTTTAACTTAAAGTTTGTTTTATCTGATATTAGTAAAGCTACTCCTGCCTATGTTTAGTTTCCATTTTCATAGAATATCTTTTAAAAAATACTTTTACTTTTAGCCTATATGTGTCTTTACAGTTGAAATGAGTTTCTTATAAGCAACATATAGTTGGGTCACATTTTTTAATCCATTAAGCCAGCCTGTATCTTTAAGTGGAGAGTTTAATCCATTTGCACTCAAGATTGTTGTTGATATGGAAGGCTTATTTCTGTCATTTTATTAAATGATTGCTGATTATTTCATGTATGCATTGGTCATTTTTTTCTCTCTTAAGCTTATTGTGATTTGGTGGTTTTCTGTAGTGGTATAATTTGAGTTCTTTCTCTTTGTATTTTGTGTATTTGCTCTACAAGTGGGTTTTATACATTCGTGAGTTTTCATAATGGTAGATAGTGTTCCTTTGCTTCTAGGTGCAGGACTTCCCCAAGCAGTTTTCTTTTTTTTTTTCTTTTTTCTTTGTTTTTACAGGCCAAGCCTGAGCAAGGACTGTAAGCATTTATTGTAAGATGAGTCTAGTGCTGATGAATTTCCTCAACTTTTGCTTGTCCTGGAAAGCCTTTATTTCTCCTTCACTTTTGGAAAATAACTTTGCTGGGCTGATTATCCTTACCTGGCAATGTTTTATTTTTTCTTTCAGCACTTCAAATATATAATTTCATTCTCTACTGATGGGGGTTTCCTTATAAGTGACTAGATACTTTTCTCTGCCTGTTTTCAGAATTTTCACTTTGTCTTTGACTTTTGACAGTTTGACTAAAATGTGCTGTGCAGAAGAGGTTTTTTGCATTGTATCTGTTTGAAGATCTATCAGATTCCTGTGTCTGGAAGCCTAAATCTCTTGCTAGACTTGGAAAGTTTTCAGCTATCATTTTGTTAAATAGATTTTCTAAACTTTTTGTTTCCTCTTCACCTTCAGGGACACTGAAAATTTGAATATTTGGTTGCTTACAGCATCTCATGTGTAATGTAAGCTTTGTTCATTTTTTTTCATTATTTTTTCTTTATAGGAGGCTGATTGAGTTATTTCAAAAGACCTGTCTTTAAGTTCTGAAATTCTTTCTTCTGCTTGATCTAGTCTATTGCTGAAGCTTCCAAATGTATTTTGTATTTCATTTAATGAATTCTCTAGTTCCAGAATTTCTTGTTGGTTCTGGTTTTTTGTTTGTTTGTTTGTTTCTTTGTTTTTGAGACGGGGTCTCACACTGTCACCCAGACTGGAGTGCAGTGGTGCAATCTCAGCTAACTACAACCTTTGCCTCCCAAGTTCAAGCGATTCTCCTGCCTCAGCCTCCCGAGTAGCTGGGATTACAGGTGCCCGCCACCACGCCCAGCTAATTTTTTGTATTTTTAGTAGTGATGGGGTTTCACCATTTTGGCCACGCTGGTCTCAAACTCCTGACCTCATGATTCACCTGCCGTGGCCTCCCAAAGTGCTGGTATTACAGATGTGAGCCACTGAACTTGGCCTGATTGTTTTTTATAATATCTTTTTGCTAAATTTCTCATTCATATCTTGAATTATTTTTCTGATTTCTTTTTATTTTTTATCTTTGTTGTCTTGTGTCAGAGATTTTTACATTTCACTATTTTGAATGATTTATTCAGGATTTCATGACTCTCTTTTTCATTGAAATTTGTTGCTGAAGAATTATGGTGCCCCTTTCGAAGTGTTATATTTCTTTGTCTTGTCATGTTTCTTGTGTTCTGATGACAATATGTGCACATCTGGTGTAATAGTTATTTTTTCCAATTTTTTGAATTTGCTTTTGTAGGGGAGAACTTTTTCCTGAAGATATATCTGTGGTGTTGGGTAAATAGAGAGCTCTTTGGCTGTGATTCTGAATGTGTACAGTAGTGTAGTCTCCATATGAATTATTTGGCTGTAAACTGTGTCAGTGCTCTCTACAATTTCCTCAGTGGCTTTGAGTGTGGTTGTTAGTGGAGGGTATAGTGAAGTTTTTCTTAGGATGGAGATGCCAGGTCTGCTTGTCCTCATGTCTCAGTGGTGGGAGTAGTGGACCAAGTGTGCCTGTTGTTGGGCCCCAGGAAACTGTACACTGTCATTGGTGTTAGCAGGTTCAGATGGGCCAATTCATGGCTTCCACATGGCTTTCTAAGGTGCTGGAAGTGGCAGCAGTGGGATGGGCGAATGGGCAAGTTCTTGATGTCCTGGGCAGTGGGCATAGTGTGGTTGACAGCAGTAGCAGCAGTGGGACTAGCCTCTGGGTTTCAAGTGGTTCATGTTGGTGTTGGTAGTTGCTGTAATGGGCTAGGTGGACCAGTCTGCAGGCCCACAGGTGGCACATCTAGGTGGGTGCCCATTGTGGTGGTAGCAGCAGATCAAATGGACCCAACCTTGGGCTCCTGAGAGGAGTGCTTGGGTGCCAATTGTTGTGCACTGGGCACCGTGGTTCCCAGGCCCTGAGATAGTGTGCTCTAGCACTGGGGTAAGGAGGGGGAAACATCCAGGTTTAGTGGATCTGTCCTCAGGGCCCCTGGTGTTATGTTTGGGGCTGGCCATGGTAGGCAGGGACAGGGTGATCTCCAGACCCAAGGCAGAATGCTGCAGTCCTGCTACTGAGTAGGGCAAGGTTGGATATTATTATTTTTATTTTCTAAGTGATCTGGCCAGATCTACCAGCACAATGTTTAATAGTGGTAGCAAAAATCAGGCATCCTTTTCTTGTTTTTGATTTTAGAGGAAAAGCTTTTTGCCTTTCACTATTGAGTATAATGCTAGCTGTTAGTTTTTCACAATGTTGAAAAATTCCCTTCTATGCCTAGTTTGTTGAATACTTTTATCATAAAACTGTATTACAATTTTTCAAATGGTTTTTCTGTGTCTGTTGAGATGATCATGTGTTTTTTGTTGTTATTGTTCTATCTGTATGATGTGTTAATTTGTTTTCTTATGTTGAACCATGTTTGCACTTCTAGAATAAATCCCATTTGGTCATGGTGTATAATCCTTTTAATATGCTGTTGGGTTTGGTTTGCTAACATTTTATTGAGGACTTTTGCATCAATATTCACAATCAATATTGGTTTGTAGTTTTCTTTTATTTTGGTACATTTGTCTATCTTTGGTAACAGGGTAATGTTGGTCTCATGGAATATATTAGGAAGTGTCTTTTCCTCTTCTGTTATATGCAAGAATTTGAAAAAGGTTGGTGTAAATTCTTCATTAAATGTTTGTTAGAAGTCACCAGTGTAGTCCTCTGGTCTTGGACTTTTCTTTGTTAAGAAGTTTTTGGTTACTGCTTTAATCTCTTTAGGTGTTATATGTCTGTTAAATTTTCTATTTGTTCTTGAGTTAGTTTGGTAATTTATGTGTTTCTAGAAATTTGTCCATTTTATTAAGGTTGTTAAATTTGTCAGTGTACAATTAATATTATTTTAGTTTATGTAATATTTGAAGTAAAGTGCCACTTCCATTTCTGAATTTAATAATTTTCATCTTCTCTCTTTTTTTCTTAGTTTACAGGCTCATCAAGTTTGTTGATCTTTGAATTTTGGTTTTGTTGAGTCGATTAAACAATTATCTCTGGGATGCTGGTTGTATTATATATTTTCCCCAGAAAGATAAGAAAAACTCAAGAGGAACTTTTGTACAACTGTTACATAAACTAATCTAACACTTGGAAACTATCAATTTTGCAGCTGTAGAGACCAAATCAATTGCTTCAATAACTGGTCTAACATCTTGGTGTTTGTAAGTAGTAATTTTCTTTTTCTATATAAGTACCCGTCAGCCTCTTTACAACTGTATCAATAGGTTAGAGGATAGTTAAAAATGTTAATGAAGCTTAGATATTATAATTAGATGTACATTATCACTGAGAAGGCGACTTAGAGTCTCTCTGGTGTTAGATATAAAAACTGGTGATTTTTGTCAGCTCTCTGGTGATTTGGCCAAAATGGTCTTGCTCTTTCAGATTCCATTCCTTTGCCAGAGGTAGACAAAATTATTATAAATATGCACAAAGCTTATAAAAATGCAAAGGAGAAAAACCACTCAAACACTTAAAAAAGGACATAAACAAGAAACCAAGGCAGCTGGTAAAGCAAAATGGAAATTTTGCTGATGCAGATCCTCGGTTTTCTTTCAATTATAGTTCATTTTGCAGCCTTAAGTCTGTGGTTGTTAAATGCTTTCCTGCTGCCAATCTGAAATGGAGGTGGACAATCCAGTAAACTAATTCCCAAATTACTCCAAATGTGAATCAAATTAGAATAAAACATTTTTGGAAACTGAAAGAGGAAAAGTGAAGGGTTATACTGAAATATATAGTTTTCATTTTTATGGAACTCTATTTTTCTAATTCCTACTGGGGGTAGATGTGTTGAAATTCTAAAAGAAAGTGTGTTCTTATGACACATTGTTGACATAATTTTCCAAGCCAAAATGCAACTTTGGAAGATGTCAAAATCATACAGCCTCTTAAAAAACTCCCAGTCTCCATCTTTTATGACAACATGCAACTGGTTTTAAGTATTACTTACTGTTGGTTATAATGTTACAAACTTTGAGAAGTTAAATATTTAGAATTTAAGTTCACTAAAGTGCAATAACCATACCCTTTCAAAAGAAAAGTAGGAAAAGCAGATAAATCTATGTTCATTTATTCCTGTGTGGTTTTTATATTTAATTTTTTGCCTCCCTTAATCCATTGTTATAAGCAGTAAAATGAGACAAAACAAAAAATAGTGCATCTAAAATATAAAGACTTCAAAAGACATTCTAGGAAATAAATTTTACAGTTGGAAGGAGGCTTACTGATTAGTAAGTCAAATTTATTTATTTTATCAGTGAGACAACTGAAGTACCAAAAGGTAAATACTTAGTCAAGTTCAGCTAAATTGTCAATGACATAGTCAGGGTAAGAAGTGGATTTTAGATTTCCCAGACCAGGGAGATTCTTGGTAACCTTAATCAATATTATTAATTTTTATTGTATGTCCTATACAGTCTAGAACATTTCAAGTTAGTAGTTTATTCTATTGTCCTCTTTTTGTTTATTGATTATTTTAATGGTGATAAAAATTCCATCAATGAAGCTGATTTTCAACATTTATGATATTTAAAAACATACTTTTAAGTTAAGGCAAGTTGATTCTTTTTCAATTTATCTTACTATTTTTCCTAAAATGCATTTATTTATTGACCTTTCATGGGATTTGATAATGACACAACTTATTATTTATTGTCTGTGTTCTGCCTACTTCCAAAAAAAATCATAAGAAAATTGATGGCCTTAAAAACACATATCATGGAATGTAAAACCAGTAAGTTCCAAGAAACAACAGAAAGTCCAAGTACTAAAGATAAATATAAAAATAATTATACCAGAAGAAAATGCTTTATTTAAAGTTATTTGAGCAAAATATTAATTTGAGCTTCCTGAGAGCCAAGAAGAAACAAGAAATGTGATGGTTCATAGAGCTCTCATTTGACAAAAAGAGAGTATGTCTCATTTTATTTTGTCTTAGGAAAGTCAAATCTAAAACATACAAGTTTTACCAAAGTTTTTGTGATTTTACTTTTTCCTCTTATCTGTTTCTTTTTTTTTAGCATGACCCTCATAAAAATAATTAATCACATAAATATAAGAAAACGAATAACATAAGGCATGCCATCCTTTTATAGTCATTTTTGTTCATTTATATTTTAATATTTAATGTAGATATTTTGTTCATATTTTCTACATAGCTCCTAGATAAAAGTAATGGCATAATTTTAAATTTTCCTAAATTGTTGTATATCATTCTATAAAGGCAATTTTGTGGGGAGCCATGATACTAAGATGTAGGTTTGTAGCTTTCTGCTGCCATACAATAATGATTAAAGTGCATATAGCAAGGAATAATTATATTTTATAAAAAGGAATACAAAAGCATAAGTAAGTAAAATTCACTTAAAGTTTTCTCGTGAAGAAAAGACATTTTTCTGTCTAAGCGTATTATACAAACTTTTTGATTTTTAAAAGTAGAAAGAATCTTTTTCATTAAGAGCTGAATACTTGCAACTTTTTGTGTGTTAGCACATTTGTCAATTATAAATTGGAGAAACTAATTTTTACAATGTTTGTACAACTCAAAATGTTCACATAATTTTTTTCAAAAGTTTAAAAGCAATTATCATAATATAACAAAACAAAGGATTTTAAAGATAATATTTTAAATTGTTAAGCCAAAAAAAAGTTTATGCTTCCAGTATCTGTATTCTCCAGAAGCTACCAAGGTAACAATAAAGCTTCTTCCACTATCCTAAAACTTCATGTAAGTCTCTCACATGCTTTTGGAGGGTCAGCTCTTTATTTGGAGCAGAGCTAAAAGTTTTCATTCACACTACTTCTGCTAAGCATTGTCTGTTTTCTCTCCTTCCCTTTATTACCCAACTCCTGAAATGCAATCTCTTCACCACCTCAGCACTACCAGAACTACTCACCAGAGCATTTTTATACAAAGGTCTTTCCAGAATCCCAATCTTACACTTTGTTGAGTTCCTGAATTCCAAAGCAGTCTACCATAACTTTCTTGATATTTCACTTTCGTAACTATCTTCTCTCTCTTCTTGTTTTTCTTTTCTTAGACTGCTGCCTTCCCATTACGGAAGTTCACGTTTTTGTTCTTGATAACTACAATTTTAGCTTAGCAGTTTTATTAAATCATCCATTTTAATAGATTTTGCTTCTTTTTCTGATTATTTCTAAATGTAGAACACCATTTGTGACCCACTGGCTTTGTCTCTGTGCCTGTTCTCAGCAGCTTACAAAACAAGTCTATGTAAAGGAAGCTCATACTCAATGTATCCCTCAGATACTACTTTCCTTCCAAAAATGCTACTTTCCTTCCAAAACATACACTTGTTTCAGACAGCTTCATTTCAGCCAAAGGTACTGGCATTATCAATCTCTTAAAAATAGAAAGATCAACTCATTTTTTAAAATCTCTCATTTAAAACTAAATTTAATATTGACATCTATCCAAATATATCAGAAATAAGGAAATTCACACAATCTAATTTAAACCAAATCACCACAGTTGAGCACAGAACTTCCCAAATGTAATAAAGACTAGTTTACTAACTTCCAAGTTACTCCTTTATTTCATTTTATAGGAGTTATACTCATATTCCCATATAGGTTATTCAGAATTTTCTCTCTCCATACAATTTCAAAGTCTTCATTTTACCCTATTTTTCAGTGAATGATCTCAGATACCCCTATAGGAAGAAGATTAAAACATGGAACCATAAAAGAAACAATGACCTTGATTGTCTCAGGCACCCATCATGATTTATTGGTCAAAGACTGAATTTTGGTATCAGACTAAATTATATTTAAGTATTACCAGTTATGGAAGCTTAAACTTTCTTACTCCCAAGACGAGTGCATTTTCTGTTGTATTTCCCTTACTTGCAATATTGTATGTTTTTCCATATCTATTAGGAAATTTCTTTCCATATGTAATAAACTACCCAGCTAGGGAGTCTTAAACAAATAAGGGTTTGTTTTTGTTGTATAATAAGTCTGGAGAAGAGCAGTTACTGGCGCTGGTTGAGTGACATAGTGAAGTGACCCCCAGGCTTCAGATGTTCTCCTGGCAGTCTCCAGTTATCACATCTGCATTCCAACAAGAAGAAGCAAAAACAGTGGGTGGGGGTGCTGTCTCAGGAAAGCAACAGGCTTCCCAGGAATCACACAGCTGACTTTCACTTCCATGTCATCATTCAGAACTCTTCTGTGAAGTTTCTCCAACTGAAAGTTGTCTGGGAATGAAGATTAAGTCAACCAAACATACCCATATTGTTCTTTCTGTATATCTGAATATTACTGATTGTTCAAAGCTTACCTAAAATCTCACCTCCTCTATGAAAACTTCTTCAATGCAGCTGACCACACATATCTCTAATCTTTGTAGATTTTCATTTTAACTACAAAAGTCCCATACAATATACCACTAATATTTTTGTGCTCTAATAATTTTTTTATTATTTAAAAAATTTTTGGAGATAGTGTCATTCTGTTGCCCAGGTTGGAGTGCAATGGCATGATCTTGGCTCATTACAACCTCTCCCTCCCCAGTTCAAGTGATTCTCCTGCCTCAGCCTCTCGAGTATCTGGGACTACAGGTATGTGATGCCACGCTCGCCTAGTTTTTTTTGTTTTGTTTTGTTTTTGTTTGTTTTTTTTGTATTTTCAGTAGAGACGGGGTTTCAACATACTGGCCAAGCTGGTCTCCAACTCCTGACCTCAAATGATCTGCCCACCTCGGCCTCCCAAAGTGCTGAGATTACAGGTATGAGCCACAGTGCCCAGCCAATATTTCTCATTTAACGTTTTATTTTCTCAAAATTTAAATGTGTATTCAGGGTAGAGGCTGTGTTGTAATCCTTTTTTCTGTCTACACACAACAGGGCACTGTGCTAAGCACACAGTGGTGCTCCGTATGATTTGGGGAACTAGATTCAGGCAAATTCAAATCTGAAATCAGGAACCACTAATTTCTTATGGTGTAATTCTAAACAAGAAAATTTGCCTCTCTAAATTTTTCTTTCTCTATAAATGTGTAAGAAAATAAAAGAATACATCATGGGACAATAGGAGAACTCAATATATGCATGGAACATATATGCCTAATACACATTATTTTCCTTTATCAAAGTTTAATTATAATTGATAGGAAAAGTATTTACATATGCATTCTATAAAATATGATACGCAGAATTTGCATTTTCAGGCTCAAAAGACTCACAATTTTAAAAATTAATTTCTTTGGAATTCACTCTGTGAGAAAATTAAAAAACAAAAGCTTTGTTTTCCTTAAGAATAAAATGTATTTCAATTTCATTTAGCATTTAGTTCAAGACTACTAAATATTTATAGCTAATATTTTTTAATATTTGTAGTTTTTTGTTTGTTTCTTTTTTGCTACAATGAGCTCGAGGATTTTATCTGGAAGCTGTGCTTGCCAAGAAAACAGTCTTACTTACAGAATATGTTTATTTGTGGGAGAATGATAAATATTATGGTGTGGGGAGGTAACAAAATCACTTCTCCAAGTTCCTTTTTAGGGTCATCTATTTTATAATCCTACATGTTTTTATTAGTGTGAACTTTCTATTAAGATTTATTTTTTTAGAAAGTTGCTGGATGATGGTGAGGAAAATTCAAATGTATGTAAATATTATTGGGGAAAAATTGTGAAGGGGCTTAACATGACTCTTTTTAAAGAAAATAAATTTTAACTAAATTATTAATAGTTATTATTTAAATTAAATCCTTAGAAAAATAAAGAAAAATACAAGTGAATTTTAAAAAGTTTTATTATGGAATTATTCAAATATACATGAAGGCAGGTAAAATATAGTACACCTGATATTTTCATAGAGAAAGAAAGAAAGAAAGAGAAAGAAAGTAAGAAAGAAAGAAGGAGGAAGAGGAAGGGGAAGGGGAAGAGGAAGAAGAGGAAGAGGAAGAAGACGGAGGAGGAGGAGAGGGAGGGAGGAAGGAAGGAAGGAGAAGAGAAGAGAAAAAGGAAGGAAGGAAGGAAGGAAGGAAACCTAGTAGCAATAAACATTTATTATCTCAGTATCTGTGGGTTGGAAATATCTCAGCTGTGTGGTTTTGACTGAGTCACTCATGAGGCTCCACTCAAGCAAGATGTTGGCTTGGGCTGCAGTCATCTGAAGTATGACCAGGCCTGGAGGATCCACTTCCCAGGTGTTCCTCTCACATGGCTGTCAGCAGGAGGGCTCAGTTTTTCAGTGGTTGTTGGCAGGCTGACTTGGTTCCTTACCACATGGGGTTACTGGAATGTCCTCATGACATACATGGCCACTGCTTTCCTACAGAGCAAGAGAGATAAGATAGAAGACAAAGAGGAAGGCACCATGCTTTTTAATGACTTGGTGTTGGAGATCACACATTGTCACTTCTGTCACATTCTATTTATTAGGAGTAAGTCACTAAACATTGCTCACATTCAAGAAGAGAGGAATTAGTCTCCACTTGTTGAAAAGAGGATTATCAAATAATTTTTAGACAAATTTTTAAATCAACACAATACTTTCATCCACTTCCCTCTCACCATTCCAACTATTTTGAAGAATATTCTGGTAAGCACACTATTTCACCCATGAATACTTCATCATGTGTGTCTCAAAATCATGAAAAAAGTAACTATTCCTCAGTGTCATCAAAAATCTAACCAGTATTCAAATTTCTCTGATTTTTTTCATAAAATTTTTAACAATTGGTTTGGTTTGTTAGAATTCAAAATAGACCAGTTGCATTTAGCACCTTTTGAAGTAGTGTCAAATCCTCCTTAGATTAGCCAATTTGAAATATACTTACAATCAGACAAAGATAAAAGATATTCATACACTGCTTTGTTTCTACACTGTTTATTGTTCTTTTTATAAGAAACACTCAAGGAGTAAGAAAGCAGATTTTCCTAGGTTACCTTTGAACCTGGAATTTGTGTCACCACTTTGGTGATATTCCTAATAAGCCACAGGTGTACACTACAGGAGCAAGTAGAAACAGAGACAGGGATATGATGACAGTTAATTGTCCATAACTTATTTATCCCAAGGAACACTTATACATCTGTTACATATTTAGGTATTTGCTACTTGTCGTTTTTTTTTTGTGATTTTTCAGCAGAGAAACATCTATAACTAAAGCACCGTAAAAAGGAATAATGCTATCAAGGGGCTTTAGAGAAGCATGACAAAGGAAGTGCAGCTTTTTGTGTGTTGGAAATGAATGGCTCCATTCATTTCAAAAGGGATTTTGTTTTATATGTACTGTATTGGGTTTGGGCACTAAACACTTGACTCCCATTTCAGAATGAATTAGTTTGTTAAATGCAGGTATTTAAATAGAATAGAAACTCTAACAATGAATTTCTTCAGTAAGTACTTTTATCTTATTGTATAAAATATTTTATAGTGTTATCCTTTTCTTTCACTAATATGTGTATATATGTATGCATTTCAACTTCTATTTTAAGTCAAATATTTTTTATTTTTATTGTATTTATAAATTTGTCACACTTTTAAATCACTATTAACAACATATTTTTATAAGTACAATTATAGGTAATCTTGCATAAATGATATTCTATTATAAATGTTCAAAATAAAAAAATTGAAAAGTTCGTTGCTGACTATATGCTAGCTGCATATGAGATATGTGGATTTAATCATATACTGAAATTAATATTTAACAATTTATCTAGAACACATTTTGAAATATTTAAAATATTCATTGTAGGTGGTTGTTTCTCCAACGACATTCCCACTTTTCCATTTAAATGCCAAATGTGTGTTCTGATATTGCATTTTCAGTGTATACATTTTACATTAATAAGTATCTAACTAATAAATTGCTTCATTATTCATTACTATATGAATTTGCAAGTTTCCTATGACAAACGTTCTGTAGCTGATTTTTGCCTGTTATTCAACAAAATGTCAAGAATATAATTACTAGTAAATTTAAACTACTGTTCAACTTTAATTCACAAAGCACAACTCTTAATACTAAGAAATGTACTCAAACAAGACTCCTGTTCATAGCTGGCATTAAACACCGAGAGCTATTGACTTTGTTATCTTGATCCAATTTTTAATGCTTGCTGTTAAGTCTCTCTTTCTTTCTTTCTCCTTTCTTTTTCTTTCTTTTCTTTCTCTTCCTTTTTTTCTTTTCTTTCCTTTTCTCTTCTTATTTTTTCTTCCTTTCTTTTTTTAAATTTCCAAACCACCAGAGGATGATTTCCTTAAGAATGTTCTCTCAGGTATGTTCAGAATATTAATTAGGCCCATCTATTCCTGTCGGGTAATAACAATGTCCATGGGCTGAATGGATGCTGTGACCTGTGAAAGAACTATTCACATGCTTTAGTCTGCCCTAGCACATTCTTTAACAAGTGAACATAGACCTTTTTCACAGTCATCCTAAATGTTTCAACTGTGTGCTTTATGTTTGCTTCTTGCATCTCCAACCATACAGCTTTTTCTTCCCCTCTTTCGGGGAAGACTTCCTTGCACTACTCATTTCAATGCATCTGCGTTTATGACTACATTACTGCCATACCTATGGGGCTTCTTACTGTATTTGCCTATAACTGGAGGAGAGTTTAAAGAAATTAAATTTATTTAGACTAAATCTTCTGGGGGATGTAAAAATATCTTAAATAATTAGCAGTAATTAAAAAGGATCTATTCAGACTAGATAAAAGGTAAACAGAGTGGTTGCTTAAATATAGTCATTTAAGTATAGTGGTTAGTTGGCTTAGTTTTTCCATTTGCATGTGTTATTTAACCACCTGTTGGCAAATAACTTCAAAAGAAGAAAAAGCATTGACTTTTGTTTATTCAGTTGGTGCAAAAGTAATTGCTGTTTTTGCCATTACTTTCAATGACAATTACTTTTGCACCAACTTAATGGCATAATTTTTTGACTCATAAGTGCTATTAACAAATTGGTATTGTTAAAAAATTAATTATTTTTAATGTAGATGTTGCAACTAACACTGGATATAATATCAAGAAAACAATGCCTGAGTAAAATCTAGGGTTTTTTTTTTAATTTTTAGTGTGGACCTGACGGAAAGGTATTATGGTTATATTTTCCTATAAGTTTTATTCTGACATTTCTCTACCTCAATTAGCTCTTCTTTTTGTGTATTAAAAGGATTAAATATTTAACTATTCTCAAAGTCCTCCTTAAATTGTTTCAAATTAGAACTTGTCTTATGAGAGGTCAGAGGAGATAGATTATATTTTTATGCAGAAACATTTACCAGCACCTGTTAGTATATATATATATATATATATATATACTATATATATGCATAAAGGTAGTTTTCTAAGTATTTATTCATGCATATATGAGTACACACACAGAGAGATTTGTACAAAACAAATACACATAATTTTCTTTTTTTTTTTTTTTACAATTTACAGTTTAGTAGATTGGGCAACCACATATGCTGTGCTTTGAGGAGGACATAAAGGAAGACATCTAAAACAGAAACTCTATCATTTGGTATTTTAATGTTATGGTTCCATTCTTCAGAACTTTATGTGAAACCATATTTTATTTTAAATATGATCGGTTAACATATTTAAAAAATGATAACCAGCCTATGAAAAAATACAAAATGAAATAAAATGGACTGGGAAAAAGAGTGAAAAAGACAGAAAGGAGTATAGAAAATACTGAAAAAATACATGGCAGTCCAAAGATACATTTTTGCAAGGGCCGTTCAAACTCAGTCATCCTATGATAGTCAAAAATATGTATAATGATTTTTGGTGCAAAAATATCACCACGAAGATCAGAGCATGATATTATTGATGTTAAGCTTTCAGATTTGATCTCTTATAAGACATACAATTTCACTCATGTGTAACTGCCTACTCAGCCATTTTGCAAATGCATAGGAAATACAAAATTAAAAAACAAAAACAAAATTGCAGATGAATTCATTTTATAATGATGGTGGGTTTGTTACGCAACCTTTATATACAGAAGAGAATATATTACTTGAAAGTGTACATAGTCTTGGTTTTTGGGAAACAAATAATTTTTGCATCATTCTGGACTGCAGAAAGCATTAAGGGTTAGCCAGAAAAATCTGGGTTTAGAAAATGGTTCTGCTAATACATTGACTGAGAGAACTTCACGTCACCAAATAGGAGTCTTTAGAAGAAGAATAATAATACATTCCTTGAGGAACAGTTGTGAGAAGATAACCTAAGTGTAATAACATTATAAAATAACTATCTCAGGGAAAGAAAGCCTTAACATTTTCATGTAATTAGTTTTGTGTAATATTGCTAAATAGAAAAATTGCTACCTTCAAAATATAGAAAAATACCTCTCTTAGGAAGATGTAATAAAGACATAATAAAAAACTTTAATGAATGTGAAACACAATATAGCACAAAAAGCAAATATATAGTGTTTGGACTATATAAAAGAAAGTGAGAATTCTAGGTTATGTCAGCAGGTAAAGTCCCTGTATTTTATGCTCATACCTGCAGGTTGCATTCCCCTCCCAGCTGGCATGGAAGGTCATTGTATACTATTCTGTTCCTCTTTCTCTGGGATCTATTGCTTGTGCTGACTTCCATCCTGCACCTATCCATACCAGATATACCCACCAAGATGCACCAAGCCTGCCAGGAGAACCTTCTGGTTAAGTACCATCTCATCTTTTCATAATAATTGGTCTTCATTTCTAGCAGTTGTTTCATTTAATAACAACAAAAATAACCTCATTAATAATATTTAAATTAATACGTTATTATCAAAGTACTAGATTCCATAGTTTAGTTTTATGTCCTTAACTGTCTAGGCGTATTTTGTTATTTACATTGAAAAAAGTACTTACATCTAATTATACACTGCCATTCTATAATTTATACTTGCAAACTCTGAGAATAGATTTAATGAGTATAAATATCCAATAGAGTCCCACTGTGCTGTAAATAAAATAATAATTTTAATATATCATAATATTCTATTAGCATGAGAGACCTTAAAATATGAATAAAGATAGGCTAAAATTAAATTATTATAATTTGATACCATGACAAAAGAAAGCATCTGACTTAGAAACTTTTTTAGAAGGTTTTGTGTGTATAATTTCATGGAGGGAACTAAAACAAATCAGGTTATCATGCTCAGGATTTTGAGTAGGTGATTTTCAGGCATCAGTTTACAAATGGGATGCCACATAAATAAGGTGACACATGAATTATTGACATTATGGCTCAGTTATAGGTAATCAATTTTTACCTTATCATAAATGTAGAAAAAATTATGTGAAATAAAAAGAATACTAAGCTACTGGATAAGGTGGCTTTTAAAGAATGTTTGGGAGTTAGGCATAAAGAAAACTAGCTTTCAAGTATACCTCAAATTCTTGCAAGTTTTGCCAGAGAGTATTAGTTTGGATTTTGAGGATTTCTAACACTAATGACAAGCTATATAATTCCTCTGACTTTCGAAAGGCTTACTCTCAGCTAAAATAATAAAATTGTATTTTTAATCTAGAAATTTCTCTAAAGCGACCTGTTCTAGTATAGATAAGCCTGGTCTTATTGATGAGCTTCTAATGACTTATATTAACTAATCAATGGTAATATTGTTCCATATCAGTACTGGATCCTATTCTCTTGATGTCCAGCAATATGATGTCCAGCTCCATTCTGGAATATACATATTTTATACTATTTTATTTTTTGTCATCTTTTTAAAACATTATAATTGTTGTAAGGTAGCTATACCCCAACACAGATTACAATCTTGAAGATGTAGTGACAAAATGAACACACAACCAAAAATTGGCTTTCTTGCTGACCTTAAGAGAGTGATATAAATTATTTTGCAATTTTTATCACTCTCTTAAGTTCAGCAAAGAAAGCCAATTTTCTGTCATAACTTTTCCTTATGAATTTCATAAAAATGAGCAGTTTTCAAATATAAAGATATAATGTGGTACAGAAGAAAGACTGAAATCAAAGTGGAAATCCTGGTTTGTCACTTACTGATCCTATATTTTTAAGAACATTATTTCAACTCTTCAAGCCTATTTTTTCCTCCAAAGTAAGATCAGTATTACTCATAATTCTCTGACTCCAGGAAAATAAATAGGCAAGTTATTTAAAATTTGTATACTATGATAATTGTAATATTTATCTTGCAAAGTTGTTATGAATATGCAATCAAGTGAGATCTATAACAGTGTCTGGAAAAAACAAATTTCTCCGTAAATGGTTATGTTTTTTAAATGTTGAGTGGTACTTTTCCTTGTTAATAGGGCTCCAAGGCAAAATAAGTGTTTTGAGCAGAGACCCAATGCATAAAACTGTTTGGAGTTTATTCAACCCAGAGCATACCTCTGAAAAGTCTATCTATTAGCTCCTACTTCTAAAATCCTCAGAACTACTCAAGGCTCTTGACAATCATAGTTTGTTTCTGTTGTGTGTTACCAAAGAACCTTGAACTTTAATTTTAAAATATAATTTACTAAGAAAAAATTCTGTAAATAATTTTACTCTGTACCTAACTAATGATTTACATACAAGAAAGACCAGATTATTGCACATGAAAGTTGTGTCCATCAGAATGTAATCTGTATCTTTGGGATCTGGACACAAAGCCTGTGGACAATCAGGTAAAAATAACATTTTTTTTAATGAAAAAGAAAGTTATATATGTAGTTTACAAAAACGAACACACACACACACACACACACACACACACACACACACATATATATATATATATATGAATGAAAAATTTTGAGTGGTGATCTATCCACATTTTGGATTTTCTTTAAATTTTCGTAAGATCACAAGGAAATATGGATGCCAAACTTCTGCTTCTGATAACATTAGAATAAGCATTTTGAACGAAACTTCGCACTGAGAATCACAAGAAAGACTAGATAAAACACTTTTAAAAAATCTGCTGAAATACCTCAGAGAAGTAAGAAGACAGTGAAGGTTCACAAAACTTAGATTCAGGAAAAGAAGGATCCCCAGACTGATAAGCATTGTGTTGAGGAGATGTCATTTTCCATTAGAGGCATCTGCTGATGACTGAGAAGTTAATAACCTAATGAATACTTTGACTAGCTTCCAAACTAGGAAGATGAATTCCAGCGTCTACCAAGAGAGAATATTTTGGTAAACATTCTCAAAAATACACTCTGAAATAGGACTCTGAAAGGCTATTATCTAAGAATGAAGAGAAACTCAAAGTAGGCTCTCTACTGGAGCTGCTAAAGCCTAGCTTGAAAGCATCAAAAACTCTGAATGTAATTAAGTTAGCTGGAATTGTAAATGTCCTAACCACCCACCAGTATCAAGAGTAAATTATTTGTAGAAGATTCAATTAGCACTACGGTGTTTCATATAAATGACTGACTCTCAATGAAAACTAAATTATATACTCTGAGATAAAACAAATGAATGAAAGCCAAGAGAAAAAAGAGTCAATAGAAACAGCTTTACAGGATGTCAAGATAATGGAATACAGGGAAAAAACAAAATGGAAATCAACTAAACTTAATTAAGAAGATAAATAAGAAAATTGAAAAGCTTGTTAGGGAACTTAAAACCACAACAAAGAACAAAACTGAAATTTTAGATGTGAAAATTATAGTAAGTAAATTATACTTGGAACTCAATGAAAGTTTTATTAGTGGCTAAAACAAAACTGGAGAGAGTGTTTATAAACTGGAAGATAAATCAAAAGAAAATATCTGGAATGAAGTCCTAACAGAAAGAGAACAAAAAAATGAAAGAGATAGATGTAAATATAGATATGAATAGATACAGAGAAAGAGAAAAGGAAAAGAGAGAGAGAGAGAGAGAGACATACCTAGACAGGAGGAAGGATAGAAGCAATACTTTAAAAGATAATTACAGGTATTGGGAATTTTCAAAAAATTGACCAAAAAACATCAAGTCGCAGATTCAAAAAGCTTCACAAACACGAAATCCAAAAAGCTAGAACAGCATGTGAGCATACACACGCACACACACACACACACACACACACACAGAGAGATTTGGATAATTCTATTAAAAGTTCTGAAAACCAATGACAGAAAGAAAATATTCAAATTATCTGGGGGAAAGGAGGAGGGATGACAATATCTAAAAAGGAGCAACAATTAGACTGACATCTGACTTCTCAATAAAGCCAGATGATAATAAAATATTTTTAAAGTACTGATGAATATACCTATGTGCCAAGAATTCTATTTCCGTGGAAAATATCCTTCAAAAATATATACGAATTATAGACATTGTCACAAAGAGAAAATATGAAAAAATTCATCACCAATAGATCTTCACTAAAGGTAATCATTTCACTACAGATGCAACTTAGATATGCAGAAAGGAATAAAGAACAAAGAAAGAGGTAAAAGTATGGACAAATCTAAATTAAAACAGATTATATAAAATAATAGAAACAGTGTCTAAAACATATATAGCATATAGAGAATGTCAAAATAAATGACAAGAATAGCGTGCAAGTTAGGAGAAAAATAAATGGAGTGAAAAGATTATAAGGTTTTTGCACTGTCCAGAAAGAGATTTATTATGTTCAATCAAGCTGCTATTTTTAAAAAACTACAGAAGAAAACTAAAACTAAAAGAAATACAACTAAATATGAACAGTAATAGGAATAGTTAAGCCTCTTTTTATTTTTCTACTTCTTTTTAAACTTATATGAAGTAAATGGAGTGAAAGGGATATAAGGTTTTTGCATTGTCCATAAAGAGGGTAGATAGTTTTATTAGACTTTGATAAGTCAAGAATGAATGCTTTAATTCTAGTGTAAACACTAGCATTGTCTAAGTAGTGTATTTCTTACAAATGAATGAGACTTAGAATAACAAGGATTTAATCAGATGAAAATAACATAAGAAATTAAAGAAACAAAATAAGTTGAACAAATACAAAATAAATATTCAAATAGTAGATTTAAATCCAAATTTAATTTGGATTTAAATAATAAACTAAATTTTCCATTTCCAAGCCAAAGATTGTCACACAAATTAAAAATAAAATGAATAAAAGAGTAGCAAAGCGCACACTCAGCACTAGTTCTAAATATCATTTTCCAATAATAGGAACTAAAGCTTCTTAGAGAAATGTCTGATTCCATGACTGAGCCAGGGAATATTGAATGTGGAGCACCTTGCTTTGCCAGAAAGTAAGAAAGTGTTCAAAAACCAGAGAAACACAGCATTTAAAAAGGACACAGGGGCTGATTGAAAAGAGTTCCTAGTGGTCAAAACTGAAGCAATTTGAGCTACAAAATAAGTACTGCACTGTTGTATTAATGATTACAAATAAAAAAATTACCAGATTTAATCAATGTTTTCTTATACCAATTTGTTTTTATTTGGCCAATTATTGAAGCTATTATAATTTTTAAAATTACCTCACTGTCCATTGCCAAATGGCTTCCATGGTCAAAGAACAATGTAATACAACTCAAGAAAAAAAACACAACAAATGTAATATGATTACTGGCTTAAGTACAGGCACATACAAAGACGTGCAAAGATTTTTAAAAATGGAATACCAAGAACTGAGACCAAGTCAGAATATCATAGCTAAATGAAATACCTGCTAGATAAACCTAAGAACTGTGTGAGAAACAGAACCTGTAAGATATGTTAAAAAAACAAAAATTTCAAATAAGAAGGTAGCTCTGATATGTTATTTGTAATGATGTCTTTTACACAAGAAATAAAGCTGGAGACAATTGCACTTTTAGATTAAAACTATTGGTTCTTTGTACGTCTATGAACCAGAGGCCTAAGTATATACTTTTAATTTCAAGCAAATATCTTGAACACATCATGGGCACAAATCTTTTTGTAAATGGTGTGAGAGAGAAAAGAAAAGAAGGAAGTATTAAATGTTAAAAGTATTTTTAAAATTCTTACAGAAAGCAACATGACTTAGATACAGTATTTTGCATTCATTCAACTACTGTTTATTGAGATCTACTATGTGCTAGGTAATGTCCTAAGTGTTTGGGATAATTTAAAGATCTCACCTTTATAGAACTCACATTCCAGCAGGGAAAGACATGAGATAATCCATATACATAATCAGTTAATAATCTCATATGTTAGAAGCTGATGACTGCAATTGAAAAAGAAATAGTATAGGTAAAAGTAATTGGGAGTGTATCAGGAAAATGGTGGTGGGTGCAGATGAATAATTATGAAACCAGAATTTAGGAGATAGTGTTAAGCACAGAAAGAACTTCAGAAAAACTTCAAGAGACAGAGGTTGATTGTGCCTGGGAGTTAGCAAATGATTTTATATAAGAACAAAATATTAAAAAAAGCTTTGAAGTTTTTAAGTCTACGAGATTGGGGACGTAGTGCCACTTTCACTAAAAGAAAGAAATCATTATGAGCATTTAATTTAAAGCTAAAATTGATGAAATTGATTAGGACAACCTAAAAGTGTGGTACCATCTAGAGATATCCAGATGAATTTTTAAATATTCAGAGAAAACAGTGGGAGTCACAAGGACAACTGGCAATGAAAGAAACTAAAATAGAGAATAAGGTACAATATTTTATAAAATGATTTTTAGGATTTTCTAGTAAAGCCTTAAAAAGTCAATTTGCAAATTAGAAATGATTAGCAAAACTATTATCTTTTGGTATCTGTATTTTTGGATGAGTAAAATTAAGCTAAAATCTAGATCCAAACTGAAGGTCAAGCCTTAGAAAAGGTGTGATATTATTCATTAATCAAATAAGCATATATGAACATATGCATACATAAATATTACATGCCTGTATATGCATATGTGCATTTTAGAGGCAAATATACAAACATGCCAAAGTGTCTGTTTTTAAGAATGAATTGTCTTCACAACTCAACTGATATGGAATATTTTTTCCAAGATTATA
This sequence comes from Homo sapiens, assembly GCF_000001405.40. Taxonomy (NCBI): domain Eukaryota; kingdom Metazoa; phylum Chordata; class Mammalia; order Primates; family Hominidae; genus Homo; species Homo sapiens. The sequence goes on along the minus strand of NC_000003.12, from coordinate 147,995,955 downwards.
TTCTCCACAGGTATGAGAGAATTACCTAGAATTTCTAACATGCTGTAGAATTAGACATCTTGAAGGAGATTTATGTTGACTTTCTGCTTGTTTGTTTATTTACCTTTATTTTCCAGCTCCACCACTAGATTACAATCTTCTTGAGGAAAAAGGCTTCTTTTATCTTCGTTCTTTGTCTTCTTTCTGCCCTCTGCACCATGCCTAATGGATAATAAGTATCCATTGTTTAAAAGAATCAGTTAGTAAAATTAATTAGTCGGGACGATATATTCTCCAGTAGTTATTCTCTTTTTTTCTTGTTCTTGTATGATTTCAAATCTGTTACTGAGACTACTTGCCATCATGTTCAGTACTGACCTCTACAAAAGAAGTAATTAGTACAATATTTGTTCACATATAAGACATCATTTTTGTCTCCTTGCTTCATGTAACCTGTCAGACAGAGCAGGGGAAGTTTTACATTCAATTGCTCTGTATTCCCCAATACACACTAGGAGAAGGAAAAAAGCCATATTTAATAGCAGACGTCTACTCTTAACATAAACCTGTATAAAATCATATTAATTGAAAACTGTAGAACATACTGAAATCTCCAGACGCCATATAGAAATAGAAAATAATTATAATTAAGGTATTTAATTAATATCAGTTTAATATTGAATATGATCTTGATATTAAATGTAATTAAATATTAAATGAAACTTCCTTAGTTACACCTACACTTATAACCTATGCTTGTGAAAACCTGCTGATCTATTGTACCGCTATGTACTACTGGGCCGGAGAAGCATGGTATGAGTGTATTCTGATTAATGGTAATTGAAACTTCCTTAAACTATCCCTTTACTACTCACCCTTCCCATTTCAAGTTCCAGCAGAAGGTTTCCAAGCTTGAGCATGACTACTCGCGTATTTGGTTTAATTCATTATGTTTTAATTCAGAAGATTGTTTTACGATCATCCGGAATTCTTTCTAATAAATGATAATCCATGAATATGGTTGAACTCCACTATACTCCGATGATTTTATAAGAAATTATTCAAGTTTCTGTTGCTATGTAACAACCCACCCCAAAATTAATTCTATGAATTGACTGAGTTCAGTATGTGGATCTTGCTTGGGGTCTCTCATGTGGTTACAGTCAGATGGCAGCACAGGAGTCATCTGAAAGCTTGACTGGGCTGCATATCTGAGATGGTTTCTTCTCTCACATGTCTAGTGCTTCAGCTGAGAAGGCTAGAATACTAGGAGACAGACTGGGCATCTCCATCTCCCCATGCAGCTTTTTCATGTGGCTAGCTTGGACTTATTTACAGTATGGCAGTCTCAGATAGTGAGTCTTCTTGCCTGGTGGCTGGTTCCCCAAGAGTGCTCCTTCTAAGAGAGCAAGAAGGAAACTGCTAGGCTTCTTATGATCCACCCTTAAAGTCACATCGAGTTACTTTTACTGCCTTTTATTTATTTTATTTGGTCTACCTAGATGCAATGGAGGAGGAGACTACACAAATATGTTAATACCAGGAGCCATAGTTCTCTGGGGGCCACCTTTGAAAAGTTTATGCCATCTTTCATACCCTCTCAAGCCAAGAAAAGCAAATACAATCTACAAGACATGTATTTTGCCTTTGCCTCTTTTTTGTTTGTTTGTTTGTTTGTTTGTTTTTGGAGACAGGTTCTCACTCTGCTACCCAGGCTGTAGTGCAGTGGTGTAATCATAGCTCACTATAGCCTTGAACTCCTGGACGTAAGGGATCCTCCTGCCTCAGCCTCCTGAGTAGCTAGGACTATAGGTGTACACCACCTTGCCCATCTAATTTTTTAATTTTTTTGTAGAGATGGCATCTTGCTATGTTGCCAGGCTGATCTTGAACTTCTGGCCTCAAGTGATCCTCTCAGCTTGGCCTCCCAAAGCAGTGGGATTACAGGCAGAAACCACTGCACTCTGCCTGCCTTTGCCTTTGACTATTTGCTTAACACTTTTAATTTTTGAACCAGCTTCAACAACATTCTCTATTACATATCACAAAGAGTAACTTTCACACCAGGCACAAAAATGAGTGGTATGCAATAGACACTCTCTCTTTATGCCTAATTTATGCTGATTATTCTTTTTGTTCAGCACATTAATATTTGGAAGAATTCATGGTATCTTAATTAAAATGTCATTTGAAACTCAAAGTATTTCAAGGTATACTTACTGAATACTTATTATGTGCCAGAAACCATGCTAAGTGCTAGGGATATGCCAATTAACATAAGACTATTCTATCTTCAGAGAGCTTAGAATGAGGACAGGCAGAGCATGCAGCTTCCACATTTCAGTATCCCCTTGCACAGATTCTCATATAGTTATCCAAAACTCTTTTTCTCAAACCCTCACATTTTATCTGAAATCTCCTTCAGGCTGAAAAGAAACCATCTTTCAGGTTCCAAGAAGAATTTAGCAAATGAAACAGTACGAGTGATAAATGTTAACTGTTGTTCCTTCTTTCCTTCCCCTACATGATTTCAGGTGGGATTTATTAAGAGAAGATGTATTTCTTCTTCTAGGTCATGAAGAACATTTTTTTCTTTATCTGTATCCTCCAAGGAAGCTCGTGGTGAAATAGATAAAATGTCAGAAATAATTAAGAAAAATGCAGGGGTATCCAACAATCTAAAATTACACCTTTTGGTGATGCCTAGTTTTTATCTCCTTGGTCCCTTGACAGGTATAAACACCAACTTATCACATCTTTTAGATGGTGGTGTGTTAAATCAATGTTGATGAACACCTGGTGCAGTGAACAGGGAGGATGAAAAGGAAATTCTCTTAGAAAGCAGAGGTCATGGGTTCTAGAAGGTCAATGTACACTATGTGATCAATACAGAATCTAGAATCCCTCAGAATTATTGCATTAAAAGACTCCTAAATCTCTTTAATCATTTTACTAGGTTCAATCACACCTCTATTTTATCACTTTTTTAACCTACTATTTTCTGTAACTACAAAAATTGCTGTTTTAAACATTTGTTTCAGTATTTTTTTTCAGTAGTAGGTGTTTAAATCAGTATGGTAGTAAACTTAACACACGGACAACGTGGACCCCCGTATCAGAAATGTGATATCTCACAGTTATGAGCCTCTCTTTTGTAAAGACCTTGAACATATTTTTCTACCTCAGTTAAAATCCTCCTACTCTAGATATACAAACTAGTTTTAATGAAGTGCACTTAAGAATCAGTTTTTTCCCAATGGGCCATAATAAATAGATATGGACCATTTATTACTATACTATTAATTATTTAAAATACATGCTACTAAAGTCTTTGAACAAGTAAATAAAAAATATCTGTAACTACATTAATTCGCCTAATGCTTTTAATTACTCATTAGTAGTGGTAGTTATAATAAAACAGATAAAAACTTTTAAATATACCAGTGTCAAGTAATGCTAAATATTTTTATATAACCTTAATTGTTCTAATAACAATTGGAACTGTTCTTATTTCTACAATATGGATGTAAAAATAAGGCATAGAGCGAAAAAATAATTTTTCCATGTTCTCTCAGGAGGAAGTAGAAAAACTGGGTTTAAATCTCATCCTGTGAGACTCATATTATGGAGTGTTAGGGAGGGTAACTTGTTTCCCACTCCTGATGTTTTCATCCATGGGAAAGAGGGCCTACTAAAGTGACAGTACTGGCCCATCTCCCCTACTCCCTGCCATTCACTTCCCCTTCTTATAAAGGAGTGACTTACCAAATTAACAAGTTTGGAAAGGTAAGAAAGTTTCCCACAGTAAGAATAAATTTAGCTCTGCTCTTCTAAGCCATATAGTTTAGATAGGGCAGAGTTATCCTTGAACTAATTATGTCTTTGGATGGATAAATATGTGTAATTCTGGAGTATGACATTAGGTATTTCATTTGCCTACAGATAGAAACTACATTCTCTAATATTATGTATATAAATACTAAAGGTCTCTAATTGGCCTTAGCTTTCCCTTTCTGGTAAAGTTGGATAAGGAAGAATTACTGACTTCCTAAAGATACCAGCAATCCTGAGGCCTTTTCTGAATCACAATTCCAATAAATGGAACCCAAAATAACATTTTATTGATCTCACATCAAAGTTGCAGTATTTATTCGCAAATACATTTTTCTTTTTTTTTGTTGTTTTTTTTTTTTGAGATGGAGTTTCACTGTTGGTGCCTAAGCTGGAGTGCAGTGGCACTATCTTGGCTCACTGCAAGCTGTGCCTCCCGGATTCAAGCGATTCTCCTGCCTCAGCTTCCCGTGTAGTTGGGATTACAGGCGCCCACCACCACGCCCCGCTAATTTTTTGTATGTTTATTTGAGACGGGCTTCACCATGTTGAGCAGGCCGGTCTCGAACTTCTTACGTCAGATGATCTGCCCACCTCCCAAAGTGCTGAGGTTACAGGCATGAGCCACCGTGCCCGGCCTGCAAATACATTTTTCTATACATTCTGTAATATCTTGGATACCTCACACACAAAAATTTCATAAGTGAGAAAGTAAAAACTACAGCTTTGTGCCTAGAGAGATATAGATTAGATATGTAACTAAGACTATCTGTAATTGTAAAATGCATTTTGACGTAATCCAGACCACATTAATGTGTTCACCTTCAAAATTCTAAAAAGTTTAATTTCAGGTTTTTATTTGGTGACCATGAGATGAAAAACTATATGGAACATTTTTAATGAAATGCATTTACCATTTTAAATGAAATATCTTCTAAAAGATATTTTGGAAATTTAAAATACATGTGCTTTAAATAACAATTTGATTTAAAATATATTTTTGAAATTTGATTTTGCATATATAGGTAAATATTAAAGTTTCTATTTTATATACATAAAATCTAACATACTGCTATTTAATATGGATTTGATGATACATGTCAATATTCTGCCATATTATAATTTGTTGAGGTTACATTTAAATATACATAGCTGTATTTGCCATTTTTGTTGCTCTTATTTTGTCCATTCCTCTGTCCATGGGGTGTCAGAAAGTTGGAGTGGAGTCCAGGCATTCTAAAAGGCAGGTTCTACATGAGCCATCATCTGAGCATATAGTGAAAAGAAAAGGTTGTCTTAGCAACTGGAACAAAATTAATGCTCTCAAACTCTGACTTCCACTCAGGTAACCATTTAGTTCTGCGGTTTTCAGATATACTTTGATAATAAAAGTCAGGTCTCTCTCTTATTGCCAGCAGAAATTTATCAGCTGATGCCCCTTTTATTTTTTATTTAAGAATTGGGTTCCTCAATTTGTAATTTTACTTGTGGTACTTGGACTATACAACAAAACTTTGAATTATCACAGCTGAGAATTTTCAATACACTTAAATTACAATTTAATCTGTAAATCAAAGTGTTTGAAAATGCACAATGGAGTATTATTTACCATAAAAAAGAATGAGTTTCTGTCATTTGCTACAACATGGATGGAACTGGAGTCATTATGTTAAGTGAAATAAGCCAGGCACAGAAAGACAAACATCACATGTTCTCACCTATTTGTGGAATCCAAAAATCAAAACAATTGAACTCATGGAGATACAGAATAGAAGGATAGTTTGAAACAGAAAATTTAAAATTTTTATCTCCTGTGTTCTAATCCAACATGTTTATTAATTCTAATATTTAAATCTTTTTCTGACTTGGTGAATATGTTATTTGTAAAAAGTTTGTCAACTATAAAATAGTTAAAAAAGAAAATAAAAAATGATCGAAAAATCCATCACTCAATTATTTTGTAATATTTTGTTTCAGTCTCTTTCTTCTTGCATATTTTGGGATGGTGACCTATTTTTCCTTCTTTTACTCTTTATGCTGTCTCTCAGAAATCTGCTGGTTAATAATTTATTGTATCATTATACTATTTTGTAAAGGCAATGTAATGTTACATCAGTATTACTGATGTACTTGTGATAAATTTGAATTAATGTACTATTGTTAATATGTACTATTGTACTATTTTTAATTTAAAATCATTGTGAGAGGTGACAGCGTGCTGGCAGCCCTCACAGCCCTCGCTGGCTCTCAGCACCTCCTCTGCCTGGGCTCCCACTTTGGCGGCACTTGAGGAGCCCTTCAGCCTGGCGCTGCACTGTGGCAGCCCCTTTCTAGGCTGGCCAAGGCCAGAGCCGGCTCCCTCAGCTTGCAGGGAGGTGTGGAGGGAGAGGCGCAGGCAGGAACCGGGGCTGCATGCAGTGCTTGCGAGCCAGCTCGAGTTCCGGGTGGGTGTGGGCTCGGCAGCCCCACACTTGGAGTGGTCGGCTGGCCCTGCTGGCCCCAGGAAATGAGGGGCTTAGCACGCGGGCCAGCGGCTTCGGAGGGTGTGCTGGGTCCCCCAGCAGTGCCAGCCCACCGGCGCTGCACTCGATTTCTCACCGGGCCTTAGCTGCCTCCCCACGGGGCACGGCTCGGGACCTGCAGCCCGCCATGCCTGAGCCTCCCAGCCACCGCCTCCATGGGCTCCTGTGCGGCCGGAGCCTCCCTGACGAGCACTGCCCTCTGCTGTAAGGCACCAAGTCCCATCGACCACCCAAGGGCTGGGGAGTGCAGGCGCACGGCGCGGGACTGGCAGGTAGTTCCACCTGCAGTCCTGGTGCGGGATCCACTGGGGGAAGCCAGCTGGGCTCCTGAGTCTGGTGGGGACTTGGAGAACCTTTGTGTCTAGCTAAGGGATTGTAAATACACCAATCGGCACTCTGTATCTAGGTTTGTAAACACACCAATCAGCACCCTGTGTCTAGCTCAGGGTTTGTGAATGCACCAATCAACACTCTGTATCTAGCTACTCTGGTGGGGACTTGGAGAACCTTTGTGTCCACACTCTGTATCTAGCTAATCTAGTGGGGATGTGGAGAACCTTTGTGTCTAGCTCAGGGATTGTAAACACACCAATCAGTGCCCTGTCAAAACAGACCACTGGCTCTCTGTAAAATGGACCAATCAGCAGGATGTGGGTGGGGCCAGATAAGAGAATAAAAGCAGGCTGCCTGAGACAGCAGTGGCAATCCGCTCGGGTCCCCTTCCACTCTGTGGAAGCTTTGTTCTTTCGCTCTTTGCAATAAATCTTGCTGCTGCTCACTCTTGGGGTCCACACTGCCTTTATGAGCTGCAACACTCACCGTGAAGGTCTGCAGCTTCACTCCTGAAGCCAGGGAGACCACGAACCCACCGGGAGGAAGGAACAACTCCAGACAGGCCGCCTTAAGAGCTGTAACACTCACCAGGAAGGTCTGCAGCTTCACTCCTGAGCCAGGGAGACTACGAACCCCACCAGAAGGAAGAAACTCCAAACACATCCGAGCATCAGAAGGAAGAAACTCCGGACACGCCACCTTTAAGAACTGTAACACTCACTGCGAGGGTCTGCGGCTTCATTCTTGAAGTCAGTGAGACCAAGAACCCACCAATTCCGGACACAATTATATATAAATCATTTTCTGTCTCTGATTATTCCATAAAAGTACATTCTTTCAAGTGGAACTGGATCAATCGTGTGGTATTTTTCAGTTTTGCTTACATATTATCAAATTAGTCTTTAGATTCTGGAATATGTTTAGAGTCTGGAAAGTTTTCACCAATTTGTGCTTATTTCATGAAAATAAGAAAGCTTCAGTATCTTCAAACTCTATTCAACATTGGAATTTTCCAATACAATAGTTTCAGTGAGAGCATTTTGATATTCACTTCTTTATTAGTGAGGTTAAACTTTTTTATACTTTATTAAATATTTATATTGATGTTTATGTTAATTGTATATACCTAGCCCTTATCCACTCTTTTGTTAATGTTTTCTATTTTAATATTTTTTCAATTTCTAACATTAAACTTTTTTTTAATCTGGTGGAAGTCAAATTAATCTTCCCCCCTTGCTAGTGTCATGTCATCTTTGCACTTTGAGAATTCTTGTAAAACCTAATAATAGAAAAAAGATTAAAAAGGGGTAAAAAGGATTAAAAATGGACTTTTGGGCCAGGCACAGTGGCTCATACCTATAATCCCAAACTTTGTGAGGCTGAGGCAGTAGGACTGCTTGAACCCAGGAGTTCAAGACCGGCCTAGGCAACATGGAGAGACCCTGTCTCTACAAAAAATTTTAAAATTAGCCAGGCATAGTGGCATGCATCTGTGGTCCCAGCTACTTGGGAGGCCAAGGCAGGAAGATCACTTGAGCTCAGGAGGTCAAGGTTGCAGTAAATGGTGTTTACACCACTGCATTCCAACCTGTGTGGCAGAGTGAGGTTGGAATGCAGTGGTCCCAGCACAGTTCTCTGCAGCCTTGTCTCAAAAAAACAAAAAAGGACTTTTATTTATTATTTTATTAACTTCTTAATATTTAGAGTGTTTACAATGAGCATGCATTTGTGAAATAATTTTGTAATTGCAATAATATAAATTTGTGTCATAATTTGGAAAGAGGTTATATGAAGAAAGCATCAGAAAAAAATAAAATTGATAGTTAAAACACAAATAAAGGTTTCAAATCAAAATGATGAAGAGAACATATTCATAAATTATGAAAAAATCTAAAAACATAAAACCTGCTTATAGTTTTCAGTCTGTATTTTAAAAATTAATAGAGTATAAGAGAAAAGCAAATAACTATGGTGGTCATGGCTTTTTTTTTTAACTTTATACTATCCTAGGTTCTATTAAAAGACAGAAATTAGCAAAAATATTTTGTGGAGTATAATGCAAGCTACCTAGAACCCTTGATTATGAAGTTCTTGGTAGGTTCATTTTCAGAACAGCAGAAAATTCACCATAAAGTTAACAGTTTAAAATTTAATTAATTCAAATGAAAATATTTTTAAAATAAAAACCATCTCTTGACTTTCTAAACATAGTCTTGCTCAGTTAAGATTATTTGTTTTATTTTACTCGGTTAAATAAAAATAAGTATTATTATACAAGAATTGTAAGGGCAGACACAGTGGCTTAGGCTTATAATCCCAGCACTTCGGGAAGCTGAGACAAGAAGATCTCTTGAGCCCAGGAGTTCGAGACCAACCTGGGCAACACAGGGAGACCTCATCTCTACAAAAAAAAAAATAAAATACAAAATAAAAGTAACTGTGGTTCCAGCTACTCAGAAGGCTGAGCTGGAATAATCACTTGAGCCTGGGAGATTGAGGCTGCAGTGAGCCGTGATCATGCACTGCGCTGCAGCCTGCGTGACAGAGAACAACTGTCTCAGAAAAATAATAATAATAATAGTGATACACTCAGAATGTGTCAAAGTATGAAATTCAACTTTGCTTTTTATCTATGCCTATGAAATAACACTATTCTTCTTGAATGGTTAAGTATACTGAGGAACAGACTAATAGTCTACATGGGTATTTGAAACTTGTGTGTATAACATACCTAAACCTACATGACAATTCCAACTCTGTATTTGTAAAACTAATACACAAACATAAGAAAAAAACAAACTATGGTGGTCAACATTATTTTACTTTATAAAATAAAATAAAATCTGAAATGTACTGATGGCAAAAGAAAAAAAATTTTAAAGGCAGCTGTGGATTTTGAAATTTTGAAAGCTATAGTTTTTTCACTAATATTCATAGGCTTAGTGCTGGCAGCCCTTGTTGTCATTTGCTCTTTCTAAATTTTACTCAGGGATAACTGAGTCCAGGGCACAGAGAATTACGTAAAAATAAATTATTTTTAAAAATAACTTAAATAAATTATCCCTGAGCAGAGGCTTTTTGATAAGAAATAGTCAATTTGAACTTTTCCTAATTGGTTTTCTTTGGAGGAGTCTTATTTGCTTGATTCACATGTTGTACCATGTTCCAAACAGGTATTATTGTGAAGTGGCTGATGTTAGAATTCATGACATATGGTTGTGTGATTGCATTTTTTTTTTTTTGTAAAATATTTGTGGCAGAGTTTTTAAAGCCCCTTTATGTGGTGAGAGTAGCGACACTATGAAATAAAACTATGCTTATTTTTTGAAATTCAGTTTCCCAAATGTTTAGTTCTAGAAGAGAATTGAAGCCTTAATTTTGTTTTTGAGGTTTCCAAATTCTCCTCTGGTAATTTACCATCCCAACCACACATTGGAGAGTAACGGCCAGTACATCCTATTGCAAAGGTGCATTACTCAACCCTTTGGTGACCACTGAATATCTTCTAGACTGTCTTCATAGTACCCCAAAAGAGAGAAATGGCCCACCTGCATAATCCTGGGAAATTCTAAAAACAACTATAGGAAAGACAGTAATTTATGTACTGAATGCTCCTCTGTCCTATTCAGCACATTTTTTAGAGTATGTCATTTTCTAAAGCACTTTGACAGGTCACCTTTAATGAAATCAAAGCTTTTAAGGGGAAAGGACTGATGACATTGCAGCCCTAATATTCTCTCTCTTCCAGATGGGCATAGTGTTAGCTGCTTAACTTAGCACAGTATTAGCTGCAAGATGCATGAGTTCCAAAATGATTCTAAGTGTTCATTTAACATGAGGCTTCCTTTGAGAAAAGGCTGCCAGTGGTGCATAATTGTGCCAAATGTGCAGCAGTTTCATAATGTGGGCTGTAATCCACTAGGAACTAAATCCTGCTATTACTCTCTTTAGGGAGACTTCTAAAATCCTACTCTTCTTATTGTCAATAGTAACCTGGAGTAGTTAGAGGTTACTGGAAGTCTCCTTTAAAAATTGCTGCACATATGTTGAAGCTTTCTTAATGTAAGTCACAGTAATGTGTTTATCAATTGGGCTACTGCTAAAGCCACAAGATGGGGCATCCAACACATTTCTTCTCTCCTAATAAGTTATTCTTTTATTTTGTGTATTATGACTTTAGTTATAATTTAATCTTAAAATTAAAAAAAAAATTGACTTCAATAACTGGAATATTTTTGCATACTAATAAAAAAAGATCCTTTTCCGTATCAGTGACACAATGGGATCTAGTTTTATGAAAATGTAAAAGTGTGCAGAAGCATGTCTTTCATATGGAGATTTCAATTCACCACTCATATATTTGTGTGTGTGTGTGTCTGTGTGTGTGTGTGTGTTGCAGTGTTGACATTCACTCATCTAAAGAACAAACCCAGCAACCATTTCCCAGAGCACAGCCACATTCTGTAACTGTTCAGGCAGGAAGCGAAGACCTCCTCATTGAACTGAACCAACCAGGGGCCTTTAAAGGACAGAATGCAATTATCCAAATTGAAATTTGTCCAAGACAGTGGAGCTAGCACCTTCACTCTTCCAGAAAGTACCAGGACTCTGGTTTTATGTCTTAGCTGAAAGTTGATGCCTGCTGTCAAAAAGTGCCTTGCATTCGTATACTGTCAGGCAACCCAGAACTGAAGCGGCCATTTTTTGGAAAAAAAAAAAAAAAAAAAAAAATCTGTACAAATAGTGGATCGGTGCAACCAGGATTCATTGGGGCAGTTGTTTTATTTATTTATTTATTTTATTTTTAAAATTTCTGTGGGTACGTAGTAGGTGTGTATATTTATGGGGTACATGAGATGTTTTGATACAGGCATGCAATGTGAAATAAGCACAGCATGGTGAATGGAGTATCCATCCCCTCAAGCATTTATCCTTTGAATTACAAACAATGCAATTACAGTCTTTAAGTTACTTTAAAATGTAAAATTAAGTTATTATTGACAATAGTCACCCTATTGTGCTATCAAATTTGTAAGTCCTATTCATTCTTTCTAACTATATTTTGTACCCGTTAACCATCTTCACCACCCCCATATTGTTTTTTTTTTTAATTTTTTAAATTTAATTTAATTAATTTATTTTTTTGTGTGATGGCGTTTCGCTCTTGTTGCCCAGGCTGTAGTGCAATGTCCCAACCTTGGCTCACTGCAACCTCCACCTCCTGAGTTCAAGCAATTCTCCTGCCTCAGCCTCCCAAGTAGCTGGGACTACAGGCATACATCACCACATCCGGCTAATTTTGTATTTTCAGTAGAGACGGGGTTTCACCATGTTGCCCAGGCTGGTCTTGAACTCCTGACCTCAGATGATCTACCCACCTCAGCCTCCCCAAGTGCTGGGATTACAGGCATGAACCACCGTGCCTGGCCTGTTTTATTTTTTAAAAGAGAAAAATACAGATCATGATTTTTCCCCTCAGACCAACTCACAGCTCCCTTTCTTATCTCAATGGCCAAAAAATACGTTGCATGTAACTGCCTATGATTTATCATGAAAATTAACCCTACCTCTTACCAAAGTAAAAACGAACCTGAGCAATAACTTTATTCTGTCTGTTTTCACATAATTTGTATCTAGGCATAGCACATTTTCAATTTCTGCTATTAATACACCTTCCATACACCATCAAATAATTAATGTGTTAATGAATTTATTATGCAAGCATTGTAGTAATACAAATTCAAGATATAAATTCAGAATTACCAGCATTAACAGAGAAGCTGCATGGTAGGTGTCTAATTACGATTGAAGAGGGTCTTCTTCATAACATGTAGTGAAAAGAATTCTTTGATTCTACTCAGTTATAATCTAAATATACATCAATTGATAAAAATGATATTTCAAAATTTCTAAAGAGAGTACAATTTCAGTATATTCTTCAAATAGACCTAATAAATGCATCTTTGAAAAAGAAAAAGGCTTAAAGCATTTTCTAGTAGCTTTAATTATTATAATAAGATTTGGTTCTTATTAACTAAGGAAACATCAAAGGAGAGGTAATTCTGATGTTAGTTAAAAGGAATGATAATGTAATTCAATTTACTAGTGTAATAGTTTTCAGTTTAAGTTTTGTGTTTCAAATATTACACAATTACCTAAGTCTTTCTACTTGTGAGTAGAATTTATTTTCTCATTTATCTTTATACTCATAGAACTAATCCCAAAGTTACTCTTAAATGTACTGCCCAAGCTTTTCTAATTTTTGTTTGGGTCAGAGGGTCAGAACACTATTCTCCCGAGGTCAGGGTCATCCTCATTAGCGTTGCTCTGTTCTGAGGTCACCGATTACGCTTTTCGTCCTGAGAAGCCTGGGGTGCCTGGAAACAAAGGCAGATGGACCCAAAAAAATCTATCACAGCCATAAGTGCCCCGACTAATGGCAGGTCAGGACTGCCATTTTCATATACAAAGAATAGCATATTATGACTCTTCAGCTTTTATATTCTTCTTAAAATTCCTCACTGAAAAAAAATGCCTGTAAGTCAACAAGAAGCCAAAAATTAATCAGTATATTGTAATTTAAAAAGTAATGCTTCTTCAATATAAAAGGAAGAGTTTTTAAACAATTAAATTTAAAAGGCAATAATTTATAAAAGTTGAATTTTAAAATTTTTACAGAATATTTAGTGATATGAAGAAATTCTCATAATGTAATTTTAACTAAATTGTGCTCACAATACAAGGATAGATTGGGTAGAAATTTCATATATATATTAGGATTCCAAGACAATACTACATATTGCTATATACCTAAAGGAAACACTTGGTAGGAGAAGCAAGACCAACATAAAAAAGGCTGAGGAACAAGGAATAGGATGAGAGGAGAAAAAGAGAGAGAGAAAAGATGGGTTGGCAGGGTGGTGAGAAGTGATTGTAAATGATACAATTTGACACCCTGGATCCAAGTGTGTCTGAAGTATGCCTGATTTACTCCTAGAATTTTAATTACATGAAACTATAAATCTTTTTTTTTGTTGTTTTCTTAAGTTGATTTAAGGACCCCAAAGAGTCCTTACTAATACATCTGATATTACCTCAATGAATAGGTAATTAACTAAAGAAATAAGCTATGCAATACTTCAAAATTTAAAGCATGGGTATTCATGCTTGCATAATGTCTTGAGATTCCAGTGTGTATGTACATCTTATAGAGGAAAAAAGGAATTTATTTCATTTAACAAAATGAAAAAGATGTAGTCAATACTTTTAGGATTATGATATTAAAGAACATGTTTAATGATTAATCAAAAATATAATAGAAGCATTTTATGTAGTAGTGTTGTTCATTAGATATTAAAAAACATTTAGAAATAATCAATTTGGCCTGGCACAGTGGCTCACACCTGTAATCCCAGCACTTTGGGAGGCCAACGTGGGCGGATCACGAGATCAAGAGATTGAGACCATCCTGGACAACATGGTGAAACCTGGTCTCTACTAAAAATATAAAAATTAGCTGGGTATGGTGGCATGTGCCTGTAGTCCCAGCTACTCAGGAGGCTGAGGCAGGAGAATCACTTGAACCCGGGAGGCAGAAGTTGCAGTGAGTCGAGATTGCGCCACTGCACTCCAGCCTAGCAACAGAGCAAGACTCCGTCTCAAAAAAAAAAAGAAAAAAATCAATTTACTTAGTCAATGTACTGAATATTTACTGTATGACAGACACCGTAGACACTGAAGGTACAAGGATAAATTAAAGACTTGACAGCACAGGAAGAGGCACAGCCTAGAGGGGTAGAAACAGGGAAGGAAAAGTCAAAGAACAAGAAAGTCTCACCCAAAATCTGACACCGTGACACTAACAGGCATCTTGCTTATGATAGGTAGAAAGATAGAAAGATAGATAGAAAGATTAAATCAAAAGATAGATTATAGATAAATAGATTTAAAAAATAGTTATGCCCATTTGATACATACACTTTTAAATACATTGCTGTTTGCCCTCCTAGATAGTCTAGTAATAATTCTTTCCACTTCAAAAGTATTTTTTAAAATATATAGTACTTTACGTGGAGCTTTTAGTTATTTTCAAATATTGTAACATTCCAAAGTGAAGTTCCCATGAAAAACACTCTTTATGTGCTCCTTCTTTTTGACTGGATAAAGGAAAGGTCTCAGATGAATAAGGAATAGAGAAAGGGAAGCTGTAGAGAGGTAGGTGAACCTGTAAGTTTTCCTGGGCCATTCCTGGCTGCTGCTTCGCATGGAAGAACTGTTGCAATTCTGAAAGGCACGTGGAGATAGAAGTAGTATTCCTCTGTGATGTCTGAAGTGTCTGGAAATATATGTTGTCTCCTGTATAAAGGGCTAAAGGACTTGCTAACATTACTCTGCAGATTGTTGATCTCAGTTCTCAGTATAAGAGTATCAGATTTACAAATAAAATAGTAGATGTCAATGATAAAGCAGATCTCTTTGCTGCCATCTCACTTTGAAAACATCAGCTAGCATTTTGGATTGGACTTACAGGTTCCTCCTCCCTATGTGATGAACCCATCCAGTGTTCTTTCTCTTTCCATTCCTCCTACTGCTCAGGTACCAGCAAATTATTACACTATATGGATGCCTTGCTTCTGAAACTACTGAACTGGGGCCCAAGATCTTTCACTTTCAAAGCTCTGGCTGAGCTTACAGAATTGTCAATGTATGTTAAAGAAAACTTCCAGGAAAACTGCTCTCTGGAGGATTCCTGTAAAATACTGTACTTAGTTCTACTTAAAGGGAAGGTAACCCAAGCAAAAATAACAGACCATTAGAATGAGGAAAGTAGATTCTAGAAATCAAAGCAGAGGAAACACATTCAGACTGTAAACTCTGCTATTTTAGTAAGTTCTGTGGAGAAGCATGATTAAGGTAATCAAAAATTGAATTGCCAAAAAGGGTGGATCCAGCATATGTGTGGTCTAATGATTATATAATTAGGGACGTCCTCTTTAAGAATAATCACACAAACTTATGAATATAAAATTTAAAACTACTGTATGTTTATGAATAATAATAAATGAAATCACAACAACAAATTTAAAATTTTCAAAAGCTGGCCAAAAATATACCTGCCTGCAAGCTTCAATAGCATCTCAGTAATCTACTTCTGATTCCAAAAGATCCTCCAGGAGCATCCTAAGTAATTCTCTATTCTCGGTGACATTCTTTTTGTATTCTAGATTTTCCTTGCAAGCAAGTCTTTTCTATTCATATTTAAATGTACTCAAGCCTCTTTTAACCTAACTTATTATTATTATTGTTATTATACTTTAAGTTCTGGGGTACCTGTGCAGAATGTGCAGGTTTGTTACATAGGTATTCATGTGCCGTGGTGGTTTGCTGCACCCTTCAACCTGTCATCTACATTAGGTATTTCTCCTAATGTTATCCCTCCCCTAGCTCCCCACCGCACGATAGGCCCTGGTGTGTGATGTTCTCCTCCCTGTGTCCATGTGTTTTCATTGTTCAACTCCCACTTATAAGTGAGAACATGCAGTGTTTGGTTTTCTGTTTTTGTGTTAGTTTGCTGAAAATGATGGTTTCCAGCTTCATCCACGTCCCTGCAAAGGACATGAACTCATCCTTTTTTATGGCTGCATAGTATTCCATGGTGTATATGTACCACATTTTCTTTATCCAGTCTATTATTGATGGGCATTTAGATTGGTTCCAAGTTTTTGCTATTATAAATAGTGCCTCAATAAACATATGTGTGCATGTGTCTTTATAGTAGAATGATTTATAATCCTTTGGGTATATACCCAGTGATGGGATTGCTGGGTCAAATGGTATTTCTGGTTCTAGATCCTTGAGGAATTGCTGCACTGTCTTTAGCCTAATTTTTAATAAATTTCTTATGACCCACATCCCTCTCCTAGTAGGACCCTAACACTCTTTACAACCAAACTCCTGACTGAAACTGTTTCTGGCTCCCTTTGACTCAAAAACCCTCAGAAACCTGACCTCTCCCTTCAGCAAAATAGCTCTTTCTAAGATCTCCCTGAGGATAACAATAGCTTTAATATCAAAATAAATCTTTGTCTTCACCGAACTTTTCAGCATAGTTTGTTCTGGCAACATTCTCTCTTCATCCAAAATACTTTTTTCTTATGTGGTGGCAAACGTTGCTTGTCTTTCTCTTATCTCTCTGGCTACCCATTTTCTTTCTCTTTTCGTAGCTTCCTATCTTCAGCTCAGTTATTAAATTTAGGAATTCCTCAAATCTCAGTCTTAGTCCTCTTTTTTTTTTAAATTCTATTGTCTGTCTCTAAAAATCTCATTTAAGTCCATAGTTTCAATTGACATCTGTAAAGATTCACAAGTTTATATGTCCAGGCCAGACCTATTTTTTAGACGCCTTCATTTGGTATCTCAATACCTCAAACTGTGCTGCGATCTTCTCCATTAGACCTAACCAGTGACACCCATCCTTTCAGGTCCCAATGTGAGCATCCCATGAGCCAACTGTGACACCTTCCTTTCTATCACACCCAAGTCTAATTCATCATCAAATCCTGTCAATTACACCTTCTAACTATCTCCCCAATTCATACATGTCTTTTCATATAAACTCTATCACTCTAATCCACGTCATCATCATCTCATAAATGAAGTCCTATAATAGCCTACTAAGAATTTTCCTTATCCTGTCTTTGTGCCTGTTTTAGTCTGGGTTCTCTAGAGAAATAGAAAGGAGGTATATTTATATTCATTATATATATGTATAAGTATGAATATAAACATGTGTCTATATATGTAAATATGAATATAAATATATGTCTATATTCATATTTATACTTATATGAATAAGGAAATTTACTATAAGGAATTGGCTCATGTGATTTCGGAGAGTGAGAATCCAAGATCTGCAATCTGCAAGCTGCAAACCCAAAAAAGTCAATGGTATAGCTCCCATCTGAGTCAGAAGGCCTGAGAACCAGGGTAGCAGATGGAGTAAGTTCCAGTGTGAGTGCAGACCCATGTACGAGCTCAGATAGTCAGAGAGAGCAAATTCTACCTTATTCAGCCTTTTGTTCCATACAGGACATCAAGGGATTGGATGAGGGACATCAACATGAGGGAGGGCAGTCTGCTTTACTCATTCTACTGATTTCAATGTTATCTCATCCAACAAGGCCTTCATGGAACACTCAGAATAATGTTTCACCAAATATCTGGATATGCCCTGGCCTAATCACGCTGACTTATAAAATTAACTGTCATATCACCTACAATCTAATCACCATAGAGTTGTAAAACAGATGCCTCTACACTACAAATCTGATCATTCACTCTCTGCTTAAATAATTTCAATAATTATTTCATAAGCTTCAGGTACTGGCTCTGGTCCTTCCAGTGACCTGTGACTTCCTGCATGGACTGGCCTCTGCTTACTTTGACATATCACAGATCTGTTCTCCTGGATCTCCTTGTTCTAGACTTTCTGGCCATCTTTCACATATTGAGCACTTTTTCATTCCTCCTCCACTCAGCCTTTGTGCTCTTAAATTCTCTTTGGAATGCTGCTCATTCCCACACATTAATGGAATCTCAGAAAAAAATATTACTTCCTTGGGCAAGCCTCCCTAATTTCTGTCCCTACATCACCACCATCATCACTACAATGTAGGTGAGTTTTCTTTATAATCCACTGTAATAGAATAATGTTATTTTCATAATGAGCAGCTAACTTTATTAATATATGGTATTGTTAATCAAGAAAAGTGACCAAGGGAAGCCTCAATCATTTTAGGAGGTCTATTTGCCAAAGTTAAGGATGTGTGCCCAGGATACAGGTCTATGCCTTTCTCTGAAGATGATGTTGAGGGCTTCAGTATTTAAAGGGGACAGGGCAAGCTATTGAGAAATACACAATTTTCATGTGAGGAGGGGTTAGGGAAAACAGTCATTCATCGCTTTGTCTGGTGGCAGACAATACAGCAGAAGAAACAATCAGATATGCATTTGTCTCAGACAGGCACAGGGATGACTTTGAGTTCTGTCTCATGTCCCTGCACCTGTGAAGAAGCTATCAATTTACATTGCCACAGTGAACTTTAACAGAAACACTTTAGTGTAAAGATCTTGGGATCCACAGGAAATTCCTGTGGGCAAAATGTGAGGGAAGTATGTAGCTCTTTATCTTTGTAACCATCTTCTTTAGGAACCAAAATGGGAAGCAGGTTTGCATGACCCAGTTCCAGCTTGACTTTTCCCTTTGACTTAGTGAGTTTGGGGTCTTGAGATTTATTTTCTTTTCACAGTATTGATCTGACAATATGTAACAATATCTTTTACTTACTTGAGAGCTTTATGAGAGCAGGAACCAATTTTAAATACACTTTCCATTATGTCACTATCGCCTAACAAATTGCCGTACTGATATTAACCTAGTCAATAAGCATATGTTGAATGTTGAATAAAGTAGACCTTCAACCCTTATTTCCACCAGGAAGCATGGCTCTCCATTTTTTAAAAAAGCGAATACCCCAACTCTTGCAAGAATTGCTCCAGGTCACAACTTCCATCCTCCTCCACACTAACCTCTTTGGATTCTGAAATTCTTGATATCCCCACTTGGCTGGTCCTTCATTGTTTTCTTTGTTTGATTTTGGAAATTTCTTTTTATATCATTTATTTTTAATATTAACCTAAAAATTCTTATGAAATACCACTTCTTACAAATGTCTCCTCTTCTCCCAGAATCTATCTACAATTCAAGGCTCCAGAGGTTGTGCCCACCAGCCAGCTTGGGTTCTAGTACCCCAGGGAATAGGGCACCTCCAGGCTTCCCACCATGCCCAGAGGAAATATCAGACAGACATAACTGAAAACAAGTTTACAGTTGGTCCTACTTGAATTACTGAGATCTGCCCTTCCTAGCCTAGAGATAAATACAATAAAAATACAATAAAAATGTATTTATCTCTCTTTTGGGCTCCATCATCACCAACCTGCCAGATCTTGTACTCCTTACTAGGCTAATGTATTAATATATACTAATGGAAAAATATGTTTTAATTTAAACAGAGATGCTCTGGAAGCAGCATTTGAAATGAAAAGATCTTACAGCATTCTTTATTTCATATGTTCTTTCTTTTATGTGTGTTGAGATTTTATTTTTTTTAGATAGCTAAGGTAACTTAAATAATAAATTAGACTCTTCAAGAGCTAATGTCAATTCTAAAAGATTCTCCCAGAAGATGGTATACTACCAGAATTAAGCTCATGAAAAGGCATAGTGTTCTGTATACTGTATAGAAAATAAATAGGACACAACATCTGCTCTAGAGAATTTGCATCTATTATTAGGGAAGACTACGTAACTATGGGGAAATA
This sequence comes from Homo sapiens, assembly GCF_000001405.40. Lineage (NCBI taxonomy): Eukaryota > Metazoa > Chordata > Mammalia > Primates > Hominidae > Homo > Homo sapiens. The sequence continues at coordinate 147,975,907 of NC_000003.12, read as the reverse complement.
GGCAATGGTGTCTTGGACATTTAGCAGTTCACAAGAGTTATTTTAGTGACAACCCTGCACATAAAATTAAAGCATCTTATATATTAGACTGCAGACCTGAAGAAGTCTTTGGAAAACATTATAACTTTATGGACTTTAATGAATTAAGTCAATAAAATAATTGAAGTAGGCCTTCTAGGGAAAAAACTACTTTTGTTTAATTAGTCCTTCTAAATAGCTTTTGATGGAGTAACACTGTGTTTCAAAGTAGCATGCAAATGTTTGTTTTGATTATTACTTATTCCTTTAAGTAGCTACAATCAATAATAAAATAATAAGAGTTTTCATTTATTTAAGCATTATGTCAAAGATGTTGGACTCCAAGCTTGAAATGTATTAGCTCATTTATCTACTCAATAATTATTTGCATTAGGAGCAATATTATGACCATTTTACAGCTGAGGATATTGAGGTTAAGTATCCTGCTCAAGATTACTTAGTTACTGGTGGAAACTGAGATTTGAAACAAAGTATTTGACCAGTGGTTCTCCACTGGGGACAAATTTGGCAATGTCCAGAAATGGTTTTAGTTGTCAGTACATGGGGAGTACTACTGGTATCTAGTGGGTAGAAGATTCACATTAAATTGAGCTTGAAAGGGACACTCGGTTCAGTATGAGAGCTGAAACAAGAGAGCAGAGTGTTGCCTTGTTTGACCTCAGTTGGGAATGTCCATGTCCACAACTAATAATTTTGGGGTTACAAATAAATTCTTTCAAGTATGCAAATTCACAAATATAGAATCAATGAATAATGAGAATCTGCTGTACCTCAGTGACTGCCCATAATACATTTTTATGCTCAAAGAAACATTAATACGAAGTCTTATAAAATAGTTCAGTTTATTTTTTTCTATACTTTTTGTAGCCTTGTTGGTTTGCCTAAAGATATTACTTAATAGTGTGGTGTTATAGGTCATAATTTTAGAAATTATTTAAATTGTTTACTAGGCCACAATCTTGCTTTTTTCATTTCAATCTATCTTCAAGAAAAGTGGTTCTCAATTGTTGATACAAGGTAGACTTACCCACGGAGTTTTGTAAAGATATAGATGTTTAGGCCTTACTCTTTACTTACTGAATCTATTTGCTTCATATTCTATGTATATTTTTGTATATTATGTATATAATGTTTCAGAATTATTCATTGTGAAAATTATGTTCGTTTATTTTTATAAATCAGGTGTAACACGTATTGAATTTTTGAAAATGGGCTTATCAGTTATCTCTAGAGATAGTTTGTCTAAAATTTTTTTGGAATGGCTTTCTTTTTATACTTTGTAGGCTGCAGAAACAACCAACATTTGTTGTCACTTACAGATTCTCTTTATGAACTCTCATTAGTCCTTTCACATTTGAAAAATTTCAGTAATAGATTAGCAATAGCCATTAAGTCTCTGTAATCTACAAATAGTCTTTATTTTACTCAGATGCTTATCTGATTTTGTATTTGACAAAAAAAGACTTTGACATGGACAGGAAAGTCCTTTTCCACGGTGTTGGAACACCATGAAAAAGGGCTATTGCAGGTTCTTCACATTATTGGCAATTCAGAGAAAAGACTCTTGGGTAAAGGCTTCTGATGACATCACTTATACAACATTCAGACTGGGTTGAGTCAAGAACAAAACAGCTTCGCAAGACTTATAACCCAAAATCTAATGAAACATACCAATTTAATCAATTCTGTTTTTGTTATCTGAAATGAAACATTTTAAAATAATATCTATTTCCATTGGGCCCTCCAGAAATTCTTCAGCTTCTAACTTTTCATGTTAATTCAGTTACTTACATATGTTCAGTAAGAATCTGTTCTCATTTCTACCAAGATATAATTTTTAGTATTGACTATGCAACCAAGGCTTCACCTGGAGTGTTATAATTGAGAATAATGCTCATTTAATCAGGTTGACAAGCAACTTTTACAGAACTATAATTGACTTTACCTGTGAAACTGATGCCTACAAAGTCCTCCCAGGGAAACTGCCCGGTACCTGGCTATAGAGTCACATTTACAAATGGTAAGAAAGGTCATATCAGGCATGCGAGAAAAAAAAAAACTACAAATATTTTGGGGACTTGAAGAGGAAGAGGAGAGAAAATTCATCCACATGTACATGTACTACAGGTGAAATCTGGTATAGATAGTCTTTTGAGACTTGGTTTCCTACCTTCAGGGTAGTAAGTAAGAGAGGATTTTAAAATTAAAATCCAACCTGATATTCTTTATGACAACTTCTAGAAATAAGTTAACCTTCTGATTGCTCAATACTTTATGGCTGTGGACTTTACTCTTGCTGCATATATGCAAATAATCAGGCTAAATATAATGAGACAATTCTTATTTTGTGATAAAGAATAATCTTTCTTTGAGTTTATTAAGATCACAATGAAGAGAAAAATTATTGAAGACTTTGAGGCTGGGTGTAGTGGCTGACACCTGTAATCCTAGCACTTTGGTAGGATGAGGTGGAGGATTCTGTGAGCCTAGGAGTTCAAGACCAGCTTGGGCAACATAGGTAGACCCTTTCTCTACAAAAAAATTTAAAAGTTAGCGAGGCATGGTGGCTCATGCCTGTAGTTCCAGCTACTCTGGAGGCTGAGGCGGGACGATTGCTTGAGCCCATTAGATTGAGGCTGTGGTGAGCTGTGATCACGCTTCTGCACTCCAGCCTGGGTGACAGAGCAAGATCCTGTCTCAAAGAGAAGAAAAAAGACTTTGAAGTAGAGGAAAGAGACTGCTACTACTTATCTTTTCAATGGAGAACACCATAGCATCTGCTGATTAACTCATCCAGTAGGAGTGTGCACTTTTCTTTGTCTTCAACTAGGCTATTTTACAACTTTGTAGAAATAGGCATTAACTTGTCTAAAACTAATAGTATTACAACTAATTTCTGTCTATAAATATATAAACTGTGTCTGGTGAAATGCATGTGACCAGTGTATATTAACTTATGCATATTGACCAATTTTGCCAGTTCTGAATTCATTCATAAATGTATTTCAATATTTCTTATCTGATTATAAACTTAGAAAAATTTAAATATGGCCGGGCGCGGTGGCTCACGCCTGTAATCCCAGCACTTTGGGAGGCCGAGGCGGGCGGATCACGAGGTCAGGAGATCGAGACCATCCCGGCTAAAACGGTGAAACCCCGTCTCTACTAAAAATACAAAAAATTAGCCGGGCGTAGTGGCGGGCACCTGTAGTCCCAGCTACTTGGGAGGCTGAGGCAGGAGAATGGCGTGAACCCGGGAGGCGGAGCTTGCAGTGAGCCGAGATCCCGCCACTGCACTCCAGCCTGGGCGACAGAGCGAGACTCCGTCTCAAAAAAAAAAAAAAAAAAAAAAAAAAGACAAATTTAAATATTTTTGCACCTGTGTTATTCTCTCATTGATTAATAAGTTAAAATCTTTGACATATGCTAAATTTATATTATATGAGAGTCATGATATTATCTTTTAGTTAGAAAGTTATCTTCTAACATTTCCTACTCAAGAAAATGATCTATTGAGTTTTTGGAAACTGGAAACAGTAAACAATCTATTGCTAAAGCAACATAATGAATGAAAGTTAAGAAAACTAGCTTCACATTATTGTCATGATTCTGAAATTACTTATTATTTTCACCATTTATGTGAATGTGCAGGTTTTTACAGTTTCAAGTGTGCATCATCATGAGTACAGAGAAGGCCTCTCAAATCTATTTGATAATAAGAAAGCAGATATTCTTAAAATACTATTGATATGACATCAGAATTTGAGTATAGAAAATATTTATCAAGTGGCTAATGAAAAAAATAATGGTAAACATGCTTAATGAATAGAGAAAGTGCATTAGACAGAATAAAAGGTACATGCTTAAAAGGAAGCCATGAAGATATACTGCCAGCTACAGATGTTTGTGATAGCATAGATATGTCTATTTGGGCATAAATCTGAACTATATCTCCTGGTCTAGGGGAGTAAGATAATAGTCCTAGAGTTTATCAATAATTTCAAGGACTACATATTACAATGGCATGGAAGCAATAAAGAGCCTGATATGAAGAAGCTTGTGTTGATAAAGTAGGCGGTCCTGTGAGGCTGAAAGACAATTAAACTCAAGGTCTCAAATTTCAAGGTCTTTTTCCTGTATTTTAAGGACACTGAGACACTATGCTTTCCCATGGTCACTCATGCTATAGTTCTGTCCTCTTTGTCATTAATGAGCAAAGGCCAACTATACCAGAAGCAGAATTTTGCATAGATGCATTTTTAATTCACTGACACTGACAAAAAAGACATAGTTGAACCTCCAATAGTCACTGATAGTGAACTATGCAAAATATCTTTGCTATTCATTCATACTTTGTTATAAATAAGCTAGATATCTGTGCCACTATTCTAATAATCACAGTCTTATCCATCCCCTCCCTCTACACTGACAGTTTACATTAAATATAATCACTGTTATGTAGTTCCATGGTGTCAGGTAGGGGAAACCTGGAGGATGGAGATCTTGTTCCTACCAGGAGGAAGTGACAAACAGACTGAGCAGAATTCAAAGATAAATAATAAAATTAAGAGAAATACATAAGCAAGAACTTTTTGCTCCACTGTTGAAGGATAAAACTAGCTGAAATGAAGAAAAAGCAAATATTTAAATGATCACAAAAGACAAAAATGTGTATATTATGGGGTCAGGGTTCTACTCAAGGAAGAAAGCTTTCTTTTAGAGGGGATAATCAAGAAAGCTCGCCTGGCAAAAGTTAAGTTATATGGATATAATTATTAAGTTAGAGAAAACACAATAGTCTAATAAATAGAGTAAGATACATACTGTACTCCCGATATTTCCTCAGATCATATGCTGTTTTTCAGGGGAAAATGAGTCATTGCTAACAAGACACATTGTCTATTTTTTTTTTTTTTTTGAGATGGAGTCTCACTCTATTGCACAAGCTGGAGTGCAGTGGCGCAATCTCGATTCACTGCAACCTTCGCCTCCCAGGTTCAAACAATTCTCCTGCCTCAGCCTCCTGAGTAGCTGGGACTACAGGCACGTGCCACCATGTCTAGCTAATTTTTGTATTTTTAGTAGAGATGGGGTTTCACCACATTGGCCAGGCTGGTCTCGAACTCCTGACCTCGTGATCCTCCTGCCTTGGCCTCCCAAAGTGCTGGGATTACAGGCTTGAGCCACTGCACCCAGCCACATTGTCTATTTTCCACTTCCCCAGGATTGAAAAGACCTTGCCTGAAAAGTACCTCCAATACTATGGGATCTGGCTAATGAGCCACAGGAATTTTAAATGAGACCCCCTGTCTTTTAGTTAAATTTAGTACAATTTACATATAAAGATAAATAAGAAAACAGTCCAATCGATTAAGAGGACACACAATTTTGATGGCTTGGAACCTGTTTCAGAATAACGGGGGAAAGTTTTAAACATGCTTTAAGGGATAGTTTTCTAGCAATGAAGATATGGAGAAGATATGGATAGACTCTGAGTCTCTGGGAACCAAGTAAAGAAACTTCCTGCAAAATTCCAATAGGAAAAAAAAATAGAGAGTACTGGTGTACCTACAATGCAGCATTGGGTTTATATGAAGTAGTACAGATAGAATTTCTGCTAATACAGTTCTACTACAGCATAAACTCTAAGGACAGCATTAAAAGGCTTGGCTTATTTTACATATCTCATAATTCAATTCTTCAAATTGTGGGCACTATAATATGACAGACACTTTGCTATGCAGTAGGGAGATAATACAGAATAAGACAAGGTATTTTCTTCTGAAGAGGTCAGAATAGATTGTGTTGCAAAGCTTTAGCATTTTATGGAATTTTTTAAATTGAGAGTTTCTCAACAGAGAGTACTGCTTTGTCACGATTAGGAGACCCAAAATAAGACTTCCTACCATAAGAATTATTTCATTAAAACAGGACAAAAATTACAGAATAAATTACAGTTCTGCAAACTGAATCAATTTGGCTTCATCAAAATGCACTATAATGTCTTTATTTTTCTCATTTTGTCACAGACCAGTAAAAAATTCAAGAACTCCACTAATTTAAGAATCACCAACTTTGACATATAAAAAGAGTTTGCAGTGTTATGTGCCCTCTTCTTTCAAAAGGAAGCATACGTCTCATCACTGAGTGGACAAGGAGAAGGAATGGAACACACAGACACAGACATGCCCATATATCATCTACCAAAAAGATAAGTACGATAACAAAATCCAATTTTAAAATGCAACATACTTCCTGGGGATTTTCTATCCACTTTTAATATCTACATGTGAATTTTTAATCAAATAATTCTGTAACATCTTGATAAGATCTGATACACTTGTGGAATTTACATTTTTATTGGGGGAACAGGGAAAGGTTATTTTGGATTGCTTGGAATATAACTACTGAAGGCTGAGTCTGAATGTGTTTTAGGATCTGAGAACAGCATGTGGTTGTAGGCATCTGGAAGGCAGGTCATAAGAAGAATTGAAAATGAGGAAAGACTGAGGAAAATATTGGGAGAAAGCCAAAGATAAACTCATAAATTCTGACTGCTTTTGTTTTTCTTCTAAAGACGATGTTCCAACTTAAAAAAAAAAAAACAAAAAACAAACAAACAAACAAAAAACACCCCTCTTTTCTTTTCTTGAGACAGGGTCTCGCCCTGTTGCCCAGGCTGGAGTGCAGCGGTGTGATCTCGGCTCACTGCAACCTCTGCCTCTGGGGTATAAGAGAGCCTCCCATCTCAGCCTCCTGAGTAACAGAGATTACAGGCATGCACCACCATGACTGGCTAATTTTTGTATTTTTAGTACAGACGGGGTTTCACCATGTTGGCCAGGCTGGTATCGAACTCCTGGGCTCAAGCAATTTGCTGCCTCGGTCTCCCAAAGTGCTGGGATTACAGACCTGAGCCACCTTGCCCAACCCCACACCTTTTATTGATAGGACTTTAAACAAATAAAGTATAAATTGATAAAAATTAAATAGGTCTGGTAGAAATGAGAATAAGCAACCCAATGCCCTAGCTGTAGAAGTTGTGCCTTCAACAATCATGTCTGCCTATGTTCAAAAACAATGGTTTTAAAAGAGAAATAAAAACTGGAAAGGAAAGATGGCAATAGGCTGAAACTCAGAGGACTAGAATAAATATTCTGAACTCAGGAAATGTAAGGAGTCATCTGTGCTCTAAAAACATTTAGTTTTGTAAGTACTTACACTTAGCCTGATTACCCTTCAAGGCTGATACAGAAATTCTAAGGTGGTAAAATAGGAGAGGAGGTTGGATAAAGATGATGAACTGAGCATACAGGAGTCCCCCTTATCCATGGTTTCTGAGCATAGAGGAGTCCCCCATATCCATGGTTTCGATTATCCGTGGTCAACAATGGTCTGAAAATATTAAATGGCAAATTCCAGAAAAAAGCAATTTATAAATTTTAAATTGTAAGCCATCTTAGTAGCATGACAGAATCTTGCCTTGTCTTGTCCCCATCCAGGTTTTGAATCATCCCTTTGTCTAGCATAGCTACACTGCCTATGCTACTGGCCCCTTAGTCACATAGTGGCCCTCTTGGTTATTAGATTGACTGTCCTGATATCACAGTGCTTGTATTTAAGGTCAATAGTAGCCAAACTCTATGCCATTTACCTGACTTCGTTTCATTATGCAAGCATTTTATCATCTGACATTATCACAAGAAGGGTAGGTACACCTACAATTCCCCAGCACAAAATTCTAGGAGACTTTATTTAGGTTCTTTATAAACAGATATAGGACACGGAGGGGGATAAATGATTAGGAGGACTTTTGAGGAAAAATCTTGAAAGACAGCAGAAGAAACTACAGCCAAAAATATCTGTACAAGAGCTGTGGAGGTGGAAGTGGCTCAGGGTTTAGAACCCATACTCAACACAACAGTGAACAGGAATCAGCACTAGTGGAGTCTCTAATAATAACTGAAAATAATTACTCAAAATTCCACATAGCCAAGCCTCTTGATTCTGATTACCAATTCATAGGTGTGTTCGATAAAGAACTGCTAGAGAAATGATGGGGAGGGAATAATCAAAGAAATAAGGGTATTTCTCATTGCCAAAGAAATGAATCTCAAATTTGAAATGAGCTTCATACTAAAAATATTCAAAAACCCATAATTTTAAAAGCTTGTTTGAAGATTTTTCCCCCAGGCTCTAAAATCAAAATATGCTTGCTGTTATGAACCAAAATATAGACATCTACAAAGCAAAAGTAAACTGCCTATACTTTCCCAGTCCAATACTAGCACCTGCATTAACTAGTGTTGAAGTGATGTGTATTCTTCCACACTTTCTCTATATTCACTTAAAAAATATGCATACCTTCCTGAAGAGTGATTCTTTTTCCTTTCTTATAACAAAAGTGAGATTACAGTATACCATATTTTTTTATACTTTTTCTTTTTACATATACTCTGTGCATTCCTCTGGAGCCATTGATAGGGCTGTAAATTAGTTGTTCATTCTGCTTAAAATAATCTTTTTCATTATCTTTGGGAAGCTGTCTTTCTCATTTTCTTCAGGTTCCAGTTTACATCATATCTGTAATTTTCTATTATATAACTTTGTTTTATTTTATTCTTAGTACATAACCACTCTCTGAAATTATTTTTATTTGTTTACCTGTTTATTTCCTACCCTCACTAGAATATAACAGTCATGAAAGATACACTTTCCTTCAGTACTTGCTCTAATGTTCACACTTAAAACAGGACATGAACATTGTAGAGATAAGTTAAATGTTTCCTGAATGAAAAATTAATAAGCTCATTCTTTTTTATAGTTGAAAAGCATTTCACAGCATGAATATACCTTAATTTATTCAACCTGTCTCCTATTAATTGACAATATAGTTTGCTGATTTATTTTTGCCACTTATGTAATGCTACAGTAACATTCTTGTACATATTTCCTTACTTATTTGTGATGTCATTTCTATCTGATAGATACCCTAAACACAGAAATTGCTTGATTAAAGAATGTGCGCATGTGTGTGTGTATGAGTGTATGTATGCGTGTGTATATATAAGTATATACACAAATATCTATGTGTATATATATATATTTTGTTTTAATGGATACTACACAATATTTTCCAAAGAGGTCATAGCACTTTACACTTCTTCTAGAATGTATGAGTTCCCATTTCCCCACATCCTCATTGGGACCCAGCATTATCTATCACACACACTGACACACACACGTATTTTTGCCAACCTCATGGGTTAAAAAAGTAGTCTGTTATCATTGTTTTCATTTCCATTTTCCTACTAGTGAAATTAACATATTTTCATATATTAATACCTATTTTCCAAAAAAAGGGCTCTCATAAGGAACTTAATTGTCCAGGACCTTGAATTTGGACTTTGCTGTTCCCGGAATTGTGAGAAACATATTTTTGTTGTTTCAGCCACACAATATATGGTATTTTTATTATATTAGCCCAAATTGACTAAGACACTAGGTATTCAATTTTGATTACTATAGCTTTGCAGCAAATTTAAAATTTTGTTGAGTGAGTCTTTCCTCATAAATCATCTACTTTTTAAAGTTTTTGGTAATTTTCTCCCGAAATCTTCAAATAGATTTAACCTATTTAGTAAGGATTCTGATAGACTTTTAAAATTAATTTTATATAATCATTTGGTAATGTTGACATTTTAATGATATTGAGTTGACACTGTGGTTTGGTTCCCATTATCTATTCTTTCTCATGGTATTATCTATTCTTTCTCATGGTATTATCTATTCTTTCTCATGGTATTCTTTCTCATGGTATCTCTCATTTTAATTCAACCATTCATATGTCCCCAGTGCATCTCATCAGCTTGGAGAGATGTTGAATCCTCTGTATCTCCAGGGGTAGGGGAATGTGGCATATAGTAATCAGCATTATCCCATCTCCTAGCCCATGCTTACAGACAGTCCTATGACCCAATTTGGGCAATGAGACACAACGAGAAAGTGATTGTGGGCTTTTGAGAAAGAAATTTCCTTAGCTCCATAAGGAAGCGCCCATATGTAAACTAGTCTTTCTTCCTCTAGTCGTTAGGAAGTCTAGAGTCCTGACAGTGTTGGCAGTGCCTAGAGATCCCTAAAGGAAGCAGAATAAGGATGGAACTGACAAGTGGAAGGCAGAACAGAAAAAGCAAAAAGATGCATTAAACACTGAATCTAACCTTAAACTTCCAGTTTGTCAACAGATAAATCTCTTTCACGTATGCTTCTTAAACATCAGTGTGAATAAGGCATGTTAAAACACAGATTCTTAGGCTGCACCTCCAGAGATTCTGATTCAGTATTTCTGGGATAGGGCCTGAAATTTGCATCTCCAACAAGATCCCAAATGGTGTTTCCCACTGACCACATTGTGAGAAGCAGAGCCCAGCATTATTTCAGCTAGTTTGAGTTTCATTTTTCCATCCTTGCAACCAAATGCATCCTAACTGATGTACCATTCAGGAGTGTGTGTGTGTGTGTGTGTGTGTGTGTGTGTGTGTGTGTGTGTGTGTGTGTTGTCAAGGTCATGATTCTTATCCACCAATAAAATTCATTTATTTGTTTATTTATGGAATTTTATACTTTTCTTCATCTAGGTTTTTTTCTTTTCACAGTTAATTTATTTCTTAGGAAAGTTACAGATTTTGTTAATTATCATAAGTACTAACAAGTTATTGTGTGTTTTGGGGCTTTTTAGCCTGTGTGTAAAACATGTATTTCGGTATATTTCATATATATATATATATATATATATAATTTGTGTGTATATATGTGTATATACACATAGCCTTTTTTACATTTATTAAAATGATAATGGCAGATGGCTTGCATTGTAGCTTCTTCGGTTTTCAAGATATAAAATCTGTCACATTCAGGATCTTGACAGAAAACAATCAACACACTTTTTCACTAAAGAAAGTTTAGCAGGTTATTTACAGAATAGCTAGCAGGTTTAAAGAAACATGGTTGAGAAGGGGAAGCCTTCAAGTAAGAGATTAAAATAAATATTTTCATATATGCAAAGGTTTATTTCCATTACCACTTTCTGAAAAAAGTGGAGTATGTACATTAGCAAAGCAATAGTCTCAAAAAGGAAAAATGTAAGAAACAAGACAGAGTAGAGAAAAATAATTCTATAAAATGAATAACTGAATCTAAATAATTGATGACACTCTAAAAATAATATGCTCATAATATTACTTATAATTTTCCCTTATTGCAACAGGGCAGTGGTGACAGGTAAGAAAAATGAAGAGAGTTGGGCAAGGTTCCCGTCTATCGTAGAGAGTAAATTGATATGGCTAAACCTTCATAACAACTGAAAAATAAGTTGGAATATGTATGTTAAGATTTAAAGGATATACACTAGGCAGGGAGAAACACAATTTGTAACTTCAACCCATAAATGGAAAAAGAAAACCAGTAACAAGTAATCTTGATGAATCAAATTAAAAGCAGATAAGAACAGCACAGTAACAGAGCAGAAGAGTATCAGTGATAAACAAAGTAATATGGAAAGGAAATATTCATGCATTTTAGAATTCACAAAACATAAATGGATTAAATTCCCCAAGTCAAAGGTTTGAAAAAAAAATACAGTTATCTTTTATTTAAAGATAAGTACCATAAAAGTGATGTTGTAGAAAGACTGAAAATTAAGTAATGATGATTAAGTATTAGGTAAATGGTAACTCAAAGAAAGCAGATATATCAATACTGAGAATGGACAAAAGAGAATTCAAGGTGAAGTACATTAAAAGGGGAGAAGGGATAATGGATGCTGATAACATTATAGGCCAATAAGAAGATACAGCAGTCATAAAACTGCCACATGGCTTTAGAAACTTTTAAAGTAAAAGCTGATATAAATACCAGTTGAGTGTTTCATTCACCAATTGAGAATTTCACAGTGGTAGACACTTACGCAAGCCTTTTAGAAAGTGATTAAGTGAGTAAAAGTTAGGAAAGATGTAAGTCAAAGGTAGCAAACTTTTTCTGCAAAGAGCCAGATAAGAAATATTTTAGACTTGAAGGCCATGTGTCTCTGTCACACAAGTGAACCCTGCTACTGTAATGTGAAAGCAACCATTAACAATATGATGTAGGCCCAGCACTTTGGGAGGCCCAGGCGGGCAGATCACCTGAGGTCAGGAGTTCAATACCAGCCTGGACAACATGGCGAAACCCCGTCTCTACTAAAAATACAAAAACTAGCCAGGTGTGGTGGCACGTGCCTGTAGTCCCAGCTACTTGGGCGGCTGAGGCAGGAGAATCGCTTGAACCCAGGAGGCAGAGGTTGCAGTGAGCTGAGATCGCACCACTGCACTCCAGCCTGGGTGACATAGTGAGACTCTGTCTCAAAAAAAAAAAAGTATATATATATATGATTTAGCTGTGTTTCAATAAAACTTAGTTTATAGCTACAGGTGATAGATGATATTTGGCCTGTCACTGTACTTTGCTAACCTCTGATACAGATAATTTAAATAACAAAACAAAAAACCTGATCATATACAAGGCAATCATTAAACAAATAAGACTTACAGGTTACAATTCGAAATCAGCTACTTCCACCCCAAATCAATACACTGTGGAGCTACTCTTTCCCTCTCCTTGGGTGAAATCTACGATTTTTATAATCACTTTAAGAAACTAAACAAATTCTTCAATCACGTTGACTCACAATGCACACCTAATTCAGTAGCTAAAATATCCAGCTCCATCCGATAGTTGAAACTCTGAGCCTTATTCTACATTAGAGTTTCAGCCTCACTCCAGGCAGCCTATTTCCCGTCTTGATAGGAAGCCTTCAGTGGGAAGGAAAGGAGGGGAGCATAGGTGACTTCTGCAATACTTTCCCTGCTTATGAGTCTATTGCTTCTCCCTCCTACTCACTGGGCTCTTCCAATGCCACAGCAGGGAAGGAAGGGAAAGGGAGGGACAAAAAGGCTTTGTTGATTGATGCTGATATAATTAAAGCTATGGCAGATGTTAAAACTTATTCTTTCTTTGAAGAGTATATAGGTTCCTTTGGAGACAGCTAAAAATTGGTTCCCTTGAGGCATTTAAAAAAATATCCTGTTGTTGGTAACTCAGGTCCAGATATGCCTTTTTCCTCTTTTCACAGAGGTCGCCTTCCCCTCACCCCAGATAGCCATCTTGAGCTGTTTCTAAAATGACCCCTGCTGATCTCTTCCTATGGGTAACACCTAGTCACTCAGCTTAAAGAGTATAAGTACATGAATTGTGATGCTAAACCCCAATTATGGCCACAGTATTTCGTTTGCATCAATGAATGAGGCTTGTTTACTTTGCAAATCTATGAAACCTTTGATAATATGAGTGGGACAGCAGAATCAACATCTGTGTGTCTGTGTGCTAATATTATCTGGGATTAAAACTTTAGGATTAGTTAATTTACGCATAGCCAATCATAGTAAATGTTCAAAAAAGAATCATACACCCAGAGAATCAATCACAGAAAAGGGGTTTCTTGCTATAGATAAGGAAAGCCTTAAGATTCATAGTTCAAAGGCACTTTCTCCCACTGCAGGGTCCCAGCTTTTCTTCTGTTCTAACACTTGAGGAATCTGACTAGACACTACAGACCTGGTTCTGACAATAGTCATTGTACTGGACTCCATCTACAATGAAGATTTATGCTGCTGCTGGGAAGGGAAGCATCCCTTTAAAGGAACTTTATCACTACTACCCCAAATAATATGTGTGTAGTAGGTATATTAATAAGAACATGTAGTTGGGACTGACTGGGTAATCTTACGTGTAATCTCTTTTTCAGTTTATAATCCTATACGAAGTGCAAGTAGTTTGGAAAGCTTGCCTTTGATCAGCTTTCACATGTGACAGAATCAGTGGAGTGAATGTGAAGCTTAGACCACTACCCACCAATGTAGCCTTAACACTGGGAAATGCACATCTTTGGCCCACTGTCAGTGGGAATGCTCTTACTATAGCCCTCTACTCTGATGCCATAGGAGCTTCGTACAGTTTACATTTTTAAATTTCTCAACAGTGTGTCTGATACTCTAGGGGACACATATCAATCTCTCTGACTGTTCTCAGTAAAGTCTTTTCCATAAGATACTTGAAGTGAATTTAATGGATACCTCATTCTGACACAGAGGGGTGGGTAGTATTTAATGTCCGTCAGTAATTCTTTCCAGAAAAGGCCTCTTTCTCTCGGTTTATTAATTTATCTCTGGCTGAAGTCTAGGTCTGCAATTTACATGTGCAAGGTGTTTGCAAAAGTGATTTTTTAGGATTTTCTTTGCAAAAAGTTGTCTAACTTGGTATAGCTCCTTACAGTGGAATGTGAAAATGCTTGCCATTAATTTTTTGTGACCTCAGCCAAACCTGACATAGAAAGAGTTTCAATGTAACATCCTGTTACATAAAAGTTTTTAGTAACCATGGGCATTCCATAAAAGGATCATGTTATCTTTGTACAATGAAAATCTCAATGAAAACTCCAGATTCAGAAATCACTCAGGCCACATTTTCAGGCAATAAACTTTTGAAATAAAGACAAATGTTCACTCCGATATTAAGAAGACTTTTTAAAGCAACCCTTGGGTAAGTTTGGGAGACCAACGCTAAAATTAAATTCTAATGAGAAATCAACAATGAGAACACTAGCTCATCATGCGAATGTGATTGACATGCTACACAGAGGGAAATGTATAGTCCTTAAAGCATTTATTTAAAAAAACAAATAGAACAAATATAAATGTAAAGACACCCCGGGACAGAAGATAAGAGATATGGCTGAGGCAATGCGCTGTTAAGCTACACCTGCACGCGGTTGCCATAGTAACAGTGAGTTTTGTTTTATTTTTACAGGTGAACCAAGGGAATGCAACACTAGGGACACAAGGGGCTCAAGACATTATATCTCACTAATCAAGATGACAATGAAATATTGATTTTCTTAAACATCTGATGGGATAAAACGCCAGTGAAAACACCAAATTTGGTCAGTGTTTTCTCATATTGCCTACTCAAAGCCACTCTACAGCTGAAAATTAAGTAAAACAGAACATACAAAAGTGAATTTGCGATTGTTTAAAGTGGAATTAAATTGGTTTAACTAAAAGGCCAAACAGATTGCAGTTAAATGAAATGGGGTATCTGAAGTTAAGTAATTCAATTCTAATTCACTTGGTTGTAATAAAACATTTAAACATACACATTATGGATATAAGGTCACCCACTGTTTTGAGTCTCCCAAAAAGAAGCTCATAGTTAACTTATAAATTAATTTGAAAGGTTTTTATAAAATTGTAAATGTTTTCCTGAGCCTTTAGAAATGCTTTCAAGGGAAATTACCAAGAATGCAATAAAAATATTTTAGCAGGCTTAAACTGGCAATTTAAACTTTTCTAATATGAAAGATGATGAGTTTTCATAATCTTCTCAGCATCGGAATTTTTTAAAGATTTAAGTATGTTTAAAGAAATAATTTCTCAAGAATATTTTTTCTTCTTCCTATTTTTCTCTGAGTAGAAGATTTAGAATCATTTCAAGAAAGTGAAGCCAATGTATACTTTTTTGAGATTCATATCAAGCTAATTTTTGAGTTATTAAAAGATGTTCAGGTCTATTTTATTTTGATTTCAATTCCGTCTTACTCACAAGTTTAAAATATACAGTCAGACTGTATCCAGGTTTTGATTATTGAGTTTTTTATATCCTTTCAAATGCATTGATTAGTATATCATTGCAATGCAAACGAGTGAGTCTTATCCTGCCAAAGAGTAAAAATACAAATATTTTAAAATCATACATACATATAACAAAGAATTGCATTAAGAATAAATAGAGTAGCGTGCATTTATTCTATTTCCTCTCCCCAGATTAGAAGTACAAGAGAGATATATACATATTAGTTTTACTGGGGAGAAGTAGGTTCAGAAAGACCACATAGAATGCATGAGACTTGAATCTCAAATGATGGGGCAATACTTACCAGGTAGACAATAAGACTGTATGTACTTTGTGCTCCTTCTCACTAACTTTACCCCTACAAGTTAAAGAGGGAGTAATTAAATTACAGAAATTGAAAAACTACATATTATATGGAGTAAATTATTTTGAGCGTGTACTTTGGACTCCCAGACATGACCCTTATGTTGAGTGCAGTATCACATGAAGAAATAGTTTTCTCTAGAGCATGTAAAATGTTGGTTCACCCAGATAGATTCTGTGGACATGATACTTGTAGTTGTACAGTTGTTTACTTATTTACTGTGATTATTACCATACCGCATCCAGTGAAACTAGTGTCAATTAATAATGCTTTTAACCTTGTCAGGAAAGGGTAAATAACATCACACTAATAATAGTCTTGAAATCAATGATGAGGTAAAAGGGAGGATAAAAACTAGAAGTGCTATGACAATATACTTTTTATTTGAAAAATTAATGAAATATATGCTATCCGCTCAAAAGATTCTGAATAATTTATCATACTTAAAACTTATTCTCCTAAATTTAACACATGTTCTATTTTTTAAAAAAGGATATTAAAGTTTTTATATGACTAAAGAAATTTTTTAAATAATCAACATAAATTCTAATAGAGGACTGATGCTTTTGTGCTCTGTGGCTTTATCCATACTCACTTCCTCGCAGTTTTCCTTCTTGGACATTATCGGTCAATCTGGGTTTTCTTTTGATATTTTCTTGCTAAAATCTGCATCTCTCTCTCTTTTAAAAAAATCAACTGACATCAAAGCATTTTTACTCATATTGAAAACCCTGTTTTTAAACAACTGCTGTTTGTTTCTCTTTAGTAACATCACCAATCCGCTTGGATCTAGGCAACCTTAGCAGGATATATTCCTTTCTCATGTTCTCCTATCCTATTTCCTGCAGAGTCTGATGTAAAACAGATTTTAAAGTTCATAGTAGAACAGAGGTCAACATGAAAGACTCTAGGATCCTGGCCTTTGGTTTTTGCTTCTGGTCTTTATTATTACAGCAAATAGTTAGTTGAACTATTATTTTCTGTGTCATATAAAAACATTGGAATGACAGTTCCTTCTTTTTAATCATAGATTGCAATTTTAAAGGATTTTCTAATATATAAGAAGGGATATAAGGGAAAAAAATGATAGGAACACAGTAATCAAAATGAATTGTAATATGCTTAAATTTCTAAAATCTGGGAAACAGAAAGCACATCGTCTTTGTACATGCCCCTCTCTTTCTTTCTTAAATATTTTGATCCAGAATGTGTCTAAGGCTGTCTCTTCTCCTGTGTTTTAGATTCTATTCCCTGCTGTTTCATCTGGAAACATGCTCTGAGGATTTTCTTCTTTTTGTTTTTTTTTTTTGAGATGGAGTCTCGCTCTGTTGCCAGAGTGGAGTGCAGTGGCGCAATCTTGGCTCACTGCAACCTCCTTCCTACCAGGTTCAAGTGATTCTCCTGCCTCAGCCTCCGGAGTAGCTGGGACTACAGGCACCTGCCACCACTCCCAGCTAATTTTTGTATTTTTTAGTAGAGACGGGGTTTCACCATGTTGACCAGGATTGTGTCAATCTCTTGACCTCAGGTGATGCACCCACCTCAGCCTCCCAAAGTGCTGGGATTACGGGCATGAGCCACTGCACCCAGCCAATTTTCTCCTTTTTTCTTCTGCATAGTCAAAGTAGATTCTTTTCAGCTTTTAAACACACACTAGTCTCACCCATTTCAAAACAATCACCAATCTTGTCCTATCTCCAAGGCACCCACAGCTCTGGCCTGACTCTCTTCTTTCCCACAAGGCTAAACTTCTCTAGTGGGTGACCTATTCTTCTCACTCCACTTCCTCACCTTCCTTTCTTAGCCCACACAGTCTGCTCCTATCAGCATCATGCTACCGAAATAGCTCTTGCTGAAGTCATCAAATCAGAGGTCCATTTTTCAATGCCCCTCTCAGCAGCAGTCAACTGAGAAGGACCCACCTTCTTTCTTTAAAACATTCTGATCCTAGGCATCATAATTCTACATGAAGGTGCAAAAAAATGACTAACATCATCATCATCCCTGAAGATCTCACCCTCCCAACCTCTCCCATGTTCTTCCCCTTCTCTCTCATTTTTCTCTCCCCAAAAGGAGAAATCCTAGACTCTTCTACTATACCGTACTTTAGGATTTTGAGATGTAGAATTGGTAGAAAGGGAAGAAAAACAACAAAGAGGACAAAAAAAGTAGGGAGACTATTACAGAAGAAAAGAGTGGCAATTACATAATAATGCTAGTACAGTATTAAGTAGGTAGATATGAAGGAAAATAAAATCAAAAACCTTCTTTGTGAACAGCATAGTTTTATCCTTTAGAGTAAACTTTTTTTTTTTCTTTAAGTAAGGTAGAAAACCACTGATATGTTTTAAGAAAAAGACATTGCGGCAGATGGGCTTTGATGAAAATGGAACAGAGTGAGAAATTTTATTAAATGGTTAATATTAGCTGGATAATTGTGTATCTTCAAAGTTGTTGACACACTTGGAAGTAAAGAATAGGGGCATTTTGAAAATATTTTCAGTGGCTTGACTTTCTCTTGAGATAAATGCATCCATTCCCACATCAATATGTATCCACTATATGCAAATTACTTCTAAATATATGTCTTCAACTCTGATACCACCTCTGAATAGTAGACTCAGATATCTGCTTCCTATGTGATATTCCCACTTAGATGTATAAAGAGTATTACCAAGTCAAAAGAGAACTCATAGTTCTCTTTTGCACATCTTTCTCCTCCACCTAAAACATATCCTCTTCTAGGGTCACTTATCACCCTGAATGCTACCCCTATCTATTGAGTTTCTCCACAAGCCGTGAACTTACCTTGGATCAACCATTAAGAGAAAATAGTTTATAACCCTCTCTCCAGTTAGAATAATTACAGCTAGAACTAACAGAACAACTAACCAAAGTAGCTTAACAATGAGGAAGTTTCACATATAACAAGAAGTAAAAATGTGCAATTTCAAGAATGGCTTACTCATCATTATATAAGTGATTTCCATACTTCAGCATTTGGCAGTGCATCCTCTTAAAAGCTCAAGGTGGTTGGTGCAGTTCTAAAAATGTGTGATCACAGTGACATTGTTCCAAAGTCACACAGAAAATTTAAAAATGAAAGAATAAATATCATTGACATGCTATTCAAAAGAAACCTTTTGTAGCAATATTACTATCAAGTATACTGGCACAGATGCTGAAATAAGACTTCCTCAGTTTGAACCTCAGCCTGCTAGATGTTAGCTGTGTCATCTTGAGCACATTACTTAATCTCTTTGTGCTTCCATTGTCTTTTTTTTTTTTTTTTTTTTTTTTTTTGGAGACCGAGTCTCACTCTGTCGCCTAGGCTGGAGTGCAGTAGTACAGTCTCCACTCATTGCAACCTCTGCCTCCCAGGTTCAGGTTCAAGCAATTCTCCTGCCTCAGCCTTCTGAGTAGCTGGGATTACAGGCACCCGCCACCATGGCTGGCTAATTTTGGTATTTTTACTAGAGACGAGGTTTCACCATGTTGGCCAGGCTGGTCAAGAACTCCTGACCTCAGGTGGTACACCTGCCTTGGCCTCCCAAAGTGTTCGGATTACAGGCGTGAGCCAATGCACCCAGCCCTATTTTTTTTTTTTTAATAAGCATAGTATAATAATAGTATTTGTCTAATGGGTCTGTGTGAGAATTAAGTGGTTTTGTACATTTGTAGAACTTAGAACAATGTCTGATAAGAAGTTAGTATATGATAGTTGTTGTCTGATTATAAACTCAGAAACAATGAATAAGGATGAAAAGGAAACTTCATAACAACAAAATCAAAAATATACCGAGAAGATATAAAAATAATAAGATTATATGCTTATAATTAAAGCTTCAAGATAATATTAAAATAATCCTTCATAATAAATAAACTATGAAAGATTTATGCCACTCTCCCTACTTGGAAACTACTTAATTGCCTACCAAGATAACTCTAGAGAGCATACATTCTATTAATGCTAATAAACTAATTCATCAAATTTTCTAGATGCAAGGTTCATGTACAAAAATCAATATTATCCCTATACTAATAATTGCCAGAAAAGGCATAGATTTCACGTTCTGTAGAAACAAAAACAAAACAAATCTTACCTAGAAATAAATCTAAACAAATGTGCAATTCTCTTGTGAAGAAACTCCAAGACATTATCGAAGGACATAAAAGAAGCAGTAAATATTTGCAAGTATATACCATGTTCATGGATGAGAAGACTCAATATCAGAAAGATGCTATGGAAACAATAGTACAAGTCCCCTCCTTGAAAAAGGAAATATTAAATCCAAAATATAAATCTTCCGATAATAAAAGGTTCATCTTTGATTAAAGCAAACTTATGAAGCAAATTATTTCAACTAAGGTGAATCATCCAAATAAGCTTTAATAACTATTTCTCACTCTTTCTCATAAATAACAGATATACTCTGATGTATCTTCTGATTTTCTTAAGGAGTTCAAACCCCTTTTATCAAATTGTTTTATTGCAGAGCTGACTTTTAATTATTTAAATGTATATACATTTATAGGTGTGTTAGAAGATATTAATTGTCAGTAGATTGCATTTATCTTAAATCATCTGTGATGTAAATAGAGTTACATAAAAATCATTAAATTTTCAAAATTATTGTTGTATTTTCATCTGATCTATGGTATTTGTACACCAACACTACAAAATCAGCACTATCTGTATTAGTTCATTATCACGCTGCTGATAAAGAGGTACTTGAGATCGGGTAGTTTATAAAGGAAAAGGGTTTCATTGACTCACAGTTCGACATGGCTGGGGAGGCCACAGGAAACTTGCAATTATGGCAAAATGTGAAGCAAACATCCTTCTTAAATGGTGGCAGAAAGGAGAAGAATGAGCAAAAGCGGGGAAAGCCCCTTATAAAATCATCAGATCTCATGAGAACTCACTCACTATCATGAGAACAGCATGGAAGTAACACCCCCATGATTCAATTACCTCACACCAGGTCCCTCCCACTACATGTAGGGATTATGGGAACTACAACTCAAGATGAGATTTAGGTGGGGACACAGCCAAACATTATTACTATCTTTTATGATATTTTTTGTGCATCTTAATGTATTACTAGTTTTATAATTATTTAGAAATAAAATTTGCTAACATTTCCTAATAGCAAAATAAAATGCAGAAGTTTATTGCTTTCGTGATGGCAAATTATTACAAAAAGTAATCTGTAAATATGATACAATTCCAATCAAAATTCTAACACAGATTAAGAAATTTGACAAACATATAGTAATATTGTCAAAGTAGAGGACAAAAAAGAGACAAAAGAAATCTGAAAATAAAAAGTGGAGGACTTGCCTACTTAGCTACCAATAAGCAGCTAATATAGTGTGATATTCATGCACAGGGATGATAACCAAGTCTAGTGAAAAGAACAGAGAATATAGTAATGCACATTTGAACATGCAAAGATTTACATGTGATAAAGGACTTTATAGATGACAAATCAAAGGAGAAAATATGTACAAGTAAAAAAAGAGTTGCTGGGACAACTGGATGAATAATAGACATAGTTAGATATATAAATCTAAATCCCAATCACAGCATACACAAATAATTAACCACCTACAATAAAGAACAAAAATAAACCCAATGAATTTTAGAAACATATTCATATTAACAGAAACAGGTAAAAATGATAATCTCATTTACATGAAATTAAACTCACGTTCAAGAAGTATAAAATGATTTTTAAAACAACACCACAGAAGGGAAAATATATTTTTACCACACAAAAACGAAAAAAAGAGGCCAGGCACGGTGGCTCACACCTGTAATTCCAGCACTTTGGGAGGCCGAGGTGGGTGGATCACCTGAGGTCAGGAGTTTGAGACCAGCCTGGCCAACATGGTGAAACCTCATCTGTACTAATAATACAAAAATTAGCCAGGTATGGTGGCACTTGCCTGTAATCCCAGGTACTCAGGAGGCTGAGGCAGGAGAATCGCTTGAACCTGGGAGGCAGAGGTTGCAGTGAGCCAAGATCGTGCCACTGCACTCCAGCTTGGGCAACAGAGTGAGACTCTATCTCAAAAAATAAATAAATAAATAAATAAATAAATAAATAAATAAATAAATAAATAATAAAAAAAGACTAGTACACATCAATAAGAAAAAGCAAATAATCCATTACACAATTGGTCAAAGGGCATGAAAATTAATTAGGAATTAAGATGGCTAATAAACGTGAAAATATGATCATACTCAGTAGCACTTAACAAAACACGAGTAAAACAATAATGAAATATAATCAAATACCTTCCAGATTGCCAGAAATTAAAAAAGTTTAACAAGGCTAAGTTTTGAGAAGAATCTGTGGAAATGCAATTTGTCAGTCATTGCTGATGGTAGTATAAAATGATGTGGCTACTTTGGAGAATTTGTAAAGCTGACCAAACAATTCCTCTTCTATATATTTGCTCTAGAGAAACTCTCATATATCATCACAAGAACACTCACCATGTTATTTTTTAAGCTTTTTTATTTTGAAATAATTATAGACTCACAGAAAATTGCAGAGATAGTACAGAGAAATTCCCTATATCCTTCACCAAGTTTCCCCCAAATGACTACATTTTACAAACTATAGTACAATATCAAAACCAGGAAATTGACATTAATATAATGTGTGTTCAGTTCTATGCTATTTTATCACATGTGTAGGTTTGTGTAACCACCACTGCAATGAAGACACAGAGCTATTCCACCATCACAAAGATCTCCCGTGATCCTATATTCACACTCACACCTTGCCTCCTACCTACCATCTCTAATCCCTGGAAATTTGTAATCGATTGTTTGTCTCTATAATTCTGTCATTTTGATAACATTATATAAATAAAATGATGTGTATGTGACCTTTTGAGATTGGCTTTTTTCACTCAGCACAATGTCCTTGAAAGTCATTCACGTTGTTGCATGTGCCAACAGTTTGTTCCTTTTTATTGCTGAGTAGTATTCTATAGCATGGATATATTATTACAGTCTGTGTAACCATTTACCTATAGAGAGACACTTTGGTTGTTTCCAAGTTTTGGCTATTACAAACATTCATATACAGGCTTTTGTATGGATATAAATTTTCAGTTCTCTGGAATAAATGCCTAGGAGTGCAATTGTTGCTTTTTAAAATAAATGTATCTTTAGTTTTTTTTAATTGCTGAACTATTTTCTAGAAAATTTGCAAAGTTCACTAAGAAATTCCTCTTCTACATATTTACTCTAGAAAAACTCTCATATAAAAGCACAAAAACTCACTGCCAGGTTTATATAATAGTAAAAACTGGAAACAATCTGAATATGCATCAGAAAAATAAAATGAATTTTTTAAAATTATATTTTTGTTTACTTATGCAATAAAATATTATAAAGATCTAAATAAATTAGCTAGAGACACATGGTGAATATAAGAAACCGTAATTTCAAACAAAAGCAAATGTCAAAATGACATGCATTATGATTATATATTTATTTTGTAATGTCATTATTATGATCTCTTTTTAGTAATTGTAGAAAAACATAAATGGGAATGGTAAACATCAGATTCAAACAAGTGGTTATCTCTAGAGAGGGAGGGAGTTTAGAGTCGAAATTCAATTGGGAGTTCAGCAGGATATACACTATTTTATTTTTTAAAATAATTTGAAAGACATTTTTCAAATATTTGAATTTGGTAGCATTGGGTGGATGATACATGGGTGTTTGTTTTATTGTTCTCTGTTGTTGCCTGTATGTTTACCACATTTCATAGTAAAAAAGTAATTAAATGAAAAATATGTGCTTAAAACATAATTTTATTCTTAGATTTAAGTCACAAATACAAAGTAATAATTATCTTCCAAAAATCACAAGATAATAATAGTTGCATTAAAGCCATGTAAATTGTATACATGAATTTTTTAAAGATTTTAAAATTTATGTTTTAAACATTTGAAAATATTCTTTAGGAACTTATTTGTGAGACTCTAATTATGTTAAAAACAATACAAATAAGAGTGAGGAATTAAACAAACAACGGCATATAAGAAAAGGGCGTATAAGAACCTTTAATTAATTGTTGGAAAATGGACAGTTGGTGGGTTGTTTACCAATTAATTAGCCAGATCAGAGCAAAACACAGTGCAAAATACATGTGTCGGGGCTATTACCAAGAATGAGCACATCGGCCTGATAGAATTCCAAAGGGGGATCAGGCTCAAATAAATCTAGCACCTAGTGAGGGTGTGAGAAACAAGGCTGAAATCAGGGAAGTCTGCATGCCTAGTAATCTTTCCCCTTCAACAATAAGATGCTTGCCACATAAAAAGGAAATTTCAGGCTCCTTTGTAAAGGAATTGAATAAAATATCTGACGTGAACTAAGAGATTTAGGAGTCCTACAGCATAATTGCTAGGTCCTCAGCCCACTCACCCAAAAATAAATAGCACTCATTGCAAAGTCCCACCCATGTACTCAACGTGCTTTCAGTTAAACTTTCTTGTCTTGTATTTAAATATGAATCAGCAACCATGGATTACCTGCCACCTAAAGGAAAGCTTGCAACATAAAATAAACAAATCAATAGATACTAGCAGCCATAGAGCAAGTAAATAATTTGGAGCAAATAGTATGCTAACTAGTATCTTCAGCAAAATTTGAGATAATTTTATATGCACAAAGCAAGACCAAGATGCTATGAAAAGGGAATGTAGAACGAGAAAGTTCTTGGATATTGAAACTGTGACTTTACAAAACTGCACCTGAATGATTACAAAACAAAACTGAAGAATTTTCCCAAAATTGTAGACTCCAGTAACAATGAGGCCCAAAGGAAAAAGGACAAAGATGATCATACGACTAAAAGTCTTTCCGGAAAAAAAAAGAGAGAAAATTGAGGGCAAGAATGCAAAGAGAATATTCATGGTGGTAAGGTATGGCTGGTGGTGCTGTCAATGGCACATGGAGAGCAGTAATGTTCTAATCAGACTGATGTGACACTGAGACATTGGCTGCGTTCTTAGAAGTGTGGATTTGCTTGTTTTCCACTCATTGCCAGAGTCTGTTTCCTGAGCCTTTTTGTCCATTCAATGACACTATATTCCCTTTCTGTTGAAATTATCCAGTGTTATTTTCTAGTCATTGTAGATCCTAAGAAAGATCTCAAAGAGCTAGCATACATGCTATTCCAAAGGTACTTGAGTAAGGATGCAAAGTTGACTCATTGTGTTTTAGAAAGAAATTTTTTAATGGTCAAGACTATGACACACGTTCCTACTCTAACTTCAGAAAACTAGATTTTTTAAAAATCTAGTATGTGAATGGAGAAAACTGCTCTTTATCTTTCATAGCAAGAAGCAGGTTTTTGCCCCTTGTTAATCTACACAGTAGGTGTTTCCCCTAACATAAGAAAAGGGTATAAATACTAGATAGTCAACAACAGCAACAACAAAGCACCTTACTCCACCACGCACACACACTGCAGAATTAAATATATGTTTGTTAATAAATGAATAAATCGCAAAAAATAATAAAGAATAAATCTCAAAATTAAATGTGAAAATGTTAAAAATAAAATGATGAAAACCTTGTTATGGACAGATAAAATATAATTTTATTTCAATTTCCTTAAATCTCCAATTTATTGGAAAATTTTGTTAAATGCATTCCAATATTTGAGAAATTTTAAATGTTTTATTTTGAAATATAGAAAATACATAGAACAGATGATATATATACATACACACATATATGTACATATAGTATATTTATGTATATACAGTATACATATATGTGTGTATGAATATGCATCATATATATGAGGTCACATAAAGTAATAGAATATTCACTCAGAGGTCAGAACTGCAGAACAAATTGTAGTATTAGTCCTTGGGGTTCTTCTCATATGTAAATGGGAAATTTCAATGAGATAAAATAGTCTGTTTCAAATTTGTTTATTTTATTTTTATTTTATTTATTTTAGAGACATGGTCTCATTATGTTGCTCAGGCTGGAGTGCAGTGGATACTCACAGGTATGATCATAGTGCACTGTAGCCTCCAGCTCCTGAGCTCAAGTCATTCTCCTGCCTCAGCCTCCTGAGTAGCTGGGACTACAGATGTATGCCACTGCAACTGGCTCAATTTTTAACTTTAAAAGTCTATGATTCTTAGTCAGTAACTTTAAAAGTCTATGATTCTTAGTAACTGAATGTGTGTGTATATGTGTGGGTGTATGAATATAAGGTACGGATGGAGAGACTACCCCAAAATACCTTGGACTTTTTGTTTTTTAAATTTATTATTTATTTTTGAGATAGGATCTTAATCTGTTACTCAGACTGGACTGCAGTGGCACAATCACGTCTCACTGCAGCCTTGACTTCCTGGCCTCCAGCAATACTGCCACCTTAGCCTTCCGAGTAGCTGGGACCACAGGCAAGCACCACCACGCCCTGCTAATTTTTCTATGTTTTGTAGAGATGGGGTTTCTCTGTGTTGCCCTGGCTGGTCTTGAACTCCTGGGCTTAAGCCATCTGCCCTCATTGGTCTCCCAAAGTGCTGTGATTACAAGCCTGAGTCACTGCACCCAGCCTACCTAGTAATTTATAATAGACCTTTTTGATTTTCATCAACTTAGAAACTTTTCTTCCTTTTTAAACTAATGTATCTTCTTTCCTTGGGATACTGATTTTTCTTTATCCCAGTCAACTGATTCTTGTTAAGTTTCAATCATAGTACACAGCAGTGTGCAGGAAATCCTGGCCTGACCATAAGTATGTCACAGCCCCTGGCCATTGTGCTTGGTCCAGAAGTAAGGCATGTTACTTGGGACAGGGTAATCAGAACTTTTACTAGCATCCTTTATATTAAAGCCAGAGGGAAGATCCATGCTAACCATGCTATGACCACATCTCCACTTTCTACCCCTGAAGGGGAATGCGGCCATAATTCAGAGAAGAACTAAAATGAGACATGAAGAGAAAAATGGAGAGTCTTGATCACATTGTTAGAGTCCAGCTCTACCTCCCCAGTTAGAAGAGCCAGCATATCCTCTTTTTGGCTTGAGCTAGATTTAAATGGATTTTATTTGTTTACAGGGAATAGTACTCTTTAGCCCTATATCTCATGGTACAAGCTAACTGCAAACTATAGTTTTTAGCCTCTAACTGACATTATAGTGAAGTTCTTTGATCAGTGTATGGGTCTTGAACACCTCTTCTCCAAACTTTAAACAGCAGGTACAGCTTAAAGGACATCAACCAAGTAGAAGGAATTGAACATTTGAAATTAAGCCATATGAAAATAGTTAGTTGACATTATCCATGGACACATAAGATTACATATGAATCAACTAGCTTTGTGCTGGTCACATAGTAGGGGTTCCATAAAGATTTATTCTCCCTGGTAAAAAGTTTTGAAAATAACATAAAAGAGAAATAGTCTCCCTCTCCAATATATAAACAGATATGTTATTATCATTAGTCTCTACCTCAGTTGGAAACGTTAATATTTATGTTTAATGATAGGGAAAATTGACATCTTTTCTGGCCTTTTAAAAGTTTAGATGCTACTTAAACTGTTTCTTCATAATTTCAGAATTTGTCAGTGTATGTATCTGGTTTGAGGATATATTATGTAACTACTTGTCTATTATTGTTTTATTTCACTATTTTTTAATACTCAGTCTATTTTAATTATTTAGGATCCTATTGTACCACATGATGAAGTTTGAGTAATCTACAGAATATATTTACCCCGCTATAATGCCATTTCTATGTATAAATTCATAGATATAATGAAGACAGAAATAGAATGAGAGAGACAAATAAAATGAAATAAAATTCAAATTGAGTGCTTTGAAAATACAATGTTTATTTAAAAGCACATAGTGCAAAACTTTTCATGAATGTGTTCTTCACAAACTAACCATTCTATCCCCCACCCCAATCAACATCTGCCATTTCAAAGAAGGTATCCCAAGATTAAAATTTGACTGGAGTTGGGGCCGGGCGCAGGGGCTCACACCTGTAACCCCAGCACTTTGGGAGGCCAAGGCGGGTGGAACACAAGGTCAGGCGATCTAGACCATCCTGGCTGACATGGTGAAACCCCGTCTCTACTAAAAATACAAAAAAATTAGCCGGGCGTGGGGGGGGCGCCTGTAGTCCCAGCTACTCCGGAAGCTGAGGCAGGAGAATGGCGTGAATCCGGAAGGCGGAGCTTGCAGTGAGCCGAGATAGCGCCACTGCACTCCAGCCTGGGCGACAGAGCGAGACTCCGTTTCAAAAAAAAAAAAAAGCTTTGACTGGAGTCAAGAATTTTAATTTTACTCGTGAATCTGACATTGACCAGTACAATGAATGATATTGGATAAATCATATTTTGGACTTCGGTTATTCATGTGATTTGGACTATTATAGTGCCTGTGCATTAAAAATAATTTAAATTGTATATGAGAATCCAGTGAGTCTCATCAGGGCAAAACCATGCAAAGAAGTTAAGAATTTATTTTGTGTCTTTTCAACTCCCTCTTCAGTCACATAGGTTTCTCTTTGATGTCTTCATCCAGGGTAGCTCTTAGTAGAGACTCAGTACGTGTTAAGTCTTTTCTTCACTTCCATGTTCTAGTGCCTCTATCCCTTTGCTACACCGAGCTTCTCATTGTAAACTCCACCGTTGTAAACTCCACCAAGGCCAAAGAAATTACCTTGGGCAGGATCCTAAAATTCAAATATCTCTTTCTCAGCTGCTCTATTTACTAGGTGTTAGGGTAATTTGTTTTACCATGTGGGACTTGTGCCTCTATTTATATTAATAGTAAACAACAGGCTTACAGTTGTCACCCTTCCAAAGGATATTTTTTATTTCAATAGAAGTGTCTTACCATTATTCAAAGGAATTGGTATCTAAAAATGAGACTGAGGGCCCTACCACAGAGAGGCTTCAGGCTAGTTAGAGGAATATTTGGGAAACATGGAAAAAAAAATTTAGGTTTTCTAGAGCCTATCTAACTATAATCAAACATGAGTTTTTAGTCAATGACAAATTATTTTGATACTTAAAACCTTGAGTGAGCATTTGATTAATATCCCCTGCCTGTTAACTTTTTCATTGTTTTTATTGTCATTTTAAAAACTGGGATTTGAACTTGTTTGGACTGGTTTTCTCCCTTGTTTTAAGGGGAAGGGAGGGAGAGTAAGTGAAGAGGGGAAAGGTTGTGCTTCTAGCAAGCATGACTAGATTCCAGAATTGTTTCTGTAACTAGAGAGAGAATATGCTTGCAGGTATTCCAGGCTATAGTTCTCTCAAAGATCTTCCCACATGGCTTGCTTAGCTTTTACTTTCATTTTGTATTAAACAAAAAGTCATTTGAGGGCTATTTAATGCTCTGGTTTGCGTTTTCCAATACCAGATAAAAGTTAAACAGATGAACCATTTGGGGGGTAAGGATTGGGAAATCCACGGCTGCTAAAATGCTTTAAAGTTTCAAAATGGTTTTGTTTTTTTAAACCCATTTTCCATGTTCCAGCAGCTGTGGGTTTTCCCAGGGCTCCCCCTGTGGCTCAAAAGGGAGCTGCTTAATGCTTAACAGATGAGCCAATTGAGTTTTTAAATGCAAAATTAAACTTAAAGTGCACAAAGAGCACAGGGGAATCCACAGCCAAGAATAGACTGGAGGAGGAGAGTGAGCTGCGAGCATAGGGCTGTGGGGAGACACAGACTCATCTACTGCAACCAGCAGCGACTGGGGGGATGGTACAGGCAAGTTTATCTTTTTACCATTCCTCCAACAGGCTGCCGTTATACTCCATAGTACCAAAAGTTTTCTTTGTAACTGCTGGTTTTATATATATTTATATGTGTCTGTTTTTAAGAGCGAAAAAGAGAAAGAAGAAAGGAAGGAAGGAAGGAAGGAAGGAAGGAAGGAAGGAAGGAAGGAAGGAAGGAAGGAAGGAAGGAAAGAAAGAAAGAAAGAAAGAAAGAAAGAAAGAAAGAAAGAGAAAAAAGAAAGGAAAGGAAGGAAAGAAAGAAAGAAAAGAAAGATCAGCTCTGTAAAACAGGAGGACAAACATGTTTTGCTCTCCACCAGGTTTGTTCTGCCAGTGATAGTGAGAGAATTTGGTCCCCTCAGGATTATTTTTCCGCTCAGGTTCCTAGGTGCCTTGCTTCCTATGTCGCAGACACCCTTACCAGATCTGGATTCTCAGAACCTTCTACTTTGAACATGAGGAGCTGCGATGATTGTAAACTTTGGTTGAAACACCATTTGCCAAATCACTGGATAAACTGTTTTGTCATTCGTCTGAATATTTGAACATAAAAAAAAAAAAACTGGATTTTTACTTTTTTTTTTTGAGACAAGAGTCTAGCTCTGTCGCTAGGCTGGAGTGCAGTGGCGCGATCTCGGTTCACTGCAACCTCTGCCTCCTAGGTTCAAGTGATTCTCCTGCCTTAGCTTCCTGAGCAGCTGCCCACCTTGGCCTCCAAAAGTGCTGGGATTACAGGCGTGAGCCACTGTGCCTGCCTAAAGCACCAGATTTTGATGCCTAAAAAAAAGTTTCAGATTAACATTTTGGCCAACTTCGTGACAAGTCTCTGAGTAAAAACCAATCATTCTAACACCTTTAAAAATAAAACCTCCCGTCGGGCGCGGTGGCTTACGCCTGTAATCCCAGCACTTTGGGAGGCCGAGGAGGGTGGATCACTTGAGGTCAGGAGTTCGAGACCAGCCTGGCCAACATGGGGAAACCCCACTTCTACTGAAAATAGAAAAATTAGCCGGGCATGGTGGCACATGCCTGTAATCTCAGCTACTTGGCAGGCTGAGACAGGAGAATCGCTTGAACCCGGAAGGCGGAGGTTGCAGTGAGCAAAGATCGTGCCATTGCACTCCAGCCTGGGCAATAAGAGCGAGACTCTGTCTCAAAAAAATAATAATAAATAAAAATAAAGCCTCCATTTTAATTGTGCAAGTGCTTTATGTATACAGGGGCTCCCAACATCATCAAGAGTAAAATATCATTGGTGCAATTTCTTTCATTGAAGATGACAAAAATAACTGTTGAATTCCAAATCATGGAAATCTGTTTGAAAGCCAATTTCATTATTTCAATACGTTTTTCATAGCAATATGTACATTGACATTCCAGAATGGGATACAGCCCAGCTCATCAGACTCACACGGTCTCTCAGATTTTTAGACAATACGTTCTGGAAACATAAATATCTTAGCATTTGAAGGGATATGTCAGTTGTTGTCTATTGCTTTCAAGAAAGTGCTGAGAAATGATAATTCCCATGCAAAATTTCTATTACCTAGATTTTGCATTCATACTAGGCTTTTAAACTTTGCAAACATTGAAAATTCTTTAATTGCTCACTTTTGGGGAAATATATATATTTTTGAACAGAGTCTTTCTCGGTCCCCCAGTCTGGAGGGCAGTGGTGTGATCATGGCTCACTGCAACCTCCACCTTTCTGGCTGAAGCCATCCTCCCACCTCAGCCTTTCCAGTAGCTAGGACTACAGGTGTTCATCACCATGCCCAGCTAATTTTTGTGTGTGTCATTTTTGGAAAAGATGGGGTTTCTCCATGTTGCCCAGGCTGGTCTCTAGGTTTTGGGCTAAAGTGAACTGCCCACCTCGGCCTTCCAGTGCGTTGGGATTACAGGTGTGAGCCACTGCTCCTGGCCTGGAGAAATAATTTTAATAGATAGTAACCAAAAATTATATCCATATGCCAGTAGAAATGTCTTTATTAGGATTCATTAAGAAGAAGATGCTAGAAAGCTTCTAGTTCAGATTTGATTTTGTGGGGGGTTCAGAAAAAGATAACCCAAAGTACAGCACTTTGACATACCAACTACTTAGAACTAAAGCACATTGGAAGGCCTCAGAAGCAGCATCAGGACTAATGTATGCCTCTGACCTTCTCCTGCCCTCCTGTTTCTTGCCCCTCATTCTTCCCTGAAGTGAGTCACAGAAACCAGAATTCCTCTTCCAAGTGAGTCATAGAAACTAGAACTCTTTTTCCCCAAACCAAGCCGTAAAACCTAGAATTATTACCCTAACTTTCCTCTGCCTTTTTGTGTAAAATCTTGTCCATAAGAAATTATATGACCTAATTTGTCTCAAAGAAGATGAGAAGAACCTTATTCTGGAAGGAGTCCTGCCCTATATCCAGGAGGAAAAAATGCCACAACAGACAGGCCAAGTAGAATCCAAACAGACAAGCCTTGCTGGCTTTTCCCACTCAGTATATTTCTGTTAGATCATTTCTCTCTTTGTTCAATCATATTTTTATATGACTGTTCACTCATCATTGAATCTAAGCATAAAAATGGACAGTTTTCCCTTGGGAGACTGGGCTTCATTTCTGAAGGCTCTCATGACTCATAAGACTTTGATTAAATAAATGTGTTACGCTTTTCTCTCATTAACCTGTCTTTTGTGATAGGAGGGTCAGCTGTGATTATTATGATGGGGAGGAAAGATATCATACCTTTTCTGGCCCTACAACATGTTATCAAGTCCAGCAATGATTTGTAAAGTCGCAAGGTCAAATAAGGTTAAAAAAGTACACACGCACATACACATAGGTGTATCTGTATGTACACACACACAAACACACACACACACATATCTAAAGTTACCTATTCAACTACAAATTATATTCCTTAGGGATTTTTACCTCTTTCAGTTCTCCAAGTAAATCTTTTTTTTTCTTTCTTTTTTTTTTTTTTTGAGACTGAGTTTTACTCTTGTTGACCAGGCTGGAGTGCATTGGTGTGATCTCGGCTCACTGCAACCTTCGCCTCCCGGGTTCAAGTTATTGTCCTGCCTCAGTCTCCAGAGTAGCTAGGATTACAGGCACCCACCACCATGCCTGGCTAATTTTTTGTATTTTTAATAGAGACAGGGTCTCATCATGTTGGCCAGGCTGGTCTCAAACTCCTTACCTCAGGTGATCCACCTGCCTTGGCCTCTCAAAATGCAGGGATTACAGGAGTGAGCCACTGTGCCTCATCAGTTCTCCAAGTAAATCTTATTTTTAGTTTTAACTATCATGGCCCTCTCCCATCCTCCCTCAAACAAAACAAAACAAGCACACAACCCAATAAATAAACAAACAAACAAACAAACTATAAAACAGATCATTTTCATTTGGATGTAGTCTTCACCTTCATCCTGATAATTGTCAACTCTTAATTATTTCATGGAACAATTATTTTACCTTAATTGCTTAAATTTATAGTTGATTGTGAAATGATAGGTTGGAGATGAACATTCCTACTGTGCATTTGTGACTGCATATGCAGAGCCTTGTACCTCTTAGCTAATCAAATTCTCTTGAGTCATTGACTAGATCCAGCATTGTCAGTTTGCCTAAAGGAAAGATGCTGATGAGGTTAGGCTCCTTCGAAAGCAATCATATGGTTAATTGCATTAGTGTGAACCTAGCCTTTGTGATTAAAGCCTAGGACTTTCGTTTAGGTAGAGCAGGGCTTCCATGCTTGAAGGCACTCCTTGTCATATCTAGTACTCTCCAGGCCTTGAGGAAATATGCTGAGGCATCAATATATTTCCCTGAGGAGTTGCCATGTTTGGGAGATCATTCAATCATTAGACCATATTCAAAGAAACAGGTTAATTTGAATATGTAAACACTAGATCACATATTCATATATATGCAATCTCTTTGAAAAGATCATCATCAGAATGCAGATTTAAATAAACAAGAACATACTCAAAACTTGACATATTATGTACTTGAATTTAATGTGCATCAGTGCTTGCCCAAAGGATTTTATACCTGTCATCTAATGATGCCTGTATACTGCTACTGGTATGCTTTTCATAGATGTACATTAAAAAGACTCACTGCTCTGTTTTTGAATAAAATCCTATGGCTCATATTTTCACAATTCCAAATGTAGTTATTGCTCATAAAATTTGGTTGGCAACATTTAGGCCACATTTATATACACACACACATCACACATACACACACATATATGCAGGCACACATATACACATGTATATATATGTGTGTGTAAATATGTACATAGATTAAATTTAGTACATAAAACATTTCAAAACTTGTTTTTAAGCTTTAAAAAAATTACATAGAATTAAAATCATTATTCTTTCCCTCTCCAGTGAAATATTGACTTCAGAGTTCACTTTTTATAAAGAAATTCTAAATCATTAAGCAAGTAGAGTACTATCCTTATTTTTTTAAATTACCCAACATACTTTTGGAGTTTTCGCAAGTGGAGGCTAGAATGCATTGATGCATAAAGAAACAGCTATCTATGTCCCAGTAATTCAAATCCAACACCATTTTGGCTAGATACATACTCATGGGAGTAACCAAGGGTAATTGATGATAAGTTCGAATTACTTGCATCTTATTCATCTTAAAATCAATCCCATAAGCTGTTATTACCCTATAGGCAATAATATCATTCTGTCAATTGTGAAAAC
Source organism: Homo sapiens (assembly GCF_000001405.40). NCBI lineage: Eukaryota > Metazoa > Chordata > Mammalia > Primates > Hominidae > Homo > Homo sapiens. Next base: position 147,941,271 of record NC_000003.12, on the reverse strand, counting down.
AACGAAGTTTTATTAATCTTACTGTATTTACTGCTCCTCTATAACCTCATAAAAACTGGCTCCTGTGTATATAAAGCATTTAAGAAACCCTACTTCCTTGGAAATAGATGCAATCAATAAGATTTACCATTTTAAGAAATATTAATGTAAAAAGGGGGTCATAGGATGGTCTATTCTCATCATTTTACATTGTTCTCCAAACAGTTGCCTTCATTTTCAGGGTGAATCTCTGAATGTTAATAGCAGATGCATCACGTGCAGAAGCTGGGAGCATGCAAGCCATGTTAGGCACATAGATTCTGTACAAGGAAAAATGTTACACAAAGCATATTGGATCAGGGGCTTGATTTCAGAAATGGAATCTTTCCTTTCTATTTTAGACCTGTCTGACTCAGTATTACATACCACTATAAAAATTTGCTCATAAAAAGATTAAATATTAAAATTGAATGCAAAGTAATAGAAAAACAAAACCTCTATTCCCCAATGCAAAAATCAAATATGCAAATATGAAAATGAGGGGACTCTGCTTTTTTCCCCCTTATACAACTGATTAAATTGTCACTGCTGGAGATTACATGGGGTTTTATTCCCTTTACAGCCATATTCAATTGGACAGATAGAAAATTATATTGCCACAGACGAGACCCACCACTTGGGTACACTGTGCTTCCAGTTGTTGCAGAGGTCTTTTCCAAAACTTTGCAGCTACCCTTTAAAAAAAGAAAAGTATTAGATGTGGTCATTCATGACACACTAGATTTTTTCTAAAGTCCTTTCCAACTTGGAGATTTCAGGACAAAAACTACTCCTTTTACTTCTACGTATTAGCCTACAGCTTACTTCCCATGTAACAAAACCTTCACCAACACATCCCCTTTTTTTATATATATCTTATAAATGTATGTATGCGCAAATATATGTATGTGCATATATATATCTATATATCTATATATATATATATATATATATATATATCTCAGAGGCTTTTTTCTTTTTGTGTTTATACTCTATTTCCTAATTTGTGACTTTATTTCCTGGCTCAGCAGTTCTAACACAGAACCTCCCCCACCCCAACTCCTTTTTTTGCCCAGTTGTCTCTTCCAGATGAATATATTTGATTCTTGCACAAACTGAATACAGAAACAGGATTACCTGTGCTTCTCTCATGCCTTGCCATGGTTATGAAATGGTTTTCGCTGTCTGCCTCCGTGGAATAGAAGTTGGTGCTCAGCGACGCTGTCGCCTGTCTGTGTCACTCTGCACTGGGGCTGAACAGAGAGCTGCCTCCAGCTGCAGGCGAGGGGCCTCAGTGTTAAGGACGCACAGAACTAGTTTGTTAATGAGATCATTTCTCCAGTGCAAAGAAATGTAGCCACAAGCACAGGGATATTTAACAACTAAAAGAGCTGGTAGGATGATGTTTTTGAATTGGAGTAATCAGGAAAAAAAATAACAAAAAAACAGTGAGCGGCAGATGCTTCATTGCAATGACAAGTGAATAGGAACAGGACTATTTGCCTTAAGATTTGTAGTAGACATGCACATGTTACTTTGCTATAGAAATGAAGAAATTGATCCCCAAAGAATTTGTAGGTGGTTTGATATGTGGCTGGAAATATTTTTGTTGTCGTCAGCAAAATAATGCTTAAGGATGTTTTTACTAGCTAAGATCTCTTCTGTATCTGTTGATATAACTGTAATTTGAAAATTTTCTTTCTCTGATTGGGTAGTTGAGTAAACAATCAAGGTTTTCATTTCTAGCACCCAGATGGGTAAATTTATCATGAAATCAAATGATTTCTTCATGCAAAAACTTCCAACATTTTTGCATTTGAAAACACAAACACATACATCATGCTTAAACAAAGCATTCTGTTTAAATTTGAGAATTTTAAAAATCATTGCTTTCTAACATTGTGAATGCCCTTTCTTGATTCAGATATCTTTTTTGCTGTCAAAATTAAAAGCAGAGTTGTGTTCATTCTACTGGCTTGAACATTTAGATGTATCCTTTAGTCTCTGCTTGTGTTTGCTTTTTTCTGTCTTTCCCATGTTTCTTTGTTTTCCTTTTGTCTTCTTCTCAAGACTTCCCATGGTTTTTGTTTTATCATATTGTTCTCTTTGCATTGTTCAACTGCTCTTTGACAAAAATTCCATATTTAATTTAATTTTCTTGTTTTTGTTTCATTTCCCTTATAGTTTTATATGATTAATTTTTTTGTTGTTTTTGTTAGGGCATTGTGTTTATTTGTGAAAACACAGTTCCAAAAGTCACAATAGTACTACGTGAACAAACTTTTCTATTGAGTGTCCTTATCTTTTAATATTTTGGTTTTTTTGACTTGTTTATTCTCTTTCCCAGTTCTGGCCATTTTAAATTATCTTTTCATCTATTGCATTGACTTTTCCATTACTAATAGCCTTCTCTTTTAATTCTTCCCTTGATGTCTTGATTTACTAGGCATCTCTTCATTACTAAAACATGACCACCATTTTTTCAACACTTAGTATAAGCACTATGCTCAATGCTTCGTGTCTATTCTTTTGAACTCTTACTGCAATCCGGAAAGGTAGACATTCTCATTCTCATTTGACACAAGAGGAGACAGAGGCCCAATGATTAAGGTACTGTCTGAAGACCACACAATAACTACGATAGCAATGATTTGTTCCCAGAGCTACCTGACACCAAATCACCCCCTCTTTCAACTAAACCATATTGAGGCTCAAAATCAGAATTAGGTTTTGAAATTTTGTTATGTATTGGGGAAAATATACTCACTTGTTAAACTTCACTCATTTCAGTCTTAGTATGCATGTATACCTGAAATGATTCAATACAAATTACTCCTTATACCTTCCTTTTGATAACATTTACCAACTTTAGTTTTATTTGTGATAAAAGAAACCTCTAAACTCAAGTTACTATCTTCAACAACATTTTTGAGACTAAGAGTAGGTCCAATTTTCCTTTGCATACGTACCAATCTGCTAATATATGGTTGTAAATGTACATGAATTATAATAATAAGTTCCTACTAGTACAATAAACAAGAAAAGACAACACTAGAATAATAAATAGCCTGTGTTGTCTGCAAACCTCACAACACTATATCAGCCTTCCAGTAATGACATCAGTAATCAAATATGTTTTTACAGTTGTCAATGTAGCGGATCAGACATCTAATCCCAGTCTGCTTGCAGCTGCTTTTCCTCATCCTTCCCTCACTGTATTAAATTTGCCTTTTGGGAAAATAAGAAAATTATGTGTTGCCTTATATTCCTTGTTCAGGTTTAAAAACTCTTATTCTTCTTGCTATGATGATGACATGCAGGTGTCATTCTCTAAACAGGACACTTTGCAAGTTTCATATACCCACTGTTTAATCACTACCATTTTCTTCACCTTATTATTGCAATGATAATACATATACATGTATGTGTATATGTGTACATATATGAACATACATACAGACATATTTACTTTTGAGAAGCAGATGGATATTTGATATTCTATTAGAAGTCTCTAAAATTGCTGCAGCTATTTCTGTGAAGAAAGTTGTATTTCTAGACTTTGGAAAAGAGCTTAACAAAATTCTCTTTGATGGATTGCAGTCCTGAAAGTTGCTCTTGTATTAAGCTGCAATTAATGCTTGTACCCAGCAGTCTCCTAAGGAATTACAGAGGAACAAAGTTAGCAACTAGCAGGCCTAAAATAGCTAGAGGGCTTTGACCACAAGGATAGGATAACAGTAATGCAGTGACTAAGAGGAGAGACTGAGGAGTAAGGAAATCTTGACTTCAAACTTCAGCTCTTATAATTTGCTACCTTTGTGACCTGGGCAAGTTACCTAATTCTTCTAATAAGAAATATTCTTCTAGTATTTCTTTGTTTAAATGGAGATAATGCCCACCTCAAAGGGTTTGGGGAAAATTTACCAGTTAATAAATATAAAGCATCCAAGACAGAATGGTATTTACTAAGTCCAGTATAAAAGACAATGGTTATCATTGTCACTATTATCATCTATGCAATGACTAAAAATGAATTTCTCTTTCTTTCCTTCTTTTGTCATGATGTACTGAACTATAGAGTCTTTTATGCATCTTATGAGTAGCATTTATGCTTCTAGTATTTCCCTGTTTTGGTTGTTCTCACCACACTATAACGACTATTATATACAACTCCTGCAATAATTTTAAGATCAACATAAATCTGTACCAAGTGAAATATACATGAATCAACTCTTCAGCACATGTAGCAGAAAGTTTCTAGGACTAAGCTCAATGCCTACACAATGCCACATAAAAGATGTTCAATAAATTACTGTTACAACTAGCTGAATTGAACCCATATATTGTATTTGCCCAATGCAAACCGTAAATTCATTAAATGTATGCTTCATTCGTGTTCCTGTACATACATATATGCTTTTATTCATGTATCACATGTCTACTGTATGATAGGGACTGCCCCCAAATTAAGCTACGATGGGCAGGAACCATTTGTTTCATGTATGTGTGTGTGCGTGTATGTATATACAGCATACATACATAGATATATATATCTGTATATATAAGCTTTACTTTCATCTGTGAAAATTAGAAGGACAGTCTGATTTCTAATGTCTATAAGCAATAACATCCTACGATTCTTATCTAAATACACTATTTCTTTCTTAGAGAACTCCCAGTAAAGCTGGTATACCAGGACCACCTCTACTCTTAATAATCAGATTTCCCAAACTTTGTATAATTGCAAGGGCTGTATATTTATTACAGTTGACTATAACCTTCACTATTTTTTCACCTACCGTTCACTCTTTTAAATTTTATTTCAAGGAAAAACTGTTGATTTGAAACATTTTTGTTAGGAAAACTCTGACACATCCAATTGAAAACATACTGGCTCACAGTAGTGAAACCTTGAAATAAACTTTCAAGATCTGATTACTCACAGCCTGACAAGTAATTGAAAAGATGGATCTTATTATCATTGGATTGTTTGTTGTTTTTGTTTTTATCATGCATTTCTTCAGGCTGTTCCTATGTATCCTGAAAAGCAATCCATCTAAAGATATAATTTAATTGATTGATTCAGCAAACATTTCGTGAGTACCTATCATATGCTAGACACTGTATTAAGTATTGAGGATACAGATATATAATCTATATTCTCACCACTATATCACAAAACCTATTAAATAGAAATGCTAACATAGATAAATCCATGAATAGCTACATTTTAAAATTATCTGTATGACATTCAAAAATACTAACCAAAAGCAGAAAATGTGCAATAAAATACTCAACATGCTGCTTGTGTTGTTGTCTATTAAAAAAGGTTTCAAAATAATAGAAATTTCAGTTGTTCAAGCATAATGTACTTCTATTCAATTGAGCCCCTAAATCCAGATTAAGACCAGAGTTGGTTCCAATGGGCATGTTCCCCCCAGCACCCTCCTGCCGCCAGCCATTCATATTGAATTTTAAATTCATGTTAGCAACTGCCTATACAATCCAGGGAGGAAAAGGAGAGAATAGGGAGAGGGGTGGTGTTGAAAAAGTTTCTGAATGAAAATTTGCAAGTTAATCTCAGAAGATGAGATTTTTTAGGAGTTCCTGCATCTACAACACCAGAGTTGTTTGCAAATAACAATTTGGAGGCTTTTTTAAAAATTCACTATTAAAAAATTGCAACTGACCCTTTGCAAGTAACCATTCAAACAGTAATAAAAGAAAGCAATGCTCAGTTCTATAGTTTGTTCATCTGGATGTGAAAGGCACAGGTTTAGAGAGGGGCATGTGTTTATAATATTGCCATGTGAAAGAAACAGGGGCAGTTACATATTTCACAGAAAGTTAACACTTGGGATAGGCTATATTAAACATGTGTAACTGGATGGCATAAATATTCTTGAGAAGTGAATTTATCTATGTAATCTTCTATAGACCTAACAGGAAGGGTGACCCTGTAGAACCAGGATCAAGGCTTTAGAGTGAATGATTGTAAGCACGTGTAATTATTTCTTTCAGATTTATAACAACATTCTTGCTGTTAACAAATATAAATGTAACATTTACTAGGAAATAAGAGACTGCAGACGGAAATAAACAAACCTAGGATGTAGTTCATCTAAGTAAACACTGAGGTTATAAACCTTCCAACTCAAATATCAAGAGCCCTGCAAATTAATGCTACACACAATAGGCCCTTTGGAAGCTAACTTAATCCACCCCCCGAATCTACATGAGGGCCATGCATAACAATGCAGGAGCTGGGTTTCCATTAAGAGTTTCCTCTGCAGGCTGTCAGCTGTTTGAAGAAATAACAATTTCCTAGGCATGAAAGCTTTTTCAGAAGGTTCCCACTGATGTGTAATAAAAGTGACTTTCCTTTTTTTTCTTCTGCTTCTTACTTTCTCCCCAACCTCAGATGTAACATTGTGGGGGAAAAAAAGGGTGGACTAAGGCCATAGGCCCCCTACTAGTTTACCTTACGTGGATTATCAGTGCAGGTGTTAATATAATTGAAGGTGTGGTAGCAGATACAACCCCCTAATAGCTTTTCCTATATAGAGATTACCTAGGTAGAGAATGCCAGAGTACCTGAAGAATAGGCAAGTGAGTACCTTATTAACATATCACCATTCAGCGGCAGCTGCATATCTGGAAGAAGAAGAAGAAGAGAAAAAAAAACCTCTAAAGAGCCTATTCATCTATGTTAATGGGCCCATTGCACAGTACATTGTGTGAGAAATTAAGTCTCTGGCTGTGAACTTCCTGTGCTGTGCAAGCTGCCTTGACTCTTTTTTATTGCTTCAGTGTTATTATCTCCTCCTGGAAATAAAAACAATCATGTTCTCACATTTGAGAAGCCAAAACATTCCAATATAACAAACTGGAGATGCTGGTTGAAAGTTTCTTTTGTCTCCTTTATTAACTGAAAAAATATGTTTTGAAATTAAAACAACCCCTAAATTTACATCAAAGCACATCAAATTAACTGAGCTGCCCTGTGAATGACAAAGTTTTTTTTTCTTTTCTTATAAAATATACAATTTAAATTGCTTTTCTAGTTATCATTCCTTTTTAGAATTAATTTTTGTAGACAAAATATGTTAATTTATTCAAATTAGGCTTTAAAAAAAATGTCCAACTGGCAAAAGAACTGCTTTCCTCCTGAATGATAAGTAAAATAGACACTTTTTTTAAAAAAATGATATTTATTGTGGGCAAATAATTTAAATTTCAGAACAAGGTTGGCTAGCATTTCAAAAATAAAAATAAGAAAGGTAATTTAAGATTAAAGAAAATCCCTCTTTTAGGTGTTTAAAGTCCAGAATGTTTGCTCTTACTTTTTTCGTGGTTGTTGCAAAGCAATCATGTAAACCCATGTACATCATTTGGTATAAAAATGAATTCTGTTCAGATTAATAGAACACATTTTCATCACTTTGTGTGCACATTACCTAATCATTACCACCATCATCATTAAGATCCTTATCATAAAATAAAAAGCTAATGACCAACAGTGATTACAACTCAATTAACAATGACTCTCCCAGTGCGATTTTAAAAATTCAGTTTCTTTCCAACTTGAAGCATTTTCAAGTTAACCTAATATGTTTTACTATTTAATAGGTTACTGAATATGAGAGATGATAAAAAGAATACCATGATTCAATCTGCTACTTTACTTTGCTAAGGTACATTCTGTCTTCACTGACAAAATTTGTCTAAGGAGAATAATGATTATTGTCTGATGTACCTAAGTTTTCAGCAATCACCAATCTTTATTTTAAGAATATGGCAAATCAGCCAATGGTAAAACAAGGTTGAATACATCCAGGATGGATATATAAACACCATAGAGTTTGTCAAGAAAATTCTTACAGTGTTAAAACTTTAGATTTTTCATTGATTTTTGTTGTTTTCTTTAAAATATAAGTAAGAGTTTGTAAAAGTAGGATGTAGTCAAACAGATCCTTCTTTAAATGATATCATGGCATGGATGTTTCTTTAATTTGCACAGTAAAATCAGCATTAATTATTTGAAATAATATTCACTTTCAAGCCTTTTTCAAGGATGAGTGCAAGTGTTCCAAACTACTACTTACTAATATATCTATATTACATTTATTTATTTATTTACATACACTTATTCATGTGAAGTACTGAAAGAGATGACTCTGTTTGCTTTGGAGTCAGTGCTTTAGTTGCTGGGATATGACTATAAATGGTACACTTTCATAGACTCTGGAAGGCGTTGCTAACTTTGGTTTCTTAAAGAGAAGACAAATTATTAATCTACAGTAGGAAGGGAACTTGACTATCCATTCTTTCCTTAACTAGTTTATATTTCATGTTGCTTTATATAGACTACTATGTAGACTACTAAATAAACAAGGTTTTCTAGAATGAGTTCATATTTTGTTATTTAAAAACCTCCTCTTTACATAGGGTTCCTTTCATAAAATACTTTCTTTTTTCAGACAAAATGCCTTCTAGTTTTTTTGGCTAACATTTTATGGTCACAATCTGCTGCTGGGGGCACTCAGACAAACAGAACTGAACGCCAATGTTTTCTACAGCAAGGGGGCAGTTGATATTTCAAAAATAATGGACACCAATAATTTAAAGAACAGTAAAATTGAACTAGTTCCTTTAAAATAATTCGGATTAATGGGCCATTCACAGTCCTGTTAACACTTAACAACCCTATGCTCCAGATAATCAGGGTAACATTGTTGCCAGCACAAAAGTGACACCAGAACTTGTCTTCATTGGCATCAGAAATGCCAGCCATATCACCTCTGACTGCGTGGCCCCATGTCTATTAACCTTATTGATTTGGAGTCCTGCTGGGCCTCCCTGGAAAACTACTCCCTGCTGAAAGGTTGAAGTGGATCAATCCTGAACCATGGACAAGAATTCAATAAAACAACATAGTAAAGACCTTTAACCATTAAGTATTCCTTAAAGTAAATCAAATTAAGAACTTTGCCATAATGAAGCTCTTTTAAGATTTTTGAGATGCCAGTTGATTCCAAGTCCCCAAAAGTAAACTGTTGTCTAGAAGGGACATCAGACTATTTCAAGAGATGCCTTTTTATCTGTTGTGAGGTAGTTAATGGAATATAATAAGGAGTGCTGGGTTTGTGTATTCAAGATGGCTGTTATGTAAATAAGTGGTTGTAAAGTCAAATTTTAAAATTTTATTATTTTCATAACAAAATTGAACATTATGCAGATTCACAGTAGAAAATGTCCTAACAGAAAGAAAAATGTTTTCCTCACTAGCTACTAACATAAATTTATTGTACTTACTACTTGTTTTCCATAACATGCTACCAAATTTTCTGAAGTTGTTAGTAAACTTGCAATCTTTTTCAAATTCATAGTTAATAAAGAAGACAAGTGCAGAGGTTCAGAGCTCCATATTTCTCTACAAAGGCAGAAGTGATCTACATATATAACAGGACTGCAACAAACCCATTCATATTTAAATGCAACTGGATTTCTTAGGAATTCAGTTTCCATCTTTCCAGATTTTATATTCTTTGGGCTTTGTTTATTCACAAGTCCCTGATCTGGGTTTCAGAAAAAAATCTCATCCCCTGAAAACCGAACACTTTTGAAAACTTTTAACACTTGCAAAATTGAAGCATCTTATCAATACTTATCTTTAAGTCTCAAAAGTCCTAAATTCACAATAGAGATTATATATGAATATATATAATATTTTATGTAAATATATAATATAACAATATGTAAACATTTATGTATATTTACTTTATATATTATATATAAATATATGTATATGTGTGTATACATTATATATATTTATTTACTTCTGAATGTTTCTTTCTCCTAATTACTTTTAAAATGATTGGCTGTTTTTAAATTATCTATAATATCATGTTAGTGAATGTATATAACTAAAAGTTTTAAATAAAACGCTTTTGCCATTAAGAATGCAGATACAGTTTGATTTTTAAAAAAATACTGGTTGACATTTTTGTTTCCTAAAATATTTTCTCTGTAGTATTTTAGAAAATGTAGTATTGGGATTTTTTTTTTTGCTGGAAAATAAATACTATATTGTGTTGTTCATTGAAAAATGGCCCGATTAGTTATTACACTGAAATAATGCCATACAACTAGAATAACAAAAATTAATGATTGCTGGCTATAATAGGTATTCATCTTTGATCAATAATGCATTATAGCCTATGTGAAACACCTAACATAGAACATAACATATATTACCTCTATTTAGCACCTCTAGGCAAGAATATTGTAAAAAGAAAAGAATCAAAATTACAGTTTTTCTTTATTGACAGCTCTCTAAGGAATACACTGGAATGAGTTCTGTCTGCCCAACTAATTGATAATTATTTAATTAGCAATTTATAATGACAATGGGATTTTACCCTCCACTAGTCCATCTCTTCTTTAAGACAGAAGTAGACAACTTTACACATCTTTGTACTAACTTCTGGCAGTCAACACTGGCCAAAGTGTGCCCTCACTAAGATTTCCAAAGTTAAACTCTAAAAGCAGTGTGTGCCACCACCTCCTTTAAATCACAGCATTTCCTTTTCCCATTACCAGGGATGACTGGCATTTTAACAATGTGTGTGGGTGTACACCCTTGTTGTGTCACTGTGGACAGTTTTAACAGCAGCTTCATTAGTTCTTTTTACAACAAAAGATAGGGTTTCCCCCCCTGCCTTTTTCTTTCTTTCCCTTAGTTGGCATGCGGGCTGAATTTTCCTCGGACTCCCTGCTTGACTTTTTTTTTTTTTAATTCCAGAACTTCTTTAGAATAGTGCTGCTATTCGAACACTACGAATTGTAACTGATAGACTGTTTGCAGAGGAACTCATGAAAGTTCTCTTTGTTCTCCCTTCTTTAACCAGGTTTACCAGCCCCTCCCTCCCACCATCCAAAAAGGAAAAGGAAATCCACTTTTAATTATACATTGATGGAAATCACTGTGTAGGAAGGATGCATTCACTGTAGAATACCCATTATATACTTTATTACAAACAAAAAGAGGTGCTTGCATCAGAACAATCAGGACAGTAATTCTCTATACCGAGCAAAAGCTCAAGTTAAAATGTATTTTTCTCCATAACATTTCTGTTCAGTTTAATATTTCTGCCCTAATGATAGAGTTCTTTTAAGACATAAAACTGGTTAGTAGCTTTAAATATATATGTGTGTGTGTGTGTCTGTGTGTGTGTGTGTGTGTGTGTAATCTTCAAGTAACTATATAGAGAAGCTTTGTGTAGATAAAAACAAGATTGAATCCCATCTGACTGAAGTTTTGACAATTCATTATTTTTTATCTTTCATGCAAAGAAATAGGCTTGGAGTCAAAATGATTTGAAATGGAAGAAGGTGAAGTTGTGAGATCTCCTCGGTAATAATGAGGGAAAAGCTATATTTTAAGGTGAATCAGTGATTAATGATGAAACTTCAATATTGTCTCTAGGAATGAAAAGAAGAAAGAAAATTAAAGGATCAAGAAATAGGCACATTCTTGAAATAAAATTTCAACTGAACTTGCCTTTTAGTTTTTTACTTCTAAAGCATATGTACACTCATTTTCTTTAGGTTAGAAACCCTTTTTTTTACTTTTGAGGGTTTACTTATATAAGAAAAAAAAGTAGTAATGTCCTGCATGCTAAAGCAAAGGCATTTGCTCTAGAGGACCAACATTCAGGCTCCAAAAAGGTCATCCATTTACACTTTACACACCAGACCCATTATCACCAGATTCTCATTACAGCTGTGTGTATCAAGCAGGACAACTCATTTTTTATAGGCAAGGAGGATAGGGCTTAAGAGAGTAAATAACTGGTCTTATAAGTTGAGGTCCATAAAGAAAACAAAACTAATGCAAGTACTTTGGCAATAAGAAATTTAGTATAAGAATTAGATCTTCTATGAATGTTGGTGGGAGCTGTTTAAGTGAAAGTCTGGAAGAAGGGAGTAGAGAATCAGAGATATAATCAATGCCAGATTTACAAGAAGCAGTGGCCCAGGAGAACAAGTAAGTGCTTGTAGGAAAATATGAGAAACTGTGCTCATCTGATAGCAAAGTTGCACTATGATGTATGGAGGTGTCTGTGGAAACTATCCTCTCTGGAGAACATGTTGCTTCTGCAGGGGAGAAAAAGTAATACCTTTTCTTCACCCATTACTAGGGTCATGGCTGACACCCCTATAACAAAAGACAGATTAACAAGAGGAAAAACATAACAAATTTATTTATCAAAGTTTTATTTGACGTATGAACCTTTTTGAAGTTTTATGTGACATGGAATCCTTCAGAAATGAAGACACAAAGACCAGAGGAAAACTGTATCTTTACGCTTAGGTTCAATGAAGAATAGACAGTTATGTAAAAGCATGATTGGACAAAAAGTGTATGATCTAATGGTAATAAATTAGTGTGTGTAGGGGGTGCCCAGCAAGGTCTATCTGTTTAGATCCTTTTTGGCCTCTGGGACAGGACAGGACATCTCTGGAATGAGGGTCTTATTACCTACTTTCAGGTGAGGTAAGTCAGATAATTTCAGTATTTTGTTCTAAGCCCTGACATACCTATAATCTCACAGCCAAGCCTGTAATGTTGCGCCTGAGGGCATGGTGAGTTGGCAGGGCCCGAAATCAGAAAGACATGCTGGACATGGAGCAACAGTAGAGCAATGATGAACTGGGGCTCACTGGGGACTTTTGTATCTGTCCCTTAAAGCATCTGACTACCATGGCCTTCCAAGAGTAATGGCTTCCTCACTTCTATCTTCCAAATCTCACGTAAATTCCTTTCTTGGGCAACTCTAACTCAGAACCATGCAGGGAAAGGGATTCTGGAAAATGTAATTCCCATCCTTGCATAGGAGTAGAAGTGCCAAGTTGACAATACACACTTCAATGGGTTGGTCTAAAGTCACATACCAAGAAAACAGAAGGACCAAAGCTAGAGTAGGTTTTCATCTCTGAGGACAATATTGTTTTCATTCTGTCAGGCTATGTTAAACCGTAAATTGTCAAATGGGAATTAGTTGTCAAAAGGAAATTTATTGCTTCATTGAAATATTCAGACTTCGGGGGTGACTAGATCCTGGGATTCAAATGGTATTGTTAGGATTTAATTTTTTTCTTTTTCTCTCTTGTTTCTACACTTTGGAATGGCTTCATTCTTATCTGCTAAGAATGGTAAAGAAAAAGAAAAATCAAAATTGCTAAAAGAGTAGCTTTTTGCCAGGTGCAGTGGCTCACATGTGTAATCCCAGCTACTCCGGAGGCTGAGCCCAGGATTCTGAGTTTGCAGTGGGCATGACTGTGCCATTGCACTCCAGCCTGGGCAACAGAGTGGGAAACCCCCATCTTTAAAATAATACATAAATAAATAATAAATATTTTAAAGTACATAAGGGGATGGATGTTTTAATTAGCTTGATATTATCATTCCACAATGTATAATATAATAAAACATCACATTATACCACCCAAATATATACAATATTGTTTTAAATTAAAAATAAAAATTAAAGAAATAATTGAGGTCAAGAGATGATTGTCCATGAACACAAATACATACAATATTATTTTTAATTAAAAATACAAATTAAAGAAATAATTGAGGTCAAAAAATGATTGTCCATGATTTGGATCTATCTATGTCATTTCCAGGAATCAGGTAGGGGGAGAAAATACCATCCACACATGGGTAAGAGAAAGATGGCTTTCCTGTGATTAAGAATATGGAATGGACAGTAAATGTCCACCACATCAATAAAAGCTCCTTTTTTCAATGAACTTTGTTATTATATAAGGGAAGTGGAAAAAGGATGGGTTTATCAACTCTCATTACCTTTAAGAATCTAGGCTGGGTGTGTTGGCTCACACTTGTAATCCCAGCACTTTGGGAAGCTGAGGTGGATGGATCATCTGAGGTCAGGAGCTCGAGACCAGCCTGGCCAACATTGCGAAACCCTGTCTCTATTAAAAATACAAAAATTAGCGTGGTGTGGTGGTGCATGCCTGTAATCCCAGCTACTCGGGAGGCTGAGTTAGGAGAATTGCTTGAACTCGGGAGGTGGAGGTTGCAGTGAGCCGAGATTGTGCCACTGCATTCCAGCCTGGGCGACAGAGCAAGATTCCATCTCAAAAAAAAAACAAAAAAACAAAAACTAAACTAAATATTTATGAAGCAAAATTGAAATGGAATAATATAACTGAAGTAGCAATTATTTTTTAATCAATTAGCCATATGTTATATGTTCCCAGTAGTATTCTGAGCATTAAAGGGAATATAAAAGTATAATTTATAGTTTCTCTTCACAAGACTTACAGTTTTGTCGAGGACAGAAATTTTATGCCCACAACAATTAGCAAACAGCTTAAGACAGAAGGTAATTAATGGCTACTTTAAGTGATATGGCTTATAAAGAATAGCAGTCTATTAGGAAGGACTATATAGGAAGTCCTCCCAAAAGAGCTGGTACATTGGTCAGTCTTTAAAAAGTGATGGAAAAAAGGAAAGATATTCCATTCTAGAGAAATAACATAGAAATAGATCTAGAGACAGAACCAAGCATATGATAAGATATATCACAAATGTTACCTCCCCTTCTTCACTAATAGAATCTTTTTGCTGCTGTTGAGCACAGCAATTTTCCAAGCTTAGGGGATGAGTAATCATTGTTTCAAGCCAAACATCAAAATTTTGTTATCTAATTTCCCGGCTTTCTGTATGGGGAGAAGAGTCCATGTGACCCAAATAGCTAATGAGATAAATGAAATCTTTGACAAAGTTTTGGGCAAGCTATTGTTTTCCTAATGTAAAGGAACAAATGTGGCTAGCTTCAGCTTTCTCTTTTTTTCTGCCTTAAATATATACAGTCTCTGAAGGTATAGCAGCTACCTTCAACCATGAGACAACAAACCTGGAAAGAAAAAGTCTATATATATATATATATTTTTGTCTCTGTCGCCCAGGCTGGAGTCCAGTGGTGTGATCTCAGCTCACAGCAACCTCTGCCTCCCGGGTTCAAGCGATTCTCCTGCCTCAGCCTCTGGAGTAGCTGGGACTACACGTGCGTGCCACCGCACCTGGCTGATTTTTTTTTTTTTTTGTATTTTTAGTAGAGACGGAATTTCACCATGTTGGCCAGGCTGTGCTCGAACTCCTGACCTCAAGTGATCTGCCCGTCTCAGCATCCCAAAGCGCTGGGATTACAGGCGTGAGCCACTGTACCTGGCTGAAAATGACCAATATTCTAAAAGTGGTGAAGCAGAAAGAAAAAATCCAAAACCAAACTCCTTCTAGATATTTAGGGGTTAAAGAAGTGTCTTTTTGTTTAAGCCACTGTAATTATTTCCTTACTTGCAGCCAGATCTATTTTTAACTAATGCAGATAAGAAAGAAATCAACCTGGTGAAGGGTTGAAAAATAGTGGGAAATATGATTTCAATAATCACCATATACCATTCACACATCTCTGATTTTGTATGTTGAATATCTGCTGTCTTAAATGCCTTTTCTTTACTTCCTTAGCAAAAATGTCATCTACTTAGGCCTAGTAATTTGTTACTTCTTACACAAAATTTTCTTTAATTACCACAGTCAGAATAAATGAGGCTTTGGGCTCCCACAAAATATAGCTTGTACTTAGATACAGCACTAAATAATTTTTCAGTCTCATGATATGATTAAGTGTTTAGATATGCACCTCTTTTCCTAGCCTGCAGATTTCCTGAGGACAAAGATGTCTTATTCAATTTTTTTGTTTTGTATAGAAGTGTCTTACACATATCCTGCTTTCAATCCAGTTTTGCTTAAATGAAGTTTTGTGTTGTAAACTGAAAAAAAAAAAAGGTAGCATTATTTTCCAGCTCCCAGCTCCTTCTCCAGTAGGTGAAATCTATCTCTCCATTCTTAAATCTGTACTTGGGGGAGTCTCTCTGAATCTGCTGTGATTCTGGGGGCTGCCACCCAAAAAGATATATATATATATATATATAAAAATATATATAAAAATATATATACACACACATATATACACACACACATATATATATACACACTCACATATATATATAAAAATTAAAAAAATTAAATCTGTACTTGGCTTTGTGACTTGCCTTGCCAATGGGATGTAGCAAATAAGATACAAGTAGAGACTTGAAAGTTATGGTGCATTGGAGCTTGCACTTCTCACTGCATTTTAGAACCATGAGACTCTATGTGGAGAGCTCAAGTTCGTCTGCCAGATGGTCAGAGACCACAGGAGCAGCTGACCCAGCTAAACACATCTTCTATCTACCAGCAGACCCATTAATTGGCCTCAGTTGCTTGAGAGAAGCCAAGACCAGCAAAAGAATTGCACAACTGAGCCCAGCTAAATTAATGACACATAGAAATATGAAGTAAATAAAATGATTGTTTTAAGCTACTTAATTTGGGGGTAGATTATTATATAGCAACAACAAATGCACCATCAAATTTTCAGGGTTGCTTTTTAGAACTTTCTACTTCATAGGTTCAGTTTAAAATACACAGATGATTGGAGCAAATGTATCTTTTGGTTAAGAAGAAATTTATTTTCATAATTTTGGTTGACTTGCAAAAATTACTCAAATTACTGGTTTGTATTATAGGCCTACCCTGACTCATAAAATAAATTGATTGCTGTTGATTTTCAAAACAGTATCATGGGACCAACAAAAGTAAAATAAAAATTCTCTGCTTTTTAAGATTTTTATCAAGTGGCACAATGTTTCAAGCTGTTAAAAAACCTTGAGTATCCTTTATAAAACTCATGAGATCTGTGACCTACCCCAGCTATGTTGTTCTTTGTGAAACTTTTATGAATATTTTAATATTTGAAGCTAGGTTATTAATAGAGTTTTCTGTTTGGTCTTAGCTTGATTCACATGAACTTTGTTCTCCTTGGGCAATAAGAAATTCCTCAGCATCATACCTTACTAAAAATCTACCCATTTTATACTGCATTAGGTATGAATTTCAAAGCCTTAATTGAGGTTTCTTAGATTTAATCTTTAGTAAATTGCTTTAACTCTAGGGCAGTTAGAAAAATCTAAGTTATCTCTAAGCCACTTTCTGTGTCTATTTCTCTTGTCCCTTTCCACATAGATAACAAACAGGAGACAGCAAGCAGAGGAAAAGTAAGGAGTATGGCTGGGCACAATGGCTCACGCCTGTAATCCCAGCACTTTGGGAGGCCGAGGCAGGTGGATCACATGAGGTCAGGAGTTCGAGATCAGCCTAGCCAACATGGTGAAACCCTGTCTGTACTAAAAATACAAAAATTAGCCAGAAAGGGGGCAGGCGCCTGTAATCCCAGCTACTTGAGAGGATGAGGCAGGAGAATCACTTGAATCCAGGAGGCAGAGGTTATAGTGAGCCAAGATCGGGCCACTACACTCCAGCCTGGGCAACTGAGTGAGACTCTGTATCAAAAAATAAATAAAGTAAAGGGTATGGTTGGCTGGTTCATTCTGTCTCCCTCCAAAAGTTTCTGCCTTAATTTTTGTGGAGGAAGGTGAATGTAGGATGGAGAACAGGTCCTGGATATTCTGAAATGTTGGGCAAATCAGCCAGGAGTAAAGATGCCATTCTCACAGAACTTTCATGTAAAAGCTGTTTGTGCAGCTCTGCCTCTTGGGGTGTCTCGCTGTGACATGCGAAGTCACAGCTTCTCATGTCAGCCTCTCAAAAAGGGCATCTTCTTTGTGAATGGGGTCCCCTGCCCATCCAAGCCCTAACTTGACAGGCATTTTCTTCTTAATATGGAAGATAAATTTCTGAGATATGCTCTCAGCTGCCCCAACATGGTCTTTAAAATCTGTTTTAATACAGCCTTTCCCACATCTTAGATGGTCTACAGAAAATAACATATAAGTATATATGTATGCATTTCTTATATAAATAACTTCAACTTTATGATCTCTACAAACAACAGTCCATAGTTATAAGCAAAATTTCCATAGCATTCTTAAAGCAAAGTTGGAATTAATGTGCTATGGCTATTAAGGTTGAAGTTTGCAGTGAGTGTTTCTCCCAAATCCCCTGTGCTGTGGACCTAATGTCTGTGTCCTCCCAAAAGTCACATGCTGAAATCCTAACTCCAAGGTGACAGTTTTAGGAGGTGGGGACTTTGGGAGGTAGGAGGTCATAAGGATGGACTCCTCTTGATGGGATTAATGCACTTATAAGAAGAAGCATGAGGAAGATGATTTTTCTCTCAGCCATGTAATGGTACAAGAAGATAGTTGTCTGCAAACCAGGAAGTATGTCCTCAGTAGACACCAGATCTGCTGGCACCTTCAGAACTATTAGAGATATACTTTTGCTTTTTAAGCCATCTCAGGTATTCTCTGATAGTAGCCTGAACTAAGATACACTAAAACACTAACAATTAAGAAGCAGAAACTACAATCTACAAAAATCATAATCCTAATATTATTTCCTACTTTTAAAACATTTATCTGAGTTTTTTACTATATTGTACATTATCATTTCCAGTAGAGTATTCTAGGGAGAAGCTACTTCTGAGGAATTAACCTTCAAGTTGCATGTAAACATGTGTTTACAATGAGATGTACTGGAGATATTAATGACTACTTCCAAACTTTGAAAAAGGAGATGGATAGTCAGAATCTCTAAATCAGCTGGGAAAGATTCAGATGGGGGAAACTTCTGATGGGGGAAAATCGTGAATTAAACATTGTAAAAATTTGTTTTCGTGGCCGCACACTGTGGCTCATACCTGTAATCCCAGCACTTTGGGAGGCTGAGGGGGAAGGTTACCTGAGGTCAGCCTGGCCAACATGGTGAAACCCCCTCTGAACTAAAAACACAAAAAAGCAACTGGACATGGTGACGGGCACCTGTAATTCCAGCTACTTGGGAGGCTGAGGTAGGAGAATTGCCTGAACCCGGGAGACAGAGGTTGCAGTGAGCCAAGATCATGTCATTGCACTCCAGCCTGGGTGACAAGAGCGAGACTCCAACTAAAAAAAAAAAACAATAAAAAAAAATATTGTTTTGGTGCCACATAGAGGTAGGAAAATCAGGCTTGGTATGATGATTCCAAAATCATAAGTCTTCCTTTTTTTAATTGAAAAAAAGTCTCTGACTTTCGGACCACAGCTCAACAGAGCCACACTAAATATATTTCTTTAACCTACCTATTGAGTTTTCTTTATCTTCATAACTGGTAGAGAGACCAGTTTAAATATCAAAAGACAACATAAAATGTATGGTCAATTGCCTAATACAGCAAAAAGAAATGGCTATAATTAACTATTTTACTGCCTATCTTTTTTTGTCCAATTGCTACAGAATACTGGAATTATATGGGGACACTGAGGCAGCTGGGACATTTTGTGAAGTTGAACAAATCCAACTTTAAGGTTCTTAGATTTAAGCTTACAGTCTTAAAATATGGTTGCTCTCAAGTCAGTCTGTTTCATCCAACTGGGCCTAGAGTCTCTTTCTCTATTAGTTACTAAAAGTCAGTTTTTTATTGTGAGGTTTTCTGTTGTTGTCATGTTATGTGTTGGTTTTTTTGTTTCATTTTTAATGAAGTGGAGAGAACATGCTTTAGAAAAAAACACATATGGTAAATTTTAAGTGCTCGATACAATATTCTAATTGAGTGTTCATGTTCAAGTACTTTCTTTAGAAATATTTTAATGTGAAACACTTCACAAACAGTAAATCCCAGGTTAGTTATTAGTAAGTGAGCCATATACGTTATCAAAAGCTTTAATTAGATAAACTAGTTTACTTCTCTTTACTTCTTCAGATATCGACTGTCACCTCTGAGTAAAAATCTTCAGCCAGATCTATTTTTTCATTCAGCTTCTCACTTACTGCAAACTACAACCACAGACTTTTTGAAAAAAATATGGCTGCCATCCCAGCTCCATAGTTTCTGTGACTGTTTTTGTCTAACAGAGGAAGAACTAGCACATGTCTGTTAAACAACAGTAGGAACCCTTCCCTCTCTGTTTTGCAGTCATTTGCTTTTCTCTTGGCATCTGTAACTAAAACAATTTCACACAAAACTGAAATGATTCACTACTCGTGCCTTCTGTTAAAGATTCCTGATTTTCAACCCATCTTGGTATTTACATGACTTCTTTCTTTTGAACATTTTTTTTTTGCATCAGGATCTATTTGAACATTCACATTAGCACAAAATGAACAGTTGTAACATTGCTACATTTTCATTTCTGAACACTATATGTTATAATTTACTCTTGTGGTCTTACAGATTAATGAATAAATTCTTAGAACACAAAACTACTTTAGATGCATAAATGAAAGCACGTGTTTACATCATAAACATTTTACTTGTGTGTTTTTAATCATGTTAAAACATGTCAATGTCTTTAAAATGTTTAAAATACAATATAAATTCTTTTAAATATGTTTTTAAAGTTATAGAAAGGTGAGCATTATTCTTTTGAAAAAAAGTACTTCACATCAGAGACCCAGATATAATGGAGCTGTGATAATAATTATGGAGAACAAAGACAACCTCTGAGAGAAAATATAAAATGTACTTCCTTGTGATTGATAAAAGTCCTCTTGAGATTTTCACACAGGCTAATAGCACCACATTGCTCCTTAAATTTCTTTCCTTTTTTTTTTAACTTTCTATAAGATAAGGTAAGTACTGTATATACACAAGAAACGTGAAAAAGTGGAGCAATTTTGTCCCTTGATCACTTTTAAGTAGGAAATTGTCAGGCATTCCTGTTTAAATACAACCTAAGGTCATATGTATCTGTCTACAACTTCCCAAAGTGCTACTCACCTTGTGCACACACTCTAGCCTTTTAGTTGTGTGTTTACTCTCATCTTCCACAGAATTAGTTGAACCTCCGTGAGGTTGACAGAGTCAGTGTTGTGAAGTCCTTCAGATCATAGATAATTATACATTCTTTAAAAGAGAATCTGGATAATTTGAAAACTTTTTTGACTTGGCTAAACTCAAGGCACAAAACAAATTCAATTAGGCTTAGATAATAAATGATCCAGACAAGTTTTGATATTTATACATGTGCTTGAAATAATGATTGGTTCAGTTAACACCTCTACTCACTAGGGGTTGCAATCATATCACAAATTCTATTTTAAAACTTTAGTAGTTGTTCCTCTTACCATTGTATTACTTTTACTTTGAATATCTCTCTTCTCAGAAGTAATCACAATTTTGTGTGTGGCGATTATCATTCCCAAGCTTATTTGTAAGCATTTATTAGAAATGTTTTTGTCTGGACAAAAATTATTTTGTCCAGAAACAATATTTGGCTGGATTGTGGTCAATATGACATTGCTACCATCCCTTTTAAGGTCTCCTCTGCAATGACATTTCAGTCCCTTTTTCTACATGGTTCTTGGTCAGAGTTTGCCAGTGAGAGGTACTCCAGTGATATCGGAATGCAGAAACGAAAGGAAGGTTATGATGTTCTGGAGGTGCTTTCAGGCAGACCCCGGTCAGATTGCAAACAAGAAAATCACGAGAGCTTTCTGGCAAGCTCACCTGCTTTAGTGCCACAGGCAGTTAAGGAAGCAAGTAATGACTTCTTGAGAACCAGGGCTGCTGGCTGAAATAATATTAGGCTCAGTGCTTTCTGAAGAACCTTCTGAAAACTTCTAGCTCTATTGCTACAATTAAGATTATCACTAGTAAATTCCCTTATTTATTATACTCTCCCAGCCATTTTAATTATTGCACATGACTCTAATCTCTCGTATCAAAGTCCATACTTGAAATATAATGTGGCTTCTGATTTTCTAATCAGATACCAACTGATAGAAATAATAAGCATTGTTCTATATGATTTTAAACTTTACACAAATGGCAAACTTCTATACCTATTTTTTTTTTTTTTTTGAGACGGAGTCTTGCGCTGTTGCCCAGGCTGGAGTGCAGTGGCGCGATCTCAGCTCATTGCAAGCTCCGCCTCCCGGGTTCACGCCATTCTCCTGCCTCAGCCTCCCAAGTAGCTGGACTACAGGCACCCGCCACCAAGCCCGGCTAATTTTTGTATTTTTAGTAGAGACGGGGTTTCACTGTGTTAGCCAGGATGGTCTCGATCTCCTGACCTCGTGATCCGCCCGCCTCGGCCTCCCAAAGTGCTGGGATTACAGGCGTGAGCCACGGCGCCCGGCTATACCTATTTTTTTATGTTAACATAGTTTCAGTTCATTCCCTTCAATTGATATGTAATATGCTAATATTTTATTTATTATAATTTATCCATTTTCCTATTAAGGAACATTTAGTTGGTTTTCGAAGTTTTGCTATTACTCCGAATGTTCTAATGAAAATCCTGTGTCTCGTCTTCATACATAAAATACTTTTTTGAGCTCTATATTAGGAGTAGCATTGACGACTCCAATGGTATAAGAAAATTCCTTTTCCTGTACATTCTCGTTAAAGCCTAGTAATGTCGAACTTTAAAGTTTTGTTAACATAATAAATGTTTAATAATACCACATTATTGGCCAGGCGCAGTGGCTCACGCCTGTAATCCCAGAACTTTGGGAGGCTGAGGCAGGCGGATCACGAGGTCAGGAGATCGAGACCATCCTGGCTAACACGGTGAAACCCCGTCTCTACTAAAAATACAAAAAAGTAGCCGGGCGTGGTGGTGGGCGCCTGTAGTCCCAGCTACTCGGGAGGCTGAGGTAGGAGAATGGCGTGAACCCGGGAGGCAGAACTTGCTGTGAGCCGAGATAGTGCCACTGCACCCTGGCCTGGGCAAAAGAGCAAGACTCCGTCTCAAAAAATAAAAATAATAATAATACCACATTATCTTATTATTATTATTATTTGAGATGGAGTCTCACTCTGTTGCCGAGGCTGGAGCACAGTGGCATGATCTTGGCTCACTGCAATCTCTGCCTCCTGGGTTCAAGCTGTTCTCCTGCCTCAGCCTCCCAAGTAGCTGGGATTACAGGCACCTGCCACCACACCCAGGTCATTTTTGTATTTTTTTTTTTTTTTAGTAGAGACGGGGGTTTCACCATGTTGACCAGGCTGGTCTCAAACTCCTGATCTCAAGTGATCCACCCACCTCGGCCTCCTAAAGTCCTGAGATTACAAGAGTGAGCCACCGTACCCGGCCAGTACCACATTATTTTAATTAAAAATTCTAAAATTCCTATTAATAGAAATTAGATATAAATCATCTGCTTGATGTCATATAAAATTGTAAGTTTCACTTACATGTAGATGTTCACTTGAAAGTTATTTTGTGATGAGAACTGATGAAGGTATTACAATAAGACAGCTACTGAATATTATACCATATAGCACATAAAACAGGAATTGTTCATTTAAAGATTATTTCCTCTTACTAGACTATGAGTGTCTTGAGGACTGGGCTCATATTTTCATTTATGAATCCTTTAATCCAAACTTGAACACCACTTAAAGGTGTGACCCAAACTTTAACATCAGTTAATGGAGGAGGATTTAAGTCATTTCTATTCCTCCTCTTTTCCAAAACTAGCCAAATGTTACAAAGAACAAAAATAATTATAAACTCCTTCTTCAAAAAACTAGGAAAAAGCCACAACTCGTAATTACAACTATTGAAATTTGAAGTCCAGATCAACTAGAGGTAGAATGACAAGTAGGAAACATATTTCTAAGATACAGTGCAGATTTTAATATTCCCCTAATGTAGAAGGGATCCTCTCCTAAAAAATCAGTGTCCATGTAATTGGTACAGCAAGATTTGAGGAGGGGTGGTCTGAGGGAGTATCTCTGAATCCAGTATACCTTACAAAAGGGAGATGAGGGAGAAACAGCAGAGACATGCCATCGGTGCTTATCATAGGCAGCTAAAAATAAAGGATTGAATGTCAAGCCATTGCACAAAAATGAGTGACACTGGAGATTTTGCTGCGATCCTAGCAAATACTCTACTTTCTCTGAACGGCTACTCAGAAGAGCGAGTAAAGACATATTCCCAAGGTAAAGGCTGTGGAATATTTAGCATGAAGGTTCAGAGATGCCATATCTGGAATAAATTTTCCTGACTTTCCTGCTCAATCGTTGTTTTACTCCTCCATCTTTTCTTAAACAATAAGCTGATTCAGATAGAATTGACCGCATTTAAGGATGAGTAATAACTAGATGAAAACAGGCATGGAGCTAACCAAAAATGAATAAAAAGTAAGAGAAGAAGAAGGGAGAAGGAGAAAGGGAAGAGGTGGAAAAGAAGTTAATATATGAAGTCAGGAGAAAAAAATCTCTGTGTCAAAATAATAACACCAGGCAACTTAACAAGGACATATTCATGATCTGAAAGAACTAACTAAAGCATGGTTTATTTGAAAAGTGATGTCAAAGACATATATATGTAAGAATAAATAAAGAGATGAAAGTAAACTGTCAGACTCAGCTTACCTATGTTATTAAAACTAGAACCCAAAATTAAAATAGACACTACTGAAAACACAGTTGGGGGTATGAAAAAGAGACAAGTTAATCGAGCAAAATTAGGTACCAAGTTTATAAAAGTTTAAAGTGATTAGAAAAGAAGAATAGGTGTGGAGGACAGATACAGTGGATGAGAGACACTCATATATTGTAACTGAAGAAGAATACAAAACTAATTGGTACTGAAAATATTTGCTGCAACAGAATCTGAATACCAAAGGGTACATTATATCTGAGAAATAATTGATACAGAATAATTGACAAGTTATGTATTTTTAAAATTGCTGGAATTCAAGGGTAAAAAAAACTCATTAAAAAAAATCTGCCTACTGAGCCTAAAAATTAAGCTGCTCTTGGATTTCTCAATATCAACATTCAATACCAGAAGATGATAAAACAATGTTAAACCAATATTCAGTAATGAAAATATGATTTGAGAATTTTATATTAAGTGAAATCATTGCTCAAAAATAAAGGCAAAAAGCATGCAGTTTCAAATATGCAAGAACTCACAGCACGATGATACCATCAGGATGATGAAATTTGGTCACTTAATATATCACTAGAGAAAACAGGAAAAAACATTTGGAAATGAATATTGAATTCACTAAAATATAGAAATAAAGCTAAGCAATCAGGGAAATTTTGATTATAGGATAAAATATGATTAATCTTAACCAAGAAAGCCTAGCCAGAAATGATGAGAATTTCAGAGAGGTAGTCAGATCCCAGATCATACAGGGCATTGTCATCCAGGGAAGGCAATATTTTGCTGTAGGAGCTAAAATAATTTTTAGATTATTAGAGATAGGCAAAAAAGAGGAATCAAAAATGTCTCCAGGCCGGGTACAGTGCTGTAATCTCAGCATTTTGGGAGGCCAAGGCAGGTGGATCACTTGAGCCCAAGAGTTGGAGAGCAGCCTGGGAAACATGGTGAAACCCCATTTCCAAAAGAAAACACACACACACACACACACACACAAATGAGCTGGGTGAGGTGGCAAGCACCTGTAGTCCCAGCTACTTGGGAGGCTGAGGTGGGAGGATCACTTGAACTCAGGAGGTTGAGGCTGCAGTGAGCTGTGATTGCACCATTGCACCCCAGCCTGGGTGACAGAACTTACAGAGCGAGTGAGACCCTGTCTCAAAAAAAAGAGAAAAGAAAAAAAGAATGACTCCAAATGTTTGGCCTGAACAATTTGGAATGGAGTGCCCCTTACTAAAATGAGGAAACCAGAAGCCTAGGAGAGAAGCCAGTTGAGGTTGGGGGTAATATAAACAGTTTGGCATATGTTAAAGCCCGAATGTTTGTGTCCCCTCCCAATTTGTATGTTGAAACCATACTATTAATTTGATGGTATTTGAACATAGGGCCTTTGAGAGGTAATTAAGGTTAGATGAGGTAATAAGGGTGGGGACATCATGATAGGATTTTTGCCCTGATTCAAAGAGAAACTAGAGAGCTTGCATGTTCACTTTCCCACTCGCCTGTGGGAGCACACAAGTCGGTGACTGTGCAAGCCACGAAGAGAGCCCTTTCCAGGAACTGAATCAGCCTTGATCTTGGACTACTCTGCTTCCAGAACTGTGAGAAAATAAATTTCTGTTGCTTAAAACACGCAATCAATGGTATTTTGTTATAGTAGCCTAAGCAGACTAACACAGCTTATGTTAATTTTGAGATGTCTTCTGTACCTCAAGAAGGAAGTTGAATATACAATTCCAGAGTTCAGGGAGAGTTGGTACTGTTGATATGAATTTGGAAGTCATCAGAAATCGTCAGTGACATTTAAAGCCAAATTGAAGGTAAATTGCATAAGTCTACTATGTGTTCCAGGTATAATTATTCTTTGTAGAGAAATAAATGGAATCGGCCAGTTATGCTTGTTGTCTAATGTAATAAAAAAAAATTAGCACCAAGTTTTGTCTGCTCTTTTCTCAGCTTACTTGGTTTTGAACATAATGACTCATTTTTACACTTCTACTTACCTCTAGATATAGCCCTTCTGTAAAATACTCCTATTGCTTCTCTTTTTTAAGTTCAGTGAGTCAAATTTCAAGAACCAAAATAATGCAATTATTGTACAAGGTCCAGGTTACAAAACTACTGAACTAGCTAAATCTCCATTTCTCCCTGCCCTGTTTGCTATATGACAAAAGTTACTACAAAGCCAAATATATATCTAGGTCACCAAACAACACAGTTTGCTCAGGACTATTCAGGTTTACACTCGTTGTCCTAGCGTAATTATTAATAGCACCCAGCATAATTATTAACACTCTCTTGCACTCTCTAAAGTGTGCTGAGGGTTTGAACAACAACTTTTATGGTTATTTTCTAAGTAGTAGATACTTTTCCTTCACAGTTCACTATGTTAGTACCAGCTATTGGTCTTAATTGACACTATGTTGGCCTATAATTTTGTCTTACACAGTTGAGTAATTCAAAGCCATTTTTTTAAAAGAAGTGTTCTTAAGGACTCCTTATGTTGATTAAAATTGATTATATATTGGTAATTAGGAACAAACATGAAACCCAATATAAAAGTTTTATTATCTTCTATAACAAAACCAGATTTTTAAATTAAATGTCCGAAATCCCTACAAAACCCATAAAATCTAAAATAACAATAATGATTTAAGATGAAAAATTATTACTTTTTGCAGAAAGTAAATCTCTTTTCAGAATATGACTATAGTACTTATGGAGGTTGTTTGAGTTTTCCCAGCAACTCTCTGTTTTTAAATTATGATGGCATTAATATTCATAGAGCATATCATCACCACATCCTTTGGCCTTCAGTTGGTATGAAAACATCGTTTTATTATAAGGTCTGCCTTCATTCTTTTTTTCATTATTGATGAGTAAAGTTGTGTTATGTAGTTCCTTTTTTATCATAATGAAAACATTGGTATTAAAATCAGTTCGTAGGTCTTGACTTTATAGTGGTTTTCCAGCTAGCCAGAATATGCCTATATTAATTTCTTTAGTATCATTTTATCCAAATGAAAACACAATATTTGAAAAATGTTCCAGATCTCTAAGAATACATTTTTGGAACCTCAGGCATCTATTAATCTTTGTTTGTACAATGTCACTGAAGGATTTTAACCTGAGAATTAATACAATAAGAAGTACAAATGATCAATAAACATAATTATTCTTTCTCACTAGGGGAAAAAAAAGGGACTGAAAATAAGACCTGATGACAATAATAAGTATTTTGGAGGGTTCAAGGAGAAGAATTGTCACCCTTATACACTGCCTTTGGGATTTTAATTAAGTTTCACATTTCTTGAAAGCAAATTGATCATGTATATTAAAGACATAAAAATATGTATACCCTTGACTCAATTGTTTCCACTTCTAGACATGTATTATAAGAACATAATAAAATTCACATGGATACATTAATTAACATAGTAAGTGGCACATAATATGCACTCGATAAATATTTACATACACACACACAGACATACTATGCCTGTACTTATGTCTGTCAATATGCTAGGTGTTGGACATACAATAATGACGAGAAAGTACAGTTTAGTTGTGGAGATAAATTAAAAATTACATAAACATGTAACAACTATGGCACGTTTCATGGGAAAAGGAGATGTGGATGCCTTTAAGAGAGGTTTTTTTTTCCAAATGTGTAATTTTTATTGGTACATAGTAGGTGTATATATTTATTGGGTACATGTGGCGTTCTGATACAGGAGTACAATGTGTACATAGAACACATCAGGGCAAATGAGATATCCATCACTTCAAACGTTTATTTCTTTGTGTTAGGAACATTCCAATTCCATTCTTTTAGTTATTTTAAAATTTGCAATAAATTGCTGTTGACTATAGCCACCCTGTTGTGCTATCAAGTACCAGATCTTATTTATTTTATCCAACTATCTTTTGGTACCGATTAACCATCCCCTTTCCCCACCCCTCTCCCCACAACCAACACCCTTCCCAGCCTCTGATAACTGTCACCCTACCATCTATTACCATGAGTTCAATACTTTTAATATTTAGCTCCCACAAAAGAGTGAGAACATGCAGAACTTCTCTTTTTGTGCCTGGCTTATTTCACATAACAAAATATCCTCCAGTGCCACCCATGTTGTTGCTAATGACAGGATCTCATTCTATTTTATGGCTGAATAGCATATCATTGTGTATATGTACCACATTTTCTTTATCCATTCATCTTTTGGATAGTTACATTGATTCCAAATCTTGGCTATTGTGAATAGTGCTACAATAAACATGGGAGTACAGATCTCTTCAATACACCCTCCCTTTTGGGTATATAACTAGTGGTAGGATTGCTGGATCCTATGATAGGTCTATTTTAGTTTTGTAAGGAACCTCCACACTGTTCTTCATAGTGGCTGTACTAATTTACATTCCCACCAACAGTCTATGGAAGGTTCACTTTCTCCACATCCTTGTCAGCATTTGTGATTGCCTATCTTTTGGATGAAAGCCATTTTAACCAGGGTGAGGTGATATCTTATTGTGATTTGTATTTGCATTTCTCTGATGATTAGTGATGTTGATCATTTTCCCCATATACCTGTTGCCCCTTTGTATGTCTTATTTTAAGAAATGTCTATTCAGACATTTTGCCTATTTTTAAATCATATTATTAGTTAGGTTTTTTTCCTATTGAGATGTTTGAGCTTCTTATATATTCTGGTTATTAATCCCTTATCAAATGGATAGTTTGCAAATATTTTCTCCCATTTCTGTCTGTTTTTGCTTTTGAGGTATTACTTAAGAAATTTTTGCACAGACCAAGGGGCAAAACTCTTTGAGAGCTTCCCCAATGTTTTCTTTGTTGTTTAATAGTTTGAGGTCTTAGATTTAATTCTTTAATCGATTTGGATTTGTTTTTTATATGTGACAAGAGATAAGGGTCTAGTTTCATTCTTCTGCATGTGGATATTCAATTTTCCCAGCACTATTTATTGAAGAGACTGTCCCTTCCCCAATGTATGTTCTTAGCACCTTTGCTGAAAATGTTTACTGTAGATGTATGGATTTATTTCTGAGTTATCTATTATTTTCCATAGGTCTACGTGTCTGTTTTTATGCCAGTACCATGCTGTTTTGATTACTATAGCTCTGTAGTATAACTTGAGGTCAGGCAATGTGATTCCTTCAGTGTTGTTCTTGTTGCTCCAGATGGCTTTGGCTATTCTGGGTCTTTTGCAGCTCCATGTAAACTTTAGGATTTTAAAAAATTTCGAACAGAGGTATTTATTAGGTTGGTTCAAAAGTAATTGTGGTTTTTGCCATTGAAAGTTATGGTAAAACCCACAATTGCTTTTGCATCAACATAATAACATGATCAAAGAGGTCAAAAATGGTTTCCCCCAAGAAAACACCTATAAGCTGAAAGCTGAATGATGGACAGGTGCTAACTAGAAGACCAGAAAAAGCAAGTTTCAAACAGAGAAGTGGCATGTGCAAAGGTCCTGAGGTGGGAAGAAACATGCTGGATACAAGACTTGATGGGAAACCATTGTGACTGCCATGGCAAGAAAAGGGGGAATGTGGTATGTGATGAAGGTGGCATAAGAAAGCACCAGAGGCCGGGCGCGGTGGCTCACGCCTGTAATCCCAGCACTTTGGGAGGCCGAGGCGGGTGGATCATGAGGTCAGGAGATCGAGACCATCCTGGCTAAAAAGGTGAAACCCCGTCTCTACTAAAAATACAAAAAATTAGCCGGGCGCGGTGGCGGGCGCCTGTAGTCCCAGCTACTCGGGAGGCTGAGGCAGGAGAATGGCGTGAACCCGGGAAGCGGAGCTTGCAGTGAGCCGAGATTGCGCCACTGCAGTCCGCAGTCCGGCCTGGGCGACAGAGCAAGACTCCGTCTCAAAAAAAAAAAAAAGAAAGCACCAGAGCTCTCTCTTTTTTTTGGTGAGAGTTTTGTTTTTTTCTCAAATAACTAACATTTTCTTTAAAACTTTTAAGGAATTTTAATATGGACAGAGTACTTCAACTGTGTGCTGGGATATAAATTGTAGAATATTTGTTAAATGAATGAGATTAATTATAATTTTGTTTTTCAAAGTAACTTTAATAGTAATAAAAAATAAAAAATATCCTAAAGGTACAATACTGGTTTGTTTAAATTGATTTTAGTACATTCATACAGTACAATGTTTTGAAGTTGTTAATAATGATAATTCTGCAGAAGAATATTCATTGGCGTGAAGAATTGTCCTCAATACAGTAAATGAAGGCAGCCTTTGACAATAAAACCTCAGACTGGCATGGAATCCGTGACAAAATATATCTACTTACGTAACGCATTGGCCAAATGTAGGTCTAAATAGGAAGAGAGAATACCTTTGGTAGTTATCAAGCTAATTTGTTGCTTTTTAACAAATGCAACATAAAACAAATTAATAGTCTATGCAGCTCTGATGTACTAGCTGATCTACTTAGGAAGTTTTATTTTCATTGCTCCGTAGAAAAATGAAGCAGCACAGGAAATTAGGGACCATCAATACAAAAAACAATTTGACTGAATAAATAAATGTGCAATTTTGTTGTGAGGTAGTTACTTTCCTCCATAAAAGTGTCCTGTCTTGGCTCCCTCAGAAGAAAGGGAAAAGGAAGAATGCAATAATATGACTTCAGAATAAATAAATAATGGAAGAATTTCAAAACAGAATGAGGCTTTGCTTTGAAATATCCAATCTTCTTGAGACTGCAAATTGTGCAGGAATAGAGAATAGTTTCTCTCATGAGTTTTCTTCTAATCAGAAGAAAAATATAAGATGAGACTTTCTCATGGATTTCAACATATCTAATCATATACTTGTTGGCAATCTGGAAGAGAAGAAACAGATGAAAAATTCATAAAGAACTCATGTACATAGTATGCTCAGCTCCATTTTTATTTTATACAAAAATTTTGAAATAAAAGTATTTCCTTTTCTGTACCAATTCACATTATATTTTACAGTTTATAAATGCAGCTAACATAAATTACTGTCTATTCTTTCATGTTATTTTGCTTTAATGTTTTCAATATAGTAAAGTTTTTCAATTTTTTAATAGAAGATTGTTTTTCATTATATCTTATTTTCTGTGCCTTCATATTTCATAATATATTTCAGAGAGTCAAAATATGTTATTAGTGATATAACAGACTCTCTTTAAGTAAAAATAAACTTTGATAAAAATTCAAAGTTTGAGTTTAGAATTTGATTTGGGTAATATCAGAAGTAAGGCAATACTTGGAAGTATAGATTGTTAGAAGCTCAGTCTTTGGAGTAAAACGCACCTACTGAGGTGAGGTTTGAATCAAAACTTCACCACTAACTAGCAGTTTGACCCTGGAGAATTTACTTAATTTTTCCAAATCTGTTTCAGTTCATGTCACTGTCGTCTCTAAAATCCTTCAAAAGCTCTTCTTTCCACTGAGAATAAAATTCAAAGTCTTAATAAAATTATTCATGGGTTTCACATGATTGTGCCCCTGACCATCTCCACGGCCTTTCCTTCTCATTTCTCACCGATGTTGGTGTCCTCAGGCACTTGCACGTGTTCTTCCTTGAACCTGTGTCTTTCCTTCTTTTCCAGTGACAGTCCAACCCATCCATATACAATTATGCATTGGTTCCTAAATATTTATTTAATTTGCTACTAACATATGAAGATAGCACCAGGTGTATGTCGGCCCTGAAAACACACTTAAAAATAATGAATTCTAACCTAGAGGGGTGTGTATTCAATGCTTCCTATGTTTACTCTCAAAAGTCCTGTTCCTCAAGCTGCCCAGTCTTGAATTAATGATAAATTTGGTCATCAGTTTGAAATAACAAGAATATTAGTGGTGGAGTGTCTAGTATACATTAGCTTGAATCAATTAATTATCAGGTAAGGTAGCTATAAGAAAAGAACTTTTTGTTAAACAGAACTTAAATTTTGTTTTGATTTCGTATATTATGGTGCACTCTTATATTGAGTTGCTCATTAACCAGTCAATGGTTGAAATGTGTTGTTAAAAATAAAAACAACTAAAAGTTACCTTACAGCAGTGAAGAAAATGCCAACAAGATTTCCAGATATAGCAGCCTTGACATTGTTGAACCCCTAAACTAATGCCAGTAATTGCCTATCTACAGATTTGTTACTACTTCTGTCTTGGTCTTTTAGTTATAACAAAATACTTTAGACTGGCTAATTAATAAGTAATAGAAATTCATTTCTCACAGTCTTGGAGGTTGGGAAGTCCAAGATCAAGGCAATGGCAGATTTGATATTTGGGAAGCGCTTACTCTCTGCTTCAAAGATAGCATTTTCTTTCTGCGTTCTCTTGTGATGGAAGGGGCAAATGCTGTGTTCTCACATGGTGGAAGGGTCCTCACATGGTGGAAGGGGCAAGGTAGCTCCCTTCAACCCTTTTGATAAGGACTCTGGTGCCATTCATGAAGGGAGAACCCTCATGACTTAATCACTTCCACAAAGGCCTCATCTCTTAATACCACTACAATGGGAATTAGGTTTCTACATGAAGTTTCGAGGAACACATTCAGACCACAACACCATGCGTTAACAATAAATTACTATTTCTCTAAACTTTTGTAAACCTTGTTTGCTGTTATATGCATGTGGAATCATTCCTGGTGATACAACTGGAAATTTAATTTCATCAAAGCAAATAATCCATCACAAACAATTCATTCTGGCAACTTTAGTCTTTATTAATTTTGTAGTTTATATCATATTTGATTTGTAAATTAATCTATGGTTTTACTATTGTATAAGAACTAGAAGGCTAATAAATTCACACTCTATTATTTTTTAAAAGGTTGTACATTACTCAAAACATTAAGCTCTAAACTGGAGTGAACATTTATTTGCAAAGTAGAGCACTGCACCGCTAAGTAGATGGCCACATTTTGCATCCTAGTTTTAGTGCAATCCATCATGAGGCTTGGGGATGTCAGCCTACATCTATAGGCTGTGTTCTTTATATGGAGAATATAGGACATACAAGTTGATATATTGGGGTATGAGAGAGAAACATAACTTTCATATTTTCAAGTCATTATTTGTATATTTTATGTTGTATATATTTCATTTTTTGCTGTATGTTTTATAAGCAGCATATTATGTTACTATATATGGTATATGAGGATACCTTCAAAATGTTTTTACTGATAAAATATGTGATCTGAAAATTTTGAAGGCAACACCTCTCATAATTCTTTCATCTTTAAATTAAAGAAATTAGTGCTTTTTAGACCCTACTTCAAGGGGACCTACAGCGTTCTTAAAAAGTGGTTAGGGTACAGAAGCAACCTGGGAAATTAGAGGTCTGAAGAAGTCCAATCCACGAGTTTCTGCCCTCCTAGCTCCTTTTTTATGTCTCCTTTACTCATTAGGCTTCTTTATAAGAATAGGTTCAGATATTTAAGCAAAAGGTTTGAAGGACAACTGACTAAATGGTGTCTGAGGTCTTGATAAAATCTAAACTTCTTTGATCATCTAGGTTCTGAGCTGTCCTCTATTCTGGAGGTAAAATAGTGACAAACCTTAAACACGTAATATAGTACATTTTCATGTTAGGAACTTGTATTATAGACCCAATTAGTGATATGAGACATATGTGCGAGAAGATAACCAGAAATCTCTGAGAAAATTGAGTGGTGGGCACAATGTGTAATAGTGATAAAAGATATATTTTAAGAGGTCCTTAAGATCATTCCATGTGACATCCCACACCTACCAATGCCATATTTTAAACTTTTACCTTTAGCCACCACCCTAATATAGTTGCATTCTATCAGTCTTGGTTATAAAGTTGATTAATGCAAATGATTCCCGTGCAGTGTTGTTTCAAATAAGACTACACCTAGATTTTGGTAATATATTTTTAAAGTATTGGGCAGCCTAGCCCCTAATTGTCTGGATGCTCTTAATAAGAATCAGGTGTAGGCACAATTGCCTCATAAATAAAGACAGGCATGTTGTTATAAGCTATTTCACTTGTTCACCAGTTAATCCTCAGAAAGTAAATATAAATGCAACATTTCTTAGATTCTTCCTTCTCTACCCATTTCCCTAGAATCAACCCAAGCATTTTGTGAAATCTAAAAGCAAAAAGAAAAACAGCTTGCAATTGTATTTCTGATTAAGATTTTCAGCCAAGTTGTTGGCATGAATCATAAAGAAACAAGTAAGAGACAAAATAAACTAATAATATGACTATTACCAGAGGCAATTCTGAATCATTTCCAAGATTTGTTAGCCGTTTCAGTTTACAAAGTCAGTAGGCATACATGTCAACTTTTTTTCAGGCAATGCATTTTCACAATGATTGTGCGAGGAAATGAAGTGGCAGAGATGATACAGATGCACTTGTAATTGGTGTGGCTCCCATAGCAATGAACCTAGATTTGTCCTTTAATGAAGGGTTGGAATGCACAGTGGGAAAAGACACATTCTTCTGCCTGTGTCTGTACCCATCTGAGAGAGCACTGTTTTCTGAATTTTCTGACAGAGAACCTTTTGCAACTAGCCTTTCCTAGTTTCTTATTTTTCTAAGATAATCATATCTCTTCTTGCCGCATATATGTATTTCCCTCCTTGGCTAGAAATTTGAATACCAAAATCCAGTGGTTAATGAACAATTTTGTCTATAAAATGCCACACCTTTCTTTATATATGGATATTTATATATAAATATTTTTATACTCTGAATCAACCTAAAAGCTTCAATAAAGAAGTTGCTGTAAAATTTAGGTGCCCTAAGAAAAGGAGACAAAGAAAACAAAATAATGCATATTGCTAAAATATGCGATTATAAGCAGAGACTTCGGTGTGTGTGTGTGTGGGTGTGTGTGTGTGTGTGTGTGTGTGTGTGTGTGTCTTTAGAGAAAGCCCAGGGCCCGAAGTTCCTCACATTTAGACTTTTGATAAAGCAAAATATTTAAAGAAATATAAATAGAGAAGCCAAGACATGCACAAAAGACTTTGGTGAGAGGTGTTCAATCTGTAATTTTTGCATTTAAGAGATCACAGTATTTCAAACCCTATCTTGGCATTTCTTTACTTTTTACCCTTCTGGAGGCCTTGGAACTAGAAAGGCCCTAATACTTATCAAGCTTTGAGACTCTAATTACAGGCATATTGGTTGTATCTTAAATATGTAATGCCTGATTTTCTACACTTTGACTCAGAAAGTATATCTCTCTCCATGTTCACAAACCCACCAAAATATGGTCACTGTGGTTTTTTTAAAAAATATTTTTTTAATTTTTAATGGGCCTAGTAAAAAGGGGTAAGAGACCAAGGAGAGAGGCAGAAAAGGAGTTAGAGGAAGGATTGACATCACCATGCAAACAGTCCCATCACTCAGCCCCTTGATTCCTTTCCTTT
Organism: Homo sapiens; assembly: GCF_000001405.40. Taxonomy (NCBI): domain Eukaryota; kingdom Metazoa; phylum Chordata; class Mammalia; order Primates; family Hominidae; genus Homo; species Homo sapiens. The sequence continues at coordinate 147,905,351 of NC_000003.12, read as the reverse complement.
CACGGAGGAAATGTAGTTTCTGTTCCTGTACACAATCTATTAGCCTCTAGATGCCTGTTAAACTCTCAGAAGAGGGAAAGCATAAACTCTTACCTAGGAGCCCTCTGACCTCTCCATTTATAGTGAGTGAGCTTTCATGTGGAGTTAAGGTAGCTGTGCACAACAGGAAAAGGCAGGAGGTTTTGTCTGAGCACTTGAGCAGCCAGATCCATGATCAAGCAACATGATTAGGAAGACTATACAGTTGATCATTCCAACTGGAATGTTTTTGTCTGAGACAACTGCTGCATTGAACTGAGCACTGGGTCCTCCTGGCAAACTAAAGACAGCCACAGAGTAGACATTCGTTATTCACTGAATGAAGGAATAAATGAGTAAGACTGTAGCCCATCATATGCTTGTCATCTAAGGGATGACAAAGGTCAAGAAGTCATTCTGGGTTAATTTAGATAGCCATCCAAGGGATAGAAGTTGTGAAGTGGTGGGTTTTATGTTTTATGGTTTTTTTGTTTGTTTGTTTGAGACAAGGTCTCACTCAGTCATCCAGGATGGAGTGCAGTGGAGTGATCTTGGCTCACTGCAACATCTGCCTCCCCAGCTCAAGTGATCCTCCCACCTCAGACTCCTGAGTAGCTGGGACCACAGGCGAGCACCACTATGCCTGGCTAATCTTTTGCCATTTTTGTAGAATGGAGTTTTGGCATGTTGCCCAGCCTGGACTCGAACTCCTGGGCTCAAGCAGTCCACCTGCCTCGGCCTCCCACAGTGCTGGGATTATAGGCTTGAGCCACTGGCTTATCTGAAGTGGTGGGTTTTACCTCTTCATTAGGGCTGGCCTTGAGACTCTGAGGAAAAGGATCTGCAATCACCTAAGCTATCATCCAGCAGCATAGGCTATCTTGGAATGTAGTCATTGGAAATAGTCTCTGGCCAGGCTTGGTGGGTCACGCTGTAGTCCCACCACTTGGGGAGGCCAACGCAGAATGATAGGTTAAAGCCAGGAGTTCAAGACCAGCCTGGGCAACAAAGTGAGACCCTGTCGCTACAAAAAATAAAATAAAATAAATAGGCCAGGTATGGTGGCACCTGCCTGACTAGCTATTCTGGACACTGAGGTGGGTGGATTGCTTGAGGCCAGGAGTTCGGGCTGCAGTGAGCTATGATCATGCCACTATACTGATAGAGTGCAGTGACAGAGTGAGACATTGTCTCTAAAACAATAAATAAATAAATAAAATAGAAATAAAGTAAAACAAAATAATTAAAATTAAAACATTCTCAAAGTTTAAATATTACTTTTATTTTTAAATAAACATTTACTTCAAATTTTTTTTTAATAGAAGAGGGTAAGACTAAAAAAGTGCTATAGAAAAACAGGCTTTGGAATAGGAATCTAAAGCTCCAAGACTAACTCTGTTCTGTCAGTTCACTCTGAAATATTGGAAAGCTACTTGCATTTCTATAACATCTTTTTTTTCTTTTCTTTTTCTTTTTTTTTCTTTTTTGAGACAGAGTCTTGCTGTCGCCCAGCCTGGAATGCAGTGGTGTGATTATAGCTCACTGCAGCCTCGAACTCCTGGCCTCAAGTGATCCTCTCCTTAGCTGCCAGGGTAGCTGGGACTACAGTTGAGAGCCACCATGCCCAGCTATTTAAAAAAAATTTTTTTTGTAGAGATGAAATCTTGCTATGTTACCCAACTTGGTCTCAAACTCCTGGCCTCAAGTGATCCTCCTGCCTTGGCTTCCTAAAATGCTGGGATTACAGGTGTGAGCCACCTGACCTGGTTGCTACAATATCTTATCTGTAAAATTAACAAAAGGAGGCATCTACCAATCTCTGACTTTCTCAGACCTACCTATCTGTCTAACAGGGTTATTTAAAGAAAGAGTGACACATTCTAGTTCAAAAATCTTTTCCCAAAACAAAGCAGTGATGGATATAATATTTTAAAAGAGGGAGGAAAAGAAAATTTTAAAGACATAGTGGGCTTGAATAAAGGCAAACATTTTCTCAGACAAGAAACGGATCATCGTGTTTGACTTAAGCCTCAAACAGGGCTTGCTGGGCTCAGGGTCCAGCAGGAGGAAGCAGTGGTCAGGCAATTGTTCCCTATGGAACAAAAGAAGCAAAAGTGCTCACCTTTCACAGGCGTCTGGAATCAAACTCACTGTGTGTGGCCAAGAACTCAGCACAGCCCTTTTGGTTTTAAAGAAGGCTGAAAATTTCTCCTACCAACTATCACTTATTGTCTAGGGTTTTCGTTTAGGGGAAGCAGTAGGCCTAAAGATGCAGAGGAAACAGGCAGAGCCTCCCATCTGGAGCTGAAGCAAATTGCTTGTTGAATCAGAGGCTGGATCTGCAAACCCTTAATGTCATTGTGCACTCTGAGTGGCCTTTAAAAACCTGGTTCTAGATTGGGGGCCCAGTGGGCTGAGTAGTGTAAAACTTACAAGCGCAAAACTTACAAGCAAGTGTAAAACTTACAAGGGCAGGGAAGGGTAGGCAAAAATGAGAATTAATGGAAAGAAACAAATATAAAATCTTTCCAAATTAAAATTTATCTGTCTGCATGACTAGGTATGAAATATACATAAATAAATTAATTAAATTAATCTGCAACTATAAATTCCAAAGCACACACAAAATATCAAATGCTAAGAAGGACAAATCAAGATAAACTTTTAGAAGAAAAATTTATTTCAGATAAGTTCAGATCCTGTAGAATAGTCTGATAAAAACTTTAAATATGCTACTGATTTCAAAAGAAATGTAAAAATGTATTGCTTTCTTTAAAAAGAAAGACAATTTATAAAACAAAAAAGCTCAGAAAGAATACAAAAAATGAAGATGAGAAAAAATAAGTGTAAAGTCTTGAAAATAAAAAGTATAATCATTAAAATGAAAAATAATATATGGGATCAATGTAAGACTGGATATGCTCAGAAAGAAAATGAGTCAATTGGAATATGGTACCATAAGATATATTTTATATATATAAAATATGTATAATATATTAAATACATACTATATATTATATATAAAATATATATTTTATATATATATATATTTTTTGTTTTGTTTTGTTTTGTTTTTTGAGATGGAGTCAGAGTCTTGCTCTGTCACCCAGGCTGGAGTGCAGTGGCATGATCTTGGCTCACTGCAACCTCCGTCTCCTGGTTTCAAGCGATTCTCCTGCCTCAGCCTCCTGAGTAGCTGGGATTACAGGTGCGTGCCACCACGCCTGGCTAATTTTTGTATTTTTAGTAGACACGGGGTTTCACCATGTTGATCAACTTGGTCTCGAACTCCTGACCTTGTGATCCACCCGCCTCGGCCTCCCAAAGTGCTGGAATTACAGGCGTGAGCCACTGTGCCCAGCCATCATTATATATTAAAGATATGAAGATGTGAAGACCAGTTAAGAAACATCACAGATTAAATTGAAATGCTCTGATATTGATTTAATAAGAGCACCAGAAGAACAGACTGGAAGGAATGGCAGAAAAATCCATATTTGGAGAGGTAATTATTGACAACATTTCAGAATTAAAATTATGCTTCAAATATGAGCAGAATTAAAAAATAATAAATAATTATTATTTGGATTCATTACAGTTGTACCTCAGATCATCAACTATAAACATATCATTTAAAAAACAACCAGGTGAAAAAATATATGTTGCCTACAAAGGAATGACATTTAAACTAACAGCAACAATTTTTTGCCAGAATTACTTGGTATCAATTTATGCCAGAAGTTAGTAAAATTGTGTCTTAAATAATAGAAGAAAAAAATCTGTCAAAATAGAATTTTATTCTCAGCCACATTTTCCTTTAAAAGCAAAGAAAAACTGATGTTTTCAAACTTATAAAAATATATAAAGAAGCTCATCTGAAACTGCCTTTGCAAAGTTATGACAGTAAGAGAAATCTGACATAGTTGACTCCATCTTGTTTCTGACCTCCAATCTGTCCTTACTCTTTCCTGGGTATATGCCAAGCAAACTTTAGGAGGAATTTAGATTATAGTTTAACCTTAAAGCAAAGATGATAATAGCCCTTCCTCAAACTAAATGACCTTTGTAAACCTAATGAAAAGCCACAAGGTTAGGATTACGAGAAGGGCCAGAATTCTGATAACATCGGCATAGTTTCTATAATCCCTTATTCCTCAGGGGTCATGTGGCCAGAGGTTGCAAGATTTGTGACTTTCCTGATTGCTCTTATAGATAACATCACTATGTAAAACCTAAGAAATTTTTTTAAGATATCTTTCAGATTGACCCCAGCTGGACTCATGACCCATGGCTCAACTGATCCTGTGGCCCGCCTAGAGGCTGACTCAGTGCATGAGGGCCATTTCCCATACCCCTATGATTTCATCCCCAACCAATCAGCAGCACCCATTCCCTAGCCCCTGCCCAACAAATTGTTTATGAAAACCTTAACCTCCAAGCCTTCAGGGAGACAGATTTGAGTGATAACTCCAGTTTTCTTGCATGGGCTGGCCTCGTGCCAATTAAACTCTTTCTCTACTACAGTGCTGAGGTCTCAGTGAACTGATTTTGTCTGCAGCAGGTAAGAAGACCCTGTCAAGTGATTACAGGCTGCCACTCAAAGGATTATTAAAAAATGTATTTCTGAAAAAATAAAAGTAAGCACAGATAAAAAGTATTAAACATGAGATTATGGTATATATTATCATTGATAAAATATGCCTCAAGCTTATTAGGTATTAACTTCTAAAACTAACTTTAATGCTTTGTTTGTTTGATTAAAAGAAAGTGAAACTGGAATTATGCACAACAATAATATATGATGGGGAGGTAGGTAAAAGTTGCTTAGTGGGAATTGTTAAGGCACACTAAATGTCTTCTTATGGTTGGAAGAATAGAAAAATATTGAATATAGATCTGTATGTATTTTAAAATCTAAAAGTAAGGAAGTGGGCGGATCACAAAGTCAGGAGATTGAAACCATCCTGGCTAACATGGTGAAACCCCGTCTCTACTAAAAATACAAAACATTAGCTGGGCATGGTGGCAGTTGCCTGTAGTCCCAGCTACTAGGGAGGCTGAGGCAGGAGAATGGCATGAACCCGGGAAGTGGAGCTTGCAGTGAGCCGAGATCCTGCCACTGCACTCCACCCTGGGTGACAGAGCGAGACTCCATCTCAAAAAAAAAAAAAAAAAAAAATCTATAGTTTCCAAATCTATATACAGAAGGAAATATATATTATATATTTATATATGTTGAATACTATATATTATATGTATATGTAAAGTAAATAACAAGATACAGTAACAAAATAAAATGGCAGGAATAACTCCAATTCTGTCAGTAAACAAGCTAAAGTTAAATGGGTAAAAACAACCTATTAAAAAGATTATCAATATGTAAAAAATAATAATAAAATCCACTATGCTGTGCTCATCAGAAATACTAAAGCAAAAATATACAGAAAGGCTGAGAATAAACTGATGGAAAAAGAATTATTAACTAAAAATACTACGGCAATATTATTATAAAATAGAATTTAAGTGAAAGGGCATTAAGAGAAAAATTACATTATAATAAAAAGAAAAAACATAATCACAAATTCGTATGCAGTTAATAACATAGCTTCAAAATATAAAGCAATAACTGACAGAGGTACAAAAAGAAATAGATTAATACATTTATAGTGAATTATTTTTACACATCTTAGCAGAAACTGGGAGATCAAGAAAATTAGCAAGGATAAGGGGGCTGAGAAAAGGGGTTGCCAATATGGGCTGTTGTATTAATGCCTTCAGTGGTCTTCCTGCTTCCTTCTTGACCACCCTGTGGCAATATTACATCATTTTAACTGACCGTTTCTGAATGTGTTATGCTATCCAAGAGTTAAAGTGTTCCTCACTGTTCTACTTTTTCTTTCAAAATATTCTTAGGAATTAGAGTTTCTCTTTCAGCTTTAAAATTTGCCCTTCAATTTTCAAAAATTAAATTTCTTATTATAAACTTTGAGAAATGCATTACATTTATAGAATTAATTTGTAAAGAATTGACATTTTCTACAACATTTAATATTTTTATTCAAAAAAAAAGTGTATCCTCAATTTTTCATCCCCTTTAATGCCCTCTGCAAAGTTGTATAATTGCCTTCATGTCATTATTGTGTTGTTTAGAAAAGCATTAGATGTAAAAATTGCTAGTAGTTAAAAATATGATATGTCAATTTCATCTACTTTGACTAATTATTCTCTAAGTTAAAGTTCATCCAGCTTTTTCAGTTAGATGTGAAATTATCTTATCTCCCTGACCATCAGTCTTTCATTCATCGTCATTAATTCAATAATTCAAGAAATACTGATTTTGGACCAAATTCACACTTGGAGCCCTGAGATGCAAAGAAAAATAAAATGTAGTTTCAATCCCCAAAAGGCTTATAAATCTAAAATAGAGTAAGTAGAAAGAAGAAATAAATAAACTCAAAAAGTAAGAAAATATAAGAAAAATATAATCAAGAAAGAAGGAAGAAGGAAAAAAAAAGAAACCACAGATTGCATGTTGTGGACCCAAAAGTAACTCCTATATTCTTTTCACATCTGCATCAATGCGACATAATTTATAATTCATTAAGAGCTATATAAATAAATTTAAATATAAAAATAATTCTATTAGCAAATGCATACCTAAAAATACTGTGACGAACAAGGAAAGAACAAATTCTGAGCATCATTTTTAAACTAAAGATGTTATCATGTCTTAGATATTTTTTTACGTACTTGAATTGTTTGAGTTTAATATAGTTAATTATTGATTGCTTTGTGGTCAATTCACTGGCTTACCTTTTAATATTTAAATATCTAGCAGGCATCTGATTTATTGAAAGGCTTATAATCCACCCCAAAATGAAACTATTTGTTGACATTTTAAAATGATTTATTGGTAAAATGCTGCCAAGGACTTTTAAAATCAAATCCTGCAAAGAGCAGCTTGAAGTAGGTGAACAAAAATAATTTACATTACTCAAAAAGACATTTTTCATTTAATACCTAGGGTAAACTAATTGAAAATCTAAAATTATGCTGCTTTCCTGTAGAGTACAAAAAGGGATTATAACATGAAAAAAAACCTTTAAATCTGAGTATGCCATACCTTTCTGACTCGCACTTCCACTGTCATCCCTTCCTATCAGGTAATATTTAGGTCTGTGTTAATGGATGAGGGTCCATTGATCTCAGTTGGAAAATATGAGTCACTCTTGCTGATCACTGTGTGCTATTGCCAAAATTGCCTTCCTTGCTAGCAAAGTATGATTCTATTGAAGTCTGTCCCAAATAATCATCTGTATAAAGAATGATATGTGGTTTTAAACTTGAAGCTTATTTTCTAACCAGCTGAACTATTTTATTTAACTTTTACTTAAGAGCAGTGTGCTACATGCTGTGACTTCTTTTTCATGAAAAAAATATATAATTTTTTTTAAATGGAATATAGTGATGGTTTATTTGGTCAGATTCTGGCTGTTCATCACAGGAACAGCAATTTGTGCCCAAGATTCACCACTAGATTCAAAAAATCTATATTAATAAGGTCCTTTTGACATGTTTTAGATGAGAGGTTAAGTCATAATAATAATTCACTCCTTCACTTAATAACACTGAATTGAACAAGTAGGAGATGAGACTATGCCACCCCAAAATATGACCTGTAGTAGACCAGAATATGTTCACCCCAAAATGTGTCTCTTTGGATTAAGAATTATTTTGAACTGGCTATTTTGAGAAACTACAAACATGGGAGAAGCTCTGAAAACAGTAAAAATTACCCTTTTATAAGGGAAATGTACATCTATAAAGGAAATCTCTATTTGTATGGGTGTCTCCCTCTGTGTAGCAGGAAGAGAAGAAACAGTAACTCACTGGAGACTCTCATCAATGGAGAGCACTGACATAATACTGTTGAACAAAACTCACTCTTGTTCACTGCGCTTTTCCTGGGCATCTCCTCTTAACTGACCTCCTTCAGCACCCTTCTTTGTTTGTTTCAGCAAATAATGGTATTTAAGCCTGAACTCAAAGCCACCTCTTGAAGATTTACCTGTTTTTCTTTGGGTAACTCCCATTTATATGTTAGAGCGAGAGAATCCTCTCTCTCCTCTGTTGAGATTTAATATTTGAGGCTGGCTATAATGCCTCACACCTGTAATCCCAGCACTTTGGGAGGCTGAAGCAGAAGGATTGCTAGAGCCCAGGAGTTTGAGACCAGCCTGAGTAATGTAGTGAGACCTTATCTCTACAAAAAAATAAAAAGAAAAAGAAAGAAAAAAAAAGAAAAATTAGCCAGGTGTGGTGGTGCACGCACCTGTAGTCCGAGCTATTTGGGAGGCTGCGGTGGGAAGATTGCTTGAGCTCAGGGGGTCAAGAATGCAGTGAGCTATGATTGTGCCACTGTACTCCAGCTTGGGACAACAGAGTAAGACCCTGTCTTAAAAAAAATTGAGAGAGAGATTCAGTAACAAAAGAGAGAATCTAGGACACTTGGACACAGGATGGGGAACATCACACACCGGGGCCTGTCATGGGGTTGGGGGGAGCGGGGAGAGATAGCATTAGGAGATATACCTAACGTAAATGATGAGTTAATGGGTGCAGCACACCAACATGGCACATGTATACGTATGTAACAAACCTGCATGTTGTGCACATGTACCCTAGAACTTAAAGTATAATAAAAAAAAATATGTATATATAAAAGAAATGAACAATAGACCAATTAACAGGAAAAGAGGCATATAAATGTATTACATGCAGGGAGATTAAAGGAAGGTGAGTAACAAATAGCCCAGTGAGATTTAGAAGCTTATACACTCTCCTTCACAGGGGAGGGGGAAGTGGGGGACATAGGCAGATTTAGAGGAAGAACAGATAATTTTAGGGGAGAAGAATGGGGCAGAACAGAAAATGGCCTGGGACATAGTTCTCCTGGGGCTCTGGGTGTGGTGTCAACTCTAGTCTTCTTTTCTTGGAGTTTAATCTTCCCTGATTGGTGAGATTACAGGGAGGAGGCTCAACACAATTACACTCCTTCTGTGGGAGCTTCGCTTAGTCAGAGAAGTGAACTTCAGAGAAAGCCCCTCCCTGTGCTTCAGGAGAGACAGAGGGGCAAGATTGGCAAGGGGAGGAGAAGGGTCAGAGAGATCTTGGTTTTGAGGTTGCTTCTTTAGTTCAAAACACTCAACATGTCATAGCACCACACTTTGGTGTATCATTTTCTAAGCCCCCAACATATACATGAACCATATACATGTTAATAAACTAATGTTTGTTCTTCTCTTGTTAATCTGTTATAGCCATCTGTCCCAACTGAAAACTATAAAGGGTAGAGAGAAAATTATTTTTTTCTCCTCTATGTAAACAAAAAATAAAATCCTAAGCCTCCACTGACTGAACAGACCTCCTTGTGGCCAAAGGGACCCCAGAAAAACCTTAAAACTCAGTTCCCCGTCATGCTAGGACAGGAGGTCAGACACATCTCATTTTACCCACTCCCTTTTGGGGTTTAGGCACAACAACTGGTCAGCATTAATGTTAAAATATAGACCATAAGACTGACAGAACAGACTCTGTGACAGTAAGAAACCAAATTATAAATAGGACCTAAGGCCATGCTAGGCAAGTGCTATGTCACACACACCTGCACTTAAGAATAAACTATGTTTTAACTGAAACAAAGTTTTTCTTTTTCTCTAGCAACTAAACAAGCACAGGCCTTAAATAACCAGTATTAAAACAATCACAACTCATCCACCTCATAGATGCTGACTAACTGAATCCCTGTTCCACAAGCCATAATTACAGATTTGACTGGACAAGAAACTAATTGCAATAATTTTCTCCCAATAAAAAGACCACTGACCATGGACTGGCTCTGTCTGTTTTACAGAGACTCTGCACTCATGTGCCTTTGGTCCTGACACATGCCTACTGAACAAACATGCATGTTACATATGACCCATGTTCACTTTGGTGCAGATACTTCACATTTAAATGTGTTACAGTTAGGCCCTATAAATCAAAAGGTTTTTTTCCAGGCACAAAGGCACACACTTTGAAGGAGGCGGTGTTGGGGTTGGAGCTTTAGCCAACCTATTCAGCATAAAGCTCCTACCCCAACCCCTCCTCCATCAAAGTGCCTGTCTCTGGTCTTAGCTGGAGGCTGTGTTTCCCAGCTTGCGGGACAGCCTTTTGCAGGCGGTAACCCTTTATACGATTGGGCACTCAGCTCCTCCCTCATTAGCATGTAGTTTATTTTTTGAAATTTTTAGTTTCTTCTCTTTTTTTCCTATTTTGAGACAGAGTCTCACTGTGTTGCCCAGGCTAGAGTGCAGTGGTGCAAACAAGAGTCACTGCAGCCTTGACCTCCTGGGCTCAAGTGATCCTCCTTCCTCTGCCTCCTGAGTAGCTGGGACCACAGGCACTCACCATCACATCTGGCTAATTTTTAAATTTTTTTGTAAAAATGGGGTCTTACCATGCTGATCTGAAACTCCTGGACTCAAGAGATCCTCCCACCTTGGCCTTCCAAGCGATCCTTCCACCTTGGCTGGAATTATAGGCGTGAGCCAGCAAGCCCAGACTGAAATTTCAAGTTTCTATTGCTTACATTTTAACCAAATGTGATTGACAGTGTAAAACATAACATGCTCACTTCAAAAACGTGATATTGGGTTTTTATGATGAATAAGTACAGTTCCTTTCAGAGGAAAAATTCATTATTCAAATTCTCTAATAGCTTTCTCCAAAAAAACTGAGTCTTCATTTTGAGAAAGTGATTTTAAAGTCAAGGAAATCAAAAATTCTTTATACATTTTCTAGTGTATTACCTTAATTTTGCTTTAGGGGATGACAAAAATGTAAAAATTTATAAACAAAAATTGCTATATAAATAGTAGAATAATAACAAATAACAATAGTTATATTTTGAATGTTACATGCACTATGACAATACAATTGAATGAGAATTATAATTATCCCTTTTCTAAAGATAAGGAAACAGATTTAGAGAAGTAGTTTCCCCAACTTACTTGATCATTTAATGGTGTTATCTTTTTCATGTGACAGCCACCTCAAACTTCTTTCTCTTCAACTCTCTACTTTCTTCTTTCAGGTACAACTCTTTACCCATGATGTTACAACTCAGGCTACCTTGATTGTAGTTTGTGGATACTTAATTTCTTTTTCTTTCCTTTTTTCTTTCTTTTTTTTTGAGACCAAGTCTTGCTCTGTTCTCCAGTCTGGAGTGCAGTGGCGTGATCTCGGCTCACTGCAACCTCTGCCTCCTGGGTTCAAGCAATTCTCCTGCCTCAACCTCTAGAGTAGCTGGGATTACAGGCATATACCCCCATGCCCCGCTAATTTTTTTTTTTTTTTTTTTTTTGTATTTTTAGTAGTGATGGGGTTTCACCATGTTGGCCAGGCTGGTCTCAGACTCAAATGATCTGCCCACCTCGGCCTTCCAAAGTACTGGGATTATAGGCATGAGCTGCTGTGCCTGGCTCTGCATTTATTATTAAAAAAAAAAAATGCATGTGGGTTTTCTGAACAAAAATGTAAAATTGCTAGCAAAGATCACTTTTAGATTTTAATATATAAATATCTAACCAGATACTTTAGCATATTATAAAATTGCAGAGTCATACGTTTAGCAAAATAGTGCATTTTTGACAAGTTGTAAAGCATACTGATTTGATTTATTTTATGGCCTATACATTTGCTTAGAGAAGAGCCGATGACTTCATACAGTCTAAAGAACATTTTAAGCAATTCTTAAACAAGAGTCTTATGATTCCAATGTCAGAAATTCTATCTATAAAAACAATGGGTATGCAAACATTCAGCATCTACAGCAACATGACTTTTGGTTACAAGGATGTGGGCCAAAATGTAGCCTGTTTAATGCTTAATTATGACTATATTTCTGCCCAGAGCCCAGCATGTAATTCTTGTTAACCCTTTGAGGACGGTTACAACTACAGTTCAGAAAGGCGAGGCATGAGGAGTCCACCCAGGAGTGATTGAGATCAATGATTCATCAAGGTTACTGTGAATTGGAGGCAAGAAGCCACTGGCAGCTCTGCCACAACTACTTCTTAACTTCTATGAAATGATGAGTGGAATCCAGGCCCCACCTCTGCTGCACCTGCTTTTGGATACCCACAAGGCTGGAGACTGGATATTGCTGCAGAAAAACCCCTGTCTCCATTATCTTGCTTGAGAGCAGAAAACTGCCTAAAGCAGCAGATAGATGAACTCCATCTCATTTTTAAATTTCACAAGGTGTATTTCATAGGCAGAGCATAATTCACATACAAAAGTCTACATGTAAAGAAGCCTGTTAACTTTCTACCACTACAATTCAGGGCGGCAACTAGAGGGTACAGGGATAGATGTGGATTGCTAGCTGCCTGTAGTCAGCAAGCTCCCTTCATAGGAGGTTATGTTTTAGTGGATAATCCAAACACATATATACATGTAAAATTACAAATAATAGTTAAGCACTGTAAAGGTAAACAGAGTTCCTTGACAGAGAATGCTAGCTAGGGCAGACCTAATTTACTTGGGAAGAAGGGATGCTTTTAAAAATGCTCTTTGAGCTTTGGTCATTGTGGCTGAGATCTGAAGGTGCATGAGGATTTGTGAGGGTGAGAGTGGGGAGTTACAGGCAGAGAGAACAGCAAGTTCAAAGGCTCTGAGACATGTGAAAGGGTGAGGCATTCAAGAAAATAAGTGAAGTCCAGTGCACCTGGAGGAGAACAAACGTACAGGTGAGTTGAAGAGAAGGCAAAGGCCAGGTCCTGCAGGCCATGTAGGCCCTTTTAGGAATTTATCATGTCTAAGTTCAATGAGAATTCTTCTAAAGAAGTTTAAACAGGGTAGTGACATGATCCAATTCATATTTTTAAAATGATCATTCTCGTTGCTGTATAAAGAATAAATTGAAGGGAGTAGGAGTAAAAGTGGAAAGACCAGTTAGGAGGCTACCGTTAAGAACTGGGCAAGAGACAATGATTTAAAGCACTTGTGAGATATCTTACTGGAAATATCACATATACAGTAGGAGTTAAAATTTTAAAGCTTAGTTGAGGTCTGGGGAGAAGAATAAATTTGATACAAATGGGCCAATAGATAGTATTGAAAGCCACGAAAATGAATGAGAGCAGGAGATCAGGTAGGAAGATAAAAGAAAAGAGGACCTGGAAGTAAGTACTGAGGAATTCCGACATTTTGAAATTGTCAGGGTCATGGTTTTTGACAGCCAAATATTTTCAAAACTAAATAGGCTTTTACCTGTTTATTCCAAGAAGTTCTATGTGCTAATAATCATATGCTCCAAAGTAACAATGTTTTGTGAAAGAATAAAAGAAAAAAATCACAAGCCCTTTTTTGAGTTAATTTATATTTCTCTGTGTTTGGACTAACCTATATAACTTTTTATTTTTTCCTCTGGGCTTCTGTGAAGGCCTCCAGATTGGATATTTGCCCATTCATTTAAACTAAATTATTTTTCCAAATAATTTTTACCAAAGTCAAGGTGCAGTTGTGTTCTCTAAACTTGCAAGGCCTTGAATTTACAGATTCCCTCAAAATGAGATTCCTTCACTTCTATGTGAAATTCAGCCAACTCTTCCTTGAGCTCATTTCTTTCTTGTAACACTTGATAAACACAGCCCCAAAACCATCAACATTTACTGTTCATGTTCTGTTTTCCTACCTCTTTCCCTAGAGCTACAACTTCATTATGTATATAAGTCTCTTCTAAGGTAACCACAAGTGACAGTCTTTCTTTCCCTGACATAATGTCAGAGAGATACCACTTCTACAGTCATTTCATTGGCTAGAGTAAGTCATAGCCTGCTTAACTGCAGGGAAGCTGAGAAATGTTGAGGAGCTTATGGAATGTTTGCAGATTCATCCGTACCTGTCACACCATTCATTTATTCAAACTAAGAAAATAAAATGCCATGGGCATAATTAGATCCCCCTCAATATTGATTTTCAGATTCTTATGTTCTAATTATTATTAGTTAATGATTATACACTACCACCCCCCTTTAACCTTTTGGAGAACAAGGATAACAAATACATGTCAACTAGAATCCCAGGTCTACTCTCTGAATTTCTTTTTATAGTAGACCTTGCAGTGGAAAAGGATTTAAATTAATAATTAGTTAATTATAATAATTGATTATAAAATTAATGACAATTTCAAAGGAAAGAAAGAAAAAGGAGGCATATATATTCCCTTAATAGACAAAATTTATTTCCCTAAAAGGAAACAAGAAAACAGTTACATATTTCTTCTGCATTGTCCTGTGTGGCTGATTGTTGTTCAATATAGTCATCATCTTTTCCCTCACTTCTACGGGCAGTGGTTCCCCTTCTTTTGATTCTTGGCTTGGCTCATTCTTGCTTTGACCAATGGGATATTAGCAGACCTGACTCAAGCCAAGGCTTAAAAAACACCTGTGAGATTGGATTTGAATTCTCATGTCAAATATTTATTAGTGCATTCACTGATATTTTGTTGTATTTAGTTATACATTACTTTTTGAATCATATTGATCTGTATACTCCAAAACACTATCCAAATAGATGGAGTGTGACTTTTCCATTACTGATCAAAACAGTGCATGAAATGTGGCTTTTGGTGAATTAATACCCTCTAAATGTCAGGTTCCTCATTAGGTAAGGTCTCAAATAAGAGATATAAGGATCAGGAAAATGTGAACCCAAGTTTTGAGCTTATTCAAAGATGAATTACTTATATCAATGTATGCAACTTTTTTTCACTTTCATAAAAAATAATTCTCTACCACCTAACAAGTGTAAGCTTAAATTTTGCTTTCTGTGTGGTTTAAAACCCTAGATAGAAGAGCTTAATGCAAAATAAACTTCTAAACACAAATTGAATTTCATTCTCACTTCCTAATTGTGACAAACTCTAGTTAGCTAATCATTTACCTCATAACTTGGCTCTTTAAAAATCTTGCTAACTCTGGCCTCACAGGTACTTTTCAAAGGCTACAGTCCATCTTACACTGTTCTTTAAAGAGGTAAAAAGCTTTCTCAGTTCATCCTAGCTACTCTGAGCACTGTAAGACCTCTTTTCCCAGGGGACAAACTTCTAAATTTTTACCATTCTAGGTCAAGCCAGGCCCATTATTCTTTGTCTGCCTACTGGGCATTTATTTTTCTCTACAGAGAAGGGTCAGATGTTCTCTGACTGCGGCATATTTGTTGTTCATTTTCATTGTTAAACTAAATCTGTTGAAACAATGTAGAACAGATAATGGTCTCCTCTCACCGTAGAATGGAATCTAAGAAAGTGTGGGCAGCAGCCACAATCCACCCAGATTGCCTGGACACTTGCCTTTCCTGAATATATTGATGGCTTCTTACTGCAAATACCTGCAATTCTCTCCCTTGGGCTTTCTCTGGTGGCAGGAGCATGCGCAGCTGGGTATGGGTCAGGCAGCACTGGGGAAGGGGTAATAGCCCCTGGGAGCAGTTGTCAGCAAGGAGGTTTAGGAGTTGGTAGATGAATAGCACAGCTTTCTCCCACTTCTGATGGGACAACTCTGAGACAAGTTCTGTTCTGTCTTTTCTCCAGGGACCCACAGTCGTAACTTGTTCATTAATGCACCTGGTATTACCTCCTTCTCTTACCTATGTTAGGTCCCTACAACCTCACACATGCTTTCTGCAATCACTTTCCAAATAAATTACTTATACTCAAATCCTTGTTGAGAGGTCTGAATCTGGAGGAACCCAGTACCAGTTAGTGCATAAGTTTTTAAAAAAGAAAAAGTAAAAGGAAGAAAGGAAGGGAGGGAGGGAGGGAAGGTAAGAGAGAATGAATTAACTTGAGTAAATTAATTACTTAGGCAAAAAATTCAGCTCGGTAAAATAAATAACCTAATTCTTACACACACACATTATATATAACATTATGAAAATAGATGTTGCTTCCAAAAATATCACATCTGAAGATAAATATTGTAATCTTTTGGCCTTTGCATCTCTGAGGAATGAAGAACAGTTAAAACACACACACACACACACAGGGCCGGGCGCAGTGGCTCACGCCTGTAATCCCAGCACTTTGGGAGGCCGAGGTGGGAGGATCACGAGGTCAGGAGATCGAGACCATCCTGGCTAACACAGTGAAACCCCGTCTCTACTAAAAAAAAAAAGAAAAACAAAAAATTAGCCAGGCGTGGTGGCACCTATAGTCCCAGCTACTCGGGAGGCCGAGGCAGGAGAATGGCGTGAACCCGGGAGGCAAAGCTTGCAGTGAGCCAAGATCGCGCCACTGCACTCCAGCCTGGGCGACAGAGCGAGACTCCGTCTCAAACAAACAAAACACACACACACACACACACACACACACACACACACACACACAGGTTTTGGAATCCTGGATTCATGACCCTGCCTCTTTTAACAGTTGTGTGGCCTGGGACGTGTAGGCAGCCTCCTCACCTGTTAAATGAAGATGGTAATGACAAGCTCATCAGGGTTGTTTTGAGGATTAACTGAGATAATTTATGTAAAGAAAAATAAGTGCTGAGAGTTGGCTATGGCGACACTGATGTGATATGATAGTCATCGGTTCCCCTCCTGTTAGTTTAATTTGTTATACTCTATTGTGTTCTGGTTTGGACTTCTTTTTGGAAGCTGATGAGTCTAACACAAAAACTGTATCAATGACTAGACTATCAGGCCTTCAGAGATGACATTTGACTGAAGGTATTTTCAGAAATATTAGGATTGCTATTTATTTTTTAGAAATTTTTTCTTAATACTTGGGAGTCACAGAAATTTATCAAATTTATTAGAATTTTTAATTTGCTTAATGGCTAAACTATCTTTAGTAATAAAGAAAAATATCATAAAATATTATATAGATACTGTACTTTTTCTATATCCTTAGTGACATTATTGTCAAAATTAATAATTTTAAAGGTGCAGATCAAAAACAATTTGAAAGAGTAAATGATAAACATAAATCTATTTAACAGCATGATTTGCTGGGAGAAGGTTTTAGCCACAGGTATTTTGGTTGTAATGGGAAATCTTACATCTATTCCAAAGTCTTAAATAGATTTAAAAATCCAAAACATTACATCAGCTTCTTTGCAACTAACCATACTAAAATTATATGCTTTTTAAAATTAACAATGAAATAAAGATTGATTGCTTCTTAGGATTGGTAGGTGTGTTGAACGCTATAGAGCACTACATAAAATCTTTTTTACTGTTGCACTTTGTAGATTACTCTATAGGTTACTGTGAGTGGGTCATGAGAGACAGAAAAGTTTTATTGCCCCTGTTTTACAGATAAGGAAATCCAAGCTTACAGAGAGTAAGTAAGTAACTTGCTGAAGTTCTCAAAGCTAAATAATGGCAGATCCAGGAACTTGAGGCTTCAATCTTAAATATTTTCATCGTTAGCATGATATTTTGTTATTTTTTCAACTCAGCATAAGTCATCTCCTCTGAAGTATACTTACAAAGAAGACATCCCCTTCAAAGCCTAACATTTCCTCATGGAGTGTTTTTATAGAAATGAAGTAAGAAATCGAAATATGGAGAGCTGAGTTTCAGTATCTGAAGAAAACAGCCAGTTTTGTTTCATGGATATTAAAAATGCTTTCTTTAAGACCAAAATGGTGAAAAGGTAAAAGGACCTGGGGGCTGAGTGGTGGTGTTTGCTTACTGGCAGCTTTAGCTCCACCATCCCTGATTTTGCACTCACAGCATCTGGAGCCTGATTAGCTTTTGCCCAGAATAAGATTTCTTATGTCACTAGTTTTGTCTGTGAAAACTCTCCAGTGTGAAAATGCACAAAACTTTTGAAATTACTGTAAAGGACTCAAATATTTTTAGATGTTTTCCACTTGGTCACACAGGCCTCCTCTCATGTCTCCAGAAACCCTAATGTTGGTCTTTTTAAAAATATGTATTGTACATTGATTTCAATTCATGATCTAAGTTTCAGCACAGAAATCACTGTTGAACCGTTTGCAGATTCATTCCTAATGCTTCACCTAAAGGTAAAGTGTACATAACAGTATCACTGAGAAAGAGAACAAGAAACAGACTCTTGTCAAGGGCTCCAGATTAGGGCTGCATCTTGTGCAAAGTGAGGGCATAGTGAAGACTTTCTTATCCAGAGATCTGTCTGGCACTCGTCAGGTGGTGTTACTTGATCACAGCGGGATAAAAATGCACACCCAGGGCAAATCTGTAAACACCAGCTTAATCTGCATGGGAAGAGTCACTGTCATCTCCTCTGACAGAAAGAGCCCCCAGGACACATTCCAGCAGTGACAGTCACCTCAGTGTCTTAAAAAATATTGCCAGATTTATTACAGAATGATTAGAAATGTTGGAAAGCTGTATTGGGAGAAAAGAAATCAGTATTTTCTGAGAATTTTGCTTCTTTAAAGGTAATATAAATCCTTATTTTACATTGTGACTAAAATAAAATTTGTATTGCTTCAGGAGCTACAGGGTCTTCAACATTGTTACACAACAGCATCACTTTTTGTACTATTGCCTCTTCAAAAAATCTAACTATGTGGTCAGCACCATCCTTTCTAATAAAATAGGTTGAAGATGATCATTCCAGTATCTAACTTAAGTTCTTATTGTGCATTAGTATAAAAATCATAAAATTATTGCGGTAATATTTAAAGAAAGATAAATATGAGCAGACTTGTAGATACCTAAGGGGAAAAACTCAAAGATATTTGTAAAAATTAAACTGTAATAAGTGTAATGATATATAATTAACCCACAAAGTACAATTTTTTCCAAGTCTTGAAAGGTTTGCATGTGAATTTTTATAATACTAAATTTAATGAGGGACAAATAGTCATTCCCCACTCCATCCCTCTGACACACACATGAACAGGGAAATCCAGAGAATCCTGGCTGCCGAAGGTCTTTTCTGTGTGAAATAAGAATTCTTGCCATTTAGAAGTAGTGGCAGTGGTGGAGTAGTCAAGAACACCTCTGAGAAGCTGATGAATGTCATAAACTTTATTTTCAGAAGAAAAATAATACACAGAAAATTTGATATTCCATTTCAAAGGATTCATCAACTCCCTAAAATCCTACTATCCTGGGCTAAGAACCCTTAATGTAACACATTCAAGTGAATGATTGGTTCTGACTATGGCCAAAGTACTGTGGAGAGATGGGCTATTCCCACAGCAATGCCGAACTGTCATCACAGCTGGAAACTGTGGACTTTAAATTTCTTCTTAATGTCCTGCCCAAGTTCACCTGAGAATTGCTTAACTTTCTGCTTTACTTTCATTTAATTCAACACCCTGGCTAATTCCTGTGTAAACATATGTTTGACTATACATACATGGAGAGAAACATATTGAAAACATTAAGGGTTAAAAAATGGTTTACATTAGTTACTTCCATATATGTTCATTTGAATAAGGTGAAGCATCAAGAAAACTAGTTACCAGGAGCCTTATTTATCCAAGATGAATACCTAGAGATATTCTTTGGTATCAGTGTCAGCGTTCGCCAGAAAAAATTATCCCATTAAAATAGCCTTCATGAATAATTCAGAGAGTTCAATTTAATGGAGGAAGGGGGAGACAGAAACAGGTTATCAAATGTGTTGGAAACCCATGTTGCTGCACGGCATTTTTTATGAGCAGTTATAATGTAGGTTATTCTTTGTTCTGTATCTACATGAAAAAGTAGATCTCAACATTTAAACACCATTGCCTTTAATTTTTTGCTTTGTAGCCATTAATGCATTTTTTCAAATTCTATTTCTCAAAAAATATGTGTTGAACTGTGGAGTGCCATTTTTTTTTTTATAGTTGATAAGAAATGTTTGCCAATGTTGAAATAGTAGCAGATTTAAAAGGAAACAAATGGGATTACAAACTTTCTGTGTGGTAAAGATGATCATGAAGGTGAGTGTAGTGTACACTGGTTATTTATCTTCTATATTAGTTAGGATTCAGTAAAAACAAACTCAGAAGCCACTTTAGAAATGCCAATTATGAGGGATTTAGAATAGAGAATTAGAGCTTACACAACCTCAAGAAAGGCTGGAGGAACAAAGTTTCAGGAAGGGAGAGAGACAGATTAAGGACAAAGAAGAACAGCAATGGGATTCAGTAGTTCACCAAGAGCAAAGACTTTCTCTTCTTGATCTAGTTTAGTGACTACTGTCCCACATGCGGAGAAGCCTGATGAATGCAGGATGTTTCAGATTTGAAACTCAATAGCCAGTGGTTTTTTAGTTTCCCTATTAAACAGCAAGTGCCTTTCCTACAATGTAGATAGCACTGTATTTTTTACTTTGAAAACAAAAAGTAATGATATCATATTCCGTGCTTTTCTGTGGCTTCACAGAAATATGTGCTGTATTAACCATCTACATGTATTTTGTAAAGATAAAACCTTAAATGTTAATATCAATGGATCAAATAGCCACTAAGTTATATAATACTAATAATTGTAATTACCTCCTCTTTTCCCTGATTATCATCATCATCATTAGGAAAAAGACACTAAAACTTCAGTTTGGGAGGAAATTGTGTCACCTGAAGTAGCAGAGAGGGCTTTGTGTGAGAAATGGTGTTTCACCCAGTCTTGATAGGAGTTTCTCAGAGAACAGGCATAAGAGAAGTGAAGGTGGCCAGGTTTTTTTTGTTTGTTTTTGTTTTTGTTTTTGAGACAAGGTCTCACTCTGTCACCCAGGCTGGAGTGCAATGGTGTGATCTTGGCTCTCTGCAGCCTCAAACTCCCAGGCTCAAATGATCCTCACACTTCAGCCTCCTGAGTAGCTAAGACCACAGGCACGTGCCACCACACCCGGCTAATTTTTGTATTTTTTGTAGAGATGGGATTTTGTCATGTTGCCCAGGCTGGTTTCAAACTCCTGGCCTTAAGCAATTTGCCAGCCTCAGCCTCCCAAAGTGCTGGTGATAGCAAAAGGATGCAGACAAATTCCTAGGTAGACAGGGATGGGTTCCTCGTGAAACCTGACCATCAAGCCAAAGACAGACTGAAGCCTGAAAACAGAGCTGCCAGTTCCAGGTGCAGCCCATGACCAGAGTGGGAACTTCATCGATATCTTTTAGCTAACCGAATGGTGCTTTTTCCAGGCCCACCCATGGACCAATCAGCATGCACTCCCCCATTCTGGGCCCATATTAACCCCAGACTCTTCCTCACAGTTGGCTACCTGCTTTCAGGCTCCCCCTCCCCACACAGAGGGCTACCCTCTTCGGGTCCACTCTCATGTCGAGAGCCTTTGTGTGGCTCAATAAAATTCTTCACTGCCTTGCTCTCTGGTGTCCACATGCCTTATTCCTCTTGGTTGCAGGACAAGAACTTGGAACCTGCTGAACAGTGGGTACAAAAAGAGCTGCAACATGTGCTCCTACTCACAGAGCTATGGGAGGGGAAAAAAAACACTGGGTGCCACATGCCCTCATTTGTTGAGCTGTGGGCAGCTGGCATGAATGAGCAGTAAGACCCTCCTGTACACCAAGCTTCAGGTGGCAGGGAGAGCTATAACATGCCCCCCCCATCCACTGAGCTACAGGCCAGGGGGAGAGCTAAAACACACCTCCATCCCTGAGTTGTATGCAGTGAGTAGAGCTGTAACATGTTCCACATGTCGAGCTGCAGGCACAAAGAAGTGAAGCAGTCAGGTGCCATTCCCTTCTGACTGACTCACCAAACTATAAAAGCCAAAACATTTATTGGGGGCTCAGACCTCAGGATTCTCCAAGCAAGAGCTCTAACACCTCTTGGGGCTTAATGGCTGCTGGCATCTCTGACTTTTTGGGTGTCACCATGTTCCTTTTATCTAGACTCTGGTGCCCAAGACAAAAACCACTCACGGCACACCCAGTCTAGCCAGAGGTTGGGCACAGAGTCCCTGTTCAGGCACAGGATCTAGGCTGGGAAGTGAGCCTAGTGCAGCCTGCTGGGCCAAGTGAGTAGAGTGAGTCCAGCAGGCCTGAGGGAGGCCCCAGCCAGAGGTCACAGCAGCTAAAGAGATTTCTGGCTGGTGAAGTGGCACTAAAGGAATCCTGTAACATTTCTGGGGGCTTGACTGGGATCATCAGAATGGTGAGTAAGTGTGGACCTACTACTTGGATAGCACAGCTGCAGAGGACAGGCTTGCTGGGGAGGACTTTGTCAACTCCTCCATCACCCTTGGGTGTTGGGAATGTTAGCTTTGTTCCAATCAAGTTTCCTTTTATGGAGGTCTAGCTATTGTGTGGGACTGGAAGGTTCTTGGGCAAATGAGGGTATCTGGCTGAGGCTATATCATATTTTTGTTTATCAAAGGCCCCTAGACTGACTCTAGTCCCCCACAGCCCACTAGGGTGTTAGCACTAGGACCTCCAGTTTTTCCTATGGTATTTTCTTTCTTTCTTTCACAGCTGTCATGGCTTCTATCTCTTCTTTATATACAATGTTAAAGGTGCTGTTGTAAACCACAAAGGTAATATAATTGGATAAAATGAGCACTTGGCTCAGTCATCGGGAGTGTAATTTGGAACAATGTGGTTTCTGTCTATTCTTAGAAGCAAGTAGAATGTAATGATTAAGAAAGTTTTCTTCCCCCTGCTGAAGGAACCTATTAGCATAAGGCAAGAGGCTATATCCCCCAGGCACCTTCTCTCCTCTGCATTTAAGTTGTTTGCTTTTTTCCCACCATGTCAGGAGTCAACATAGTCCTGAGAATACAGGGAGATTTTCTATGCAAGGGAGTAATTTTTTCCTCATGGGAGGCATATTATTAGGACAGGTCTCCAGTTCCCAGGACTCCCTTTCTCCTTTTGTTTGAGGAGGATCTGGTTCCACAGCTTCACCTTAGCATTACTCCAATGTATTTTTCAAGCTTCAGTTTGGAACCCTAAAAAGAGAACTATATCTGAGGGACCTAGAGCCAGTCAACAGCAGAAGGCTAGGTTACAACACAGGTGAACATGACTATCCCTGATGACTAGGCCTTTCTGCTTCATGGGTGGAGAACTTGTTTGCATTCATGGCATAGATGAGGTCTGTGGAACCCAAAGGTTACTGACAGCAGAAGGCTAGGATACAGCATAGGTAAGTACGACTATCCCTACTAACTAGGCCTTCCCAATTCATGGGTGGAGGTTGCACTCACATCCATGAGTGGCTTCTTGCTGGCTGCCAGGACTTGAGGAAGGAAAAGAGGGTAAGAAAAAAATGACACCCTTTGTTCTCCCCCTCACATACCCCAGGTTTTTGCTGAAAGAGAGACAGGAACTAAAGGATGCCTTTTCCGCTCTCTTTCAGATGGGTAACAGACCATCTTCAGCCTGCACTCCTCTTGAGTGAATCTTGAATCACTGGGACTCCTTTGACCCTCAGACTCTGGAAAAAAAAACCCTTTAAATTTCTTTGCATGAGGGTTTGGCCAGATTGTGATTTGCAGGAAGGACAAGCCTGGCCTCTAGAGGGAAGCATTAATTTCAATACTATCCTGTAGTTGGACCTTTTCTTTAAATGCCAGGGCAAATGGTCTGAGGTCCCATATGTGCAGGCTTTCTTTGCCTTGCAGGGTAATCCAAAACTTTGCTGACATTGTAGGATTGATTCAGCCCTCCTAGTGACCATCTCAGGAGAGGCTGAAAAAGGCAATCCCAAGGGAATAGGAAAGTGAACCCCCCAGGTGCCTCCACCAAGGGAGTCAGCTCCCTCCAGTCCTGCTCCTCCTAGTCCACCACATTCTCCCTATCAAAGTTCTCTCTCAAGCTTGCCCTATCCTAGAAGTCCTTGTTTTAGGCAGATCCCAGTCTCACTCCTACCGCTACAAGAGACACCTGGTGAATATGGATCCATTAAGGTCCAGGTCCCCTTTTCTCTACAGGACTTAAGGCAAATTAAGGGGGATTTTTTCAAATTTGCAGATGACCCAGGCATGAATATTGAGTCTTTCTAGAATTTAATCCAAGTATCTGAACTCTCCTGGAAGGACATTATGTTACTTTTGTATCAAACTGTGCAACAGCCCTTTTAATACTCCAAAATTGGAGGTATAGAAACTCACCAGGGAATGGAGACTCATCCAGGATCTCTACCTCATTAATGAGGCCGTGGTTCCAATTCATCCAGTGTTTCTGAGTCCCTATGACTTGCTAAATCAAATACCTGAGGGAATTAAATGGTTCACAGTCCTGGACCTAAAGGATGTCTTTTTTCTGCATACCACTACACCCCAACTCCAATATTTGTTTACATTTGAAGATCCCTACAACCAAACCACTTAGCTAACCTGGACAGTGTTGACCTCAGGGATTCCAAGATAGTCCCAACCTGTTCAGGCAGGCACTGTCAAAAGATCTGAGTTCCTTTATCCTCAGGTTAAAGTTTTACACTATGTAGATGACATTCTCCTTTGTGCTCCAGCTGAGTCTCTCAGGAGGGCAGTAAGAATCTTCCTAATTTTCTGGCTAACAGAGGATATAAGGTCTCAAAATCTAAGGCTCAGCTCTGTCAGACTTCAGTCAAGTATCTAAGTCCAGTCTTGTTAGAGGGGACCAGGACACTAGGCGAAGAAAGGATTAAGCCCAGCTCCTCCTTTCCCATCCCCCAAACCCTCAAGCAACTGAGGGGATTCTTAAGCATTACAGGATTCTGCAGATTATGGATACCTTGGTACAATGAGATAGCTCATCCCTTATGTTACCTAATAAAGGAAACTCAGGCAGCTAAGACTCACTCCCTAATTTGGGAACCAGAGGCTAAAAGGCCATTTGACCAATTGAAACAAGCCTTGCTTGAGGCACCAGCCCTTAGTCTTCCCACAGGGAAGATGTTCAATCTTTATGTAACATAAAGGAAGAAAATGACCTTGGGAGTTGTAACCCAGGCCCAAGGTCCAGCCCAGCAGCCTGTAGGCTACCTAAGCAAAGAGCTTGATTTAGTAGCTAAAGAATAGCTGGCCTGCCTCTAGGCAGTTGCAGCAGTAGCCTTGGTGGTATCAGAGGCTACTAAGTTAACCGTGGGTAATAACTTAACTGTTTATGCCCCATGTAATGTGGCAGGACTGCTGTCTTCTAAGGGGAGTCTCGGGCTAATGTACAACCACATCCTGGAATATCAAGCTCTGTTATTAGAGGAATCTGCAGTCCAGTTAAGAACTTGTCCCTCCCTAAACCCAGCCACCTTCCTCCCAGGGGAAGCCATGGAGTTTGAACATGACTGCAACCACATAGTAGTGCAAACCTATGTGGTCAGAGATGACTTCAAACTAACCTCCTTAGAGAACCCAGCCTGGACTCTCTTTATGGATGGAATTTCTTTTGTAGAACAAGAGTTTCATAAAGCAGGGTATGCAATAATCACCCTGAATGACATTATTCAGAGCATGCCTCTCTTCTCAGGCACAATTGCTCAACTAGCTGAACTAATTGCCATCACAAGGGTGCACAAATTAAGCAAAGGGAAAGCAGTCAACATTTATACTGATTCTAAGTATGATTTCCTAGTCCTCCATGCCAATGCCACTATCTGGAAAGAGACTTTCTCACAGCTAATGAATTGCCCATTAAATACCATCAGGAAATTAATAGACTATTATCCTCAGTTTTCTTTCCATAGGAAGGGACAGTAATACCTTTCAAAGGCCACCCAAAGGGGAGGGATGAAATAGTCAAGGGAAATTAGTTGGCAGACCAAGCAGCTAAATCGGCAGTGAGAGGGCCACAGATTTCTGATCCTCTTGAGGCCCCTCCAATCTGGGAGAGCTTTGTAAGATAAATAAAACCTCAATATTTTCCTGTGGAAATAGAATGGGCCACCTCTCAGGGATACACCTTTCAGCCCTCAAGATGGCTACAATTGGAGGATGGCAAGCTTCATCTACCAGCTTCCAGTCAATGGAAAGTTCTTAAAATCATTCACCAAGGCTTCCATCTAGGTAAGGATAAAACCTATCAAATGTCCCAAAGGTTGTTCTCACATAAAAAATCTGCTAAAAGAGTCAAACAGGTCAGTAATGCTTGTGAGACTTGCCTTAAAAATAATCCCCTCAATTAATGACTTCTCCTCACTGGAACCCAAAGAATGGGAAGCTACCTGGGAGAAGACTGGCAGATGTATTTCACCCATATGCCAAAGATAAGGGGCATCCAGTATCTTCCGGTATTACCCTGGTTTACCTTCACTAACTGGGTAGAAGCATTTCCATGTTGAAGAGAGAAAGCCTCTGAGGTGATAAAAGTACTAATTAATGAGGTAATTCCTCATTTTGGACTTGCTAAATACCTCCAGAGTGATGTGATAATAGCCCTTCATTCAAGGCAGCTGTCACCCAGGGAATCTCAAAGACACTAGGCATAAAATGCCATCTTCATTGTGTTTGGAGACCACAACCCTCGGGAAAGGTAGAAAAGACAAATAATATTATCAAATGGCAACTAAGAAAACTGTCTCAAGAGACTCATCTCCCCTGGATTACCCTTATTCTTATGGCCTTACTATGTTCGAAATACCCCTTCAAAGCTGGGTTTAAGTCCCTTCAAAATGATGTATGGACGGTGTTTTCTCACCAATGATTTCTTGCTAGACCAAGAAACCTCTGATGTGATTAAACGTGTAATTTCTTTGGCCCATTTCCAACAAGAACTGGAACAACTGTGTGGCCCAACCCCATGAACTAGGGCCACCTCTGTTCAAATCAGGGGACTTAGTACTGGTAAATGGTCTTCCTTCTCTTTCTCCCTCTGTAGGCCTGGATTGAAAGGAACCTTACACTGTACTTCTATTCCTTCAGCATTAAAGTCACTAGAATTGATTATTGAACTCATTATAGTCACATAAAGGCCTGAGAAACTGACGGAATTATCTCTGTTGACCCAGAACAGCCCCCAAAGCACCAGTGTGAAGAAATCGGAGACCTCAAGCTAAAAATAAAAGATGAGTGTCAATAATTAATCTTCCATAGATACTCTCTTTATAGTCTTGCCTATGCTTGCTGTACTTGCCTTCTTCTCTTCCTCACCATAAGGCATGTTTGCCAAAGACCCCTTGATCCTGAATACCCATGGGATTATCTACTCCCCTAAACAGCTGTCTTTTTTCTAAAGTTTAACTGCCCTCCCCTATACAAGACTTAACTTATTACACTAAGGTGAAACAGTTCTGGCCACAACATTGTTTTCAGAATGGTTAGTGTATTTTACTTTTTATTTCTGTTATCTTTGACACCAGATTTTTTCCTTTTAGTTCCTTTTTGTATAATAGTCATATTTGGTCCATGCATACTTAACTTCCTTGTAAAATTTGTTCTTCTTGCCTAGAGACCAACAAACTCCAAATGGTCATGCAAATGGAGGCTTGGGCAATGGCTCCCTTTTACTGGGGACCCTTAGATAGGCCTCTGAGAGAAATCTGACTGCCATTTTCCCAAAATAAAGTCTCTTGTCAGCATGAAGCAGTTAGAGCAGTCACCCTCCCTATCCTAACAGCAGTTAGCTGCACCTCTTCAGAGGCAGATTGATAGTGAAAGGAGGCAGACAAATTCCTAGGCAGACAGGACAGGCCCTAGGTAAAACCTGACCTTCAAACCAAAGACAGCCTGAAGTCTGAAAATAGAGCTGCCAGTTCCAGGTGGAATCTACAACCAGAGTGAGAACTTCCTTGATGCCTTTTAGCCAATCAAATGGTGCTTTCTCCAGGCCCACCCATGGACCAATTAGAACACACTCCCCCATTCTGGGCCTATAAAAACCCCAGACTCAGCCTCACAGACAGCTACCTACTTTTGGGCCCCTTCTCATACAGAGGGTTGCCCATTTTGGGTCTCCTCTCATGTAGAGAGCTTTTCTGTCACTCAATAAAATTCTTCTCTGCCTTGCTCACTCTCCAGTGTCTGCATACCTCATTCTTCTTGGTCATGGACAAGAACTGAGAATCCACTGAACGGTGGGTGCAAAAAGAGCTATAACATGCACTCTTGCTCACTGAGCTATGGGAGTGAAAAAAACTGCTGGGTGGCAGGAATGAATGAGCTGTAACCCACCCCCATCCCCTGCCCCCCACCCCATGCACCGAGCTGCAGGCAGCAGGGAGAGTTGTAACACATTACTGTCTGCCAAGCTGTGGGTGGTGGGGAGAGCTATAACAACTCTCCCGTTTGCCTAGCCATGGGCCCAAAGAAGTGAAGCAGTGAGGAACCATTCCCTCCTGGCTGGCTCACTGAACTTCAAAAGCAGCAGCATTTCTTAGGGGCTCAGACCTCAGGACTCTCCAGGCAAGAAGTGTAACACCCCTTGGGACTCTGTGAGTGCTGGTATCTCTGAGTTTTCAGGTGGCACTATGTTCCCCTCATCTAGACTCTGGTGCCCAATGTGAAAACCACCCACTACAAGCCTGGTCCAGCCAGGAGCTGGGCGTGGAGTCCCTCATCAGCACAGGATGCAGGCCAGGGCATGAGCCCAGTGCAGCCTGCTGGGCTGACTGGGTGGAGCAAGCTTAGTGGTCCCAGTGAGGCCCCAGGCAGAGGTCACGGTGGCCACAGAGATTTCTGACTGGTGAAGTGGCACCAAAGGAATCCTGTAACAGTGGCAGTACAGGCATGAGCCACCACACCTGGCTGAAGGTGGCAGTTTTTTAGAGGAGCAGAAAAGAGAAAGGCTGTGAGTTGGATTTCCTAGGATGTAGAAACTGAGAAGGAGATAAGTGTCCAGGAAGTTTACTATGATATGTTTTTGGAATCAATATCTGGAAGAAAGAAGAAAAGGAAACAAAAGTGGGTAGGAGGCGAAGCCAAGCTGAGAGGTAAGACAGTCTCACTGTAAATCTATGAGATGCACTGCAAATGGAGCAGGCCTTTACAGATGTTCCAACTGGGCCTAGAAGGCCAGACCCTTATGTCTTCACTTCCATTATTGAGTGTGGATTGCCCTGAGAAGGAGGAACAGCTTTGGGCTAGTTTTCTTTCTTCAGCTAAGGCAATTTCTGAATGGAGCTAAGATCTAAGGGCTGTCTGCCAGCAGCACTCACAGCATCTGGGAGAATAAGTTCTAGGTTCCCACAAGGTGGCATAATAAGTGTCCATCAGAGGAAAGATGCGATGGTCAAATATTAAAACATTTCAGGTAGAAAGAACAGTACCTCAGGGCAGACTCAGAAGTAGAAATGAGAGAGATAATGAAAAAGAAAAACCTGTACGTAAAAAGGTATTTGTAGCTACAATTAGGGCAGATATATCTGGACCAAATAAGAAATAACATTAAAATCCAGGCTGAGGTTTTCCAAATAATGTAGCAATACACTGGGAGCTCCATCTGGATTTGAAAGAAAAAAGCCATGCGTAAAGAGAATATGTATGGCAATGTTGTGTTATAGTTGGATGAAAGGAAAATATCTTGAGTCAAATAGAGTGTGGAAGAAACTGATGGTTGCTTTTAGATATCTATTACTAGCATCTTCTCTTTCTTTAATAACTGGTCCCCTTTTTGAAAGAGGCTTTCCGTGAAGAAAGAGGTGATGAATGAGACAGAAGCATATGCTAGGCAGTGCTTTAGGGAAAGCTCTTTAAAGTGTGACTCACTTGCCCCTCCTTCTTTTTCCTGCTTGGGGCTCAGAGATGATGGCTAGAGTTCCAGGACCCATTTTAGTCTATGGGGAAAAGACCAGGAAGAATTGCAAAGAGCTCAAATTGCATACTCTCGAGCCACTGAACTGATGCCAGCTGTCCCCTCCTTCCAGATTTGTCATTACATGTAAAATATAATAATAAACCCTTAAGTGTTGAAGTCACCATAGTTGAATCTCTAATACCTGCAGTCAGACACAGTTACTAATGATAGCCAATGGTCTGACAAGAGACAGGACTTGTGATTAACCTATGCCTTCGGGCAAGAGTAAAGAAAACATCTTTGTCCTCAGGGGGCTATAATTGAGTTAGGTAGAAAAGACTTCTATCTTGAAACAATAGTGAACATGATATAATAATATATAATTAAGCCCCTATTTAATTTCACACTACAGAAAATATATCATATAGGAGTTCAAAGGAGAGGAAACTCAGTGATGCCTTGGTCATTACAGAAGGCTTCATCATGAAGGGAAGACATGAGCTAACCCATAAGTAATGGGTAGATTTGCATAGAAAAAGAAGATGTCAAGGAATTTAGAGAGAGTAAAACCATCAAGTTGAGAATTAAGATGGCATACTTTATACAATAGAGTATAACTGATTTTTCTTAAGTCAGGAATATAGTTGGGCAGTTCATATAATAGGAGAAAATGATAGGAGGCTGGCAAGTCGCACAGAAAAGACTAGATTTAATACGAGAGAAAGTAGGGAGCTAATGAAAATGTATGCCACCCAAGTCACTTTGAATATTTGGGTACGGCATAAAAGAAACTGCAGAAAAGCCTTTACCTGAAGAGATTAGCCAAAAGACCACAACAGTAACCCAGAAGCAAGGAGGCAAGAGTCCTGAATCACACTGTACAAGTGAAAAGAGATGAGAAGGCATGGATACAAGAGGTATTTCTATATTTCAACTAGTGAGTAATCTTTACCAATGCTTAAAAAGATAAGACAGGAACCAGTCATGACCAGCATCCTACCACAAACTATTACTGCTTTGGGTAAAATGCTGTAATGACTCTCCAGTGAGCCTTGAGGACACCATAAGCCTCATGAAGAAATCCCTCCTAATAAGATAATATGCACTTCTAATTAACATTTCTGTAGGCCCATCCATCAGATTTTATTGTTTTATTCATATAAAATTGTAATTTTCTTGGTAAATGCGTTGCTTATTTTTGTTATTTCTATTTTTATCACATTGTGGTTAAGAGTTCGGGCTCCACAATTGGACCACATGGCTTTGAGTCCTGCGTTTTCTCAGTATCAGCCCTATGACCATGGACAAATTGCTCAAACTATGTGTGCCTCAGTTTGCTCATATATAAAATGGAATAACACTTTTTCCATTTGAGTATTTAATATGTTTATGCATATAAAGAATTTAAGGTGGGGTGTGGTAGCTCACACCTGTAATCCTAACACTTTGGGAGGCTGAGGTGGGAGAATCACTTGATCCCAGGAGGACAGGGCTGCACTAAACTGTGTTTGTGCCACTGCACTCCAGCCTGGGCAACAGAGTGACCCTGTTTAAAAATTAAAATAAAATAAAATGCTCAAGAATACAAATGTTCAACAAATATTAGTATTATCATTATTCTGAAATTAGCTGGTTTCTATTTGGTTCAATAGAGGAAAATGTGTTATTCAATAAATAGCACTCGTATGACAAGCTATATGGAATAATGTTGTTTACAATAAGAAAAGAGAAAGAAAAAAGTCTCTTCTTTCAAGTCTTTGAAACTGTTTTTTTCTCCTTAATGAGGTGTGGTGGCACATGCCTGCAGTCCCAGCCACTTGGGAGGCTGAAGTCAGAGGATCACTTGAGCTCTGAAGGCTGAGGCTGCAGTGAGCCAAAATTGTGCCACTACACTCCAGTTTGGGCAACATAGTGAGATCCTATTTCAAAAAATAAAAAAATTTAAAAATTCAAAAAAAACCCTGTTTTCTACTTCATGTATTCATTTTTTCTGGGTTTAATTGCTTTGTTCTTTCAGGGTCTTCTCTGTATCTTTGCTTGTACTGGCCAGCTCATAGCCACAAGGGCTGCTTGGGCTCACCACTGCACAGAGGTTCAGGATATTCAACATTGAGATGTGGGAACATGGAGGGTGGACCTCTCCCAATACTCCCCAACTGTCTGTGCCCATGTTCTAGTCACTCATCCTTTCTCAGTCTTGATTTACCCTTCTGAAAAATGTGGGTCCAAATTCATGCTGAATTTATCTCACTATCACAAAGTTCAGAGGATCAGATATATTCGAGTGCTTTATAAAGTTTAAAGCACCGTTCAAATGGACTTTGTTTTCGTCACTAACATCATCACCTCCATTGTCTACCCTTCACACACAGCAGAATTCACTTACAACAAAATCACTTCCATTCTCACAGTTTATCAAACAAAGCCTACCATGGCAGGTAACGGGAAGGGACGGGAAATAGCAATATGTGTGCAGGAACACCATCTCTGTCTTAATTCCCTGAGTGCACAGTCATCTGTTCTCTGATGAACTTCTTGATAGGCTGCGTCTACCCTTCCAAGTGTGTTGCTTCTTCAGCATGGGAGGCCTTCTGTTTGAGTCAGACTTTCATGGAAACTTTCCATTTCTTTTTTGTTGTCACTATTTTTTTAACTTTATTTTGAGTTCGGGGTACCTGTGAAGGTTTATTACATAGATAAACATGTGTCACAGAGGTTTCCTGTACACATTATTTCATCAACCGGGTATTAAGCCCACTACCCAATAGTTACCTTTTCTGTTACTCTCCCCTTCAAGTAGACCTTAGTGTCTGTTTTTTCCTTCTTTGTGTTCCGTGAGTTCTCATCACTTAGCACTCACTTGTAAGTGAGAACGTGTGGTATCTGGTTTTCTGTTTCCATTCCATTTTCAGAAAAATTGAATCTCGCCACCAAACACCTGGACAGAGGTTTCTCTAGTAACTTGTACCAGTACTGCATTTTGAGCAAAAGATCAAAAGATATTTTTCAGATCAGGACACAGACTACTGGCCTTGCTTGGCCCCTGAAAAGGCCTGAGGCCTTCTCACTGGCCAGGAATCTTGAGGCCAGTTTCTTCACTGGGTCACTAATCCCCATCGCACTTACGCCTCAAGCTTCTCCACTAAACTTTCTGCTGACGTTTTCTCAACTTCATGCTATTGTATGTTCCCTGATGTGGCAGACTCTTCTGAGATCTGTGAAATTCCAAATCTGCTCTAAATAGCTCTTCTGCTTCCCAAGAGGTTCCCTCTACCTCCCAACTTTAATTCAACTTGCCTCCCTCCACAGGACACTACTGCCCCTTGAACGACAGCTAAGTTTTGCTTATTTCTATCTATGAAGAGACTTTTATTGGTTTCTGCTGTGTCACACATTACAGGCTCACATGCCACTTTCTTTGCTTGTATGAAGGTGGCGGTGACTTTTTCTTTGATCTTTCTGCTACAAAGACCAATGATCAATTATATCTCTAGACAAGATGGAAAAATGTAATAATAAGAATATGGGAAAGAGAATTATAATATCAACATTTTAAGTTTCTATGCCAAATGTCTAAGAACAATCAGTACATAATAAAATATTTTACTATATAGCAACAGTACTTGATAAAGATTTTTTCCCACACATTTTCTCATTCATAAACTTAAAACTGTGAGGAAGAAGGGCAGCTGTTAGTTATTGTTACTTTTTTAAAAAGGAGATTGTAACTCAGAATGCTAATTGACATTTCTGTGGTTACTTGGTGAGAAATAAACCCTCTGTTATGCATCCATCATCTGATACTTGTTCAGTGACTCTCTATACAGCTACAGGGTTTTAAAACATCAATTTTAATCATGTAAAGATCATATGAATATGGGATTTTTAAAAATGCATGCAGTTTTATCATGCTATTAATTCATTATTTGTACTTTAAGAAAATGATCTTGCAAGAACTCTCTCTCATCTTACGCTTAAGTAAAATGACCTTCTAAGAATGGCTTTCTGCGCAGCCGAGCCCTCTGAGCTGTCAAGCCGAGATGCTTGTTTCCCGTTTAATGGAGAGGGCTTGCATGGGTGAAATGGTTTTATCCGAATGTAAACCCTTGCCATCAATAAGTAACTGGCCTGAAGGCACAAAGTGACAGAGTAATACTTTCAAAATTAATTTCCTTAACTGACGTTGCTGGTCTTTGGAGACTGTTCTCCTCTATGGGACATTGCTCCAGAAGCAAAAGTGAACATTTTTCAATATACAATTGTAGCTAGATTTCTTTAATCTCATGGGGTGAAGTAAATCTGTATAAATGTTGCAGTTCTGTGGCTGAATCAACACAGTCTCAGAGAGTCCTATATTTTGCAAAGATAAAGAAAAAAATAATTAACAACAACAAAAAAATAACAGACCAAATCACCTATCAGGAGAAGATAAGACTAAGGGAACTCACATTTTTTGAGGGCCCACAAAAATTATTTTGTCCTTATCCTCACAGTAGCCCTTTGAAGCTGGCTATTATTATTCCCATTTTTAAGATTAAAAACCTGAGGCTCAAGAATTAAGTGACTTGAACCAGGCCATGCAAATTAAAAGTGATAGAATCCTGTTCAACTCCAAATGCTGGGGTT
Source organism: Homo sapiens (assembly GCF_000001405.40). Taxonomy (NCBI): domain Eukaryota; kingdom Metazoa; phylum Chordata; class Mammalia; order Primates; family Hominidae; genus Homo; species Homo sapiens. The sequence goes on along the minus strand of NC_000003.12, from coordinate 147,871,056 downwards.
TTCCCACTTTTCTGCATAGTTTCATGAAAAGTGTACATAGTAGCATCTTTCCCAAAGCCATCATGGGCATCAGGAGGCAAATATCTTATTTTCTCTGGGTACCATAGAACCAACTCTAATTCCTAATTTTAAACAGCTTTACAATTTTAATTGTAATATTTTAGACCAGTCATTGTTTCTCGTGTGTCTTAAAAGGCTGACCTATCCTGTCAATGAGCCACATGCATTTTCTTTATTTTTTGCTTATCTTTTTTTTTTTTAGAATACATTCTATAAACAACATTCTAATTTAGAAAAGAAAGTCTACCTTGAATTTATACTTGGTACCAATTTATGTTGTAACATTACTGACAGTGTCACTTAATTTGCCTAGTTGCCTATGGTCTAAATGTAGGTAATTTACAAACCTTTAACGATTTTCAGCTTTGCTAAATGGTACAGAGAACTGCAATTACACTTAAAATGCACTGGCGCTCTATATGTCAGTAAAAAGCACCTACAAAGACATAATTATAATGTAATTGCCCACAAGTTCATGAAGTAAACATACATTATTAGAAGGCACTCGTCTGTTCAATTTAAGTAACATTACAGCTAACATATTGCATAAATAGGGAGCCATTTTGTGACTAGTTACTGTAATAACAGGAGTTTAAAATGTGGTGCCTAAGTATATGTATACTTAAGATCATTTTGGATATGTTACTGAATATCCAGTGACTTGCTTTTAACCTTTAAAAATTGCATTTTAAATATTAAATTCGTTTTACAGAAATATTTATGATAAATATATGTGTCAGGTCTGATCGAAAATAGGTGTTACAGAAAAGCTTTTTAAAAAAGTTTTAATCCTGAGAGAAGATGCAGATTCATATTTTACAAACATATAGAAATATGATGCACATATAGGGAGATGGCCAACTATGATCTTATGCTGTGCAGAACACACAAATCAGCAACTTGAAATCACAAAAACATTTTTACACTTTGACTGTCTTATGATACGTATATCACTCCCAGGCTTCAAAATTTCATCTATCACATAAAATATGCATTACTTATACCAAAGAATTCAAGCCGTACATTTTTAGAGGAAACAGGGTGTACAGCAGAGGTCCTAGAACTCAACTTTGGCTTTAACACCTTTTCCATGACTCTTTGGCTGGCTGCTCTTGATTAGAAATTCTATAGAGGAAATGGGTGGTGGAGGTGATGGCTGGGGAAGGAGAGGACCACAAACTTGAAGCTTGATATTTTAGTAATATGTGTATTTGTAATTTAATACTTTTTATCCTGAAGCTTCCCAAAGACTTAGCAAACTCTTTCTCAATAGTATATTTGGCACACTTCTATCCCTGAGTTGAACGTAAGAACAGGGGAGGAAATAAGACACTTTGTACAGGTACATAGGATAGTTAGTTAGTTTTTAGCCAGAACAAAAGAAAACAAACAAAATAAATTTTGGCAAAGTGTTGAAGGCTTTCTAAATAAGTGAGGTCTACATCGTTGGAAGGTAAAAGCCCTATTTCCAAATTTTTCTCCTCCATCTTCATTTTTCCAAAAGATTAAGTCAATTCCTGTGAAATAGCACCAGTCACAACAAGAACTCTTCCACTTAGGTTAATTAGAGAAAAATAAGCAGATACTTCTATGTAGACACAATTAATTTTTCTGCAATTTCTCTACTCACTTGTTTTTATTCATATATAGATGACTCGGGCACAACAGTTGAGTATTATTAAAATATGTAGGAATTTGAATGTCAGTTCTACTTTACATACTAGAGTTCAGACCTGCAGATTTGTGCCAACATTTTGTCAGCTTTGCATGGGCCAAAAGTCATTCTCATCTTCAACAAGATTTAATAAAAATAAATGTAATCCAGAAGAATTTAAAGGGATTTTTAAAAAATCATTCTAAGAATACAAGAAAATAATCTTTCTTGAATTTGTTGTGAATAAATTGATAAACTTACCTGTTGGTCCAAAGTAATGATGGAAATTTTGAGACCTTTCTCTCTACCAGTAGGAATGTAGACAAAAGCTATCATTAGAAGTATCACCTTAAATATACATTTTTATTAGTTTCTCAGTGTTGTATGGTTTAAATAGGAAATTTGAACTTTGAGTAACTTCTATGAACTTCCATTCCCTCTCATAGTTCTCTGGCACCCTCTTTCCTAGCTGTCTGCCTTCACCTGGATCCAACCCTTTTGATGATCCATTTCCAGCTGCTGCATTCTGTATTTACATATGGAGAGGTAAGAATGCCATAATATTCTACCTAGATCAAACTGCTCATCATTTTTCTGACTTTTGTAGCCACCAGGATCCTGCCCAGAGTTGTGACCAATGCCCACTATATGGCTCTGATCATGGCTTATCTCTTGATCTAGGCTACTCGGGTAGTTCGAGCCATAGGCAAATTAGTGTATGCTTGGCGTTATGATAGTCCCGCTATGCAAACAGTCTATCTTCTGGTTGGGCATTGGAGTTTTGTTTCTACTTGGGATGCCTCTGCCTTACAACCATCTTTTCCATGAAGAAGACAGAATAGTAACTCTCAGAGCTTGCCACCATTTTGCATAATTCCTATAGGCCAAGTATGCACTGGGGAAAGGGAAGGAAGGAAATAGATTTTTCACTTCTATAATGCAATTACAATTTCTTTTTTTTTTTCTAGTTAAAATTTAGGATAAGCTAAAGCTTACTGCAGCGGCCTTTGTGGAATAATTTCTACACTTCTAGGAAGAATTTTTGTTTCTCTAAACACCTTCTATGTGGGAGCATATAGAATGCAAAGTCTCAGTAAGATCTGAAAATCTACAGATAGAGATTCCTTTGAATGTCTTAAGGAGTGATTGTTTTTAAGGTACAAATGGGCATAAAAGATGTAAGACTTTAAGCCTAATTAATGTAATAGAGGTCAAAATTGAAGTTTCAACTTAAAAGCCAATATGACAGATATTGGATTCCAAATTGGGTTTGAAAAGAAAGCCTATATAAGGATTTTACAAGGAAGATTCACCTTGTAGATGCAAGGAATACATGAGAATTTCTCATACTCCAAATGGACCACTAAGAACAAAGAACGCATATACTACTGCCTTGGATCATTTTCAAAAGGGGGACCTAGGGGTTGCAATATGAAGCTGAAGGTGAATTTGGATCCTAGAGTTAGCAGAATGATTTGCAATGGACCACTGAGTATAGAATAGTCTCCATCTGGAGTCAGAGAAATTTCCTGAGAATGGGCCTATTGATAGGAATCTCAAAAGAACCCTTAAATACCCACTGAGGGTTGACTTTTAACCATCAGTCAGACCCATAGAGTGGGAAACCACCCAGCCTCATAAAGAAAGCTCTGTCTCTCACCTTTTCTCCCTCTCCTATTCACGAACCTAAAATCGTCTGACATAGCAGCAATCAAATGAAGAAGTTGTTATAAAAAAGGAAAGAAATTGAATCATAATTCTTGTACGATGGTGCAGGTAAACACTAACTACAGGTTTTAGCTTATGTAAAGAAAATGAACGGTTTAACTTTGGAAGAAAATCAAAGTATTGAGTAATACCTTCTACTAGACACTAATTATTGGACTAAGTTTGTATATGAGAGTGAGAACAAAATTCATGAAATCTTACTGTTTCTATCTGGGGAGAGATATATTAATCTCAATGAAAAAAATTCATAAAATATTAAAATAAAGTTGTACTTTAATATGTGAGAAATTGTGTTTGTTCAATATATGTATATAACAACTAGTTATTTCTTTGTGTGAATAGGTTTTTCCCAAATATTCATTCCCAAGTTGGTTAGTTCTAAGGTTGATGGGGAATAAGGAGGGAACATGGGAGTGAGTTGGGGAAAGTTAGGGAGGCAGATTAAGAAGGGAGAGGAAATAGGAAAGAACATCTTATGGGCCAGAACAGAAGGAGCAGCAAGGGTAAAAGCAGCAAAGGAAGATGGGATGATTGGAAGAACAATCTTTCTTTTGAGATTAATGATGATATAAATGTGTGAATGACAAAAAGAAGCAAAATGAACTAGCAGCTTGCAATTCTTTATGGGGTTAAATTTGAGCTTTCTACACAGCATATAAAAGCCATAACACTCAAATAAAACTTATCTTTCACTCGGAAGACTTATGAAGTTGAAAAATAAACTACTTCTTGATTTAAACACACTATGATGTCACATTTGATTCTGTAGTAAATTCCCAAGTGGCTAATTCTTATACTGGCTGTGAAATTCATAGAACATAAGCCATATAGAATTTTATCTACCAGAGAAAGGTCAGAATCTGCCTCAGGGCATTATTTCTTAGACATCATGTTTATACACATTGTGATTCTTAGAAGGCTAACAATGTTTTCATTAGGAATACTAAATACAAAAGAGTCTGGCAGATTGTGTACATAAATAAAGAAAAATGAATTTCTATTTGTTAAATTGACAAATGCTTTTATTTACCCTATAAAATGCAATAGTATTTAAATTGGAATGTATTTGCTAAAAAGCTGTTGTAGAACCATGTAACCCTCCCAAAAGAGTCAACAGTGAAAGCTCCTTGAGGCTGTAAGTAGTGACCATTATCCCAGTGCTTTAGGAGGCTAAGGTGTGAGGACAGCTTGAAGCCAGGAATTCAAGACCAGGCTGGGCAACATTGCAAGACCCCGTCTTTACAAAAAATGAAAGTATTAACTAAGTGTGGGGGTGTGTGTTTGCAGCTGCAGCTACTCAGGAGGCTGAAGTGGGAAGTATCCCTTGGAGCTTGAGGATGCAGTAAGCTAGGATCTTGCATTGCTCTCCACCTGGGCAACAGAGCAGTTGTTGTCTCTGGGGGGGAAAAAAAGAAAGCTCCTTGAGAGCAAGGACTGTTTTTCTCTTTTATTTTAATTGCTTTTTAAAGATATACCAGACATATGGTAAAATGTGCATATTTATATAATAGTCTTTGAAAAGTTTTATCATATGTATACACCCATAAAACCAATACCACAATCAAAATAATTAACTTATCTCTCATTCCCCCCAAATTTTCTCTTGCCCTTTGGTAATTTCTCCCTTCCACCTTTCCATGCCAACATGATACACAGGCAGCAACTGATTGGCTTCCTGTTACAATAAATTAGTTTGCATTTTTAAGATTTTTATATAAGTGGAACTGTTGTGGGTGCAATTAGCTGGGGCTGGAGTCATGGCTAATAAAGGAATTTACCAAGACAGTTGTAGGTAAAAAAAAGGCAGGTTTTTAAGAGAAAGTATGAAAGTACATTGCAAGGGTGCAATAGGCAGCACAGCAGAGAAGGAGCTCTCTGCTAAGAGGTGGGGTCTGGAGGGAAGTTTTATAAGGTCATGCTGGAGGGGGCTACATGCAGAGCAATGTAGTTGTGTCAGAGGGATGCATGTGATTTAGCCATTTTTCAGAATAATTGTTCATCTTTCTCCCCCACCTGTAGCCCTCCCCCATCAGTAGCCCTTCTTCACCTGGGGCCCCTTCCTCATTGTTACTTACTTATTAGAATAACACATTCCTCCTCTGACAAAACAACAATGACAAATCTTTTGCATCAGGGAAAAGGTCTCATCTTCCAACTACTTCCTGCTGGCCTGGACCATAGAGTTGACCCTACCTAAGAGTGTTGGTCTGTCAGGAGGTCCTGTGCGTCACTGTCTCAGATTGTGGGACTTAGGATATTGGATCTTCTTGGAGGAAAGGACTCATCAGAGACAGAGGAGCATGTCAAGGCAAAACTGGTGTCCAGGTGAATCCAGGAGAGATTTGTAAAGGTAGCAGGCATCACTGGGAAGAGACTTATATCCTGTTCACAGCATCTTTTGAAGGTGAAACTGCTGAATTATAGAAAGTAAAATTTTGTTTCTTAAGCCAGTTACTGAAAAGGCAAAGAAAAACCTTTTGCAGTGTGACTATTTCTCTTTATTGGAAACCCATTTAGATAACCTGGAAGTGAAACTTGGTGAAAAAGTGTTTGAATTTAATTAGACACAGAATGTGGAACCAGTTTTAGAGAAAATATTATACCTTAATTGTGTACAATACTCCTTTTACAAATTTCCTTCCATGAATTTTCTCATTACTTACACAGACCATCCATGACATGCTTGGATTTTCTGACTTGTCCTAAACATCTCTCTTTCTTAAACAACTAGTCATTTTACTTTAGGACAAGAACTTACCATACAAGATCCTTTCTCATGTAAAATCTCTTTTTTATAACCTTCCTTTCTAAAAATAGCTCTTTATGTTTATAACCTTCTTTATGTCTCTCTTATTTCCTGGTTTCTTTTACCTTGTTTTTATATATAACTTTAAAATAACCTCTGAATTAGACAAAAATTATCTTCCTTTTGTTAGGAAGTTAAAGTTTGTATTGCATGTTGCTGTGTGAGCCCTGTAAAGGGGAAGCAAATAAAATTTTATACATATTGTAGAAGTTATCCCCCATCAGAAGATTGCTCTGATTTATTGCTAGGCTTGTCTGAATAAGTGTGGCCTATTTTAATCCCTTGAGGTAAGACTATCTAGGTTGAAGTTATTCATTAAAGATTTAGGTAGCTTTCCCAGGAGAAATAAGGCTATTAGAAGGAAAAATGAATTCAGATGTTGGGTGAATATTAAGCAGGCACCCATCTTGGAAATTATATTTTTGCCCCAAAGGTGTGTGGGGTACTTAGACATTACCAGGAACTGGTGGGAGAATGGTAATTGGTTCCTTAAGTAATATAAAAGGGTGTGAATGTTTTCTTTTAGAGGGAGGGGTGCCATTTGCCTCCATTATTAGACAGGATTTGGAGGATAGTTACTCAGAGAAGGTAATCAGTACAGAGTAGGCACCTCTTGAGACCAAAGGAAAATTTATAATCTTACTTGTTACCTCCTGTATTGACCTTGGCTTTCTCATATTGATGACAATGTTTGATTTGGAAGCCAGTAGAGCAGAAAGCCCCTTCAGCTCAAGGCCATGAGGGATTGGGATTCTGTCTCAGGGACCCTTTGGTTCTCAGGGCAGTTCCATTTCCAGTGGCTGAGCTTGTGGCAGATAAGGCTAGCTGTGCAGGGCTTTTTCCCATTTGTCCTATTGGTACAGTTTGCCTTCCAGTGTCTGTCTGAACCTGTGTCAGTTACCTGGATGAGTGTCCTTAGGGCAAGCTGGAGTGGGCTGGACATTTGTGAAGCAGCCAGCAATTGAGCCTGCCTCTTGTCCCTACGTTTTTTTTTCTCCTTAGCCCTGTCAATTTTTCTCAAGGCTTCTAACTGAAGGAAGAGGGCTCCACTATAGTCCACTGAGCAACTTTGAGATGCACTTTCTGAAGAGACATCCCACCTGTTGGAAAGGATCTCCCAGTACTAGGACCTTACTCTAGATGAACAGAGGGTGAGAGACACCAGGTCAGTCCAGGTACAAAGTATGCTGGGTGCTCAATCCAGGTATGAGGGGAGAAGTCTGAGGGAAGACTCATCACCTTCCCTCAGCATGAGGAAAGATCATGCTGTTTGGGATCACCTGGCTTAAGACATCCAGAGCAGGATGGCTGACTGTCTTTCTGGGAGAGTTTAGAGTGAGAAAGGGGGGTTCTGAGTCCCCCAAAACGTGTGTAGATTTGCCCTGATTAAGCTTCCACTGCCAATTGCACTATACCTAGGGACAGGGGACTTTTGACCAGAAAGAATAGGAGAGAGCCTTTCTCCCTTCCAGGCAAGGCAGCCAAACTTTTTCACCCCCTGGCCTTCAGGCTACACTAGCAAGTGGCCCTGGCCAGTTGCTAACAATTGCCAAAGGGGTACTAGAATTTGTCTACTGGAAAACTAAAAATGAAAGCAAATTCTGAACTCTCACTCAATGGGGCAGTAGTTATCAGGCATCTTTCCACCAGGGCCTTCTGGTCCACCAAGGAGTGGCCTGGACCTTTATTTGTCTTCAGGCTTGGATGCTGTCCACTTAAAATTTGGAGTTGGAGGAGACCAAAGCAGGGAAGAAGTCCCCCAGCAGGCCACCAAAATGTTGCCGATGCTACTAGCTGGGCCGGGTCTCATCAGTGGTAAATAATTTACCAGGTCAGTTTCAGGTAAAGAAAGGCAGATTTATTAGAGAAAGTATGAAAATATGTTGCAAGGGTGATATGGTTTGGCTTTGTGTCCTCACGTAAATCTCATCTTGAATTATAATCTCCGGGTGTTGAGGAAGACACCTGGTGGGAGGTGACTGAATCATGGGGGTAGTTGCCCCATGCTGTTCTTGTGATAGTGAGTGAGTTCTCACAAGATCTGATGGTTTCATAAGCATCTGACATTTCCTCTGCTCACTCTTCTTTCTCCTGCTACCATGTGAAGAAGGTGCTTGCTTCCCCTTCATCTTCTGCCATGATTGTAAGTTTCCTGATGCCTCCCCAGCCATGTGGAACTGTGAGTCAATTAAACCTCTTTCCTTTATACATTACCCAGTCTTAGCTATTTCTTTATAGCAGTGTGAGAACAGACTAATACACAGAGTGCAATAGACAGCACAGCAGAGAAGGACCTGTCTGACAAGAGATGGGGGCTGGAGGAAAGTTTTATAGAGTTGTGCTGGAGGAGGCTAATGCGGAATGAGTTTGTGCTGCTGGGGCTATGTGGCAGAGCAAAGTGGTTGTGCCAGTTGTTTGTGATTAGCCATTTCTCAGAACAATTGTTCATTGTTCTCCCCTACCTGGGACCCTCCTCCATCTGGGACCCCTTCCTCACTGTTGCTTACTTATCAGGATTCCACAGGAACCAAACAGTATTTCCTGTTTTTAATTATTTTGAAACTCATTCATGTTGATGATATCAATAGTTCATTCCTTTTTATTACTATAAAATATTTCACTGTATGGATAAGTCCCAACTTGCTTATCCTTTCACCTGTATTTTCGTTGTTGTTGTTGTCGTTTTCTTTTTAGAGACAAGATCCCTCTCTGTGATGCAAGCTGGAGTGCAGTGGTGTGATCATAGCTCACTATTGCCTCAAACTCCTAAGTTCCAGTGATCTTCCCACCTCAGCCTTCCAAATAGCCTCACACCACATTGTCATCTGCCAAGCTCTTTTACCTGTTGGTGGACACTTCTTTTTCCCAATGTGTGGTTACTCCAGAAAAAGCTGATATGAATATTCATGTATAAGTCTTTGTATCCACACATGTTTTCATTGGAGGGGAGGTAAATACATGTGAATGGAAAGGTGGGTCATATAGCAGATGTATGTTTAAACTTTTAAGAAATTTCTAAGATGTGGTTGGCACACAGTGGTTATGCCATTTTATATTCCTATTAGCAGTGAATGAGAGTTCCAGTTTCTCCACACTTACACCAATACATGGTGTGATTATTCCTTTAATTTTAAACATGCTGGTGAATGTACATGTAATGCTATTTTATCGAGGTGCTAACATGATGACACAAGTGGAAAATTCCATATGTGACCTCATGTACACAAACTTTGTTTCGTGCAAAAAATTATTTAAAATATTGTTTAAAATTACACTCTAGCTATGTGTATAAGATGTATATGAAACAAATGTGTTTGGTCAGGTGCAGTGGCTCATACCTGTGATGCCAGCACTTTGGGAGGCCAAGAGGAAAAGGTTGCCTGAGGCCAGGAGTTTAAGACCAGCCTGGTCAACATAGTGAGACTCTGTCTCTACAAAAATTAATAGTAATAAAAAAATTATCTAGGCATGAAAGCAGATGCCTGTAATCCTGGCTACTCAGGAGGCTGAGGTTGCACCACTGAACTCCAGCCTAGGCAACAGAGTAAGACTCTGTCTCTAAGAAAAATAAATAAGTAAATAATAAAAATAAATGTATTTCACATTTAGACTTGGGTCTCATCTAAGGCAACTTATTATGCATACGCAAATATCCAAAATCTGAAAACGATTTAAATCCAAAATACTTTTGGTCCCAAGTATTTCAGATAAGATATATTCAACTTGTATTCTCTTTTCTTCTCCTAGATGTTTTATAATTTTAAATTATGCATTTAGGTCTATTAGTAATTTTGAGTTAAACTTTCCATATTATATAAAATATGAATTTGAGTTCCATTTTTATTTATGGAAATACAATTGTTTCAGCTTAGTTAAAAGATAATCCTTTCTCTACTGAATTGCTTTTGCACCACCAATTGACCATACATGTGTGGGGATATTTTTGGACTCTCTTTTTTGTTACATTTATATATTTGTCTACTTTAATGTTGTCATAAAAGCTTAATATCTGTAGCTGTATAACAAGCCTCAAAATCAGGTAGTGTTAGTACTCCAAATTTACTTTTTTTAAACAGTTGTTTTCCCTATTCTAAATTCTTTCCATTTATATATGAATTTTAGTATCAGCTTGTCAAGTTCTTCAAGATATTCATGCTGGGATTTTTCATTGATATTTTGGTAAATCTAGATACGGAAAAAATTAACTTATTAACTACTGAGTATTCTGCTTCATAAACATAATATAACTTTTCATTTATTTAAGCTATCTTTAATTACAATTAGCCTAATTTGTGGCTTTCAGTGAACATAGGTTTCTTCAGCTCTTTGTTAGATTTATTCCTGAGTATTTTTTTTTTTTTTTGAGACGGTGTCACACTCTGTCACCCAGGCTAGAGTGCAGTGGCGCGATCTCGGCTCACTGCAAGTTCCACCTCCCGGGTTCATGCCATTCTCCTGCCTCAGCCTCCTGAGTAGCTGGGACTACAGGCGCCTGCCACCATGCCAGGCTAATTTTTTGTATTTTTAGTAGAGACGGGGTTTCACCGTGTTAGCCAGGATGGTCTTGATCTCCTGACCTCATGATCTGCCCACCTCAGCCTCTGAAAGTGCTGGGATTACAGGCGTGAGCCATCACGCCCGGACATATCCCTGAGTACTGAGTATTTTTTGATGCTATTGTAAATGACATTATTCTTTCTATCTCAACTTTTGTTGGTAGTATGCAGAAGTTAAATTAATTTTTATATCTGTCTTGTATCTCTTAACCTTGCTGTACTAACTTATTACTTCCAGTAGCTTGTATTATAGATTCCATCAGAGTTTCTACACAGTTGATCATACAATATATGAATAATTACAGTTTTGTTTTTTCCTTTCCAACCTGGGTACTTTTAGATTTTTTTCTTGACTTACTGCTGTGGGTCAAGTACAATTGTAAAGAAAATTGGTAAAAGTGGACATGCTTGACTTGTTCTTTACTTTAGGTAAAAAGCATTTGACCTTTCACCATTAAGTATAATGTTAAATGTAGGTTTTTGTGTAGATTTTCTTTATCAGGTTGAGGAAGTTTATTTCTGATATAGTTTGGATGTTTGTCCTCTCAAAATCTCACGTTGAAATGTGATCCCTAATGTTGGAGGCTGCGCCTACTGGAAGAGGTTTGGGCCATGGGGACAGATTCCACATAGATGGCTTGGTGCCATCCCCTGAGTGATGGGTGAATTATCACTGTATTAGTTCACACAAGAACTCATTGAAAAGAGCCTGGGACCTCCTCTTCTCTCTCATGTTCTGTCTTTCTGTGTGATATGCCTGCTCCCTCTTCACTTTCCACCATGAGTGATAGCTTCCTGAGGCCCCACCAGACACTGAGAAGATGCTGGTTTCATGCTTCTACAGCCTACAGAAACATAAGCACCCCCGCCAAAAAAAAAAAAAACAAAAAACACTTTATAAATTACTTAGTCTCAGATATTCCTTTATAGCAATGGAAATTGGACTAATATAGAAAATTGGTACCAGGAGTTTGGTATGGCTATAAAGATACTTGAAAATATGAAAGCAACTTCAGAACTAGGTAACAGGCAGAGGTTGGAAGAGTTTGGAGGGCTCAGAAGAAAACAGGAAGATGAGAGGAAGTTTGAAACTTCTTAGAGGTTGCTTAAATGGTTATGTCCAAAATGCTGATAGAAATATGGACAATGAAGGCTAGGCTTATGAAGTCTCAGATGGAAATGAGGAAGTTATTGGAAAATGAAGTAAAGGTAACCCTTGTTATGCCTTAGCAAAAAGCTTGGCTACATTGTATTCATGCCCTAGAGATTTGTGGAAAGTTGAACTTAAGATTGATGGCCTAGAGTACCCGGTGGAAGAAATTTCTAAGTAGCAAAGTGTTCAAGAGATAACATGTTTGCTTCTAATAGCCCTCATCAGATGTGAGACCACAGGAATGACTTAAAGTTGGAACATATAATTAAAAGAGAAGCAGTGCATAACAATTTAAAATAATTGCAGCCATCCTGTGTGGCAGAGAAGGACAAACGCATCATCAGGAGTGGAATACAAATGGACTACGGAACAAACACTGCTAGAGAAACTTGCGTGACTGAAAGAAAGCCAGGTGCTAATATCCAAGCCAATGGAGAAAAGGCTTCAAAGACATTTCAGAAGCCTCTGGGACAATCCCTCCCATAATGGGCCCAGACAGAAGCTTAGGAAGAAAGAATGGGCAAGCCCTGGGATGCCACTGGCCTGTGCTACTTCAAGAAGCTGCTCCCTGCATCTGGACTGCCCCAGCTCCAGCTGCGGCTCAAAGGGCCCAAAGTATAGCTTGGGCTGCCACTTTGGAGAGCTCAAGCCACCATAAGCCTTGGTGGCTTCCATGTGGTGTTAAGCCTGCAGGTGTACAGAATGCAAGAGTAAAGGAGGCTTGCCAGCTTCCACATAGATTTCAGATGAAGTTTGGGAAAGCCTAGGTGCCTAAGCAGAAGCATGCCACAGGAGTGGAGTCCCAACAAAGAGCTTCTACTACAGTGTTGAGGGGAAATGTGAGGCTGGAGCCTCCACACAGAGACCTCAGTAGGGCACTGCCTAGTGGAGCTGTGGGAATGGGGCTGTCGCCTTCCAGACCCTAGAATGGTAGAGACACCTGCAGCTTGCACCCTTAGCCTAGAAACACCACAAGTGATTCCAGTCCTTGACAGCAACCACATGGACTGCACCCAGAAAAGCAACAGGAGTGAAGCTGCTCAAGGCCTTGGGATCCCAGCCCTGGCACCAGCGTGCCCAGGATGCAGATCATGGAGGTAAGGGTAATGCCAAAGCTTTAAGGTTTAATGTCTTCCCTGCTGGGTTTTGGACTTGTGTGGAGCCTATTACCCCTTTCTTTTGGCTGATTTCTTCCTTTTGGAATGGAAATGTTTACCCAATGCCTGTACTACCATTGTATCTCAGAAGTAAATAACTTAGGTTTGATTTTACATGTTCATAGGTGAGGACTCATAGTTCCTTGAGTCTCAAATGAGGCTTTGAACTTTGGACTTCTGAGTTGATACCAGAATGAGTTGAGACTTTTGGGAACTATCGGGAAGGAATAATTACATTTTGCAATGTGAGAACATGAGATTTGGGGGGCCAGGGACAGAAGGTTATAGTTTGGATCTTTGTCTTTTCCAAATCTCAGGTTGAAATGTGATCCCGAATGTTGGAGATGGGGGCCTAGTGGAAAGGGTTTGAGTCATGGGGGTGGATTCCTCATGAATGGCTTGGTGTCATCCCCTGTGAATTCTCACTCTATTACTTTACAGAAGAACTAATTGTTTAAAAAGGCCTGGTACCTCATTCTTTCTCTCTTGGTCCCTTTCTTGCTGTGTCAAATTCCTGCTTCCCCTTCACCTCCCACCATAAATAATAGCTTCCTGAGGCTTCACCAGACACCAAGCCGATGCAGGTTTCATGCTTGTACAACCTGCAGAATCATGAGCCAAATAAACCTCTTTTCTTTGTAAATTGCCCAGTCTCAGGTATTCCTTTATAGCAATGCAAAATGAACTACTATATCTTTCATTTCTGCTTTGCTGGAAGTCTTTATTTTTAATTTGGAATAAATGTGTGTTATGTCAAATACTTTCTGTGTGCCTATTAAGATGATTATATGGTTTTCTTATGGTTCTGTCTGTTAATATGGTGAACTATATTGATTGAATTTTGAATATTCAACCATTCCTTGAATAAATCCCAATTGGTATGGTATAGTAAATCTTTTCATACATTGTTGAATTCCATTTCCTCAAGTTGTGTTAAGATTTTTAAAAATCTCTATCAATAAAGGACATTGGTAAGTATGTTTTTTTTCTTATAAATGTTTTTCTAGTTCTAGTGTCAGAGAAATGTCAGTCTCATAAAATGAGTAGGGAAATATTCCCTCCTCTTCAGTTTTCTAGAAGAGTTGTGTATAATTGATGTTATTTCTTCCTTAAATGTTTGGAACACTTTCCAGTGAATCCATCTGGTCCTGGAGTTTTCTTTGTAAACAGGTTTAACTATAAATTCAATTTCTAAAATTTTAAAAACTGATATAAGGCTATCACGTTATTTACTTTTTGAGTGATCCTTGATAGTTTTATAGTTTCTCTTTCAAGGAAGGCATTTATTTAATCTAAATTGTCAAACTTATTGGATAAAGTTGTTCATAATTTTCTCTTATTATCATTTTAATATCTTTAGAATCTTTGGTAATGTCTCCACTTTCGTTCTTGATATTGTTAATTTGTGTCTTCTCTCTTTTTTGGAGGATTTATAAATTTTATTATCTAAGAAAAGCAGTTTTTCATTTTATTTATTATCTCCATTGATTGTTATCAATTTCATTGATTTCCTCTTTGATGTATATTTTTCTTTTCTTGTGCTTTTTTTGTTTCATTTGATCTTTTTCTATTTTGCAAGGTAGAAGTCAAGGTTATCAATTTGAGAGATTTCTTATTTTCGATAATAGGTGTTTAGTACTATAAATCTACATTTAGCTTCACTGCAGTATTTTGATATACTGTGTTTTCATTTTAATTCAGTTCAACATTTTTCTAATTTTTTGGTTGTATAATTTATTTTAAAGTATGCTCTTTAGTTTCTACATATTTGGGAGTTTTTCCAGATATCTTCCTATTACTGACTTACAATTTAGTTCCATTGAGAAAGACAGCATACTTTGTATAACTTAAATCTATCTTGGGAAGTGTTTCATATGTATTTAAAAGACATATTAGTGTGTTGGGGGTAGGGAGGGAGTGTTGTATTAGTGTCAATTAAGGTAAGCTGGTTGATAGTGTTTTTCATATTTTCCTTATCCTACATAATTTTCTGTCTACTTACTTCATGTATCTGGAGCTCTACTATTAGATGCATTAACATTTTGGATTGTTATGTCCTCTTGAAGAATTGATCCCTTTGTTATTATGAAAGTTCCTCTTTAATCCCTGGTAATATTCTTTGCTCCAAAATGTACTTGGTTGATCTTAATATAATCACTCTAGTTTAATTTTTATTGCTTTAGCAGGGTGTATTTTTTAGCATGTTTTTATTTATAATTTATTTGTGTTTAGTATTTAAAGTAACTTTCTTATAGGCAAGACATAGTTGTATATGGCTCTTTTAATATAATCTGACAATCTCTGCCCTTTAATGTGATGATTATTGAGAAAATTACTATTTTCTTTTCATGCTCTATGTTCTTTAATTTTTCTACCTTTATTGGGGTAGCTTCTTTTTTATTATTTTTATGATTCTTATATGTCTTTCAATGGTTCATTAGCTATAACTTTGTTATTTAGTGGTAAATTTAGGGTTTGTAGTGTACATCTTTAAATTATTATGGTACACTTTCAAGTGATATAATACTATTTTATGTATTCTTTGAGAACCTTGCAACAGTATTTCTCCATTTCTCCCTTTGTAAACTTTGTAATACATATTTTTACAAAGTATTTTACAAAATAAGTATTTTTACATTTCTTGGTAGACTACTGTAATAAGTATTGCTTCTACATATGTCACAAGCCTGGAAATACTTTATTATGTTTTCCTTAAAGTTATTCATTAAAAGAATTTTTCTTTTTGAGACAGGGTCTTGCTCTGTTGCCCAGGATGGAGTGCAGTGATGCCATCACAGCTCGCTGCAGCCTCAACCTCCCAGGCTGAAGAGATTCTCCTACCTCAGCCTCCCAAGTAGCTGGGACTACAGGCACAAGTCACCAAACCAGATAACTTTTGTAGTTTTTGTAGAGACAGATTTCACTGTGTTGCCCTGGCTGGTCTCCAACTCCTGGGCTCAAGTGATCTGCCAGCCTTGGGCTCCCAAAATGCTGGGATTACAGACATAAGCCACTAAGCCCGGCCACTTAAAGTTATCTTGAAAATAATTTAAATAATGATAAAAAGTATTTATATTTACCCATGTAGTTACCATTTTGGCCCTCTCAGTTTCTGGTTTTTTTGTTTGTTTATTTCATTTGTTTGTTTTGAGGCACTGTCTCACTCTGTCACTCTCTGACACCCAGGCTAAAGGGCAGAGGTGCGATCATAGCTCACTGCCTCGGCCTGTGGAATATCTGGGACTACAGGAGTGTGCCACCATGCATGGCTTATTTATTTATGTATTTATTTATTTTTGTAGAGACAGGGTGTCACTATGTTGTCAAGGCTGGTCTTGAACTTCTGGGCTCAAGCGATCCTCCCACCTCAGCCTCTCAAAGTGCTGGGATTTACAAAGATGAGCCACCATTCCCAGCCAGATTCATATTTCTATCTGGTATGATTTTCCTTCTGCCTAACATATTTCCCTTAACATTTTTTGTAGTGCAGGTTTTCTGGAGAGGGTCTCTTTCAGCTTTAGTATGTCTTAGAAAATCTTTAATCTCAGCTTGGTGTAGTTTGTTCCATTTTTTGATACACACTGTTTGCCAAACAGTATTTTAAACAACTTTGGGGATTTCTTTAAACAATGACGTTTTAAAATATTTTTATTGGGGTAATATATATAACATAAAATTTCCTTTATTTTTAAGTTAAATTTGAATTAATTAAATTAACAATGTTACACAACTATCACCACTACCCATTTCCAAGTTTTTTTTATCACACCAAACAGAAACCTTTTACCCATTAAACAGTAACTCTCTAAGCCCCCTCTTCTCAGCCTCTGGTAATCTTCAATCTATTTCTGGCTCTACGAATTTTCCTATTCTAGATATTTCATATAAGTGGAACTAAATAATATTTGTTCTTTTGTGTCTGACTAATTTCACTCATCATAATGTTTTCAAGTTTCATCCATGTCATGGCATGTATCAGAATTCTACTCATTTTTATGGCTGAATAATATTCCACTGCATGTATATAACACATTTTGTTTAGCCATTCATTTGTTCATGGAGACTTGGGTTGTTTTCACATTTTGGCTGTGTTGAAAAATGCTGCTATTAACATTGCTGTACAAGTATCTGTTTGAATCCCAGCAGTTTCCAATTATTTGGGGTGTATACCCAAGAGTGGAATATCTGGGTCTTGGTAAATATGTTTAACTTTTTGAGAAACCACTAAACTCAACTTTATTTTTGAAAGATAGTTTAAATAGGCAAAGATTCTAAGTCTACAATTTTGTTTTCTTTTTGTTTTTTCTTTCAGCACGTTGAAGATGTTTCTCCATTGTTTTCTGCCTTACATTGTTGCAAGTTAAAACAATGTAAGACAGAAAGCAATGGAGAAACATCTACTGTCATATCTGTCTTTGTTCCTTTGTATATCATGTGTCTTTTTACTCTCTGCTTTTAAAATTTTTTATTGCTAGTTTTAAGCAATATGGTTATAAGGTAGTTTCATATAGTTTTCTTCTTGTTTCTTGTACTTAAGATTCATTGGGCTTTTTGGACTTATGTGTTTATAGTTTTCACCAAATTTGGAAAAATTTCTGCCATTAATGTCTCTAATTTTTTTCCTGCTTTTCTTTCCCTCTCCTTTTCTTCAAGCACTTCATTTACATGTATATTAGGACCCTTGAAGTTACTTCTCACCAACTTTTTAACATGTTTTATTGTTCTGTCTTTTTTCTTTCTGTGCTTCATTTTTGAGTAGTTTCTGTGGTTATGTCTTCAAGTTCAATATTTTCCTCTGTAGTGTCTAATCCTATTCAATGTAGATTTCATCTCTGACATTATGGTTTTTATCCCTAGAAGATCAGTTGAGGCCTTGTTTATTTCTTCAGTCTCTCCACATAACCCTTTAAATGTTTCTACCAGTTTGAATATATAGAATTCAGTTATAACAATTGATTTAATGTTTTTATCTACTAATTCTACTCTCTGTGTCAATTCTGCATTAATTTCAATTTATTGATTTTTCTCCTGAATATGGGTCATCTCTGCTTCGTCCATAACTGATAATTTTTATTATTTGCCAGATATTGTAAATATTACCTTTTTGTTAAGATTTATTCTGAGAAGTAGTCAAGTTAGTCAGAAATAGTTTCATTCTTGCAGGTTTTCTTTGAACTTTATTAGACAGGACCAGTACAGTGTTAAGTTTAGGGCTAAGTTTAGGCTCACAGTTGAAGCCAAACTCTTCTCAATACTCCACCTATTTCCCTGTGAATTTTGAGTTTTTCACCCATAATTCTGATAGGCATGGACATCATTTCCATTTCTTTGTGATCTCTGTGAATTGTTTCCTCCAATTCTTTGGGGTAATTCTTTCCCTCATCTCAGGTCATTTCTTTACACACAAGTACTGATCAGTATTCAGTGAAATCCTCAAGAACAGTCTCTGCAGATATCTGGAGCTCCCTCTATGTACAGCTGTCTTCTCACCTAAGGTAGCTGTGAAATTCCTGGACTCCCAGCAAGCTCTTGTGAAGTCAGGGAGAGTCCCAACTCCCTCTGTGTTCCTACTTTCCACACTGCAATCTGGAAGAATTTTCCAGATAGCAAGTCGTGATGCTTGACTTACTTGTTTTTCATTTCTCAGAGACAAATTATTGTTCCCTGTTTTCCAATATCCAATGTTTTGAAAACATTTTTATGTATATATTGTCCAGTTTTTTAGTTATTTTGGGTGGAATGGTAAATCCAGTGCCTGCTATCCTATCCTCATTAGAAACAGAAACCAGACACATTTTTTTTCCTTTTTCAAACTTTACAAAAATTATCTCTTGAGTGATTGTGTATGGAAGAAAAACACATTCAATTTGAATATTTTAATAAATCCCACTATATAAATGATGACTAGCATTTTAATTAAAAATGCAAAAAAAGTTTAGAAAATGCAAGTGTGTCAAGTAATCAGTTAAATTTGAATTAAGAAACCACCAACTCTAATGCAACTGGACTTTTAAAAATAATTCAGTTTAAAGTATAAATAACTTTACTGAAGTTTAATGTGTACTCTAAAACTTCTTTTCCATGTGGTTAGTCTTCAGATTTCTGCCTCAATTTTTACTTAAGTAGATAATTTACTACTTTCAGAGTTAATCCATTCATTGTTGGATGAGCTTCAATTGCTCAACTATTTTTCAACAACCATTTATTGAGTATCTAGGATTGGCCAAGCATTATACTAGGCACTATCTTTACAAAAATAAATATAATGTTCTTTAGTCCCCTAAGGGGCTCACACTATAATTCAGGAGCCAGACATGAACAAATAATAACAGTACAACTGTTAAGTTTTATGGTCAAGGCTGCCTCAGACTCTGCAAGTCTTTTAAGGCACAGAGGCCTAAAGAACATGGCACACTGAAAAAATTACAAACAGTTTGATTGATTCAGTAAAGGGCATGTGGAAGAACAGGAAAAGATGAGATTGAAGAGGGAGAGAGGAGTCAAATAAAGAAGGATCTTGAATACCATACAAAAGAACTTAGGCCTTATAATGGACAAAATAAAGGATGCTTGAAGGCTTTTAAGTAAAGATGTGCTATGCTCACTACATTAATCACTCTGCAGTAAGTATGATATGGATTAGCAGGAGTCAGCAAATTATAGTTCATAGGCCAAATCCAGCCCACTACTTGTTTTTGTGTAAATAAATTGTTGTCCAAGTACAGCCACACTTATTGTTTACATATTGTTTATGGCTGCTTTCCTCCTACAATGACAGAGTTGAGTAGTTGCAACAGAGACCATATGTCCTGTAAAGCTAAAAGTGTTTACTATTGAATCCTTTACATAGTAGGTTTGCCAACCCTTAGATTAGAGTGACACAAGAATGATTTCAAAAAGTAATTAGAAAGTTTCTGACAATAATTCTAGTAAGCCAGTATAAGAGCCTGACATTTAACACAGTTTCTCAAATGTTTAGCATCATTCGACCACAATTTTCACCATTTCCTTCAGCACTAAATCAAAGTCAGAAGGCATTATGTTAACCACCAACTGGTCTGTGTGAATAAAGCAGTATGTGGGCAAAGCAGTGTGTGGATTGGCAGTGCCATTTTAATTCATTCAGCAATACCTTTCCCCATGCACACATTGCTTGTGCTCACTCAGAAATGAGCCTGGAGCATTTTCTCCAATCTACAACATGGCTCATAAAATAAGTATGTTTCTTCTGTAATTTAGGTCTTCAAAGATTAATATGATAGTAACTTATTGAGTATATATAATTTCTTGAACATATATTAAGAGTAGATTCTCACTTTTTTTTTTTTTTTTTTTTTTTTTTTTTTTGAGACGGAGTCTCGCTCTGTCGCCCAGGCTGGAGTGCAGTGGCGGGATCTCGGCTCACTGCAAGCTCCGCCTCCCGGGTTCACGCCATTCTCCTGCCTCAGCCTCCCAAGTAGCTGGGACTACAGGCGCCCGCCACTACGCCCGGCTAATTTTTTGTATTTTTAGTAGAGACGGGGTTTCACCGTTTTAGCCGGGATGGTCTCGATCTCCTGACCTCGTGATCCGCCCGCCTCGGCCTCCCAAAGTGCTGGGATTACAGGCGTGAGCCACCGCGCCCGGCCGATTCTCACTTTTTAACTAGAGATTTCATCCAAATATAAGTCAAAAATCTCTTTTCTTGCCCACACAATGTATTTCTCTTCTTATTGTGTGCTATTGATAAACAAAAGCAAAAAAAAGGCATTCAATAAAAGAGTTTTGCCAACAGCTTGCCTTGTTAGCTTCTGAGCATACTATTTGTCTCTTTGCAGATGGTTTTATATGCTTCTGACAATGTGTGACTTGCAAATGGTTTTGCTATAAGGAAAATAGTAAATTTTGGTCATCTTCTATTTTAGCAGAACAGTTCATCAATGTCATACTGAAAAATCATAATTTTGTGATTGTTCTGAAAAAAATCTGATTATTTTACAAGTGAGGTTATTGTGATATTTGACAATGGCATTAGTCTTCATAGCTTTGTGTTGCTATTAGATCATACTTTATAACAGACAATATCCTGAAGATTAGGATGGCCCCTAGTTGGTCAAATAAAACCAAGTTTTCTGATATTGCATGTTACAATTTGCAGTCCCAGTTTTCTTCAAAGACATCATGATATTGTCTCTTATTCCAACACATATAAATTTACATTTTATAATTTCATTGGAGAATTGTTCAATATCTAAAACTATGGCATTATTTTAAATACAGTCATTTAATTTTCAAGACTTTGGATCTTCAATGGACCACTTTTGAGCCATTAGAAATTAAAAATTTTAAAGGGAACTAACAACCTACTAATTATATAAAACATACAGATTTAATGCATGTAAAATATAATATACAGTGATATAAAAAGGTACCTAACATAAGCTGTCATGCAGCTGAGATAAACTGCTAAGAGCATTCTTTGAAGTACAACCCAACCTATAATAAAGATTAAGCAAGTGCTAAGATTTTTATAATAATAATAATTAGTTTTTTAAAATTCAAATTTCTGAAACTTGTGTAAAAAAAATTGTATAAATTCTTCTTCCAAAACTGACAAAGTATCTGTGTACTACTTGATTAATTGATCATTCTTTGAGAATCACAATTGTAAATATATAAAATATTTACAGCAATATATAAAAGCTATATAAAATCTTATCCAACTCTGGCTAAACTACCATATATTTCAAAATTAAGTGAGAAAATGTATGCATACAAATTGCACTTTGTGAACTATAATAAAAACTTTAATGTAAGAATTAAGATTAAATAAATAAAGAGTTAATCATCCATAGGATTGTTTTTGTATCTATTTTCTGTTCTATTCTACAGAGGATTTAAAGAAACCTATGCAAATATCTTTGATACTAAATAATGATACAAATAAGTAAATGAATCTGATTGAAGAGAAAATGTGATTAAGAAAAAATAATCTATGAGGGGAATTAGCATGCAAAAATGCATGCTAAGCATTCCTGTAGAGGTAAGAGAATTGGACCATGCATTTGGCTCAAATTTTCTCATAGTTAAAGCAAAATCATGACATTATTTTTCTGGAAAAATAGTTACCAACTCATTCACTATCCAAATGAGGATGCCAGACACCCATCTCTTATTGAAGTCCAACAGATAGAAATTTTCTCACGTTTTCCTATAGTAGTTGAGCTATTTTTATATTCATTCATTGCATCATACAACATTACATTTAATAAATAATAAATGCTGAATGGTCATTCACCTTCTACTAGCTTAATGTGTTAATTTTTAAATTTATTACTCAAATTTAGGCCATTTTAAGTTAAATCTCACAAACACATATATAATAAAAGATCATCTTGGTAAAAATTACCTGTATTTGGTGGTCTGGTGGGAGACATATTTGGATGTATACAGACTTTTTTTTTCATTTTGAATCACATCCCATTACAGTGAAAGTAGAGCTACTCCTCTTTTAGCACAAACACGCAATATTTCTGTGGAATGGTAACTATGCCTTAATACTTCATTATTAGGAATAAATTATAGCAAAATGAATTCCTGCAAAAGATATGGTTCTTATTTTTGAGAACTCAGTTGTATTAAAATAGTCTCTCAATCAAAAATTGATTATTGTATGTAATGATTTTTATAGCCAGGCCTCAAGAATTACCTGTGTTTTGATCATATCTACTTCATTATTACTTTTAAGTACATATTAAAAGAAACACACATTAAAAGAAACACACATTAACTGCTTAACACATGGTGCTTCACTATAAAAGCAAGTATAAGAAGTATTCACTGGCTTCCAATAGATAATCATTTGATTGATCACAGAATACATAGATACTGAACAAATTAATTTCAATAAGGTGGAAATAATTGAGTGGAATGGACATGGTAATCATTTAATCTCTAAGTTAGAGCTGCCACTGATTGGTTCTATCACAAACTAAAAACAATAGATGCAATGAAAGTCTGTCTTACCCTTTGAATGACTTCTATGTTAAAACAAATGTTGGAACTAAAGATGTCACACACAAACAGATAATGTCATTATAGCATTGTGCCTGGCAGTTCAAAGGTGAGGGAACATTCCTAATATAGGAAAAACTCTACCTCAGAGAGTAACACAGAATTATGATATTTAGACGTTCTAGCGCAAAACCTTACCATAAATGCTTAAAACATGTCTTGCTTTTGTAACTGTCTTCTCTATGTATAACTTGTAAATTTGAGAAGGTGCAATAGGATGTTAATAATTAAACAAGTATATCATTAAATTCGGAACATATCTGAATAGACCTTTATAGGTGTGCTATGATTTTATATTAAGAACAAAAAGCAGTATGTTAGTAATTAAGTAAATATTATAGTAAGTATAGCTTATTCTTGAAGCTTATGACTCCCCAGGGAACAGATATTTAATTTGTGGCCATGATAATAACAACCTAATGAACTTCACATCTTTCAGGAGAGCTTAATAAACTTCAAAGAAGACAAAACAAGAATGTATGAGTAAAAGTACATCCTTAGCCTTTCATTAGGCAAAATGAGCATGAGTCCTGGCCCAGCATGGCTTCCAAAGTTAGCATTCCCAACTACAAAGCAAATGTATGCAGAGAAATGTACAACAAAAGACACAGCTTTTAAAGCTCCAGTTGAGTTTCCACAAATGTTTCTTACAAAAGCCACCATTCTCTATGTTAACAAAAAGTTGTGGATCCGTTCTTCACTAAATCCTCTTTTCTTGCATAATCCACCTTGTGCACTTTAGCTTGAGTGTGTTTTATCTGATCTAATCCTGGGCTCATTCACTCTCAGATAGAAGCAACAGGATTATTTCACACTTAAGCGAAGTCCAATCTTTATGTGATCCCTAAGAGGACACCTGGCTGATACAGAATTTAAGATAAAGATTAACCAGGTGCTTGAGCAACATAATTATGTCAAATATAATAACAGTTTATGATAGAAAGTATTACGGCCAGACTATATAAAAATTTGTTTTAAAATGAACACATTAAGACATATATGTTACTATATATATTATGCATGTAATGCTTATACACCTACACACATAAAGAGTATTCATTTCAAGAAAGGATTCTACATTGTATTCAGAATTTTGTAACCCACAGAAAGTGTTCACATTTTCATTCATGTCTTTCTTTCATATTCAGCATATCCACAGCTTATAATGGGTTGAGGAGGGCCAGGCTTTGTGGCTTAGCAAATTAGTCCTTGATTTTTTTCTTTTAATGCAGTGGACAAGAAAGCCCAATAGAAAATTTTCTAAACCCCCATGAAGCTAGAAAACATGGATTAGTATGAGGTAAGTCTATCTTCTTCAGCTTGGCTCTGCAGGACCATTACACTTTTTAAAAAGTGTGTGCGCATATGCATTTGTTGTGTGCACATATATTTCACATTTGTTGAGTATATACACACACACGCATTTCCTATGTGTCGCAGATGCTAGATTATCCTTACTGATAAGAGAGGCTTACTTCACTTTAATGTACTTTAATACAGTCACAGGCTCAAATTCACTTTAATATAGCTTTCTGATTCCAGAGTTTGCTAATGTCTCGATATATTTTTTTAAAAAGTTAAAGCCAGATAAGGCTATAGAAATATTCATTTGGCTGTAAAGTCTGTATAAAAATCTATGGAATTGCTATTTCTTTTCCATTTGAAATTTGCATAGATATTTTAAGAAGCAGAAAGTTTCACATATATTTAAGAATATTGGAATGCCATTGTATATGTCTCGTGGTGTACCTCCTGGTTTTTACATCTGGAATCAGAGAAATGGAATATGAATAATATGTGAGAGAGATTGAAGAGCACAATAATATCCATGTTTTGCTGGATATTTTAGGACATCAAAATTTGTTGAAAAAAATTAACCATCTACAAAACAGAAAAGTCAAGCCATATAGAAATATATAGATCATAATGCTATCTCCTTAAGTATTACTTAGCAAAAGTCGCACTTTTCAATGATAAAAATTTCTTCATGTAACTGAGACTCAGTTTCTTTAACTGCAGAATGGGGGAACTGGGCCAATTATTAATTCCCCTTTTACTCTAAAATTACTCTCAAATAGAAAGATCACTGTATGTTTTGAATTAAAAATACATTCTAGATATTTACACTTTTAGTTATTAGAGTGATACATCAATTAATGAATCTCCTAGCAGCAAATACACTTTATGGCAGTTAAAACTGCTGTTAAAATAACTTGATAAATTTTTAGGAGCTGTGAACATTTAGCTCAGCAGCCTTGTTTCTGCAAAACTGTGTTAGTGGATATGTAAGATCATAAAAAATAGCAGTAGCATCTTCAAGAAAAATGTTCAAGCTCAGGTAGTTTACCAGATTATTAAAAATTGCATTACATGATGTTAAGTACTATATTACTTACAATGAAATTATAAGTGTCACCTTAAAATTAATAATTGAATATTTTATGAGAAAAAATGAAAACTGAAGGCTAAGTTTATGATACTAACACTTGTTCAGCTTAATCTTTCCATTTTTGAATAAAATCACTAATCTAATCCTTTGGAAATATGTGGGCAAAGTAATAAAATTATTTCACCTTTCAAATAGTCGTGTCATGTTGAAACACCAAAGTGGAAAAATAAAAAGATAGAATAAAATATGTGCAAAATTAATTCTCTATCATAAAGTGAGTTATGGTCACATTCTCATCAAACATGGCCACTTATCACTTACCACTGAGTTGGGCCCCAGGCCTCTTCATTCTTATTAGTCAATAAACTAGGAAATACATCTCTTAAATAAAATTAAAAATTAGATATAGAGTTGTCTGCAATGTAGTACATCCTGGTCACAGGTAACTTAGATTTTCATTGATGAAATGGAGGAAAGAATGGAAATTAATGTTAGATGTGTAAAAAGTACCATTAAAATACAAGATGATCTTAGAATGAAATTAAGAAAAAATGTGGGAAGAACAGCGAGACTGAGGGAAAGTTGTCTATATCATCTAAACAGATATCAATTAAACATAATTGGTTAGAATATAGTTGGAATAATCAGTGCCCCAAATAAAGAAGGTACTTTGTGTATATATACATAATGATGTCACTGCCAACTGGTAGATGTCAGGATAATAATAGCCAAACATTTGTTTACTAATTATTATTTCCTTAATACTAGTTCAAAAACTATACACATATTATTGCATTAATCCCCAGATCACCCCAATAAGGAATGAAAGTACTATGTGTCTCTCTATTTTACAGATGAGAAAACCAAGACTAAGAGAGGGTAAGTAATTTGCCTTACATAAACTCTAAATCATTCTCATCCTTCATTCATTAGATTATGCATTATTTGAAATAATCCTTTTCTGCCTTTCTGTTTCAGACAGGAGTATCTCTTCTCTACACAAAGCCACTTGAGCCCATTTGAAATGTAACTTTTGCCATGGAAGAATTCTACCAACACTTTTGTCGTCATTTAAACTACCCACTAAATACCTTTTCTATTTTTTATACTATTTTTTGTTACTGTGTGTGTGTGTGTTTTATTTACTTTTCTTAATATCATAACAAAACAAAATTAAACAAAAAAATTGGGTTTTACCAGTGTTGCCATCCAAAATATAGAATACCCAGTTTAACTTGAATTTCACGTAAACAAAATTATTTAACTGGATATCTCATCTTTTGTTTGCCAATCTAGCAAACTTAGTTTTTGCAATCAGTAATGTGTTGGTTCCTAATGCTGCTATAATAAATTACTATAAACGTTGTGTCTTAAAACAATACAAATTTATTCTCTTTCAGTTCTGGAACTCAGAAATCTAAAATGAAGGTGTTGGCAGGGCTGTATTCCTTCTGGGGACTTCAGGAGACAATTATCTCCTTGCCTTTTCTGGCTTCTAGTGGTTACCTGCTTTCCTTGGCTCATGGTTCCTACCTCAATCTTCAAAGCCAGTGGCATAGCACCTTCCCTCCTCTATGACCTCCTGTGTCCCTTTTATAAAAGCCCTTGAGATATCATCGGGTTCACACAAATAGTTGAGGACAATCCCATCTGAAGACCCTTAATTTAATCACATCTGCAAAATTCCTTTTGAGTGTAAGGTAGCGTAGTCACAGGTTCTGGGAATTAAGACTTTCACATTTTGTGGGAGACAAGACTCTCTCTACCAGAAGCAGTTTCTTAAACTTGCTGAAATACCTCATCCATTTTTATGCTGTTATTTCTTGTATTCCATCCTTCCTCCTGAGTTTACTTTCCTTCTCACAGAATTAGACACTTCTGTAGGTCTTTTCATAAGGGCCTGTGAGTGGTAAATTTTCTTAGTCTATGTGAATCAGAAAATGTGTCATTGCTGCTCATTGACTCATACCTGGTATATGGTCATACGATGATCTTACTCTCTGGATGTATGCTCTACCCTTAGCCACTCTTGGGATGGGTTGGAATCAAACATGACCAATTAGAGCACTGCATTTTCCTGAGTAGTCAGGTGTCCTGTCAGTGCCAAAAAAGATGCAGTGACACTTTTGATGGGAATATTGAAAGAGACAAATTCTAGGAAGATTTATTTGTTCATTTATTTTTTAGAGACACGTTCTCACTTTGTTGCCCAGGCTGGAGTACAGTGGTGTGATCATAGCTCAGTGCAAACTTGAACTCCTGGGCTCAAGCAATCCTCTTGGTGCAGCATCCTCAGTGCCTAAGACAAGAGGCAGTACCACTACACCTGGCTAAGTTTTTAATTTGTAGAGATGAGGTCTCACTATGTTGGGCAGGCTGGTCTTGAACTCCTTTCATCAAGTGATCCTCCCTCCTTGGCCTCCCAAAGCGTTGGGATTATAGGCCTGTGCCAGGCCCCTAGGGGGATTGAAACCAAAGATGACTGCCATCTTAAGGAGAGAAGCTAGCTGGTAATTAAGCCAATACTCCAGAGAGCAGGGTAGAAATGTGAAAAGAAACATTGCTTGTGACTCTTTTTGTGCCCCCAGATCAAGTAATGTGTGAAGCCAGGTCTTTCCCCTAGACTTTTAAATTATATGATCCAATCAATTTCCTTCTTTGTTTAATCCTGTTTTGCCTCTAAGTTTCTGATCACTTGAAATTAAAAGAAACCTGTAAACATACTAAAATTATTATTTATATCCTGATGCTTTTTATAACATTTTGTAATAAGCACATGCTAATTTTAAGTGAAAGAAAAAAATAAAGTCTATAGCTAACATACCTATTAATATTGATTCACAAGCCCCTAGCACGAATTTCACTTCTGCTATGATCACAGTTCTAAAACGATTAAAATATAGACAAAAGAAAATTTTAAAATAGAAATGACCAAGATTCTGTTAGGCAATACCATATAGCTCATCATGATGTTTGCCAGTTTGGCCTCCATTTGCCCCTAGAAATGATTCTATAACCCACTCCTCTGGGTTATTCAATCCCAGCCAAGAAATCTGTGGAAGAGGAAAAACAAACAAATAAACAAAACAGGAAAAGAACTTTCTGATTATTGTGTGACTAGCTGCATAGGCTTGGAAGTCTATGAATTTCCTGGTCTTCCTTTTGCTCCATTCCTCACAGAGCTCTTGTTAATGTCTAGGGACAGTCTGTGAATGAATATAAAGAGAAAGACTAGATATTCATTGTCCATTGGCTCAGCCACTCATGGAATAAGAAATACTTCAAGATTTATATTTCACTGTTAAAAACCACTCCAAACTTTTTTAAAATATATATCAGACTTGTGCCATGTAAACCAAACACTTTAGGAAAAGGTTTGATATTTAGCGGGGATACAAGAGGGTTGGATGTTTGTTCTGATTGAATAGATGTCTATTCTGATTGTTCAGTGGCCATGACACACTGAATGTTTAATGTTTGCAATGTCACACTTGAGTGGAGGCAAGTAACCATATAGACCGTGGCTTCTGCGAGGTTCTATTCTCAGCCATTAACTAAATATTCTGACTGACATGATCGTGTCAATAGCCATTTCAGCATCCCTAACATATTTAATTAGGATTCAATGAGTTTTTGGAAACACATGGAAGGAAAACACAGGGATGTTAAAGATTATATGATACACACACAAACACATATACATGTATATAAATATATAATCACATACACGTATATAGAAAAGTTTATATATTTTATGTATGGATTATATGTACTATATATGCACATAAGTATGCATCTATATTGGCACACAAATATACATTTCTTTTACTTTATCTTCTAAACATGACTGCTTTCACAGAAAAAAGAAACACAATTATAAAAAGATTGAAAATAAATTTGCAAAGACACTGCAATGTACGTATCTTAGCATTAACAACATGTAATATAGAAAAGGAGAATTCCATATTTTGTTAACTTACAGAGCCCGGTACACCCAGGAGATACTTAATTAAGAAGCCTCTAAGCTGCAAGTTTATTAAACAAGCATACTAACGAGGGTAAATCCTTTACTTTTAAATACAATTTAGGAATCCCACCCTGCTGTTACTTACAGTTATGATTGTTTGTTCATCAGAAACCTAAAATTTACAGTTCCCATTTGTCGACTGGATATTTTTTTCTGAACCAGAAATATTCCATTAACACATATATATTAACATCAATATATAGATTTGTAAGTGTAATTTTTCTTAATATAATTTATAAAAGTTCATCACAGGAAATTTTACAAATACAAAACTCCTAAAATCTGCACATAATCTCACCAGTCAGGGAGCATAACAATTATATTTGCATATCCTCATTGTCTCATGTACACATAGATATATATTTATATTCATATTATATAAACACACATTCATTTGTATACATATGTATATATACACAGATGCACCCTATTTTGATGGATGTCAACATTTTTGTTCTATTAAATTTGAAAGAGGAAAAAAGATTTTGTGTTTGGAGACAGAAAACTCTTTTGTTTGGTTCAACTCTCAATGAACTTCTATGTATGTACAGATAAAAATCTTACTATGGGCCAGGCACAGTGATTCATGCCTATAATCCTAGCATTTTAGGAGGCCGAGGCAGGAAAAGAGCTTGAGCCCAGGAGTTTGTGATCAGCTTGGGCAATATGGCAAATTCCCATCTCTATGAATAATAATAATTATCATAAATTAACCAAATGTGGTGGTGCACGCCTGTGGTACCAGCTCCTTGGGAGGTGAGGTGGGAGGATCACTTAAGTCCGAGCTGTTGAGGCTGCAGTGAGCTGTGTTTGTGCCACTGCTCTACAGCTTGAGTGACAGAGTGAGATCCTATTATAAAAAAAGAAAATGAAAAAAAGAAACAAAAAAAATCTTAGTATGGATGGAAGATTTGAGATTATGAGGAGCTATAATTTTCTGTATAATAATATAGAAATCTTTCTTTCCTGAGGTCATCATTGTATCTCAGACTATAATGGAGAGGTGGGCCAGAGGCTTGAGACAAATTTGAAACATATTTTGATTTTATCCTCCCTTTGAAAGAGACTTCTTATTGCCTACTAAACGTTTTTCTTCCTCCTCTTCAGTAAAACAACTTGAAATTTATGTAGAAAGACACATGGCCTGTAGTTAAAGGGGTAATTTAAATAAGTTCTGACCAATGAGATGTAAGCAGGCAAGTTGCATAGCCCTACCAAAGAAAATCTTCATCCAAAGGAATGAGCTGGCCTTTTTCTCCATCGTTCTGTGTGGACTAGGAAAGTGGCCACTGGAGTTTAAATATCCAACTTGGAACCATGAGGGGGCATACTTAAAATAGCAGAGGAGCAAAACATGACCTCTGAGTCCCATTC
Source organism: Homo sapiens (assembly GCF_000001405.40). NCBI lineage: Eukaryota > Metazoa > Chordata > Mammalia > Primates > Hominidae > Homo > Homo sapiens. Next base: position 147,840,099 of record NC_000003.12, on the reverse strand, counting down.
CAGCCCTGGAAAGCTGCATCCTGAATATTTTTGCATGAGAGAAATGAACTATACCTTGATTAATTAATTAGTTATTTGGGAGTTTACTGTTAGAGCAGAATTTATTTTATAACTGATGAATTCTCACTGGGATAGAGAAAATTGGAGAGAGGTTATTTATGGGCAAAGACAGTTTGGTTAGAGAGAGGTAGTTTGCTGACAAATGACAGATTAAGGAGACAGCATATTTTGAGAAATGTTTTAGTTTTAGTCTCTAAAAGTTGTGCTCAGTCCTGTGGTCTGAGTGTTTGCCTTCCCACTTCTCCACGCCAATTCATGCTTTGAAACCTGATCCCTAGTGCCACAGTATTAGGAAGTGGGGTCTTTGGGAAGTGATTAGGTCATAAGGCTGGAGCCGTCATGAATAGAATTAGTGCCTTTATAAACGAGGCCCGAGGAGGCTGGTTTACCTCTTTCACCATGTGAGGGCATAGCAGACGGCACCATCTATGATGAATGGGCCCTCATTAGAACTTCTCAGCTTCCAGAATTACTAGAAAGAAGTGTTTGCTGTTTACATACCACCCAGTTTATGGTATTTTTGTTATAGCAGCCCAAACAGACTAAGACACCCAGTTCCTATTTTGAAGTTTTTGTTTTTCACATTGTAATTTCCTTTTGTTATTGCCACGATTTCATTGAGGTTTAGGCAAATGGTATATTCTCGTGTTTTAGGAAATTAAGAAATATCCTGTTTATACCTATACCTGGAGAAGCTATTGTAAAGAAACAAGATTATTTATAATAACTACTAGAGTGATCCAAAGTGAGCTGACTGGTTGACTTGACAAGTGATGACCAGGATGGATTTGTGGAACATGAACCCTCTCCCCTGGTATTCCCAGAAACAATTATTTTCAGTGGGAAATACCATAAAATCCTCGGCTTCATAGCATAGAATGACTTGATTGCTAGTGGAAGATGTTATAAAATGACCATTCTCATGGATAAAAAAATTGAGAATGTTGGGTTATTAATACACACCCATATGCCCATAGGATAATGTCTTAGTCTGTTTGTGCTGCTATAGCAGAATACCACAGCTGGATAATTTATGAAGAACATACGTTTATTTTCCCACAGTTCTTCAGGCTGGGAAGTCCAAGATTAAGGCACTAGCAGGTTTTGTGTCTGGTGAAGGCTACTTTCTGCTTCCATGATGGTGCCTTGTACACTTTGCCCTCTGGAGGGGAGGAACACTGTGCCCTCACATGGCAAAAGGCTGAAGTGCAAAAAGAGATGAACTCCCTCCATCATGCTTTCTTAGAAGTATGCCTAATCCCATTCATGAGGGTGGAGCCCTCATGCCTCAATTATCTCCCAATTGCCATACCTCCTAATACTGCTACATTAAGGATTAAATTTCAACACGCATTTTGGAGGCAACAAAAAAATTTTAACCACAGAAGATGGATTTGAAGCATTATCATTATTATTATTTTATTGTAGTATTGCCTTTAAATACTTACATTTATTTTTAAAAGAGCTGATACTTTTCACTGAAGATTAATTTAATAAAATAAATATCTAGAACCAGAAATAGCATTTGACCCAGCAACCCCATTACTGGGCATATACCAAAAGGAATAGAAATGATTCTATTATAAAGGTGCATGCACATGTATGTTTATTGCAACATTATTCACAATAGCAAAGACATGAAACCAACCCAAATGTCCATCAATGGTAGACTGGATAAAAAAAATGTGGTACATATACACCATGGAATACTATACAGCCACAAAAAGCCATGAGATCGTGTTTTTTGCAGGGATGTAGATGAAGCTGGAAGCCATCATCCTCAACAGGAATAAAAAGCCAAAACCACGTGTTCTCCTCATAAGTGGGAGTTGAGCAATGAGAACACATGGACACAGGGAGGGGAACAACACACACCAGGGCCTGTCAGGGAGTGGGGGCGTTGAGGGGAGGGAGGGCATCAGGACAAGTAGCTAATACATACAGGGCTTAAAACCTAGGTGACAGGTTGATAGGTGCAGCAAACCACCATGGCACATGTATACCTGTGCAACAAACCTGCACATTCTGCATATGTATTCCAGAACTTAAAGTAAACAAAAAAAAAACACTGTAAAATTCTACATGTGTTTTCAGGGAATGCATCAGTTTCTTCAACAATACATAATGATACTGAAATAAAAAAAAATTCAGAATTTTTGGAACAGCTGCAAATGAACCTAGGACATATATAAGCTAATGACATATTCAGTAATACAATTCTATTAAGGCTTTCAACTAAAGTAGGCAATGGTTAGTGGGCATATAATGCCTGAAAGTGGAAATCAGCTGATGGCTAAGAGAATCAAAAAAGAGAATTAGAAACTGTGTTAAGAAAGAATAAAATGAAAATCTGACCTATGTTAAGAGGTGTGTGGTTTAAATGTATTGCCTTCAAAATTCAGGTGTTTCCAATGTAATATTATACTATTATACTAAGGAGGTAGATGTTTTAAGAGCTGATTAGGCCAGAAGGTCTTCTCTTTCATGAACAGGATTAAGGACCTATAAAAGAGACTTTACTCAGCATTTGTCTTCTCTTGACTTTCCAGATTCACCATGTTAGGATGCAGCAAGAAGGCCCTCAAAAGATACCAAATGTTGATGCCTTGATGTTACACTTCCCAACCTTCAAAACTGTGAGAAATATTCCTGTTCTTTTCAAGTTACCCAGCCTCAGGTATTCTGGTGTAGCAGCACAAACGGACTAAGAAAGAAGTCACTTGAGAAGTCAAAACAAAAAAAAAATCATTTTTATTCTTCAGAAAGCCTTAGAACAGATCAATAATATTTTCTTCAAAGTAGCAAAACCAGCATTTGATAAAGCTAAAAGAACTTTTGTGAATAATTTTTTGTACAGAAAATATTCCACTAGGTAAGAGGGTTCAAGAAGCAGCTGGTGTGTGCTGCTCTCCCAATGAGGAAACAAAGTGGTGAGTAAATACTGACTTTTCAAGTGAATCATCTGAGAAAGCATGTGAGCATCCTTTAAGGGAGTCAGGGGACACATGGAGAACAGAGAAGAGTGAAGGTAAACAGCTGCCCACCTGGGACCAGTGCAAAACCAGGAGAAGCTCCCTGAGATGGGGAAAGTGGGGGAGAATAAGAGTCCCCAGGGGATCCACATTTCCCACAGGGACCTGTGCAGTATTGGGAAAGGGAGAACCTCCCTGACTCCTTGCCCCCCCAGGCCTCCAAATTGATACAGGGAGTCATCCAGAGCTTTTGCAGAGGTACCACTCAAGACTGGAAGGAGCCCCACAGGCCTTGGATCCATGAGCAGCTCAGCATCAGCTGCCATGACACCAACAGAGGCTGTGGTCATGGTTCTGGGGAATGGTCAAGCTGCTTCACTCCTTCTTGCCAGACAAGGCTTGGCTCCTGCCTCTAGCACAGTGGTCCCACCACTGCCTGAACTCTGCAGCCAAGCACAGCTCTGTGTTACCCCAGGAAGCACATGGATGGTGATCTGTGCTACTCCTCCCACATTTGCTGCTCTTAGCTATGCAAGACTCACCAGCATGGGTGGAGCCCAAACAGGGGAGGAGCCTCCACTCTCTGAATACTGAGAGGGGTGAGATATCTGGGTTCATGGGCTGGCAGGGGAGCAGGGTATACTTCCCTCCCCAAGGCTGGTCCAAGAAGGGGTGTGGCCTGTCTACCAGCTATAGCTTCTGCCTAAGGGAACCCTGTGGGTGTGAAATACCTAACAAACGAAAGACAGGTGCAGTGCCAGTGATTGGAGGAGGCTCTCCCAAGGCGCAGGAGAACTGGCGAGAGGGTCATCTCTCCCCACCTGACCACAGAGCACTACTTAGAACATGCTGAAATACAAAAGAGCCACACAGCTAAGTAAAGCCTATTTGCCAGTCATCACTCTTAAGTTCCATCTAATGGATTCCAGCCAAAATTACAACACCAAAAATATTTTGCCAGCATACAGTGCCTGTGAAACCTAAGGCAAAAAACCAGCCACAAATTAAAATCCTGTACAGAACTTAGCCATTTGAAAGCACCTGGAAATGAAGCCAACTGACTATACTCATCTTATATCGCAGTTAAAAGAACACTAGCCCTCTCAGATGAGAAAGAATCAGTGCAATAATTCTGGCCATCCAAAAGGCCAAAGTGGCTCCCTACCTCCAAACAAACACACAAGCCCCCACAAGCAATGATTTTTAACCAGACCAAAATGACTGAAATGACAGACATAGAATTCAGAATCTGGATGTTAAGAAGTGTGTCAAGATCCAGGAGAAAGTTGAAACCCAATTCAAGGAACCCAATAAAATTGATCCAAGAGTTGAAAGATAAAATAGCCATTTTAAGAAAATACCAAAAAGAACTCCTAGAATGAAGAATTTGCTATAAAAATTTCATAATACAGTCAGAAACATTAACAGCAAAATAAACCAAGCCAAAGAGACTCAGAGCTCCAAGACCGGTTATTCAAATCACCTCAGCAGTCAGAGAGAATATTAAAAAAGAATTTTAAAAATGAGCAAAACCTTCAAGAAATCTGAAATTATGTAAAGAGACCAAATCTATAACTTATTGGCATTCCTGAGAGGGAAATAAAGAGAGTAAGCAACTTGAAAAACATATTTGAGGACATAGTCCATGAAAAATTTCCCAATCTTGCTATAGAGATGGACATGCAAACTCAGGAAATACAGAGAACCCATGTGAGATACTCCACAAGATGACCATCCCCAAGGTGCATAGCCATCAGATTCACCAAGGTCAACAGAAAGAAAAACTCTTAATTGCAGCTAGACAAAAAGGTCAAGTCACTTACAAAGTGAACCTCATCAGGCTAGCAGCAGACTTCTCTGCAAAATCCTTACAAGCCCAAAGAGATTGGGGATCTGTTTTAAGAATCCTCGAAGAAAAGAAATACATCTAACCAAGGAAGTGAATGGTCTCTCCAAAGAGAAGTAAAAAACACTGCTGAAAGAAATCACAGATGATACAAGTAAATGGAAAAACATTTCATGCTCACAGATTGGAAGAACCAATGTTGTTAAAATGGCCATACTCTCAAAGCAATTTACAGATCCAATGCTATCCCCACTAAAATACCAATGCCATTTTCTTTTACGTAAGAAAGAACTATTCTAAAATTCATATAGAACCAAAAAAGAGCCCAAATAGCTAATGGAATCTTAAGCAAAAAGAACAAAGCCAGAGGCATCACATCATTTGACTTCAAACAATAATATTATAAAGTCACAGTAACCAAAACTGCCCAGTACTTGTAGAAAAACAGGACACATAGCCCATTGGGACAGAGTAGAGCAGCCAGAAATAAAGCAGCACACCTACAAAAAATCTGATTTTCAACAAAGTCAACAAAAATAAGCAATGGAGAAAGGACTCCCTATTCAATAAATGATGCTGGGATAAGTGGCTAGCCATAGATAGGAGAATGAAACTGTGCCCCCACATTTTACTATGTACAAAAAAGCAATTTAATATGGATTAAAAATTTAAGTGTAAGACCTCAAGCTATAAAAATCTTAGAAGAAAACTAAGCAATACCCTTCTTGACATTGACTTCAGCAAATAATTTATGGCTAATTTCCCAAAAGCAACTGCAACAGAAACAAAAATTGATAAGTGGGACATAGTAAAACTGAAGAGCCTCTGCACAGCAAAAGAAATTATCAACAGATTAAACAGCCTACAGAATGGGAAAAAATATTCATAAACTATGCACCTGACAAACATCTAATATCCAGGATCTACAAGGAACCAATAAAATCAAGAAGCAAAAACCAAATAATCCAATTAAAAAATGGGCAAATGACATGAAAAGATACGTCTCAAAAGAAGGCATGCAAATGGACAACAAACATGACAAAATGGTCAGATTCACTACTTGTCAGAGAAATGCAAATCAAAGCCACGATGAGATACCATGTCACACCAGTCAGAATGGTGATTACTAAAAAGTCAAAAAACAGCAGATGCTGTCGAGGCTGCAGACAAAAGGCAACACTTATGTACCGTTAGTGGGAATACAAATCAGTTCAGCCACTGTGGAAAGCAATTTGGAGATTTCCCAAAGAACTTAAAACAGAACTATCATTCGACCCAGCAATCCCATTACTGGGTACATACCAAAGGAAAATAAATCAATCTACCAAAAAGACATATGCACTTGTATGTTCTTGTATGTTCATTACAGTGCTATTCACAATAGCAGAGACATGGAATCAACCTAGGTTCCTGCCCATCAATGGTGGATTAGATAAAGAAAATGTGTTACATATACATCATGTAATACTATGTAGCTATAAAAAAGAATGAAATCATGTCCTTTGCAGCAACTTGAATGCAGCTGGAGGCCATTATCCTAAGCAAATTAACATAAGAACGGGAAACCAAATACTGTATGTTCTCACTTATAAGTGGGAGTTAAACACTGAATACACATGGACACAAAAATGTGTAGACATTGGGAGCTACTAGAGCAGGAAGGAAGGGAGAGGGTATGGGCTGAAAAACCATCGGGTACTATGCTCACTACATGAGTGATAGGACCCTTTGTATCCCAAACCTCAACATCACACAACATACCAATGTAACAAACCTGTACCCCCCTGAATACCAAATAAATAAATAATGAATAAAATGTGGTATATTTATACAATGTAAAAAAATCTTTTGATGTAATATTTCTTAATTTTTAATTTTGTCAACATTATTTTAAGTAGTCCATAGACTTCCCTTTTACCAAATAATTTATTTCAAATGCATGTTTTGTGTTATATTTATTCAATTTAAACAAATAAATATTATTTGTTTCTAGCAATTTGTGGTGGGCAACACTGCAGGCTAAAAACATTTATGTGTCAATTTTTGAAAGAGTTTGTTTTTTAGACAGACATCTTTTCAAAATGATTGTCTAGAGGAAAGAAGAGTAAAAAACAATTTCTGTCTTCAGAATTCTAAGCTGTTTAAAGTTTGTTAAGCTTTCTCCAAGATGGAAGGAAAGAGAGAAAAAGAGATAGGATGAGAGAAGGAGTGATAAGAGAAAGCAGGAGGGAGAGAAAAAGGAAGAGGAAGGAAGGAAGAAGGAAGGAAGGAAGGAAGCAAGGGGAGGGGAGGGGAGGGGAAGGGAGGGGAGGGGAGGGGAGGGGAAAGAAGGAAGGAAAGGGAGGAAGTTGCTTATAAATGTCAAGTCTTGTCATCAAGAAGAAAAAAAAAATCCTAACAAGAAAAATGTTTCACTCTTTCAAGACCAGTATCTGGAAATTATAGCTGTTCATTGCTACTGGGCTGGTCATCAGACATTGCTTCTAGGCCTTTGGTTGGGAGAGCAAATATTTACATTACATATACATCTTTTTAAAACTAAGATACCTTGAAAGTTGCAGTTCTAATTCAACTCTTCAGAGATGAAGAGTTGTACTTCATCTCTTCTATAAAATAAGTATCTCCTGTCTTCCCCACTAGGAATTCTGGTTCTCAAGGACACTGGATATAATAGAATTAGAGTATTCTATATCCATTCCTTTATACCAACCACTTTATATCATTTTAGACATACAATAGTCTCAGAATCACCATACAAATCTACTACTGCAAAATATGATTATTGAATAGTTAAAAGAGTTTTGTGTATGCTGTCCCCATTCTCTCCCCATTTTTTAGGTTGATAAATATAACTACATTGCCAGATCATATTGTTACATATTATAATCTATTTCTTTTAATCTTTCTATAATCCTAGTTTTATAAAAATGATGTATTTAATGTTCACCACTAGTTATTATGTAGAAGTCTCTCTAATAATTTTGTTTGTCTAAAGTTGATCCTTTAATAGATTCTTTAGGAAAGATCAAGGGGAAAATATTCCCTGAGGTTTACCATTTGGATAACCTTTTGCCTTGCCCTCTATATTAGAAGATATATTTTGCTACATCAAACACAAAATCTTTAGTTTACATTTTGTTTCCTTTGACTTTGTTAATATGTTACTGTTACTGTTTTCTTTGGGTTTACAGAGTTGTTATTAAAGGTTCTAACGATAATCTAATTTTATTTTACTTACAAGTCTCAATTATTCAGCTTAAATACCCATGAAATAGTTTTCTTTTTTAAAGTCCAATATCTTTAAAATAATTTGTTTTGTTTTTGGATTTCATAGATTGATATTTTCAAGTACAAAGTTATCTTTTCCAATATATAGTTTCAAATCTGTTGGTTTATTTCAAGAATAATATTTGAATTATAGTTTTTAATGTTGCTTGATTTTTGTTTTGGTTTTGTTCTTCAGGTACTCCTATATTCATATGTTGGATTTATTTGCTGAACTTGGTGATTTGTCTCTTTCCTTTACCTTCTTTTGATCTCTTTTCTCATGTCCTTTTGATTTAAAAAAGTATTCTTTTTTTCTTCTAATTGTCTTAAGGTATATCTTATTGCTTTACTTACTCTTCTATTTCTACCAGTTTAGTCTTCATTTCTAAAATAACCTTTTTCTAATATTCCTAATTTTCTGTAACATCTGTCACTGATTTCTGAGTTTACTAATTTGTGTTTGTTCTCTAAAGTTTGAATCATTTTCTTAATGTCCTTTCAGTTATTTTGAAAGAGTATGTAATCGTTTTTCATGTTTTTTGGAAGTACACATAAATAAAAATAACATGCCGTTAAAAATGTCACGCTACTCCTTTGTATTTTTCTTATTGCAACTTCATATGGTGTTTTACCTTGATATATTTCTGTTATATATTTTTATGTGAATCTAGCTTATCTTTATTTTAAGAATGAGGCTTGATCCAGAGAGCTTTGCTAACTTCAAAGAGCCAGAGCCCTCCATTGATGTACGCTAAAATGCATACACACAAAATATAAATATTAATAAGATGGGGCTGGGCATAGTGGCTCACGCCTGTAATCCCAGCACTTTGGGAGGCGGGGATGGGGGGGATCACTTGAGGTCAGGAGTTCCACACCAGCCTAGCCAATGCGGTGAAACCCGGTCTCTACTAAAAATACAAGAAAATTAGCCGGGCGTGGTGGCATGTGCCTGAAAGACCCAGCTACTCGGAAGGCCGAGGTAGGAGAATTGCTTGAATCCAGGAGGCGGAGGTTGCAGTGAGCCAAGTTCATGCCATGGCACTCCAGCCTGGGCAACAGAGCGAGACGCCGTCTCAAATATATACAAATATATATTTATGTATGCATATGAATATATATGCATATAAATATATATTTATGTATGCATATGTATATATTTATAGGTGCATATATATAAATATTTATATTTATATATGCATATAAATATAAATATATTTATATTTATATGCATATATATGCACATATATGTATATATGCACATATATGTATATATATTAATAAGACATATAAACGAAGTAGTATGCATTAAAAAAACAAGGATGGTTGTTTATCGAAGGTGGGGGAATCGGGAATAGGGAAACAAAAAGAATAAACAAATAAATAAAGCAAGAGTGAAAGACTTCATGTAGATAAAAGATGATGGTAAGTCATGAACTGAGGAGTATCATTATTTTCATCTTTTGCACCTGAGGTCCTCTGACACCAAAGGTTTATGGAAAGAATGCATGCTTATTGTATAAAAAATGGAAAACACAAGAAAGATTGAGAAATTTAAACCATCTATAATTCTACCACTTAGAAATAACCCCTGGGAATATTTTGGAATATTTTTCTTGTCTTTTGTGGTGTGTGTGTGTATGTTCTGCAATATCCATAGTGTAGATTCTCTGTATTCACACGAGAACCTGTAATTCAAATCACTCTACACAGCTCATACTTTGTCATGTGACATTACCTTCTGAGTTTTCTAATTCATGTTGATGTTGTTCCTTTATGTCTTGAATCATTTCCTAATGATTTATTTGAAAATTACATGTAATAATTTTGATTTTTATTTTCTATTTGTATTTATTTTTGTTTTATTTTACTTTAATTTCTGGGATACATGTGCTGAATGTGCAGGTTTGTTACATAGGTATACATGTGCCATGGTGGTTTGCTGCACCTATCAACTCGTCATCTAGGTTTTAAACCCCACATGCATTAGGTATTTGTCCTAATGCTCTGCCTCCCCTTGTCCCCCACCCCGGACAGGTCCTGGTAACTTTGATTTTTTAAAGTGTGTCATTATAGCATACTTGCACTATCTTCAAAAATTTTATGCTATTCCTTCTCACCATTCTTATTGTATCTTTGTATGGAACTTTATCTTGATATATTTCTATTGCTTATTTTTATGTGAAGTTAATTGTTCAGTTATTTTAGAATGAGGCTTGGTGCAGATAGTTGTGCTAACGTCAAAGTGCTTTCTATTGATGTAAACCAAAATTGCCTTCCAAAGTATGCTTTCAGAATGATAATTGATAATAACTACATAGATGCTTATCATATATTAGTCTATTAATTTATTTAACATTCATTGTTTTAAATTTACATGATGAAAATGAGTAATTGGCTGTATTTTTTACTGTTATATATAAGACTGTGGTTGCCATTCTTATGCATAGATATTAGTCCAAATCACTAATTAGTTCTTCAGTATACATTTCTAGAAATGAAATTAGGCTGGTGCGGTAGCTCACACCTATAATCCCACAATCACTTGAGCCCAGTAGTTCAAGATCAGCTCGGGCAACATGGCAAAACCCTGTATCCACCAAAAGATACAAAATAAATAAATAAATAAAATACAAAAATTAGCTAGGCATCATGGCACATGCCTGTAATCTCAGGTACTAAGAAGGCTGAGGTGGGAGGATTCTTAGAACCCAGGAGGCCAAGGTTGCAGTAAGTTGAGATCACTCCACTACATTCCATCCTGGGCAACAGAGTGAGACCCTGTCTCCCTGTCTCACACATCAAAATAAAAAAAACAAAAAGAAAAAGAAGAGAAGTGGAATTACTAGGTCATATCTTTCCATATTGCTAATTAGAAAAGTTAAAAGTTTATAAAACATTGGCAGGATAGGAAAGTGTTCATTTCACCACTCTCATCAGTAATTTGTTAATTTGAAAAGTTAAACATTTTGTTTGTTTAAAAATACATTTCTTTGATGAAAACTAAAGTTGAACTTAATCTTATTTTATTGGTCTTTTGAATTTCTTCTATTAAGAATTATCTATTTTGTAACTTATTTTGTAAGTTACAAAATAGACCACACTGCCTCCACCACCCAAAATCTTCTCTCATTCTTTTTCTCTCAGTAAATGGCAAGTGCAACCCACCTGCGTCCTATACAATGAACTGTGATTCTTTCTTGCATCTAACTTTTCATTCCTATTTTATCCAAATGTTGCTCAAATTCTCTAGATTATGCATAAAAAATCTAAAATCTCCCTACTTGTCTCCATCTCCACTGCTACCATGCTAATCGAAACTACCTGGTCTCTGAGCTTCCTTTTTCCGTCTATACATCCTCCACACTGCAGTATCACTGATTTTAAAGGGTCGTTCTCTCCAGTCCTTTATGCTTAGAAAGACTTTCCCAAACATAAGATGCTACTAGCTGTTTTATGGCATTTTCATTTTTATTAGATTCTAATTCATCATGATTTCATAAAATTATTCTTCTCTAGAATTTCAGAATTTTAGTTTGAGTTTTTTCTTTGATATGAGCTTACTTTTTAAAAAAGTTTCCTGGTGAGAAGTGCATTTTTTATTATTATTACTAATTGAGGACTTACCTTTTAATGTTGTTTGTATTTCTATTTTTGAGTTATTTATGGCCTAATATATAGTTAATTTTAATAAGGATTTATGTATACTTGAAAAAAAGGTATATTTTCTGCTATCAGGATAAAGTGCTTATATATTTATAGACTCTATCTTATGGTTTTTAGGCCTTCTATGTCCTTACTAACATTTTTTCCCCTTGATCTGTCTAGATCTGAGATAAGTGTGCTAAAGTTTCCTATTTTTAATATGTGTCTATTTCTCCTTTCATCGCCTGTAGTTTCTGCTTTATGAAAGTTGCTACTGATATTTGGTGAATAGATATTAATATCTTCACTGTGAATCGCACTCTTTAGCATTATAGTGTGTCCTACTTTGTATCGTTTAATTCTTCTTGGCCTGAATTCTACCTTGTTTTAGATCAAGGTCATGGCCCCTGCTTTCTTCTTTCTTGCCTTTGCCTGGTGTATTTTTGTTCATGCTTTTATCTTTACCCATTTCAATTCACTTTATTTTAGGTATATCTTTTGCATACAGCATAAAGTTGAATTTTGCTTTCTTAGCCAATCTGAAAATCTTTTTCTTATGTAAGTCCACTAACATGCATTGATACAACTGATATATTTGGTCTCAGTTCTATAATAAAGTATTATGTTATATAAATGTGAATGCATGTGCATGTTCCATTATTTTAGTTGTTTGCCCTTCTCCCCCATTATTTCCTTTGCTATTTGGGAACGTTTGAAGTCTTTCTAATGGTTAGCTTTACACTAATACCTATCTATAATGCATTTAACCATACTCTGTTCTGAAACAGTTTCTTTCTATTATTAATATTATTGTCAGCCAGAAACTGCTTCTTTTCCTCTCTTGCTAGATATAAGTATAATCTTAGTGTTGTTTGTAGAGCAAAACATACTTAAGCTTCAAGCTCTTAATTTTTGTTTTAAATTATATCTTTCCCTTCCTAATACCAGTAAGTCAATCAGCGAGTGTATTCTAATTTCTATTTACCCCTTTCCATCCCAATTAGTAATTAGTTGTACTAGTTCTCCAACATCAGGGCCTGTAATATGCACATTGCATTTTATCATCTTTCATTTTCTGGTCCTTAAATGCTTACTGCCAGGCCACTAGACCATATGAAAGAGCTTTCCAGATGTTACAGTTTTCTGAATCTCTTTCTGTGATAAGTTCCCTAGAAAAGGTTTATGGAAATGGTATTTTTTCAAGTAGTGCCTGTTTATAACTCTTTATAGCCTTTGTACCAAAGGATGTTTGACCAGGTATAAAAACCTTGGCTCACATATGGTTTCCTTCAATACTTTAAAAATGTTGCTTAATTGTTTTGTAGCTTAAAACATTGTTGTTTAGAAATTTAGGATGACTTTCATTTTTGTAATTAGTTAATTGATTTATGTATATGTGTTGGTGGTATGGAGTAAGGATGGAGGACGTGTGGTTCTGAATTTCTGAAGGCAATTTTTCCTTATCTTTATAGTCTAATCTGTCTTGGTATTGACTCCATGTACAAGGAGAGTATGAATTTTCAATAGAATCAATTTTTGTTTTTCCAGAATATTTTGATAATTGTAATTTTAAATAATTTTTTCTGTTTTGTTGCTTCAATGTCTATCTTCAGGAACAACTATTAAATGAATATTTAATCAGCTTTACAGATTTTCTCCATCAGGTTTTCAAATCTTTTTAATATCTTTTTTTAAGTCTAACTGGTTTGGTTTTGATTTTCTATTTGTTAACTATTTACCCTCTTCCTTTACAATGTTTTTCCTAATGCCAATTTACTTTTTTTTTTTTTTTTGAGATGGAATCTCGCTCTGTTGACCAGGCTGGAGTGTAATGGCATGATCTCTGCTCAGTGCAACCTCTGCCTCCCCGGTTCCAGTTATTCTCCCGCCTCAGCCTCTGGAGTAGCTGGGATTATAGACGCGCACCCACGCCCAGCTATTTTTTTTTTTTTGTATTTTTAGTATAGATGGGATTTCACCATGTTGGCCAGGCTAGGAATTTACTCTTATATTCTTATTTTAGCTTTATTTCTGAATATTTTTCCCTTTTTCCAATTCAATTTTAATAATTGTCAATCCCTCCCTCCTGTCTTTTTATCAGTTATCCATATAAGCTCTGAGATTTTGAATTTCTTTTTGTTTTGTTTTGTTTTGTTTTGTTTTGAGACGGCATCTCGCTCTGTCGCCCAGGCTGGAGTGCAGTGGCATGAACCCGGCTCACTGCAAGCTCCACCTTCCGGGTTCACGCCATTCTCCTGCCTCAGCCTCCCGAGTAGCTGGGACTATGGTCTCCCGCCATCACGCCCGGCTAATTTTTTTTTTTTTTTTTTTTTTGTATTTTTTAGTAGAGAGGGGGTTTCACCGTGTTAGCCAGGATGGTTTCGATCTCCTGACCTCATGATCCGCCCACCTTGGCCTCCCAAAGTGCTAGGATTACAGGCGTGAGTTACTGCGCCCGGCAGATTTTGAATTTCTTAGTTGAAATAGTATTTCAAAGCTTCTAGCATTTTCTGTACCTTACTTTGAAATATTGTGCCAGAGTTTCTGTTTTGAGACCACATATTTTTTTTCTTATGTGTTCTTACTGTCTTTTGAAACATTATCATATTAACTTTTATTACTTTTTTTTTTTAGCAGTAACTTATATTGGAGTTAGACTGCATTTTCCCCCACATTTATAAAGGAGTGAGTTTTCCTAAGCTATTAGAAAGAGGCTCTTTAGGGCTGGGCACTGTGGCTCGTGCCTATAATCCCAGTAATTTGGTAGACCGAGGCGGGAGGATTGCCTGAAGCCAGGAGTTAAAAAGCAGTCTGGGCAGTGAAGTGAGGCCTTTCAGAAAGAGGAAAGGAAAGAAGGAAGGAAGGACGGAAAGAAGGGGGGAAGGAAGGGAGGAAGGGAGGAAGGGAAGGAGGGAGGGAGGGAAGGAGGCAGGGACTTCTTAGAAGGGGAATGGGCAGTAGCATAGCTTTCCCAATATTGTTAATTAAAGGTATCCACTTTTTTACAGGTCACTACCAGAAAGGCTCAAAATGTGTTCTCTTCATGTAGATCTAACTGTATTCAGGACAACTTTCAGTCTCCAGCCTATGCTTAGCTCATGAGCCCTAGGAGCCTGATTTACTCAGTGCTTTATGTTTTAGACGTTATATTTTGCTGTTAAAGGACCTTTTGAAAACTTTCCTCCTTTTGGGATTGTCCCACTATCTGATTTTTCAGCCTCCATTTCTCCCAGTCATTTCTGTCCTGCTCAGTTTTGTTTGTTTCCGAGTATGTTTGTATTTTTCAGTTTTCTCAGCATGTATATCTCAGTTCTGGAAAGTCATAGGAGGTTGGAGAGGGATTTCCTATTTCACTGATTTCCAAGTTCCAGACTTCCCAGCATTCTGTGACTTCTCCCAGGTGTGCACACTAATTTTCTTGCACTCACTTTCATCTTGGAGGCAGTGAAGATTTTGCCCAGGGTCCCCTGTTGTCAGACCTACCCTGTCATTTCTAATCAGGGTAAGCTCTCCTCCCTTTGGAAAGATTTGCTACTACTCTTCTTTATCCTTCTGATTTGTAGAGTGTGCTCTAATACTTTTTGACTCCCAGTTTCTCCTATACTTATTGATTCGTGTAGCTTCTTCTAGTGGTTTGACCACACCTAACTCTCTTCAGTAATTCCTTTACATTAATAATTTATAAAATCATAAAGTGTTATTATTTTAGAGTTGAAAGTGTATTAGACAACCCCAAGGTAAGCAACTAATTATGCAAATAAGGAAACTCAAATTTTCTCATGATCACAAGGTTTGTAGCTATTACTACATGTTGTAATGTTTAATTGCTTTCTTAATAATTATATCTCAACTCTCCAAATGGATGGTAAGTTTGTCAAATTTAAGGACAATGTTTCATTCATCTTTAAAGTCTTCCATAAGCACCTGGGATGGAGCTAGGAATGTGAGGGGAATTTAGAAGGTACTTATTAAGGTGAAGTTAAATAAATATGTTTGTTCATTCAGTAAATATTTATTGAGTGCTTCATGTGTCAAGTATTGTTCTAGGAATTTTGTGTGTATCAGCGGAGAAATATTTTTTGAATTCTCTACTTTGCTGGAGCTTATATTTTAGCATGGGTAGAAAGATAACAAAAATACATACGATAAAATGTTAATTATGTGAATGTTAAATATTACAAGAATTATAGGGAAAGATAGGGCACAGAAAGGAGCAGGGGAGTGGAGGGGATTGCAATTTTTAATAGTAAGATGATTATGCAGTTGGTGAATTTTGGGGCAAAACCTGAAGCAGATGAAAGTGTTAATTATGGAAATACCTGAAGAGTGTTTCAAGCAGAAGAAACTTCCAGTGCAAGGGCCCTAAGACAGTAGTCTGTGTGCAGGAAAGAGAAATATCATGGGAACTAATGTGGCAAAACAAAGTGAGCAAGGACAATAATTGTAGGAGTTGAGGTAAATGATCAACTCTTGGTGGGACTATATATGGAGCAGGAGCTAGGGTTACATTATGTAGGGTTTATATGCCATTGTAGATATTTTGGTTTTTACTTTGAAATAGGAGGAGACTGCAAGGTTTGGAAAATAAGGAACGTCATGACCTGGCTTATACTTTTAAAAGATTACTCTGGTGGCTGCGTTGAGAATTCATGATAAAAGATGGAAGGGTGGAAGTAGGACAATCAGGAGGATTCTTCAGTAATTCAGATGAGAGAAGATGGTGGTTTGACTAGGTGGTAGTAACGGAGGTGGTGGGAATCAGTCAGTTAATAGGTAAAGACAACAGGATGTTTTAATATACCAGATATGAGATGTGAGAGAAAGATCAAGGATGACACTAAGATATTTGTCCTGAGCAACTGGTAGGGTGACCAACTTATTGTATTTTGCTCAGAAATTTCCCAGTTTTAACAATGAAAATTCTTCGTCTTGAGAACTTACTCGGTTCCTGGTGAACTGGGATGGTTGGCCACCCTTGAACTGAAAGAAAGGCATTGTTGTAAGTGAGACTGTAAGATTTTTAAAGGAAGACCAGGAATTCAGTTCTGGACGTATTAAGTTTGAGTTATCTATTAGAGTTTCTATCTAGTAGTGGAGATTGTAAGCAGGTAGTTGAATGTACATGTTGAGTTCAGGAGAGTGGTCTGGACTGGAGATATATATTTGGAATTTCTTGGCCTAAAAATATTGTTTAGTATCCTGAGTCTGAATGAAGTCACCAAGAAAATAAATGTAGATAGGGAAAAATCCCAAAATTTAGAGTTTCAGAGAAGAAAATAATTGAACAAAAGAAGATTGGCTGGGCGCAGTGGCTCAGGCCTGTAATCTCAGCACTTTGGGAGGCCGAAGCGGGCGGATCATGAGGTCAGGAGTTCGAAACCAGCCTGGCCAACATGGTGAAACCCCATCTGTACTAAAAATACAAAAATTAGCCAGGCGTGGTGGTGCAGGCCTGTAATCCCAGATACTCGGGAGGTTGAGACAGGAGAATCGCTTGAACCTGGGAGGTGGAGGTTGCAGTGAGCCGAGATCGTGCCTCTGCACTCCAGCCTGGGCAACAGAGCAAGATTCCATCTCAAAAAAAAAAAAAAAGAAGATTGTGAAAGAGTGAGCACTGAGGTAGGAGGAAAACCAAGAAAGTAAGAAAGTATGGTGTTCGGAAAGCCAAGAAAAGAAAGCATAGCAAGGAGATGGCGAGGATCAGTTGGACAAATGCTGATAAGGGTCTAGGAAGAAGAGGACTGAGAATGTAACTACTGGAGTTAGCAACATGAACGTGAGCCTGAAGAGTTAAGTTCTGGTCATGTAGTGGACACAAAAGCATGATTGGAAAGGGGATAAAGGGAAATGGCAGCAGATATGTACCATTATTTTATGGAGACTTGTGGAAAAGATTGAGAGACTTGTAGAAGCAGCTGGCAAAAAAATTAGTTAGATAAAATATTTTTAAATGAAAGAAATATAGCATGTTTGTATATTACTGGAAATGACCCAATAGAGGGAAAAATAAATGATTGTATAAACAGAATGAGAACTGTCAGAGGGATTTTCTTAATAAGGTAAAACAAAATGAAATTACTGGCAAAATCGCTCACTAGAAAAATGCATATTTCAACTGTCTACACCAGATTTAGAAAAAAAAAAAAACGTAAATGACAGCAAAACAAGGAGGAGTTTGTGCAAGAGAATAACTTTTGGAGTTTGTGCTATAGTCCCTCTGGATTAAGTTTCAATCCATTGAATATGCCTGTACAGTACCACATTTTTTACTTTATAGCATAAGTTTGAAACATTGCACAATCCTCAATCTCCAGAAAACATTTGCATACTATTTACTAGGGTGGAAGTCACTAACTGCATGTTTTAGAAGGCTTTCTAAATAGGCTTTCAATAACCAATAAGTATTGAAAGAACAATCTATTTCAAAGTAATTTTTAACCAATCAGAAAATTCCATTAACTTGTTATCTGCTTTCCAAGTATTGTTATACTTCTTTTGTTTCCAATTAAGCAAGTTATAATTAATATTTTCTGTATTGAAACAGGATGAATCTATAGGTACAGTCTTCAGAGTCTTTTCTGAACTACTGGGTCCATGGTTTACAAAGATTCTGCTGGATATAAATATACATGTATTGTTTTTTCTTATGTTAATTATTCTCATTTTTGGGGTTCTATTCAGTATTTATCAATTCTTTTTGATATTTACCTTAAAGCCTGTATACTTTTCTAGATACATTGTCCTTTATGTTGAAGCCTAATCTGCTGACTTCACCTAAATGGAGATGGGATTTATCAGCAAAAGGAAAGCAGGTGAAAACCAGACCAGATGTCGATAATTATATGAGGCACTAATTAACACTACCTAAATGAAACAAGTTTGTCTTTGTTAATATGTCACTTGCACACTATTACTCCTCGACCTGCGGAAATACTCCGTGTGTGATGACACTGTTGTGTTCGTCATAATGGTGCCATTATTACATCTGAACAGTTTCCAAGTGGGACTTTCCAGTTGATAGACAAAGGTATGCACTTTCATTTCCAGTTTATTTCTGTAGTTCTAATTACATTATTAATTTTTAATAATTACATAAATGCTTTAGAACATAATCTAACATACAAAAAATAAACATAGGAACCCTAAATAAATTTTCTGTGAAAAATCTAAATGCATTATTATTTTTCATTATTATGTAAAGTTTATAATCCAGTTATGGTACTTGAATCTGTGTTTTTATGCTGAGTGTACTGAATTTTATAAATTTAGCCATAAATATTTCTAGGTTTAAAAATTATCAGTAATGTTAAAGCAGGAAGCAGAAAGACTGTGTGCTTTTCTCTTTCTTCTCTCAAAAACATACCAAAATAGGCCAGGCATGGTGGCTCACACCTGTAATCCTGGCACTTTGGGAGGCCAAAGCAGGCAGATCACCTGAGGTCAGGAGTTTGAGACCAGCCTGGCCAACATGATGAAACCCTGTCTCTACTAAAAATACAAGAAATTAGCCCAGTGTCGTGGCACATGCCTGTAGTCCCAGCTACTCGGGAGGCTGAGGCAGGAGATCACTTGAACCCAGAAGGTGGAGGTTGCAGTGAGTTGAGACCGTGCCACTGCACTCCAGCCTGGGCAACATAGTGAGACTCCATCTCAAAAATAAATAAATAAATAAATAAAACCAAAAATAGGGTATTTTCCATTATTTCATTTTAAATAAAAGCTGAAAATGACAGTAATTGCACACACACACATACAGATACACACACATTATCTGAAGAACATGTGCCAGACATAGCAAACTCTGAAGCAAATCAATTAGAGCACATAGAGTTTCATTACGTGATTTTTTTTCTCTTTTTTTCTCTCTTATCTTTCTGTGTCTAGTAGATAACAAGTGAAACAATTCTCAATGGCTCAATTACAAACATGTTGAAGAGATGAGGACCTAGAAAGGGACATGAAAAAAATCATGAGAAAAGTAGACTCTATGGGATCTTAACCCCCCTTCAGTAAAAAGCAGTAAAGACTCAGGGAAAAGGGATTCCTGTACTGCGCTCCACATTTTAAAGGGTCTTTTATGTCTTGTCTATCAGAAGCAAACAAAAGCAAATTCACTAAAACACACATGGGTCCCTAAGTCACAAAGAATTCAGTGCTCAGCATTGGTATCAAACAACTACCCACTGGCTCTTGGGACTAACAGCATTCAGACTCCAAGGGAACTCTCATCCACAGCTCTCGCTGAATTCATTTGAACATCTTCAGGAATTGCAGGTTGTGCCATTAGAGATGGGTACTGCTTCACAGTTCAAGGAAGATTTTTGTAGTTGAAGCATACAGAGAAGAGAAAAATACAAATTAATTAACTAGTACAATCTTTCATCATACATAGTATGAATGTAATATTTTGTGCTCAATGAAGATTTACTCCTCAATAATGTCAACCATTAATTTTTTTTTTGCTTTTCTTCATGTTCTAATTATTGGACCCAGAGGTATTCACAATACATTTGCAGTATTTATAACAGTTGCACCCAGTGGCTGAGAAAAAATTCACAATATTAAAAAATTCACATTCGTCTTATATTTATATAAATGTAGGTCTAGATGTAACATGCTTGAAGCTAAATACAGATCATTGTACTGGCAGCAATGTGGATATTGAATGCTAGAATTGTGAATAGTTTTATTTTAATAAAATATTTACTAAGATTTAATTTCTATAGACAAAAGTTGCTGGCCACACTAGATCAAGTTTTTTTCTCATTTGAAAAGCAACTTGAAAGAATTGAACAGCACATTGCTATTTCTTGTTTACTTTAAAATATCTCAATATTGAAGTATTTTAAGGAAGAATTGTATGATTTGTGAATTTATTTTAAGAGATGGTAAAAGCATGAAATAAGTAGATTGTTAGGAGAAAACATTATAATATATTTAAATTTTATCAGTGAAACAAGTTATATGTGGCTTCATTACAGAGCTTAAACATGGTGTATTAGTTTGCTAGGGCTGCCGTAACAAAGTACTACAAACTATAGTTTGATTCAACCTATAATGCATGGTATGTAAAGCTTAGCAAAGTGAAGTTTCTTCAAAATTAAGGCCAGGTCTGGTGGCTCATGCCTGTAATGCCAGCACTTTGGGAGGCTGAGGCAGCTGGGTCACTTGAGGTCAGGAGTTCGAGACCAGCCTGGCCAACATGGTGAAACCCCATCTTTACTAAAAATACAAAATAAACCAAGCATGGTGGCACATGCTTGTAATCCCAGTTACTAGGCAGGCTGAAGCTGAGGTAAGAGAATCACTTGTACCCAGGAGGCCGAGGTTGCAGTGAGCTAAGATCTCACCACTGCACTCCAGCCTGGACAACAGAGCAAGATTCCATGTCAAAAACAAAATAAAAAAGTTAATGAAAACTAGGGCCTACCATGCTTTCAGAAAGATTGTCAAATTTAACATTATACTCACAACACAAATTACATAAAACATCTCAATTATATTAACACGATAACTGGGAATTTTGCTGAAATAAGAGCAATAAGAATTTATTAACACTGCTGGCCTTTATTTTATTACTCATTTAAACATTCCTGACCTACTACCAGATCACTCAAATATGTACAGTATTAAAGTATCATAATTTGTTAGTATTTGCTGACTTTCCAGGCACATGAAAACAATTGCTTTGCAGTATTTTTTTAAATTTTTGTTTTTATGAAGGTATATTTTTGGCGGGTTTTTTTTTTTTTTTTTCTTGAGACAGGATCTCACTCTGTCTCTTAGGATGGAGTGCAGTAGCTCAATCTCAGCTGACTGCAGCCTCCACCTCCTGGGCTCAAGCAGTCCTCCCACTTCAGCCTCCTGAGTAGCTGGGACCACAGGGGTGTGCCATCATACCTGGCTAATTTTTTTGTATTTTTGGTGGAGACTGGGTTTCATCATGTTGCCCAGACTAGTCTTGAACTCCTGAGCTCATGTGATCTTCCCGTCTCAGCCTCCCAAAGTGCTGGGATTACAGGCATGAGCCACCACAATGGGTGAAGGTATATTTCAATGTAAAATGAGAGTAATATATTTTATTTAATTGTCAGATTTTAAAAATAAATTTAGATAATCACTATATGTGGCAGTGGGACTCCCTTTGTTCTCTTCCATTGGGTTCCACCAATATTAGAAGCTGGGCTGCTTACTCTGTTTCAAGAAATAACAAAGTAAAGTCTTTAAGGGAGATCTCAGCAAAGCCATTCATATTTTCCTACCCAAAACAGAAGATTCAAAAATTCCTAGCCAACTTGACTTTAGCAATTTTTAGATATATGAGTAAAATGTCAAATATCTACTTTAAAGTTAATTTCCCTGTAGAGTTAGTTCCATGAATACATGCAGAAATGATGAGTAGATGGTAACTTAAAAATATTTTAAAATCTTAACTTAAACAATTGTTTTCAAGCTTTTCGCATCATCAACAATGTCTTCATCATTGAGCTATTAATAGTTTTAAGTCACCCACTTTTCAAATAATATCATCTCTACTTCCATATTTTTTTAAATGAGACAGAATATTTTAAATCTATTTAAGGTATTACCAGTGGAAAATTTGCCTTGTTAATAGAACCCATTCAAGTACCGTTAGGGTAGTCACTATTTTCTCATTCTTTTTATATGTAGGTTTATATTTATAATTTGTAAAGGTAACTATTTACTCAGTTGCTTTCTTCTTTTCTTCTGTATTGCTTTCTGAGGTTAACTTACAAGTATTAAAAGATTTATTTATAATGACAGCCCACATATCTCATACTTTCCAGGAAACAAGTGCTGAAACTGTGTATGAGACCTTTTTAGTATTGACTATGGTCATTTCAGGCTAAGATCCTTCCCTCAAACAATTTTTTTGAGGGGAATTAATTTAATTTAATTCAAATTAATTCCCCTAGCTAAAATTAAATAATTGAGATACATCCTGCTAAAACAGAAGGTTTTATAACGATTGATAAACTAGGCAACTTCTATTTGCCCAAAGGATTTTCTTTGGAAAACAAAAAAATCATTAATATGCAAGTAAATGAAACAATAAAGAAAAGGATTTGAGCCACAAGTTTTGCACCCACTGCTTCTAGTTAGACCGAGGTGTTCTTGTCAAACTACAGAGATCAGGAAGAATCCTAACCTGGCATAGGTGCAGATGGAATCGCACAGTCAAAGACAGAGGAGGGTGATCAGAGAAAACATGACCTGCTGCTGTTCTAACTCAAGCGGCCCCACCTCCCAGCACATGTTCCTTCAGCACGTGTGACAGCTAAATGACTAAACACAAATAATAAACTGCAGCCAGTTTTCCAGCTGAAAGTCTAAGGGTGAACCGGGTTAGCTAGGAGAGAGTTCAGTGAGGGTCCACCCATCCAAATCCTGGCCAAATGCCCAGCTCCATTACAGCTATGAGGAAGAAGCAGGAAATAAAACGCCCATGGAGTCAATGAAAAATATCACCCAAGGGGAGAAAGCAACGTTACATATAAAAGAAAAATGAAGAGGATATTTGGAATGCTTACTCCAAAATACAAAAGGCACATTTAGAAAAAAGTGCCTCTGGGGCCTTAAGCAAATTTGAGAAGATGGACTTTATGAATCATAAAATCTGTAAATAATACTTGTGCCTTACCCTGTTCAGATTTATTGATTCTATTATTGGGTATCTCTTCTCAAATAATATTTAAAATAGTTGTGACAGTATATTCACTAACATTGGGATTATGTTTAGTATTTTTTTGTTAAGCATAATGCAGAACTTAAAGTACCTCAAAAATGAGCAGGTAAAAATACAACAGGCAGCCGGGTGTGGTGGCTCACACCTGTGATCTCAGTATTTTGGGAGGCCTAGGCGGGCGGATCACCTGAGATCAGGAGTTTGAGACCAGCCTGGCCGACATGGAGAAACTCCATGTCTACTAAAAATACAAAAATTAGCTGGGCGTGGGGGTGTGTGCCTGCAGTCCCAGTTACTCAGGAGGCTGAGGCAGGAGAATCACTTGAAATCTGGAGGCAGAGGCTGCAGCGGCCAAGGTGGCCACTGCACTCCAGCCTGGGTGACCGAGCAAGACTCTGTCTCAAAAAACAAACAAAAAAAACCCCAAACAGGCAAATTTAAAAAATAAAAGTAATATACACAGTATTAATATCAGAAAATATGTACTGTCAAAACATTAAGTTGAAATATGGGCATTTTTATTCTTTATAGGTCGTATGAAATTCAGTTTTATAAACAGATATTCATGTAGCAAATGTCACAGCATCAATGTAATCAATGTGATTGAAAGAAAAAAATTATAATTGTAAAAATCGACTATAGGTTGAGAAGACTGACCTCAGAAAGTAACATTTCACGAAGGGAGATAATTTCTCCATTGTTCAGGAAAACAGTGAAAGTTCAGCATCTCTTCTTGCTTATCTGGGACCAGCGCAAGATGAAAATATTGAGTGTGCAAACCTAATATTTGCTTATTTAGTTAAAAAGCATTTCACAATGTAAACATATATCAAAGCATCACATTGTACCACCTAAATATTTATAATTATTACTTGATATGTTTGGCTATGTGTCCTGTCCTCCCCGCCCCCACCGCCCCACCCACCAAATCTCATCTCAAATTGTAATCTTCACATGTCCAGGGAGGGACCTGGTAGAAGGTAATTGTATCATGGGGGTGGTTTCCCCAGTGCTGTTCTCATGATAGTGAGGGAGTTCTCATGAGAACTGATGGTTTCAAGAGTGGCAAGTTTTCCTATGTTCTCTCTCTCCTGCCACCATGTAAGACATGTCTTCCTTCCCCATCCCCAGCCATGCCACATTTTGAGTCAATTAAACCTCCTTTTTAAAAATAAATTATCCAGTCTCAGGTAGTATGTTTATAGCAGTGTGAAAACAGACTAATATATCAGTCAATTTAAAATAAAATTTTAAATGATTTAATATGAAAATAGATGTAATGCTCTACAAAAATCCAGGCAGTTGTTTTAAAAAGACATAGATAATTGAATTTACAGTTGTAATATATTTTTTCTCACTTACCTGAGTGTATGATCCCAATTTGGAGATCACTGAGTTAGACAAAAAAGGATCAAAATTGTTGTGGAGAATGCACAGGAATTTTATAATTATCTATTGGAGACACGAGAATATGTTATCTATGGTGTTCATCATATTAATGGCTTGAAAAAATTTCACATCAATTAATTACAGAAAAAAATTTATTATAAAATTCATCATTGGGTGTGTATGTATGTGTATGTATAGCAAACTTTATGCCCAGTAGCAGATTACAGCAGACAATCCCATTAAAGTCAAGGATCAAATGAGCTTACATACTAACACTACTAGTTTTAATTTTGCTTCAGAAAACAAATTGTGTAATAGAACTTATAAATATTGAAAGAATAGAGTGAATGTGGTATAATTCACAAGTTATCTGATACAAGATAAATCTAAAAAAATTAAGTCTTCAGAAACACCAAGAATTCAGTAGGATAGTGAATTTCAAATTAATTTGAAAAATTACTTTCTAATTATATTAGAAGAATAAATTTATCCACAATAGCAATATCAACAAAATAAAAAAAAATGGGAAAAAACCCACTTTGGAATAAACCTAATAAAAGCAGGCAGTAATGATGTTCTTTACAACATACTATTGTATGTAGTTTTACAGTTGTAAAGTTTTAAAAGTTGTACAGGTGTACAGATTTCTTAAACTTCAAAAATTTAATTTAAGAGTTAGAACCTTAATGTGCAGAGTCACAGGCCATGTTCTTGGATGGTATCACTATGTATTTTACAGATACAAATTTTCTACAAGTTGACCTATAAGTATAATGAATACTAATTAATTCCATAATTAAACTGGAGAAAAAAAGTATAAGATTATTTTAAATTCATTG
Source organism: Homo sapiens (assembly GCF_000001405.40). Classification (NCBI taxonomy): domain Eukaryota; kingdom Metazoa; phylum Chordata; class Mammalia; order Primates; family Hominidae; genus Homo; species Homo sapiens. The sequence goes on along the minus strand of NC_000003.12, from coordinate 147,814,374 downwards.
GAACACTAAGTACGTGAGTATAACCAGAAAATAATTTAAAATAAAAGAAAATGAAAAGGATTGGTCTATCAAGTATAAGAAACATAAGAATATAATTAATTAAACTGCTATTGATTCAGGAATAAGAAAAAAATGGAATATACTAACGGCTACGGAAACAGATTCAAGCATGTATGAGTATTTAATATGTAATAAAACTGAATTTCTTTAGTAGTGAAGAGAGTATGAATTAAAGAATAAATGACATTGGGACCATTTTATTCCAGTTTACAAATATTGTATTTTTTTCTCATACCATAAACCAAAAGTCTCAAATGAGTTGATGATTTAATTGCAAAGAATCATATAACGAAAGAAAGTTTGGGAAATAATTTTTATAATTTTAAGGTGGGAACAACTTTCTGTAGAAAACATTGACACGTTGATTTACATAAAAATTTATAATGCACAATAAAGCCATGGAAACTAGTGATGGGCAGGATCACATATAAAAAGTATTTAAATACTAAAAAGTCCTGTTAAGAGCTATTTAAGTAGATATTTTTCAGCTATGAAATTGGTTAGGACTTTAACATTTTCCATATCAATATTGGTGTAAATTATATACTGACACCTTTCTAAATGTCAATTTAGTAATATAATCAGATGTTACTAAATTAGTTATCCTATGTAAGTAATTAGATGTTTGTGACAGTATATACACAGTGGTGGTTATTGCAGTTTTGTTTACGTTTTTTTTAAATGGTAAGAACTCAATATCCAATAGTAGGGGGCTTACAACCATTTAAAATGGAATATTAAGGGGTTTACAAAATGGTTAACGTTACAGATCTTGTTAGTGGCAAATTTAGAAAAATGGAAAGCAGGTGGCCGTTGTGGGATCCTGCATTGTGTGTGCGTGTGTGTGTGTGTGTGTGTGGGTGTGTGTCTGGGGGAATTAAGCCTGTGGGGAGAAAGATCCTTAGTAAGGAAAGGAGAATGTGAGAGTGATGGGATATTCTGGGATCCTTAACTAGGAAAGGCTGAGGTGCTTGGTGGAACTGGGAAATAGAGGGAAAAATAAAAAATAAAATAAAAATGGTTAACATTAAAAAGTCTATACACCACATTAGTAACAGAAAAAGCAGGCTATACAAATAACTAAAGTCAGATAACCTCCCAGACTGTTTTTTACAGGTGCATAGCTAAAACAGTACTAGTAATTATTTCTGGGTAGAGACAGAAAAAAAAAAAGGACCATTCTTTTCTTCTTCATAATTTTCTGAAAAGTTTGAAATGAGTATGAATTTTTCTTATGTTTAGAAATGATGTGGCTATTTTCATTAAACTAGTTTTATTTAAATAAAAAAGTAACAAATGAACTAATCCTCTTCCTATTATGTATTGACTTACATACTTTATTTGGCAATCCATGAAAATTTTCCAATTTCTAGTGACTATCATTTTATGTAAATATAATTCTCCAAAAAATGACTTTACTCAATTTTAGATGATTTTATTTCATACTATATATATCACTTGGGAGTCATTAAAATATTTAAATAAATGAATGAAAACAACACATGCATTTGCCATAATTGCTTCATTTTTAATTTCCCCCCTCTGTCCCTAATGAACATCAGCCGTTCTTTTCCTGTGATTCAGCACAGCCAGTGATCACCTATGAACCAGGATATGAGAAATTTCCTTCCCACACAGAGCTAAGTGAAATACATATGCCTTTGTCTCTCTTTGTATCATAATTAACTTACTAGAGTTTCACAGGATATTAATCTACCCTTTTATTTTTATAGTTCATTAAGTATATTATTATGTGTCTGTACATATTTTATATTCACAGCATTCCTTAAAACAATTTTACTAGTTATTTCTCACATATTGTTATTAAATTATGAAATATGATTCAACCAAAAAAAAACACTCAGAAATGAAATTGCCTCCAGTTCTAGCTGTAGAGAAAATCTGACATAATAAGAAAAGCCATGAGATATCCAGTTCGTAATCACAGCTGTTTCCAAGCAGTTCTAGGTCAGTTTAATAAAACCTAGAATGGTCAGAAAATAACTGATTTTACCTTTCAGCCTTGTCACACTGCATCTGAATTTTCAAAACTCTATTCCCAAAGCTCAATTTCAATTTAGTCGATTGCATGCGACTCTTAACCCTACAATTAACCAACAATTGACTTAGATTTCTTGCCAGCACCTAAAAGTTCATTAAGTGACTGATAGTGTCTCCATTTTTCTACCTATCAATGTCAATATAATGAATTATTTTGCATTCGTATATATTTATTTAACATTCATAGAGGAAATAGATTGAGTTTGTGTTATTCTCTTTAGTTACATGTAAAGTAGAAAACTCGGGTGTTGACATCCAAGCAACAAACAGGCAAACAAACATGGAAGTTCTCATAGATTATTATATTCCTCAATAAATCTCCACACTCTATCATCTTTCATCTTTAATGTATATGGAACTTTTTTTTTTATCATAGTTTCATTTACCACCTGAATTTTTCAATAGTCTCCATATTGGTCTTCCTTTCTACAGTCCTTCCTACACACTGTCACCAGAATGATCCTTCTAAATTTGTCTCTGAGCATATTACTCTGGCCTTTAAATCTGTCAGTGGCTCTACTCATCTGCCTGGCAAGGGTCAGGTTCATTTGTTGGCATAATACCTTCTCCATAGTAGTGACCCTTCTTTTAATCTTTAGCTTCATTATCCACCATCCAGTTTGACACCTCTGTGGGTTTGCACAAGCTATTGCCCCTACCTTGGATGCCTTCTTCTACCTTCTTCAATCCACCTAGTAAAGGTTTGTCTATCATTTAAAGTTTTCAAACTTCCAGGTATACAAGCATCATTTGAGGTACTTGTTCAAAAGTATGCCAAGCTCTGAGATTCTGAGAACCAAGCTATTTCTGGTCCAAATAATGGACACTATACTGGTGGTTCTCAACCCAGCCTACATTACAGTAGAATAACGTAGGAATTAGAATAATTCCATTAGAATAATATAGGATCTTGGAGAGGATGATGGGCAGGCTCATAAGATGTTCAGACACTGGTGTAATTTAAACACTTCACAGGCGATTTGTTTCTAATATTCAACAAGAATTAAGAAACATTTCTTTAAAACATGTTCAGGCAGTAATTCTTCCATGAAGAATTCCTTGATGCTTGAGACGGATAAAGTTAGTCCCTCTCAGAGGGTTGATTTTTTGCTAGAATAAAAGCCCAAAGACAGCTATGCTGTATTTGTCTTTGCAACCTGATGGGGTGCAGAAAATGGCACCCCTAGGCATGAAAACAGAAGCAGCAAGGTCTCCCCGACCTTCTCTCACCCCTTTTCCCCCTGAAGTAGGATATAGAGATTAAAATTCTCCTTGCCCCTTCGTTCCTGAAGGAGGCCAGAAAATCCAAGAAGGTCACTCTCTAACCTTCTCCCACCCCTTTCCCCTGAAGACCCTTATGTGACAATTGTCCTGTCCTATTCCTGGAGGGAAGGAATGTCACACAGGGATACTAAGAAAAAACTGAACCAAGGGGCCTTGCTAAGTATCTCCCCATCCCCATCAGTTTATTAGCATTAGATCATACCCTTTGTCCTCCAAACACACTTCTGCATGACAGTCCATAAAAATACACAGATCTCCCTGTTTCTTTAGATCTTCATTTCTGAAAGCTCCTGTGTCACATAAAATTTATATTGAATAAATGTGTATTATTTTCTCTTGTTAATCTGTCTTTTCTTACAGGAGTCTCAGCTATGAACATTGTGATGGATGAGGAAAAGATATTACTTTTTTCTTCCCTACAAATCTGCAACATCCAGCAGAATTCATGATGAAGTGCTCTGTCTCTGTCTCTCTCTCTCTCTCCCCTCTGTCTTGCAAATGAAACTTTTGAGGAAACCCTCTGGAGCTAATAGCAATATTACATTGTTTGCCAGATAAGCTAAACAGAAACTATCCTATATCAAAAATCAATCAATGAAAATCATTTTGTTTTCAGAGTTCATTCTCTCTAAGGATAATTACCCATTTGTATTTCCTTATTTACCAGAATAAGGAAATATAAATGGGTAAAAAATGTAATTATCCTTAAAGAGCATGAACATTCTTTTTCTAGCTAAAACCAATCTTCACAGTATTTATGTCATGCTACCACCTCCTACATACTGTTTTAGCCATACTCCCATCCTTCAGCCCTACTCTTTCCTAAAAAAGCCTTTGTGTGAGATTGAACATATTTTTATTTAGTCTTTATCATATCTTTGCTTTGAAAACTTTCTTAAACATAAATCGTTTTCTTCCTTTTTTTTTTCAGTATTATTAGATGCTAATCTAAAATTTAGAATTGAAAACCTACTCTCTTAACCCTTCAAGTCAAATTTTTCAGCCCATGAGATAAGAATATGTGTCCATTTCAGTCATGCAAGGTCCATCACTCCAGCATTTTCTGGATACCACCCTTTTGGCGACAATTACCATTGAACAGACTGACCGTACTAAAAGTCTATTGGACAAATAGCTTATCCGAATTTACATGGGAGAGTACTATCTACAAAAAAATTTATAAAAATTATTTCAAAAGAAACACAAATTGAGCAACAGCAAGAAAGAGAAAGCACAACAGGGAAAGATGAGGTAGAAGCAACAAAAGAAAACAAAAGACAAAAAGTGGCTATAGCCATAAGGAATAAGAAAAGAGAAGAGATTAGAATGGACATTGGGGAAACAGGTCCAATCTAGAGATTTTGCTTAGAATAAAGATGAGATAAGCTGTAGGAAATATTTTGAGAGACATAAATTGTGAAAGGAATAGTGCAGTAGCCATAAATGTCTATGTGAAAGCTTCTCCTATACATCTACTAACAGGCATGGAAAAAAAATCAAGATAAGTGTTTTCTAATGCTACTAATTGTTTTCATTAAACAATTATGTGCTTGCTTGAACTTTGAGCACATGTTGTTATCTGTATAAAATGTTTACCTTGGTCCAAAGGAAAGTAAGCTGGTAAAATTGAATTAGGTCCTCAGATATTCCATTACAATGTTTTCATTCTCTGGGAAGCACAAATGTGAATGATATATGTTATTTATGAAGCGTAAAAATAAATTTTACTTTAGACAAAACCTCTCTGTATTTTTATATTATTCTTTGCAGTGTTTATTTATACATATTTTTATTTGTATTATTATTATTTTTTATATTACTCTGTATTCATCTATATCCAACATGAATAATGGAAGAAGCTGCTTAGTTTTGGAGACAATATCCAGTTAGTCATTTTCTAGAGAAAAGTAAGACTGTTCTATGAGGAAGCCATTCTCATTTAACCATGCCAACGTGTACTCTCTGTAGAGAATTTTGTCAAAATAAATCGGAAATTTCCGTTGCCTAAAAGCTATGTGAGCTGAAACCTTTGGATTTCTGTTGGCTTGCTCCAGACCTTGTGGTCTAAACCACTGCTTAGCAACTTACAGATAGGATTTTTTAATGCCCCTGAACTGATTAAGTTGGGCTTCTAATATTGGAGTGGAATTAGAGGCCATATCAAGAAAGTATAAAATATTTGTTAAGTTAGATTAATTCAGACCGGGAGCAGTGGCTCACGCCTGTAATCCTAGCACTTTGGGAGGCCGAGGAGGGTAGATCACCTGAGGTCAGGAGTTCAAGACCAGCCTGGCCAACATGGCGAAACCCCATCTCTACTAAAAATACAAAAATTTAGCTGGGTGTGGTGGCGGGCTCCCGTAACCCCAGCTACTCAAGGGGCTGAGGCAGGAGCGTCGCTTGAACCTGGGAGGCGGAGGTTGCAGTGAGCCAAGATCGCGCCATTGCACTCCAACCTGGGCCATAAGAAAGAAACTCCATCTTAAAAAGAAGAAAAAAAAAAAGGATTAATTCAGCACCAGGTAACCAACAAGTTCTTTTTTTGTTGTATTATTTTAATGCTCGCTAGACACTTAACTTTCTGATTTTTCTTATTCTGATCTTCAGACTTCAAATTATATCCACAATAACAGTAAAACCATCCTAAACTTACTACACCACAGTATTAAGGGTTTTGGTGGGTTTTTATTTATTTATTTGCTTTGTTTTGTTTTGCTTAATAATGTTTTAGAATAGGTGTCTGTAATTTGTGGCTGCCTCAAATCTTTTTAACCTTATTCCTATATTGTGGACCTTTCAAAGGCAGAATTTCAAAAGATCTACACATTTCTCCTTTGTGATGAGTGCAATTTCCACTCATCAGGTGGATTTGTATGGGACTTTAACTTAGAAGCAAGACATAAAGAGTGAGCCAGGGCACCAGGCGTGGAGTGGCAGAGAGGGCATGCATCTGATACTGTCAGCTGTTGTGGCAGTTTTCTTGTCATGGAACCAAGCATGATTCTGTACTTGGCAAAGAAAAAGCCTGAACAAGCCACAGTACTCCAGTAAAAGTACTGTGGTTGTGGTGTGGGCAGTGGCATATCTGCAGTGTCATGAATGAAATTATTATTGTAACCTCAACCTAGAATCTATTCCCTCAGGCTTTCCAAAAGTTCTGCTACATTTCTAACATTTCTCAATAATTCCCTACTACTTAAACTGATTATGGTAGATTCTATTGTCTGCAACCAAGAACCACGGATTATATCATTTATATGGTAAAATCCAGAATTACAATTTAAAAGTAATACATCTAGCAGCTGCTACTTTGTTTTCCAGAAAACCTTTCATGGGGTAACATTTTTCCATGGACTAACAATATTTCTTGACTTCTACTTTGTATGCAGGACAGCATTAAGTGCTAGAATGAATATCAAAATGATTAGACAAGTTATTCCATTCATGAAGCATATGTATCTATGAAATAATTTTAAGTAATTAAATGTTTTAATATAAGCTTGCTACTAATTAGTAAATTGGAAGAATACATTGTTATTTGTTGGTACTGCTCTTGGAAAGAGATAAAGCAACTTTCATCACTAGCTTTTCTAAAAAATAGAAAAATCAATTGCGTATTTTTTCTTTCCAAATTTTATTTTAGGTTCAAGGGGGTATATATGCTGGTTTGTTATATGGGTAAATTTCGCGTGGTGGAGGTTTAATGTACAGATATTTTTCTCACCCAAGTAATAAGCCTACCCAGTAGACAGTTTTTAAATCCTCACCCTCCTCCCACCCTTCACCCTCAACTAGGCCCCAGAGTCTACTGTTCCCTTCTTTGTACCCATGTGTAATCAACGTTTAGCTCCCACTTATAAGTGAGAACATGCAGTATTTGGTTTTCTGTTCCAATCAATGTTAATTTGCTTAAGATAATGTTCTGCAACTCCATCCATGTTGCTGCAAAGAATATGATTTTGTTCTATTTTATGGTTGGGTAATATTCTATGGTATCACTGGCTTTTAATATCCTTCCTTTGTAAAATAGCCTCTACAATTTTCTTCCCTTATTAAACCTCTGAACAGACTCTCTAATGGTTCAACAGATAATTCATAGAGAACTTGAAGAAAGACTGTCAAGTGGTGAGATAAAAGAAAAAGACTAGGATGCTGATTCTATGTTTAATCCAATCTGAACACCCTTTGGGAGGACCAAAGTGACATAGATTCCAGCTTTCACCATCAAGTGAAAAATTTGGTGAATATGTGTGTACTTTCAAAGTACACATGGAATCCTAAAATTTTGTAGAAATAAGAAATTATCTACATACTCTACTTCAACATCCTAGTTTATAGGTTTGATCCACCTACATTATGGGGAGGGGGTTAATATGTGTACTTTTGTATTTCCTCATGCCTGTGTGTCCTGGACAAATGTTACTCCCAACTAAGCCTTCATTCTTTCCACTTTTCCATATCCAGTAAGCACATTCCCAGATGTGTATGTGTGTGTGTAAATATATATATAACTTTGAAAAATGCATCTTATATTTTTCGTACTATGATATCTATCACATTACACAATTAGTGGTTTCTAGAACCACTAAACTTTGCCTCAGAACAATACACTTGAGTATGTATATTTATACACACACATAAATATAGCTACGGTGGGCATAATGAGATAAAATAAGATTTAAGGACTTTTACTTGGAATTAACCAGTATCTGGTGATGATTTTTGGGGAGCAGAGAATAGAATGTTATGTAGATGTTAATTGTACAGTACAAATTAGTAGCAATGTTAAAGTATATACATAGGACTCCAGTCTCTCTGCTCCAAAATACAAAACTCCCTTCCGTCTCCTCGGTATAAAATTATCTTGGCACAACAGGAAGAGAATTCACAGAAATGCAGCAAAATTACATAAATTTGAGATCCAGCACCAGAGAAGACATAAAAAGTTCTTAGTGAGTCAGACTTAGTTTATAGTGTTGTTTTTCCTTTAGTCTGCATTTCAATGGTCTTTCTATTTTTGTTAAATATAAGTGAAGAGAAAGAAGGTTTTATTAGAGGTTTGTTGGCTAGTTGCTGATTCTGATATGCCTTAAATGGTGCATTGCAATCTTTAGCTGTCAGATACTGGGAAAATGGAAAGTATTCTTAGATTTTCAGTGACGATTCTCTAAAACTCTCATGAATTCATATTTTGAACTAAAGTATTTGCTTTCTCTCTCAATGCTGATCTTTCCCCAAAAATAACATATGGAAGTTTAAAATCTATATCTATATTTTCCTTGTAGAACAAGATGGTCAATGAAGCAGTCACTGTGAAAATCTCATGAGAACAATTAAATCTCTGCAATTAAATTGATGGCTAAATTTGGTGGTAGAGAAATGGTAGTGACACTTTCTGCAACTCTTTCTGGAAGGGCTCACTTTCTTTTTTCTTCCAATTTCTTTAATCAAAATGAATAGGCACAAATGATTTTTTAAAATCTTACAAGTGCCTATAACTTGGAGTTTGGTAGATATAGCTAGAAGAAGTTGCAAAGCACATTGTTAGAAAGTCAAAGATTCAAGCTGTCTTTTTTCTCTGCAACATATTTTTAGAGAATCAAAATGTAATTTTAATGAAAAATTATTTTAAATAGTGAGCTTGAAAACACATCAAACTACAGCTTTTTGCTTTTAGTTAGATTTACACAGTATTTTATGTGAGGAAGAAGAAATACATTACTGTTTGTGGTGAATGACCTTAAGCTCTAAAGTTGAGGGTTGAAAATGACTAGGAGGGGCAAGAAGTAATACTGATACATGATTGTTAGTACAAATGTGAACTTTTGTGGTTGAATGGACTTCAAAACTGTGTTGATATGATAGCTCTATGTTTCTTACCTAAGAGTTAATCCAAAATAATTGCTTTCCTAATAAGGAACAACTAATGTGCCATCATTTATTTATACATGCAATGTACCATCATTCATTTGTTCATTTAACAAAAATCTGATAGGGTTTTTTGGGTCCTGGAGCTACAGAGCAAACTCTCTACCTTCAAGAAATACAGCTTATTGGAGGAGTCAGATGCACATTTTAAAATAATCATTTATTTATGTGAATATTATGATAGAAATCTACACAGAGTATTATGGACATCTGTTCTTAGCATGGTGGTCTTAGGCCAAGCAAGGCTTACTAGAAAATTTAATTCTTCAACTGTCACTCAAATAAATAAAGCTGAGCTAGCCTGGACAGAAGACAGAGAAAGGAACACAGGGATGAGGGAGCAAAAGTATGGCAGTAACCAATCCTCTAGGTGATTTTTTGGTTGGTCTAAATACATTTGCAAATAAGTGGTTATATTGCCAGTTTCACATTGCAAATTCAAATTTCCTTTGATAAGCACAGGAGCAAAATTTAATTAAATGCTGTGATAAGTTATTTGTCAATTCAAAATCACTACCTGGCTGGGTTTTTTTCTATTCTTAAGATGAAGTTATGGTCTTTAAAGTATTTGATTTTATCAAGAGGTTCTGGAGATTCTCTGGACTCTTCCCCAGCAAAATTCTTCTTAGTAATGGACTTTCTACCTTTTATCTACTTTATCTTCTAAAATTATTGAAGCCTGCCACCTTTACACAAAAGCAGGTCTTCTCACCCTCAGCATTATTGACATTTTAGATGCAATAATTCTTTGTTGGGGTGGTGAGCTTCCCTGTGCATTATAGGATGTTTAGAATCATCCTTAAACTTTTTACCCGCTAGATAAGTAGGAGACCTCCCTCACTCCAGTCATCTGCAGTCGTGACAATCTAAATGTCTCCAGACATAGACAAAATATTCCATCGTGAACAAAATCATCACTGGTTGAAAATCACTGCACTAACTTAACTATTGCCACTTAGTTTAACTGCAGCAGTCTGAATTAAGCTCAAATGTTTTACTGTTAGTAATGACATAATATTAAAAAAACTGTTAATAACTTGTGCAGGGGACATCCAGTGACCAAATGCCAAGTCACTCACAATAAGGGCCAAAAATGTACTGGATAGCTACATATTAGAAAAGGTCTCATGTTCCTCTGCAAAGTAGTCTGTGATATTAGTTGGTGCCAATGTCATTACCTGTACTGGTGATGTTACTCCTCCCCTGAGCACACAAGGCGTGTCTAGCTTGTTCATGACCTATAAGAAAGCTGAAATTAGTAAGTCTCTTTCTCACCTGAAGTAATGATACACTCTAACCCATGGTTCTCAACCTCAGATGCCCTTTGAAACTTTCTGGGGAGATTTACATCATACTAAACTCTTGATTGCTTTGCAATGTTCTGATTTAATTTAAACAATTCTAATACACCTCAGTTACACCCAGAGGTTCTGATTTAATTGGTCTAGGGAAAGGCCTGGGCATGAGAAATTTCTAAAAGCTCCTGTAGAGTTCTAATGTGCTGCCAAGCTTGAAAAACAGTGCTCACTTTATCTTACCTTGGGCTATGGACCATGTTTTAAAATCTCCATTTTGTGTAGAGATGTTGGGAGGCAGCTAAATCTTACTTTAGTTATACTCATACATCTAGTTAGTCTTTATGACGCTTATAAATTTTGTGTCTGTTTTAGGTCTAGGAATTTACTTCTTAGAACTAGGAATTTACCTTTAGAACTACAAATTTAGTCTTTAACCAAGTGTTTCCTAAACTTGTCTACACATCAAAATTATGTTTTTGCTTTTTAAAGATCAGGCCATACCCCAGACCAATTAAATTGAAATCGTTGGGGATATTACATATATCAGTGTTTGCGAAGCTCCCCAAGTGAGTCCAATGAACAGACAAGTTTGAAAACCACTGCTTTGTATCTGGAGAAGGATCAAAATGCCTTGTAGATATAGATTATTGGTTCTCATATTTAATTGCACATTAGAATGGCATGCGCACTTTTTAAACTCTCAGTGCCCAAGTTGTGCCCCAAGTCCAGTAAATCAGAATTGCCAGGCACCAGTATGTTTTTTAGTTCCTTAGGTGATTCCAGTGTGCAGTCAAGCAGTAGTTCTCAAACTTTAGCATGCATCAGACTCAACTGCAGAGCTCAATAAAACAGACTACTGGACACCATACTCGAAGTTTCTAATTCTGTAAGTCTGTGTTGGGCCTCAAGAATTTGCACTTCTAGCAAGTTCTCAGGTGACACTAATGCTGCAGATCTGGGGACCACACTGTGAGAACTACTGGGTTAGGAGAATCAGCTTATAAATGAAATAATGAAGTGACACATAGAGATTAAGTTTAACTTCCAGGGATTTTTTTCAGTACTGCCTATTTTAGCTGTTGAATTGTTTTAATGGACGTAATAGTATTTAAAATATCCATGAGGATACTAATTATACCTATTGTAATATTTTCTTGTTTCCCATACAAACTCTCTTCCATTCAGATTAGTTTTTCCCTATTTATATCTTGGTGCTATTTTTTCTTTCTCTCATTTGTATACATAGATGGGATATGGATCAACAGGTATCAGCAGGTATGGTACTTCAAGTTCATTTCTTTCACCCAGATAAGAGGAAGTATATGCCTGGCAGTAAATATAGCATCTGATGATGGACCCCTGACTATAGAAGCTGTGGTTCCACAGGAAAGAAAATGATCTTACCTGTAGAAAACCCTATAATAATTACTCACTAAAAACTGAACTAATAAATGGATTCAGCAAAGTTGCAGGATACAACATTAACAAGTGAAAATCAGTTGTGTTTCTATATACTGACAATGGACAATTCAAAAAGCAATTAAGAAAAGCATTTAGTTTATAATAGCACCAAAGAGAATATAATACCTAGGGATAAACTTAACCAAAAAGGCAAAAGACTTGCACACAGAAAACCACAAAACATTGCTGAAAGAAATTAAAGAGGATACAAATAAATAAAAATACATCTGTGTTTGTAGATTAGAAGACTTAATATTATGATATCAATATTATTCAAAGTGATTTACAGATTTAATGCACTAACTAACAAAATCACAATGATGTTTTGTTGCAGAAATAGAAAAATGCATCCTAAAATTCATATGAAATCTCAAGGGACCCTGAATAGGCAAAATAATCTTGACAAAGAAGAACAGGTTAGAGAACTCACACTTCTCAATTTCAAAACTTATTACAAACCTACGCTAATCAAACCATTGTGGTATCAGCATAACAACAGACATAGAGACTAATGAAACCAAATAGAGAGAGAGTTTCAAAATAAACTTACATATATAGTCAAATTATTTTCAACAAGGGTGCTAAACCCATTCAATGGGAAAAAGAACAGTCTCTTCAACAAATGCTACTAGGAAAACTGGATATCCACCTGTGAAAGAATAAAGTTGGCCTCCTACCTTACACCATATACAAAAACAAACTTAAAGTGGATCAGACCTAAATGTAAGACCCAAAACTATAAAACTCTTAGAAGAAAACATGAGGAAAAGAGTTTGTAACATCAGATTTGCCAAAGATTACTTGGATATGGCACCAAAAGCCCAAGCAACAAAAGCAAACGGACAAATGGGACTACATGAAACTTAAAAACATCGAAAGAAACAATCAACAGAGTGAAAAGTCAACCTGCAGAATGGGAGAAAATATTTACAAATCACATATCTGATAAAGGCTATCTTTGTCAGCTTGGGTTGCCATAACAAATACCATGAACTAGGTAGTTTAAACAACAGAAATTTATTTCTCACAGTTCTGGGGACTGAGAAATCTAAGACTGAGGTGCTGGCCCATTCCATTTCTGGAAAGGGTCTTCCTAGTTTGCTATATCCTCACATGGGAAAGACACCATCTCTCTCTTCTTTTTTTTTATAAAGACAATAATCTCATTCATGAAGGCTCCATCTTCATGACCTATTGACCTCCCACAGGCCCCACATCCAAATACTGTCACATTAGGAATTAGGGCTTCACCATATGAATTTTGGGAAGGCAAAATTAATCAGTTCACAGTTCACAGCAAAAGGTTAATATCCAGAATATATCAACTCCTACAACTCAACAATGAAACCCCCCCCAATGCATTTATTTTAAAAATTGGCAAGGGACATTGAATTCCTCCAGAGGACAAACAAATGGCCAATAAGCACGTGAAATGATGCTCAACATCACCAATCATTAGAGAAATACAAATCAAACCATTATAAGATATAACCTAGCACTCATTAAGATGGCTGTATTTGAAAACCAAAACAAAATGGAACATAACAAGTGTTGAGAATGTAGAGAAATAGGAATTTTTGTGCACTCTGGGTGGCAATGTAAAATGATGCAGCCACTATGGAAAACAGTATGATCGTTTTAATTTAAAATAAAACTACTATATGATCCAAAAAATTCACTTCTGAGTATGTATCCAAAAATAATTGAAAGCAGAATCTCAATAAATTTGCACACCCGTGTTCATAGCAGCACTATTCACAATAGACAATAGGTAAAAACAACCCAAGTGTCATCAACTGATGAATGAATAAACAAAATGTTTTATATGCATACACTAGATTATAATTTAGCCTTATAAAGGGAGAAAATTATGCCAGCAGACAGCCTTCAAATTTGAACTGCAACATTGGCTATTCCCTACCTTTAGCCTACCTGTCCCACTCTGCAGATTTGGACTTAACCATTCTCCATAATTGCATGAGCCTTTAGCTAAATTTCTTAAATGCCTTTAGCTAAATTTCTTTCTATATACTATACATACATACTTTTTGTTCTGTTTCTCTGGAGAACCTTGACTAAATACATGGATGAAACTTCAGGACATATGTCAAATGAAATAAGCCAGTCACAAAAAAGATAAGAACTGTATGATTCCATTTATACATGATATTTAGAGTGGTTAAATTCATAGAAACCTAAAGCAGAGTGTTGGTTGCCAGGGGCTTGGAGTAGGGAAAAATGTGGAGTTGTTTAATTAGCATAGAGTTTCAGTTTTGTAAGATGAAAAAGTTCTGGTTATACAACAATATGAATGCACTTAACACTATTGAACTGTACATTTAGAAATCGCTAGAAGAGTAAATTTTGCATTACATTTTACCACAATCAAACCAAACAAAACAACAAGCTGTCTATGCTTACGTAGTTCTATTGGTTCCAAAACAAACTGCAGAGTTAAAAATTACAAAAGATCTATTATAGCTTCAATGACACAGAGAGGAGAAATGAGTCAGAATGGACATCCAAATTGAACTTGAATCAACAATTTCCAGCTGGTATTTTAAAATAGTAACAAATAAACAAATGGACAAAAAAGCCAGATTAGTGGGGTATTCTTCTACACATAACATATAAAGACAGGTTATAGAAAGGCAAGTACTAATGTCTCTATTCTATTATCAGTGGTAAATTCTTTATTGGATTTTGAATCAGTTTAAGTTAACACAGTATATGTGAGAAAACTGAACTGCATTCAGAAGAAAACATTGTAAGAACTTAAAATATATAAGTAGAAATTTTAAAACAATGTAGAGCTTAAAAGTTTACATGTGAATGTTAAAAGAATCTAGATTTTTTGATGTATAGAGAGTTGAGGGATAAGTTACTAAGTTATTACATATAGGGGATTTTCCATCTAATCTCTATGTCTTTAGAACACAAAATTGAAGGCCATGAACTTCAATTTTCAGTAAGAGACATTTCCTGGGAGTAAGAGCAACTAAGCCTTGATAAAGCAAATGGTAGACTAACTGTATTGACTGTGTAACTAGTTTGTACTCTAAACTTAGAAGCTTAAAACACACACATTTATTCCCTATTATTTATCCCACACTTCCTGTGGGTCAGGAGTCTAAGCATATAGCCTAGCTGGGTTCCTGTCTCCTAAGGCTTAAATTAAGGTGTTGGCTAGAGGTACAACTCCCTGTTATCTTGCAGTCCTCTTCCTGGTTATTGGCAGAATTTAGTTTCTTGCCACTGTGAGGACTGAGACCCCTTCCTGGCCAGATGGCCCTCTCCACACCATGGCAATTTGCTTCTCGAAGGCCAACAAGAGGGAGTCTTCTGCAACTTCTTGTCTCTTTCCTCTAGATCCTCTTTGAAATGGTTCATTTGGTTAGTTAAGGCCAAATGATTTTAATTAATCTTTTGATTAATTCAAAATCAACTGATTAAAGACCCTAATTACACCTGTGCAATTACTCCACTCTTTCCAAACCACGTAACAAAATAATGGCTGTAATATTCTATGATATTCACAGGTACCACTCATACTAAAGAAGAGAAGATTATGCAGGACGTGTACATGAGAAAGCAGGACTCTTGGAGACCATCTTGGAATTCTGCCTATCATCCTATCTCAAGATTTGCCTATCTGACCTAAAATAATATCACTTTCTATTTAATTATTGGGTTTATCCCCAAATATGAGATAGGATAAAATCTCATTTATTTCTCTCGAAAGTTTACAGAACATTTTCTCATGTGCCACCCCGCATGGAGGAGTAATAGCTGCATATGTAGTGTGGTTGAAGCAATGCCATATGACAACAGCTGCTTAAAAATATCTTCCCGGGTTTGCAATCAAACCTGGCATTAGCTTCAACTTACTCTGTGGCATTTACCTTTAGAAATATACCCAATTCATAGTGAACAGATTAATCAGTTGGCTAAGATGAGTTAAAAAGGAGTAATTCAAATTCAAAGTTGATATCACTCTTTCATAGGAATTTTCGGTATGACTGGATTGACATTGCAAGCATCTATACATGTATGTCTCCTACAGTAATATTCATTATATTCATTAAGGAATCACACTTACAATCCTATGTTGATTTCAAAACCAATATGTCACAATAATCTTCCCTTTGCCTGTGATCTGCAATACTGTTGGAATTATTTTTCTTCATATCATTCTTATATTTCCTAACTACCAATGCAGATTGAAATGATAGGAATTTCAGCATTCTCTTTAGTAGCTAAGTTTTTGCTTCAAATGCATCAGTAATGTTTCATTTTCATTTCCCAGGAGGAAATTCCTTAATGTTGTATAGTAAACAAAGTGTCTTACTTTAACAATCTCAAAATTTAACCATGTATTATATTCTTTAACTCATCTGTATTCTTTCTCTCCCTCTAAAAACATTAATACTGTGTGGTATTGACTAAAACATGACAATTGTTAATTTTACATATATCACATTTGTATAGCAGTGGAAAATGGCATGATCCCATGCACATATCACAATCTTTTCAGAAATTGAGAATATGTTTATGTAAAGTATTACTTCCAAGATATGAAACAAGTTCTACAAACTACTGATCAAAATCCTAGTTGAGTGTGCACATGTTGTACATGCTATTTAAGGAAAGTGACAACATCATATAGTTCTTTCTTAGTGTCTGTGAAAGTAATAACACAGGAAGCATGATATTATAACCTATAGAGGTTATAAATACTAACCCTATAGCATTTTTATTACCAACTTATATCAAAGGCAATCTGGCACAAATAAGATTCTCCCATTAGTAAGCAGTCTTATATTGCAGACATAAAATATTTGTAAGCATTTTAACTTCACAAGTCTACAGCAGCTGTGTCACATTTGCTTTTCCTTCATTTAATATGAGCTTATTTAGATGAAATTGGAGTTGCCTTTCTCCCCTCTAGATGACAGTTCTGGTTTAATGCCAAGCCACTTAGTGAGGTCAATCAAACAATGCTCTATTATGTACAGTGGCATAAATCAAAAATCACAAAACCACTAACTTATAACACATGTTACATGCTCAGTAAGTTCAAAGTCTAGCCTTCTACAGGTGATTTTACATTCCATTTTAAGGTATGGCTTATTACCTCCACTGCAAACTGCTCATTTGATCATCTCTGAACTATTTTAACATTTATTTTACATTTTTTATGAGAATACATTGCTACATTTTTAACTAAACAAACCGACCAGAAAGAAAGTCAAATCAAACTTTTAGCCAAACTTTGCTTTGTGTTACATCAACATTATTTGCATTTGGGAAATCTATTAACTGAATTGGAAATGAGATTTCAGTGACTCTCCCTCACTTTCCCATCACTGCCTCCCTCACCTGCACCTGGCCATACTGTTACCATTCAATGAGGTGGGGCCTCTTCAAGATCCTGCTAAGCTAGTAGTCTCTGCCTCCTAACATATTTCCAGTAGTGCCAAATGATAGCGACATAAAGGAATCTGCCATAAGTTTCCTTTCTCGTTCTTTTTTTAAAAGCTGAAAGGGTGAGACTGCCGCAGAAAGATTATCAAATCCTCAGACTACATACTCTGGCATTAGTGACCCATATAGGCTTTAAGCAATACATTCTTGTCATAATTAATATGAAAGCTTCATCCATCTGCTGGATATAGATACCGCCTCAACCCTAAATAATTTAATAACAACTTCCCTGCACATCTGTTTACATGAGAAGCAATCTTTACTACCCTGAAGGCCCCAAATTCCCACCCTCTAAATTTTTCCACTTTGCACTTTAATCTAGGCTTGAATACTCTGAATCTTTTCTTTTGACTCAGATCTCAACTCACCTTTATCCTAAGTACTAAGTAGCTTCAACTTTAACTGATAAAATGCATATACAAACATATACATATTTGAGTTCTTTTCCAAATTTTGTGAATAACCACTAACCTAGATGCTGGTCTATATTACTGGTTTTACAGACTGTAAAATATTTTGGGGCAGGAACTATAACTAAAAATATGTCCAGTATTACAGGGCCTAATTAGGTGCCACTGTATTTAGGTAAATACTCAAAAATAGTTATCATTCATTGATAACAATCATGATTTAATATACTAGAGTAATTCATAATGGTAACCCTGTGGGAAAGAGCTACATCCCAAAGGCGGCTAAGTCAGTAATAGAATAATAATAATTCATTGCCTGTATTAACTTTCTGGTAAAGGAAGCCAGCAGATGTAACTAAGACATGGAAACAAAAATAAATAAATAAATAAATAAATAAATAAATAAATAAATAAAGCAACTTATCATCAACAACCCCAGAGAATGATAGAAATTCTAAATGCAGTCTAAAATCTAGATGTACATGTAAAAGTATAGTGAAGTGTAGTTTGCTATTTAGGTAACTAGACAAAAAATTCAGTTTGTTATGCAAAGTGTTGCATTTATTATTTGAATTTTAAATTCAGCTGAAACATTATTGAAAAAGATTGTTGAAAGCCCAGGATAACTGTTTTGACTAAATTTAACATTATTAGTCATTTTCTTTTTCTCCTTCTCTTAATTATCCGGTTTGTTGATATTCTTGGCAAGTTGATTGAATAGGCAGCATCATAAAATCCTATAATTACATCACAAAAGGCTAGTGATAAGAATCTGTTGCTGTAAAAATATTCTAAAGAAAGAGTTATACATATTCCAAAAATCTTTACTGCTATTTCATCATAAAATAAACAAAAACAGCAATGGATAAAACTTCATGTTTGTATAAAAATAATTTTAAAAATTGTTCTCAATGCCTATGAAAGTAATGGGGCCAGATTATTTACTTTTCAGACATCTGTTAGGATCCTGAATCAATAAAAAGTTGTTCTTTTTTCTTCTTAAGAAAAAAAAAACATCTGAAGTGTGAACTCTTAGGGATGAAGAGATGAAATGATAAAATGCTTTTGTTTTCTTTATTACATAAGCAGAATTTCCAAACTTCATTTTTTATTAATTCTATTTGTCATTCTTTTAATGCTCAGTTAAGAAAAAAAATAAACACAAATTACTTTTAGGACAACATATACTAGATTTTCAGTTTTCTTTGATGGCTTCCAAAAGCCCTTTGATGTGGACTCCTAAAAAGGAATTTTCATCCTCAGAAATGTATTTTAAAACATTAAAACCTTGAGAATTGCAGGATTGGATATTCTCGGCTGCAGCTCTGGAAAAAAAAATGTGCATAAAGAGATGAAGACTTAAAGTAAAATTTTAGAAGCTTGACAACAAGGAGATTCAGTGTCAGAAGCAAATTAACTGGCCTAGTAGGAAAGAGGCCCTCTCAGAGAAGGATAACTTGAATCCAGTTGAGTTATTTGGGAGATGGGGAAAGAGGCCCACATAACGGGGCCAGGATAGTGTGCACATGGCACCTTCCCCCACTGTGCCTGTCCACTCGGCTCTACCAAGTGTGGGCTCATGATTCAAACTGACAAGAACCTTACTCCCTCTCTGATCCAGAAAGAAAGAACCTTGTCAAATTGAATATCCTGCTTGCTGCACAGGAGCAGAGTTGCCAGGAACAATGGGGGAAACTCCAAATATGCTCTCAATCAGCAAGAGGACTTGGGCCCTGATGCGGCTGCTCACAGCATAGCTAGAAGTGTAACTGAAGCTTAGATGTCATTGCATTCTTTTTTGAGGAAATGTGAGTTTCTTCTTGTGGTGATTGTTGTTTTGCTTTGTTGTTTTTTTTCCTGGACTGTAAAAATATGGTGGTAAAGTACTCTCTTTTCTATAAGGAAAATAGAATAACTAATAAACATACTCTAGCCCAAAGAACAAATTCAATCCAAGCAAGAAATGTACGCATTAAAATTCATGGTGTGCCAGGTAGAGTAGCCATAGTGGGTGTGGATATAAAGATGATGTATTGGCCTGGAGGAGACTAATACAGCCTATGAAAAGTGGCACTGCATTCAGAAGATGCATAAAGATAATGGAATTTGAAAGTCAAAGTCCCCCTCTTGACCCTCATTTTCTTGTACTTACTCCGAGATCTTTGAACAATCACTTGACTTCTCCTAAACCTTGTGTTCTTATCTATAAAATGGAGTTATGAGGAACTAACTTACAGGAAAGATGTGAGAATTAAATGAGATAGCCTTTGAAAAATCCATTTGGAACATGTGAAGTGCTACACAAACGTTAGCTATAATTTGTCTGGAGGCAGATATGACTCATGATTTCTAGCTAGTACTGCCAATTTGATCTCTATCCATCCTTCCAGAAATGAGGTCCCTCTAAGAGCTCAGATTCTATCTTCCAACAGACTATATTTCAAGAAGGAATTAAGTAAGTATAATAGATATAGGGAAATACTTAAAAAAAAAAAAAGCAAATAAATAAAACCCTTAAAAACAAACAGTCAAACCCAACTGGGATAGTATAGCAGAAGGCTTCTCAAATAAGCTCAATGGAAGTGGCACAGATTCCCATGATCAAATGCTATTAATGTCTAAAAAACCAATGATCACTGTTTCCTAGCATTTCCATTAATAACCCAACCCACTGTGTGTAAGGATTTTAAAGGGAGTGGTCATTCAAGACAGAGGCACCAGGATGAAACTTACTGGCCCCTAGTAAGTTCTGGTATTGTTCTGGCTTTGCATTTCCAATCATCAGCCAGAACAATAGAGTGAAGATCTTTGCTTAGAAGCTCTACTTTCAATCAAATATAATTATTTATTTCTGTTGTTTAAAGTGAAAATATCTTCAAAAGAAAGATAATTTCTGTGAAAATAGATTAAATTTCCCGTAGTGAAGAGGGGGTGAAAGACAAGGTTGTGGCTGGTGGAATACAATTTTTATAACCTGAACAGATTAATGATAATGTTGATGTTTGTGAAAAAAGGGCAAGGTCTGGGGGCCTGACAGCATCAGAAATACCTAGAACACTTATTAAAAGAAACCTACTGAAGCAGGATCTTTCATTAGAGATTAGAGATTACAGCTTAGAATTCTGCATTTAAAAGGAAATCCAGACTAAGAATGAGATCAATGAAGTTTCTTCCCTAGACAAATTTTGCATGTGGGTATTTAGAACTTGTATCACAATCCAACGTGTTATTCTAATAATTCAACTTGTAGAGCCCTTGCTTTTCTGAGAGAATCACTGAATACACTGAATATAACTACCAGATACTCTGGCATGTCAGCAAGTCACAAGCAGTGAGAAAACCACTTTCCCTAGTTTAGGCCAAATCCTATATAGCATCCTGAATGTGACTCTTAGCACATTTCACTGTATTGGTCTATCCAAGAGAAACCTCTCCCTAACCCTTGACTCAAAGATCCTCTAACATAAAACCTAATCTTCCTCATTTTTATATTTAAGCTCTGAGCATTGTGTTGAGCCAATTGCAGAGGCACAACAAATGCTCATTGAATAGAACTAAAACTTTGAAGCTGAAGAAACTTGCCTTAGCCATGAATCTTACAGGAGAGCCAATCCCAGAGCAGCAGCTGCAGTGAGCAGTCGTTGAGCCATCTATAAGATGACAAATGGTTGATCTGACAGAAGTGTAGGGTTAAGGCTAGAAACAAAACAAGGCAGTGCTGAAAAGGAACATACAGTCTGTATCTATTGTAAATTCTAGTTCAAAGAAAAACACAAAGGAGCAGAATAAAAACAACTTCAAAAAGTCAAGCATTCAGCAATGTGTATTAAGCCTCCACTACATGCCAGATACTCTGCTAGATCTTGGGGATGTAGCATAAAAGGAAAGAACGTGTCTTCCCTCATGAAACTAATGGTCACACACATATTAAGGTGCTATGAAGAAAAAATATTGAAGGAGCCATGAGAAAGTGTGATAGAAACTATGTATATGTATGTGTGTATGTGTAGCCATCAGGGTGTAATTGGAGGAAGGTAAGGAAGGCTTTTCTTAGACAGTGATATATAAAGAGAATCCTGGAAGGATAAGTCAGTGTTAACCAAGAAAAGAATATTCTTGGCAGATAAAATGTATGCTATAGTCTGATGGTGTGTGTCTCCCTAAACTTCATATTTTGAAATCCTAACCCTGAATGTGATGGTATTGGGAGGTAGAACCTTTGGGAGTAATTAGGTCATGAGAGCAGAGCTCTCAGGAAAGGGATTAGTGCCCTTACAAAAAAGGCCCAAGAAAGACCCCCCTCACCGTTTCCACCACATCAGAGCACAGAGAGAAGGCACCATCTATGAATGAGAAAGCAGGCCCTTAAGTCTACCAGTGTCTTGACTTTGGACTTCTCATTCTCTGGAATTGTGAAAATCAAACTTCTGTTGTTTATAAAAGCTACTCAGTTTATGGCATTTTTTATAGCAGCCCCAATGAACTAAAACAATATTCAAAACCCCTGACAGCAAAAAGCTTGTCACTTCAGAGGAAGTTTTTAATATTTTAGTCATTAGAACAGTAATTGTTAATACTTACTGGTTCCAAAACAGGTCACCACTATTTCCTAAGGCTGGATATCTGCAAAATCTGCCTACTCTGAGCTACTGGAAAAACCAGAAGCTCCAGGATGCCCCTTCCATCCCTTGGCTGCTCACTACAGTGATGGGTGACATTTTAAACCACATTAATCCCTTAGGAAAAGTCACTTGATTGGCACCTCCAAGATCTGAGGAAGGGTTTTTGAGTATTCTCAGTTAAACAAAATAATATGTTTTACAAATTAATTTTTTAAGCATAAGAGGAATTTTTGTAGCCAAACTGTATTTTCTCAAAAAATAATGACTTATACAGAAGGCTTGTAAAAATCACTCTCTTATATTTGTGAAAAGTAGTATTGCATTTCAACATCAAGAATGCTGGCATGGTGAATACCAGAAGCCAGAGTTGTATTTCTTGGTGGCTTTTTTTGGTCTGAATTTTTAAGCCATATTGGCACTCATATTATCTGATAAATCTAATTTTCTCATCTGAATGAATTTTCTGGTAGACTTTTATATTTCTCCTATCAGTACACACATTATCTTATCATGATTATTTTACACCTACCATTATTTCCAAGGTGCTGAATGTCATCAAGAAATATAAGTGATAGGACAGATTGGAGTTCTTCAATAGCTTTACACTCATTGTACAAAAGGAATTTTGTATGCAATGTTTGTTCTTTGATTAAGAAAGGACCACTGCACTCTTATTTTGATATATTATATGTGATATGTGCAATGTTTACCCACTAGTTGTTTCAGCCTAGGGAGAATTTTTATGACCAACTAACAAACTCTGTAACAGTATTCATAATGTGAATGCTGATATACCATTATTTATACTTCAGTTCTATAGCAAAAATTGGTTCCATGATAAATAAACTCTCATTATCCAATCATTAGTCTATTGTAGCCACAGTGACAAGTCATGCCACAGGCAATACAATATCACTAATGAAATGAATTAATTTATCTTTTTCAAAGGGACATTGGGGAATTGTAAATGTATGTTTTATAGTATCACTCCAAATAGAAAATATACCTAATAATTCAACATTTTAGGCAGATACTTTCAACCCCATCAAGTTTATTTTATTTAACAAATATTTATTGAATGCTTTCTATGCTCCAGGTACTTTCGTAGGTGGTGAAAGTAAATTCTACTGGGAGAAGTCAGAGGTTAAATAAGTAAAAAAAAAAAGAAAACTAGACAAAACTAATCTAGATTTTGATAACTGCTCTGAAGAGAGAGGAGAAAAAAACAAATAAATAAACAAAAAGCCAAACAAACAAAACACACTTAGGTTGATAGTCATCAGAAGGCTGTATTTCATAAGGTGTCCGGAAAACACGACATTGATTCACAGACCATTTTCTACTATAAAAGTCATGGTGATCAATTTGGTTTGGACCCTAAGAGATTGCTTATAATAAACATTTTTCACCCATGGAAATGGCAATTTCATATGGGTCAGCCAGATAACTGATAACACTAAGAACTAATAGTAGATATAATTTTAAGATTAGAATTCTTATTTTACATTTTTATTTTCAAATTTTTGATTGCTCTGTATTTGAATATTTAACATTCAGCATTTTTTTCAGACCCTTAGTCTAGAGACAGAATGAGAATCCTATCATCCCACAGATGAAATAGATGCATAAGCGGTATTTCCAGTCTGTAAATAGAGCTTCTAAAGACAGGACATCTGAAGACGAGGCCTTACTGGATAGAGAAAGGGCCTTGGTAGAGCTTCTGTAATCAATGTGATATCAGAGCACTAGCTCAAGGAATTGTATGCACCAATGGGAACCTGATGTCTTGAAGCCAGTGCTTCTTTTGGACTCAGTTCTGCCAGGAATGTAATCTGCAACATGTACTTTATCCTCTCCCAGCCTCAGGTTTTTTTTTTTTTAATCTTTTCAATGAAAATAATTACTCTACCTTTCAGGGTTGTTATAGGTATTATAGATACAGAGGAGTGACACAACATGCACATCAACTAGTGGTAAAACATATTCAACATTACGCACTTGGGCTGCAGAAGTACAGTGGATAAACAAAGAATAAGAAATAGCACTTCTGAAAGACGTAGGAGATTACACTTACTTCTATACTCAAAGAAATTATGTTCCAGTCTGAGAGGTGTGTGTGTTCATTCTCCAGTTAGTCTCAGGTGCAATGCATCTCTTGTGTTGTAAGCATCCTGCCATCTCACATTATTTATACAGTGTTTTAAAATAAGCACTTCTCTTTAAGTACAAGATAATTATTTAATCTGTAATTAAAGCAAGAAATGGCAACCTGTCTCAAAGCTAAGGAAAAAAACTGGTTCCATATTTATTGAGGGATGGGATTTCAGTCTCCATGGCGATGCTGTTATATTTCCAAGGATAATTTTGATATTAATGAATCTGGCTCTATAAGGTAACTTTAGAATGTAAACCTGCAGAAGATGCAGCTCTAATCTGAGGTAAGTAAAGTGTTCCCAGCAATACCTGGCAGTCAGTAGATGATCTATATAATTATTTTGATCATAAAATAGGCTAAATGGGCCTATTTTGACCATAAAATGGACTAAATGAGTAGTCAATTTTTTTGATTAAAAAAAGTGGTGGATCCCAAGCTTGCATGTCTAGCTGCCACAATCTAAATTCAGACAATGTGCTTTCTTGGAGCAATTTTGCACTTTTCAGACTGTCCTAGATGTCACTGTGTTCTGACCAGCAAAATAACTTATAAATGATATCTCATGCACTGAAAGAATTTGAACAAATTCTTATATTCAGCAACAATCCCCTGGTTGAATTAATATAAAATTGATACTCCTTAAAGTTCCTTTTAGTTGCATTGCAGGCCCCAATTTTTCAACTAAGCATTTTGTCCTACGGAGACTAGATGGAATGGCAAAAACTATCCAACAACCTCTTTATTTTCTGTGTTTCTCCTTTAGAAAAAAAAGCCATGTAAATTACAGAAAAAGGAGAAACTAATAGGGCTATATAAGAGCTGATCTCACAGTTATTTGTCAGGGACAACCCCATTTAGTCAATACTACTTCTGTTTGATTGGCAGCCATGCCCTTAATATTGATTACATATTTTAATATCACTCAGGATGACAAGAACATTAAACTGTCATCATAAATCAGTTCCTATTTAGAAGTCTTATAGTAAAAAGTTGGTAAGTAATTTTTTAAATTTACTTTAAAAACAATTCTGCATACTGTTAGGGGAAAAATAAACTGTTGTTGTAAGGATGTTTCATATAATTCTATGAATGCATATGAAAATCAGGTGGAGATATAGTTTTTCACATTTCTATAGTTTTCATTTATTTGTGGACTCAAATGGATCTGATAAACTAAAATGTAAAAGTAAGCATAATAAAACCCGTTTTGCATTTTTATGTCTGTAAATATGGTTCACAATCCTGATGGCAGGAGTTGTAGAATGCGGGGAAGGTGTATATTTGAAGGAAGCCTTGAGAAAAAAGACGACTTCATAAAATAAGCGGCTTAGATAATAAAGCTCTCATTCACATAAGCTCTCCAAGCAGCATTTCTTTAAACAGTTAGATTGGAAGCCTTGAGAATAGAAAATATATGCTGAGCACATATACTGTGTAATTTGGGAAAACCTTTCTCATACACTCTGTCTGTAGTATTTAGCAGAAATAACTTTCATTTGGAATATTTCTAGTTTTTAAGTTTTCAATAATTGTAGCTCATTTTAAAGTGAGAGCAAATTATGGTCCAAACGATTTATTTTTTGTTGTGTTTGTTTGTTGTCTTCTTGTGTTGTTTTGTGAATGTATTACCATAATTCTTTTTAGGCAGAGCCATGTCTTCATCAATAAATATACTGAAATAATGAATTAGCTATATATAGGCTCCGACAATCTCTAGGACTTCAGGCACGTGCTCTGCTTAGCCCTAACCAAGGGTTCTCACCCCTTGCTAACATTGGGGACCATGAGTAGAAGGTATTCCAGGACAGTTACATGATGCTGAGGACCTCAAAGGGCTGTCAAGTGTACAATGATGTCGCAGATACACTTTTCATCCCCCATGTCTCTAGGAAGCACAAGGCAGTTTGCTACCTCTGGTGTAGTTATCCAGGGGTCAAAATGTGGAGAACTGGGATTAGGAATAGTCATCAGCAGGCTTCAGGAAACAAGAAGCAACTTGGTCTTGACTTCACAATTGTCACAGCTGAGTTGGATATGCAGGCCCTGACTGTTAACTTATATATACCTCAGGAGTATCAGAAAAGCTGCTGGACTTTGCCAAATCAGCATCTCTAACACAGGCCAGATGTGTGAAGGACAGGTAAGGGAATTTCCTGGAGCTCTACGAGGAAAATACAGCCTAAGACCATCCTGGAGCTTGCAGAGGGGGAAATGTGCTTCTTCACTGCAGGATACATTTTTTCATTCATTTAGAAAGGCATATCAGAGGTATTTTTAAAAATTTTATCAATTTATAAATGTAAGCTTTATAAGGAGCATTTATTTAAACAAATTGTTTAAGCATTGCACCAGCACACAGGGGCTGAAATAATATTTGAACTTGAAGATATTGGGTGGTCTAATATTTTGAAAGGGATGCCTTCCTGAACACCTCACATAACTCAAAATAAATATAATTTAAGATGAATATTCCCATAGGAATAAATGTAAAGGTTATTTTTTAGTTTTTAGTTTTTAATTGATAATAATTGTACAAATTCATGGGGTACAAAACAGTGTTTCAATATGTATAGTGTATAGTGATCAGATCAGGATAATTAATATATTTATCATTTCAAACATTTATCCTTTTTTTGTGTTTGAGAGCATTCAAAATTTTCTTTCTAGTTATTTAAAACTATATAATATCTTATTAACTAGAGTCATATTACAGTGGTATAAAACACTGTAATTTATTCCTCTTATCTAGACAGAATTTTATATCCCTTAACAAATCTCTCCCTAGCCCTCCCTTCCCCCTACCACTCCCAACCTCTAATACCTTCTGTTCTACTTTTTACTTCTGTGAGATTAACTTTTTTAAGCTTCTGCATAAGAATGAGAACATGTGGTGTTTAACTTTCTTTTCCTGGCTTATTTCAGTTAGCCTAATGTCCTCCAGTTCTATCCATGTTGCCATGAGTGTAGGCTTTCATTCTTTTTTATGGCTGTATAGCATTCTGTTGTGAATATATACCACATTTTCTTTATCTATTCATCTGTTACTGGACATCTAGGTAGATTTCATATCTTGGCTATTGTGAATAATGCCATAATAAACATAAGGGTGCAAATGTCTCTTCTGTATAATGTTTTTCTTTTCTATTGATAAATTCCAGGTAGTGGGATTGCTGGATCATGTGGCAATTGTATTTGTAGTTTTTTAAGGAAGTTCCCTTTTTTTCTGCATTCTCAACAGGATTTGTTATTTTTTTCCCTTTTTGATAATAGCCATCTTAACTAGGGTGAGGTGATACCTCATTGTAATTTTCATTTGTGTTTCCCTAATGATTAGTAATGTTGAGTATTTTTACGTATTTGTTAGAGATTTATATGTCTTCTTTCAATAAATGTCTGTTCAGATCATTTGCCCATTTTTTTATTTAGGTTGTTTGTTTTGTTTTGTCTGCTGTTGAGATATTTGGGTTCCTTGGATATTCTGGATATTAATATCCTGTTGGAGGAGTGTTTGCAAATATTTCTCTAATTCTGTAGACTGTCTTTTTACTCTACTGTTTCCTTTGCTGTGCATAAGTTTTTTCAGTTTTGATATAATCTTATTTGTTTATTTTTGCATTTGTTTTCTGTGTTTTTGAGGTCTAATTCATAAAATATTTTTCCAGACCAATGTCCTGAAGCATTTTTCCTGTGCTATCTTCTAGTTGTTTTACAGTATTGGGTCCTATGTTTATGTCTTTAATCCATCCTGAGTTGATTTTTGGATAGGGTGACAGGTGAATAATCTAGTTTCATTCTTTGGCATATATATAGATATCTAGTTTTCTAGGGACCATTTGTTGAAAAGATTGTCCTTTCCCCAGTGAGTGTTGGCACCTTTGACATAAAACAGCTGGCTATAGATATGTGGATTAATTTCTGGGTTGGGTTGTTCATTCTATTCCATTTGTCTATGTGTCTGTTTCTATGCCAGTACCATGCTATATTGGTCACTACAGTTTTGTAACACATTGTGAGGTCTAGTGCTGTGATACCCCTGACTTTGTTCTTTTCACTTAGGATTGCTTTGGCTATTCAGGGTCTCCTAGGGTTCCATAAATATTTTAAGATTGTTTTCTATTTCTGTGAAAAGTGTCATTGGTATTTTGATAGGAACTGCATTGAATCTGTAGATTGCTTTGAATGGTATCATAATTTTAACAATATTAATTCTTTTGATTATGAGTATTTTTCATGTATAGAAATACTCATTCATCAGCACATGGAAATTCTTCAAGACAGGCCTTACGATAGGATACAAAACAAGTCTCAATAATTTTAAGAAAATCAAAATTATATCAAATACCCTCTCTGACCACAGTGGAATAGAACTAGAAATTGACACCAAAATAAACCCTCAGAACTACACAAATACATTAAAATTAAGTAATATGCTCTTGAATGATCTTTGGGTCAACAATGAAATCAAGATGGAAATATAAAAATTCTTTCAGCTGAACAATAATAGTGACACAACTTATCAAAACCCTGGGACAGCAAAAGTGGTGCTAAGAGGAAAGTTCAGAGCATTTGAAAGAATGCAGGTAGACAATCTGAGGTCACACCTCAAGTAACTAGAGAAACAAGAACAAACCAAACCCAAGCCCAGCAGAAGAAAATAAATGACAGGGTCGGGCACGGTGGCTCACGCCTGTAATCCCAGCCCTTTGGGGGGCCAAGGTGGGCAGATCACGAGGTCCTGGAGATCAAGACCATCCTGGCTAACACACTGAAACCCCGTCTGTACTAAAAATACAAAAAAATTAGCCAGGCATGGTGGCACGCACCTGTAATCCCAGCTAATTGGGAGGTTGAGGCAGGAGAATCACTTGAACCCAGGAAGGAGAGGTTGCAGTGAGCTCAGATAACACCACTGCACTCCAGCCTGGACGACAGAGACTCCATCTTAAGTAAATAAATAAATAAATAAATAAATAATCAAATAAATGGCAAAGATCAGAGCAGAACTAAAGGAAATTGAAACAAACAAACAATATAATACAAAAGATAAATGAAAGAAAAAGCTGGTTCTTTGAAAAGATCAACAAAATCGATAGATCATTAATGAAATTAACCAAGAAAAGAAGAGAGATCCAAATAAGCTCAATTAGAAACAAAAGGGGAGATATTACATCTGATACTGCAGAAATACAAAAGATCATTCAAGGCTACTGTGAACACCTATATGCACACAAACTAAAAATCTAGAGGCGATAGATAAATTCCTGGAAATATGCAACCCTCCTAGATTAAACCATGAAGAAGTAGAAACTCTGAACAGGCCAATAACAAGTAGCAAGACTGAAAGATTAATACAAATAATTGTTAACAAGAAAAAGTCCAGGACCAGATGGATTCACAGCTGAATTCTTGCAGACATTCAGAAAATTGTTACCGATCTTACTGAAGCCATTCCAAAAGACTGAGAAAGAGGGAATCCTCCCTAAGTCATTCTATAAAGCTGGTATCACCCTAATACCAAAACCGTGAAAGGACATAACAAAAAATAAAACTACAGACCTATATCCCTGATGATCACAGATGCAAAAATTCTCAACAAAGTAATAGCTAACTGAATCCAACAGCATATCAAAAAGATGACACACCATATCAAGTGGGTTTCATAACAGGGATGGTTTAACATATGCAGGTCAATAAATGTGATACATCACATAAACAGAATTAAAAAGAAAAATTATATGCTCATTTCAATAGACACAGGAAAAGCATTTGACAAAATCCAGCATCTCTTCATGATTAAAACCCTCAGGAAAATTGGCATAGAAGGGACATACCTCAAGGTAATAAAAGCCATCTATGAAAGACCCACAGCCATCATTACACTGAATGGGGAAAAGTTGAAAACATTCCTCTTGAGAACTGGAACAAGACAAGGATGCCTACTTCCCCCACTTCTATTCAACATAGTGCTGGAAGTCCTAGCCAGAGCAATTAGTCAAGACAAAGAAAGCATGGGTATCCAAATCAGTAAAGAGCAAGTTAAACTGTTGCTGTTCACTGATGATATGATTGTATATCTAGAAAACCCTAAAGACTCATCCAAAAAGCTCCTAGTCTGATAAATAAATTCAGTAAAGTTTCAGGGTACAAAATCAATGTATGCAAATCAGCAGCACTCCTATACACTAACAACAACAAAGCTGAGAAACAAATCAAGAACTCAATCCTTTTTACAACAGCTGCAAGAAAATAAAATACTTGGGAATATACCTAACCAAGGAAGTGAAAGATCTCTACAAGGAGAACTACAAAACACTGCTGAAAGAAATCATCCATAACACGAAAAAATGGAAACACATCCCATTCTCATGAATGGGTAGAATCAATATTGTGAAAATGACCATACTGACAAAAGCAATCTACAGATTCAGTGCAATTCCCATCAAAGTACCATCAGAACTAGAAAACAAAAACAAAAACGAAAACAAAAACAAAAACAAAACAAAAAACAAAAAAAACCCTAAATTCTTATGGAACCAAAAAAGAGTACACATAGCCAAAGCTGTACTAAGAAAAAAGAACAAATCTGGAGGCATCACATTACCTATCTTCATACTATCCTAAAAGGCTACAGTTACCAAAACAGCATGGTACTGGTATAAAAATAGGGAGATAGACCAATGGAACAGAACAGAGAACCCAGAAATCAAACCAAATACTTACAGTCAACTGATCTTTGGGAAAGCAAACAAAAACATAAAGTGGGAAAAGGACACCCTGTTCAACAAATGGTGCTGGGATAATAGTCAAGCCACATGTAGAAGAATGAAACTGGATCCTCATCTCTCACCTTACACAAAAATCAACTCAAGATGGACCATAGATTTGAATCTGAGACGTGAAACCATAAAAATTCTTGAAGATAGCTTTGAAAAACTCTTCTAGACATTGGCTCAGTAAAAGAGTTCATGACCAAGAACCCAAAAGCAAATGCAACCAAAACAAAAACCAATAGAAGAGACCTAATTAAACTGAAAGCTTTTGCACAGCAAAGAAAGAATCAGCAGAGTAAATAGACAACCCACAGAATGGGAGAAAATATTTGCAAACTATGCATCTGACAACGGACTAATATCCAGAATCTACAATGAACTCAAACAAATCAGCAACAACAATCAAATAATCCCATCAGAAATTGGGCAAAAGACATGAATAGACAATTCTCAAAAGAAGATATACAAATGGCCAACCAACATGGAAAAAATGCTCGATATCACAAATTATCAGGGAGACGCAAATCAAAACCACAAAACGTTACTCTTGCAAAAACGACCATAATTTAAAAATCAAAAATAATAGATGTTGGCATGGATTTCGTGAAAAGGGAACACTTTTACACTGCTAGTGGAAATGCAAACTAGTACAACCACTGTAGAAAACAGTATGGAGATTCCTTAAAGAACTCCAATTTACCCAGCAATCCTACCACTGGGTATCTACCCAGAGGAAAAGAAGTCATTATCTGAAAAAGACATTTGCACATGCATGTTTATAGCAACACAGTACGCAACTGCAAAAATATGAAGCCAGAATAAATGCCCATCGACCAACAAGTGGATAAGGAAAATGTGGTATATACGTATCATGGCATATTACTCAACCATAAGAAGGAACGAAATAAGGGCATTCACAGTAACCTGGATGAAGCTGGAGACCATTATTCTAAGTGAATTAACTCAGTAACTCAGGAGTGGAAAACCAAATATCTTATGTTCTCATTTATAAGTGGGAGCTAAGCTATGTGGATACAAAGTATAAAAATGATATGATGGGCTTTGGGGGCTCGGGGGAATGTTGGAAGAGGAATGAGGGATAAAAGACTACACATTGGGTACAGAGTACACTGCTTGGGTGATGGGTACACTAAAATCTCAGAAAAAAAATGCTGCTGATTTTTGTGTATTAATTCTGTACCCTGCAACTTTACATTCATCAGTTCTAAGAGGTTTTTTTTTTTTTTTTTTAGAGTCTTTAGGTGTTTCTATATATAAGTTTAGGTCATCTGCAAACAGGACGATTTGACTTCCTTTACATTTGGATGCCCTTTATTTCTTTCTTTTGATGAACTGCTCTGGCTAAGACTTACAGTACTACATTGAATAAGGGTGGTGAGAGTGGGCATCCTTGTCTTGTTCCAGAATGTTGTGTTTCTGATATGCATTAATCCCTAGCCAACGTGGCTTAGGGGCATTTGACCTTGGTTTTTAATTTTGCAGCCATGTCATTTCACACATTCTGTTTTCCTCTTTTTTTTTTTTTCAGAATGTGTTGCCTACTTCTATAATGAAGTGTGTGAATAAAAAGGTGCTTTTTCTTTTTCTTTTTCTTTTTCTTTTTTTCTTCAAGATAGAGTCTTGCTCTGTCGCCCAGGTTGGAGTGCAATGGCATGATCTCAGTTCACTGCAACCTCTGCCTCCTGGGTTCAAGCAATTATCCTGCCTCAGCCTCACAAGTAGCTGGGATTACAGACGCGCGCCACCATGCCCGTCTAATTTTTTGTGTTTTTAGTAGAGATGGGGTTTCACCAATGTTGACCAGGCTGCTCTCAAACTCCTGACCTCGTGATCTGCCTGCTTTGGCCTCCCAAAGTGCTGGAATTACAGATATGAGCCACCGCGCCATGCCTATTTTTCTTAACACCATTTCTAAAATTCCCTCATCTAAAATAATAGCACAGGATGTTGTGGGAATTTTAAATCCTCTTCAAATTATTTTTAATCACATCTAAATATCTTTCCAAATTTTTTTATATTTTCGACAATAGTGTTCACACCACAACTTAAGAAGAACTTGAGCAATATTGTTATAAAATTTAAAATTTGTTAATATTGGTAATATAAAAATGGATACTACAATTATTACCAAATTACTCAGAAAATTCTGATATATGTAGAGCATGAATGATGATGTTGTCTATTTTGTATTTCTGTTTGCCAGAAAATGTTGCTGCCAAATGGCAGTACTACAAACACAATTTTCAGTTAACTCCACCTGCTCGTTTAAAACAATACAATTCTTGACCACTTTCAAATTTGATACTCAAATATGAGAGTGAAATTTTTCAGTTTTTTAAAAATTATTTCAAAATGCACATAAAATGAATTATACAATAAACCATTCACTGTCTGAGATTATGTGGCAGGAACTGTGTTGCAGACTCTTCATCCCTGATTATTCCTACTTTAGAGTTAAGGAAGTGAGGCAAATTTGGATTAAGTAACTGGAAAAGAGTTTAACATAAGTCTTTGTGGATTCCAGAGTTTATCCCTATTTTGCCAATATTTCCAAATGTAGTCCCATTTTGAGAAGGGTTTGATGGTGATAAAAGCACTGATATTGTTGTTATAGCAATTAAGCTAGGTTGTTGAGAAGAGAGTAGGTGGTGAGGACAGGAAGGCAGTAAGAGCCACCTCTAGGCAGGGCCATTGGCATCAAAAGTTACACGGAGAACAACAGAGTGGTTATAGGAGGGCTTGGGTTCAACTAGAAGCTTCTTTACTTTAGAATAAATAGATATCTGTGTATGTATAGATATGTTACTTTACAGAAAGAAGGAAACATCTGGAAAGTAGTTCTTTCATTTTAATAGCAATACAGAAATTTCAACAGTCTAAATGTTTAATCAGACCCAACTATAGAGAATACTGTGAATAAGGCATAGAATGTTTTTTTCTTCTAACCCTTTTCACTCTTTTATTCTTTGTCAAGGGCTATCTTCTTAGTAACAATAACAATTATAATTATAATAACTGCACATATTAAAATGGGTAAGTTGAATATATTAAAACTCTAAGCAAAGTTGTAAGCACTTTACAAAACTCAAGTAATTTAATTTTCACAGCACCTCTTAAAAATAGGATACCATGGCTGGGCGCGGTGGCTCACACCTGTAATCCTAGCACTTTGGGAGGCCGAGGCTGGCAGATCACCTGAGGTCAGGAGTTCGAGACCAGCCTGGCCAACATGGTGAAACCCCATCTCTACTAAAAATATAAAAAGTAGCTGGGCGTGGTGGCAGGCACCTGTAATCCTAGCTACTCGGGAGGCTGAGGCAGGAGAATCACTTGAATCCGGGAGGCGGAGGTTGCAATGAGCCAAGATCGCGCCTTTGCACTCCAGCTGGAGGAAACAGGAGTGAGACTTTGTCTCAAAACAAAACAAACAAACAAACAAAAAAATAGGATGCCATTATGATTCCCATATTACAGATGAGGAAATCATGGTATAGAGAGATTAAATAACTTTCAAATTACTCACCAGCAAAAGTACTCACCTTGTCTTCCCAGGATCCTCATTATACGCTTTTCTCCTTTGTCTTTGCATTTTTTTTCCTTTTCTTTTTGTTAACCAAAATTTATGTATTCTGTGTCCCCAGGACCTAACAATATAATTAATTGATTAAAGAGAGTCATGCCAAATCATTTAGCTTAATGTGTTGCATTTCCAAAATAACATTTATATCAAATAAAGACCTTAAGTGTTTTAAAAGGAGGCAAGTGAACACTCAACTTTTGTTTGTTTTTTGTTATTACTAAAAATTACTGACTCAAAGAAGAAAATATCATTTAAACACCTCAACCCAAAATTTGTTTAACACAGACATTGGCTTACAGAATTAGATCCAACTTGTCTCAGAGATTTCTTTAATTAAAAAAAAAAGAAAATATAACCTGATAACATACTATAACAATGCATTTTAAAAACAGAATTAGATCCAACTTGTCTCAGAGATTTCTTTAATTAAAAAAAAAGAAAATATAACCTGATAACATATTATAACAACGCATTTTAAAATAATACATTTCTGTTATATTCATCTCCATATAGTGATGATTTAAGGAAGTAAAGGGAAGATGAAAAGTATAGATCAATAAAGATAAAAATGTTAGGCACAAAGAGAAAAAGAGGGAAGATCCAATTTTTCGTTTGCTTCAGCAAACAACTCTTCCTTCAGCCTACAATCTCTTCTTAAAAGATAGTATTTATCCTTTAATGATAAGTAGTATTAAAAAGTATTACAATATTTCATAAGAATATTATTTAATAGCAATATTTAGTTTTTCACTCTCATTCTCTTGCAAGCATACAGTTTACATTTCTAATATGGCAAGTATTGACGGCTAAACACCATAAACAAAATTTCTTTGGGGTCCTTGATTCTTAAGAACATAAAATGTTCCTGAGGCATGCAATAAGTCAATTCTCCAGACAAATCATTCAAGATAAAACAGGGGCTAAAAGCTATTCTGATAGAAAGAAGCTGGGAAAGAGAAATACAGTTGGAAGATTTATTAAGATTTTTCTCTGAGGCTAGAGGTTCATGAGGAAGGCTTCTGTGGAGAAACAGGTTGGGGGTCGGGGGAATAGTTGCTTACTCAATAGTACCCTGATGGCTCCACTGATATGATAGGAACTTCCCAGAAGTACCTAATTTACTCAAAGGGAGCAGTTCACACCTCATTATGGGCCCACAACTGCAAATAAATGTACAATAATATGAATAACCATAATATTGCAAAAAATATACAGGATAAAAAAGAAACAAACTTGTGCACAGAATTATCTGCAATAAAAGAGCAACCTTTGCTACTTACTAACATCCCAACCTTTGCTGCTTACTAACATCCCACAATAACTAATGTATCCGCCAGAATTTTTCTAAACATTATTTTTGGCTCATTCACTGATGATTACAGAATGAATCTTCTTGGATGTTTTCTCCTTTTATTGCAATTCTCTATCTCTTGTCAGTGAGTGGGCCCCACTTATTTCTTTTGTGAAACCTCTCAATTCCTCTCTCAGTGCAGATACTTCAGGATCTCCTTGCCAACCTACTCTAACATATGCTTTTCCTGTTTCATAAAAATCACTTTAAATGATTTTCTGTTTTCATTCATTCATTGGACAAAATTTATTATCTACCAACCGTGTTTCAGATATGCCTATAAAAATGATTTTTAGGCTCTGGGTTCATGGTAAGAAGACAAACAGTATCTCTGCTCTCACAGAGCTTACATTCTGGTAGAGAGAGACAAATGATAAATAGGTTGAGACATAAACGAAGTATTTTCACATAATGGTTAAAACCTAGGAAGACAATGAAACTGGGTAAGTTATACAGAATGATAGGCAGTGGTGTTTTGGATAAGATGGTGTATTAGTCCATTTTCCCGCTGCTGATAAAGACATACCCCAGACTGGGTAATTTATAAAGAAAAAGAGCTTTAATGGACTCACAGTTCCATGTGGGTGGGGAGGCCTCACGATCATGGTGGAAGGTGAAAGGCACATCTTACACGTGGCAGACAAGAGAGAATGAGAGCCAAGTGAAAGGGGAAACCCCTTATAAAATCATCAGATCTCATGAGACTTATTCACTACCATGAGAAGAGTATGGGGGGAAACCGCCCCCCATGATTCAATTATCTCCCACGGTGTCCCTCCCACAACATGTGGGAATTATGGGAGCTACAATTCAAAATGGGATTTTGGTGGGGACACAGCCAGACCATATCAGATGGTCAGGGAGGGCCTCCATATGGACTTGACATTTAAGGTGAGTCCTGAATAATGAAAAGGAGAAAGCTATGTAAAGATGAGTGAAAAATATTTAACTCAGAGGGCATACAAAGAACTAAGTTTCTAAAGCCTATTAATTCCTCATAGTTACTAGAAAATGAGGATCATAAAGTAGGTGTGGTTAAAGCATAATGAGACAGAGGAATCTTCATAAAGGAATGAGATGGAGAGAAGGGCAAGGATAGGTTAGAAAGATGTGTAGGTCATGGAAAGGAGTTTGAATTTTATTGTAAGTTCAATAGGGAGTTACTGAATGTTTTGAAGCAGAGGTGGGTGTGACAATATCTGATTTATATTTATAAAGGACTACCCAAGGGTTGTGAGAAGAATGTGATGTTGGGGCACAGAGTAGAAATAGGGAGAATGGTTAGAACTCTACTCCAAGCAAGTGAAGACAGTGGGTTAGATAAAGTAGTAGATGGAAAGGAGGAGGACTCTTTGGGATATATTTTGGGGGCAGAGCCTATCTGTCTTGCAGATGAGTTGAATGTAGGTATAAGCAAAATGGAAGAACCCAGCATGGCTCCTGTGGTTTTTAGCAAACGAGTCCTAACTTTTCTTGCTTTCAATGATCCTGAGTTCCTCTCTCCACCGCAGTATCTTGATTGCAGTAAAGCACATTTCCTCATCATTCTTTCCACACACATTACTCATTCCCATTTCTATCCTTTTGCCCAGACATTTTCTAGACTTTACTCTTACACATTCTCTAGCCCAGATCATTAGCTGTAACAAATGAGGGTTGCCTCAATCATATCTTTTGTCTCCTAATTGAAATTCTATCTTGTATTATTTGTTGCTTCATATCAGTGAAGTTGTGTCCCCAGGTATATAATTAGAACATTTATAGTAAGCATCATATCTTAATTTCTTTAGGAAGTGTCTACCATGTAACCACAGATGAAAAATAAACTCTTGCTGATTAATAATGAATGTGATTGGCCCGGTGCAGTAGCTCATGCTTGTAATTCCTGAACTTTGGGAAGCTGAGATGGGCAGATCACTTGAGGTCAGGAGTTGGAGACCAGCCTGGCCAACATGATGAAATCTGTCTCTACTAAAAATACAAAAATTAGCTGGGTGTGGTGGCAGATGCCTGTAATCCCAGCTACTCAGGAGGGTGAGGCAGGAGAATCGCTTGAACCTGGGAGGCAGAGGTTGCAGTGAGCCAAGATCGTGCCATTGCACTCCAGTCTGGGCAACAGAGCAAGATCTCAAAAAAAAAAAAAAATTAATGTAATCTGTGATTAAATATAAAATTCTGCTCTTCTATGTGTTATTCCACTTAGCCTTTGACACATCTTTCTTTGCCTTATTTCTTGTCCTTCAGGCTCCAGCTCAGCTGTTACTTCCCAGGAATGCCTTCTCTGAGGACTCAAGCCAAAATACCCCTACTTACAGCCACTGGCCACTCTCTATCGTGTTTCCTTGGTATATTATTCTTCATAGCATTTATCCCTAATCTGGTGTGATCTTATTTGCCTGTTTACTTGTTTATTATCTCTTTTCCCTACTAGAAAGTTAGTGACAAAAGAGCAGAACTTGTCTATCTTGTTCACTTCTGGATCTCAGCACTTACAGCAGTACTTGTCTTACAGTTTCATATTTTATGCCAAGCACTGTCCTAGAGGCTAAGAATAAAGAAATAAAAACAACAAAACTCTTTACCTCTATGAAATTTATATTCTGGTAGGAGATATAGACAATAAGTAAGATTAATAAGTAAACACATAGTCTATTGTTTAGTGATAAGTGCTGGAAGGGGAAAAAAAATCAAGCAAGAAAAGGCAGATAGGATCAGTATATTTGTGGAGGGGTGGTATATCTGTAGAATTTTACGATGGCCAAGGAAGTCCTTGATGAAAAGGTGACATTTGAGTCAAAATCGGAAGAACATGAGAGGGCGTGTCTTGCCGGGAGCTGATAAAGACCTTCCAGACAGAGGGAACAGCAAATGCACATATGCTGAGGCAGGAAAGTGCCCTCCCATCCCTGTTTTCCAATACATGGTTCCCCTTACCAGAGGTGACTGATCACTGTTGCCAATTTTTTGGATATGCTTTCAGAGACAGCATGTATATACAAACATGGCATGTGGAATATGCATTGTGTATTTTATTAGATATTGCCAGATCACCCTCTAAAACGGCTATAGCAATTAACATTCCCCACCACACTCTAGGGATAACCCAATTTGCTAAGGGTCTGTGATGGCATAAGCAAGTGGAAAAAAGGTGGGAGATGCAGTCAGAAGGAGAAGATGGCAACAGAGGATCATTTGCAGTCTTTGAGGCCAGTAGAATGATTTAGGCTTTGGATTTTACTCTTAATAAAATGAGAAGTGACTGGGAGATTTTGGATAGAGAAGAGCCATAAAATGACTTATATTTTAACAGAATCATTCCAGTTTCTTTTTCAGAATGGGCTATAAGAAAAAAAAAAAACAGAAACAAAGAGATTAAGAGTTATCACCATGACTCAGGTGAGAGACTATGGTGGCTCCAACTGGAATAGTAGCATCAACATGAGCTAAAGTTGTGGTTTCTGGTCCTTGATAAATATTTGTTAAACGAATAAGTAGTAAAGAGTTTCCTACTGAACAGTGATGGTTTACATTTTATTTAAACATATAATGTAGCCCATTTATAAACTGAACAAAACATATGTACAATGATTTTTGAAATTAGATCAGTAACTAAATTATTTAAAAGTCAAAAAGTGGTTTCTTAATAAAATTCATAAAACGTTCATTGATAGATAGGTTACATTTATTTTTACAAGATGCCCAAGTGGGTTATTCATCTGATTTATTTATTCTTGAGACCTATATTTCTCTTGAAAGTAATTCTGATAAGATGGTAGCATTTGTAGAAAATTTAAGAATAGCTATGTTTTTTGGGGAACAAATAAAAAGAACTTGAGATCTGCCATCATTCTGCCTGCTTTGAACACAATGGAAATGATAAGTCTATCACTTAAAATTCTAAATTAGTAGTTTTATAAAAATGAAAATCCTTTTCTTTTCTGTAGTAGAGTTTTCTTTTTAATTTTTTAAAGTGTTTTCATCTGACACTTTCTAATTACCTCTTTTGGATGAGTGTTAATGTATTTTCACAGTGCTACCTGGCTAGGTGTCATCTTTAGACCCAGACAGTTGAGTTCTACTCTGTTTATCAGTAAAACTGGTTTTGACTGATTCTGCAAGTGAAGCGTATGTTCTGAGTCATTCTCAGAAGCAAATTCAGAACATGTGAAATTTCTTTCTCTTTTTTATAGAAATTAATTAGCTTGTTGAAATTGTCTTATTGTTCTCTTTGGGTTGGTTTATATTCAAATCATTGTTTTCAAAACAGAAAATCTGTGATTAGCTGGAGTTAAAAATCTAAACAAGAGATCCCCAAGCTCCAAATCATGTAAATTGTAATATTCATGACAGTTTATAACTTCTTTTCCCCCGATGGGAATATCCTATGTGGTTTATTGCAAGCCATCAACATCAGAGCACTCAAAAATTGCAATATGGTGTTTCACTGGCTCTTGTAAACCTAGTTTAAGCTGGTGGGCTGCCAAAAGCCAAAAAGAGACAAAAGAAAACATACTTAATATTTTGAAAACATGTTGGTATGTACAAATCACTCAAAATTCTGTGGACTCAGTGCTTATGTTCTGCTTTAGGCAGCTTTATAAATGCTTTAGGATACTGCACGCATTGTAACACATTTCACATCACCTAAAATGTGCTAGCTTTTGAAATTGGTTCACATTCTCTTTGGTGCACAAAAGCAATCTTGTTTACATTTCTAACAGATCCTTGGTTACATTCTGGCAGTAAAGACATTGTTATGAACAAAACAGAAAAAGATGTCCTGTGTTTGTCTCTGAATTTTTGTTGTTGAAGATATTGGATTGCCATCTCTAGCACAGTTCATAAACAAACTTGGTGAACATCAAAGGCTATAGCATTACAACCTGCTGAGTCCAGATTACACACCTCAAAAGTAAATGTTACCTCAATGAAAACTCTTCTGAAATTTAAAATCAAATAAAACTCAAAATGTCCAAATGTTTTCTTTAGAACTCAGGCATAGTGTGTGAGAATTTTTTTAATGCTTTTGCAATTATTGGATGATTAACTGTACATTTATTCAATTATGCACAATCTCTTGTTTGGCACAATTTTATTTACTCTCATTTGCTCTTCACACATACAGTCTTGCCATGTATACTCTGGCCCTGGATATGGGAAATACTGGATGTACTTGAAAAACAGAACTGCAAATATCTCTTTTACTACATATAAAACACAGTGCATTATTCACAATAGAATATGGGTAAATAGTTCTTGAATATGAGATTCCAAGATCGTAGCTCTACCAGAGGTAGCCACTTACATGCTCATTAGTTGTAACATACACACACACATACTCACAAATATATGTACTGCATAAATCATTGACTAACTTCTAGAGAAAGAAAACATCAAACTAACAAAACTCTGCCAAGAAACCCTGTTTAACAGTATTTATTGGTGTTTCTCAAAAAAATAAAATTCCAAGACATCTTTGTTATGCCCAGTTTTGTGTTTCTACCAAAAAAAAAACCACATCTGTAAGAATTAGAATCTTTCCCATTGGCAATCTACAAAATCACGTCATATTTTATCCTTAACAATATAGCCAACACAGTTATTTGGGGAGGATTCCAAAAATTTTAAAGAAGCTGAGAGAAAATATCTTAGTCATTAGATTATACAAAGTGAGTCCAGTTGGACATCCCTAGTCAACTTTACATAAATCCTCAGTGCTAATTTAAGTCTTCAGTCTCAATCATTGTATATCTATAGTCATATCTCATCACTTCACTAACTGGCTCCCTCAAGCAGAATCCTTTGCTTCCTCAACTGTGACCTAATAGCACTGTTCACATACCTCCCTCGTGACAACTACCAGACTACATTACAAATACACATTATGTGATCTGACTCTTCAGAGAGCATGAACTTGTTGAGGACAGGGCCATATATTTATCATCTTTTATCCCTAGTACCTAGCATCATTTCTAGTACATAGCTGATAGCAGATATCAGTAAATGCTGAATATATGAATAAACCT
This sequence comes from Homo sapiens, assembly GCF_000001405.40. NCBI lineage: Eukaryota > Metazoa > Chordata > Mammalia > Primates > Hominidae > Homo > Homo sapiens. Next base: position 147,771,863 of record NC_000003.12, on the reverse strand, counting down.
TGGCCCAGATATGCTTTCTTAGTATCTCAGTGGAGAATACAGTGATTCCCTGACTTTTACCTTTTAAGAACCTAAGCAGAGAACCCAACTGAGCCTGCCATGGGCTTTTGACATATAGAATTTGAGCTAATAAATGAATGTTGTTTTAAGCTGCTGAGCTTGCGAAAATTTGTTATAAAACAGTAAAAAATAAATACAGTCATATAAATGTGATACTCTTGGTCAAAGGCATATTTTCAGTGAAACAGCTAAAACATGTTAATGTTTAGAGCACAATTTTATAAAAATTATAACTTGTGCAGAATCGTTAAAGTTTGTGATAAATATGTTTAAAATCAAATTTAACAATGCTATACTACTATATACCTATTAGAATGGCTAAAATAAATAAGACTGACAATACCTACTGGGATTCTCATAGTTTGCTGATGTAAATGCAAAATGATACAGCTACTTCAGAGAAAAGTCTGGTGTTTCTTACATGTTTTAACATATATTTATATAATGCAGAAATACCACTCCTAGGTAGGTATACAAGAGAAAACTTATTTTCACACAAAATTGGTACACTAATGATGAGAGCAGCCTTCTTTTCTAATCTCCAAAAGCTTGCAACAACTCAAATGTCTTTCAAGTGGTGAATGGATAAACAAATTGTGGTACATTCATCCACAGGAATAATACTCAGTCATTCACATAATTCAGGTGAATCTCAAATGTGTTATGTTGAATGAAAGTAGCCAGTCTCAAAAGGCTGCATACTCTATGATTCCATTTATATTACTGTATATATTTTCTATTGCTGCAGAACAAATTACCACAAACTCAACAGCTTAAAACAGCATTAATATATTAGCTCACATTTCTATATGTCAAAAGTCTGGGGTAGGCTGTGTTGGGTTCTCTGCATAGATTCTTACGAGGTCAAAGTCAATATGTCACTGGGCTGGGCTTATAACTCAAGTTTCTAGTGGAAGAGGCAACTTCCATGCTTACCCAGTTTCTTGGCAGAATGCAGTTCTTAATGATTGTAGGACGCAGGTGCTCATTGCCTTGTTGCCGCTCAGCTCCCAGAGGCCACTTTCAGGTCTTTTCCACATGTCCCTCCTTATCTACAAGCCAGCAATGGTACATAGAATCTGCTTCAGATCTCTGACTTCCTTTCCTGTTACCAGCTGTCCAACACCCTATGTTCTTAAGGAGCTTGTGTGATTATATCAGGCCCACGTATATAATGTAGCATAATGACAAGAGTTATTATAACAAGCGATGCATGACATCTTAAAATTGTGTCTACCAAAATAACTTTCTGAAAAAGGCAAAAATATAGGGAAGGAGAATGGATCTGTGGTTACCAATAATTAGATGTAGGAGGAGGGGCTAACTACAAAGGGACTGCAAGAGAGAATTTCTTGGAGTGATAGAAATGTTCCATAACTTGATTTTTGTGGTGCTAGGGACTTTACGCACTGGTCAATACTCCTAGAACTGTACATAAAAAAACAGTTTTACTGTTTGTTAATTTAAAAATAAGTGGAAACAAAGAAAAAAATCAAATTCAAAAAAGTCTCTAGTAAAACTGAGCTATCTTACGTAACATCCTAAGTAAATCTAAACCTCAGTTATTAGTATTCTTGATCATCTTGGGTACTATCTGAAGGACAGAATAATCTATAATAACATTTTTTATTAGAAAATCTAGACCCAAATTGAAAAGAGTTAGGGTCTTTTATTTGCACATTACCTTTCTTTCCTATCTTGCATTTTTATTGAGAATTCTTATTCAACTTTCAAAGCTTCAAATGAAGCCTTTTCTTAACTACTCCAACCCCGATTGCTCTCTTCTCTGAACATCAAATAACACTTGCTTTTACATCATCAGGTATTTTTCATACTGGAACTTCTTTTTCCCTATTTTGCTTAATTGTACCTTGAGGGTACACACTTTGAAGCCATAGTGATTACTCTTCATTTCTAATCTCCATGTCCAATTCAAGTCTTCCATTCTACCATAGAAATAGCTCCCATATTTACTCCTCTCTGTTTTTTCCCACTATACTCATTCACTCAGGAATTCATTGCTTCTTGATTAGATCATTGTCTTAAATTCATGTTTACTTTTTATTTTCTGTTTTTGATCATTGCATTTATAATTGTTTCACTTTTTCTGCCACCAATTTAATGTTTCCAAGTAACTGTTCCAATCAGTTAATTTTCTTCCTCAGAAATTTCAGTACCATCCTCACATTCTTTCTTTATTGAATAATGTCCAATCTCTCTAATCCTGGCATTAATGACCCTCCTAAGTCTGGCTGAAGTCTTCCTTTTCAGTTTTTTTTCTGTTAGATATATAATATACAATAAAAAGTTTTGACCAAAAGTGGCCAAATATTTTTTCACTGTGTCCATGCTATTTTCTCAGTCTGGCATAATATCTCTGTTATGGAAATCGCCTACCATATATTCAAGGTCCACATGAGGTAGAACTCCTTCTCAGAAGTCTTTCCTGGTGTCTCACACCTCTTAGCCAAAAATAAATCTTTCTTCTCAATATTCATGGCATTTTTCTTAAATGTCTTAATCACACTCAGCAGATTATATATTACATTACATTTTTGTGCATGTCTTATTTCTCCTTATTCACCTTGAAGTCCCCAACATTTCTCAGAAATAAAACTAAAGAATTGTTGAATGGATTATTAAAGTATTAATTTATAGTAATTAATTATTTTTTAAGTAGTATTCCCTTGTAGAAGTAGAAAGGATAACCAAACAACTCAAAATAACATGCAAAGTGAGTTAAATTGATAAGAACTGACCAAAAAGAGAGATGAGGCATTGCTTTGCCTCAAAGAAAATGGCTTAGTCAGAAATTAAGAATATGTGGAAGAGATGTTGAATATTGTATACCCACACTTGGGCCATATACAAGGCAGGCCCTCTGACCGGGCAAAGGCCAGGCACAGAAACACAGGGCTGGATAATAGCATGGTCTTTGTCTCTGAATTTATGTAAAATTAGGAGGAGAAGAAATAATGGGGTAACATTGTCTTAACTGAAGAGAGTCTTTATTTAGAAATATGAATACATATAAATACACTATGTATGGTAATATTTCTTTACCTAATTGGCCTTATTATTTCCCTTAGAAGCTTTCAAACTCAGAGAGGCAAGAGCTTCGGTTTTGTGATAGATGTCTCCAATAGGAAAATAAGGTTAGTAAGTTAACCTTCTTTAGTTAATAACTTAAAAGAAGGTTGGGTAAGTTAATAATCAACTGTCATAAGAGGATGTTAAAGTAAGGTTTTACTTCTTTGTCTTAGCCAAGTCCCAAATATAGAGAACGAGTATTAAAAATGCCAAGGAACCCCAAAATAAGAAACAAGACTACTTATGAAATACTTGAAAAAAAAAGGTGGTTGTATTAGGGCATTCTTGCATTGCTATAAAGAAATACCTGAGACTGAGTAAGTGATAAAGAAAGGAGGCTTAATTGGCTCACAGTTCTGCAGGCTTTATAGGAAGCATGGAGCAGTCATCTCCTTGGTTTCTATGGGAGGCCTCAGGAAGCTTGCAGTGATGGCAGAAGGCAAAGGGGCATTTGCATTTATAAATGTTTAATGGCAAAAGCAGCAGCAATCAAGAGAGAGTGGGGCTGGGGATGCCACATACTTTTAGATGACCAGATATCATGAGAACTCACTATCACGAAGACAGCACCAAGCCATGAGGTATCCACCTCCATGATCCAAACACCTCCCACCAGGCCCTGCATTGGGGATTACAATTCAACATGAGATTTGTGCAGGGAACAAATACCCAAACTATGTCAGTAGTTAACTAGTTTCCTAGTTTTTCCCTTAATACTTTCCTTGAGGATATGTAAAGGTTAGAGGAGCAAAGAAAAATGGCTGTTTATGGAGAAATACTTTCTTTAAATAAAATTATTGAGTTTTCCCTTGCCATGGGGAAAGAGTGGGGATAGAGGCAATGTGACAGGTCCACTTGGAGAAAGCTTTATATGTGTCTTTCAGAATCAGGTGGCTTTTGACCTGTACTATAAAAATTAAAAGGCTAAAAACTATGACCAGAGGTGCCTGAATAACAGGAGGATAGAGAGAGAAAATGACATTGGGAATAACCTTTATTTGGCAGAAGCAAAGACGTAAAGACATAAGGTGTCCATGGATGAATGTGGACCATGTGGAAGGAAGCCGAATTCAATCCATCTGAAAAGGACTTTTGCAAGAGAGATTCCTGGAGTGATAATGAAGCCTCATCAGTAAGAGTCTATGTGGCCTGGGCTGCCCATGCCGTGAGAATTGAAGTTGTAAGCAGCTAGCTAAATAGAAAACCTCACCATGTGAGATCACTGTATTGGAGGATATCAACAAGTTTGTCTCCAATAAATCCATAAAATTACTCTCAGGCAGAATCAGAATTAGGAATCTCGGATATCCTTCCTAAGAAGAGCAGCCATTGAATCAAATTTATGTCATCCTATAAGATCTTTAGTTTTTCTAACTTCTTTTCTTCACTCCATTTCTGAAAAGGTTAGAAACCTCATCTAGCAAGAGGAGTGCAGGATAGAAGAGTCAAAAATAAGGAACAAAGATGAAGGCAAACAAAGCCTTCTCCTCTGTCCTGTGCCTAAAGCAGCTGCCAAGCTGGAAAGGGGGAGAAGCTTTGACTTTATGTGAAGTTCAGGGTATTTTTAAACATTATACTTAGCATGACATTTTCATAACACTTATGAAAACTTGTTTTTGCCAAATTACCTGTAAATCTCACTATCTAAAAGTGGCTAGGAAAAATATTACAGTGCTTAACCTGATATTAATATCAATTCAAGGAGTGGAGAACTCCAGAAAAGAGATTTGAATGATGGAGGTGAGGATGGCAAACAGTGGAGGTAACATAGAAGGGAGATACAGTCTGTACCTGCATTTAGGTTGTACTCTACTGATTCTCCTTCTTTCAAGGTGCTAGTTATTCTGCTGGAGATGACAGTGCAATTAATTAGGGAAAGATACAGTAGAAGCAATCATCTATATGATTTTAAATGATAATTCATGTTTCCAAATAATTATTAAATAATTAATTTCCACATAATTATTCTTTTTAAGAAAGAATTTTAGTCTAAAGAAAAGGTGTTAAGTACATAGAGTCATGTTTGGGGAAGCAATAATCATTACCTGGAGACAATTGTTCTCTTAATGTTCATGCTACATACCACCAGGAAAACTATATAAAAACAACCAGAATTTTTGAAATTGCGGTATACAACATTTACATTTCTTTTTAAAGCAGAAGTAAGAAGTTTAAAATCCAATGATCTTTTTCTGCATTCCAGCATCATTTCAATGATATTTATTTTACCTTCTTCATGCACCTGATGACTTCCTGCTTTCTAATATCCATGTCCCAGAGAAACAAGAAAGAGTCTAGAAAGCCTTTTTATCTTGACTTTTCCAATTAGTGAAACAAAGCATGTAAGCCCTTCATCTTTAACACTAAAACTGTGAACTATCTCTTAATTTTTTTTTCCAGAGAACAGTTGAGAAGGGAGAAATCATCTGGGGGAGGGTTCAGTAGAAACTTCTTACTGCTCTTGAAGCTTAAAAATGCCTAATATTAGTCTTGAAAAAAACCCTATTTTTAACATTTTATAGTGTGTAAAAGCTAGGTCAGGGAAACAGAAATTGAGACCCTGCACTTCCCAATTATAAATCTAATTGGTTTTCAAATGATAATTTCATTTTCTTGTGGTCAGAGATTATGATTTATCTTTTCTTATCACAGTTCTTGAAACTTTCTTTGTTCCACAAATATTTATTGAATGATAGCTCTGTTGCAAGCATTTTGCCGAACTTTCATATACATGTTGTGTAGTTAACTAGGTCTGGCACTAAACAGATTGTGGGTAAATAAACAGCATTGGTTTTCTGGTTTTATCTCCTGATCTAGTACAGAACTGACATTACTCTATGACACAAAGATTCTCCAGTGTGCTCAGCCTGATTTCAGGTCACCTTTGATAACTTCAAAGTTGTAGCTATTACTGAAGACTCAATTCAAGGGCAAATGCAAGGTGACTTCAGGAATTTAGGGCTGAATTACAATTGACTGTCTAAGAAAGAACTCATACAAGCTTCCATGTTTTTCAAAGGTCCTATTACATAATAAATTTTTGTTACATTCTAATCTTGAGTAAATTACCAAATCCAGATCTAGATTGTTATGTTTGGCCTCAGAGAGCTATGGGTGAAGAATTAGGGCTGGAATTGCAATAAAAAGAAAACATGCCTTGTTAAATTTCCTTTTTTGTACCGAAAACCTTTTTTGCTATACTATGTTTCCAGTGGGAGTAATTACAATGTGTCTAATGTTATACTTGAATAAACTTTTTTATCCTATGTAAGAATAAGTCTTTTTATGTTCCGTAAAGCACCTGGCATATCGTGAGCATTTCAGACGTGCTTAATGATGAAATAATGGGAACTAAAGATCTAAACCCTTGTTTCCTGTGGCTACTGTAATCTGAATGGACAAAGGAGGAGGAAAAATCACCCTGGTTATTGTAATATTGTAGCTTATTATCCCATCCTACACTGTTTTGTTTAGAAAACACGTGGAAGACAATCCACGTTTGAGTATAGAACAAGTTCATCTTATAAAAGCTCACAAGTGTTTATAATTCTTTCGTTAAATCTTACAGAATATGATAAAGTTTGCAAAGAATGATGGAATATTACATCACAAATTGCACATCCATTAGAATTTAGCTAGTGGATATATAATGAGACTCTAAGAGTATACAGGAAATTAATTTTTATTTAATTACCACAATGTATTTTTAAGAAGCAGATTCAAGAAGACTTGTTGGCAGAATGGTCTTCATCAAACAATACACAAAGAGCATCCAATTCAAGTATTTTTCCTCCAAGCAAAAAAAAAATCATTTTTTAAAAATGACACAAATAACTTAGATTTATCAATTCTTAGAGCTAGGAGTTATTAGAGACTCTGCAGTTCAATCCTGAAATCTGGTATTTATTGATTATTTAACAATGTTGCCATAGTTAAGTATTAAATGCTGGTCTTAGATACAGAGGTTTTTATTCATATTGTTAAAGACCAGTGCTAGCCAAAGGATCAAATGGAAAAAAAAGCACCCTAGAACAGATAAAACAAAGAGTAGAGGAAAGAGACTGAGAAAGTAATTCAGAAAGAAAAATAAAATTGTCAAAGATATGTCTCCAAAGTCAAAGAGAACTACCCCACCCCCACCTTAAGAAGATTTCACTTTATCTAAAGAGTAAAGCAAATGCTTTTAGATCCAAGGGTACCTGGTTCAAATCTCAGCAGGGGCAGATTTCTCACAAACTAAAAAGGCACTCTCCCTATTAAAGGAACTGACTTAATACAGTTATATGGACCATTACTGTACAGAATGGGAATTCACACACTATTTTCTAAATGGGGCCTTTTTGTGCATGTACAGTAATTCTTACAGAAGCCTTTTACAAATAAAAAGGGAAAAATTGGGGAAAAATCTAAGAACCCATTATTTGAGCCTTTAATAACTACTGGTGTATTAGAGACAGCCATCTGCAGTAATATAGCAGATCAGGTCTTCCTGGCAATGGTCTGAAAAAGCATTCTAAAGATAAAAGCTTAATTCTTGCACGGACCCCAGATGCCTAGAAAAAGATTAATAAAATATTCCTTGAAGTATGGCCTCAATGTTGGACCTCAAAATGCATGGTCTTCATGGAACTTCACTTAAGCAAGAAGTAGCACTCACATAGTTCATCATAAGAACACTTTTGTCTGAGATTTCCACAAGAAGACTTTACTGAGTACAGTTTTATAAGATACTCTAATTTGACTGCTGAAAGTCTTCCTCAGTAGTGAAACCATGACAGACATGTGGTAAACATTCTACCTAATCCACCTTATAAAAGAACCCTGAGGAAACTGCTAGAAGTCTACTTCTGCAATAAATTTATATTTGGAGAGCTATAGTTGATCTAGGTTCAACATATTTGGGGTAATTTATATCACTCTCCCTGGGAACATCATTGAAGATAGAATAATATTAAATGTTGAAAAAGTCTTTTTCACCAGCTTCACCGTACATAATTCTCTGGGACCTAACTAGAGGCTAAATGATTGCAAATATAGGCCAAGATTCAAAAATGTGGATTATACGAACATATAAAAAGTACTTTCAAAAGTAAAATGTGTTTCTTGCAGAATAAATCTGAGTACTCGGTCAATATTTTAGGTAGTAATAGATTTTACAGAAAGTAATGTATTTGAGACCTATAATTTATCCACACTATACCAAAAATTTTACAAACATCTTCTCAGTATCATATTAGTTTCAGCTGAAAAACAATGAAATAAAATTTAAAAGCTCAAACTGGTTGAAAGAAAGGGTGTGGACAGAGTCAATGTTGTTTCACACAACTGATAGTAACCGGTATGGGGGCAAAAGTGAATCTCAAAGTGCAAAGGATGACTTCAGAAGTCCATCTCCTTCTCTCTGCCTCTCAGGTCCTCTTCTCTTTACGTTGGCTTTTCTCTCAGATAGGCACCCCTGTTAGCCCCACAAGAAAGCTTCCAGTAGCTCTGGCATTGCACACATCCTCACAAATGCATGTCCTGTGGAAAGAGCTACTCCCTTCAACAACATTTCAAAGCAAAATTTCTGAACAAGAGCTCAAGAGAGCCTCAATTATTGTTTCAACTAAATTGACCTAGATTTAAATCGGCTTAGATTTAAATGACAAAGTGTACATGGTCAGATTTCCAAGGATTTTCTTTGATTTTAGTCAATGGAGATGACAAGAAATGTCAAATGTATGTGTGGACACACATACACACTCACACACACACACACACACACACACACCAAAATCTTACAATTTTGGAAACTAAACAGACATGATGTAGAATTAAAATCAGGGAACAATTTTAACTAAGTATGAAGCCACTGAAGTTGGATTGATTTCTGCTAATGCTCTAACTTTGATAATATGAAAAAAATAGAAGAATAGTCAATCTTCAATAAATATTGAATAAATTGGTGAGTGAAGTCATTAGACAGAACAAAAATAATATTTTATTATGGAAACTGACAAGAAACTGCTTCAATAAAAACAAAAAATAAAATCTAGTTAATACTCTGAGTACATTAGAAGTGAAGGTAAGTTCAGGAAGCTGAAAAAAAGCTGGATAAAGTTAAATTCGTTAGTATTAAAGAATTTTCTGTGCTGGTTTTGGATTTTATAAAGTTATTTATATATCAATTTAGCTAATAAAATAATTATTTACTTTACATATGTGTCTAAGCACATGGAATATAATAAAAAGTTAGGTGTCTGCTTGTCAGGGTATCTCTACTAAAATCAATGAACAGGGAGAGGTAGGAATAAGTAAAGTTAAAAAAAAAAGATAAGTAGAATTTAGGTGCATCCTGAACATTATGCGTGGGGACAGAAATAACTTAAAGAATATTATCCTAATGTTAGAGAGCACACCATGTTCTTTTTTTTTTTTTTTTTGAGACAGAGTTTTGCTCTTGTTGCCCAGGCTGGAGTGCAATGGCGTGATCTCGGCTCACCGCAACCTCTGCCTCCCGGATTCAAGTGATTCTCCTGCCTAAGCCTCCCGAGTAGCTGGGATTACAGGCATGTGCCACCATACCAGGCTAATTTTGTATTTTTAGTTGAGACGAGTTTTCTCCATGTTGGTCAGGCTGGTCTCAAACTCCTGACCTCAGGTGATCCACCTGCCTCATCCTCCCAAAGTTCTGGGATTATAGGCATGAGTCACCGTACCTGGCCAAGAGCGTACCATGCTCTTTTCACAGTAAGAAATTAATAGAGAGTATGCTTATATATAAAGCAAAAGTGGGCATTTAGGAGGCAAACGTAGACAATGAGTATCTGGGCCAAGAGAGATGGAATAAGGTACATAAAAATGACAATGTTGTCAAGAAAGAATCTCTGAGTTGTGGGGCAGTTTCTTGAGAAATCTTAAATATTTTCCAGTAAAGCCCAAAAGTTTCTGTTACATTTAAGCAGTCAATTACTAATAAACGATGTTATTATTAATTTTTGTACGACTCACTCAAAGGAGCCATAAAGTCTAGAGAAGCGGTTTCCCAATAGCCCATGGCACAGCCATGTTTTCTAAATTAATCTTTGCTCTTATTCCAAGAAACTAGAGTTTGGGTGGGAGAGAACAATGCTTTAAGTCTGGCTAACTCAAGAGCTTGTAATTTAATAATTATTTAATTTCAGAATTCTAAACCATAGTGCAAAGGATTTTAGCTATCAAATTTCTCTGAGTTTCATGTGCTTTTACTGTATAATGGGGATAATGAACACTTCACAAGATTGTTGGAAAAATTAGATGAGATAATACATGGCAGATTATGGTACAACATATGGCACTCTGTAAATTTATTTTTAAAAATTTTGGCTTGATCTCCCAATTATAAACTAACAAAGTCTTGTGTTTCTTAGTTTCAATAATTCATATTCAGATTTCCCCTGTGGTAATGGAAAATTCCTGGCAGTGAACTTCTCAAGTGGTTAAAGTCTAAAGTCACTTGACCTTTAGCCTCTGGCTTTAAAAATCCCTCAAGAGATACGTTAAATGGCCCAGAAATACATTGCCTGTCATGTCTTATTGCTTAATTAATGGCCAGCTAAGATGGCCTGTATGGACTGCCCTGAAGTAATTGTGAACTGATCTTCTACTCAAGGAAATGAATTGACTAAACAACAGCAGCACTGTCACAGAGCATTTACCGTATTTAAATTTCCACAGCCCTTAGAAGAGACAGAACATACAAGGGCTGGTTAACTGAGCATACAAACACCAGCTAAGCAGATACAAACTGTTGCTCACTGTACCAGACAGGGAATTGTATGGTTCTGGTTTCTGAAAACTGTGTTGAGAATCAAACAAAAAGCTACCAAGTAAGCATTTTCATTTTAGTCCTATTTGTAATAAAATTGGAAGTTACTGAATTCTTTTAATAATAATAATAAAATTGTGGTTTGAAATTGCTCCATTTGAAGATTAATGGCACTCTGGAGAATGGGAAGCAAACTTGGAGTGAAAGTTCACTGATTTAAAATGAACGGTAGAAAGTATATTCCAAAATAAAGGAAAAACTCATTATATTTTAAATTATTTTTCTTTCAAGATAGAGAGTAATATGAATGACTTATTAATAAAATACTGCCAAATATAATTCTGAGTCTTTTGTGACCAATATGACGTGCTTATAATTAAATATGAATGTTGATCTTCTCAGTGCTTATCATTCCCAGAAAAAAAAAACTTTAACAGAATTTTTTTTCTTATATGGTAAACCTCTTTGCTCTACTCCTTTACTGCTTTTATTTGCACTACTCTTTGGCCTTTCCCCACATCCCAAACAACCCCAACCAACTCCCACCCCAATTCATTGTTTCACTTCAGCAGGATGAATGTGCAGTGTCACAAGGGTCTGAAGAATGAAAACAAGTAAAGGATAAACCATTTACACAGCTGTGGACAAGAGAAAGAAGATACTGTTCTTGCTGTTGATGGTTCTATAATCCTTCAGCTAGTTCTGCTAGTTCTTCCAACCCTGACAGTTCAGTAAGTAAATATGAAATTCTGGTCTTCGGAGTGTCCAAGAATGAATTTAAGGATGGTAGTTCAGACTTCACTCCCTTTCAGGTGTATGAAGTGGTGAGGGGAGAGTATGAAGGCAGGGAGACCAGTAAGGAGGCTTTGATGGATAACAGAGTGTTAGGTGGTTTGGACCTTAGTGAGGGTTGCTGGTCCAATGAACAGGAAAATGTCGTGCTGAGAGACGCTCTGTGGCAAGGATTTGCAGAGCTGGTTGATGGATTATATAAAGCTCCTAAGCAAGGGCAGTATAGTTTTCTCCTGTCTACAGCTGTGTGCATGTCCTATCTTCACTCCACTTTCTTCCTCAGTATGTTAGAATATCATGTATTTATTAATCAAAATGAAAAGACAAATGGGGAGCAGGGGTAGCCTTTTATATTTTTTTCCATGGTTCAAAGCATTAAAATGATTGAATGATACAGTGTCTTCCCTTCTGTATTTTAGTAACAGAAAATAGGTCAAGTTTGGGCACATTTTCAGCAATAAAAAAGGTAGAGTCCCTAATCTACTTATCTCTGAATAAATCAAATCACTAGTATTTACAGATTCATTACAATAATCTCAAAAGTAACATTTTCTATATGGCCACAAAGCTATGCAATTTGTAACATAAAAAATCCAAGCCCCTTAAAGAGGAAAATAGTATCCAAATGAATCCCTCCATCTAAAGGCAGCCAACTTCTAATCTGGGCTCTGGGGAAGGAAGGGTGGAAAAAAGGAGACAGAAATAATTGGCAAGTAAAAATGTAAGAAAAGATCAATAAAGAAGAGAAAGGTAGAAGACAGGACAAGGGTAAACAAGCAAATATAGTTTATAGTTATTCAGATATAGGAAAATTGAGTCAAAGCTGTCAGGACTATGAAGAGGTTCCATGCTGCAGCTTATAAATCAAAATGCTATGCTTTAAAATAAGATGATTTTTTGAAATTATTAAACTAATTCTTAACTTCATCTTTATAAAATGACATTTTCCCCATTTTTTCATGTTGATATCTCCCATTTTGAAAACACCAAATGTATACATGAGAATAAATGGACCTGACATAATGTGACCTAGAATATTACAGCATTGGAGCAGTTATTCGGAGGCAACTGCATAATACGTTTATTTTGGATACCACACATCACTAGGGTGAGTATTTGTTTTATAGTCTTGGCTTCTCAGCCTGACTCTTATCCAAGTTGCCAAGTGTAACATCATCCAATTTGTAACTCAATGTTTCATCAACAGTGTTCATGTTTTGTAGACATACAGAAAATAGAAACCCTTGAAACTAAAAAGTGTCAGGATTAATAGGGCTGACATGAGATTCAGCACTAAATAAATGGCCAAGTTCCCATGAAAACAACCACTGTGTCCTGTGTTAATTCTGTTTTTAGTTAACTTTGTCTTCCTGCCTAAAAACATGTAGGTTTTGTATCATTCTTAAGTTGCTGTAACATTGAGATGTGAAATTTGGAGGATTCGAAATAAATGCAGCTAAATGGAACTTTTGGATGAAGAATCCCTGGTTTGTTCAGATCTGTTAAAGTAATAGGGGAAAGCACAAAAGGATCAAGAAAAGGAAGGCCCCAATCTTTGTTCGATGACTGATAAAACAGCATTACTTGGGTGAAAATTGGCCTGACCTTCACCTACAGGATGCTTCCGCTGCCTCAGTGATTCTTGCTTCGCTCTGATTAGGTAAAGATTGCCCCTTTCCCTGCAAGGAAAAGTCAAAGAACAAAAAGAGGAAAAAAAATCTTGACTTAACTATAAAAGGTTTATTTTTTTAATCACAGTTGGGCTCATCCAAGCCAGTTTCTAATCTTATTTTTCAGGCTTAAAAAAAAAAATGCCCTGCCTTTTAAAAGAAATTCTTTGGATCATTTTCTTTACAACCTCTAGTCTAGATCTCAACTCACATTTCTTGGATGTATTTTTTTTTTAAATCTTCCTCACTTGAAATGATAGCTTTTTTATTTCTTTTAGACTCTCCTCTAAAGCTCTGCTGGGAGAGGACGGCCGGAGAAAGACACAAGTCTCCCTCAGCTGGCTGGAACAGTAAGTAGAATGCAGTTGGCAGAGTCCTGCCAATGTTCCAAGGAAACTTGAAGCAGTTTCCCACCCCCATCCCCACCCCTCAGCAGTTGCCCATGGAAGACAGAGCTCCATGGAACCATGGTATTAAGTTTCAGACTCTGCCTGTTCATATAGACCAGAGCTTTTCTGTGACATTACTGTCAAGCAGCCCCCTGTGTGACTAATATTTTTAACAGCGTGATATTTAAAATTTGACAAGGATATAATAATTCATTCTTCAGATAGTCAACATACTACGAGAGTAAGTCATGTCTTCAAAGTATCTTTCAAAGGGGCTATTAAAAGTAGGTTAAATTTTTTCCCCCTACAGCATGCAATTTCATTTTGGCTCCACAACTTCAACCACATAAAATTAAATTTTGACTTGAGAGTGACCTGCTGAAAATTAGATGGAAAAATAAGGGGATAGATTTAAGATACTGATTCAAAGAAAACTAGCATGTCTGTCTGCAACTTAACATGCAGCACACTAAGCTCTCTGAGAATCTTATGTTTCTGGTAGCTAGTATTTTCCTCTTAGGATTCAGATTGTATTTTTAATGAAAATGTTGTAGAACTTAATGGACTGTAATCTCTTGTTGTGATATATAGATGTAAGGCAACACAGGAAAGAATTATCCATGTACATTTTTTGTCACAATTCTCCTCTCCTTGTGACCTTATGATACAGCCATCCAGAGCAACTAGACATTCTCTAAAATGAACTATGTTCTTTAAAACTCCTATGAAAAATGAAGCCAATAAACTTCTGTGATTTTTAAAGTGCTTATCTCAAAAGAACATCTCTCCTTTGACATTCCTTTCCCCAACCATTAACATTTATTCTAAATAGTTATAAAAATGTGATATTGAAGACTAATTTTAGAGGGGTATAAGGCAATAGAAATTAATGTGATTATCCTAATAACAGCAGAATGTGAGCATTTAGAGAAGGCTTAGAGATACTTACTGCAGAGCTGAGTAAGTGATGTATTATGATATATATACATCATATATATATCATATATATATAATCTACTGAGTATTATATATTCTACATATTCTATGATATATTCTACTGAGATCAATGCAAATCACAAAAATGTCGTGTGATATTGCACAAACAGATATTTGGTATCTTTCATTTTGTCCTATTTTAATTACTAAATTTATTTTCCTTTAAAAGCTCCTATATTATATATACACACACATACACATTATACACACACACACACATATATATATATACACATACACACACCAGTCATGATAGGCTAGGTTGTGCCGTGGTAATAAGCAACCCTAAAATCTCAATGATTTAACACAAAAAAAGTTAAATTTTCAATCAGGCAAGTCTACTGCAGTCTCCTCAGTCACTCTTTATAGCAGCTGTACTCCATGTGTTCACGCTGCATTCCAGCTTGCTTTCCTCTTTCAACACACATGCTTCCATGGTCACCTCTGCAGAAGAAGAACAAGAAGAGAGTTCACGTAATTAAAGGCTTCACATAGCCCTTATGCTCAAATTTCATTGGCCCAAACTTGCCACATGGTTAAAACCCAACATCAATGTGGCAGAAAAGTGCAGTTTTCCCATGGACCTCACAGAAGATAAGGTCAAGAGATTGGTAATCAGCAGTAATGCCTATCAATGAATGAAGACAGAATTTTACAATCAAATTAGTTTCATTTATTCTTTCACCTCCAATCATGCTCCTATTTACTAGGGGCCATATCATTATTGTTAAGAGCAAAATATATTAAAAAGCCAACTCTACTGGAGTTCATCCACACATACTGATTGCTATGGTGTGAATGTCCCTGCCAAAGCTCATGTTGAAATTTAATTGCCATTTTAGTGGTACTAAGGGGTGGGCCCTTTAAAAGGTGATTAGGTCATGTGGACTCCACCCTCATACATTAATTAGTGCTATTGTTGCTGGAGTGGGTTCTTAATAAAAAGATTTTGTCCACCATTTTCTTTCTTGCTTGCTCACTCATCATGTGATGTTTTCCACGGTGGGATACTCCTTGCCAGAGGCCTGCAGCATGATCTAAGACTTCCCAGCCACCAGAAAAATGAACCTGTGATTTTTAAACTATTCAGTCTGTGATATTCTGTTATGGCAACAGAAAACGAACAAACACACTAATTTATATTGCTGTTATATAAACAAAGAATATCATTCTTCAAGGTGTCAAATGTTTTTAGAAACCATATATATCTGTTTAATGTAACCTTTCACAAAGCATCCAAAGTATTAGGAAAAAGGAGCCCATGTAACAAGAATACGCTACAAAATTACTCACAAATAAGAATAGCCTAAGTGAAACATGGGCTAAATTGCTTTCAAAACAGGTTAATATTTTTCTTTTCTATTCTTTTATGGTGGAAATATGTACACTATACCTGCCAATTTTAACTGCTTGGCAATTTTCCCAAGAATTTACTCATGCCACGTATTTAATGACAAATGTATCGGCATCATCTAAGATGAGAATTGAGATGCTCAAAACTGCAGTCAGTATCTCCTATTGCTTTATACTCCATCAAAGATGATGCAAGCTGACTTCAAAGGCAGCTCAGTACTTGCATCAACTCTGCAGGGATGTTGAGTAAAATGAGAAATGAAAAAAAAGGAACACCATTATGTTTTGAATTTCAAGACCTAAATCATTATTTCCTAGCTGTGCATGAGGTTACGTAGACAGAAAGTAAAATGACAACTGGTCATGTCATTGGGATGATGATATAGGAGGATCAGGAAGCTTAAGAAGAGGAATATTTTTTAAGTCACATTAAAAAATCTCTCTCCCCTGGTGTTCAGATATTCCTAGGACATTTTTCAGTGATGGAGTGACACTCGGGTACCCCCATAATGCCCAGGTGCCTGCTGGGGATTGACCTGCTTCAGAACTCTCTTCTCAGGAGCAATAATGTGCTACCCCTGAAGATAATTAAATGTGAGATATCCAAATAGTCACTTACATCTGCTGTTGGGCCTCAATTTCCCACTTGGCACTGTATTGACAGTGTGAACTTTAATGGCTTGAAACAAATTCATATGACATTCCTTTTTTTAAAAAAAAATCTCCTTTTAAAGTGCCTAAGTAATTAGTTATAATCAATTTCTAATACAATACTCATATGGAAATATTTGTGTGTGTGTGTGTGTGTGACAGAGAGAGAGTGTGTGTGTGTGTGTTTTTAGTGACAAAATGCAAAAATAATTTATTGTACTAATTCTGGGTACATACTGAAACAAGAAAGAATTCATATTTACTTGAAAAACAAGAATGCCTCTGGATTTAGTTAAGTATCTTAGTATAGTAATATGTGATTTATAACGTTCCTGAAAGTGTTTTTACAGCATTACTTTTGAAAAATAAATGAGGAAATTCTCAGCTAAGGCTGTACTTAAATTATGGTGTGGTGATACAGCATAAAGCACTAGAAATTCACAAAGGCAAAATGAAACTGGCAGGCCTTAACTCATTGTGCTTCTCATCGTATTGGAAAAGAATCATTCTTTGCTATGAGAATTTGGCCACTCTTTTTGAATTAAAATTTCACCTTAGGTGAACTTTAAAAATTCATTATATAATGGCCTTTTATTTACTCTACAATTATGCAAACATACATGAACACATATGTTCATACACCCCATATAATCAGATGTATGGGGTAAACAGACACCACCATATCAATAGGTTATCATTTTAATGAGGCATTACAAGAAATCTTGATACTACTTCTCGGTCTCATGAAACGTTAATGATTACACCACTGTTATATTTCCATTCATCTGGAGCTGTTTCTGCCATTTACTTTAATTCCTCATTAAAGTATTTAGTGTTTTCTTCATTGATATTGCTGAGAAACCCACCCCCTTTTTTTTCACTATAGTTACTGAGCTGTATCTTTTGTTGCTTACATATATTTACTTTTAGGACTATGACATACTCTTCAGATCAGTGGTTTCCAAGGCAGAATATATGCAACTTAGCAACTGTTCAAGTCAATTCTGTTAGTTTGTGCTTCATAAATATATGGTATATTACATATAAAATATATGTTTTTAATTTTTTAAAAATAGATATTTTGGTAATGTATACTTAAATGTTTATAATGGAAAGGATGCACAAATGAAAATACTTACAAATCACTAGCCCAGATATATGCAAAGCTTGATATATTTGTTATACTTTTTTAAATAGCCAAATACAAGATCTAGTTTAATATTATTACAGAATAGGTATATTTAGTTTGTCAGTGGGAAAAATATTGGCATCAAATATTAACACTTTTGTCAGGGGTTCAGCATAACATCACTAAGAAACTAAAACTATTCTAATGGACACGCTTCTCAGATGCCCTATTTTTTTTTAATGCAGTATTTTATTTCTTTTTTTCTCTCCAGTTTTTTTTTTCTAATTTTACTTTAAGTTCTGGGATACAGGTGCTAAACGTACTAGTTTGTTACATTGTTACATAGGTATATATATGCCATAGTGGTTTGCTGCACCTGTCCATCTGTCATCTAGGTTTTAAGCCCCACATGCATTAGGTATTTGTCCTAACACTCTCCCTCCCCTTTCCCCCTACCTCCCCTACAGGCCCTGCTGTGTGATGTTCCCCTCCCTGTGTCCATGTGTTCTCATTGTTCAACTCCTACTTATGAGTGAGAACCCGAGTTGTTTGGTTTTTTGTACAAAGTACTTTATCTCTGAAATTAGATGAAAGCTTTGCTATAGAAAACTGGCTTTACATATATGGCTGTTAACTAATAATTTTACATTCAAATACATCTAAATATGACTAATAACTTTCTGATTGAATACTCCCTCATCCTGTTATGTAGCAACAAAAGGTGTTAAATGTAGAGTAAGCATGTCAATGAGAAAGGCCTCGCCTAATCCAGAAGCACTGGGACTTGGTAAGCGTCATTTAACGTTTTATCTTTGTATCTTCAAGAAATCATATTGTATTGCTCCAAATTTGCAAATGAATTTTGATATAAACAGAATGCCAAAGGTTATTTTAAAATAAACATGCTATCCAGCTAGATTTGTGAGTAAAAGGTGATTTCCTTTTCACTTTCAAAGAGACTAGAAGATAAAATTATTGAAATGCTCTGCTGTTACAAGATGATATTGTTTCTCCTTTAAAAACATATCAACTGTCTTAATAAAATTCACAAGCCTCTTTGCTCTACTACTTAAAATAAGAAAATTTTACAAAATTTATGTGTTATTAGAGCAGCTTCCCTCCTTATTCCAAAAATACCACAGTAGTTTTACCTTCTCCCCCTCCCCTTTCCTTCTGTTTCCTCTTCAGGTTTCTCCCTCTTTCTTCTTATCTTCCCCTCACTGGTTTTCTCCGTCAGAACACTGAATATCGGATATAAGATAATGTTTTCTTTTCCAACATTTTCTTCTTGAAACTATAGTCTCTTTTCTCTGAGAAATTTCTTTTACATGATAGATTAGTCTGTCTTTTTTTTATTAGAACAATATTATTGAGTTTTAAAACCCCTGGTATTTTCATTATTCTGTTACATATATTCTCCTGCCCCCAAATGAAGAAACAAGTTTAATGAGTATGGACATTGCATCAAGCTGGAGAAATGAGGCTAAAAGAAAATGAAGCCAAGAATAAAAGGTGCTAAATGCTATGTTCCCCACAGAGCATAACTCCTGAAGGAACTAAGAAAGAACAAAGTTTCATTCTGTTGAAGAAATTAGGCAGGGCACCAGAAGAAATGTGGGACCTATAAGGATGGATAGGTGTCACTGGGATTAGAAGAGGGTATGTGTTAAAAGAGGACATTAATTTCAGATAGATGGTATGCCCTGGGCCTGATTAAATTCCAGGTCCCAAGCTAAACTGCCGATAACCTTGCTGCCCATTTCTACCTTCACCTTCTGAGACCCTTCCATGGAAACAGAAGGGATCCACATATGATTTGGATATTAAGACAATAGATATTTATTGGGCACCTATTGTGTTCTAAGCACTATGCTGTTAAAGCTATATCAGTGAAAAAAGAATAGACAAAGCCCTTCTTCTCCCCTCATTATCTACTCTTCCCTTTTAATATACTCTTATTCCATTTGAGACTAGAACAGCTTCCCATAAAAGTCTATTACTTGAATTTCAGAAAATATTCCAAAACACCACAGCTATGTATCACTCTTACTTGAGATGATTGGTGTCATAGGCTACCATAATATCCATTAAATATCCTAAAGCCTAACTTAACTTTTACACTGTATGTAGTTTGGCATTTAGACTGGGAAATGCCCTGCCTGTTTGCAGTAATACTATCACCAAGCTGCCAGCCTGGCTCACCTGTTACAATTTAATAAGAAAAATAAATGATAGCAGATGTTACCCATGGTTACATTAAGAGAATTGCACCCCTTTAGTTCTAATCAAGCCAATTTTTCACCCAGCTGAAGATATGTCACTTTTAGAGGGTTCTGAATCAATGGGAAAATACTTGCTTAAGCAAAGAACCCAAGAGAGATAACCTGACCACCCCTGGGGGAAATAGTTCTTATAAGTTCCCACAATTTGATATGCTAGTCTGTAAAACAGTGAGAGTTTTAAAAAAGTATATATTCTGGTTAGTATGTAAATGAATGGAACTTCTTTATGTCTTTCATTTGCATGCAGTTATTTAATAAACATTCTTTGAGCAGATTATATGGAAAGACCTTTGAGCAGTAATGCTCAGAGTCCTTACAGTCAAATAACTTACTGTCTGGTGGAAAGAGACCTTAGAAACCTGTGGAAAGTTAGATTTAAAAAAAAGTTAAAACCAATCAGGCAAGATTAAAAGCCAAAATCTGATGAAGTTGCCAGACTTGGATATGAATCTTTGTGACCCTGTAAAAGTTAATTAATCTCTCTGATTAAGAGAATAATTGTTATAACGATAGGTTCAAAAGAAGCAGCTGTGAATTTTGGATTTTGGGATTTGTTTGCTCTTAACTATATAATAAGCCTGAGCTGATATGAGTGGGCTTTTTCATATGGTGGCGTCTCCAGTTAACTATCTTAAGATGAAAATTTATTTTTCTCTTTCTCTCCTCCTTCACTCATTTCTACAGAGTGTTACTTTGTGCTTGATATGTGCAGGACAAACTTAGAGCATGCCATTATTCATTCAGCATGGCATTTCCCTGTGCCAGCATCCAATTCTCTTGATACCACTGATTTCCAGGTCACCCAATGATCATGCATGAAATTTCCAGCCCTCTTGAATAACAATTACTGTTTGTAATAGACAATCCAGAGAGCAGATTCAGACCCTGATGCTCTATTTTCAACTCACAACATTTCAGAACGTCTACAATGGTGGTTCTCTAGTCCAGAAAAATGGCAGCTGACTGGGCTATGTAGTTAAGAAGCCAAGTTATCACTTCAGAAGCCAAGTTATCACTATAATGGGACAATAGCTTGTGAAGCCACCCAAATATCACCTTGGGTTCCCCATGTTGTGGAAGGAACCTGGTGGGAAGTAATTGAATTATGGGGCAAGTCTTTCCTGTGCTGTTTTCATGGTAGTGAATGAGTCTTATGAGATCTGATGGTTTTAAAAATGGGAGTTTTCCTGCACAAACTCTCTCTCTCTTTTTGCCTGCTGCCATCCATGTAAGACGTGACTTGCTCCTCCTTGCCTTTCACCATGATTGTGGGGCCTCCCCAGCCACGTGGAACTGCAAGTCCATTAAATTTCTTTCTTTTGTAAATTTCCCAGTCTTGGGTATGTTTTTATCAGCAGCGTGAGAACAGACTAATACAGGTGCCTTCCTTATTCTGTCTCATACTCCAGGTTTTCTGTGTCAGTGTCAGGAGAGACGCTATGGAAACAAACAATTGAGGCAAATCTTATGATGTTATCCTTATGTTCACAGCAAACTCAGTTCCCTTCAAATGTGACTTTGACGCAGGGCACATGAGAAAGTAAAACCTTTCATAATTCAAGTTCTTCCACTTCTAAGCTTTTTCAGACTTCAGTATTCAACTATAAGTGGCTGAATTATAGTTTTGCCCTGACCAAAAAATAAAAAACAAAACTGGTCTATTACCAAGTCATCTCCAAATTTATCTTCCCCTTTCCAATATTGAGAAAATATGGCAAACACCTCTGTTTGCCCTTCCCTTCCCATAAAACACATAGTCTCCACATTGATATCCTGCTCAGCTTATTTCCCAGTCCCTCTGTTACTAGTTATGGACAAAAAGTTTATTTCTCATCAGTGACTATACAAAGAAGTGAAGTGTGCAACTTCTGCCATTTATTTAAAATACATTAGCCATGGTCATACTGTTCTCTTAGTCTTCCCATTTGGTTAATAAATAAATGGAAATGTCTTGGGTAGTCCTGGAAATCATATGTAGAAAACAGATTCCTAGAGCTTCAAAAATGTAGCTTGTAGACTAATAAAGAAGAAAAGAGAGAAGATCCAAATAGACATAATTAGAAATGATGGAGGAAATGTTACCACTGACCCCACAGAAATAAAAATAACCAACAGAAATTACTATGAACACTTCTATGCACACAAACTAGAAAACCTAGAAGAGATGGATACTTTTTTGACACATTCATCCTCCCGACCCTGAACTAGGAAGAAATTGATTCCCCAAACAGACCAATAACAAGCACCAAAACTGAATCAGTAACGAATAGCATGCCAATCGAAAAAGCCCAGGATCTGATGTATTCACAGCTGAATGCTGCTAGATGTACAAAGAAAAGTGGTACCATTCCTACTAAAACTATTCCAAAAAATTGAGGAGGAGGGACACCTCCCCAACTCATTCTATGAGGCCAGCATTATCCTGATACCCAAATCTGGCACATGCACACACACAGACACAAACACACACACACACACACACACACACACACACACACACACACACACTCTTCAGGCCAATATCCTTGATGAACATGGATGCAAAAATCTTCAACAAAATTCTTTTGTGAACCCAATCCAGGAGCACATCAAAAAGCTAATCCACCATGATCAAGTAGACTTCATCCCTGGGATGCAAGGTTGGTTCAAAATATGCAAATCAATAAATGTGATTTATTACATAAACAGAGCTAAAGATAAAAACCACGTGATTATCTCAATAGATGCAGAAAATACTTTCCTTAAAATTCAACACCACTGCACGTTAAAAACTCTCAATAAACTAGGTATTGAA
This sequence comes from Homo sapiens, assembly GCF_000001405.40. Lineage (NCBI taxonomy): Eukaryota > Metazoa > Chordata > Mammalia > Primates > Hominidae > Homo > Homo sapiens. Next base: position 147,748,871 of record NC_000003.12, on the reverse strand, counting down.
GGAAAATACCTCAAAATAATAAGAGCTGTCTATGATAAACCCACAGCCAACATTATACTGAATGGGGAATAGCTGCTTTTCCCTAAAAAACCAGCACAAGACAAGGATGCCCTCTCTCACCACTCCTATTCAACAAAGTATTGGAAGCCTTAGCCAGAGCAATTAGGCAAGAGAAAGAAATAAAGGGCATCCAAATAGGAAGAGAAGAAGTCAAACTATCTGTGTTTGCAGAAGACATGATTCTGTATCTAGAAAACCCAGCCTTGCTCAAAAGCTCCTTCAGCTGATAAACAACTTTAGCAAAGTTTCAGGATACAAAATCAAAGTACAAAAATCGCTAGCATTTCTAAACACCAACAACAGCCAAGCCAAGAGCCAAATCAGGAACAAACACTCATTCACAATTGCCACAAAAAGAATAAAATACCTAGGAATACAGCTAACCAATGGAGGTAAAATAGCTCTACAAGTAGAATTACAAAACACTGCTCAAAAAAATCAAAGACATAAACAAATGGAAAAACATCCCATGCTCTTGGATAGGAAGAATCAATATCATTAAAATGACCATACCTTGCAAAGCAATTTACAAATTCAATGTTACTGTTATCAAACTACAATCACATTTTTCACAGAACTAGAAAAAAAGCTATTTTAAAATTCTATGGAATCAAAAAAGAGCCTGAATAGCCAAGGCAACCCTAAGCAAAAAGAACAAAGCTAGAGGCGTCATGTGACCTGACTTCAAACTATAGGGTTACAGTACCCAAAACAGCATGGTACTTGTACAAAAATAGGCACATAAACAAATGGAACAGAATACAGTGCCCAGAAATAAGGTCACACACCTATGACCACCTAATCTTTGACAAAGCTGACAAAAACAAGCAATGGGGAAAAGACTCCCTATTCAATAAATGATGCTGTGATAAGTGCTAGCCATATGCAGAAGATTGAAGCTGAACCCCTTCCTTATGCAATATACAAAAATCAACTCAAAATAGATTAAATACTTAAATATAATACCCAAATCTATAAAAGCCCTGGAAGACAACCTAGGCCATACCATACCAGACACTGGAATGGGCAAAGATTTCATGACAAAGATACCAAAAGCAATCACAACAGTGGCAAAAATTGACAAATGAGATCTAATTAAACTTGAGTTTCTGCACAGCAAAAGAAGCTATCTTGGGAGGCTGAGGTAGGTGGATCATCTGAGGTCAGGAGTTTAAGACCAGCCTGGCCAACATGGTGAAACCCCGTCTCTTCTAAAAATACAAAAATTAGCCAGGTGTGGTGGCACATGCCTGCAATCCCAGCTGCTTGGGAGGCTGAGGCAGGAGAATCACTTGAACCCGGGAGGCAGAGGTTACAGTGAGCTGAGATTGCACCATTGCACTCCAGCCTGGGCAACAGAGCAAGATTCCAAAAAAAGAAAGATGAAAGAAAGAGAGAAAGAATTATCAACAGAGTAAACAGATAATCTACAAAATGAAAGAAAATATTTGCAAACTATGAATCTGTCAAAGGTCTAATATCCAACATCTGTAACAAACTTAAACAAATTTATAAAAGGAAAACAAACAACCCTGTTAAATAGTGTGCAAAGGGCATGAACAGAAACTTTAAACAAATATATGCAAACAAATAAATAAAACTTTAAATAAATATATGCAAACAACAAGCATATGAAGAAAAGCTCAATATCATTGATCATTAGAGACATGCAAGTCAAAACCACAATGAGATACCATCTTATACTAGTCAGAATGGCTATTAAAAAGAAAAAAATGGCCAGGCCCAGTGGCTCATGGCTGTAATACCAGCACTTTGGGAGACCCAGGGGGGTGGATCACTTGAGGTCAGGAGTTTGAGACCAGCCTGGCCAATATGGTGAAACTCTGTCTCTACTGAAAATACAAAAATTAGCCAGGCCTGGTGGTGGGCACCTGTAATCCCAGCTACTCGAGAGGATGAGGCAGTAGAATTGCTTGAACCTGGGAGGTGCATGTTGGAGTAAATGGAGATCATGCCACCGCACTCCAGCCTGGGCAGTAGAGCAGGACTCAGCCTCAAAAAAAAAAAAAAAAAAGTCAAAATATAACAGATGTGGAGAGGTTACAGAGAAAAGGGAACACTACCTATACACTGTTGGTGGGAGTGTAAATTAGTTCAACCATTGTGGAAAGCAGTATGGCAATTCCTCAAAGAGCTAAAAGCAGAACTACCATTCAACCCAGCAATCCCATTACTGGGTATATACCCAGAGGAATGTAAATTATTCTACCACAAAGAAACATACACATGAGCATTTATTGCAGCATTATTCACAATAGCAAAAACATGTAATCAACCTAAATGCCCATCAATGACAGATCAGATAAAGAAAATATGGTACATATAGTCCATGAAATACTATGCAGCCATTAAAAAGAATGAGATTATGTCTTTTGTGAGAGCATGGATAGAACTGGAGACTATTATCCTTAGCAAACTAATGCAGGAACAGAAAACCAAATACCATACATTCTCATTATAGGTGGGAGCTAAATGATGAGAACTTACGAACACCGAGAAGGAAACAACAGACACTGGCATGTATTGAAGGGTGGAGAGTGGGAGGAGGGAGAGGAGCAGAAAAGATAACTATTGGGTACTGGGTTTAATACTTGAGTGATGAAATAATCTGTACAACAAATCCCTGTGACATGAGTTTATTACCTCTGCAACAAAAATCCTCACATGTACCCCTGAACCTAAAATAAATTTAAAAGAAAAAGGGTAGCCTGTTGACTTGCATCCATCACTACACATTAGAATCACTCACTGAGCTTCTAAAATGTACTAGCAGCTAAGCATCAATCACAAGATTCTGATTTAATTGGTTTGGTTTGGGTCCCAGGATTTATCATTACTGTGTTGTTGCAGATTCTGCAGTGTTTCTTTTCTTTTTTTTTTTTTATTATACTTTAAGTTCTAGGGTACATGTGCACAACGTGCAAGTTTGTTACATATGTATACATGTGCCATGTTGGTGTGCTGCACCCATTAACTCGTCATTTAGCATTAGATATATCTCCTAATGCTATCCCTCCCCCCTCCCTCCACCCTATGACAGGCCCCGGTGTGTGATGTTCCCCTTCCTGTGTCCAAGTGTTCTCACTGTTCAATTCCCACCTATGAGTGAGGACATTTTGCAGTGTTTCTAAGGTGAGAACTCGAACAGAGTCCAATGCAGGCAGTGTTTACAACCTGAATTGCCCTTCCTTGTTCATCCTTTCTCCTGAGATGGAAGCTACACTGTCTTCAAGACCGAGATTTATCAAGTTTATGCCAGTACAATTATTTACAAATAAGTAAAAATTTTCTGCCTGTGGAGCCTAGTTGAGATGAAAGATTCTTTTGAGAGAATTAGAATTATTCATTTAAAGTGAACAAAACAAAGAAACGACATTCTCTTCTGTTACTGAATTTGTCTTCACACAGGTCTCTTTGCTTTCACTCCTGCCATCTCCACACACCACACAGCAGCCATATCAGATCACGACCTTCCTTTGCTCAAAGCCCAGAAATGACTCTCCATTTTAATTGAAGTAAAGCCGAAATTTTTACAAAGTCTTACAAGGTCTCACAAAACATGGTCCCTCTGACCTATCACCTACTTCTTTTCCCTTGCTTACTGTGCTCCAGTTCTATCAGCCTCTTTGCTCTTACTGGAGCATGCCAAACAGTCACATTGCACAGACTTTGCCTCTGCTGAGAATACTCTTCTTTCCCAAATAGTCAAGCAACTAGTTATCTTCACCTCCCTCAAGTATTTGCTCAAATGTCACCTTTTCAATGAGGTCTGCCCTGGCCATCCTACTTAAAATTAAATTTCCCTACTTTTCAACACTTCCAAATTCCCTTTTGCTGGGCTGCTCTATTTTTTTTTTCTCTTGTAAGTTATCACCTATTCTTACAGATTGTAGAATTTAGTTGTTTATGATGTTTATTCTTATTGTTACCTTACAGTCACTAAAATGTATGCTCCAGGAGGGCAGGGATTTTTTTTTTTTTTGGCTAGTTTGTTCATTCCTGTACCCCAAATCCCTAGAACAACATAGAGCCAGTACTCAAACACTGAGTGAATGAATGAATAACATTTCTAACCCATGGTAGAAAACATTTCTTTAAAATCATCCATGAAGAGTTCAAAGAACTATAAGAGATTTTTGCCCCTAAGAATTTCAGTCCACAGTTTTGATTTTGGAGGTAATAAGATGGTGTCAATAGAGTGTGATTTGCAGGCCTCCAAGTATAATTCTCCCTTTAAAATGCCTTTCTAGACACACACACACAAGCACACATGTTCAAACTACACTTCTCTCCTTGCTTTACATTAGCACTGAATTCAGACCACTTAAGCCTTTATAAGCTGATACTTAAAAAAAACTGTGATAGAGAGCAACATGCTAGCAGGAAGAATCAATGAATGATAAGTCTGGAAACGGAAGAGGCAGAATCTCAAGAGGGCACAGCAAGATCTATAGAAAATTTGCTTGCTTCACAATATTGCCTATAAATGACTGATTACACAATTATATTTCAGTCAAGTAAAAAACACCAGAATCTTCTGTGACACAGTGCCCAGCACATAGTAGGGACTCAATAAATATTTGTTTAATGAATCAATAAAAGAAGATTCATAAATCATAAAATGATTTATGATTGTCTTTTTATCATTTACCCTTCCCTATAAAAGAAGATCTCCTTATTTAGACAAATATGCTCACCCACAATGAGGCTATGAAGTGAAAGGATAAAGTAAATGTTTCAGCATTAAAACTATGTGAGATATCTTTTGAAATCTGTGCAGTATCTTCCCCATCTGTACCTGCTGTGCATAATTTCAGAATTCACTGCTTTCATCAAGAAAACCCATTTGCTCTTTCATCTGTGCATCATATCACACTAATTTTCATCAAAACCAGAAAAAACCTTGATGGACCACCAGTCCCCAGGTTTCCTGGAGCATTTACCTGTCTTTCTCTGGCATATACAGAATTATGCTCTGAAGTCTGAACTGTGGAAATTTTTGGTTGTTTTCATAAGATGTGGTTAGCGCTGTGTTTATTTCTGGAAAATTGACATGTTAATTATTGATGACTATTTTCCTAGAAAGCCTCATGAATTTCATGTTTGTGCTTTATTTCATCTTTAATGTCCTTACTCCATTTTAAACCACCACATATAAAAAATACAATACACAAAAATTCTTTTACATTAAAAAAGTCAGTGGTTAAATAGTTCTGTGTATCAGCCACAGCTAGTAAGTTTTCACTTATAGTAAACCATTACTTTATTTCTGAAAGTTTGCTGTGTTTCATGATGAAATAAAAACTCAATCTGGATTTATGTGATATTTTTGACGTAATGGCGTCATATGAAATAGGGAACAGTCTTTGGTCAATGTTCTGCATCATCTAATCTTAAACATTTGAACCATGTTAATGAAATAGCCAATGGTCTGTGTGGTTATGAAACTTGAATCTACTGCAGTTGTCACACACAACTTCATATGTATGCAGATTGACCTAGTCCACAGAAGTAGAGAGACCCCCAAATGGAGTACAGATACATTTTTAAAATAGTGAAAAAAACTTAAAATAGAAGTGTTACAAATATGACATCTTCTGCTTACATTAGGTAAGCTCAATTCTAAATACAAAGAAATGGGGTCTTTACAAAGTATGATTTGTGTTTCTTGAGGCTCTACCAGCCAGGGGTTACAAATATATAGATTATACTAATAAAATTTTAATAATAAAAATGTAAATGATAATTTAATTTATTAAATTAAAAAATGATACACATTTAACATTTAATTTTTTACATTTAATAAATGTTTACAGCTCTGTAATCTATAGCTCTGACTTTGCGTTCTATCTTTTAATGAATTTCTCAGCTCCCCTAAAAATCTCTATTGACTTATTTGTGGAGTTCTCCAAGGGGTATCTGCTAGGTGCCAGCTGGCTTTGTGATCCATTCTTGCTTAAACTTGAATGCTGTTTCATAATCTGTTGCCAAGGATGCTGAAGGTAACAAAGCTGCTCCAGAAGTTGGTGGTGCTCACCAAGGTCTACTTCAATACTGCTAATATGTATTGCCAAGAGTTCTGTTTCTGCAAAAGCTAAAATAGCTATAGTATGGGCACTGATTGTCACCACTGGGAGCCTTAAGCACTGCTTCCTACATGCATAGAAGCTGCTAATAAGTCATGCATTTGGCAAGGCCACATTATATATTCTGTAACCTTCCTTGTTCTAAAACACTGATGTGTTACATTCCAAAGTGGTATGTATCACTCTCCACCTTTTGAACTTCACTGTTCTGAATCCTTTCAGTTTTGAGATTTTTGCTCTCAAAATCTTGACTTTTCAGTTACAACCTCCATTTGTTATAGTTCTGGCTCATATGCCTTAGTGGTGAATGGTGTGCATTTTGGAACAGAAGAAAACAAATGAAGAAACTATTTGGGATTGTCAATAAAGAAAGATGTTATAAACTAAATAGCTTCATTTTTTCACTGCCTTCTGTGTCAGGGAATCACTAATCCATTGTGTGCTTGATCCCTTTCTTCCCACAGGATGAATTCCTTCTAAAGGGGCTTCAAAACTCTCTATAAAGTTTAACCCCTTGGAAGTCCCGCCCTTAAGTCTCCCCAGTTACTGCTGTACACATTAGCTCAAGTTAAGAAATAAGACATCATCACAGCACCTTTAACCATTCATGTAAAAAAAGTTTCAGATACTACAGGTTTCATTCATAGAGTCTCATCCAAATATAGGATTATTATGTGGCAGCTACAGTGACATAACAAATCTCAGGTATAATTTGATATTGATTATGTATTGGGAATTTTTAACTATCTTTTCATAACAAGAAAATAATCCTATTTGGATCATCATTTTCATGTTAAAAGGTAGAGAATTTAGTACACTAACATCACTAAAACAAAGAAAAAGTACAGAAATTAGAACACTGAGGAAGAAGACATGAATTTTGCAGAGAATGGAAGACCAACCTTAAAATTATTGGTATTCCAGAGTGAAAAAAAATATGGAAACAAGCAAAATAATTTATGATGTAATAAAAGAAAACTTTTCTGAGCTACACAAATACTTCACCCTACATATTAAAGGTAATAAGTAAGTTTAAAAACAATGATGTATAATCAAGTGTGTAACTTAAAAAAAATGTACACATACCTGACTGCAAATCCCTGAAAATTCTGACTTACTGAGAATGGAATGGTACCTTGATAACTACATTTTCAAATTTTTTCACAAGGGATTCTGATGAACATTTATAGATTGAGAAAGATTCTTCTAAGTATACGTTTTACGTAAAAGAATAAGTGTATACCCACTTTCTAAGTAACAAGAAGGAGGAAGAAGAGGAAAAGAAGGAGAAAAAACAAGCAAGAAGTAAAACTTAAAAACAGAGAAAAGATCTATATTCTTCAGATTAGAATATTCTTAAGAAAGAAAGAATGTCTGGGTAGAAAAAAAGAAAGATTGCTCTAATAGAAAAATAAAAATATAAAGCTCACTTTACACAAAAATCAGTGAGATGCCACCACATACCTACCTAAATAGTTAAAATTAAAAAGACTGTCAATAGCAAGTATGGATCAAATGTGGAAGAACTGCAACTCCTATACACTGCTAATGGGAATATAAATTGGTAAAATGTCTAGGCAGCATTTATTAGAGCTGAACACACATATATCCTATGACACAGAAATTGTACTCTTTAGTGTATTATACAACAGAAATATTTGCATATGGGCACCAAAGGTGTTCAAGAATGTTCAAAGTAGCATTGTGTGTAACTGTAAACAGCTCATGTTCATTAACAATAAAATGGTTACATAAATGATAATACATTTCATTCGTACAATGGAATGTCACACAGTAACAAGAATAAATGAACTACAGCTACCATAACAGCATGGAATAATCTCAAAAATAGGCTATTAAGTTAAAAGAAAACAAACACAAAAGAATAAGTACTGTATAATTCCATTTTTAAATAGTAAAATACAAAATGTTTGTGAAAACTTATCTAGTTATATGCTCATAATTTGTGTATTTTTCTGTACTTACATTATTCTTCAATATAAATATACTTAAACAGTAAGTGCCACAAGACAGTAAAGTAGTGTCTACCATGCCTTTAGTTAAAAGGGGTTGGGAATTTTATGTATCTATCCATATATTTGTCAGTATATTTCAATTTGTCTTATTTAAAACAGTAAGTTAGTTTTCTTATTTAAAACAGAAATTTGTTAGATTTAAGTATGCTAGATTTTAAGATACACACATCTATTTTTCCTAAGAGAACTCAGAGATGCCATTCCAGACAATAAATAGATGAATAAAAATTAAAACTCAAGACTGAGAAGCTGTACTGTAAAAGTTCTGGTAAACAAAAAGTAAAATTAAATTCAGAGCATCCACCATAAGCAATTATTATTAATAATGTTGTAAAATAAATAAAAATTTCAAATTCTTTAAAAAAGTCTTTAATTGCATGATGCTCTTTTTAAGACACAACAGATTTTACTTTTATATATTTGTCTCTTATATGTATGTGTGAGTGTGTATAATTATTTGTACATCCTTTGTTCTACGGATATAGGATCAGAAATTCATCTTGAGTCAATTGCCTTTTTAAACCACAAATGAAGCTCATGTTCCTGAAATATGTAAGGGTGGGGAGAAAGAATCAAATATTTTGTACTTTTGAGGGTCTAGACTGATAGGTAAAACAATAAAAACAGAACAAAAGATTAAATGACAGCTATAGAACAGATGAGGAACTCTTTGTAAGAGTTCACAAAGTGAAGAGTAAGAGACAGTGTCTAAAATTGATTGAACAAGAAATAAAATGTAACAGAAGTACTTAAGGTTACAAAAGTAACAAATAGAAAAAAGAACAGTAGTTTTATGCATATCTACATCAAAATCAGGAAGAGAAGAGGTGAGGTGGAAGAGTGGTTTAAATGAACTAAATTATTATTTTAATATGAAGTCAACATATATTGTATAAAATTAATAAATCAATAAAATATAGTTATATAATTTAGGATACAAGAATTAATCAGTAAAAAATGGTTATTATTATTATAAGTGGGTTTATCTGCAAACGAAGATGGTGTGGAGAATGGTGGTCAAATATAATACTGTGTTTAATTATGCTCATTAACTATTTTTCAAATGCAGTGCTAAATAATAAAAAAGTAATAACATTTGTATTCATAATACTTACATTTACTGAGTATTATTTTATGTTACTACTGTACTAAACTTTTAAACTTCACTATCTGATTAAATATTCATAAAACTCTATGAGGAAGTAAACCTATATTCATTTTCCACTGGAGAAAACTGAGGCTTAATGAAGCTGAGTAACTTTCCTAAGGCCACAGAAATGGTAAGGAATAGATATATCCATCTTCCAACCCCATACTCTTAACCACTTTGACAAACCAACTCTTCTGAAGAAAAAAAAAAGTAACTATTACAAAAAAAAACCTCTAAATACAGTACATATTTATCTATTTAACATATAATAATTATATCATGTAAACCCTTAGTAGCTGTTATAAAATTGTCTATGCAATTTGAATCAAACAAATATAACTTTTCATTCTCTAAATCAGTTAAATATTCTCCAGTGCATGGATGGAAGAAAATTAAGTAATGACTATACTTGAAAGGAACTTACTTCCTTTTTAGAATCTTGCCAGAATTATAAAATGGGGCTCATCTTGGTGCTCTCAAGAACCAGTGAGGGGATCCTGGGCTCAAGTACACAGTGGTGACCATCACAACATTGCTCTTTCTGCTACCCAGATTTGAGCACTCTTGTCTGGGCTAACTCAGACAACCTGCAGTGGTTTACCTGAGTAACTACCAGACTACAGAGGGTGAAGGTCAGAGTGCCACTTCCAGCCTCTAGCAATCCTTGGTCAAAGTGCCTGAATGTCCTGACAAATTTTCCTTGCCTGATCTGCTCCAAGTTTGGAAATTCCTCAGCATCTTCCTTGAGATCAATCTGATGAGTCCATTTCTACTCTTTCTAACCCTAGAGTCCCCTTTTACCAGACAATCAAACACAAATATCTCATTAGGAAAAATGTTGCCTGATGATATCAATAATTTTGTGTCAAAATAAGCTACAATGTTGAAATGTTGGCTGTCTTCTTTAGATGAAGGGATATGGGCAGGGGAGTACCCACTGCACTGAGAGAAAACACAAATCAGTATCTCAGTAAACTAATCTGCCTCAATAAGACTAAAAAGGAAAGCTGAGCTAATCTTATTATTGACCTTTCAAAAAAAAAATGAAGAGATATATGTGAAATTATATAATATGTGTACACATTTCCAGACATGTCCTCATCTGATTCTTTAAGAGAAACAGAATAGTACACCAAAATGAATATACCTGATGAGCCAAATTATGGAATAAATATCTGTTCAAACATTATTTTAAGACAGAGTTTGGCAAACTATGACCCACTGGCCAAATCCACCTGTTTTGTAAGTCCCATAAGCTAAGAATAGTTTTACATTTTCAAGTGACTGAAAAAAATTGAAAGAAGAATAATATTCTGTGACATGTGGAGGTTTTATGAAATTTAAGTTATAGTGTCCATAAGTAAAGTTTTATTGGAACAGAGTCCTGTTCATTCTTTTATGTACTGTCTGTCACTGCCTTTGTGCTGCAACAACAGAGTTAGAGTTTCAACAGGCCCTCAAAGCCTCAAAGCCTACTATTTACTATCTGGACATTGACAGAAAAAAAATTGCAATCTCCTGCTGTAGGGCAAGGAAAACTTTCTGTGTCAATTATCATCTACTAGTAGTGGAAAATTAACACTGTCCTATCATAGAGCTCTAATGACATCATTACCGTATCCAGGCAAATAACTTACTAGAGGTTATAATGAAGATAGACACACACATACATATACTCATGGATGTACATGCATTCGTACAAAATATTGTTTAAAATACAGTAAGCAAATAATTCATTTTTGTCTTATTAATATTTAAATATATGCTGGATATACCTCAACTTTGTTGGAGAAGATTATCCCTCCCAGTTTGGTTATTTTCGATAAAGAAATAATTGCCTCTGTACAAAGACAAGCATATCCTGCTACAGCTGTATCAACAGAATATTCTTTTCTTTTGGAATGCAGCTGACATTGCATGTCAAGTTTGACATACTTGGCCAATGATGCAAAATATGACCTCCATTGCCTATGACCATAAGCTTAGAAAATTTCCCCTGAACAAAATTTTTCTGGGGGAAGGGGAGTAGGCTGAAGGGCATAATTATGCTTCTTTTATTTATGATTCTATAAAGTATTTGATGTTTGACTGAACACAAGAGTGTTCAATCTTCTAAAGCATATTTTTCTTATATAGATTCATGTAAGCCTAAAGTTTTGTAATTCGAATTACTACTAAAGTACCCATGGCCAATATGAGAAAAAAATGCTGGAGGATTATTTTCTGTTGAATTAAGAACTTTCCTCTACACAACCATTTATTCAAATAAACACTATTAGATTTTAGCATTCATAAGTTGTCTAATTACATAAATGTAATAAAAATAGTGTTCCCATTTTCCAATGTCCTCTTAAATAATTCCACTCAACCCTCTCAACTCCACATCTAAAAACACCAGCAACAAAGTAACCCTCAGTTAATCCAATATTTTTTATCTATACTAGCAAATACCTTGTCATTTTAAGTTACTATAAGAAGAACATGCTACATTTTGAACTCCTCTTTGTTTTACTCCGAAATATTATAGTTGGCCTATAGTACATTCACAAGCAGACAAGCTATATTTTCCTACTACTAGAAGAATTAAACAAAATTTATATTCATATTTATAACTAGAGCCTGATATGCACCTGTCTAAATAAATAGCCGTAGCTTGATTTATATTCTCTCCAAAGAGGTACTAAGACTGAGGCATTCGTTAAATCACATTCTCTATGCAAGCATTAACAAACTGAAAAGCAAATTTAACTTTAACCATAGTTCCTGGTAAGAACAACGATGCAACTGAATTATTACTGTAGGTATTAAAATATTCTCCTAGTAGATCTAAATCACAGGACAGTGAATGAAGACCATTTTATATGGCCTTTTACTTCTTTGACCTATGAAAGTGTCCTATGTTGCTTATTTTGAAAGTCCATTGTGAGATGTTAAATAAATCCTTTCCCTGTTGACATTGTACAGTTTTAAGTGATAAATATACTTCAAAGAAAAAAAGACGTGTAATGCTTTCTTCAAGTGACACTGAAAATGCCTCCAAATTTGCCTAATCACAGAGGGACTCTAAATGTGTAATTTCTCCTTAAACTTCCCTTTTCTCTTTACAGGAAACATCACTGAGTTACACCAGGTCCTATTTGCCATCCATTTCTTCTTTTTGCCACAAATAGAGCATCAAAATAGATTGTTCATTAGAAGGAACACGTCCAAGCTATTGCCAACCTATGTTGGCACCTAAAGACATTATATGTGGTTTCCTCTTAACAAAAAAAGAAAAAGAAGAAGGTTAAGAAACTAAAAGCCCAGAATCTCTGAAATAAGTCTACACAACACCCAGTTTTTTCCAGTTACTCTGTATGAAATGTTATTGTAAATATAAGTTCCAGTAATGCATAACCTTAAATTATTGTTCTGAAAGATCAGCCCAAAGAATATTAAAAGTGTTTTCAACATACTCCATTAAAAAAATAAAAATAAATAAAAGTGCTAGAATTTCTCTTTCTTCTGACTTCAAGTGTTCAAGAGAATCACATCGATGGGACAATGGAAGCAGTTATTTGGATGCATGTTGCAAATCTCCCATCTCCGACTTTATGATGGATGTCAGTGAAGTTTGTGGCTGGATAACAGTAGTCCTACATCAAGGAGATTTATGGAGAGGATGCATTTAGTATTATTCATGAGCCACTTAACAAGCGTCAGCAAAGGAAACAATATGGCCTTTGTTTATAGTCCCAGGAGTTCTTTAGAGGGCTTTTGAAAATTGAAGAGATTTTCTGATAAATGGTAGAGGATCTTTAGGTGGGCCTGAAAGCTGTAAGTGTATTTTCCTGTTAACTTGAAGAGTACTACATTTCATCCTAACTTCCCTGTTTCCTCAATAAAAAATTATCAGATATTCTGCTGGTATTTTATTGTGCTATTGTTCTGCTACATTAAATAACCAAGAGGGACACATTTTTAAGAAAAATGTTCATTTCACTCTCTATTACAGGAAGTTGGAGCATCTTAACAGGCTATCCAGACTATTTGAACAGAAATGAAGCAACATATGTTCAAAACTGTCTCTGATATTATATTCTTTATGTTTATGACCCACATCTTTCTCAACGAATTGTTATTTATGACAACTTATGTGTATAATAGTTCTGACTTAACCAAGAAATTTAGTTCTGCAGCTAGCTGAAAGACTTGGGAATCAGACAGTTGCATTGGGTGACTTGGTTGAACTAAATTAGGAAAAAAGATTTCACTAAGATTATTAGTGTTAGAGAAAATAGTGATGAAACTGATAGAACTGTTAACTAAGGGTAATCAATGACATATTTAGATAGATTTTCTTAATTATTATTTTGTAAGATTGCTGGTTTTCTAAGCAATTTGCAACCAAAGAAAGTACCTTCAGAATCTGATCATATTAACAAGCAAAAAATAAATATTTTTTATTGTAATAAAAGTACAGGTTCTGACAATTATTTCATCCTACCTAATCCTTAAAATGATTCCAGAGGCCAGGTGCAGCGGCTCACGTCTATAATCCCAGCACTTTGGGAGGCCGAGGCAGGCAGATAACGAGATCAGGAGTTTGAGATCAGCCTGGCCAATATGAAGGTTGCAGTGAGTCGAGATCGTGCCACTGTACCTGGGTGACACAGCAAGACTCCATCTCAGAAAAAAAAAAGAAAGATTCTGGAAGCGTGTTTATTCAATCCATTTTATGGCCGCTTTGTGTGCATTCTTAGTGAATTGGAGTGCTTGAGGCTACAGATTGCAGTTTTAAAAATAGACATATTGCTGGAGATAAAACTCCATTGGAGACTGTGGTTTACAGGATTTATTTTATACTTGATGCCCTTTATGCAAATTCTTACGTCTTACCAAGTGCTTCATTCCCAAGCCCATCTTTCTTTCTATTTCAATTTTGGACTTCCAGTCAAACCACAAGAGCTAGGACCTTAAATTTCCTGTCCATCAACAGTGTTTAACATGACTCCAATGTGGAAACAACTGGCAAAATCATTTGGTTCAAGCTCATAGATTTTTAGATGCAGACATGGAAGCGCAGAGACTAAGTGACTCACAAAACATCATATAGTTTGTGAGCGACAGAAATCTTTATGTTTCTTAATTTATCTCTTATCAACTCCAAGAAATGTTTGAGAATGGTTTCAGAGCCCTCTGATGTGGTTAGCAAAGCTACTAAATCAATGTGCCTATTGAAAATACAAAATTAGAGTTCTATCATCTGTTATCTGCTTGCAACTTGAACCACAAAAATATTAAAATGTAGAAATTTAAATAAGATGTGCCTTATGGGAAAAAATGTAAAACCATCATAAACAATCTACTAGCTAGATATTGAAAAATATACCACTTTTAATAATTCAGCACCGAAAAAAAGCATCCTAAAATAATTTGAAGGTTAATACATAAAAACTGAGACAGAGAGAAGAGAAAAAAGAAGGCCTACTCAAAAATTCTATTAATCCTCACTAATGTTCTGTTTTGCCTCCCCTAGGCACTAATTCTTCGTGAGAATGCCAAAATGCTAGATGATATTACCTTGGGTTTCCTAAGTGGGAAGCTTCTTTATATAGTGTGGTACAGCAATGTTTATGTCTTAAAGGCTAACAAGTAAACAGGAGCTAATGTTTACAAAGCAGAAAGTCAATCCGGAGTTCCTGAAAGGTATTTTGTTCATACAGCACATAAGCCAAGTAGCTGGTCAAATAATTAACATCGTCTTCCTTAATTGTTGGTATCAGTTGTCATTAATACATAAAATTAGGAATTTTGCTGGGTCAACATTTTAAATGGGAAGACAATCTCTAGGAACATATTCATTTATTAACTCCTATGACAAGCCGGTGACAGCTCCCCCTTGTACAGAAAAAATGGTTCCTTTTTTTTCACTTTGGTTACTGGCATCTAGTTCTCTAACCCCACATTTTTTAACATCCCATTAATTCAAATCTTCAAACTAATAACCTATATTGTGCAAAGTGAGAGTGTTTAAAAGCAAAGGTGCTGACAGTTTGTAGATAGAGGAAGTAAATTTCTTTTAAAAGACTTTATAGGTGCTTATCTGATTCTGTCAAGGCAGTGATTATAACACACAAATATGACAGCGTTCACTGATAAAGGCAATGTGAGTAACTGCCAACAGAGGCATCCACCAAAGAATATCTAGGCCTGATAATATAGCTATATTAAAATTTAAACCTATTTGTAGAATCGTTGCCCTGGCATTATTAGAGATCATTTCTAGAGGTCAAAAGCAGCTGGTCCTCTCTCCCTGTAAATCTTTAGCATCTTCTCCTTAAGAAACAAGTGATTTAGTTTCCAAATTTAAAGTTTTAAAGTAACAGGCTTTTCACAGGTAATCAGTTCTAAGATCATGAAAACATACAGGGTTTCATATTGCAATTCATACTGTGTACTAGGACATATATTGCTGATGTGAATGTCTTATTCTTTTTTTCTCTGGTGAAGGACCTATCAGTTCAAAAGTTGTGTTCTAGCTTCAGGTTTCGGCTGCAGACAGATTGCTGACCTCAGTCTAGGTGGAAGCCATGAAAAAACTAAACCAAAAAAAAAAAAAAAAAAAGAGCAGACCAACTAACACAGATTGTCAAATGACAAAACTTCAAACCAGAGCAGTATATTCACTTTGATTCCTTCATTCAGTATTCACTTAAGGCCTAATATTTCTGGATACTGAACAAGATTATTCAGAATTTTTTTTTTTTTTTTTTAAGGAAAAAGAAAACCTGGTCCCTGCCTTCAAGGAACTTGTATGGCAAACACTTGCAAGCAAATGACTCTAATAATAGTATGTGTTTACTATGTTCTATGCATTGTTTTTAGTGCTTTACATGAATTAACATCCCTTTTATCAATCCTATAGTGTAAATACTATTATGTTCTCCATTTTACATATGAAGAAATGGAGCATAGAGAGGTTAAGTAATTTGCCTGAGTTCAAACAGCTGATAAAAGAGAGTCAAGTTTCAGATCCAAATATAGGAAGTTTGGCTTCAGCATCCAGGTTCTTTCCCATCATACCACACTCAATTATTCTACAATAGAACACTGGAGAGAAAGAGATGCAGGTGGGGAGGAAGGAGGCAGGAATAATGGGAATAGGTGGAAGAGAAGGCGGAAGATGTATTTATCCGGATACAATCAAAGAACCATTTCAGAGGAAAAAGGAGAATGTGAGTTGGAACTTTAAGTTTGAGTAATGATCCCCAGAAATAATTAAAGAATCCTTCTAGGCAATTTGGAAAATTTTCTTTCATTTATTTTCATTTACTTGTATATATGTGTGTGTTAACCCTTGCCTTTGCATGAGTTTTTCTGCAACCCGAAATTCATACTACATCTCTGTAAAACTAAGGCTAATCTGTAATTACAATTCATTTTATCTGGAAAATGTTATTGTACTCCCTAAAATATGTACACTAATTCTACATAGCAATAATTATTTTGGATGTTAGTTAAATGCTTTGCTAAAACAGGGGGAAACTGCTTTGTTCCTAGTTATTTGGGTAAATTTAATTTAAAAAAAGGTTTTCTTTTTTATTCTTCTTGTTCTCTTCAGTTTGGTCAGAACTGCCTCACGGTCTCATAGTTTTGGTTTGCACTTCAGTGGTTAGAGAAGTCTGAACTCCTTTTGCTTTGGAAAGCTGGTAAGCACAGAAAGTGAGAGGCAAGGATGTATTTGCTAAGGTATATTTCTAGAAAATTCCATGTAGACAGTGTAAAGGGATGGTATTTGATAGAACACACTATTTAAAATTATGACTTTGGAATGGGGACATTTTAAACTCAGTTATAGGCATATATGGCCTCTTTTCCTTTCCTTTCTTCCTCCACCACAAAATTCTATGTTGACTGGAAGTCAACTATTTTGAGAGATGCTATATTGAATTGTAGGATAGTAAGAAAAGTCATGTAGCTGATATACTGCGATGGGAGCAGCTTAACAGCAGCTTTAACTGATAATTCCTAGTTTTCTGTAGGCTCATTAGCGCAAACAGTGTGGAATTGGCGAGCCACCGTCCTAATCAGTACAGTTGTAGGGTAGGCATTAGGCATTAGGGTTTCCAGAAATTGGACCCCTGATAGCTCTTAGAGCTAGAGCCTATGTCTTATTTCACTGTCCTAAACCACTGAAAAATATAACAGCCACAGCATGTTTAATTTCACTGAGCTATAAGTGTTGAGGAAAAAATATTTTTAAATCACTTTTAGATTTTAATTAATATGTCTAATAATCTCTTGGGAAATCTCTAGCAAGGCAGCCAATGAAAATGTGATGATTGCAAACTTGATTTTATAGAAGTATATTTTGTATGCTTTTTATTCAGATATCTGCAATGTCACAAGGAAAATATTAATATTTTTTGCTCTAGTTTGTCAAATTTTGATAAAAATTATTTTATACATCTTAATTTTATTTGCTAGAACATAATTATAATTTTATACTATTTGTAAACTAAATGAAATTTCAGGATTCAGTCCAATGGTCACCTTATTCTACTTTGGAATAATGAAAACAACATTAAAAATATTAACCAGCTACTCTACAACTCATGGAGTGTGAAAGTTTAAGTAAGTATTCTGGTGACAGCTTGCAACAGAAATAGAAAGTGGCATACCATTAATCAAGTTATCTGATATGTCATAAAAAGGTGGAATTGGTGGAAAACATAGCTATTTCCACTACATTCTCAAGACAGTACTGTCTGCAGGTATTCTTCTAAAGCCTTCATGCTGTGGACCCTTTTGTCCAAAGCATTTTAAGAAGGTCTCCTGTGAGCCCTTTTCATTAATCACCAGTGTAGTCTACACGGGAGTCTCCTGAAAGAAGTAGAGGAAAGTCTTGTGTTGAGAGACCTTCAGAAACAGATGACAAGAGCACCCCAGCCTCGAGACGGGGTCATGAAGGGTGGAAATATGAGCTCCTAACCCTTGACCTCTTTGCCTCTTTATTTTGATTCCTTTAACAATACACGTTTGGCAGACACAAGCAGTGGCAAGTCCTTCTCTCTTTTGTTAGGCTTGGGAAAAACTCAGGGCAGCTCACTGTGACTCCCACCTAAGGGCTTGCCTGGTTTTTAATTAGAATTACAACTCATGCCACATTTTTTTAAATAATGGTTTTTAAAAAGACCCAAGCAATAATATATTTCTAAAATTTCCATAGCCAAATGAGCATAACTTTCAAGGGGCCATTATTAGTTTTTTGTGTGTGAATGGGATTTTTTTTTTTTTTGGTGGATCTGTTTAGATATTTTAAATTGTATTTGTTTTGTCCCCTACAGTTAATGTCTTTTTTAAGTGATTTCACAAATGTTAGTGGTTACAGATCATGAAAGGATGTTAAAAAGGGATGCCACGGCTCTGGAAGAACAAGATGAATATTATCCATATGTGTGTTCACAATCTTGGAGAAATAACAATAACAACAAAACTATAATAATTTTTCATAGAACTATCTATCCAAACATAACCTTACAGTAAAAAATTTTAAATAGTGCTTCTTATGAAAACACACATTATTCTAATTTAATGCTAAAATGATCGGGTCCATTTACATTTGATAGTTTCTGAGATTCTAAAAGCTTGTGTATTTATTGACCCAAGTAAGTTACCATGGACTTTTGTCCAAAGAAAATAAAAAACATGACATGCAAAGAAGCTGTGGAGCAAATGTCACATGGCTTTGGTTCCAAAAATTCAAAGAATATACAGAGAGCTGATAGTCAACTAACATTCTGGTACATAATACCAGGAAAAAAAATCGAGAATTTTCATTATTCCTAGAGAAATGCTTGTCCCTGCCTCCCTCTCTTTTTCCTGTTTTCCTCTACCACTTCCTCCTGTTTTCACACAAACAAAAATATTGAACTCAATTTTACCCTATTTTTCAGGTTGTCTTAATGGTTAGTAGTCACATCCCATAATCCCTTTAAACTTTTAAAAATATTACTTGGGGCTTGGACACAGGAAGGGGAACATCACACACCGGGGCCTGTTGTGGGGTAGGGGGAGGGAGAAGGGATAGCATTAGGAGATATATCTATTGTCAAATGACTAGTTAATGGGTGCAGCACACCAACATGGCACATGTATATATATGTAACAAACCTGCACGTTGTACACATGTACCCTAAAACTTAAAGTATAATAATAAAAAAAAAATTACTTGGGGTTATTATGGTGCTGGGGCTGGAAAATCTAGTGTCAGATGTAGCCAAGACATTTGTTTGTTACATATGTATACATGTGCCATGTTGGTGTGCTGCACCCATTAACTCGTCATATACATTAGATATATCTCCTAATGCTATCCCTCCCCCCTTCCCCCATCCCACAAGAGGCCCCAGTGTGTGATGTTCCCCTTCCTGTGCCCAAGAGTTCTCATTGTTCAATTCCCACCTATGAGTGAGACCATACGGTGTTTGGTTTTTTGTCCTCGTGATAGTTTGCTGAGAATGATGGTTTCCAGCTTCATCCATGTCCCTACAAAGGACATGAACTCATCATTTTTTATGGCTGTATAGTATTCCATGGTGTATATGTGCCACATTTTCTTAATCCAGTCTATCACTGATGGACATTTGCATTAGTTCCAAGTCTTTGCTATTGTGAATAGTGCCGCAATAAACATATGTGTGCATGTGTCTTTATAGCAGCATGATTTATAATCCTTTGGGTATATACCCAGTAATGGGATGGCTGGGTCAAATGGTATTTCTAGTTCTAGATCCTTGAGGAATCGCGACACTTTCTTCCACAATGGTTGAACTAGTTTACAGTCCCACCAACAGTGTAAAAGTGTTCCTATTTCTCCACATCCTCTCCAGCACCTGTTGTTTCCTGACTTTTTAATGATCACCATTCTAAATGGTGTGAGATGGTATCTCACTGTGGTTTTGATTTGCAGTTCTCTGATGGCCAGTGATGATAAGCATTTTTTCATGTGTCTGTTGGCTGCATAAATGTCTTCTTTTGAGAAGTGTCTGCTCATATCATTTGCCCACTTATTGATGGAGTTGTTTGTTTTTTTCTTGTAAATTTGTTTAAGTTCTTTGTAGATTCTGGATATTAGCCCTTTGTCAGATGAGTAGATTGCAAAAATTTTCTCCCATTCTATAGGTTGCCTGTTCACTCTGATGGTAGTTTCTTTTGCTGTGCAGAAGCTCTTTAGTTAAATTAGATCCCATTTGTCAATTTTGACTTTTGTTGCCATTGCTTTTGGTGTTTTAGACATGAAGTCCTTGCCCATGCCTATGTCCTGAATGGTATTGCATAGGTTTTCTTCTAGGGTTTTTATGGTTTTTAGTCTAACATTTACGTCTTTAATCCATCTTGAATTAATTTTTGTATAAGGTGTAAGGAAGGGATCCAGTTTCAGCTTTCTACATATGGCTAGCCAGTTTTCCCAGCACCATTTATTAAATAGGGAATCCTTTCCCCATTTCTTGTTTTTGTCAGGTTTGTCAAAGATCAGATGGTTGTAGATGTGTGGTATTATTTCTGAGGGCTCTGTTCTGTTCCATTGGTCTATATCTCTGTTTTGGTACCAGTACCATGCTGTTTTGGTACTGTAGCCTTGTAGTATAGTTTGAAGTCAGGTAGCATGATGCCTCCAGCTTTGTTCTTTTGGCTTAGGATTGATGCAGCCAAGACTTTTTTATTTGTTTGATTTCAGCTCAAGTTCAAACAAAAGCACCAAAGTTGAATATTTTAATTATATGGTTGAATTTTAACTACTTTACAATAGCGTTTTATCTGGTTGAATTTTAATTACAATAGTGTTGTTTTGTTTTTTAGGCTACTCCATAATTGTTAAGTCTCTACTTCTTTAATTCATTATATAGTCAAAAAATAAATTGAATGTGATATTTTTCTTTCTTTTTATTATTATACTTTAAGTTTTAGGGTACATGTGCACAACGTGCAGGTTAGTTACATGTGTATACATGTGGTATGCTGGTGCGCTGCACCCACTAACTTGTCATCTAGCATTAGGTATATCTCCTAATGCTATCCCTCCCCCCTCCCCCCACCCCACAACAGTCCCCAGAGTGTGATGTTCCCCTTCCTGTGTCCATGTGTTCTCATTGTTCAATTCCCACCTATGAGTGAGAATATGCGGTGTTTGGTTTTTTGTTCTTGTGATAGTTTACTGAGAATGATGATTTCCAATTTCATCCATGTCCCTACAAAGGACATGAACTCATCATTTTTTATGGCTGCATAGTATTCCATGGTGTATATGTGCCACATTTTCTTAATCCAGTCTATCATTGTTGGACATTTGGGTTGGTTCCAAGTCTTTGCTATTGTGAATAGTGCTGCAGTAAACATACGTGTGCATGTGTCTTTATAACAGCATGATTTATAGTCCTTTGGGTATATACCCAGTAATGGGATGGCTGGGTCAAATGGTATTTCTAGTTCTAGATCCCTGAGGAATCGCCACACTGACTTCCACAATGGTTGAACTAGTTTACAGTCCCACCAACAGTGTAAAAGTGTTCCTATTTCTCCACATCCTCTCCAGCACCTGTTGTTTCCTGACTTTTTAATGATCGCCATTCTAACTGGTGTGAGATGATATTTCATTGTGGTTTTGATTTGCATTTCTCTGATGGACAGTGATGGTGAGCATTTTTTCATGTGTTTTTTGGCTGCATAAATGTCTTCTTTTGAGAAGTGTCTGTTCATGTCCTTCACCCACTTTTTGATGGGGTTGTTTGTTTTTTTCTTGTAAATTTGTTTGAGTTCATTGTAGATTCTGGATATCAGCCCTTTGTCAGATGAGTAGGTTGCGAAAATTTTCTCCCATTTTGTGGGTTGCCTGTTCACTCTGATGGTAGTTTCTTTTGCTGTGCAGAAGCTCTTTAGTTTAATTAGATCCCATTTGTCAATTTTGGCTTTTGTTGCCATTGCTTTTGCTGTTTTAGACATGAAGTCCTTTCCCGTGCCTATGTTGTGAATGGTAATGCCTAGGTTTTCTTCTAGGGTTTTTATGGTTTTCAGTCTAACGTTTAAGTCTTTAATCCATCTTGAATTGATTTTTGTATAAGGTGTAAGGAAGGGATCCAGTTTCAGCTTTCTACATATGGCTAGCCAGTTTTCCCAGCACCATTTATTAAATAGGGAATCCTTTCCCCATTGCTTGTTTTTCTGAGGTTTGTCAAAGATCAGATAGTTGTAGATATGCGGCGTTATTTCTGAGGGCTCTGTTCTGTTCCATTGATCTATATCTCTGTTTTGGTACCAGTGTATTTTTCTTCTCCTTGGGATGCATGACTGCTTGCCTCAGCCTCCTGGAAGAGTAGAAGACTGAATTATGCAGTTTCTCATTCACGGGAAACAAATCTTGCCTATCAAAATATTTTAAAATATGCCATGTTATCTTTCACCTCAATTAAATATATAAGAAAATGTAAAAAAGCATATTTAGGGGAGAGGATTGTGGACTTCATGGTGAAACCTCCAAATGCAGAACTCCTGAGAACGATTTGAAGTGAAGGTCTTGAACTATAGAAATATAGGCAGTTATCCCTCCAAAAATGAGAGCCGAAGTTAGGAGAAAGGACGTTTGCAAGGGAGATATATTGGAAAAGAAAGAAAAGGTGTCTAAGACATATGACTATGTATTAGTCAGGGACAGAGTTCTCTTAGTAGGCTGGAAAGATAGGCCCATCTCTCTTTTTCACATTTTTATGCCTGCTTTATATTCACTGGAACCTGGTTAGATTGTGCCCACCAGATTAAAGTTGGATCTGCCTTCCCCATCCCACTGACTCAAATGTTAATCTCTTTTGGCAACACCCACGAAGACATACTCAGGATTAATACTTTGTATGCCTCAATCCAATCAAGTTGACACTCAGTATTAACCATCAGAAGCCCACCCCTTGTCAACCGGAACCCATACACATCTCCTGAGATCATACATAATCTTCAAATAAAGACAATAATGAGGTCATAACTACAGCTAACATAATACAACTATCCTTCATACAACCAGAAAAGCACCAATCTCCAACCCAAATACTATTACATAAAGTTAACAATACTTAAATATTGATATTAAGTCAATAAATTTTATATCACATGATGAAGAAAGGAAATAAAATGAAGTTTTTTTTTGGACCAGTATATATATGCACAAACATGTTTTTAAAAAAAGAATGAGAAAATACTCATGATAATTAAGGTCTTTGTTTCTGTAGCTGGTCATGTGGTTATAGCTGGTATTATTGACTACCTTCTTCTGCTATTTGTTCTGTATTCCCTTTGCCTTCAGCAAGCACCTCAGCAGATAGTGTTTTGTTTTGTTTTGTTTTGTTTTCCTGGTGGAGTGACACAAACCCTCATTCCTAAAGGATCTGGGTCTTTTGTAGTCCTTCCTGCATTGGGCTGTTGTAGTTACCCATTATCCTTAATCGCAGGACACAGTAATACTAAGAGACACCCTAATGGATCTCCTGTATTCCACGCATACTCTTCCTTACCTCCACTGTGGAGTAGAAGACTGATTTCATCTTAATAGTCAGGGTCAATCACCCCAGCCAACAGTGTAACTCCCTTCTTAGCCTGTTGACTTAAAGGTAGGAGGAACCCAAAGTGTCCAGGTGGCAATCTTAATTTCCACTTTAATGGGATCGTTATTGTGTCTCCTGGTGGCAGCATTCCTTCCTCTGGAACTAAGACCTCTAGGCCAGCAGAACATAATGTTGTTGGAACAGGAAGGAAAAATTTTGCTGGTGGATCACTAGGGGTGATGGTAAGAGGTGCCACTTCCACTTTCACACCTTGATTCCTGTACCTGTGAATCCTGGCTAGGAGAGAAAGAGTACAATATATTGGACACTGATTCAGAGCATGCACGCCCTTCTGGAGAACTTTGCCTCAGCCCTGCAAAGTATTGCACCTAGTTGGCATTGTAATTGTGACTTCAAAAGGCCATTCCACCATCCTATCAATCCAACTGCTTCAGGATGATGGGGAAGATGGTAAGACTAGTGAATTCCATGAGCACGAGCCCACTGCTGCACTTCTTTAGCACTAAAGTGAGAGCCTTGGTCAGAGGCAATGCTGTGTGGAATACCATGATGGTGGATAAGGCATTCCATGAGTCCATGGATGGTAGTCTTGGCAGAAGCATTGTGTGCAGGATAGGCAAACCTATATCCGGAATGTCTATTCCAGTGAGGACAAAGCTCTGCCCTTTCTATGATGGAGAGGTCCAATATAATCAACCTGCCACCAGGTAGCTGGCTGATCACCCAGAAGAATTGTGCCATATCGAAGGCTCATTTTTGGTCTGTGCTGCTGGCAAATTGGGCACTCAGTAGTGGCTGTATCCAGGTCAGCCTTGGTGAGTGGAAGTCCATGTTGCTGAGCCTATGTGTAATCTCCATCCCTGCTACCATGACCATTTTGTTCATGGGCCCACTGGGCAATGACAGGGGTGGCTGGGGAAAAAGACTAAGTGGTGCCCACAGAACAGGTTATCCTATCCACTTGATTAAACTCCTTCTCTGCTGAGGTCAGCTGTTGGGGAGCACTCACATGGGATACAAATACCTTCATAGTTTTTGACCACTCAGAGAGGCCCATCCACATAACTCTTCCGCAAATTTCTTTGTCACCAATTTTCCAATCAGGCTTTTTCCAAGTCCCTGACCATCCAGCCAAACCATTGGCTACACCCCATGAATCAGTATACAATTGCACACCTGGCCATTTCTCCTTCCATGCAAAGTGCACAACCAGGGAAGATTCTGCCTGGGAAGTTCTCAAAGTTCTGCACACTGGGAAGATTTACTTTCACCACTGTCCTTCAGGGATATCTTAGAAAGGGGCTGTAGTGCTACAGTTTTCTACTTTTGGGTGGTACCTGCATATCGTGCAGAACCATCTGTGAAACCAGGCCCTAGTATTCTCTTCCTCTGTCAGTTGATCATAGGGAACTTCCAATGAAACCATCAGTGCAGGCTGGGAAAGAGAAGGCAGGGTGGAAGGAGTGGAGACCATGGGCATTTGAGCCACTTCCTCATGTAACTTACTTGTGCCTTCAGGACCTGCTTGAGCCTGATTACATATATACCACTTCCATTTGATGATGGAATGGTGCTGTCATGGTTAGCTGGGTCAGAAAGCAACTTGTTCATGATAGGCAGTTCAAGTTGCATGGTGACTTGATGACCCATAGTCAAACATTCAGTTTCCACCAAAGCCCAGTAACAGACCAGAAGATGTCTCTCAAAAGGAAAGTAGTTATCTGCAGAAGATTACAGGGCATTGCTCCAAAATCCTAGAAGCCTCCACTGTAATTCTTCCTATCAAAGGCTCCAGAAAGCAACCCTATCTGCCACTGACACCTCAAGCACCATTGGATCTACTGGGTCATATGGCACAACTGGCAGAGCAGCTTGCACAGCACCCTAGACCTGTTGTAGAGCCTTCTCTTATTCTGGACCCCATTCAAAACTGGCAGCCTTTCAGGTCACTCAATAAATGGACTGGAGTAACACACCCAAATGAGAATGTTTTGCCTCCAAAATCTAACTAGGCTTACTAGGCATGCCTCTTTCTTGGTTGTAGGAGGGGCCAAATGCAGCCATTTATTCTTCACCTTAGAAGGAATATCTTGACAGGCCCCACATCACAAGACCTCCAGGCATTTCACTAAGATAGAAGGACCCTGAAATTTAGTTGGATTTATTTCCCGTCCACTGGAGTGCAAATGTCTAACCAATAAGTCCAGTGTGTTTGCTACTTCTTGCTCACTGGATCCAATCAGCATAATGTCATCAATGTAATGGACCAGTGTGACATCTTGCAGAAGCAAAAAGCAATCAAGGTCTCTCCGAATAAGATTATGACACAAAGCTGGAGAGTTGATATACCCCTGAGGTAAGACAGTAAACATATATTCCTGGCCTTGCCAGCTGAAAGACAACTGTTTCTGGCAGGCCTTATGGATGGGAATGGAGAAATAGGCATTTGCCAAGTCAGTGGCTGCATACCAGTACCAGGAGATGTATTAATTTGCTCAAGCAATTAAACCACATCTGATACAGAAGCTGAAATTGAAGTCACCACTGGGTTAAGCTTATAATAATCCACTGTCATTCTCCAAGATCCATCTGTCTTCTGCACAGGAAAATGGGAGAGCTGAAAGGGGTAGTGATGGGAATCACCACCCCTGTGTCTTTCAAGTCCTTGATGATAACACTAATCTCTGCAGTCCCTCCAGGGATGAGATATTGTTTTTGATTTACTACTTTTCTAGGGAGAGGCAGGTCTAATGGCTTTCATTTGGCCTTTCCCACCATAATAGCCCTTACCTTAGCAGTCAGGGAGCCAATGTGGGGCCTCTGCCAGCTGCTTAAGCATGCTATGCCAATTATGCATTCTGGCACTGGGGAAATGACCACAGGATGAGTCCGGGGACCCACTGGACCCACTGTAAGTCAGATCTGAACTAAAATTCCATTAATTACCTGACTGCCATAAACCCCTACTTTAACTGGAGGACAAGAGTGACATTTTGGGTCCCCTGGAATCAATGTCAGCGCAGAGCCGGTGTCCAGTAGTCCCCAGAATGTCTGGTCATTTCCCTTTTCCCAATGCACAGTTACCCTGGAAAAGGCAGGAGGTTTCCCTGGGGATGGGTGGGAGAAAGCTTCATTGTATAAATTGTCGGTAATGTAATGGGGTCCTTCCTCAAGGGGACTCAGCTTCCCCTTCATTCAAGGGGTTCTGGGTCTGTAAACTGGCTCAAGTCTGGAAATTGATTGAGGGGCTCTGATTCTCTGTTTTTATAATTCAAATTAGTCTTTTGTCCATTCTATCTATAAGTTTCTGTTTGTATACTTTAAGTAGGAATGCAGTAGGCTTCCTATCAATTTCACTTCTAGGAACACTGTGA
Source organism: Homo sapiens (assembly GCF_000001405.40). NCBI lineage: Eukaryota > Metazoa > Chordata > Mammalia > Primates > Hominidae > Homo > Homo sapiens. Next base: position 147,721,553 of record NC_000003.12, on the reverse strand, counting down.
TTAATAAGCCAATGCCAGAGCTCTATATGAGTCAGACTATTCTGATTGCCACTTTGCCTCTGCTGTCCATTACGGTCGCTACACCCACCTTGCCTTTGATGGCTGAGTGCTGCCACTTGGCCCCTTCCACCTTGGGATCCAGTTGTTCCCATTGTATTTAAATTTTGGAGCTGAGTGACTGAGGTTCCCACTGTTAAATCTGACATACAGAGAAGAGCAATTACAGGACTCTCCAGTGATGCAGGTGCTGCTTTCACAAATCTATTTTGCAAGGCACTGGTCAAGGATATATCTTCTGGACCCTCCCAGCTGGGATGAATAAGTCTAAAGTTACTAATCCACTCCACCATCCCAATCTCCCTAAGCCTTTGGATCCCTTCCTTTACATAAACCGAGGGAGATCAGGCATTTCCAGCTTGCTCACAGTGGGCCATCTTTTAATCCATATTTCAGCTAACGAAGCAAATTAACTGTTAGAACCTTTTTTATCTCTCCAAGCTGCAACATTAAATGCAGAGTCCCTACTTAGTGGGCCCAAATCAATAAATTCAGCCTGACCCAACTCCATGTTCCTTCCACCATTATCCCATACCCTTAGTATCCATTCCCATGCCTGTTCTACAGATTGCTGTTTATATAAATTAGAGAACTCAAACAGTTCTTTCTGAGTGTAGTGCACCTCCTCATGGGTCACAGTCTCAACCTCACCTCTAGGGATCTGCTGGGACTTTAGTCTTGCTATAGGTCTAGAAGCAAACAGAGGTGTTTGGGGTAGAGGAGAATCAATATTATCTTGCCTGGCAACTGCCTCTGGGGAGGCCATCACTGTTGATAAACCCAGGCAGCTCAGGGTTTATCTCTTCAGACACAGGTGGAAAGGGTGATGGCAGCATGGGTCAGGTAGAAGATGTTGCCACTGCTGGGGATGGGGAAGCTGTTCATTCTGACAAAAAAAAAAAAAGGTTCATCCGAGTTCACAAACTCAGTGTCCCCATCTTCATCGGGGTCCTCCCACACACACACACACATTCCCATTCCAAGTTGCAGGGTCCTATTCTTTTCCAATAAATGCTCTCACTTTAACAGTAGACACCTGGCAAGGCTGTGCATGCACCTTTCATTGCAGGTCAGCCACTTGCATGATAAAAATTTGTGTCTGTTTTTCCACAATTGCAGCTCTTTCTCTACAGGAGATAAGACTCACTCAGGGAAATTCTAGCAGATTTGAGGCTCAGTATCTGCTTCTGAAACCAGGAGAGACAGAATCCCTGATTTCATTATTTTCTTTCATCACTTTGTCCACTGAATTTAAGAGCAACCAACCAGCTTCATTATGTTCCTTGGTTTTCCACATATGGTCAAAGATATTATGTATAGAGTCACTAAACCCCTTGCCTCTCACGAGTGGTGAATCAGGAGCGTCAAATGCATTAATTTTGCATAACTCTCTAAACGGTTTCCACCAAGGATGATCAGTGTTCTCCGTACTATTAGAAGTAGAGTCCTTACCATTTTGGGGTCTAATCATATTAAGTAGCAACTCCAGAAACCGCAAAACCAACAAAATAACTCCATCCTTAATGTCATGTTCCTCTAGACCCCACTCCTGGTGCCAAAATCTGTATTAGTCAGGGTTCTCTAGAGGGACATAACTAATGGAATATATATATATATAAGTTTATTATTAACTTACACAACCAACAAGTTCCCACAATAGGCTGTCTGCAAGCTGAGGAGTAAGGAGAGCCAGTCTGAGTCCCAGAACTGAAGAACTTGGAGTCTTATATTCGAGGGCAGGAAGCATCCAGCTTGGGAGGTAGATGTAGGCTGGAAGCTAGGTCCATCTCTCTTTTTCATGTTTTTCTGCCTGCTTTATATTCGCTGGAAGCTGATTAGATTGTGCCCACCAGCTTAAGGGTGGATCTGCCTTCCCCAGCCCACTGACACAAATGTTAATCTCTTTTGGCAACACCTTCACAGACACACCCAGGATCAATACTTTGTATCCTTCAGTCCAATTGAATTGACTCTCAGTATTAACTGTCACAGACTATAATTAATATTTCTTTATTTTTTGAGATATCCCAATATTAAAGATAAATCATTGCTTTTGCCAGATTTGGAAACGTCCTTTAGCTTTAAACATGTTCTCTACTCAAATATACTACTTCCTTTAATATAATGCAAAAGATTTCTTAAATTGAAAGACTCTTCTTAAGAAAATCCAAAAGATGTCAATAATACCATTTCAATATTTTTAAAAAATATTTTAAATATTTAAATATTTTAAAAAGATCCATTTTTCCAGCTAAATAAGTTGAATTCAAAATTGTCCTTTTTATGTTTCCTGTACTTTCCATTCCTTCTCTCCTTTCTATTTGACCTCTCCCTCTCTCAATCATTACTTCCTTGCCATTTGCCTTCAACTCTTCCTTCTCTCTCTCACCAGAGAAAGAAGGGTCCTTATCAGCATGTGAGCATCTTTAAATGCTCACATATCTCCAATTTAAAAAGAAACAAATACGCTGGATGTGGCGGCTCATGCCTATATTTGCAATACTTTGGGAGGCCGAGGTGGGTGGATCATCTGAGGCCAGGAGTTCGAGACCAGCCTGGCCAACATGGCAAAACCACATCTCTACTAAAAATACAAAAATTAGCTGGGTGCAGTGTCATGCTCCTGTAGTCCCAGTTACTTGGGAGGCTGAGGCAGGAGAATTGCCTGAACCCAGCAGGCTGAGGTTGCAATGAGCCAAGACTGAGCCACTGCAATCCAGCCTGGGCAACAGAGCGAGACTCTGTCTCAAAAACAAAAACAAAAACAAACAAACAAAAATATAACAATTCCCTTTCTTGTTTCTTTTTGTACCATATTTATCTCCTTTCCTTTAAGGTTAAAATTACGGAATTTGGTGTCTATATTTCCACATACCACTTCATTCACACCCATGACAATCAGGCTTCCATCTTGACAAAGCCATTAAAACTGGGATCACCAGTTCTTGTTGCTAAGTCTAATCTAAATCCAAAACCTTACTTACCCCCTTAGCATTTGACATGGCTAACAACTTCTATGGCCACTTTTGATTGCATATCCTCCTGAACTTCCTCCTCCTACTTTTTCAATAAAGCTTTATATTTTGAAATACTTTCAAACACACAAAAGTTGCAAGAATAATACAAATACTTCTCTTTACCTAGATTCACATATTTGCTATGTTTTGCTCATTTTGCATGCGCATTTCTCTTTTTCTCTCTTTCCAAATAGACCAACGGACAGATAAATCAGACAGGTAGATATAGCTATAGATGTAGATATAGATTTGCTAACTTTTTTCTGAACCTTTTGAGCCTAGGTTACGTACATTGTTCCTCTTTACCCCATGACACTTCCATGCGTATTTCTTAAGACTAAGAATGTTCTCTTCCATATTCACAGTACGATTATCAATTCATGACAATTAATATTTATATTAGATTGCAATCTATTACAGTACATTTTCCTAATATCTTTTATAGCATATTTTTCTAGGAAAGAATCTCCTGGTACAGTATCGCCCAATACATTTTGTTGTACATCTCTTTAGTCTATTAATCTGGACCAGTTCCTCAGTCTTTCTTGGGTTTCATTCCATTGACATTTTTAAAGAATGAGACAAATGTTTTATATAATGTCCTTTAATTTGGGTTCTCTTGCATTTCCTCAATATTAAATTCAACTTTTTATTTTTTGGGGCTGGAATCCTACATAAAGAAGGTTATATGCTTTTCAGGGTATCAAATCTGGTGGACCATGATGTTCACTTGCCCCATATTAGTGACATTAATTTAGATCACTTAGTTAAAGCTGTGTCCAATTTCTCCAAAGTGTATTTATTATTTATCCTTTTGTAATTACACTCAAGTGTCATAATTCGTGGTAGTTATGTTCTATATAGTTGCTGTGAATACTGAACTAGCAAATACTGAAGCATTGCTTCCAGAGGAAATCAAGGTCAATTTATTGCAAGCCTCTAATCACAACATTTCCATCAGCCAATAAATACATAACTTTGTTCTGCATGTGTTTTTGTTTAGAGATACCTTATTTAATATAGACCATTAATTAGCATTAAACTCACAACCAATAGCTTTGTAACTCATGCCTGAACGTTTATCTAACACATGTATTTTGACCGTAAGGCACATCACAACCCTCTCACACTTAGGAACACAACAAAGAGACTTCATCACTACATTTTGGGGATATTTTAAGCAGCAAAATAACCCCCAAAAAAGCACAAAAATGCAAAAAACCTGACAATAACTAAACCACAGAGTGCTTGTTTACAGTAAGAGAGCTGAAATAAGACAGAACCACCTCGTTCCACCTCAAATGAAAATATGTGCATTAGGCAATTCAAATTTTTCACTGCTTTTGCATATCATAAGGAATTCCAACAGCCATGAATATTGTTTTAGGGTTTACAAATAACTTTTTTTTTTTTTGGAGACAGGGTCTCACTCTGTCACCCAGGCTAAAGTTCAGTGGCATGATCTTGGCTCACTGGAACCTCTGACTCCCGGGTTCAAGCAATTTTCGTTCCTCAGCCTCCCCAGTAGCTGGGATTACAGGTCCACGCCACCACACCCAGCTCATTAATATTATTATTATTATTATCATTTTGCATTTTTAGTAGAGACAGGATTTCACCATGTTAGCCAGGCTGATCAAGAACTCCTGACCTCAAATGGTCCGCCTACCTCAGCCTCTCAAAGTGCTGGGATTACAGGTGTGAGCCACTGTGCCTGACTACAAATAACTTTTAACAGGAGGGTGAATTTGCAAGTATAGGATCTGTGACTAATAAAGATCAACTGTAATAAGTAATTTGTGGGAGATTCTTAATATTATGTAAGTATTCTCAACCTCATTTAACCTCCCTGCCCACCCTAGATTTGCCATCCATTTCTTTCCTTAATCCATTTTTGCAATGATGGTTGCAAATGTGATTTCAAACTCCATCATTCTTTCTATATTTATTACTCAGAACTTCACTACAAGGAACAAATTTCTCTTCTCTCCCTATCTATTTATCTGTTATTACCAATAGGAACTCATGAAATCTAGTTGTATTTAATGAGTTATGAGATATTTCCTTCAAGTTGTCTCCTGTATCCTTGTGACATTTCCACATCAATTTTTCAGTACTTCTTTCTGGTATCACAGATACTTCAGGCTCATCTTTGATCTTCCCTTGCCTTGAAGTCAGCCATTTTTCCAAGGGACTCTGGTTTATTTGGGTGGGAAATACTCAGCCTTTTTATAGACTCTTCTTCTGGTAGCCTTTATATGCAGGGATCTTTAAGTATCTGCCCCAGGCTCCTTCTCTTAGTACTAATAATTTCTAAATAAGTTCATCCCTTTTATGGCTGTATCTTTCTTTTAAGTGTCAGAGCTTCCTCGCCAACTTCATAGTGACTTTGGCTGCCTTGGTTACACTTAGAATTAGTAAAGCTAGTTCCTGAAATACCATAGGTAGTCAATAAATGAACACTTTTATGACAATGAAATAGAGATTAAATCACCCCAAATTGTGCTTTTACTCTGTGCATAGTCTACTTTTGACAGATATTATTTCACCTTCGTATATCTGACATATGTAATAGTTTATTATGTAAGAAAGTGTTCCTATTGTGGTACCTTCTTATTCCTAGAAGTATTTTTACTATAAATTTTTAACAGATTCCTCATCAAGATCAACAAATAGGATTGCCAGATAAAGTACAGGACACTAAGCCAACTGTGAATTTCAGGTACGCAATGAATAATGTTTAGGAAAGTACGTCTCAACTAAGTTTTAAAATTTCATTGTTTACCTGAAATTTAAATTTGAGTGACGTCCTATTTTTTTATTGCTAAATCTAGCAGCCCTATCAGTATATTATAAACATTTCTCTTCAATAGCATATAACCTGTGAAATGGTTATGGCACCCTCATATTATCTAGAACTAAAAGTAAAATTGCATTGAAAGTATATCAAATGTCATTACATAAAAGGATGAGGAAAAAAAGACTTTATATTTCCAGCTATCATACTTTGGACATTTTGTGGATATACCTCTCACTTAAAATTTAGTTTAAATTTAAAAGAGTTTTACAAGTATATACAAATACATTTAAACATGGTTATAGCTATGCTCATCATTTTCAAGGATGAGTTAAATGAGTTGCGCCACATGATGTAAAGCAAAATAAGATTTCCAGAGGATGCAATGCAATTCATGCAGGATCCCCTTAAGTGATCATCAATGCAAAAAATCAGCACTCCCTCAGGGAAGAACTTTGCTTCCAAAGTACATAGAAAGGTTTGCACAGAACAGAAAACTCTTCAAGGTAAATGGGAAAACCATGCTGAAAGACAAAAAATGGAAACTACAATGGATGTAATTTAGATCCTTCAATATATCACTACCAACTCTAGTATTTGAATTTTTGAAGTAAACATAAAAATGGTTGAGGTAGATAGTGTAGATTAATTGTGTGATACCTCAATTCGTTTGTTTTATTACCAAAGTGGAGAAAAATGGGCAATTAATTCAAATGCAAATAAGATTTTAATGGTCATACTTAACCAAAATTGGGATTATCAGTGTAATCCTATGAAACTCTATTTTTTATTGGTGTGTACTTTGAATTGAATTAAAAAGAAAAGAAATGCAGCTTTAAGGGTATGAATTGCAGAGTTCCTTTTAACGAGAAATATTCTAGGTTCTTGGTTCACTAGGCATGGGATATTTCCACTCTCTCGATAAGCTGACTAGGCCTTGTAAATTTGTAAGATTTGTACTAATGTAATGGGTAGGAAATTTAAGGGTCAGAATGTTATATAGTATTCGATTCCAGTGTTTATAACAAAGAATAAAAATAATAGAATTAATAAATAATAGAGAAAAATAATAGAAAAAATGAACAACAAAAACTCTAGGGATATGATTCTTTCAATATATGTAATTAGAAAGCTATGGATAATAATTTGTAGGGAGGAGGACTCTCCATTGACTTAATAGAAACTAGTTTTTATCTTTGTAAGAAGTTTAATTTACAAAACATGTAGTTTGTATCTGCTTTATTTATGACTAAGAATTGTATTCTTACAGTGGACATAAAGACTAATATGACATAATGATACCCCCAAGCAGCCCAGGTCTAGGAGTGTAGCCATAGCCCTGCATCTGTAAACAAGATAAAGATTTTGTAAATGCTTCTATTCAGTAAACTTCTAAGTTGTAAATGGATTTTAGTATTTTTTAAAATGTGCTTTCATTTTCCTTTCAAGATATTTCTTGGTCCAGGACTGGCTTACAGCAAGTAGAAAGGAAGTAGTAAGTAGAATTTATTCTTGGTTTTCTTTTCAAAAGATAAATGAAGAGCTGAGCTTTTGTATTCAGATGAGACATGCTTGGCAGTTCCAAAGGAGATTAATGGAAGTCTGAATTCCATAAATCATTAAAACATTTTTCAGTTTAAGGGACAGTAACACTTAGCAACAATGCAGAAGATCTGGTAATAAGAAATCTAATGCATGTTGTGCTTTCTCCAGGACTTGACTATTTAGCCTGCACTTCCCAAAATAGAGTTCTTGAGGGGTTGCTATTTTAAGAACAGAACCATAGATTAACTAATCACAACTTTTTCCTGCATGTTGGTACTCAGAAAACAAAGACCTGAAACAACAGCCAAATGAATACTTTGAAAAAAAAAATATTCTGAGAAACCAGGATGGAAATTGATTGTTTTTTATTAGTTAAGCCAAATATAGACATGTCTTATTACCAGGCCTACCTTATACACACTGACAGAGCAGAGGTGGCTTCGCCAAGGAAATGTGGAGTGTTGTTTACCTCTGCAAATGAACAAATGCCCCATGACACAAGCAGTAGAAATCCACTAGACAGGTCCAGGGCAAGATGGCTGAATAGGAACAGCTCTGGTCTGCAGCTCCCAGCCAGAAGGTGGTTGATTTCTGCGTTTCCAACTGAGGTACCCAGCTTATCTCATTGGAACTGGTTAGACAGTGGGCGCAGCCCACAGAGGGCAAGCAGAAGCAGGGTGGGGCATCACCTCACCCACGAAGCACAAGGGATTGGGGAACTCCCTCCCCCAGCCAACAAAAGCTGTGAAGAACTGTGCCTTGAGGGATGGTGCTATCCGGCCCAGATACTACATTTTTCCCAAGGTTTTCACAACCCGCAGACCAGGATACTCCCTTAGGTGCCTACACCACCAGGGCCCTGGGTTTCAAGTACAAAACTGGGCGGCCATTTGGGCAGACACCAAGCTAACTGCAGGAGTTTTTTTTCTGTACTCCAGTGGCACCTGAAACGCCAGCAAGACTGAACTGCTCACTCCCCTGGAAAGGGGGCTGAAGCCAGGAAGCCAAGTGGTCTTGCTCAGTGGATCCCAATTCCATGGAGCCCAGTGAGCTAAGATCCACTGGCTTGAAATTCTCGCTGCCAGCACAGCAGTCTGAAGTGAACCTGGGACGCTTGAGCTTGGTGTGGGGAGGGCCGTCTACCATTACTGAGGCTTGAGTAGGCGGTTTTCCCCTCACAGTGTAAACAAAACTGCCAGGAAGTTCAAACTGGGTTTAAACCACTGCAGCTCGGCAAAGCTGCTGTAGCCAGACTGCCTCTCTAGATTCCTCCTCTCTAGGCAGGGCATCTCTGAAAGAAAGGCAGCAGTCCCAGTCAGGAGCTTATAGATAAAACTCCCATCTCCCTGGGACAGAGCACCTGGGGGAAGGGGCAGCTGTGGGCACAGCTTCAGCACACTTAAATGTTCCTGCCTGCTGGCTCTGAAGAGAGCAGTGGATCTTCCAGCACAGCGCTCAAGCTCTGCTAAGGGACAGACTGCTTCCCCAAGTGGGTCCCTGACCTCTGTGCCTCCTGACTGGTAGACACCTCCCAGCAGGAGTCGACAGACACCTCATACAGGAGAGCTCCGGCTGCCATCTGGTGGGTGCCCCTCTGGGACGAAGTTTCCAGAGGAAAAAGCAGGCAGCAATCTTTGCTGTTCTGAAGCCCCTGCTGGTGACACCCAGGCAAACAGGCTCTGGGGTGGATCTCCTGCAAGCTCCAGCAGACCTGCAGAAGAGAAGCCTGACTGTTCGAAGGAAAACTAACAAACAGAAAGGAATAGCATCAACATCAACAAAAAAGACTTCCACGCAAAACCCCATCCAAAGGTCATCAACATCAAAGATCAAAAGTAGTTAAATCCACGAAGATGAGGAAAAGCCAGCACAAAGAGACTGAAAATTCCAAAAATCAGAATGCCTCTTCCACTCCAGAGGATCACAACTCACCAGTAAGGGTAAAAAACTGGGTGGAGAATGAGTTTGATGAATTGACAGAAGTAGCATTCAGAAGGTGGGTAATAACAAACTCCTCCAAGCTAAAGGAGCATGTCCTAACCCAGTGCAAGGAAGCTAAGAACCTTTATAAAAGGTAACAGGAACTGCTAACCAGAATAACCAGTTTAGAGAAGAACATAAATGACCTGATGGAGCTGAAAAGCACAGCACGAGAACTTCGTGAAGCATACACGAGTATCAATAGCCAAACTGATCAAGTGGAAGAAAGGATATTAGAGATTGAAAATCAACTTAATTAAATAAAGTGTGAAAACAAGATTAGAGAAAAAAGAATGAAAAGGAATGAACAAAGCCTCATAGAAATATGAGACTATGTGAAAAGACTAAACCTACGTGTGATTAGTGTACTTTAAAGTGATGGGGAGAATGGAACCAAGTTGGAAAACACTCTTCAGGATATTATCCAGGAGAACTTCCCCAACCTAGCAAGATAGGCCAACATTCGAATTCAGGAAATACAGAGAACACCACTAAGATACTCCTTGAGAAGAGCAATCCCAAGGCACACAATCATCAGATTCACCCAGGTTGAAATGAAGGAAAAATTGTTAAGGGCAGCCAGAGAAAAAGGTCAGGTTACCCACAAAGGGAAGCCCATCAGACTAACAGCAGATCTCTCTGCAGAAACCTTGCAAGCCAGAAGAGTGGAGGCCAATATTCAGCATTCTTAAAGAAAAGAATTTTCAACCCAGAATTTCATATCTAGCCAAATTAAGCTTCATAAGTGAAGGAGAAATAAAATCCTTTATAGGCAAGCAAATGCTGAGAGATTTTGTCTCCACCAGGCCTGCCTTACAAGAGCTCCTGAAGGAAGCACTAAATATAGAAAGGAAAAATGGGTACCAGCCACTGTGAAAACATACCAAATTGTGAAGACCATCAACACTGTGAAGAAACTGCATCAACTAATGGGCAAAAGAACCAGCTAGCATCATAATGACAGGATTAGATTCACACATAACAATATTAACCTTAAATGTAAACGGGGTAAATGCCCCAATTTAAAGACACAGACTGGCAAATTGGATAAAGAGTCAAGACTCATCACTGTGCTGTATTCAGGGGACCCATCTCACGTGCAAAGACACAAATAGGCTCAAAATAAAGGGATGGAGGAATATTTACTAAGCAAATGGAAAGCAAAAAAAAAAGCAGGTGTTGCAATCCTAGTCTCTGACAAAACAGACTTTAAACCAACAAAGATCATAAAAGACAAAGAAGGGCATTGTAAGATGGTAAAGGGATCAATGCAATAAGAAGAGCTAACTATCTTAAATATATATGCACTCAATACAGGAGCACCCAGATTCATAAAACAAGTTCTTAGACACCTACAAAGAGACTTAGACTCCCACACAATAATGGTGGAAGACTTTACCACCCCACCGTCAATATTAGATAGATCCATGAGACAGAAAATTCACAAGGATATTTAGGACTTGAACTCAGCTCTGGACCATGCAGACCTAATTAACATCTACAGAACACTCCATCCCAAATCAACAGAATATAAATTCTTCTCAGCACCACATAGCACTTATTCTAAAACTGACCACATAAATGGAAGTAAAACACTTCTCAGCAAATGCGAAACAACAGAAATCATAACGGTCTCTCAGACCACACTGCAATCAAATTAGAACTCAGGATTAAGAAACTCACTCAAAACCACACAACTACATGGAAACTGAACAACCTGCTCCTGAATGACTACAGGGTAAACAACGAAATTAAGGCAGAAATAAATATGTTCTTTGAACCCAATGAGAACAAAGACAAAAGGTACCAGAATCTCTGCTAAAGCAGTGTTTAAAGTACCAGCAGTGTCTAAAGCAGTGTTTAAAGGTACCAGAATCACAGCTAAAGCAGTGTTTAAAGGGAAATTTATAGTACTAAATGCCAACATGAGAAAGTGGGAAATATCTAACATCATAATTAAAAGAACTAGAGAAGCAAGAGCAAACAAATTCAAAAGCTAGCAGAAGACACGAAATAACTAAGATCAGAGCACAATTGTTGGAGATAAAGGCACGAAAAAAGCTTCAAAAAATCAATGAATCCAGGAGTTGGTCTTTGGAAATGATTAACAAAATAGATAGACCGCTAGCCAGACTAATAAAGAAGAAAAGAGAGAAGAATCAAATAGACCCAATAAAAAATGATAAATGGTATGTCACCACTGACCCCACAGAAATACAAACTACCATCAGAGAATACTATAATCACCTCTATGCAAATAAACTAGAAAATCTAGAAGAAATGGATAAATTCCTGGACACATACACCCTCCCAAGGCTAAACCAGGAAGAAGTCTAATCCCTGAGTGTACCAATAACAAGTTCTGAAATTGAGGCAATAATTAACAGCCTACCAACCAAAAAATGCCCAGGACCAGACAGATTCACAGCTGAATTCTACCAGAGGTACAAAGAGGAACTGGTACCATTCCTCCTGAAACTATTCTAAACAATAGAAAAAGAGGGACTCCTCCCTAACTCATTGTATGAGACCAACATCATCCTGATACCAAAACCTGGCAAAGACACAACAAAAAAAGGAAATTTCAGGCCAAAATCCCTGATGAACATCAATGCAAAAATCCTCAATAAAGTACTGGCAAACCGAATCCAGCAGCACATCAAAAACCTCATCCACCACGATCAAGTTGGCTTCATCACTGGGATGCAAGGCTGGTTCAACATAGGCAAATCAATAAACATAATCCATCACATAAATAGAACCAATGACAAAAACCACATGATTATCTCAATAGATGTAGGAAAGGCCTTCGATAAAATTCAACACCCCTTCGTGCTAAAAACATTCAATAAACTAGGTATTGAAGGAACATATCTCAAAATAATAAGATCTATTTATGATGAACCCACAGCCAATATCATACTGAGTGGGCACAAGATGGAAGCATTCCCCTTGAAAACTGGCAAAAGAGAAAAATGCCCTCTCTCACCACTGCTATTCAACATAGTATTGGAAGTTCTGGCCAAGCAATCGGGCAAGAGAAATAAATAAAGCATATTCAAATAGAAAGAGAGGAAGTCAAATTGTATCTGTTTGCAGAGGACATGATTGTACATTTAGAAAACCCTATCATCTCAGCCCCAAAACTCCTTAAGCTGATAAGCAACTTCAGCAAAGTCTCCAGATACAAAATCAATGTGCAAAAATTACAGGCATTACTATACACCAACAATAGACAGAGAGCCAAATCATGAGTGAACTCCCATTCACAATTGCTACAAAGAGAATAAAATACCTGGGAATACAACTTACAAGGGATGTGAAGGAGCTCTTTAAGAAGAACTACAAACTACTGTTAAAGGAAATAAGAGGACATAAACAAATGGAAAAACATTCCATACTCATGGATAGGAAGAATCAATATCGTGAAAATGGCCATATTGCCCAAAGTAATTTATAGATTCAATACCATCCCCATCAAGCTACCATTGAGTTTCTTCACAGAATTAGAAAAAACTATTTTAAATTTCATATGGAACCAAAAACAAGCCTGTATAGCCAAGAAAATCCTAAGCGAAAAGAACAAAGCTGGAAGCATCACACTACCTGACTTCAAACTATACTATAAGGCCACAGTATCCAAAACAGCATGGTACTGGTACCAAAACAGATATATAGACCAATGGAACAGAACAGAGGCCTCAGAAATAACACCACACATCTATAACCATCTGATCTTTGACAAACCTGACAAAAACAATCAATGGGGAAAGGATTCCCTATTTAATAAATAGTGTCGGGAAAACTGGTAGCCACATGCAGAAAACTGAAACAGAACCCCTTCCTTACACCTTATACAAAAATTAACTCGAGATGGATTAAAGACTCAAAAGTAAGGCCTAAAACCATAAAATCCCTAGAAGAAAACCTAGGCAGTACAATTCAGAACACAGGCATGGGCAAAGACTTCATGATTAAAACACCAAAAGCAATGGCAACAAAAGCCAAAATTGACAAATGGGATCTAATTAAACTAAAGAGCTTCTGCACAGCAAAAGAAACTGTCATCAGAGTGAACAGGCAACCTACAGATTGGGAGAAAATTTTTGCAATCTATCCATCTGACAAAAGTCTAATATCCAGAATTTACAAGGAACTTAAACAAATTTACAGGAAAAAAAAAACCCCATCAAAAAGTGGGCAAAGGATATGAACAGACACTTCTTAAAAGAAGATATTTATATGGCCAACAAACATATGAAAAAAAGCTCATCATCACTGTCATTAGAGAAATGCAAATCAAAACCACAATGAGGTACCATCTCATGCCAGGTAGAATGGCGATCATTAAAAAGTCAGAAACGGCTGGGCACGGTGTCTCATGCCTGTAATCCCAGCACTTTGGGAGGCTGAGGCATGCAGATCACAAGATTAGGAGTCTGAGACCAGCCTGACCAACATGGTGAAACCCCGTCTCCACTTAAAAAAATACAAAAAGTAGCCAGGCACGATGGCATGTGCCTGTAATCCCAGCTATTCAGGAGGCTGAGGCACGAGAATCACTTAAACCTGGGAGGTGGAGGTTGCAGTGAGCCGAGATCGTGCCACTGCACTCCAGCCTGGGTGACAGAGTGAGATTCTGTCTCAAAAAATAAAAGTCAGGAAGCAACAGTTGCTGGAGAGGATGTGGAGAAATAGGAACGCTTTTACACTGTTGGTGGGAGTGTAAATTAGTTCAACCATTGTGGAATACAGTGTGGCAATTCCTCAAGGATGTAGAACCAGAAATACCATTTGTCTCAGCAATCCCATTATTGGATGTATACCCCAAGGATTATAAATCATTCTATTATAAAGACACAGGCACATGTATGTTTACTGCAGCAATAGCAAAGACTTGGAACCAACCCAAATGCCCATCAAAGATAGACTGGGTAAAGAAAATGTGGCACATATACACCATGGAATACTATGCATCCATAAAAAGGGATGAGTTCATGTCCTTTGCAGGGACATGGATGAAGTTGGAAACTATCATTCTCAGGAAACTAACACAGGAACAGAAAACCAAAGCCTCATGTTCTCCTAAGTGGAAGTTGAACAATGAGAACATATGGACACTGAGAATGGCACATCACACACTGGGGCTTGTCGGGGTTGGGGGCAAAGGGAGGGATAGCATTAGGAGAAATACCTAATGTTGATGATGGGTTGATGGGTGCAGCAAACCACAATGGCATATGTATGCCTATGTAACAAACCTGCACGTTCTGCACATGTATCCCAGAACTTAAAGTATAATAATAAAAAAAAGAAAGAAATCCACTAGACTACTGAATAAATAATGAGCAGACTCAAAAAACAAATGAAAGAAGAAGAAATGTCTTATTACCAAGGTATTCACTCCACATAGGGTCTACAAGGCTATTTTACCTGATTTCAGTATAATGCTGAGGACGTGCTGTTGAATTAAAATTGACTGCCTATAGTTATAATACATACACATTAGGTTCTGTGGACAGGATCTTTTGGCTGATGTGGCTTTCATCTGTACAGAAATCCAGTAAATAATAGTATTTGGCACATCTCTTTTAAACACATTCAAAACATAGGATCAATATCTAAACATAAATGCAAGTAAACTAATTTCAATTTTTAATTAATAAAAAAATTTTCTTCCATTTTCGTCTTAATTCTCAATCCTGTGGAAGTAACAAATCTCAAAATCTAGGGAAGAAATAACTGAGACTATGATTCAGGTAACATTCTCTGAAAAATAAAGTTCATCATTCAGAATTTAAGAAGAATTCTTAAAATATGCCTTAGCATTTCCAACTAAATTTAGCCAAGATGAGACTATCTCCCAGTAGGTAAGGAAATGACAGATGTGGTGTACAGATCTGGGACTGAAGTTTGGCTGCTTTCTTTGCTGATCGTGGGAGATGAATTCTTTTCCACAGTGGAAATATGGTCTATGAGGGTTAGCCAGAACCTTAGAAACGTTCAGTAAGTGCAGGCACATGCTTTTGACAATATAATGCGTTATTGTGTAAATTAATAATTTAGTTTCTCAAGGTGCAAACATAATTTTCAGTTGTGGAGCTTTCTCAAACTTAGTTTTAGAATGTCAACAGTGACAGGAGACCTGCCCAGAGTTCCCCTTTTTTTTGGCATTCTCATTATTAGAGAGATTGCATTGTAGGCATGTGGTTCATATTCAATGTGACAAGTCATGTAGCGATTAAAAATTGGAATGCTTTGACAGCAGACTGAGCATGAGGATCAGTTGCCAGTGTAACTTCTCATGACAGAGAGAGCCTGGCAAATGACTAGGATCTGGTCAGGGGGGAGTCTTCAGCATCAGTGCACAAGGTGGAGAGGACTGATGGGGTCTCACCAAGACAGCACCCAGGGATGGCAGATGCACTGACCAGTTTCACTTCTTGCCAGTACTTCCCTTGTGCTGTTTTCCTGTAGCAACAAAACGGAAACTGAGTTTTTGCAGCCTCAGGGTGCAGATTTTAGATCTGGTTCTGGAAGTCAAATAGAGGCCTGAAATACAGCTTAACACATACACGCACACATACACGCACACACAAACACACACAGAGACACAGACACATATATACACACATATATACATATGTACACACATATTTACATATATACACACACACACTGTCTTGCAAAAAGATATTACATTGTTAAAGCTATAATATCTCTGAGAAAAATTTAAGAGAAGTTCCATAGAGGGTTAAGTCCTGTTCATTTTTATTCAACATCATTCATTAAGTTTATTTTTTCAGTTTTCTGGATTGAAATTTATTTTTGCTTCTATCTAATATATATCTATGTTAATTACATAATGTTATGTTGCTGATGTGGATTGACTTTCACGTCCATTAGAAAGTATCTTGCTGAAAACTTCAGGTTGAAAATTAATGCTATTTATAGGGAAATAAACTGTTCCACGAATTGTTTGTGCGCATGAGTGTGTAAGTAAATTGGTCTCTAGTTAGCACTGAAATTTTTTTTCAGCAGGTCTGTTTCCTAAGATTGATTGAATTCATGAAGTATAAACCAAATAAGCCAAAGAAGAAAGTTCAGAGAGGGAAAGAAACTTATGAAGAAAACAAAATAAATATTATTTGCAATATTAGAATCCATATCATAAATAAAACAAATTTTATTGACTTGTTTTTTAACTGTATGCACTGTGAAGAACACTGTCAAATTTATAACCTACAACTTCTTACATATTTTAGGCTTGGTATAAAATATTTTCAAGTTACTGCTCACTGAAATAGTATGACAAATAAATATTGCTTACACTAAATATAAAATTTCACAAATGTAATTTTATATTTTTTTAATAAATTTTCAGAATGTTAAACTGGCACCTTAGCAACTACCAATGGTAACTAATTTTGTGTATGTGTGTGCATGTGTGTGTTTTAGGAATTATTATGAGCTCATAGATACATTTTTCCAGCTTTTAAGTTCAGGGGTACATGTGCAGGTTTGTTACATGGGTAAGATGTGTGCCATGGTGGTTTGCTGCACAGATCATCCCATCACCCAGTTATTAAGCCAAGCATTCATCAGCTATTCTTCCTGATCCTCTCCTTCCTCCCAGCCCCTGCCCTCCAACAGGCCCCAGTGTGTGTTGTTCTCCACCATGTGTCCATGTGTTCTCATCATTTAGCTCCCACTTGTAAGTGAGAACATGAGGTATTTGGTTTTCTGTTCCTGCATTGGTTTGCTAAGAATAATGGCCTCGAGCCCCATCCATGTCCCTGCAAAGAACATAATCTCATTCCTTTTTGTGGATGCATAGTATTCCGTGGTGCACATGTACCACATTTTTTTTTAACCAAGTCTATCATTGATGGGCATTTAGATTGACTCCATGTCTTTGCTATCGTGAAGAAAGCTGCAATGAACATATGCGTGCATGTGTCTTTATAATAGAACAATTTATATTTTGGGGGTATATACCCAAAAATGGGATTGCTGGGTTGAAAGCTATTACTACCTCTATGTCTTTGAGGAATTGCCACACTGTCTTCCACAATGGTTGAACTAATTTACACTCCCACCACGAGTGTAAAAGTGTTCCTTTTTCTTTACAACCTCATCAGCATCTGTTGTTTTTTGACTTTTTAATAATAGCCATTCTGACTGGTGTGGGAAATACATATTTTAAAGTACATAGTTCAATGGATCCCACTATCTTTACAGTTGTTCAACTATATAATCTAATTCTAGAACATTTTCATAATTTCGGAAAGAAATCTTTACTCATTAGCACTCATTCCCCATTCTCCCTCCCCCTACCCTCAGCCTAGGCCATGACTAATTAACTTTCTGTCTCTATAGATTTGCCTATTCTGGACATCTCATATAAATAATACTATGCAATAGATTGTCTTTTGCAACTTGCTTCTTTCACTTAGCATAATGTTTTTGAAGTTTATCTATATTGTAGCATGTATTAGTGCTTCATTCCTTTTTATTGACAAATAATATTCTATTATATAAATATATACTATTTTTGCATTCCTTCATCTGTTGATTGTCAATTTGACTGTTTCTGCTTTTTGGCTATTATAAATAATGCTACTGTCACCATGTCACCATCCATGTACAAGTTATTGTGTTGACATATATTTTCATTTATTTTGGGTACATAACTAGTTGTGATATTCCTATGTCACATGGGAACTCTGTGTTTAATATTTTGAGGATCTACTAAAGACTTTTTTCCAAAGTGGCTGCTCATTTTACATTCCCACCAGCAATGGATTAAGTTCCCAATTTGTCCACGTCTATGCTAACACTTATTATTGCCTGCCTTACTATTATAGCCACTTCACTGGGTAGAAGTGATATCTCTTTGTGGTTTTAATTTACCTTCCAAATGCCTAATGATGTTGAATGTCATTTTAGGCACTTATTACCAATTAATATACTTTCTTTGGAGAAATGTCTATTAAAATATTTTTCCCATTTTCATAATTGGGTTGTCTTTTTATTATTGTTATAAAAGTTCTTTGTATATTCTAGATAATAATTCTTTGTCAGATGCACGATTTTCAAGTATTTTCTTCCAGTTGGGGGTAGTTTTTCTGTTCACTTTTTTGATGATGTCATTTGAAGCACAAAAGGTTTTTATCTCTGATGAATTCAGATATTTAGAATTAGTTTGCAAATTTCTGCAAAAAAAATGTCAGCTGGGATTTTGATAAGAATTGCATTGAGAGTTTAAAGATATTTCTATATGTGTTTATTTCTATCTATTTTAATCATAATTTATTTTGGCATTCAAATTGTTCTATTTTAGGCCAGTGGGAGCACTTTCAAATTGGCTCCTTATCCTTTTGGCATATGTTTGCTTAATAATCTTTGAGGGCTTCCTTTCTTCCTGGTATAACAAATGTTCAGTCCTTGTTTGGACATCCCCTAGCTCAGCCCCAGAGTTAGTCATTTCTCCAAGCAACCTTGGACCTTGGCTCCTTTTGGTGGCAAATTATATGTAAAGACCACAATCTGGATGCTAGGAATGATCATTGCTGTAGAGTTTTTACAGCTTGTTTTCTAGTGACAAAGCAAGGGAAAAAAATACATACACACACAATAAAGATAAATTTTAACTAATACCGATGTTTTAAAGTTATAGAAATTTATTTAACTTCCCTGTTTTATAATTTTATCTTTTTTAACATGAAAAATATATATGGTTTCCAATGTTATTAACACAATTATTTTTCTTTATTTTAAAATATACCTTTAAGTTCAAAACTAAAATATAACTGTAATCTCAGCACTTTGGGAGGCCAAAGCAAGAGAATCACCTGACACCAGAAGTTCAAGACAAGCCTGGGCAACATAGTGAGACCCCACCTCTATAAAAACCACAAAAATTAACCAGGTGTGGTGGCACAAACCTGTAGTCCCAGATACTTGGGAGGCTGAAATGGGAGGATTGCTTGAACCCAAGATGTCAAGGCTGCAATGAGCCATGATCATGTCACTGCACTCAAAGCTGGGTGACAGGGCAAGACCCTGTCTCAAAATAAATAAATAAAAGAATATTACCATTAATAATATTGCATAAAGTTTATTTGCTTTTTTATCCTTTGAATATAGTATACCATGGATATCCAGTCAAAGTACTGTATTTCAAAGTATTTTCTCTTTCTGGTTATTCTTCCATGTGATATAAAGTTAGGTTTACTTGTTTTAGTCATTTTTAATCTTTTAGGGAATTTCTACATTTAAATTTGTATTGCAATAATGTTAAACAGTTACACAGTTCTATGATAATGTGGGCTAACAGAGGTTTTACTTCCATCCCTGTTCCATCCATTCTGGTTTTTTGCTTCCCGTAAAAGTAACCATATTATTAATTTGGAGGGTTTTTTTCTATTACTTGTTTTTTAATATAAGCAAGTAGTCCATATGAATAATCATATTTTCACCACTTTCTTAGACTAAAATTGGCATCCTTGTTTTTTTCACTTTACATAGACCCTGGATAAAACTCTACATCATAAGGAAGACAGATATCTTCCTCACTCATTTTGCATTTGTAAGGCTCTCAAATACGCAGACACACATTCTCCTATTGATAGACATTGGGGTTGATTTCATTCTTAGGTCTAAGAGATCATACCACTATAAATAGTCTTGTGAAGTTTTTATTTTGTATTTTTGCCAGGATGTCTTTGGAATAGAGATGGGATTGCTGAGTATAACAGGCACACTTTGTGCTCCCTCAGGATCTACCTTCTTCCCTCTTCTGTGCACTCCGCTCTCAGCCCTGTGAGTCTTCCTTTCTAATGGCCTGCAGCTGTAGCTGGAAGACTGCCCTCAGGATACTGGAGCAGTTCTCTCTTGCATACTCAGATTGCTGGAAGTGCTGAGGAATTTACACTCTTCCAGGATAAGTTTAGAAAAGGATGGATGGGTATCAACATGTGAAAGCCCAGCACCTATGCCAGAGGCAACCTTATGAAATCAGGCACAAGCTTCTTCCTGAGACTCTCCCTGAAGCTGAACACTTTCAGGGCATCTTCTTCCCTAGGCTTACTCCCTTAGCTTTGTCTCCTACCGGCACTTTCTTAATTACCCATTTGTACAACCCTTTGATAATTTAAGATAGTGGTAATTGTACTTATTACCAAACTGGGTTGGAGTGAGAGGGAATGGGAGAGGTTAAAGATGATTCTAAAAGTTTTTGGTTTGATCAACTGGAAGAATATAATTGTCACAAGTGGAAGGAGAAAAGACTATGATTACAGTAGTTTTGAGGAAGAAGATAAGGATATCAGAATGGAGCAAAGCCTAAACTCAATATTCACATTAAGATAATGCATAGACTCTGAAATTAAAGTTCAAATTATAACTTCCTTTAAGTCAGGTACTATATTAGACAACTTTTGGAATTCCACAAAATACCTGGTACTGGACACCACACTCAGAAGATGTAAAATAAATATTTGTTAAATAAATATTTGTTGAATAAGTTAAAAGGTACTCACACCTTCAATCTTTTTCCCCATAGTGTGGGTGAAATATATGAGCAAATGCATTGCTAAATACTATGTTAATACTCTAAGTGTTTAAAGTGATAGAAAATATTTTTAAAACTGGCAAAATAGCCAAACTGATAATATTTATAAGGGATTATCTCTTTAATACAGATTTTTTAACATACTGTACAATGTGTGTTTGTGTATATAATTCTACATTTTCTTTTAAAAGACATAGTCAGATGTTATTCACTTAAGAATACATTGTTATGAATGTATTTAAGCAAAAAAAAAACAGATTTGAAATGTATCCTTAGGTTTTATAGCCATCTATTTTACACAGACTTTTCATATTGTTCTTTTTCTGAATCAAAATGCACATAACTTTTCAGTAACTACCAGTATATGTAAAATAACAAAAAGACTCATAATACTTAGAATACCTTATTTCCATATCTCATAACGAAATCTTATATTATACAGTATTTCTTGAATTTCTTTCTCATATTATTCAATAACACCATGGAAGGAATTTGCATACAAATTCAAAGTATTTAAAATTGAAGCTCATGTAAGAAATTATATGGGACATCATTTCATTTTAATAGATGACAATTAAATCTATGATAATTTGCATTTCCAAAACAATGAGTGCTACATTATTGCACAATTTGTAGATATGTTATGATGTATAAACAATGTTCAGACATTTATGCATTTGCTACTTTTCATATAACATCTAAAGCTAACCAGTCCTTGAAAAAGAAGTAAAGGATTTAGTCCTAGAAAGTTTACTGCAATATTGGCCAGTAAAGAAAGAGTTAAATTGAACTTTGGATATATGTTAGTCATAACATAATCTCTTGATATATTAGTGGGTCAATAGTTCAGCCAAGAAAGGGACTCTAACTTGAGCAGACACTAATTAAAAGAATCAATTCTTATCCTACTACATACGTCCAATCATATTAACACATTTCTAGATTTCTTACTCAGTGGACTAGTCAAGATTAAAGGATTTGCTAATATGAAGGAACAGAGTATGCTTCCAAACTGACTGAGCAGATTTGTGAACAAATTAGTTCATTTAAAATTGACAGTGAAAGATTGATTTTGCACAGAATGAGTTACCTAAGGTATTCATCATTTCCTCTGCCTCTGCACACAAGACAGAGATCCGTTTCCTTCACTTTCTGATTGTAATAGGGCTGCTTACTGAGCACCTTTATTTTACAGTCCTGATTGCAGCCTGTCATTCCTTTTAATTCAGACATATTTTAGCCTCTTAGGCAGACCTTCAGAAATAACTTCCTTAAAAGCCTCAGAAAAATGACTCATTACACATTGCTCAATTCAACCATGCTATAAATTATAATGCAGGGAAAAGTTCTAATTGCACAAAAGATCCAATTACTCATAAGGCTATGTGACTCCTTATTCAAAAGCAGGTACAAGTAGGAAATCCAGATGCAAAAACACATTTCCAAAGTTGAAGGTCAATACTCTACAACTCTAACAAAACCTAAGATGTTTGACATTTAGTATACGTTAGTATATATTAGCACATATTTAGTAGATAAATATTTTAAGTAAAGGGTTAGAAACTATATACAAAAAATGAAATAAAATGCTGAAATAGTTGAGGATTTTAAGTGTAAGAAAACAAAAGCAAAACTTTGTGGAAGAAGGAAAAGAGCATGACAACAGCAAACACATTTAGAAAACCATAAGAACCAGCTAGACATGGTGGCTCACGCCTGTAATCCCAGCACTTTGGGAGGCCCAGGTGGGTGGATCACCTCTCAGGAGTTTGAGACCAGCCTGGCCAAAATGGCAAAACCTGGTCTCTACTAAAAATACAAAAACATTAGCTGGGCGTGTTGGCAGGCACCTGTAATCCCAGCTACTCCAGAGGCTAAGGCAGGAGAATTGCTTGAACCTAGGAGGCAGAGGTTGCTGTGAGCCGAGACTGTGCTACTGCACTGCAGCCTGAGTGGCAGAGTGAGACTGTCTCAAAAAAAAGAAAACAGTAAGGACCAAATTAAAACAAAATCCAAGGAAAAGTATATGCACTCATGTTATTTTCCTACAAAGACCTAGACTTCAGATATCTAAAATATAAGTTATGGCAAAGTGATGTATTTAGAAAATGGAATTTTCAGGACTTGTTAATCAAACTTGAGACAGTGGGAGAGTGGAGGAGAGGTCTAAGTTAAATGTTGTGGGGTGAAAGAGTTGAGAAACTTGATCCATGACAGTGTCTGTTCATTCAAATATGGCAGACAAATTAGAGCAGAAATGATTTCAATTTTGAATGTCTGGAATGTCTATGGGAAATCAAATGGCAATATGCAGAAGTGATTTTGATAGATAGACCTGTGTTTATAAGTTATAAGCAAATGTAATATTACCTCTATTTTGTTGATGAAAATAAAGCTCAGAAAGAATATAAAGTTTTCTACAAGGTATTACAGTTAAAAAATACTGGTATCACCCCGTCTCTACTAAAAATACAAAAAATTAGCCAGGCATGGTGACAGTCTCCTGTAGTCCCAGCTACTTGGAAGGCTGAGGCAGGAGAATGGCATGAACCCGGGAGGCGGAACTTGCAGTGAGTCGAGATCACGCCACTGCACTCCAGCCTGGACGACAGAGCGAGACTCCGTCTCAAAAAAAAAAATAAAATAAAATAAAAATAAAACTGGTATCAGATTATCTGACTTTAGATCAAATATTTATTTTTACATAATAAGGGGTGTGTGTGTGAGTGAGAGAGAGAGAGAATCTGTGTGTTTAAAACAATTCAGATTTCAGATAAAGAAATCCAATGGCTTCCCCAGTGTTTCTATGTAATCTTGGGGGAATCTCATGTTCACTTTTGGTTCTAAGTTGCCATTTCCATTGAATTCTTGGTTTTGCTGCATTTTAAGGCTCATGTCCTCTTTGATTTGCTCCATTTCTGGGTAAACAAGAAATTCAGACCTCATCACCAAGTCAACAAACCTATATATATCAGTACCCATATATTTTGTTTTTCCTCCTGTCATAATAGATAACATCTTTGTTCCAAAGTCAACTCTACCACATGTAAACTAAAATCTCTCCCCTAATAAAGGACCTCACTCCTACAGTTGTCTCCTCTTTTTCCCAAATCATTTGCATTTCCTCACTATTAGATTGTTTTTTAATTAGCATAAAAATCAAGAGCTAATAATAATTCCTTTATTAATTGCCATCAAAAATAATTTCTAATAATGCCCATCCAAAAAAAAAAGAGAACCAAAACTTTAATTCTCCTTCAGCTTGCTTATTGTTGCTTGAACTCACTTCATTTAAGTTTTTGTCTTCACTGCATCCAAATTTCTCTTATCAAGATCTTTAAAGACCTCTACATGTTAAATCCAGTAGCCAATGTTCAGTACTACCTGACCTGTTTGCAGTATTTGGCACTGTTGATAACTTACTCTTTCTCAAAACCCTTCCTTTCCTTGGCTTATTGGAGCCCACTCTCTCCTGCTTCTCCTCCTCCCGATTTGGCTGCACCTTCTCAGTTTCATTTGCTGATTTCTATTCATTTTCCCAATTCCTAAATGTCACAGTGTTCCAGGGCACTATCCCCAGAACTCTTTGTCTGCACTCAGTCTCTTGGAGATCTCATGCCTCATACCTTTAAAACCCATCTATATGCTAATGTTTCCCAAATATATCTCAGGAGCTGAGACCTTTTCTTTCAAACTCCAGATTTCCTTTTTCACCCCAAATGCCTACTCTCATCTCTATTTGGTTGACTAAGAGGCACCTCAAATGCAATATGCCAAAATTAAGCTTTTGGTATCCAAGCTTCCAAAACTGCCTACTCTCTGACTTTTCATATACATAAATCGCACCTACATTTTTCCAAAACTCAAGCCTTAGTGTTTTTTACCTTTTTCTTTTCTTAGTATCAAACCAGCAACAAATTCTATTGACTTTTTTTTTTTTCCGAGACCCTATTGACTATTTTCTTTTAGTTTAAGTTACATCATCCCTAGCTCCCTATCCTGTCCAAGCCACATTAGCACACACTGGATGTTGGTGTAACCTCTGAACTGATCTCACTACTTCCATTCTTGCCCCCAAAAATATTCTTCACCTTGCAGTCAGAATGACTTTGTAAAACAAATTAGATCATGGTACTAATTGCTCAAAATCCCTCAGTGCCTTCTGGTGTCACTCAGAGCAAAATCTAAAGTTTATAACCATGAAATAGGAGACCTTAAGTGATTTGGCTTTCTGTAAGTCTCTTGACTTCATCAATTGACTCTTCTTCTTGTTGACTCCCTCCTTTTACACTGGCTTCTTTGCTATAATTGAAACTTCGTAAGCATTATTCATTCGAGGGCCTTTGCTTTTGCTATTCCCTTAATGGGAATGATTTTGTCCATAAAACCTCATGATTCCTCATTTATTTCAGGCACTGCTTAGATGTTACCTTTATTCAGTTGAATATAAATCTGGTCACTGTTAACAAAGATCAAAATAATAGTAAATGAAACAAGATAAAAGTTTATTTCTCTTTGACATATGAATCTGAGAGTATTAGTGGTCCAAAGCTGTTGTTGATGCTCCATAGTATCAGGGACTCAGACATCTTCAATCATGTTGCTTAGCCATCCTCAAAATGCAGCTTCCATCATGAGGTCTGGACAGCTACTACATCTCCCATCACCATGTTCACCTTCTGGACATTGGGGAAGAAGAAAAGGCAAGGAAGGGAGTACTCAGGTGCATGTGTCACTTCTACTTACATCTTACTTCGCTACAGCTTAATCACCAACTGCAAGGAAGGCTGGGAAATGTAATCTAGGCTGTGTGGCTATGTGGCCAGCTAAAACTCATATGTCTTATGTCTAAAGGTAAATGGAAACATGCTTATTGGAAGATCATTGGCAGCTTTTGTCACATTATCTTATCACAGAGGCTTTTTTCCCACCTTACTCTACAATAGTCTTTAATCTCCTTTATTTTTGCTTACAGGACTTATAATTACTTACATATCATGCTTATTTGCTGATTTATTTTCTGGGTCCCAACACTATAATGTGAAATTCTCTAGGGCAAGAGCTTTATCTGTTTTAATCATGAGATCCCTGTAGAGGTATGAACTCAATCAATGTATTTTGAATGAAGAACTCTCTGAATATCCATGAACTCACTATTCTGTCTCGTTCCCATGCATTTTCACAACCTGCTCTGTACCTCAACCTCTCTATTCCTTTTGATTCACATAACCCCAGTGTCTATTTAAGGTTCAGTTTCAGGCATTAGCTCATTTGTGATAACTTTGTGAATCTTTTAGGGTCTGTTCTGCACCACCCAAACCCTGCATTCCAGTCCTCCTTCCCATTGTCTGTCTCCATTATTATATTACAAACTCCTTGAAGATAAGAAGCCATGTCTTATCTTTGTATCACAGGCTCTCCATTAGTAAGTACTCTGACTGCAATTGATAAAAACTCATTTCAAACTATTTAAATAAAAAAAGATTTTAAAGCCAGTTGAGCATTGAGGTGGGTTTCTCTTATGTAACTCCAAGAGCAATAAGACCTCATGCTCCCTCACCTTGATCATTTCCTCTGAAAAAAAGGAGTTCCTTCTGGTAGCTCTCGTGAAATAGTTGATTTTTCTATCTTTTCTGAGAGATACTTGGTCATCTTATTTGTAAGCCTGGAGTTGCCTTTAAACTCTGTATTTAATAATGATTTTCTTCTCTATAGGTTAGAAGGTGGGAGGAGAATGGAACTCTCAAGAAAGTCACCCCAAGATCTATAGATACTTTTCTGAAAAAAAAAATCAATTCATAAGCTTACAAAAAATCAAACCTGTATTTCTTATCTGAAACATTCAGGTAATAATTGCCTCAATTTGTTGCTTGGTATTGGTCGGAAAGGTTAGAGAAGGACCTGACTCATTAAACCCATCTCAAATTAGGTAACGAAAGTTTGATTAAATGTAACCCTGCCAGTCATTTTTTTTTCTTATCATTGTAAAAGGGTTGAATGTTCTTCTTCCTTTGAAGTAAAATCCCAGGCTGCCTGCCAAAAAGTGTACATGTGTGTTGGAAATAAGTAGCCAGGTATGCTTGGAAATATGAAAAATTAGAAATTTCACAGGTAACACACTGAATCTAGAGTATAATATCTTAGTGTGTGTGACATTACTTTGACTAGGTAATGTCATAAAAGTGAAGTTCTAAAATCTCTGCCTCATCGCTTATTTTTGAAGAGATAAACATCAGATCTAGTTTGGGAAAGGCCTCACCCTCTGACTTTGCAAAGAGCCTATTACAGCTTCTCACGATTCTTGATCACGTCACCCCTTTCTCACTGGATCAGATGGGTTTAGAACCCATCTAGAAGCCAGTCACTGTGGCTTGGAGGAGAGATATGCTCATTGGATAAAATAATCAAGGTCCACCCAGGAAGCACAGGTGAGTCAATCTTATCAAGAGTGTTGGGGGGTGGGAAGGAAACTGGAGTGGATTCCCCGAGACCATTAGGTTGCTTTAAACCAGGAAAAGACAGAGTATATTCCAAATGTAATGCTACAAGTGTTCACTGAAGATTTCATTAAGAGTTTTATAAATAGATGTGTAGTATAATTTTATTTGTGTAAGAAACCATATTTAGAGAGACATAAATATATATGCAAAACAGAAGGTCTTCAAGTTAGACAGCATAATGCAATGCTAGCAGTGCTACCATTATGCATTGTGGGAAGGCAGTAAAAATGTAGAGTGTGAGGGGATTCCACTAAGAGGAGATGGTTCACGTTTAACTTTACATACCTATGTACTGCTTGGATTTTGTAATAAATATGTAGTCCAAAGTAATTTGTTACTAAAAACAATTTTTCATTAGAAAACAATACTTATTCCTTATAACAGAAAGTTTATAGCTTGATTTAATGAACAGTGGTCTTGAATATGGCAAGCAATATTGACAGGATGTCATTGCATTCATACTTCACCCTCCTATTGTTGAAAGTAACTCTTCACATATACTTCCAGTTTATTTGAGTCATATTTACTTTTGTAATAAGTCAAATACACCCTATATTATTAGATAAGCATGTTTCTTGCAGAATTTAGCATTTAGAAAACAAAAAGAAAGAAAAATATGCATTTACTTTTTTTTTTTTTTGAGATGGAGTCTCACTCTGTTGCCCAGGCTGGAGTGCAGTGGTGCGATCTCGGCTCACTGCAACCCCCGCCTCCTGGGTTCAAGTGATTCTCCTGCCTCAGCCTCCCGAGTAGCTGGGACTATGGCCACCATGCCCAGCTAATTTTTTGTATATTTAGTAGAGACGAGGTTTCACCATATTAGCCAGGATGCTCTGGATCGCCTGACCTCGTGATCCACCCACCTCGGCCTCTCAAAGTGCTGGGATTACAGGTGTGAGCCACTGTGCCCGGCTCCTACCTTTTTTTTTTTTTTAAATACAATACAAGCATTTACATTTTGTTTCCTGAAGTTGTATTTACTTATTTATTTTCACTGAGAAAGCCATTCATCATGTTATGGTGTGAATGCTTCTATCTCCCCAAAACATATGGGTTCATATGTTGTAACCCAATCCCCAATGTGATGGGGTCTATGAAAAGCAGTTAAGTAATAAGGTCACAGGATTGGGGTGGGATTAGTGCCCTTATAAAAGAGATCCTCAAGAATTGCTTTGCCTTTTTCACCACGTGAGAACACAGCAAGAAGGCAACATGTATAGACCAGGAAATGGGCTCTCACCAGACACCGAGTCAGCCAGTGCCTTGATCTTGGATGTCTCAGTTTTCAGAACTGTGAGGAATACATTTCTGTTATTTGTAAGCAACCTAGTCTATGGTAACAGTCCAAAAGGACTAAGACAGGTCATAGTTGTCAGATATTCACAGATATTAATTAAGCTTAGAGCTTAGCAAAGCACTCAGAAGCATTATACTTGTACTATATTCATTGCAATGTCTCTTACAAAAATAATTCAATGAACTGCCAAGAACCACTTTTTTTGTTTTTTGGTGACGAAAAATGTCAAGTGAATGTGTGCATGTGTGTAATTACAAAAATTATTAAACATATATAAGCATGTGGATTCAATTGTAAAACTTTTATTGTATATCTACTGTATATCAGCCACTGTTCAGGAAATACAAATACAAAGTCATTACCCTGATAATTACAGAGACTACTGGAAATCACTAATAAATAAACAATTTCTTTTGATTGTGGTGCATTAATGAGGAACAAGGGGAAACAGAATCACAGAGTCAGGCTTAAGTAGTGTTAGGGGTGGGAGGAGATCCATGCAAGCCTTCAACAGAGGAGCAGCTGCTTGGCAGAAAATGGGGTGACAGTACATTTCAGGCTGAAGGAATAGTAAGCACACTAATGGAGTTGTAAACAGCATAGTAGAATTGGGAACCTGCAAAGAATCCAATACTGTGCACTAATGAAGTGGAAGGGCAGGAGTTATCATCAAGTAGGTAAGAGTCAAAATTTACTATGCTATTGTAAACACTTTTTCTGTAGATAATGCAGTAATATTAAATAGGAGAAAGGCGTAACAAAATTTATGTTTAGGGAGAAACATTTTAGTTTAGAAGATACGTGAAAGTGAATTAAGGTGGATAAGGACTAAAAGAAGAACCAGTTAAGACACTATTAATCCAGATGACGTATGATAGCTTGAAGTAAGTGATTCTGGAAACATGAACGAAGGAGATTTAAAGATCAATTTACATGTGGGATTATGAGATAGAAGGAATTAAGGATGGGCTTCCGAGAATCTATAAACTTTCTCCCAGATAGGAAAATGTATATGATTATTTACATTTTCTGGGGAAATAACATAGATTTTATCAGATCCCTAGATGGGTTCATAACTGAAACAAGTTTCAAATTATTGTATTGTACAATTTTCATACTCACACTTTACTTAAAAACTTGTGTCTTTTGACAATTATTTATTCGGGTAAGGTTGCCAGATGTAACTATTAATAATACAAACACAGAATGGAGTGCAGGATTTAGCAAATAAAAATTTACGTTTAGGCCTGGCCCGGTGGCTCACGCCTGTAATCCCAGCACTTTGGGAGGCCAAGGCAGGTGGATGACCTGAAGTCAGGGATTCAAGACTAGCCTGGTTAACATGGCAAAACCCCATAGCTACTAAAAATATAAAAATTAGCCAGGCATGGTGGCATACACCAGTAGTCCCAGGGGCTTGGGAGGCTGAGGCAGAAGAATTGCTTGAACCCAGGAGGTGGAGGTTGCAGTGAGCCGAGATCACATCCCACCACTGCACTCCAGCCTGGGCGACAGAGAAAGACTCTGTCTTAAAAATAAAATAAAAATTATATTTAACTGAGCATCCTTTACTTTTATTTGGCATCCCTACTTAAAGACATTCAAGCTGGGAAGTGACGTTTTTCTGGAATTGTACATTATCTGGATATGAACTTTCTTCCATTTGAATTCCATTAATTAATTAGTTCACCCGACAAATATTGATTGGTTACCTAATCTGTCCACTGAGTACACATTTAGTGGAAAACAGATATATACCCCTTTCCTGAGACACTAACAATGTATTGGGTAATATTTTTTTTTAAAAAGTAGATTGAGAATTAATAGATTATTATGAATAGTGAGTACCAGGAGACAAGCAAGGGGTAGTGACAGAGAGCAATGTGACTTTTTATTAGAATGGGAAAAAAGCCAAGCCAGGTGAAGGGCAGGGAGGAACATGTTCCAGGGAGAGGAAAGATTTTGATGGAAAGACTGGAGGTGGGAAAGAATTGCTGAGTTGATGAAAGAAAGAAAGAGAGAAAAGAAAGAAAGAGAGAAAAGAAAGAGAGAAAGAAAGAAAGAAGAAAAGAGAGAGAAGAAAGAAAGGGAAGGGAAGGGAAGGGAGGAGGGAGGGAAGGAAAGGAAGGAAGGAAGGAAGGAAGGGAGGGAGAGAGGGAGGGAAGGAGGGAGGGAATGGAACTTTGGAAAGCTGAGGTGGGTGGATCACAGATCAGGAGTTCGAGACCAGCCTGGCTAACATGGTGAAACCCCATCTCTACTAAAAATACAAAAATTAGCCAGGCATGGTGGCATGCGCCTGTAATCCCAGCTACTTAGGAAGCTGAAGCAGGAGAATTGCTTGAACCCAGGAGGTGGAGGTTGCAGTGAGCCGAGATCATGCCACTGCACCCCAGCCTGGGTGACAGAGTGAGAATCTGTCAAAAGAAAGAAAGAAAAGAAAGGAAGGAAGGGAGGGAGGGAGGGAAGGAAGGAAGAGAAAGAAGAAAGAAAGATTTTATGTAGTGTTGAAAGGAGAGACTGGATACAGAATCAGCTACATAATTTATGATTTTCAGGGCCCAGTGCATAATGAAATTATGGCCCCTTGTGCAAAAAGCAGGATAAAAGCAGCATTAAAGTTCCTAAAATAAAAAGTATTTTCTTTTTTGTTGTCTCTCTTTTGATTTGTCATGGTGTTTTTTGCTTGATATTTAATATTCTAAGTAAAAAAAAAGTTAAAATTCAAATTATTAGCATGAATTTTAACATTTATTTTTATATTGGGCAATTCAATTTTTAAATGCAAATATGAATGTTTATCTTGTATGCAAATCACTGAAATTACACAATTTGTATTCCATCACTCATATATACATATGTATTCCATTCTTAGAACCGTAAAAATGCTACACAAAACTAACTGAAATGTTTTTATTTCACTTCCTGATACAAATGCATTCTACCACCTCTCTCAACCTTCAGCTAACTGATAAGGAGAAAGAACCAAGTAGAAAAGGAACTACAGGCTGCTCTATCTTTCCCTTTCCTTCTATATCATTCCTTTCAGTGTACATGATTGGCAAATACAGAGAACTTTGGGTAAGAAAAGATATGATAGAGTTTCTTGGCTCTTTGAGTCTCCTAGAATGTTATTAACTTCTTTTGTCACTAGAAGCAAGATCTGATTCAATAGGAAAAGATGGTGTCCAAGAGCTGTCAGCAGCCCCTCACCCCACCCCCACCTACTAGTTGTAGACATTACACTTCACTTGTACTCTCTTTGAGTCTCCCTGGGCACCCATATAATGGTGAATTCAGCAATATTTTGTGCTTATGGGGCACAGCAAACTGGAACACCAAAAAACAGTGGATTCACTCATGGCATGCATTTCTTCTGTTCGTGGGTATGCTTCATTTTTTCCTTGGACTTAACTTACAAAACACAAATTCAAAGATAAAAGAATAATAGAAGGTAAGAATTTAGAATTGTAATGTCAGAACATTAAACCATCCATGAAGCCCTGTGTGACTGCTATGGACTTAATGATTTTGCCCTCAAAATTTTATATGTTGGAGTCCTAATATCCAATGTGATAGTGTTTGGAGTTAGGGTCTATGGGAGGTAGTTAGGTTGTGAAGATGGAGCTGTCATGATAGGATTAATGGCCTTATAAAAAGAGACAGGAAACAACTTGTTTTTTTCTCTCTCTCTTCTCTCCACCAGGTGAGGCTATAATGACAAAGCAGCCATCTGCACACCAGGAAGGGGCACTCACCAGACATCAGAGCTGCCGGCACCTTCACCTTGGACATCCCAGCCTCCAGAACTGTAAAAAATAAATGTTTGTTGTTTAAGCCACCCAGTCTATTTTAATTTGTTATAGCAGCCTAGTATGGTTTGGCTGTGTCCCCACCTGAATCTCACCTTGAATTGTAATAATTCCCATGTGTCATGGGAGGGACACTGTGGGAGGTAATTGAATCATGGGATGGGTTTTCCCATGGTGTTCTCATGATAGTGAATAAGTCTCATGAGATCTGATGGTTCCCCTGCACACATTCTCTTGCCTGCCACCATGTAAAATGTGTCTTTGCTCCTTCTTCACCTTCCGCCACGATTGTGAGACCTCCCCGCCATGTGGAACTGTGAGTCCATTAAACCTCTTTTTCTTTATAAATTACTCAATCTTGGGTATTTCTTCATAGCAGTATGAAAATGGACTAATGCACAGCCCAAACTAACTAGGTCAGCTATGCTACAAGTTACAATCTTAAAATGGTAGCCCTGCGGTGGAGGAGATGATGATGGAGAAGTGGGTAGGGACCTGAACATGCAATTTATGGTGTGGTGTCTGGGTTTAATTCAGTGTCTATAATTTTGCCATACTTCTCCTGCCCTCTAGCTTCTTTTTCTCCTGTTTGGAAAACCTATATGTAATACAAATTTAACATACCTTGTGTTAAACAGATTTGATTTATTCCAATGTCATTAATTCCTTCCAACTACAAATCAAACCTTGAACTTAAAAGAGGAACAATCAGAAACAAAAACCAAATTTTCCTTTTTCTCAGTATTTGTTTCTGGATCTATCACAAATAATAATAACAGCAATTACATATTCAGCATTGAAAAATCAGGAATGATGCCAAGTATTTTATGTAGTAGTTTGCAATTAAAAAAATATTTAGAAGCAGACACCACAAGTCTCCAAGAACTATTTTTCACAGTTGAATTTTGCCATTTCACAGGACTATTGGCTCTGGAGTGATGCCCTAGTAATCTGTTTTCTGACACCCATTAATTCATTTCCTCACTTCTTTGATTGAAGTACTGCATACACTGATCATTGATTTGTAAAGTTGGGTGTGAATGCCCAATGAATTTTAAAAAGAAACTCTTAACACTACATTCTGTTCTAGCTGTACTTCACTTTGCAGTGCAGTTCATGGTGTCATTTGCTGCCTATGTCCTGCTTCAGCAGAAGTGGGCAAAAGAAAGAAGAGAGTAGGAGCAGAAAAAAACATACCAAGGTAAATTTGTAGACAAAGTGCACTCATACTTCTAGTATCATCTTGTACATTATCATTAAGTAAAACCCTGAAAATCTCCTTTCTGGTTCTTTTGCTTGTTTCTTATTTTGTTCTTATGAAAGATTTTATTTCATTTTACAAAATCTTTCATAAGAACAAAATAAAAAACGAGCAAATGAATTTAAAAAGGTGCAATTCATGACACCACTAAATTGCATTATAATTCTGTATGGTCTTTTCCTGCATTTGGGGAAGCTGGCTGTAAAGGCTCATGAGACACCCATATATTGTTCACAGAATCCCCCACATGTGTGCGGCTCACAGCTTCTGGCAAGGATGTGAATGCAGTGGCTTAGAAATTGGCATCAGTTGAGAATAGTAACAAAATATTACCGGTTGGTGTTTTCTTCTTATGCTTCCTGTGTGTAAAGAAAAAAGATCCTCCTTTTTTCTAAAAAATAATTTTAAATATTTCCTATAGAATATTTATTTCTAAAACTGGCATTTTCATCACATTTAATTTTTAAAGGTGATACATAAATATACTTTATATTATAAAAGTTTTTGTTCAAAGAGCAAATATTACCAAGCCAACATAACAAAAAGATACATTACAGTTTCTCTTTGGTGATTTATGAAAAGTACCAGTAATACCAATGAAAAGTTAAGTCCCAAAGGGAGAGATTATCCAAATATTTCTTAATTAATCAAACTTTTTTGGGCATCTACCACACACTAAGCACGGTACTATGTACTAAAGTCTACATACACATCTCTATGCCATATAAAGTCCTACTGAGGTAAACAAAATATGGTGGCAATATTTTCTTTGCACGGGATTAAATAAACTGGGATACCGCCAAGATTGTCTTCCCAGCATACTTCCTCCGTTGCAGTTAACCTGCTTAATTTAACATACTTTTCTCTTCTGGGCCAAAGCCCTAGATTCATGACTACCTGACTTTTTTCCTTCTCTGTCTTCCTTCTATTATTCCAAGGTAGACTAGTTCTTAAGTTGTGCTAAATCATAGCCTTCTGCAGACCAACAGTGGCAAGCCTAACAAGAACCTTTTCTATACCAGGAGCTCAATTTCAGGAGCTCAATGCTAAGCTTTTAATATGCTAAAAGAGGAAAATGAGAAATTTGGAAAATCCTTTCTCAAGGCAATAGCCTGGTTGATGAAGCTATTGTCTTGATACATAATCGTTTTTGCATTTTTTCTTTCTATTTAAATGCCTTCTGTAACATGTCTAATCTCTACACATACATGATCTCTGGCAGATGGATGCATAACCAAGTAGAGTGATGCCATGAATTTAGAAAAAGCAAAATAAAATAATAGTTTATAATTTTCAAATGCTCCTCCTTCTAATAATATAGTCAATATCCAATACATAGGAATTCACCTAATTTCTCCTCAACTTATTTTCTTATTTATTTCTTCATCTTCTCCCAAGTCTACCTTTTTGATAAAACCACTAACAGAATACACACACACACACACACTCACACACACCCCTAAACACTACACCTCCTTCAAATTCATGCAAACACTTTGGACACTTCTACTCTAATGGTAAAATGGCAGCACTAGGCAGTATGGAAAAAGATGATGGATTAACTAAAACCGAATTACAGGCTCCACAAAATAAAACTATATTGTTAGTAGTAACATTAGTAGTATTGATATTTATAACAAATAAAATGTATTAAATAATCAATACTCTACAGGCCCAAATTGATACCAATTGACCACAAAATTTATCATAATTGACATGGAAAGTGCCTGCAAGTACTACTTTCTGGACTACTATGAAAAGATCAATCTGAGTTTTGTAAGCTCTCCTATTAATATATTTGAAAACATTGCAGTTGCTGAAATAAGTAGTTTTATTTTGAAAGATTTCCATTTGCTTCAGCTTTTCTGTCACAATTACATTATTTTTTATGGTTTGTGA
The DNA here is from genome assembly GCF_000001405.40 of Homo sapiens. Lineage (NCBI taxonomy): Eukaryota > Metazoa > Chordata > Mammalia > Primates > Hominidae > Homo > Homo sapiens. The sequence goes on along the minus strand of NC_000003.12, from coordinate 147,685,813 downwards.
TGTTTGCTATTTTTAATCCATGATAGAGCAATAGTCTATCTACCATCATGTGGTTTAATAAATAGAATATTTGTTAAATATTCTATTGATTATTATTTATGTTTAATCAAATAGAATACTTCAGTTAATTAACAGTTGAAATGAGAAGGGTTTAGTCTACAGTGACATGTCAATGCCAGTGAAGGATACAGAATAAATATGAACACATTTCAAAAGAAAATTCAAGATTATTTAATAACTAACTGGTTGTGGAGAGAAGATAAAACATAAATCAGAAATTTTGCTGATGTTTTGAATCAGGGTTCAAATAGGAGAAAACATATGAGAATTGCAGGAAATGGGAGCAGGTATTTTGTTTCAAGACTCCTAGTAAATTTCAGGTTTGGTGCCGGGTATCTTGATTTGAAGACTGGGAAATGAACATATCGTCTGTCATTACCTAAAATTCAAGGTGACCTTTAAGTAGTAAAATGTATTTACCTGCATTACTTGTGGGATTGCTCTCATTATTTTACTCCCAAATTAAATTTTTCCCTGTGTCTCAAGGGAAAGTGATATCCATCTCTCCATTTACTTTCCAGAAGGAAAAATTATAAGGCTCTATGAAAGAAAATGTGTTTTGTTTATTCTAATGTCATTAAGAACTATGGTAGTTTTAAGTTCATAAATGAACAGAATTTGAGGTAAATCTTGAAGTGAAAATGTAAGGAGACTGTCATAGGCCACAAAATGAGGCTAAAATGCATAAGCAAATCTTAAATTCTAGATGTTTTAAAAATTATAAAGTTGACTGTTTCAACATATGCAAATCAATAAACATAATCCAGCATATAAACAGAACCAAAGACAAAAACCACATGATTATCTCAATAGATACAGAAAAGGCCTTTGACAAAATCCAACAGCCCTTCATGCTAAAAATTCTCAATAAATTAGGTATTGATGGGATGTATCTCAAAATAATAACAGCTATCTATGACAAACCCACAGCCAATATCGTACTGAATGGGCAAAAACTAGAAGCATTCCCTTTGAAAACTGGCACAAGACAGAGATGCCCTCTCTCACCACTCCTATTCAACATAGTGTTGGAAGTTCTGGCCAGGGCAATAAGGCAGGAGAAAGAAATAAAGGGTATTCAATTAGTGAAAGAGGAAGTCAAATTGTCCCTGTTTGCAGATGACATGATTGTATATCTAGAAAACCCCATCGTCTCAGCCCAAAATCTCCTTAAGCTGATAAGCAACTTCAGCAAAGTCTCAGGATACAAAATCAATGTGCAAAAATCACAAGCATTCTTATACACCAACAACAGACAAACAGAGAGCCAAATCATGAGGGAACTCCCATTCACAATTGCTTCAAAGAGAATAAAATACCTAGGAATCCAACTTACAAGGGATGTGAAGGACCTCTTCAAGGAGAACTACAAACCACTGCTTAACGAAATAAAAGAGGACACAAACAAATGGAAGAACATACCATGCTCATGGATGGGAAGAATCAATATTGTGAAAATGGCCATACTGCCCAAGGTAATTTATAGATTCAATGCCATCCCCGTCAAGCTATCAATGACTTTCTTCACAGAATTAGAAAAAACTACTTTAAAGTTCACATGGAACCAAAAAAGAGGCTGCGTAGCCAAGACAACCTAAGCCAAAAGAACAAAGCTGGAGGCATCATGCTACCTGACTTCAAACTATACTACAAGGCTACAGGAACCAAAACAGCATGGTACTGGTACCAAAATGGAGATATACACTAGTGGAACAGAACAGAGCCCTCAGAAATAACACCACACATCTACAACCATCTGATCTTTGACAAACCTGACAAAAACAAGAAATGGGGAAAGGATTCCCTATTTAATAAATGGTGCTGGGAAAACTGGCTAGCCATATGTAGAAAGCTGAAACTGGATCCCTTCCTTACACCTTATAAAAAATTAATTCAAGATGGATTAAAGACTTAAATGTTAGACTAAAAACCATGAAAACCCTAGAAGAAAACCTAGGCAATACCATTCAGGACATAGGCATGGGCAAGGACTTCATGTCTAAAACACCAAAAGCAATGGCAACAAAAGCCAAAATTGACAAATGAGATCTAATTAAACTAAAGAGCTTCTGCACAGCAAATGAAACCAGCATCAGAGTGAACAGGCAACCTACAGAATGGGAGAAAATTTTTACAATCTACTCATGTGACAAAGGGCTAATTTCCAGAATCTACAAAGAACTCAAACAAATTTACAAGAAAAAAACAAACAGCCCCATCAAAAAGTGGCTGAAGGATATGAACAGACACTTCTCAAAAGAAGACATTTATGCAGCCAACAGACACGTGAAAAAATGTTCATCATCACTGGCCATCAGAGAAATGCAAATCGAAACCACAATGAGATACCATCTCACACCAGTTAGAATGGCGATCATTAAAAAGTTAGGAAGCAACAGGTGCTGGAGAGGATGTGGAGAAATAGGAACACTTTTACACCATTGTTGGAACTGTAAACTAGTTCAACCATTGTGGAAGACAGTGTGGCAATTCCTCAGGGATCTAGGACTAGAAATACCATTTGACCCAGCCATCCCATTACTGGGTATATACCCAAAGGATTATAAATCATGCTGCTATAAAGACACATGCACACGTATGTTTATTGTGGCGCTATTCACAATAGCAAAGACTTGGAACCAATGCAAATGTCCATCAATGATAGACTGGATTAAGAAAATGTGGCACATATATACCATGGAATACTATGCAGCCATAAAAAAGGATGAGTTAATGTCCTTTGTAGGGACATGGATGAAGCTAGAAACCATCATTCTCAGCAAACTATTGCAAGGACAAAAAACCAAACACCGTATGTTCTCACTCATAGGTGGGAATTGAACAATGAGAACTCTTGGACACAGGAAGGGGAACATCACACACTGGGGCCTCTCGTGGGATGGCGGGAGGGGGGAGGGATAGCATTAGGAGATATACCTAATGTAAATGACGAGTTAATGGGTGCAGCACACCAACACGGCACACGTATACATATGTAACTAACCTGCATGTTGTGCTCATGTACCCTAGAACTTAAAGTACAATAATAAAAAAAATTGCACAGTTGATATATGTGCCTTTTTTGGCTTCCTTTAAAGGGAAAGAAGGAAATTATCACTTCAGGAGATTCAAAACTCTTCCCTTACTAATATTGCTCTCTACTAACCTTATGACCTGGTTACCTAAGGCCAATTTAACACATCATTAGAAATGTAACCAACATGTCACTTAAATAGGTTCATCATTTGGCCAGAGGATGACAGGTTCTTTCTTCTCCTATATATGCATTCTAGCAGCCACTAGTTTCCTGTAATTTCTGTAAGAAATATAGATATGCAGGTAATTATTTTCAAGTGTCTATACCCTACTAATAAGAAGATGCCATTTCCAGATGAGATAGCACTGTGATTTTAGAAATGTTTAGAGTGTAGAGAAAGCAAAATATGCAAATAAACTATGTCATGGACAATTTAAGGAAAGAACTGGTGCTATCATGCCCAGGAAAAGGCTGGAGATCAACTAATGAAGGGATTAACTATTTGTAGGGCTGGAAAGCAAGTTATTAGAAGAAGAGACAGCTCTTATTTTCTGTTCTTTCATTTTTTACTGGCCAAAACAAGAATAATGCAAGAAGACCTAAATGTGCCAGGATCATGTTACGCTACTGGTAAAGAGTTCATCATCTCAAAAGAAGACCTTGTTGAAGCTTTTCCTTAGCCTCTCAAATGCCTAATTGTCCCATTGCTGCAGTTGATTCCTAAATAACACTGAGGTGGGGAGACAATACAAGCATCTGAATAATGGCAAACGCACTATTATATTAGATTGTTTTGACAGTGTGGTCAGGATTCAAAAGTATATGTTGGCACAGATTTATTTCTCAACCCTTTAAAAATAAACTTACTTCATGCTGGGGTACTACTCTACACATATTTGTAACCAAGTTGCCCTTTTCCACTGCTATTAATTATTGCTTTTTTGATTTGCCAGCAAACACTCTCTAGAACATTTTCTTACCCCATGTAGGTACAGCTTTTTCAAAAATAGAATGTGTTGGTTCTTTTACATTAAAAAAGTAATGCATGTTTATTGCTGAAAAATGTAAATAGATAACAAAGCTGAATAACAGCTAAACCAGTGAAATATTTTTATGCTCATCATCTAATTTTATCCCCACAATAACCTTATAGTTAAGGTAAGATACAGAATATTGTCTATTTAGCTATTGTAGAAAATGAGAATGAAGTGAGTTGCCTTTAGTTCATGGCTGCTCTGAGTCCCATCTAATTCCTAGGCCAAAAATCTTTCTGTATCATACTGTCACCCACAAATAGTAGAAAAGGAATAGGTATCCCTTGGTGTTAGGAGCCAAACCCAGAAACGGAAACACACTCATGTGACTGGTCTTGAGCTAGGCAAGGCCAGCCTGGCCCGTGTGTGAAGTCTCCCCAGCTGCATCGTCACTGACACATTTCGCAGCAGTGTTGAAAGCTGCTTGGGAAACTGCTCCAGTCAGTGACCGTGGAGGCTGACAGCTCTGGCTGAGTGATTCTCGGCCCTAATTACAAATAAACCTCTGATTTTAGGAAGGGTATGGTGGGAGAGTGTTTAGTCCCTGTACATCTGAAGAGACTGTATTATGTTGTGGGCCTGATAATGAATCAGGAGGGCACTTAGATTAGCATAACTCATTCATTTATCAGATAAAAGGTGTGCTCCAGTCTGTATTACACTCAGGGGCTCAGTGTCTCCATTTTTGTGTATGAATACATCCACCCTCCATTTGCCTTCTGTCCAGAGACACTCTAGGCCAATCTGCTTTAATAAATGGATTTGTAAAGTGCTTTGTAATTTTTACATGGTTGATTATCCATGTAAAAGGTTTTTTGAAATAACAAACAGCTAATAGCAAATGAGAATGTGTGAGACTACTTGATGTCTATATGAGTAACCAATTTTAGACTGTTTCCCCACTGCATTCTTGTCTTTAAGCCTGTATTTTAAGTTAAAATATTTATAACATATGGTTTAGCGGAGATTAGCCCTCTGTGGTCCTGAAATATATTGAATACATCATTATTTATCTGTAAAACAAATTCATGAATGCAAAACATTTATATTAAATATTCTTAGTGGTAAATAATATGAAAGAGAATGGCAGAACAGTAGGACAGAGAAACAAATGGAGTAAATAAAGTAAACTATTTCATAAGATGGACCAGGGGCATGTGGAATACACTAATGAAAACAAGATATGTAACATATACCACACGTTCATGAGCCAATATGTTCAGCAGGCTCTTAAGAGCTTTTGGCCAAAAAGGGACTAAAGAAGGGTATGGACTTTGTAGAGCTGGAGAAGCATAGGACATTATGGTATATTTGTTAAACAGGACTAGTTGATGAAGTTATGGAATCTCTAAAGTTATATTTCCAAAGAATGGAAAAATACCATAGATGAGATTTTGCTTAATATATTTTCTAATATCACAAATAAAGTAATAGCATACACTATTTTTCAAGGGAAAAAAATACATCATGATTAATCTTTCATTTACACAATCATTTATTCACATTTAGTTACTATTGTCTCACCTCTATTCCCAGAAGAAATACACATATACATACACACATCCATGCAGTTTGGCCCTGAATGTCATTATTACAAGCAGACTACTTCTGAGATATTTGCTTTCTTTGTGAACAATCACTAATGATAACATAGCTGACCACATACCTTACACCCAGTTGCACTTGTGACCAACTTTTAAATTGTCTGCCTATAGAACATTATCAAGAAAAATAAGGACAACAAAATGTCTGAAGGTCACTGATTATTCTCTTGTACTAGGAAAGGACATAAATAAAAAAGAAATTTCTGAAACAAATCAGTTAGTTGTAAGGCCAGAATATATTCATAGATTAGGAATTTTTTAACAACTAGGGAACCAGCACAATAAAATGATCATATTGAGATTTTTTGGTCACATTAAGAAATAAGAAATCTTGGTCAGGCACAGTGGCCTATACCTGTAATCCCAACACTTTGGGATGCCAAAGCAGAATGATTGGTTGAGGCCCGTAGTTTGAGATCAACCTGGGCAACATAGAGAGACAAAAAAAGTTTAAAAACTTAGCTGAACGTGGTGGTGCACACATCCAGTCCCAGCTACTTGAGAGGCTGAGGTGGGAGAATTACTTGAGCCCAAAAGCTGGAGGTTGCAGTGAGCTATGATAGCACCGCTGCACTCCAGCCTGGGCAATAGAGCAAGCCTCGATCTTGAAAGAGGGGAAGGGAAGGGAAGGGAAGGGAAGGGAAGGGGAGGGGAGGGGAGGGGAGGGGAGGGGAGGGGAGGGGAGGGGAAGGGAGGGAAAGGGAGGGGAGGGGAGGGGAGGGGAGGGGAGGGGACGGAAAGGGAAGGGAAGGAAAGGGAAGGGAAGGGAAGGGAAGGGAAAGGAAAGGAAGGGGAAGGGAGGGGAGGGGAGGGGAGAGGAGGGGAGAGGAGGGGAGGGAGAGGAGAAAGAAAGAAAGAAAGAGAAAGAAAGAAAGAAAGAGAAAGAAAGAAAAGGAAAGAAAGAAAGAAAGAGAAGAAAGAAAGAAAAGGAAAGAAAGAAAGAAAGAGAAGAAAGAAAGAAAGAAAGAAAGAAAGAAAGAAAGAAAGAAAGAAAGAAAGAAAGAAAGAAAGAAAGAAAGAAAAAGAGAAAGAAAGAAGAAAGAAAGGAAGGAAGGGGAAATCTCAATCAACTGTCCTGGTATTAAGGGATAATTCAACAATGTAGAATATAAAATTATAATTTAGAGAAAGCATTGCTCATCTTGTAACTTATCATAGGAAGTTCTAGTCCATTTTCTAGGAGATACTGAGTTTTGATGAGTACTATTCCACATACAAAGCTTATTTCTATCAAATTCCCTAAAGTACTGTTAAATGATAATATTCACTGTAGGTAAGGGGATGGAGAAATAGGAAGTCATGTATTGCTGAAGAAAAGGTAAAATGGTGAAATTTTTATGAAGGACACTTTTGAAAATACTTTTAAATGCCTCTGATTTTTTAATATATTTGATCCAACAGTTCTATTTCTAGAACTTATCCTAGGCAGCAATTGTGATACTGCTTATAATCAGAAAGAAAAAGAAAGGAAGGAAGAAAGAAAAAGGAAAGAAGGCAAAAGGGAAAGAAGAAAAGAAGGAAGGAAGGAAGGAAGGAGGGAGAAAGGAAGTAGAAAAAGAGAAGAAATAGAAGAAAAAATTTAAAAGCCTAAACACCCCAAATCAGGGAATTAATTTATCTTGTATTAAGAAAAAAAATCAATGAAAGTTATTATTTTATATAAAAATAATATTTTTACTGAGTTGGTTCCATTGTTGCATTAGGCATTTGGGTATCTGCCAAGTTGTCACCTCTCTGATTTAGGGAGGCTTTAGACAGTTCCTCCTAGCTGGCCTGGCTCCAGAATGTCTCTATTAAATCTCACTACCTAGTGCCCTCACCTATTCAGGCCAATATGTATCTTGGCCCTACCCTCACTGCCAAACCCACAATGATCAACTCCATTTTCAATGCACTGATGCTTAGGTCTGGAGCAAACATCTACCAACTCTTCAATGTCCTGCCTGCTTTCTTCTCAGTGTCTTATTGTACACATCTTATCTCCTAGGATGAGTTTTCCGACATTGGCTCAGGAGAACATTCCAGAGGTGCTCTTTTCCTTAAAACACAAGAACAAGAACAACAATACTCTTGAAGATTTGGCAGGGGGTAACTTGGGAAACAAAAAGACAAGATGAATGATTTACAGCATAAAGATAGGCACTACATAGGAACATCTCAGTTCAATGATGACTGTGAGATCCTATCCTATAATACAACCATATCTTCAGAGAGAGATTAAGCCTTTTAGACTTCCTTCTGGGTGGTTTTGACAATTTCCCCACCAATAAATGATCTGCCAAGTCTATAGGAGGAGAAACATATAATCTACCAAACTCTTCAACAACCAAAAATTGCTTTGGGAATCAAATCCCTCAATATGGAAAAACATACCAACGTGTACTTACTTCAGCATAAGAAAAATATTTTGAAATAAAGAAATTTTACCCTTGTACTACTTTATTACCTTTGAAAACTTGGTTGGTAGGGTTGCCATTATTTGGATGTTATTAAGAGATCTAATTTCGGCAACTCAGGAACCAACTCCTAGGCACAAAACATACAGTGAATTCTTAGATTTAATAAATATGTTTATTTTTGTTCTCCTTATGTTTATTTCATGCATATGTACATGCAATGCATATTAGCAATATATATTCAATTATACAAAGTATTTTGTAAATTACTTTGTGTGGAGCAAACACCTTTTTTCAAATATGAGTGTACTTTATCATTATCTAACATCAATTATCAGGCAATGTCAACCTCATGGAAACTCAGAGTAGGCCACTACTTGTATGGAGTAATTGAAAGACACCTAAAATAACAATGAGGAAAATATAGTACCTTCTTCACGAGACTTCCACCATGCCTGAATTTTACTATGATCAGCATCATACAAGAGTGCATGAAGAAATAGGCATTTTACCATCTGCAAATGGTATTCTATCAGCTAGTTAGCACTTTAACATGAATTACTTAAACTCACTTTGACCTACTGTGATTTAGCAAAGAAGGTGCCAAGGGAGTACTGTAACACTGTAAAGTATTGATTTGGAGACAGGTAGAGGGTAAAAGAAGGTAAGAAGAGTCCAACAGACAGACTAACATTCAGCATAGATAATACATCAATGGACCTTGACCAATTATTGTTTAGCTGCAGGCCAATTTGGACACTAAACGGGGCTGTGAAAGGCTGTGTGGTCAGGTTGATAAAATCAGGAGACAGTGGGCACCTACCTTACAAGTTTATCTAAGTCTCGTACTGGTTCTAAGATGGCATATATGTACAATCTTACACTGACCACTCTAATTCAAATTTTTTTTGGTATTCCAAGATTGAAGAAAAGTTAAGATTAAAATAAGTTATTGTGTATGGGGAGGGGTTGAAGGTGTGGGGGAATGTGTGTACACATGTATGTTTGTACCTTACGTATTACAAACATATTACAGTTTGAAGTGGTGAGTGGTGACTCTGTTATAAATACAATTTAGATTAGGTTTATAGTGGGATTTACTTTTCACATTACTTCTTTATCCATTTACTTTTTCCCTCACTTTTTCTTAATAAATCATCACATTTTCAGTATAGAAAGTATCTCAGCAATTAGTATGATGTTTCAGCAGTTTGTCTTTTGTCTTTGAGGAGAAAAATGCAGACATGCTTTTCCTAAATAATCCCTAACTATTCCAAACAAGATGCTGGCAGATGGGCATTCTGGATTTACTAGCTTCCCCCAAATTATTTTTGCTGTAGAATGTACAATTTTTCAGCATTTTTATGTGAATTTCAAAGACTACATGTTCATGCTTTAAAAAAGCGTGTGATTATGAAAATTAAGTATTTTCTCATTCCTTTGTCTTCACTTCCTGCATCCAATAGCTGAAAAGGGAGTCAAATCTTCCCAAAATGACTATGCACTGTCAAAATGAGATGCTTTAATTTAAATAATAAATAAGCTCCATGGTTACCTTTTGCTCTGATCCATGCTAAACATTAGTACCTGATTTGGTTTCCAGCATTATTGCAACAACATTTAAGTGTACAGTATAAGATTGTACTTGATTTATTAAAGTAATAAATTAGTTTTATTGTAGGTGATTAAATGTATTTTACTTTTTAAAGCACAAGAACCAGAAAAGAAAGGCATCGTTACAATCTGAAAATAACTAGAAAGATAAGTTCATTAACTTGCCTACACTTGCGCATCATAAAAACCTTGTTAAAAATTATTCCCCAGCCTGCTGTATTAGCTTCTTTATGAGGTAATTTCTCCACACAGTAATAAGATTTTTCTTTTACTCTCCAGTGCATATTAAACCCACTAATCTTCTATTATAAACTATAGTTTCAGCCACTTTCTCAATTTACTCACTTTAAAGATACACTCCTATTAATATTAAAGGTAGCAAAAGCAGATATGAACTTTGTAAAACACGCTTTTGGATTTATGGCACAATCATCTAACAGTGTACTCCAATAGCACAAAAGGGAAAAAGCTGTAAATGTCGAGTATGTCTCATGACAAACCAAACAATCTTAGTCCCCATAGAATTAATTTCCCACCCTATTCATTGTGTGAATTAAGTGTAGACATATTTTCTACTGTCAGCAAATAAAAACAGAGTAAAAAGACTCAATTCATTGAAAGAAGTAAAACAAAATCTTGCATAGGAATCACACAGATGTCAATGATCTGATTGATATGCATTATGGGTGTTCTGGGGAAAGGATAACTGGTAGCCATTTCCACTTGTGGGTAGCTCTCTAAGGATCAAGGTTTTCTTTCTGTATCCAAGATCAGACAGGGTACAATAGGAAGTTAAAAATTAAGTTTTTCAAAGGTTAAATTTCAGTCATTTCTGTTACATCTCTTATTTCAATAATTCTTCTAAAATAGTCAATATTTTAAACAGTTTATTTTTTAATAATGGCAGAAGTAATTAATACTGCACTTTAAACCTCCTCTAGTGGGTAATGTATCTTAGAAATAATAAATTAACTCAAATTATTATAGAAATTTATTTAAAAAAAATGCAGAAACAGCTACCCCAACATCATTTTCTTTTACTTTCACTTAAAGTAAAAAATAAGAATTTCCTTATTATCCTGTGCTTAGACTTATTTTGTTAATGAAGAAACAAAAAATTTTAATTGTTCTTTTCTGAACTAGGGGAAGACATTTGAAATATATTAAAGACAAAATTCCTAATATGTAAAGGTTCTTGCAGGTAAAAAAAACCTAGGCAAACAGCTCAATAAAAAAGGAAAAGGGGGATAGAATTGAAAAGACCATGCAAAAGAAAAAATGTAATAGGCCTATCAATATGTGAAAAATGTTTAACCGCTCCACTAGTGAAAAATGCAAATTTGAAATTTTAATGCAAAATGTCATTTTGTTCAAATCAGGTTGATAAAGATTACAAATAATGGAAATAAATATTATTGTCCAAAGTTTACAAAAATAAAATTCTTCTATATCGATTGTAAGCTCATAAATTAGCATCATCTTTTTAGCAACTTTGAGCAATATTTAAAATCTTAAACATGCATGATATTGACCCAACATGCCTAACGATGTATATACATATATAGGGATGTATATAGAAGATGTAGATTAGAGAGAAGAAAATTGGTAACAATATAATGCTCATCAATACTTTAGTAAATTATGATATATTTAAAAGTATAGAATATATTCAATCATTATTTGCTAATGTTGAAAGATGTTCATAACATACCAAATAGAAAAGTAAATTACCAGACAACATACATTGTACAGTGGTTTTTTTAGAGTGCAATTTTATAAATATGTTCATTCATTTAAAAAAAAGAATATGAATAAGGAATATACACTGAAAGACTATCAATAGCTGTTGCTGTAAAATAGTATAAGCAGTAAATAGCCTATACTGATTTCTTTTTTTACATTCTAATATACTTCCTTTCTACCCATTAAACACATTGAATAAATAAATGCTTACAGTCTGATTTCATTCATCTGTAGAAACATATGCTTACTGTTACACAAAATTAAAGCCTAGATACATTTTTAACTTTTCTAAGTGACATAAATTACTCAAGTATATGAAATACATATAAAAGAATAGTGATATCATAGATTATTATCAGAAGTCATGTCAATAAGTTCTTTGACATTTAATAGACAATAAATGTCCATAATTTTAAAAATAAATAAATTTATGATGACATATTTGTGCCATTTTTATTAACAGCAGATTAAAAATAATAAGTAATTATTTTCTTTTTTCAGAACTTTAAATGTTATTACAGATTTGAATTCATAACATTTTAGCCATTTCTAAAATTTTATATACTTATTAAGGTAATGTTTCAGAAGTTAGCCAAAACATAGAATACATTTTAAATAGACTTTCTTCAAATTTCCTTCTTCTATGATAGTAAGGTTTATTTTCTCATACTCCTCACTGGTGCTCTCCATTTTTATTTCTTCTTCATTCTAATCAGTTGTTCATTTCTTTAATTACATTAGCTTTCCTCCCTGGCATATTTCTCTTAAGAGAGAGAGAGAGAAAGACAGGGTAGGGAAGGTTGGGGGTGGTATGTGTGTGTGTATGACTTTTCTTGTTGTTGCTGTTATCTTTCTTAGCTCAGGTATTAAATTTCTTAATTATATTCATAGATCTACATTCTGCTTTAGAATTCCTCTTTCCATTTATCTTCTGTATTCAGAGTGATTAACTTTTTCTATGGCACCATTTTTCCTTTTCTTGTTGAGAAAATTGAAAGTGACTTCAAACATTTCTGATGTCTACTGTCCCTTTAACATAATGTTAACTTTTTGCCTAACAAAGCTTTCTTCATCCCATCATAAACATTCCAACACAATTTCTCTGCATTGTTCATTTCACCAGGGATAACTATTATTGCTAGGGTTCCATCTGATCCTTTCTGCAAAAATCGTTTTCTCTGAGATGGTACTGTATCTTGTAGCGTCCTTTATACCAAGGCAGATGGTAGTTTGGTCAATGATAGAGTAAAATAGAAGCCAGATTTATACAAAACATAAATCCATTAGTGTGGAGAGTTTTAGACCCTTGAGCTACTTCTAGCACCTAGCACCTCTCACATAGTGGGTTATCAGTATTTGCTGAATGAATAAACAAGTGATGGAGAATGACCAGCTAACCTTATTCAGAAACTTAAACACTGAAAGAAGGCATCAGCCTGTCTTTCATCATTTCTTCAAGAGAAATCTAACATTATTTTATCACAATCTTTGCTCTTATATCTAATCTTAATAAATTATATATTTTGTAGTAGTCTCAGAACCCATTGCATTTAGTAGTCATGAGCTGTGTTCACCTGCAGTCTTTATATAGGCTGTAAATAAGACTTCCGTGATTAAAGAAGGACAGAGCAGGTTGGCATCATTAATATGAGCTGTTCCTCCCTTTTGAGTACATATGTTGCTCCTAATGACAGATGGGAGCATTGGCTGGTTACACAGACTGCAAAGACTGAGGATTATAGGGCAAAAGGGATGCAAAAATAATAAAAGACCAGCTCCAGGATTGTAAGCATGGAAGTTTCTTCATACTTGCTTGCCCCTAGCCCCTGGACAAGGGAATTGTAGGGGGTTCTATGGCAAATTTGTCTACTAGAGCACGTTATAAGCAGCCTGCACTAATGAGTTTAGTCTTATTTGTCTAAGACATTTAAGTTACCCTTTTTAGTTAAGTGTTTTATTCTGGCATTTTGGAAAGATACATGATGCCAAACAGAATATTTATAAAAACCTTTTAAGGTTTATTCTCATCTATTTTTGCCCTCAAAGGTCATTTCATAAAAGAGATCAAAAGGCAGCTTCTTCCAGGCCAGCACAGTGGGTGGCCAGCAGCAGATTAAGTACTAACAGAGCCCTAAAGAAGTACAAATCTGTATGACTTGTTTTACACAGTTCTGTTATATATTTTCTCCATTACTATGCCACATAATTACATATATGAAGTAGTTTAATTATAACTGATATAATGAAAAAGCATTAAAATGATCTTGCAGCAAGCTTACCAAATGGGATTCCTGTGAGTATCTAAACCCTTTACTGGTAGTAACTTGTTTCTTCAGTAATTTAAAAATCTTCAGGAAACCTGATATCATTTGGTGGGTAAAGCCTATCCAAAAAATAGATTCTCTCTTTCAAATTTCTAAACTTCTAGTGTTAGAAACAAATTTTTGGTTTGTTTTTAGTGTTCCAGCCAGCACTGATCTTATATTAAAAATTTGAAGTATGTACTTTAGGAATTTGTTTTCTATATCTTTTCCTTTTGGTAGGTCAATTCAGTCAGCACTGTTGTGTGCTGTCTCTGTGTAAGGCACAATTCTAGGCTCTTTGGTAGCCAGAGATGAAAGAAATATGATGGTGACTGACCTCAAGGAGGTAAAATCCAAAAGGAAAAGTCAAACATGTAAAAAGATAGTCAAATATCTTTTGCCATAGTAAGAATTTCAAAAAGAGGTACCTTCAAAATACAGTGATAGTTTGGAGGGCATGAGCAAGTCTGCCAAGGAATGCGGAGAAGGCTCACGTTAAGTCCAAACAAGTGAACAGCAGTTTACCAAGCAAATGGCAGGGTCCCAGAAGGGAGAAGAAGGAAAAAATAATAATTTGAAGGGAAAAGGAACACTATGTGCACAGGTGAAACAGAGAACTACAAAAGACGGGTATGAATAGCTCGAGAATATGAGAAAAAGAACACAGAATATGAAGATAAACATATAGAGGTCAGGTCATAGATAATTCTCACTATTTATACAGAACCATCAAAATATTAAATGTAAGAAGAAAGAGATGTGGCCAGAATTGCATTCAAGAAAAATAGCTGGGAATGTATTAGAGAACGATGGGAAAGAACAATAGGAAAGAAATGAGGCCAAGGTAACAACTATAGATGTTTCAGTATTTCTGGGGAGAGGTGATGAGGATATTAACTGAGAGAGCATGAAAGGGAAAGAACTAGTGAGAAAGAGATGGTACATGAAGAATCAAAAGGACTTATCAAGTTGCAAATAGAAAGTAACAGTGAGGGTGAAGCCAAGGGTGATCTCTAGGTTCGGTAAATAGGTAGATTTTAGTGCCAGTTACCATTGCTGAAAATACAGAAAGAGAGGCAGATAGAGAATCAGTTTTTTGGGCCAAATGATGCATTTGTCAGTAGCAGACTGCCATGATTGAGTATAATTAGACTCTTACATATCTATAGCTGAAATAGAAAAAAATATTCACACTATGACCCATACATATAAGAAGGTTGAAACTCAGTTATCGGTATGACAGAATAATGTCCCCTGACCAAAGATGTCTCTACCCAAATCTCTGGAACCTGTGAATACGCTACTTTACATAGCAGTATGAATTTTGCAGATGTAATTAAGGTTAAAGTCCTTGATATGGCCATGGTTCACACCTGTAATCCCTAAGCCAGGAGGATTGCTTGAACCCGGGCATTTAAGACCAGCCTGGGTAACATGAAAAAACCCTGTTTCTACAAAAAATACAAAAATTCATCAGGCATGGTGGTAAGCACCTTTAGCCCTGGCTACTTGTGAGGCTGAGGCAGGAGGATCCATTGAGCCCAGAAAGCCAAGGCTGCAGTGAGCTATGGTCGTGCCACTGCACTCCAGCGTGGGTGACAGAGCAAGACCATGTCTCAAAAAAACAAAAACAAAACAACAAAAAAACATATTTTGATATGGGGAGATCCCAGGCAGCCTCAATCTAACCACACTCATCCTCAAAATAAAGAAGAGGAAGGTAGGAGAGGGGGTCAGAGAGATGTGACATAAGGACTTCAATTATCATTGCTTGCTTTAAAGATGGAAGAAAGGGGCCACGAGCCAAAGAATGCAGATGGCTTCTAGGAGCTGGAAACACTCCTCAACTGACAGCCTACCAGGAAACTGGGATTTCAGTCCTATTTCCATAATGAACTGAATTTCGCCAACTGAAAGGACAGGAAACGGACTCTCCCTTAGAGCCTCCAGAAAGGAATTGAGCTTACCAACACCTTGATTTTAGTCTGGCAGAATCCATAACAGACTTCGGACTCACTTTAATAATAAATTATGTTGTTTTAATGCATTAAGTTGGCAGTATTTGAAAATGGTAGCCATAGATAACTAATACACCAAGTTAGAACATAGACTGGATAACAAGATGTGAAGAGGAATTAGGTATATATGTCAAAAGTTTACATAGTTTTTATTATAATGGCCAATGGGAAAGAAAATCTATGAAGTTGGAATGAAGAGGAATAAGTAAAAGAAGAAAGAAAAAAAATTAGGAGGAATCACAGGAAGAAGGCCTGAGGTGGGGGTAGTAAAATTTTGAGCTACAAAACAAAACTGCAAAATGATTTTCTTCTTCCTTGTAAACAATACAATATAAAATTTGTTTTCATGTACTTAATTGAGAAGTACCTAGGTTCATCTTTATAAGGCATTTATTAGCACTTGGAAATCTTCGTTAATATAAAATATTCAAATAATATAGCACTGATTATAAATATTTTATTTACATCTGCCTCATTTCCAGTAGACAGAGTTATTTAACAAAAATATGGACAATGAAATACAATTTAGTATGGTTGCCAAGAACCTTTTGCTTACAAATAACAGAAAGAAACCAGAAGTAACAACCTAAAAGAGAATTTATTATAAGGATTTGAGGATCAAATCCAAGGACAGAGAATTAAGGACAGGAAAGCAGCCCTGCCTCAGGATCAGCTGAATAGAGAATCACATGTGGTCAGCACATTCCCTAAGTTTTTCTTAGCTGTGCCCAACATCTGTTCCATCCTGCTTTGTCACTACTGACTGCCTTCCTTTGTTCTTGGTCCACACAGTAGCGAGGGGTCATCAAGAGCACAAGTTTTAATTTTATTAGAGATGCTTAAAGAGAGATTGACTTGCCTCTCTCTGCGCCAAGTCCAAACCAAAGAAAAGAGTTTCATTTGGCCCAGGTTAGGTCAGGACCCAATCATC
Organism: Homo sapiens; assembly: GCF_000001405.40. Lineage (NCBI taxonomy): Eukaryota > Metazoa > Chordata > Mammalia > Primates > Hominidae > Homo > Homo sapiens. Next base: position 147,669,073 of record NC_000003.12, on the reverse strand, counting down.
TGTGGCCAAGGGTCAGGTTAAGAAGATCTGTCAGGCTGTGGGGAAGGGGAAATTCCCAAATAAGAAATACCAGTCAGACAGTTTGATATATATCATCTATACATAGATAAAAACATACAAAACAGAAGATAAAGATAGATTAGTAAAATAAAGACAGTGTTAAAGTTGCTGCAGAAAAATGCATATCAGAATGTCCTGCACAATTGTTAAAGGGTGTGGCATATTTATCTCTGAGCTTAACAGTCAAACTAAGCATGAGACATAATCAGTTACAAGATGCACCACTTCTATGAGATAAAACTGTCTGATAGCTAAGGAACAGCAAACTCTATCAGACATTTAAATCTGAGAGAAATTTTTCTAGACCCATTTGGTCCTCCAAAATAGGTTCTTTATGTGATTTAGTGAGCAATATCTTAAAAAGCATACTTCAATACAACTGGAGACTGCCATACAGCTGTTTCTAATGGACCAATTCACTGCAACCAGTATCATTGGAGCTTGAAAATGGTTGCTGGCTGGCCACCTGTTAATTGATTGATGAAAGCATTAAGCTTACTTATTAAGTCTAAATACTGTTTCTGATTTTAAAAGGGGAAAATTTATTTATCATAAAGTCCAACTAACTTTCTGGGAATATTTATAATGAATGTTGAAAATATTAATTTCACACTGAAGTAAAATCTCATTAGATTAATACAATTTCTATTAAAGCTAGAGCTATGCTGGCTAATGTTTAACAATCAGTTCTAGATGATAGTGGGTGAGAAAATTGGAGGGCTTTAATTTGTATAGTTCTTCTATTTCTGTGGTGTAAATCCTCCTTCCTTAGGCAATTTCAAGCTAGCAATGTGATATGTCTAAATGAAGAGTGGAGAAGAGGTATCCCATTGCACACCATCATATAGCATTTCCACCATACATAGATATAAATAATGCCAAAAACAAAGACATTAGTAAAAATGTTACTAATTGTGAAGCAATGATTTTTTAGGATTTGTTACCATATTAGTCAGGGTTCTCTAGATAAACAGAACAAGAAGGATATATAAAGATATATAAAAGGTGATTTATTATGGGAATTGGCTCATATGCGATTATAGAGACCACAGCAGGCTGGCTGCAAGCTGGAGAACAGAAAAACTGGTGGTATAATTCAGTCTAAGTCGGAAGGCCTGAGGATTTGTAGTTGGGGGAGGAGTGCTATGGTTTGAAGATCTCTTCTAAACATTCATGTGTTGGAAACTTAATAGCCAATGCAATAGTGTTGCAAAGTGGGGCCTAATGGGAAGTGCTGAAGTGATGCCAGCTCTACCCTTACCAATGGATTAATGTCTTTTTAAAAAGGGCTTGAGGCAGTGAGCTCTCTTTTTCTCTCTTGTCCTTCACCTTCTGCTATGTAAGGACACAGCAAGAAGGTCTTTGACAGGTGCTAGCTCCTTGATCTCAGAATTCCCAGCTTCCAGAATGATGAGGAAATAAATCTCTCTTCTTTATAAATTTCCCAGTCTCAGGTATGCTTTTGTAGTAGCACAAATAAACTAAGATGGGGTCCCTGGTATAAGTCCCAGAGCCCAAAAAGGGAAGAACTTGAGGTTCAGATGTCCAAGGACAGCAGAGGATGGGTGCCCCAGCTCAAAAAAGAGAGAATTTGTCGTCTGCCTTTTTGTTCTATTTGGGCCCTCACTGGATTGGGTGATGTCTGCCACATTAGTGAGGGTGGCTCTTCTTTACTCAGTCCACTGATTCAAACATTAATCTCTTCTCGAATCACCCTCATAAACACACCTAGAAATAATGTTTTACCAGCTATGTAGGCATCCCTTAACCCAATGGCTATCTTAAATAACTGACTCTCAAAGTTTCTGAAATTGTAGCAATAGTTCTTATAAGCTAGTATAAGCCAGCTCTATTACACTACTAAAAAGCCAACACCAATCATTTAGTATTTCTAAAAGTGTTTTATCAATTAATTTAAAACATGGATATGAACCACAATCAGTTTTAGCATAATGGGAATCAGCAAATTTTTTTAAAGCTGTTTTGCTTCACTATAGAAATAGACATCTATTTTATTATAGTAGGTATCTTCTCAACTCTGCCTTTTTTGGTCTACTGGTGACAGCTGTGAGGTGTGCAGGAGTTTGCATTGATGTCTATAAACCCATTGAATTTGGTCAGCTTCAAATTCAGTGTTGCTAGATTTGATTTTTTGATTCATTGTTTGAGCTTTCAATTAAAAAAAACTATTTTACTATCTTAAGTCATGCAGGAAATATAAACTTCATATTCTAGGTCTGAAGCCCTCAATTTTCTAACTTTATTTTCTCGACTGAATGAATATTTATGATATAATCTTTTATGTGAGATTTCTCAGGATTGCAGCTTTTTCTAATAGCTTATCATACTGTATTTAAAACTTACAAGTTATTTTTATAAATGCTAGAGTCTTAAATTTCTGAAATATAAATGAAAACAATGACATAAAGTATAAAGACAAGTAACTTTTAAAGAAAGGAGCATATAAAATTAGCTGATGAAATGACTATAAAATACTCAAAAATGCCAATAATTAAAGCTTATATTTATATACTACACTAATAGGCAGTATCAGAAATTTGGAGATTTAGCATCTGGTTCAGAGTTCTAAATGTAGAAGTAAAATATACTATACTAGAACCAAGAATAGAAAGATAAAACTAAAACATGACAGCATTTCTGAAAGTTGAATATGAATCCAATCAGAAATTTGAGGTATGTTATCTTGAAGGAACTATTTTGCACAGGTAGAAACAGCTAATTTCCAAAGTATTATGTTCACTTTCCAAAGAAAGTAATTCACAAAATTACTTTCAATTTTGATGTAGAATGAAATGAAGTAGAAGCAAGATAAAGAAGGGGAACCCAATGGATGGTACAGAAATGACAACATGGTTGCCACCAGGTGGTAGGAAACATCATGAATATTATGATAAGTCTCCTCTCTCCATTCAATTTGTATGATCAAAGGGCAAGGAAGCAGTGCAAAATGAGTTATGGGTGGGAAGGAGATATTATGGTTAAAAAATTGTTTTGTATGAACTTCTCAATTGCTAGAGACCTCATCACAGCAGCTACTTTGTAATGACTTCATTTCTCCCATGGTTCAACTACGTTATAAAATAGAAAGTGATTCACACTTAGTAAGAATATGTATGGCATAGCAATTAAGAGTGAACACTCTGAAGAAAGGCTGTCTGTGTGCAAATTCCCACTCTTTCACTTACTAGTTATATAAAATTAGGCAAGATATTTAAACTATGCACCAGTTTTGTCATGTATGTAATGGGGATAATAACAATTACTTCATAGGGTTGTTGTAAAAATTTAACAAATTAGTGTTATTCTCAATAAATTAATTTATAAAAATATATCGGTAATGTCAACAATCACCATGATCATAATTATTATCACTATTATTATCATATAATTATTATGAAAAGACCATAAGTTTACATATATAGATTACCTAAAATGTTGACAGGATGTTAGTTTAAAATGTTCTAAAACTGAAGCTTATAATGGCTGCTTAGATAGTTCCCAGAAGAAAATTTTCTGCTATATTAGGAACTATCTATCAAAATAAGTAGCGATGGAGTGACACCACAATGCAGAGGCAGAAGATAAAATTCTACAGCTGGACCTAATAGCCCAAGCTTCTGGCAGGGCTCCCACATCTTAACCTTGTCTGACCTGGTGGGAAAAAGATCTGAGCAAACTACCCATAACTGTGGGGAAACTACCCATAGATGGAGAATTTTAATTGAAAATTCCCAAATTCTATGATGGGATCATGTCATCCTTACCCAAAAAGCCTAAAGCTGTTTTCTGCCACCCAAGGGATATTTTTTTCTCTTCACTGTGCTTCAAGCAGCTGGGTTTAAACCTCTTTTTTCCCTTCCCTCAAAGGAGAAGCAATGAAGTTATTTAGAAAACTATCACCTTTTCTTTAAATTCTGTATAGGACTAGACTAGATTAAAGGGAAAAGTTTGATATACTTATTAAATAAGGACTGACATTCTATACACACCCAAAACAGAATATGGGTTTTGTGTGTGTGTGTGTACTTGTATATTTGTGTGTACCTGCAGGATGTGTGTGCATGTGTGTGTGTACACATATCTGAGTAAACATTTGTGGACAGACACCTGGATCAATGTCTACAGAGAACAATGCAACACCTATGGTACATTTCAATGTATGCTAGAAAATTCACAGACATTTGGAGAAAAGAATGGGAAAATATGACTTATCAGAGATCCCATCCAGATCATGCTCAAAGAATAGGGCTGAACCTTAATAAAGTCCTAAAGATAGAATATGATTGGCTTCAAATTTAAGAATAATCCTGGAAAGTGATTTGAAGTGTTTGAAAGGAAAGTTATTGGATAAATTAAATAGATTGAGAAGAAAATAATGTCATTAAAAAATAAAAATCAACAGGTATATTTCTTGATATGAATAGCTGAAGTAAGAGTGATAATGTACCGTTTAAGACACTAAATGCACATAAATATGGTCTTAATAACAAGCTATTTACATAGACCCAGAGAAAATAGTCAATAGGCCTGTACTTTTTTAGCTAGCCTTTCACAGAGAAAAAATAACAGAAAGAAAATTAGCCAACGCCATGTACTACTTACTGTAACTAAGTATAATTGCCCCCAAAGGATATCATTTTTCCATGTAATTATACTGTTGTTTTTTTTTTTTCAAAATGCATTCAATACCTTTGCCCGCCCCCAAAGTAACAATTTTTTTGTACTTTTATCGGAAGAAAAATCTATAGCTTGTTGGATTTAATCTAGTTTCCAGTTTTCAGTTTTATTTTTACTATTTTGGTAAGCTCAGCCCTATGAACAGATTGTCATCTACCTGCTTGATTTATAGGAGCAGATCAAACACATACCGAAGAAATGGCAATGTGTGCTACTCTTGTCATTGGACTCATGCAATATTCTAATAGCTCATCAAAAACCAAGATCCATGTGGTCTGGCAAGCAGTACCACTGCTGTATGGCTCAAAACTGATCTTCCTCAGGGACAAACAAGTCAGGAGTGCTTTAAACTTATGTTATGTTGTAGCCGTTCTGTGAATGTCTTACCAGCAAAACTGCCACCTGTTTTGAAACAAGTTTTAGGACCTCACTTGTAGATATGTTCATTTACAAATTTGTGATCTGAAGCCTTGGGGGCAGGTACCTAGCTCCTTTGATGGTAGTAATTTTTAAAAAAATCAAAATATGTTGCCCACTGTCAGATTATAAGAAAGATATTTTTAATTATATATTTTCTTCCTGTAACTCCCAAAATAGTTTCTTTTACTGAGAAGTTAAACGTACTTCATGATATATAAATGTTTTTTACTTTAAAATAGGAAAATATGTTGCTTAATTACAAAAAAATTTAAAAAGAAAGACATTTAGCCAACAAATGGAATTAAGATAATTTTTAAATATTATCTATACTACTTAATTTCATATGTACTTTCTATTCTATTTTTAAAGCCAAATTTAGCAAAATGCTAGATAATTACAATTTAACAACTGCTAAATATATATTTATTTGTTCCTTCATTACATTTAAGAAGAGTGAAAAATATTTTACCACCCAATCAAGTCTGAGTTTATATAAAACTTTATGATATTGTGTTACAATCTCAATTTGAAATACTTAAAAGTATACTTGTGGCCTGTGAGTTCCTTGAAGTCTCACTCATTTTGTACACTTAAGTTTGAGTACACAGTGGGCACTCAAGCAATACTTGAGAAATTTAACTGAAATTGAGTAGTAGCCCAGCTTTGCGGATTCAATTTATTCACTTGTTTATTTGTATACTCTTCAGGTGCTGTGCCAGGTACTACAGCAAGCCCTGTACCTTTGATGGTAAACAAAGTCTAACATAATCTAATAAACTACATCAAGGAAATGATTACACCTATGGACCAACCAATTTAGTACTGAAATTAAAAATGTAAAATTAAACCTAAATAATTTTATAAGGTACCTTGTTATCATTAACCTCAAAAATTTGTCTATCTTCCCCTACATCATTTACTGCTCTAAAATTTGATTATATTGCCTACCATATGTGCATCTGCATTTATTTCCCCTTGGCAAGAGTGGACTTAAACTGATTCCCCCACCAACCTTGTCTGGTTTCTTTTGTAATCAGCTAAAGGCATATAATTTAAGGTGTCTGTCAGAAATTAAGGTGACATTTTGTGACCTGGAAGTGGACAGGGTCACTGGATTATGCTCTTTTCAAAAACTCTATTGCTACGTGGTGGCACTTATTGGAAATTATGTAGATAAATGATGATATAAAGATGGAAGACTTATATCTATTAAGAGGGAGAAAGAGAGAGAGAGACAGAAAATATATTTTTGGGGCCCAGTTTCTGAAAAGAAAGATCTGCCTTTTAAGGAACCAGATCATATTGTGTTCTTCAGTATTATAACACCAGGAGCCTAAAAAGAGAAAAAGAACAGTGGGAGTAAAGCACATTGGACATGCCAATAAATGAATGATAAATTATTAAAGCATGATTGGAAATATTGCCATTTTTCATAGCTGTCACTTTAAGTATAAAAGCATCAGCACATTAAACTAGTTACTGCTTTTTCATAATTGAGACTTTAGCTTCTAGCTGTGCCCTGCAGCTTTTCATTAATCACTGGGACTGAAGTTCAAGCTCAGTGACAGCTTAGAAGGCATTAAACGGGCAAAGTATTTTCCAGGTACAGTTAGGAAAGGCCTTTTAGACCCATAATCCATAGCTAATTGTTTTTCAAAGTCTCTAAACACAATCTACTCCTGCCGTTTCCTAGTGACAGAATTAGCTGCAAACTGGCTTTCTTTTTATCTTCCCAGGCTTTCTCTCACTAAAATATATTGAGAGCCTATTGTTAGCTGCATAGAACAGGTGCAAAATGACTGTGATATGTAAAACTGTAACTGATACTTAACCAAGGAAACATTTATTAGAATGCCTCTGAAACAATGCTTCCTGAATACTTATTCTAATCACACCATTTAATTTGTCATAAAAGAAACAAGATGGCATGAAACTTTGTATACAGGCTGAGTTCACTTTTCTAACGAAAAGAGACTCTGTTGGATTGTTTTAACAAATGCAACTGAATCTTCACCAAACGTGAAGTAAGAATGTGCCTTCCCACATATACGCTTAAACCCCAAGATTCCCAGCATAAGCCCCTCTCTTGTTTTGGTTCATCTTTTTTTATTTTCTTTTTACTTTTCTGCAAAGTGTTGTACATCAGGTTTTAATGAATGTGCCAAAACATTCTTTCTTTTGTATAACAAATTATCAAGAGTATTGAGGTTCATTAATTATGTCATCTAATTGGTTTGAGGCAGGTGCAAAATACCTCAGATGAAGTGGTCACTGGCAGGAAGGCCTAAGTGCAAGTTTTTCTATTAGAAACCAGCATGTCTCCAGACTCCTGGAATTACTTTGTAGTTATTGATTAATGGCCATAATTTATTACAGTGTAGAAGATCTTGCATTGAGTTAAATGTGTGATTAATCAATTTTCCATCAAATTATGAACAGCAGACCAGTTGCCAGAAAGAAAATACCAAGTGCATTTTCCCATGGTGTAAATATATCAGGACTTCAGCTAATAACTGTCTATCACTTGCTTAATATTCTCTGTCACACTGATAAATGTCATCTCCACAAATGGGCCACAGGTAGTAATGATGGAAAGACCACCAAACATGTTTTATAGCTACCTTTCCTATATAATGAAATACTCTTTGAGTCCATCTCAAAACAATTTATTAATGCAAAATTCATTTCTGCCTTCAGCTTGAAATACATCATTGTTAAGTCAACAGTCTTATATTAAACTGGGAAGGGATATTGAGGAAAGAAAACCTTAGGCAAAAGAGAGATGAATTTTGGACTTCTGTGCACAACAGCTCATTTTTATTTTCCGTCAAAAATTCAGACATGTGACTAATTGTTGTCAGTTCTAATCTGCTTTTAAAGTGTGGCTCATGTGTGGCTTGGGAACACTAAAGGGACCTGCTGATGGAAGAAAACACATTTCGTTCCAAAGGTTAATTTCTTGGGTTAAATAACAGGTATTGTGAGGGTTCACAAATTAATTGTCTCCTATGAGCAAGGATACTTCATCTTACAACTAAACTAGATGGATGCTACCTCCTTAAAAAAGCACAAAAGACAAATGAAAGTGATGAGGTAACATTATAGTAATTGGATCAATCAAGTGTTTAAAAAGTGAAGTATTAAAATCTATGCATAGAAATAAAAACTGATTAGGATATATAAAGATTTAACTGGAATAAATAAATGTAAACATAGCAGTGACGAGTCACTGAGCCATCTCAAACCACAGGTAGTAAAACAGTACATATAGCAATTTAAAGGAAGCTGAACCATGCTTGGGCAATGCTAAAGGAGACTTAAAAATGCTAGAGCAGAAGGATCTTAAAGATCACCATTCTTCTGCTTCCCGCAGCAGGGACACAAGTGATCCCGTGGTGTGAGGCTTGCTGTGTGGATACCAGTCACCAGCTTTTTCTTGGTGATTCTACAGACTCCAACTCCATGAGGTAGGGCTTTTAACATCAGAGCATTCTGTCTTTCAATACTAGGACATAAACACTTGGAAAACGCTCTGGTGCAAGTTCAGTCAGTGAAAATACCTACAAGGTGCATCTCGACATTTTAGGCCCTCTATCTTGAAGCTGCGGAAATAGAATGGGTTCCACTCTACCTGATCTGAAATTAGGAAATTTTTTTTGGCATCAGCCTACTCCTTAATACAGAGCCACTTCTCTATCTCCAGAATACTTGGTTTTATTGTAGTAGGAGGAGGAGGACTTTTAAAGTAGGACACCTGTGTAAACAGGTGCAAACACTTTCCCCATTGTCATAGTCCCCAGGCTGAGTATATCATCAAGTCCCCAAACCTTGTCTTCTCCAAGAGCAGTTACATTCTCTTAATGGTTTTAGATTCCCCAACTTTCTCAACTACAGGTGCAAATAGATATGAATTAAAAGCTGTATCTAAAAGCTATATCTAGCACCATTTCGATTAATATATTTACTGTGTAATTTGGAAAATATAGCCATGAAGATAGTTCCCCAGGCCTCCTTTTAATGCCACACAAGAAATTCATTTTAATGGTTCTTTATTTCCAATTTCCTCCTCCTGTATTATATAGAATTTTTAAGTATGCTTCTGTTGGATGTTTTATGCTAGGTATTAAAATTCTGCAATTCCTCAAGCTCAAGTCTCAATCATTTTAACACCTATTAAATCTTTTCAGTTAGAAGGGATCAAACTTATTTTCCTTGGAAGAAGGAGGATTAGGGCTTTCCACATGCCTAGCAAAAGCATATATTACAGAGATATTTTCCTAGTCCTATAGAATTCTCAAGTTGAATCTCACTCTGACACCCACCTTAATATTCTTTTTTGGTTGCACCATATCTTGAGATAGACCTCAAACTTACCACACAGAAAGAAGTTTCTGCTGCAGGAAAGGGAAGTAGCACTAAAAAAGCCACATGACTATAGTGGAGAAATTGGAATCTTTGTGCATTGCTGGAGGGAATGTAAAATGGTAAGGCCACTACGGAAATTCACATGGCAGATCCTCAAAAAAATTAAACATAGAATTACCATATGATCCAGCAATTCCACTTCTGGACATATACCCCAAGAATTGAAAGCAAGAACATGTATTTGTACACCTTTGTTCATAGCAGCACTATTTACAATAACAAAAAGGTGAATTTTAAAAATGTGATGTATACATACAATTGAATATCATTCAGCCCTTAAAAAGAAGGACATTCTAACATATGCTACAATATGGATGAACCTTGAAGACATTATGCTAAGTGAAGTATTCCAGTCACAATAGGACAAATTCTATATGACTCCACTTATATGAGTAGCTAGAGTAGTCAAATCTGGAGAGGTAGAAAGTAGAATACTGGTTGCTTGGTGTTGGGGAAAGGGAAAATAGGGAGTTATTGTTTAATGGGTATAGAGTTTCAGTTTTGCAAGATGAAAAGAGTTTTGGAGATGGATAGTGGTAATGGTTGCACAACAAGGTGGATGTACTTAATGCTGATGAGCTATACACTTAAAAATGGCTAAAACAGTAAATTTTATGTTATGTAAATTTTTCCACAATAAAAGATAGAAGAATGACATGACTATTAAGACAGGGGCAAGTGGAAAAAAGGAAAACAGTTCAGAGGTGGCCTTGCTACTGTGGATTTGAACTCTCCTCCATATAGTACAGACACTGGAAAGGTATGGCCAGTACCCTTTAAGCCAGGGGCCCCCAACCACAGATTGGTTAGGAACTAGGCCACGGAGCATGAGGTGGGCAAACAAAGCTTCATCTGTATTTACAGCTGCTCCCCATGGCTTGCATTATTACTGCCTGTGCTCCACATCCTGTCAGATCAGTGATAGCATTAGATTCTCATAGGAGCATGAACCCCACTGTGAACTGTCCATGTGAGGGATCTAGGTTGCATGCTGCTTTTGAGAATCTAATGCCTGAAGATCTGTCACTGTCTCCCATCACCCCCAGATGGACTGCCTAGTTGCAGGAAAACAAGCTCAGGGCTCCCACTGATTCTACATTATGGTGAGTTGTATAATTATTTCATTTCTTATTACAATGTGATAATAGAAATAAAGTGCACAATACATGTAATGTGGTTGATTCATCCTAAAACCCTCTCCCCCACTCCAGGTCTGTGGAAAAATTGTCTTCCACAAAACTGTTCCCTGGTGCCAAAAAGGTTAGGGACCACGGCTTTAAACAATGCAAAATATGACTGATCAACATGTGGAGAGGTTTAGTAAGTTCAGTTATGTAAGGTGTCACTGTTGGGTACATTTCTATTTCTCAAGAAAGAACCAAACAGGTAAAAGAGTGACTGATTTGGTGGGCACTATGCAGCAAGCACTGTGTAACCCTGGAACTGAAGTCTTTAATTTGTGTGCATCACTGATTCTTCAGTGGCTATAGGTTTGGAATCCAGCTCACAAGTTTGAATATGTTGCTACTGCTGCCACAGCAGTGCAGAGAGTGTATGCCATTTTAGAGGGGCAATCATTACTTGCCTCCAACAATTGTGGCAGTGTGAAAAGAAGGTTGTTTCCAGATCTTCCAATTTTTAAAAGGAAATCCAAAATACAGAAAATACAGACATTTATTAAAAACTTCAATGTTTAAATATTGGGAAATAATACCAAAAAAATCCTTAAAATACTGGGTGTGTTTTAACCTCATAACAAATTTAGCCTTTAAGTCATCATTTTGTTTTTCCTACGTCAATGAATCAGGCCAAATCCTCTACCTCTGTAAATCCTTTTCTAGACCATACTGGCTAGAAGCTATCTCTCTCTCTCTTTGCTGATCTATTCATATGCAAAACAGATGTCACCTTTCTTTATTGCGTTGGTGTGTGTGTGTATGTGTTTGTGTGTAGATGTATAATATTGACTACTACAAAATAAGCTCTTTGAGAAAAGAATACAATTATTCATCTTAAAGTATATCCATGATGCAGTATCTTATATCTATATCTGCTAAATAAACACTAGCTAAATGTATAAATATATGAATCAATGAATGAAAGCTAAGTGGGGTGATAACCTCAAATAATATCATGTATTAAACCAGAAGCATATTTCCAAAATCCATGTCAGTTTGCTACTTTTTCCTTTTAAAATTATAAATGTATTTATGTGTAAAGTTTGTCTTTTTTCATCTTTGTATATCTTCCTTTCTCTTCCATGTACTAAATGCTATGACATATTAATAATTTTTTAGTCATCATCTGTATGTCTCCCTTTCTCTTCCATGTACTAAATGCTAAGATGTATTTATTAATTATTTTTGTCCTGATTAACTGTTAATTAAATACCACAATTTATATATTAAATAAATTAATTCTCACACAAACCCTATGACACAGGTGCTATTATTGCCCTTAATTTCATACAAAGAAACTGAGAGGTAGAGTAACTTGCCTGAGAGCACAGACAGTAGGTAACAGAGCCAGAAATGGAACCTAAGCAGCGGGAGTCTTAACCATCACGTTAGGGTGTTTCTGTTAAACATTCCTGGAAAGTGTCAACAGGGACTACTTCAAGGCCTGGAAATGGGAGGAAGGATAAGAGAATTAAAAAATCAATGGTTTTCATTCTTTTTTGGCTAAAACTTAGTTTTTGTTTTTTTGCTTTTGTCTTTACTTTTTTTCTTCTTTTATAATAAAAGGGATGTAGCTGCATTTGTCAGATCATGGTTGAATTGAAACCATAGGTTGGCCACCAATACAAAAGTGCAGCAAAAATCAAGGAAAGCATTCTGTGACAATCAATTGGTTATGTGGAATTTATAATACAGTATTGCATATTTTATTTTTTAAATTGTGTGCTGCACATCCTTTAGATCAGTAAAATCTATAATAATTTGTGTTTATATATACATGTATACAATATATACAATAAATGTATACATATACATACTCATACATTTTGTCCTGGAGAACCATTTACCACACACCATTCTAATGGAAAAGCTGTGGACATATTTGAGATCTAGCTAATGGAAGCTGAGTTGGAGATTCTTTTACTTTGGCTTAGTGGGATATATTTATGAGGTTTGCAGTCACTTCTATGTATAGCTAAGTTATTGTTAGCCATACACATTTAGGCAAGGCTTCTATAAATATTTCAACTGCTCGCTGTGCTGACTTACCCAGTGCAAGGACATAAAAGTACAGGGCCAGAGATTGTGTTTTGATATGAACATACCTGTGGTGCCCAGTGCAGGAAGTTCATGGCTTGTGGTAAAGAAACGGGAGCCAGAAGTTAGTCTGTGGAGAATTCCTCCAATTAGCAGCCATGAAAATTATTAGCAGAAAATTAGGGTATCCTTGACATCTATTAAATTCTGAAAATTTCCCTGTCAGAAACATACACAATATTTGAGGGTTTACATCTATAAACATACCATAAAATACATACCTGATTTGGGAAAAAATAGCTTTTAAAGTAGAAGGAAAAACTATAAAGAAAGACCTTTGGATACCTTTTTTTCTCTCTTAATGGAAATGGCATATTTGACAAAGCTAGAATTCTGCCTTTTAACTGCATTTTGGAAAATGTTTTAGGCCATTTTAATAAAAACAACTGAAAAATTATAATAATCTGACTTGGGCATGTATGAAAGTTACCTTCTTTTGCTTTCTTTACCTTATTTTAAAAAAAACTGAGAAAAGTCAGATAAAAATAAATGAATATTAAAGAAAGGTTATAAAATTTGAGTAATGGAGTCAATATAAATTGTTTGTTAATTTTAATAAAACTTTTATCAGATCATCGCAAAAGCAGTTAACTCATTAAAAAGAGATCCAATTCAGAGACATTTCAACTATAGTGAAACTATAGTGATTATACAGTGAAAGAATCTGCTAGACTGACAGGTAATTATTAGGAATGCTATGTGAGGGTGACAGTGTGCTGGAAAGAACGTGGGTCTATGACTTAATAAACATGGGTTCTGGCCCCAGCTCATCCTTAACCACACTGAGCTATTTGTGGTTCCTCTCTGAAAAAAAAAAAAAAAAAAGCATTTATTTGGGCTGAGAGTAAATTATCTGACTGAATCTCAAGTTCTCTCCCTCACTGTCTTTCAATCTGTGCTGATATTTGTCATAACTTACCATCATACACATAGGTACACAATTTCTACAAATTAATGTTGAATAGTTTTTCAAATATGGCATGGGATAATGCACTGACTATTCTGAATCCAGGTTATGCTTAACAGGCCTTTCAGGAATTTATCCTCCCCACCTCATGTCACTCCACCCCCGCAGAAAACTGCCTGTCTCATTGTAGCATTGCCAGGGACATTCGTCTGTATTCTGCCTACCTAACTCTGCCTCAATAATGTGAGATGTCCAAGTTGGGCAAATGGGTTGGAAATTCAGTGTTCATTTCCCAGACTGTGGTGGCTGTGGTCAAGCATTAGAGAAATATTATTTCTTATTCATACATTCTGGGACACCAGTTAAGGACTGCTTGGATGTGTTCCATTACAGACAGTACCAAGGCCAAATGCTTTTATTCATTTTATCCATGACTTGGATGATGAAACACGGGTTCTATTTATTCAACTTAAGGATAGATCCCGGAAGGAGGTGTTGTTTATCTCTTGAAAATTTTGATTAAAATTCAAGAAATATAAATGACTTGGAAAAATAATCAGGAAAAGTGTGAGCAATTTCAAGAAACATACAGTGGATGGTACAACTTAAAAGTAATTTAGATTATCTAAACATAAAATAAAATATACTATATATAATTGTGAATAAGTTTAAGGGGTCTAATGCTCACCCTGGGGCTGCAAATTAAACAAGAGATAGCAGTATCTTCATCTATTTTTATTTCCCCAAATTCATTATGAATCTGTCTAAACACGGACATATAAAGGAGTAGTCCCATATTTATCCACAGATTTATGCTTGAAATTAATAAGATGAATTTAAAACAGTAAAAATCAACAGTATTATCTGTAGAAATCTGGTGCCAGGCGTAGTGGCTCATGCATATAATCCCAGCACTTTAGGAGGCTGAGGCGGGCAGATCATTTGAGGTCAGGAGTTCGAGACCAGCCTGGCCAACATGGCAAAATCACGTCTCTACCAAAAGTACAAAAAATTAGCCGGCCATGGTGGTGGGTGCCTGTAATCCCAGCTACTCCAGAGGCTGAGACTGGAGAATCGCTTGAACTCAGGAAGCAGAGGTTGCAATGAGCCGAGTTCGCACCGCTGCACTCCAGCCTGGGCGACAGAACAAGAATCCATTTACAAAAAAAAATGGGTTCAAACTTCTCTGCATGTTAGATATTACTGTAGGAATTTATCTGGTTATCGATTGCAAAATTTAAGAGAAAAAAGATATCTTGGGGACAATTCAGAAAAAAAGCAGTGATGCTGGTTATAGAATTAGGAAAGGTGACTATGAAAAGAAATCATAAGAAATCGTAACAGAAATTAAAATTGGTAAAAATGAAAAATAGGATGACTCAGGAGTGATTGACATAATAAGGATCTTAGATGCCTGTAAGATTATTTTTTTGAAACTACAAATAGAATAAATTTGTTTTTAAAATGGAGTTTGGACCTAAGGAAGCTATTTGTAACCATCTACTTATTATCTTGGCTGCAATGCAGGGGGCAGTCCTACAAAGTAGAGAGCCTAGCTGCCTGGGTCTAACAATAGCAGCCCCTGCTCTCTTTCCAGCCTTAAAGCTGCCTTAAGGCTCTTCTAGCTCCCAGTGTCTCCTTTGAAATGCAAGCATATTTGAAAGTGGTTGCCCTTAATTTACTCATTTTTTCTATCACATAACACTTTAGTACTGGAAACCAAACTAATAGAGAAAGAGAAACTGGGTGAGGGTTTTGAGGGTGTGGAGCTCTCCTGGGGATAAGAAGGGTGCATAGCGAAAGGAAAGGAGTGTTTGTTAGAAAGGAGGAATGTACCCAAGATGTCCCTCATATCAGTTCATTTTTGGTGTGCATGCCAAAGGTCATCAACCCCTGACCTAGCATAACTGTTGAGTTTGGTATGAAATGATAAAAGAAAGTTTAAAGAATTCTCTTCAAGCTTGTCACAGGCATGAATTCCAAACTCTATGAGACACTTTCATCTGTAGAGCTCCAGGATTGGTAGGAAAAGGTGGAAAGTGAATGGTTTGAAAATAGTTTGATCCCTTTAACTAAAATTAGTTTCTGGCAAGAGTTCTCAGCAACATTGGCCTACATTTTCCAGAACTATTGTTCCTGTGCTTCTGCCTAAGTGTGATTTTGTGGTTTCCAAAGTTAGGAGTGAGCCATAAAGAGCAATAAGAAAAGCTGTGATTAAACGAAGGAGAAAATAAAATCCATATGACAAAATTCTGCTGCGTAAACTTTATACTTTATTAATTATTACTTCAGGAATATAAGACTCCTCTGTGAGAGCATATGAAAAATTTAGTTTTGTGTCCCTGTGACATACACTATTAAAAACTGCCTTCTAGCCAAGAAGAATGAGTTGGCTTACAGTTATGTAAATGGTACTATCATTACTCAACTGAAATGTAAAGCATTTTTCTCTAGGTATATACTGCTTTTCTTGTTTGACATCCATTAAAATTCTGTTTCCATTCTCCAGTGTGGTTAGGCACTATAAACTCTTTAGTATTAAGTAGCTAAACTATGTACAATAAAAAATGGGCAGATGTTGCTCTTATAGTCATATGATAGGCATATTAATCAAAAAGACTTCGAAAAAAATCACCCAAAAGTGGAGAATACAAGTTACTACTGTACTGAGATGTCTGAATATTACATGCTGTCCATTTAAGTGAAAAGTTACTGAAGCACATGGTTGAGTAGTATAAGAACCAGATCAACTTAACTTTGAAGAGCTATTTTTACCCAAACCACCCACATATACTTTCACTGCCTGAGCAGACAAGTATACAATAATTGAGCAAAACATAAAACATATTCTTAAAAGCTTACTTTGACCAAAACACAAGTTAGTAGTGGTGATATTATTGCAGGAAACACTGATTTTCTGTGCTGGGCATACAAATTAATCTTAACAAAATGGCAGGCTTTTCTCACTTTTCAACAAAGTATGTGTGGAAACTCCATTCCTAATATTTGTCAAGACTTTTGAGCCAGCCCTTCCAAAAACATTTCAATTTTTGTATTTACATTTACTTCTACACTTGTAAAATATTTTAATGTGATAATGTAGTGAGGAGGGAAGGAGGATTTGAGAAGAAGAAAACATCATATAGTATCTGTGGAAAAGTAAGTTGTGCTTTCTCTGTGTTAATAAAACATATTTATTTTATCTACCTTTCTTTCTCTTTCTCTTTCTTTCTCCCTCCCTCCCTTCTCCTCTTCCTCCCTTTCTTCTCTCTTTCCAGGAAGTTGGGCATTTGAGTCTGCCTTGTTTACTTCCTATTGTACTTCTTCAGTGATCAGAACAGTATCTAACAGACAGTAGGTGTTCAGTAATCATGAGTTGAATGAATAATGATGTTTTCCTTTGCAAGTAATATTCAATGAATATTTTTTCTGTTAATAAAATAATTACATCTTAATGGTAGAAAATCCATTGACAGTATTAACTAGAAAATGTTTTTTTTTCCTATCCAGAAAGGAATTCTTTTCAACAAAGAATATAAATTCTAGAGGAATATACATGAAGAGATGAGAGACAAACATTACATCTTCTCCACATCCACACTTCCCCAATGCTCAGATAAACTCCAACCAACCCAGAACCACACTATTGGTAAGCATCTGTCATGTGTATGGAACTGTGCTATGAGCCATACACAAAGATGAATAGGCGTGGACCTTATATTCAAATTATTATGACTCTCTTAAGGAAGAAGGACACATAAATAAATAATTGCAACACAGCATACAATGTATAATAGTAGAAGTAATTTATTCAGTTTGGAGAGGAGAGGAGGTAGAGAAGATTTCTCAGAGGGTAGTGACAGATATCACAGAAGACACTCTGACTGAAAGTTAAGTAGGAGGTGACTCAGCATGTGACTGACAGTGGACAGCTCTGGTTTTAGCTTTGATACTATCACCGTGGTACTGACAGCTCTTTCCTAAGCTGCCCAAGATCAGCTCTGTCAACTGAAGACCCTGGACTCAGCCCAACATTCTGCAGAGGATGATGAGTAAAGGCAGGCAAACCAGGCCACTGCTGCTGGAACACTGCACTTACCCTTCCTTCACTGTTATAACACTATGAATACGGTTAGAGTTTTTAACAACACTTTTATGCCACTGTATAGTTGTCTTTGAAACAACTTAAATATCCGTTTTTATGTAATTTAGATTTTGAAATTATAGCTACCTTTAATAAAAAAAGTACAAGAACCCTATTCACATTATGGCAAAATGAAAGTGTAAAGTGTGTGTGTACAGTTAATCAGGGGTGTTATCTGAGATTTGAAAGTCAAATAGCTTTTGTATCAATTATTAGCATTTTAAAAATTAACTTTTAAGTCATCAAATTTCAAATTGCATGTAAACATATTTTATTAAAAAAACAGCAGATTCATTTAACAAAGTCAATTCAATAACTGTGTCTTACCAATATCTTTAAAGACATCTTTTTACAAAAGACAGTCAGTTTAGAAAAAAAGTCATTGTTTCAAAGAGAAATAGTCTCTTATACCCTAGCAAATATAAATTATTATTCACAGTACTGTCTAAACAGAAAGAAATTATTTGGCTCAGTGATAAGGCTCCTTGAAGTTTCAGTTAGAAAGTATTACGCACCATTACTCATGTAACATTTGAGCCAAATCTTCTGTATCAAATACACAGCCATTTATTGAATTTTCTTATAAGAATCTTTTACTATTATTGTAAGATGTTTTTATAATTATCCATAGAAAATTTGTATTCAGCCAGGAAAATGTTGCCTTCTCCCTAATCCATGATTTTAATAGAAATATTTCCTCTAGCAATTATTTCTTCCCATTGTTTCTGTCTGTATTATAAATTCCCAAAGCTTAAAATTATAATAGAGGATGAAAATAAAAGGCACTAACTATCAATACTTATGATCTAAAAATGACCTTTATGATTTTGGACTAATTTTTCTAGGTTCTGCATTAATTATTGCATGCATTCATGGTAGTAGCTAAAGACAGAATGCCTGCTACAGTCCACAGCAGGGTGAGACAATTAGCAAATCCATGAATTCTCCTCCTCTTTATACTTTAATTTTAAAGGTTAAATGTTAGTTTATGTAAGGCTTTATGCATTGGTCAGAGGCATTTCTCTGTGACTGATGATGGGGTTTCTTCTCGGTATGAAATGTAAGTGTATGAAAATCAAATATGCATAAGGAAACCAAACATGGTTTCATTTGTCATTTGACCATGAACATTACAAAGCCTGTGGAATAAATAAATAATTCAACTCATTCCATTAAATCTAGTAAATAAACCACACACACACACACACACACACACACACACACACGCAGCTAATGCAAACACAGAGCCAGACTAAGTAGAGTGTGTGTTCAAGGGCAAAAATACTGTCCACTTCATCTCAGTCACAGATAGGGCTGATACTCAATGGGTAGGCACAACAGTCCTTTTGGTTGAAATGTTGAAGCACTTCCATACTGGAGTGTCCTCCTTCAGTTACACTGATGAAGCTCCTCCCCAGGATGCCTCCTCCCCTAATCTCCCTGGGGTTTGAAACAAAAGGGTTAAATCCTGGCACAGCAAAAGATCTCTAGTCTCTGCTGCTGTTCTGTGGTAACCTGCTTCCTTCCTAGTTTGGTGCTTGGTTGTTGGAAGCCAGTCTGACCACTAGTCTCATATCTTTTTTGTTGTTGTTGAGATGGACTCTTGCTCTTGCCATCCAGGCTGGAGTGCAGCGGCACGATCGAGGCTCACTGCAACTTCTGCCTCCTGGGTTTAAATGATTCCCCTGCCTCAGCCTCCCCGGTAGCTGGGACTACAGGTGTGCACCACCACGCTTGGCTAATTTTTATACTTTTAGTAGAGATAGGGTTTCTCCATGTTGACCAGGCTGGTCTCGGACTCCTGATTTCAGGTGATCCACCCGCCTTGGCCTCCCAAAGTGCTGGGATTGCAGGCATGAGCCACCATGCCTGGCCTAGTCCGATCTCTTGAGTACCCATCCTAAAAATAAGGTTAAGGTGGTAGGAGATAAGTAGTGAGTCGGAAGAAAATAAAAAGTTAGTGTATTTGAAAGGTAATCTGAAAGCCATTCCTTAAATGTTTTATCAAAAGTCAAATGCCAGCTGGGCACAAGGGCACATACCTCTAGTTCCAGCAACTCATGAGGCTGAGGCAAGAGGATCTCTTAAGCCCAGGACTTTAAAGGCAGCCCGGGCAACATAGCAAGACCCCAGCTCCTAAAACAAAGGAAGGAAAAAAACAAACCCCACTTCAGATGTCTACAAGAATAAGCTAAGCAAATAAAATGTTGGTGAGATGAGGACTGCAGCACAATGGAGATTGTGTGCCCCACAGAAGCTGGAAGTTGTTATTCCTGAGCTCAGTACTACAAAGTCTTCAGATCTTTCAAGTTATACTGGAAATCGAATTATACTGGATTTGCATGTGAAATCTACTGATTTATAAATGTTGCCAAATAATTCAATTAAAAACTAAATCCAAAACCAAAGCACTGGGTGAACCAAACCATACATACTTGCTGGTGGGATTCAGCTTGAAGTCCAGTGGTTTGGAACTTCTGACTTAGAATCTTCCTTCTTTTCTGGCGAGGCATGGGCACACGATTTCTCTTTTTGTCGTAAATAGTTAAGTAGAGTTGAAAAATCAGTGTTTTATGGCCCTTGTAATTTCATCAGTTCACGATTACACACAGTGCTGTAGAATTTTATGCCCTGAATGTAACCATGGGGTTGAATTTGTTTCACAAATTAAAATAGTAGGCATTCATGTGGCCAAGCACAATGCATAATGTTTGTAAAATATCATAACTGATTTCTTGCCCCATCCATTTTTAAGTGTTCAGCAAGTGTATATCATTCTATAGGAGCATAAATTTATGCTCGTTTTGCCTCCAACTTAATGAAACTCTGATATAAACTCTGGTCTAAAATTTGTACCTGAAGAAAATTAAGCAAATTCTAAAAAAATATACTATAAGCATGGTTAAATAAAGTGGAAAGAAAATGTACATTTTCACTTCCTCCTTTAAATAAAATGAAGAGCAAGATAGAGCATCAGTGCCTAAACAGATATTGGAGAAACCTTTATGGCTATTAGTAGATGAGGAATCAGATTTTTTGCAAGGGGCACCTAGTTCTCCCCTCCAGCTTTTTTCCTCCTTAGTGAGGAAAGAGTGGTCCCAAGTACTACTTAGGGGGATCACAGTCTACCTGGGACTTTTAAAAGTTTCCATCTCTGAATATAATTTAAGTGTTATTAGGGGAGAAAGGATAGAGACAGTTGTCATGTTTCAGAACCTCTAAAATGACAGGCAGTGTGAGTATGGTGTAGAAAGTGAAGTCAGAGTTCAGGCATTGGAAGAATCTGTCATCTACTAGCTAAGTGATTTAAGGTGAGCTAGTTATTGTCTCTGTAAGTCAATTTGCACTCTGTAAAATGGGAATAAAAATAACTCCCTCAGTCCGGGCGCGATAGCTTACGTCTGGAATCCCATCACTTTGGGAGGCCAAGGCAGGCAGATCACCTGAGGTCCAGGAGTTCAAGACCAGCCTGGCCAACAAGGCGAAACCTTATATCTACTAAAAATACAAAAATTAGCCGGGTGTGGTGGCACACGCCTGTAAGCCCAGCTGAGGCTGGGAGGCTGAGGCAGGAGAATTGCTTGAGCCTGGGAGATAGAGGTTGCAGTGAGCCGAGCCACACCACTGCACTTCAGCCTGGTCGACAGAGCAAGACTCTGTCTCAGAAGGAAAAAAAAAATACCTCAAATGTTGTGAGAATCAAATGGCATTACAAAAGATTCACAAAAAATTCATTACATTTAACAAGTATATTTAACATGGTGTCAGGATCATATTAATTTGCTTGATACTTTACTCACACATCATGCATACAATGCAAACACATACATATACACGTACATACAAAACAAATACAGCAGTTATTTGCAGCCAAGAAACAAGCAAGATGTTGGAAACAGTTTTGTTCATGAAAGGGCAGAGATGGTGTTAGCCCAGAATAGCTTACCTGCCTGCATAGCTGTTCCATGATCAGCAAGTCTACTCTTTGGGGATAGAAGACCTTTTAGAAGTTAAAGGGACTCCTTAACATCCCACCCTTCTTTCTTATTTTCCCTTCTCTTCCCCTCACCTTCATGTCATTACAGTAGCTATAAGGAATAATGCCTTAAAGTTTATCAACTAATAATTTACCAGTGATTAATTTTGTGACTATGGCAAAGTGGTAGAAAGTATCTGCGGATGGGACATAACGTATTTTCTATGTAGGCTCCTGAATAAACAAACAAATAAATGAAGTAGGTGCCTTAGATGGGCTTCCATGCTAGGCAAAGAGAGAAGACCAAGAAAACTTAGTAAAGCCAAAGATTTGAGACCTGTACTGTCTAACCAACAGGTATCACTTATAAATAACAAGAGTTGCTCTTCACTGCCTGCTGGTCCTGTTCCAAGCACTGTGTGAAGTATATTTATAACAACGGTTTCTTTAATTCTTGTATCAACCTTTAGGAAGACACACTATTGTCCCCATTTAACAGAGGTGGAAATCGGAACTAAGGGAGTTTAAGCAACATGCTCTGCATTCCACAGAATGTCAGAACTGTGGTTTAAATCCAGTTCTAGTACAGGTTCAAAGCCTGTATTCTTAAACAATTCTGTTTACTGCCTCCTTCCAAAGGAACTGGATACACCTCTAGTCTCATAATTTAAGATATTCAGGCAGTTGCTTCCGTCACAGAGATTGAAACTAGTGAAGAATAGAGCTTGTGAGAAAGAAAAAAAGAACCCACACATTTGTTCTGACAAAAATGGTCATAAGAGAAAAGAGAAAGAGGAACGAGCAGGGAAGGGCAAAGAGGGAAAAGTGGGAGAGATGAGGAAGAATTAGTCAGAGGGAGGTGGAAGAGAGGTAAAGAAGGAGAGAACATTCTTTCCTCTCAGGAGAGTAGAAGCGTTAACAGAACAAGCTGGGAAGGGGGGAAAGTGATAATGGAGGAACATGGTAAGAGGGAGTGGGGTGGCTCCGATGACAGTAAAGGGATCCAGTTAACATGGCCCCAACCAGGAGTTGTGCTAATGAGCTCTGTTGAGGCTACTACCAAACAGCTGTTCTGAGAGCTTCAACAGCCTCAGAATTGCCCTGCAACCCTGAGGGGCTCCCAGCTCCAATTCTTGAAGCACAAGCTTTGAGGATCCGTTTGGTTGTATCTTTTTCATTTTATTATCTAAATCAGCCAGCTGGAAGAAGATTGGTTCATGAGGGAATATATACTTGCACTTTGAGACTTGGAATTAGGATATGTCTGTTTCCAATTACATTGAATATCAAAAGAGAAAAGATATGTTTTACTGAATAGCTTTTCCTAAATAGTTAGAAGTATATTTAACAGCACAGTATGTTATTATTGCTTAATCAATTATCTGCTATTTCACCTTGATACTTTGCACAGAATCCCATGACTGTGGATATTGTTTTCAAATGCTACTGTACATAGGAAGCAATGTGTGGGCTTTGGATTTGACAACAAGAGAGTGACAAAAATAGGATGAATATATACTCCATCAAGATTTTGGCTTCAGTTTTATTGAAAATCACTCCTAATGCATACTGTCAATAAATACCAATTGTTCTATTAAGAACAATAATAACAAATGTATCTGAGTTCCTTCTTAGAATATGGCTGGCTATCCAAAGCCAATCTTTAGTGAGAAAATACAAAAATCATGTAGAATTTTAAATTCGGAAATCCTCCCACCCCCCGGAACACACATGGCACCATCCTAAGTGAGGCAGCAGGAATGACAACCTCCTACCCACAAATTTGATGCTGTGGTTGTTCATGTAGGGTATTCTTTTGTTCACTGAAACAGAAGTTAGATTTAGATTTAGGATATTATTTCAGAAAACATATGCATCATGAGGAAATAGAAGGATTTAAGTTACATTCAATCAGTCCTGAAAACATTTCACAAAATGGGCTCTAGAAGTTACATGGTTCATCTGTTCTCTCCTTAAATATTAGTGTGTGTGTGTATGCCCTTTATGTGATCATTGTGAGTCAACATTAAGTAAATATTTTCAAAAGACCTAGGAAAGTTTCCCTGAAATATTTCCCACATTTCCTGAATATTAGGGATCATGCTAACAAGAGATACTGATTGTCCTGAACCTGACAAAGCAGCACAGTGCCCAGTCACAAGGGTGTTGGCATCAGAAATCCAAGTGCCACCACTTACTAGCTATATGAGGTGGGCAACCTCTCAAGCCTTGATTTCAGTATGTGTAAGATACAATGAAAATTATAAATCACCTCATGAGTTGTCACAAGGTTTAAATAAAATAATGCCTAGCAACAGCCATACGATATGCTTTCACTGGGTGCCTCTTAACACATTTTAGCTTTTTAAAATTATTACCATTATTAGAAATATTAGTGAAAATAAAAACCTTGCTGGAAGTGTTAGCACACTAACTCAAAGTAAACTAATGTTTAATGATAATCAAATATTTAGGCACAGCGGGAGAGCAGGAGAGAGTAAGAATATTGGCCCCTGAAACAGCCATTAAAAAAAAAACGCTGGTGGAATTGAAGATCCACTCCACATCAGTGTAGTTACCTGTCATTAAGTACATTTTTTTTAATGACCAAAGAACAGTTTGTTGCTCCCAGGCCTTATCTCTGCAATTCCAAGACACATCAGTGAAGCCTATTGTACCATATAGTTTCATTAGAAACCTAATAAAATAAAATAAGCATGATCTATGGACCCATGTTTGACTTTCAATCAAACCAAATAAACCATCACCAGAAAAATGTGGACAAATTGTCTCTCTGAAGCTCAGCTTCTTCATCTATAAAATGGAGACAAAGTAATCATCTCAGAGACCTCTCAGGAACTGGGTAATCAAGTGCCTAGCATCATTCCTGGTACACAGTAAAAACTCAAAAAGTGTTGTTTACCTCCCTTGTCCCCTCCTTTACAGGCATGAGGAGATAACTACAAGACAATGTCTACACTTCAATAAATGTTCCCCTTTCTAATCTTTTAACTTGATAATATAATAAACATGTATATGAAAGTTATCATTTTATGCCAGTTGTAAACAATTTCTTCATTCCTTACAACAACCAATCATATTCAGTTTATGAATCACACAACTGGTAAGGAGCAGAATTAGAATATCTGCGTAGGTTGTTCAATTGTGATCTCACATGCTCCCACTACACCATGCATATTATTAAGTATTTAAGTCAAGTCACAGATTCAAGAGTTAAATAAATGCAAATATTTGCTTATAGAGTTTTACTTCCCTAAACTGTTACTAATCACTTCCTAAATAAATGATAGATTCCCTCTCCTCCCTGGTATGCCTTTGCTTTCAGTAGAGTGCTCTCAAGAGTTGAAATATACCGTTGCCTTTTCTTGTCCACAACTTCAGGCAAGCCACCTGCAGCTTGAGTTACAAAAGTCATTAGAGTACCTTCTCCTATATTTTACTTTCACTGAGAATCACTGATAGCTGAATTTCTTCAACAGTGAGGCAGGTTCCCAACTGCGTCTTTTATTACCTCAGTTTCTAGATCTTTTCTCTGTCAGACACACAAAACATGGAGAAGGAGTCCAACTATTTGCACCCAATCAATGTAAATTTTTGTGCAAGCCCTTTGATGTCAGTTAATCAGGAAGGTTGGCAACTAAATAACTCATTACTTAATTTTCTCTTTCTTCCTTTAAGCATGCTCAATTACTTGAATCACTCTTTGTCCAAGTAATAAACTTTCATTACTTGCAATCATTCCTTATTTCCTAAAGTGGCCACCCTCTTTAGGAAATTATTTTTTCAAAAAAATAACACTTTCTTAAAAAGTTTTAAAATCTAGTTACTGTGTGGTTTCTTGATAAGTGACATTAAAATTTTACCTAAGTTCAGTCATGTTTCTTTTAACTATTATGGCATCCTTATGAACTACTGGTGATCAACAGGGCGATTCAATGTATGGAGTAATAAAAACAAGTTTAAGAAAAAAACGCAATGATGAGTTAGAGGAAAGGCAGTAGGGTAGCATGGCAGCAAAATTTGCTTCATAGTATAATTAATTACAGGTATAATTAGAAATATAGGGACTATAATTTTCTTAATTTCTTAATTATGAACATCAATAGTGTGAGAGTTACTTAGATGACATTAATATCCTGGAAGAGGAGAAAATGGCTTATTTGGCAGATACTGTTTCTACTAATCAAAGTCTCTTTCTCTTTTTTGGGATCATTAAGCACATGCGTATTGTACATGAATCTTCATTTGGTGATCTCTTATGAGAAGGTACCTCATGCGAGTTTAGCTATGTATGGTAAGCAGTACATGTCAGTGAAGGGTTAGCCCCACAAACACTCTGTGGAATGGTCAAAACCCAGTTAATTTATGGTGCTGTTGGGTTTTGTTTACTTTTCTTTGACTCCTAATCTGCCAGAATACAAAGGTACATTTTGCATAATAACAATGACTATGGTCTACCATAATTTTAAAAGTCTAGTGAATCACTAAAGGAAAAGACGAGCACAAAAATGGGCTAAATAATTTAACAGTTTCTTTCTGGAGATGAATTTTTTCTTCTCTTATGATACTAAAAATACATCTTTTAAAATCCACACAAAAAAATTTTGAAAAATGCACACCTACCAGATTGAGTTATAATGACAACTTCGACTATTAAAAATCTAGGTTAAATTATTAGCTTTTTCAAGAATATCTGTATACATGAACTAAATATAAACCTTATATAGAAACCATTTTTCTTCCACTTTCCCCTTTTATAGTGTCCAGCAGGCCTTCAGCTTCTATACTCTTATTATAGGTACCAAATTTGTTGCACTGTAACTCTGAGTTAAAAGTACATTGGCCTATTTTTTGTATAAAATTGGGACACATAGTCTGACAAAAGATTTTATGACTCTCCCAGTGAAAGAGATAGTCTGGAATTAATAAGTTATACACCAAAAATATAGGAAATTCTAAGATGTTTCAATAAATTTTGTGATAGCGATAGAAATTTAGAATCAGGGCTGTCACAGAAAATCACAATGGTATGGTATGAACTGTACCTTGTTTTTGAATATATTTTTCCCAGTGTTTTGGTATCCAACTTACTTCTAGATTATTATTGAGGCACAATTCCACAGTGCCTCATGTAACACTGAAAAATCCATGTGTTGTGCAAAGACTGGTGGCTGAGCAGTTTACCCTCCAGGACCGCTCAGGCAATGTGCACCTGGAAAAACCACAAAAACAGCAGCAAGAGTCAGGAACAGTTTCCTCAATGCCTGTTGCATTCTAGTGCAGTGCAAGACAGTGACAGTGTTGCCATATCCGACTTACTGCCTAGAGAAGCAAAAGCTACACCGCTAGCCTGATGGCAGGGGTCAGGGTTCCAAGACTTACAGTTGACCAGATGTTCTAGTTATCTGTTATTGCAAAACAAAGAACCGTAAAACTTAGTGTCTTAACAATTACTTTATAATACCACATGATTTTGTGAATTGGATATTCAAACAAGTCCCAGCTACACGATTCTTCTGTTTAATGGGACATTGATCAAGCTCGAGTTGTACTCAGCTGGAAAATGAGCTGCTCTGGAGGATCTAGCATGGCTTCAATCACTTGCCTAGTTCCTTAGCAAAGAGAGCTGAAAGGCAGGAGTGAGGCTGACAATTTCAACCAGTGCACCCAAGCATGGCCTCCCTCTGTAGAAAACTTCAAGGTAGGCTTTTTTTTTTTTTTTTTTTTTTTTGAGATTAGTTCTGGCTCTGTGGCCCAGTCTGGAGTGCAGTGGCATGATAACAGCTCACTACAACCTCCTCCTCTTGGACTCAAGCCATCCTCCTGCCTCAGTCTCCCAAGTAGCTGGAACTACAGGCATGCACCACCATGCCCGGCTAATTTTTGTATTTTTTGTAGAGATGGGGTTTCACCATATTGCTCAGGCTGGTTTCAAACTCCTGAGCTCAAGTGATCTGCCCACCTTGGCCTTCCAAAGTGCTAAGATTTTAGGTATAAACCACTATGCCTGGCCAACAGTCTTTCTACATAGTATCTTGGGACTCCAAAAGTGAGTGTTCCAGTGAATAAGAACAAAACTGCACGGCTTTTAAAGGTCCAAGGTGCCCCATCTGCTGTACTCTATTGGTAAAAGCAGTCATGAGTCACTCAAATTCAAGGGGATGGGACCTAGAACCAATCTCTGATGGGAAAAATGTCAAATATTTGGGTCATGTTTGTAAATGACACACTGGGATTCAGACATTTAAGCATAAAGAAAGAGCCAAATTCTAAGGATCTGTATCAGGTCCCAAATTTTTTTTTCTGGGAGGCTGGTCTGCAGGCAATCATTCTTGAACAAGCCAAGCTTTAAATGTTACCACATTAATATTTATATATTTATATATATTAATATTTTTATATTTTCTTAAGGAAAATTTAAAGGAATTACTCCTAAAATAAACTGTAAAATTGTAAATAATCAAGTAGCAAGAAGCTACCCTTGTCTAGTCATTGGAGTCCAATATATTATATACTGCAAACTATTTGTCAGGATTCACACTGTTCCTTCTCTCTGTGTCAATTGTTCCATCTGATCCTCTCTACTCATCTAAATCAGTCATTCGTCTGCACACAGGATAAATCCCATCAAGATTTCCCTAGTACTCACAGTTCACCGTAATTTTTTTTTCTCTCATGAAAAATCTGTCATCATCTATACCAATCATTTGACTTCCTTTATTGTTAACTGTGTTTAAGTCTATAATTTCTAATTCCTTAGCTAAGGCATAAGCTCTTTGACTTTAGGAATCATTGTATCCTTCACAGTGTCTTGCACATTGATTGCTAATTGATTGCTGATTAAGTAATTGATTAGTTGATCAATAGACTGTTCTCCATAGGAATTCCTTTGTTTAAAAATAGATGTTAAAATGGACTTACATGAGTAATCCATAATCTTGATTTGGGGACATGTCACACTTTGCATTTGGAACAACTCCTAGATAAGAGATTACAATTTTCTATAGAATAAATGACTAAACTGATAGAATAATAGATAATTGTTCTAAGTAACACAGCATCTCTCATTCCCTGGAGTATGACTTGGGACCTCAGCCTCTTCATCTTTAAAGCAGAAATAATCATTCCTACCCTATAAGGAAGGTTGTTTAAAGATAAAATGAGATAATAGCTGAAAGTGTTTAGCAGTGTGCCTGTGACTTCATAAATGTCAATAAATTAGGATAGCAATAGTTATAGGAGAAAGTATAATTATTGTTTTTTTCTTTCTTATTATTTCAATAGTTTTTCAGGAACAGGTAGTATTTGGTTACATGGATTACTTCTATAGTGGTGATTTCTGAGATTTTGGTACACCCATCACCCAAGCAGTGTACATGGCACTCAATGTGTAATCCTTTATCCCTCACCCCACCTCCCACACTTCTTCCTGAGTCCCCAGAATTCATTATGTCATTCTTATGCCTTTGTGTCATCATAGCTAAGCTCCCACTTATAGGTAAGAACATACAATGTTTGGTTTTCCATTCCTGCAATACTTCACTGAGAATAATGGTCTCCAATTCCATCCAGTTTGCTACGAATGCCATTATTTTGTTTCTTTTTATGGCTGAGTAGTATTCCATGGTATATATAATTTATCCCAAATTTTCTTTATCTACTTATTGTTTGATGGGCATTTAGGCTGGTTCTATATTTTTGCAATTGCAAATTATGCTGCTTAAAAACATGTGCGTGCAAGTGTCTTTTTCATATATGACTTCTTTCCCTCTGGGTAAATACTAGTAGTGGGATTGCTGGATCAAATGGTCGTTCTACTTTTAGTTCTTTAAGGAATCTCCATACTGTTTTCCACAGCGGTTGTATTAGTTTACATTCCCACCAGCAATGTAAAAGTATTCCCTTTCACCATGTCAACATGTTATTTTTTTATTTTTAAAATTATGGCCATTCTTGCAGGAGTAAGGCGGTATCTCACTGTGGTTTAATTTGCATTTCCCTGATAATTAGTGATGTTGAGCATTTTCTCATATGTTTGTTGTCTATTTGTATATCTTCTTTTGAAAATTGTCTATTCATGTCCTTTGCCCACTTTTTGATGGGATCATTTGGTTTTTTGTTGCTGATTTGTTTGAGTTCATTGAGGATTCTGGATATTATTCCTTTGTCAGATGTGTAGTTTGCAAATATTTTCTCCCATTCTGTGGATTGTCTATTTACTCTGCTTATTATTTCTTTTGTTGTGCAAAAGCTTTTTAGTTTAATTAAATTCCATCTATATAACTTTGTTTTTGTTGCATTTGCTTTTAGATTCTTGGTCATGAACTCTTTGCCTAAGCCAATGTCTAGAAGAGTTTTTCTGATGTTGTCTTTTAGAATTTTTATGGTTTCTGGTCTTAGATTTGAGTCTTTGATCCCACTTGAGTTGATTTTTGTATAAGGTAAGAGATGAGGATCTGTATCATTCTTCTACATGTGGCTTGCCAATTATCCCAGCACCATTTGTTGAATAGGGCGTCCTTTCCCCACTTTATGCTTTTGTTTGCTTTGTCAAAGATCAGTTTGCATCTATTGAGATGATCAAGTGATTTTTGTTTTTAATTCTGTTTATGTGGTGTATCATATTTATTGACTTGTGTATGTTAAACCAACCCTTCATCTCTGGTATAAAACCCACTTGTTCATGGTGTATTATCTTTTTGATATGCTGTTGGATTTGGTTAGCTAGTATTTTGTGGAAGATTTTTGCAGATATGTTCATCAGAGATAGTAGTCTGTAGTTTCCTGTTTTTGTCAGGTCCTTTCCTGGTTTTGGTATTAGGGTGATACTGGCTTCATAGAATGGCTTAACGAGATTTCCTTTTTTCTATCTTTTGGAATAGTTTCAGTAAGATTGGTACCATTTCTTCTTTGAATGATCTTTTGTGTTTCTGTGGTATCAGTTGTACTATCTATCTCCTATTTCTTTTCTAATTGAGCTTATTTGAATCTGCTCTCTTCTTTTCTTGGTTAATCTCAGTAACGATCTGCCAATTTTGTTTATTTTTTCAAATAACTAGCTTTTTGTTGCATTTATCTTTTGTATTTTTTTCTTGTTTGTTTCAACATCCTTTAGTTCTGCTCTGATCTTCATTATTTCTTTATTTCTACTGAGTTTGGGTTTGGTTTATTCTTGTTTCTCTAGTTCCTTGAGGTGTGAGCTTAGATTGCCTATTTGTGTTCTTGCAGATTTTTTGATGTAGCATTTAATGCTGTGAATTTTCCTTTTAGTGCCACTTTTGCTGTATCCCAGAGGTTCTGAACCATTGTGTCATTACTGTCGTTCAGTTCAGTGAATTTTTAAATTTTCACTTGATCTCATTGTTGACCCCAAGATCATTCAGGAGCAGATTATTTGATTTTCACCTGTTTTTGTATAGTTTTGAGGATTCCTCTGGAAGTTAATTTCCAATTTCATTCTAAAGTAGTCTGAGAGAGTACATACATAATTTAAATTTTCTTAAATTTATTGAGACTTGTTTCGTGGCCTATCATATGGTCTATCTTGGAGAATGTTCCACGTCCTTGTGAAAAGAATGTATATTCTGCAGTTTTTGGGTAGAATGTTTGGTAAATACCTGTTATGTTCCTTTGTTCTAGGGTATAGTTTAAGTCCATTTTTTCTTTGTTGATTTTCTGTCTTGATGACCTATCTAGTGCTGTCAGTGGAGTATCAAAGTTCCCCACTATTATTGTGTTGCCATATATCTCATTTCATAGGTCTAGTACTAATTGTTTAATAAATTAGGGAGCTCCAGTGTTAGTTGCACATATACTTATGATTGTGATATTTTCCCATTGGGCTAATCCTTTTATCACTA
This sequence comes from Homo sapiens, assembly GCF_000001405.40. Classification (NCBI taxonomy): domain Eukaryota; kingdom Metazoa; phylum Chordata; class Mammalia; order Primates; family Hominidae; genus Homo; species Homo sapiens. Next base: position 147,637,287 of record NC_000003.12, on the reverse strand, counting down.
TATAATGTCCCTCTGTCTTTTTAACTGTTGTTGCTTTAAAGTCTGTTTTGTCTGATACAAGATTAGCTATTCCTGCTCAGTTTTGGTTTCCGTTTGCATAGAATATATTTTCCACTCCTTTACCTTAAGTTTATGTAAGTCCTTACGTGTTAGGTGAGTCTCTTGAAGACAGCAGATACTTGGTTTGTGTATTTTTTATCCATTCTGCCATTCTGTATATTTTAAGTGAAGCAATGAGGCCATTTACATTCAACATTAGTACTGAGATGTGAGGTACTGTTCTATTCATAATGCTGGTTGTTGCCTGAATACTTTGTTGTTGTTTTTGTTTTGTTTTGTTATTATTTTATAGACCCTGTGAGATTTATGGAGGTTCTATTTTGGTGTACTTCAAGGTTTTGTTTAAAGATTAGAACTCCTTTTAGCATTCTTTGTAGTGCTGACTTGGTAGTGGTGAATCCTGTCAGCATTTGTTTGTCTAAAAAGGACTTTATCTCTCCTTCATTTATGAAGCTTAGTTTTGCTGGATACGAAATTCTTGGATGATAATTATTTTGTTTAAGGAGACTAAAGACAGGACTCCAATCCCGTCTGGCTTGTAGGGTTTCTGCTGAAAAATCTGTTGTTAACCTGATAGGTTTTCCTTTATAAGTTACCTGATGGTTTTGCCTCACAGCTCTTAAGATTCTTTCCTTTCTCTTGACTTTAGATAAACTGATGACTATGTTCCTAGGTGATGATCTTTCTGTGATGGATTTCTTGAGTGTTCTTTGAGCTTCTTGTATTTGGATGCCTAGATTTCTAACAAGGCTGGGAAAGTTTTCCTCAATTATTTCCTCAAGTAAGTTTTCCAAACTTTTAGATTCCTCTTCTTCCTCAGTAACACCAATTATTCTTATGTTTGGTCATTTAACATATTCTCAAATTTCTTGAAGACTTTGCTCATTTTTCAAAACTCTTTTTTCTTTGTCTTTGTCAGATTGGATTAATTCAAATGCCTTATTTTCCAGCTCTGAAGTTCTTTTTTCTACTTGTTTGACTCTATTGTTGAAACTTTCCTGTGTATTTTGCATTTCTCTAAGTGTGTTTTTCATTTTCAGAAGTTGTGATTGTCTTTTATTTATATTATCTATTTCTCTGGAGACTTTTTCATCCATATCTTGTAGTTTTTTTTTAATTTCTTTTGTTTTTCACCTTTCTCTGGTACCTCCTTGAGTAGCTTAATATTCAACCTTCTGAATTTTTTCTAGCAATTCAGAGATTTCTTCTTGGTTTGGATCCATTGCTAGAGAGCTAGTGTGATCTTTTGGGGGGTGTTATAGAACCATGTGTTGTCATATTACCAGAATTACTTTTCTGGTTCCTTCTCATTTAGGTAGACTGTTTCAGTGAAAAGATCTGGAACTCAAGGGCTGCCGTTCAGATTTTTTTTGTCCTATGAGATGATCCCTTGATTTGGTACTCTCCCCCTTCCCCTAGGGATGGGACTTCCTGAGAGCCAGAATGCAGTGATTGTTATCACCCTTCTGCATCTAGCCACCCAGCAGGGGTACCAGGCTTCAGGCTGGCACTGAGGAATGTCTGCAAAGAGTCCTGTGATGTGATCCATCTTTAGGTCTCCCAGCCATGGATAGTAGCACATGCTCTGGTGGAGGTGGCAGGGGAGTGAAGTGGACTCTGTGGGAGTCCTTGGTTGTAGTTTTGTTTAGCATGCTGGTTTTGAATACTGGTTATGCTAGTGGTGATACCACATGGACAAACTCAGAAAGTCTGGTTAGCCAAGGTGTTCCAGGTGGCAGAATTAGCTGTTGTTTTCTCCTTCTTTGGACCAGGATTGTTCTGTTATGAGTTGCTGTAATGGCTTGAGATACATACTCAGGTTTCTCAGGTGATCAAGGGGGGCATAGAGCTCCCAGGAGTTTATGTCTTTTGTCTTTGGCTACCAGGGTGGGTCAAGAAAAACCACCAGGTGAGGGCGGGTTGAGGCAGGTCTGAGCTCACACTGTCCTTGAGCATGGCTTGCTGTGGCCACTGTGGCAGGTAGTGGGTGGTTCCCAGGCCAATAGAGTTACGTTTCAAAAGGGATTATAACTGCCTCTGCTGTATCACGCAGGTTGCCAAAGCAGTGACAAGGCTCACCCAGCTTGAATGTAGTCAGCAAGGCCAGCCTCACTCCCATCATGCTCCAACAACAGCACCAAGTTTATATCCAGGCAGCTAGTGAGTAGGGATGAGATCTTGCCCCAAGCCACATGCCTCCCCACTGAGAAAGTAAGCAGGGTTCTCAGACCTTGCCCCTCCTTGCCTGCCCACACCTTCAGGTGCTGCTTCTGTGCTCATATCTCTACTTCCCATTCCCACCCCTACACCCCTCCAAGATTCTGCTCAGAAAAATTCATAATCAATTGAAATTATTACGAAGTTCAGCTAGGAGCTTCCTTCATGCTGTGGTCCCTCCTCAATTCTGCTGGTTGCCTTCCTCAAGGACCTCTGTGAGATAAGGCCAGGAATGACTTCCCTGGGCTTGAGCTAGGGACCTGGAGTGCCTACAGGGCTCTTCCCATTGCTTATTCTACCTTTATGTGTTGCTCGGCTCCCTAAATCCACTTCAGATCTAGGTAAGGTTAAATCCTTTTCCCATGATCTGGATTTTCACGTTCCCCAGTGGGGATGTGCTCTCAGAGGCAGCCTTTTTCCCCACTTCACACTTTGGGAACTCACAGTTTTTCAGCTGTCTTGCAGAGTTGGCAGAGGCAAGCTGCTTATTTCAAAGGATCTGTGAATTATTATTATTATTACTATCATTTTTGGTATGTTCCTGCAGTAGTTCTCGGAGCAAAAGTTCACAATGTGAGTCTCCACATGCTGTTCTTTCTGCCCAAGTGGAAGCTGCATATTAGTCTTGTCACCTATCTGCCATTTTCAGTTCTATAGCTAATTACTGTTGATTTCACTATTGTTACTCTATCCTCCATAATTATGACATAAGAAATCTCGGCTGGGCATGGTGGCTCATGCCTGTAGTCCCAGCACTTTGGGAGGCCAAGGTTGGCAGATCACGAGGTCAGGAGATTGAGACTATCCTGGCTAACACGGTGAAACCACGTCTCTACTAAAAATACAAAAAAAATTAGCCGAGCATGGTGGTGGACGCCTGTAGTCCCAGCCACTCCGGAGTATGAGGCAGGACAAAGGCGTGAACCTGGGAAGCGGAGCTTGCAGTGAGCGAGATAGCTCCACTGCACTCCAGCCTGGGCAACAGAGCAAGACTCCATCTCAAAAAAAAAGAAAGAAATCTCAAGACACCTATTCCATAATTTCCTTTCTCAAATAAAAGGATTCTCCACGGATTGGAGATCACATTGGTAATTCAACCTTTTTTGAAAAATAAGTGAGCAATAGTGTATGCATTAAGAGTTCAGTCTCAGGGGTCAAATCTATGTAGGTTAAAAATACCAGTTCCATGACTCATTAATTCTGTGACTGGGTAAGTTGCTGAACTTCACTTTACCTCAGTTTACCCATCTCTAAAATGGAAATCATAACAATATATCTTCATTGTTATTATTATTACTAGAATACAATTAATCAGAGGGAAATGCTTTGCATGTCTAGGATGAGTTTGGGTAGGAAATTTCTGCTGCTTTTTATCTTTAAATACAGAGAAATAGAATTTAGAGTTTGAAAAAAGCATTAGAAGTTATCTAACCCAGATTTTCAACTGTACCAAAATTCTTTATAAATACCTCTCATGAATGATTATTCAGGCTTCCCTAGAGGGAAAGCACAACCTCATTCCAACTTTATGTAGCTTGAATTGTTTCTTATTGCATTCAATTTTACTTACAAGTAATCTCACACTTTGGTTCTACACATGTTGTCTGTCCTACACAGAAAAATGTAAAAATCCCTTTTATTTGGTAAATTATTAAAGATTGTTATCATATAATCCTAGAGTCCTCCATTTTTCTTTTCTTCTAATGGTTTCTCACATGCTCTGATTCTTAGAATCTTTTCCATCCTGTTGTCTCACCACCAGACTGATACTACATTCCTTTTAATGAGAACCAGCAGTGAACACAATAACATAGGCATTCAGTCAGGTTATTACTTTCTTCATTCCAGGGATGTAAATTCTATTTATTGCAGCCCAAGTACTGACTTAATTGTCAGTTCAGTTGTGTCATTGTCTACCACAATGCTATTTTCTTTCAAGCCACATCAAGGATTGAGAACATTTATTATAAATTTACACTGTATGATTATTCTACATAAGTTTTTAAGTTTTATTTATTGTACATAAAACAGAAAATGTAATTCCAGTTCCAGTCCATAAGGTATATGTAATCCCAGAAACTTACTAGGATATATCTACATCTATATATATCTTATATCTTTATATATCTATAAACCTATATACATACACACACACACACACACATACACAGAGAGAGAGGGAGAGAAAGAAAGAGAGAGAGACAGTGAGAGAGAGAAAGTCTCACTCTAACACCCAGACTGGTGTGCAGTGGGTGATCATTGCACACCAGTCTGGGTGTTAGAGTCTGGGAACACCCAGATCATTGTTCACCAGTCTGGGAAGCTCACTGGAGCTTCAAACTCCTAGTTTCCAGTGATCCTCTCACCTAAGCCTCCCAAGTAGCTGGCACTATAGTCACATGCCAATTTTTTCACACACCTGGCTAATTTTTTCATTTTTCATAGAGATGGGTTCTCACTATGCTGCCCAAGCTAGTCTTGAATTCCTGGCCTCAAGCAATTCTCCCATCTCAGTCTCCCAATGTGCTGAGATTACAGGTGCAGACCACTGCATCCAGCCTTATTTCAGTAATATTTTAAAAGACTTTCACAGCAAAAAAAAAAAAAGAAAATAAGAAAAATTTTAATCTGTCAGTGATGAGCCAGATTGAAAAAAATTAAAAGAAAGAAAGAAGGATTTTAAGAAGTCACTAACGTAATATGGGTTATTTTATTTAAGCTTACATGGTTTAAAAAGAAAAATAATTTTAGTAGATTATACTTTCAGTTTTGAATACCAATCTGCAAGTATAAAGTTGATTTTTTAATGGTAAAATTAAGTTGCATGACATTTTCAACTAAAGTTGAGGTGGTGACTCTTAGTTTTCCATATTTACTTGGTAAGGAAATGTTAGTCCAGCTAGCTAAAGTTGAAATATCTAAACTTATTTGAACAAATTTATTAAGCCACATTAAGATGAGATTTTTAAACAAAATAACTTACTGGCTCATCATGATGAAAGTAGTATTATGTTTTATTTTATCCCATCCTTTCTCCACCTCTTTTGAGCTAAGGGGTTAACATTTATTTTATGTCAACTATGTAATCATTTGTAATAAAGCTACAGACTCAAGGCAACTAAGATAAAAATTAATTAAACTGTAAGCAAAGTATTTTTGAGTTTTAAAAATATAGTAATAGAGGATAGGAATAACAAATAGGAATAAAGAATATTAAACAGGCTGGGCACAGTGGCTCATGCCTGTAATCCCAGCACTTTGAGAGCCCGAGGTGGGCGGATCACCTGAGGTTGGGAGTTCAAGACCAGCCTGACTAACATGGAGAAACCCCTGTCTCTACTAAAAATACAAAAGTATGCTGAACATTAGGCTGTCATTTCATTTCATCGTGGATACAGCTGATTGTATTCCCTAGTTATCATACTTTAAAAAGAACATCTCTGAGTTGAAAAGATATGACATAACTGGCTGTTGTAGGCATTCCTTATGTTTTAATATCCAATCTATGGTTCAACCAAAAGAAATCCAAATGACATAGTACCACATTACTAGCAAGCTCCAGAACAAAATAAGGTAGCCCAGTTTAAACAACCAAATTGTTCTGAATAACATAACTTTTTCATATTGCATCTCATTTTTTATTATTAACAAGATTTTTTCTTTTAGATTATTTACCAAACTAAATTTAGAATGCCCACATTTTATGATTTTCCTTTTGGAAACTAGAATACATAGTTGTGGGATTCAAAACTTTTATGTATTTCCTCATTCATTTGGGCAATCTGAGTGTGTTTAAAAAAATACAGAGAGTATCTATCTCCTACAGAATTAGAATACTGTGGTTTCCTTTACTTACTCACAGAGATCCTTTGGAAAGCAAATACTTTCTCTCCTGTTTCCTCCTTCCCTGAGGGCTGTATTTTAATCCTCTTTGATAATTTTTTACTGATAAAGCAAGGGAAAAGGAGAAGCAGAAGGCAGGTCTGTTAAGGCTTGTTAGCCAGATCAACACAGGATTTTGATTTCAGAATCAGAAGAAGGTTCTGTTAAAATTTTGCCGTATAACTGAATAGATTGATGAGATGATCTGACAATCTAGTTAGTGAAAACTGAAAACAAAAGTGAAACACCTTATGCTATGAATTATTAAGGTAACTTTTAATTTTTAAAATTTAATTTATATATTGGCATTTTTAAAAACCTTACTAAACTTAGTTATGACCGATCTATTGATTTGTGACAATGTGTAACAATAAAAAGCACTCCGTATGATTTTGCATTTGTTGGACTTACCTTGTAATTCTCTATCTTAGACTTTACATATTTCAAGTGTATGCTCTTACGTGAAGTACTTTCATATTACACATCTTTTTCCATTTCTTCACTACAAGTCTTTCTGCTTGTTTTTATTTAGATATGTTACTTCCATATATCTAGAGTTTAGAAAGCAATGCATCCAACCTGAAAGTCTCTGACATTTAATAGAAGATTTAAATCTATTTACACTTATTGAGCTTATCAATTTGTTTGGATAACATTCTCAGGGATCTATAGCAGATATCCATTAAATATTTGCTTAATAAATATATTTGGCATATTTCATCTCTGATTTTATCCCCTCCTTTCCGGTCTTTTATTGAACTAAGAGTATTTTCTCTATCCTCACTTTTCTTTCCCTCTAACAGTTCGAAAGTTTCGCATTCTATTTCTATTCTTTCAGTAATTTATTACAAAACCTTAGACATTTTGACAAAGAAATTTTACAAAGGTTTATTTTAACTGTTTAAGACATCATTTTTATTGCTTTATGTCATTTCTAACAATTCCTCCACCTAATTTACCAAAACAGTATTCAATAAAGACAACAATAAACCTGAGTCAGACGCAAAAGTGTGTTTACAAATGTAGATATTTAAATTTGATATTTACACATTCTTAGGATGAAATCAAATACAATAATAAAACCCCAAAACAAGAAAACCAATATAAAAGTATTTTAAACTCCAATATGAATACACTGTAATTAAAAAGGAGTATTCAATAAAAACAGAAATGCTTGCCTTTACACTTTTTTTTTTACAGATTATTAAAATTACCCAACCAGGATGAGGTACCCAATAAATATTCATATCATTACGACTTGGTTTTGATTGTCATTCTCATGAGGCTGCACACAACTACTGAGCTGTAACATGACTCAGTTTTTCCATTGATGAAACTGTATGTTCCTTCTGCTGTCAGTGATGTGTAATCAATTGCTACAGCTTTATTGTACTGTCTACAGCATAAATGCAAATTGAGATTAGCATAAGTAATTGTAGCATCTAACCTTTTGGTTAACATGAAGCCATACATAGGTAATAAAAGTAAGATGTTGCAGTGGGAAAGAATCATCAATTCCACAGTGTAGTTATTGATGGACAAAGCCTATGAAAGTCAAATGAAATAAGAGCAAGTGTCCCTGTTAATTAGCATTCAAGCATACTAATAAAACCCTTACATTTTAGCATTTTTAAGGAGATAATTCATTACACAAATAAACTCTGAAATTAAACACCTATGTAAAGATTTTTCACAAAAGTGATATTCTTTCCTGGAGGTGGTGAGGTGGGGAGATGGACATTTATTAAGAATATTCTTGCTGGCCTTGTGATGGGTAGAATAATCCTCCACATCCCACCAAAGATGTCCATGTCTTAATCTCTGTACTCTGTGTATATATTGCCTTACATACCAAAATGAATTCTATAAATGTGATTAAATTAAGAATGTTGAAACACAGGGTCACCTGAGATTATCCAGGTGAGCCCAGTGTCATTGCAAAGGTCCTTATAAGTAAAAGAGGGAGGCAAAGGTTCAGAGTCAGAGAAGAAGTAAAGGTCAGAGTGATGCAATTGATGGCCTTCTAGATGGAAGAGGGCTATAGGCAAGGAGCAGGGCAACCTCTAGAAGCTGGAAAAGGCACAAAAACAAGCAGATCCACTCCTAGAACCTACAGAAGTGCAGCTCTGCTGATAACTTTATATTAGCCCAGTGAGACCCATTTCAGATTTTGATCTCCAGAACGATAAGATAGTAATATTGTGTTGTTTGTGGTAATTTGTTACAGGAGCACGAAATACTAATAAAGGCCTCCTGTAGTAAGAAATTCTGAGAGAAAAGGAAAAGTTGTTTTGGGCTGGGAAAAATAAGAAATGAGATCTAGAGAGTTAAATAACTCATTTCAGGTCACCCAGTTAGTGATAGAATCAGAATATATATGTGGATCTTTCTTTACTATTACTACATTTTCACAAAGAACTCAGAACTAACTCAGTACACAATGAGTAGAGTCTGTCCAGAGGCAAGTGGAAGATTGCTCTTTTTACGATCAATGCAATATGAAAAATTAAGCTAAAATATGTTGAGTTCTACATAAAAATAAAATGTGTACAAGACCATAAAGGAATCTCATATTTGTGCATAGTCCTCAAGATAATCCAAGTGCCCCAAATTTTAAACTCTCATTTTACGCTAGAGGGTTCTTGGAACAAAATCAGACTGAAAGGAGTCACATACAATGACATTTTCAAAATGAAGAGACTTTTTTGTAAAACACAAATTTAAATGGTTGAATGAAAATTACATTTTTTGTAAAAAATGCAGTGTAAATAAACATTAATGAAGAAAAAACATTCTACAGCTTAAGCACATGTATTTCAGTCAACATATGTTTTATACATATTCCAAATGCATGAGGTTGAAACAAGAATTTCCAAGAGAGATAATGAAAATGATTTTTAAGTAGTAAAAGTTTTCTGACTTTATTTTGACTAAATTAAAACTGGCTGAAAAATTGAGGTAAGTTTGCCAATGATGATTTGTGGCATAATTTCTGATGTCCAAATGAAGGTGGTTGGACAAAAAGGGACAGGTTAATTGTCTTGAGTAACTTTTAATGTCGAGTGAGCAGCTGATTTGAGTAACTTTTTCAGAGTTCATCAGGCTTCTTTTATATTATTGCATTACTTTTTAGCACCTACTGGGTCTGTATCTGTTCAAAATTTTTTAATCCTTCTTAATTTGTTATTCTATGATGTCACTTGCAAAAGTCTACCAAATTTCCTCCACTTTCCTTAAATATGTAACCCTGTGGCTGCTGCCAATGTCCTCTACCTTTTCTCCTGTTGAAGACAGTAATCCGCTTACTATGGTCCCCTACTTCAAAAAATTTCAGTTTTATATCTCTGCTTTCTCACCTTCTTGCTGCCAGTCTTTGAGAGAATTGTTCTCAATGGTTACCAAGACTAACTTCTCTATTTTTACTCTTAATAGCTTTTACTTCATTTTCTCCAAGATATTGTAACATCTGAAGACTCTCCTCCAACTTTCTGCTTGCAAAAACTTCTAGTGTAAAAAAAAAATAGTCATAATAGTCATAACAAATTGGCCTTGCCTCTTTAAGATGCCAGCTCTTTCTTTTGATATCAACTTCCCTAGGATATAACTTATTTCAGTCTTATTTCAGCCTCTTCACTCTACTGAGATTACTGTGCCAAACATGACCATCAACCTTTTCAATATCACATACAATCCTCCCTCCAGTCTTTCTTAAGTTTGCCTTGTTCACACTATTTTTCTCTATTGATCATGCTGTCTTCAAACTACCATCGAGATTTCTGTAACCCTAAATTCTGTGAATTTCTCTCCACTATTCTGATTGTTCCTTCTCTCTTTTGCTGGATCCTTTTTTTTTTTTAAACTACTTCCGTAACTATTTCCTGAGCTTCTTTTCTCTCTTTTTCATGTACCAGAGCTAGAAATCCTCTTATTTTACATAAAATCCAATTCTAAATCAGAGTTGTAATTACATTGTTAGTAGGATGAATGGTATAAATGAACATTCAGGAGAAACAATGTTCTGAAACTTAAGCATATGTATTTCAATCAGAAGAAAAGTATGAAAGTCTCCTATTTTTCTAATTTTTTCATTTTATTTTCTGAAGTTTTTTAAGTATACCATCATATTTGTAAATTTTACATTTTTTCAAATTATTTATAAAATTTTAACTTCTTATTTATTTTCATTTTTAAATTGCATTTGCCATTAATTCTAGAAAATTTTAAATAATAATAGTAGATGGAATGTCCTTACATTTCACCATTAAGCTTATGCTTGAAATATATTTCTATCCTGTAAAACAAAAGTATTCATCTATTCTTATTTTACTAAGAAATTATCATCAAGAATGGACGCTAAATTTTTTAATCGTATTTTTTGGCACCTATGGAGATGATTGTAAGTTTTTCTTCTTTGAGTTATTAATATGAATTATATTCTATTTTAAACAGTTCTATAATATCAATATGTTCTCATTCTGTACATGAGAACTTAGTTGATGAGAGGTTCAGGATTACATTAAGATCACACAACTAACAAGTCACAGGAAAAAATATAAGCCTGTCTGGATCCAAAATATATGTACTTTTCACTTTGGCAGTGGTTTTCAAAAAGGGAAGGAAAGAAGGGAAGGAGGAAAAAGAAAGAGAGAAAATATAAACAAGATATTTTGTTCAAATGAAATCTAATATGACAATTCTCCTAAAAAAATAAAATAACAATAATAAAAAGCCCCAAACTGCTCTAGTAAAGTCGGGTAGCAAGCACAATGCCTGATTTCTCAGCAACCTTGAACTCTTGGAACTGCCTTTGATGTACCTGAACCAGAACTCTGAGGAACAGAGGTTGAGAGCCAAAACATGCCATTAACTCTGTTACCCAGGCTCAACTCATTTATTTGTCCTAAAAAATTTTTATTATAAAATTATACATGCATTTGATAAACCATTTCAAACACTAAAGAACAGTATTAAATGAAGTGCAATAGTATTCTTCACTATCCTCACTTTAACTCTCTAGACTTAAACACTTTTAACTTTATTAGTTCTTCAGTTAACACCATGAATCTAATAATCTAATAACCTATTTTTCTCGATTTATTATTTTACACACATTTATAGACTCTGTCTTGAAAGGTAGGGAACTAGTTTTATTTTGCTATCTTCTTTAGTGTTTGTTGTTTTGCTTTGAATACCCTACTATCTATTTTTATAATGTTACATACCTAATTATAATTAGTAAATAAACTTTGAATAAAATAATACACTTCTATTTATAGAAGAGATATAATCTAAAGTTACTAGAAGAGATATAACCTAGAGAGATATAACCTAAAGTGTACTACGTAGCATGAGAGAAACTTTGTCGATCTACACCATTGGAGGTAGCCACTTGTTAGCTCTCTACCTTGCTTCTTTCTGTTACCCTCATGCACCATGCTTATGCTGGTCACCTTGTCCTTTCTCCAACATGCCAGGCCTGGGACAGCCTCTCAACATTTGCACTATAATCTCCATGTCACTGATCATTCTTTCATATTTTTGGTTTTTTCTCCCCCATGTCTTAGGAAATGTTCTTAGATCTATATGCCACCCTGTCTACCAAATTTTATATTTCTGTGATTACATGTTTAATTCTGAAAGTACTCATTTAGTCTCTGAGTGATTCTATTTTATAGGATATATTGAACTCTTGAGAGGTTCCAGTACTATGTTAGATCCAGGGCATAAGACAGACAATAAGGCCTGGCACTGCCCTTGATAATTTTATGGTCTAATATGGGAAAGAGAACAAGTGTCACTACCCAGCATCCTGGATGCAGTATAATGGTAAGAACTTAGAATGTTGAAAATTTAAGATTTGTCAGACATTTATGTTCAACACTTTCTCTAGATTATTAGCTCGTTAAATTTTCAAAACTTCCTTATAAGTTAGGTGTTATCTTTCCCCATTTGATGAAAATAAGGGTTAGAGGGTTTAAGTTACTTACCCACAGTGTAAGGAGCAGGGCTAGAATTTACAGGCAGGCAACTAGATTTCAGAGACAACAAACCAAATCACCACAGTGGGACAAATACCAAGGCTGAGTCTGAGGCTCAGCATCAGAATATATAATAGACAGCACACTGAGTATAACAAAATGAAGGTGGAAGGGAATTGCTAATCATCTAGTGTAATCCTTTTAATATTTTAAAACAATGACTTTATTTTACCTAAAGAACTATGTTTTTGAAAAACAAATCAAACAATACTAGAAAGCTCAAAGACAAAAGTAAGAAAGCATACCAAATTCTACCAGACAGAACCCTGAGTAAATATGCTCCAAATTGCCAAGTTCAGGGTTTTTTGTTTTGTTTTGTTTTGTTTTTTAGACAATCTCCCTCTGTCACAAGGCTGGAGTGCAGTGGTGTGATCTCTTCGTTCACTGCAACCTCTGCCTCCCAGGTAACAGGGATTACAAGCACCTGCCACCACACCCAGCTAATTTTTGCATTTTTTAGTAGAGATGGGGTTTCGACATGTTGGTCAGCCTGGTCTCGAACTCCTGACCTCAGGTGATCTGCCTCAGCCTCCTAGAGTGCTGGGATTACAGGTGTGAGCCACCATGCCCAGCCCAGACTCTTAAGTTTTAATAGTTAAGTGACTTTGGGTGTGTAATTAAACCTTTCCATTCTTCAGTTTTCTCATCTATAAAACGGGAATAGTGATAGGGCCAATCAGAAGGTTGCTGTGAGGACTGAATTATTGTAACCCTATAAATAAAGCATTATAACTGTAAACCAGCTTCAAATCACAGAGAGGTGGGACTCTGCTCAACCAAAGCACATAATCCTTATGCATAATTAAATTAAGCTTTCCATGATAAACATCTCTTCTACACATTCAGGTTCAATATTCTAAAATGCCCAGCTACAACAAAAATAATTAGATTAAAAATTGGCAAATTTCCTCTGTGTTTCATCACTCTGTGTCCCTGGGGTGTCAGTCTGCAAATTACTCTCTATCATCTTTCTATCTTCTATTGTTCTCTTCTCCATTGGTTTCTCCCAATTTGAATTCAAATGTATTTATTGTTTTCTTATGTAACAATACAACAACATACTTCCCTGGTCCCTGCCTTCTTCTCAAGCTCCTTCCCTACTCATCTCTGTCCCTTTTGGAAAAATTCCTGGAGGAGAATCCATATCACAGCACCTAATTTCTCATCTTTCTCTTCCTACTCTATGTGGGCCATCTTGCTACTGGCCCTTCATTTCTCCCAAATCATTCTTACAAACATCACTAACAATTTACTAATTGTTAGGTTCAGGGGTCCCTCTAAGATTCCCATTCCACTTGACCTCTCTCCAGCACATTTGACCTTGCCAAGGCTTTACCCATCTCTGCTCCTTATTCCCATTGCTCTGGCCCCACCCTTTATCAGCTCTTGCTTGGGACACTGTAAGAACTGATTTCCCTCCAATTTGTCTTCCCCACAACCACCAGTTTTCTCTCTAAACCTACATTTGTTCAATTTAAAAAGGATTTATTAGGTTATCAAAATAAAGAAGACATAGTTCTAAGGGCAAATACTCACAATATAATAGTAAGTGAACAAAACAGGATTAAAAAACTATGTAAATAGTATCATTTCAATCATATATGAATAGTGTAATGTGTATATAGCATGTATATATGTCCATCTATATGTATTTTTATGTAAAAAAAAGGTACCAAGTGTTCATGTGATTTTCTGTGGTGATAGGACACCGAATGTTTATTTTCCAAACAAGCATTTATTACTGTTGTAATTTAGAATAAAATGTAATGTATAGTATGTGAGCACACAATTTTGTTTGAGGCAAGAGAAAAAGTCTAGGAAAGCTAAAGAGCTCTAATACCACCCCCGTTAGGTTTTGAAGGGTGAATGGGTATTTTCCAGTCAAACAAAAAGAGAATGTATATTTTACATAGAAGGAGGAGCATGAGACAGTTCCACAGAGGTGTGAAAGCATATTGCATATTCAGAACAAAAATAGTCCAGTAGGCTAGGGAATGTGGTGGACTCTTATAATAATAACCTTCTTTGCATTGGTTGTTACCAAAATGATCTCCTATTTATCCTCCCAGTCTTTTTGTTTATTTATTTATTTTGAAAATTAACCTCTTCTGTGAAGTCTTTCATGACCATCTCTGATTTTATAACAGCTCTTCTATCTCTATCGCTGTAGTCTTAGACCATATCTCCACATAACACGATCATATACGAGCCCTCATTGTTTGGCTGGATCTTAGAAATTTGTTTCCTGCAGCTATTTCCCTGCCTCTCATAATCATGGCTGGTATGGATTGTTTCTAGAAAGTAGCATACAGAATAACAGATGAACTCTATACCCCCTAAAAACTACACACACATACTCATAGACACACACTCAAATCTTTCCTCTAAAATATGTTTTTCCAGTAACATAAAAATACCATGAAAATCAAACCACTGTCAAGCTCTTAAAAATTTCTTCCTTTCTTCAATGTTTTCCCATATTCAAGATAACTTCAATAAAAAATGCAAGTAATCTACTTTTAAATTTGCTAGTAATTTTAGCAGAATGTCATCTTGTCCTATTTCTGATCTCTGTACCATGAATTAGTGTATAAGAATGGTTTAAAGATGTTTTACAAGTCACAAATACATGATGAGTAGGACCAAGTCATCTTCAATAGGTCAGTGAATCTACACAGGCACAACTGCTATTTTTCCATTCAGTGTAACCACTCAAGTACGCATTAATTTTGATGTGACTGAAGAGGTCAGAGAGAGTGGAAAGACTATTGGTCTGTGAAGTGGGAGACTCAGATTCTAGTCCTGGGACTGCTAATTAGCTGTGGGACCTTGGAAAGACTCCTGAACCTCTTCTGTCTTCGACTTCTTCATCTTTAAAATGAAGCCCCTGGATTAATTCATTTGAAAAGTCCCTTCTGAATTGAAAAGTCAAGATCTATAAGGAAAAATCATGTCCAAGTTTACCTTAGCTGTCTATCTCATTTTGCCTATTTGTAAATTGGCCTTTAACATCCTTTCCAACACTGACTTTGCTTTACTATGACTGATGAGATAAAATAAATGTGAATTCTGCTAAACATCAATACTAAGCCAGCTTTCTCAAACACTGGAATCAACTCACTCTAGCCAAAATGTTCTCAGGCCTAGAAATTCATCATATTTTAGTCACTTAAAAGATAATTTATAATACCATTATATCATAGTAAAATTTTTATCTTCTCTATAGATTAGTGAACTACATCATTAGATTTACTATAATCATAACTTGAGAACTAAAACATTGGAACAGTAATTGTATTATTATTTCCACTAACATAAACAAAACTAATAAAAATAAGTATCTAAATGTTCATGGTCTTTTCACTCTGAGATACTAAGCTTCAAAGCATTAAATCCTTTACCTTCTGATAGAAATTAGAATGCTAACTATGAGCTTGCATCTCAGCAATTCCTAAAAAGAAAAAAAATACATTAAGCACTCAACCACAAGCAAAGTTAAGTTCTCACGTTAAAAAAAATTGTGTGATCTTCCCTTTGTGGAGCTTACTTTGTTTTATAAGGGTGCTCATGATTAAAA
This sequence comes from Homo sapiens, assembly GCF_000001405.40. NCBI lineage: Eukaryota > Metazoa > Chordata > Mammalia > Primates > Hominidae > Homo > Homo sapiens. Next base: position 147,621,513 of record NC_000003.12, on the reverse strand, counting down.
TAACATAACATAATAACAAAAGTCACAGACAATGCTAAAATACTAGTAAAAACATTCAAAATATCGAGATAAATACAACTTTCTTTTATTGTATTTTATAATAATTTTATCCATACAAGAAATATAAGTAAATTTTGAGGGATTTTCATGACCAGGTATAGAAATCAATTACCTAAATTGACTATACATTGATATCATTTCGCTAAAGCATCATAAAACAATGTCATCTTCTTTGACTTGGCAGTACTTAGTTTTTTAAAGAAAATTACAGGACCAGTAGAAAATTTTAAAAGTAAGTTTAAAAGCCTAGAATTCCCATTAGTTATTGTTAACTTCCATTTTTGGCTTGATCATATCCTAATTACAGATGCATGACTATGAAGTCAATGGTATTTTCAAAGCAGGAATCTGTTGACTCATCCCACAGGGGAAGAAAAAAAATCCAATCTCTAGCTACTTGCCACCAATATTAACAAAAATTATCCTAATATATTCATAGGCATATTGATCAGCTGTTGAAAATTTCAAGTTAAACAAAAGTAACTTATTTTTCATCTACAACTAAATCTTGGTCTAGCATAATAAACTATATTTTTAACCTGCCTGTTCTTATAGTCAAACATGTAGGGAAGTTGGGGCTTTTATATTCAAACAAAGGCATCCAGCTTAGATGTGTGATAGAATTTCTAAATTGACACCCAACTTCAAAGAGTAAAATTTCAAGGAGTCCCCGATTGATTAATCAATTGCAGAGCTTTCAGTGTAAACACACACAAAAAAACCTTATAAATTCTTTGTTTTCTGTGTTTTCAAAAATATAATAAAATATAATGATTTATAACCATCAAAAATTATACTTTAATGTTGATTGATTAAAGTCTGTTAGCATGAAACTATAGCCATCAGTTTTTTTCTTTGTGTTATATAATTTTAAGATGTATGAGAAATTTGATCAAATAACCAGTAAAAATACATCCATGCATCAGTATTTTTAAGAAGCCAAAAAATGATATTCTATTACGCTGATGAGGCTAGAATTAATTTAAATAACTTTGGGCTTGATTCATGAAAAACAAAAATACTTACACAGTAGGGGGGCATTATTTCTGCATTTTTTTATATGCACAAGTCATGGTCTGCATTCAACTTTCAATTCAAAAAGAAAAGTTGCAGATTTATGTAGGCAGGTTTTTGTGTGAGTGCACAGCTCCAAAGTGAAAAATAAATAAGCCTGGAGAGAACTTAAGCCTTTTAGCAGAGTGTTAAAATGATTGCAGGCTGAACTTCAGGCCCCCAAAAAAATCTCATCCCAATAAATTATTACCAAAATGTTAGCCAGCACCACGTTGTCACACTCAGGCAGCAGGGACATAATGGTGACACAGAAGAAAACTGCCACATAAATCACTTTAAAACAGCCCTTTGCTCCATATAGGGAGAAACTTCCATCCTCAGCTGAATCTCCTCTCCCACATTTTCATCTCTGAGAAAATGGCAACTGTCCAAATCACTAAAAACAATTTAAAAGAAATCCCTGGAGATGTTGCTGCCAAACTTAGTAATAGCCTTTCGTGATTAAGAAAAAAGGAAATAGGTAGTAAGAAAAATTCTTTTTAGAAATATTCTCCCTTTAAAATCTGAATTGATAAAGTAGATCACAGGTCTTAAACTGAACCAAAGAATCAATAAATATTGATTTTTTCTTAATTTGGCTTTCTTAATTCCACTAAGGGAATATATCTTTTATAGAGTATAGAAATATAAAGAAATGGATTCTATAATAAAATAATTTGGCATTGTTAAGGCATTTCAATAGAGGCAAATGCATTTAACTCATGAAAAATGTTCTCAGAATTTTTACATCTATTATTTCCAAAAGCCAATTTTAAGCTTTCAGACCACATTTGCAATTATTCTTTAAATAAACTGTTCAGCAAAAATATATATCTATTAAAATTTTCTATATGAATAAAAATGGACTTTATAATTAATGACCATGAAAAGTCATTCTAATAGTAAAGTAAACCAACATTATTTATATGTTTTAAAAATAAATAAGGCTATATGTGTTTTTAGACATACTTACATATTTGTAGAAATCATGTTGTGTCAAAAATAGAATTAATTGATTTTATTTTAATGTAAAGTATTTTAAAATACTGTCATAGCTCTATTGTTTCTCACATTTTGAAACAAATCATTGTTGTTGCTTCTTTTTGTCCCTTAAACTTTCAGGAAATCTTAGCTATTTCATAGGTGCACCCTATGAAAATTTTTTATATTCAATAAAATCTTGAAAATAAATGGAAAATAAACCTAGACGTTCAAGATAATTTTATTAATCCTGTGGAAACTATTGCATAATAACACAGACAGTATTCAACTTCCCTTGTCAATTTTGAAACTCAGCTATTACTGTTGCTGTCTTAAATTTAGCATCCTTAAAGCTGAAGGGGGGAAAATCAACTTGCAATTTAGACAGTTATCAAATTACCAAAACTAGTGCAGGAACTCTTAATGAGCAAAACCATTAACAATTTTCCGACTGGAGCCCCTGTTCAAATACCTTGGACACCTTGTTAGCACAGAATGAGGTGTTCAATCAAGAGACTGGGAATTGGAAGTACCAGGGCACAGTTTTGAGTGGTGATTACAAGGGCGAGAGGGCGAGTGCCAAAGTAACAGTCTTCTACCCTGCAGGAAGCTGAGAAACCTTCAAGTCTACATTTGTAAATCAGGCCCGATGATTACAGCAGTCACAAGCAAAGAACATATGAAACAATTATTTGCACCATTCTTTCACTGTTTTAATTTGCTCTTAAAATGAACAAGATGATCCCCAGAGTCACTGGCATTTTGTCTTTAGAATTTTAGAGCATGTTCTAGGATTTTTCATGGCACTGTAAGCCAAGGAAAAGACTAAAAGGATAATTTCAAAGAGCATTCCTTTTTTTTTCCTCACAAGCTTTTTTATTGTGCAGCTTTCCTGTAACTTAACATAGACAAAATAGTTTGCAGGAATTTAATTCATTTCAGATATTTTAATTGTTGACTATTTAAAAATAAAATATGTTTGTCACTTATTCGTTTTTAACTTTTGTTTTATTGCCTTTTATTTAAAATGCAGTATCTTAGACATTGAGACTCTTGCATTAAATTCAGCAGGAATAACAGAACATGTTTCCAGTTTTTAACTACTTTAATCTGCTCTTTAACCACTGACAGCTCACAAATAATTTACTAAAAAGTTTTTATTTTAGGTTACAGCATTTACGTTGTCCTTGAAGCTTAATAGTGACACAGTATCAAATGTATTTAAAAGAATATATTTAAGCAAAATATTACTTCTTTAAATAAGCATATTTATCTTAAGTGAAAAAATTGCACTGAAAAAACAAAATTAAACAGAAAACAAAACCTTCCAAATGCAAATACGTGGAATTGATTTTATTGACATTAGGTACATCTTTTTTACGAAGTTGACTATAGACAAATAAAAATTCAGGTGCCATAAAATAAAGTGTTTATAGTTGGAAAAAGGAAACACAAATATATATTTATAATTTTGTTTTATGATACAAAAATCTATTTTTTTAACTTATTAAATATGCACATATTTTTCTCTGAATTGTTTGCAGGATGATGTACTAAATGTTTAGGGGATGGTTTTGCTAATTAGTGACAGACATGAGGATTTATATATAATATTATATTCTATATGTCTGTAATTTTATAAACTTTATTATGAATTAATCGGAAAAAGAATTTTCAAAAGAACTTAAAATTACCAATTAATTTTATTTCATTTTATGAAAGCATATTAAAGGTTAGATTCTAAGTCTGTATTTTCTTCAATAGGTAGATACTGGAAAATAGCATTTTTAAAAGACTTGGAGCACCTCTGAATTTGAAAACATCATAAGGTTCTGTTTATATAAGCAAGGAAGGAAAATAACACAATTTTAACTACTTATAACTGATTTCTGAAAATTTATTAAATAATATAATTAAATTTATTTTTAAGTAGGTTTATATTTTCCTAGAGAGCCTTCTATTTCCTCTTGACTATTATTTTTGTCAGTGTTTTGCTACATGGTACAATATTGAGGTTCCAGAGTTTGATTTTCTATACTAAATCAATGGTTTAAAATACTGTAAACTCATGTGAGAGATTGCCATGTAATTTTGTAATGTATTGCAATCACATAATTTGTCCCCAAACCCACAGTGATTACTGTTAAATGCTCCTTTTCTCAACTAGTAAAATCTTTTTCATGATTTGCTATCCAAATGTAGAGGGCGCTATTGTTCATGTATTTTGAAAGCGTTTCATAAAGGAAAATACATTTAGCTAATAATTTAGTATTTGTTTTCAAAATGTATCTATAAACTCCAATGGAAGTATCAATGTGTTGTCTGAATATAAATTTAAAGTAATTGAAAAAGTGTTTATATAGATCAGTAAAATTGCATTTGCCATTAAAGATTTATGCATTTTTAATTATCCCTGAGCTCTAATTAATCTATAATTAATTTTAAATATTATGATAACCAGATTTTACAGAAGTATTTCAATTTTTCTCTTATTGTAGTTATGTAGAAGAATAGCCTTGTGCATAGGAGATGCGTGCTGCAAAATTTAGGAGTGTCACTACTTTCAAGCGATTTAGGGAAAAGATAAACTTAATGTAGCAAAAAAATGTTGATTTTGAGTGGAGAACAAGCGAATGTTTACTGTACTGTATTTCAACTTTTTTTGTATGTTAAAATTTTTCAAACTAAAAATTTGCAGGAAATATTCTGATTGCTTATCTCATTCTTAGTTTTTATGTTTATTTTGTTCATTATTTTTCTAAGAAAATATATATTTTAAAAATATCTTACTGAGCATGCTAGTTTCTGTATGCTAAATTTTAATGCAGTTTTTAAATATAAAATGTTATCCTAATTATATTTCTGTCATTAATTTCTTGAGGTTGAATGGGGTCAATAATTTTAGACTAAAAATTTATATTTGCTCATATTTTTACAAAATGTTATGTGAGTAAATATTAATCACTTGTAAATATTTTCTCAAGTATCACGAAATCACCTGAGTTCACTTTTGTTTTATGACTTTTGTTTGTTTTATGGTTGCTGTAAAGAGCTTAAAAATGAGTCAACACCCCCCCAAAATTATAGTCATTCTTGTTCTAAACACAAAATTTAGGTAAGATATTGGTATAGTTTACAAAATGAATTTCAAAAATTTAAATATTTGGATGCATCATTGTATCTAAATGCATGGAACAAATGTTACATAAAACTAACCAGTACCTTGCTACTAATAGTACATGCTGTAGAAGAGTTACAATTACAGATTTTAAACACACTAGTTTAGAAAATTCAAACCAGGCACTAAACATTGATTGTATTCTAAGGTAGTTTTCATTCTTAATTCTTCACATTTAATTTAATACTTTGAATAAACCATTTCAAAATGTTTCTTTTCATGTTACTTATATATTTAATACATCTAAATATATTTTATAAATATTGTAAAGTATCTTATTAAGTTTATTATATTAAAGTCTATATATATACTGAATAGACTTAATAAGAAAATTGTCTCTTTAGTTAAATAAAATCTAGTTAAATAAAAATCACATTTAGAATCATCCAGATTATTGATTGAATATTTCTTTTCTATTTACATTATTAGGCACTGCGGAAGCATCAATAGCATCTCTTTTTCTTTTTAATCTAGCTTGCAGAAAGAAAGAGGGAGAGAATGTTAGTGACTAGTGTATGTAAATACGTATTCTATGCATAGCCATGAAACTAACTCACCAGAAAAAAAACACAAATATTGCTTGTGGAAAAGTTTTGAATGTAGCTCAGGCATTACTTTTCACCACTTCAAATTATTTTAAAATCAAAATAAGTATGGCAGAAAGCACAAAAAGAAAAAGCAGCTCTTTAAAATAGCTCATAACTTGCAATTTTAAATAGGATATCTGAAACTTTGTCTGGTTAAACTGTATCTAATCTTGCACAAGCAGGCATTGTCTAATTTTTATGGTATCCATGCACGTTCAAGAAGTTTTCCACCTTAAAAACAAGGGAGTAGAGTTGAGGGGGGTGGGGCCAATCCATAACTGAGTAACAGTTGCCTTTTATGTTTGGCAAGTTCTTTGGGACCAAGATACCCCCCAGCCTGACTGACTAGGAGGCTGAGATGCAGTTCGGCCCTGTCTTTATGTCAAATCACTGCCATCAAAACAATGGCTCATATTACATGAAAATCTTGTGCAAATGAGCCATAATGGGAGTGAATGACAATCTCGTAAGACCATGCAGCAGGGTCCTCCTTTGATGTGAAATACTGTTAATCTTTCTCAAACATAGCCCACTAAGCATACTTGGCAAATCCTATATGAGAAAGTCCTTACAGTACAGATTCGGAGATAAACACGCTGTAAGTGAAAAAGACACTAATATAAAGTTCCATGTTGGTCATAAATTTTCATTTACTTCAGTCATTTTTTGGTTGGGGGTTTGTTTTTATGTTCTTAGTGGTTATCATTTTTGTCTAGTCTTTTGAAGGATATTTATACATCACACTTCCTTATTTTAAAATGCTGGTTACAATGGCATTACGAGTGTTGGATATAAATGTTCAATGGCTGATTTTAAAAGTATTTTTAAAAGGATCTCTAAGGGTTATAATAATTTGAGAATGTTTGAAAATCTTATTTACATAGGCTTTTGTCGTTAATCATAGTGGACTCAGACTGATGGCTTCATATTATTTGTGCCATAATATGAAAGAGAAAGGAGAGAGAGAGACAACTTTCAAGCATGATGTTTTCTATTAGAAAAAAGAATGACTTAGGTGTTTCTATTTTTAAAGTAGTTTAAACAGCCATCTAAATATCTCCCAAAGAGTAATAGATCAGCTTTTGGATCACAAAAGGTATTTTCTTTCACGCTCTAATATCAAAAATCTAACTGTTTTGCTGGATATCCAAATATGTAAGGCCCATGTCTAAAGCAAGCTGAGTCAATCATGGTAATTCAGTGCTGGTAGGAAATATGCCTCTTCAGTTGTGCTCTGCTTTTGAAGTGTTGCCTAAAAATCAGCCTTGGGCTTCAAAGAGAGAGGGATTATAGCCTTTATCCAGCAATTAATATGGCTGGAATTCAGAATGTCAGTGTCTAACCACGATCCTGGCTGGACAGTAGCATAGCAGGAATTCGTTCTTCAAAACTTGGAGTAAATCATAAAAATGAATAAATAGTAAAATGTTATTAATGTGTGGCAGAAAAGAAGAGGGGAAAAAATAAACATTCCACTTCTAATGACCTACCTATGTTTTTGACATGCAGACAAGCCCTCCCAAAAAAGTGATGTCCCCAGACCTCTAACCAGCCTTATCCACCTAGATCGTTTTAATCTCCCACCAACTGCTAGGCAGAAAGAAGTGCTATTAGAGAGAAAGCTATTCCTTTTGCCTTCTAACATAGATCAGATGACAACCTCTCCAAGTCCCTCCTCTCTGTCAGAGTTCAAGGGTTCAAAAACGGTCAGAATGTCAAGCAACAGAAAAGCAGCAGGGTTTTGCAGGAAGAGTTTAAGTACGTTAGATTATGCAGAGTAGTCAGAAGAGACACTGGTGTTAGGTTTCATTTTTCATTCTCAATCTTATTTTAAGTGCCCTTTGACAGTAGCCTACAACAGAGATCCCCTTCTGCTACTGAGAGATTATAGAATGCAAGTCCTTAAAATACTATTTATTTCTACTTAATACTCTGGTATATTTGAGGTTGAATATTAAATAACAAAATGTCCGCACCTTTATAGCAATAGATTATTTGGAATTAATATTTCAACATGATGTGTTTATCTTGGTCTGAAGGCAAAGGAGTGTCATCTCTTCCAGGAATTGTGAACAAAAATTAGGAAAATCTCTCACGAATTTGAGGAAATTCCTCCCTTGGAATAGGTAGGACCCCTCCCCACCATATACCCGGAACCACCAAGCAATCTTGCTTTTTAAAATCTTACACAATTGTTTCTGCATGTTTCTTTACAATTTTTTTTCTACTGACTTGAAAGAAAACCCACATGTAAAGTATTTACAGAAAAGTATCACAGCATCCTGACAGGCTAAGCAATGTGTTTCATTAATAAGCAATGTTTATTGCTCATTATAGAGGTTTTGTGTGGAAGATATTTGAAGAATGATCACTATAAAATCTAATATTAACAAAAAATTTTAAATATGTAATAGTCTTTTTGATATCATATACATATTTACCCCTAAATCTCACACATAAATATAGAATTGAGATCACAGAGGCATTTAATTTGCTATATTCTTTTTGCACTTATTTTCTTTTTTATATTGCTGTGCATTTCACACTCATAGCAAAAGGCCTGACAGTGTGTTTTAGTTCCACAGAAAGCTAGAAGAAAAAAACAAGGATGGATGATAAACTAAATAGCTAAGAGAAGGCAAAGTGATGCCCATTGTCCTCATTCTATTGAAAATGGGATCAGAATGTGTACAAATCTAAGCAGAATCCATTTTTTCCTTTCCTTTTTTGCTGCCTTAATGTTAAAGCAGTGTGATTCCCAGGCCCCAGTTCAAGTATCAGGAAGCCCACCACGGCTATATCGCCATAGAATAATAGAGTACTTGGTGTTAAAAAAACAAAACGAGTAAAGGAAAGATAATTCAGGAAACTAGAGAACAAAATTCTTCAGCCATCAGAAAGGAAGAAGAACGTGAAAGAAAACCTGCATTTAACATTTTATCTCATATTTTTTATGATATAAAGTTCCTTGTTAGTACAATATCATTATCCAACAAGCTTGAGATTTAGGCAATGTCTACTTATAGAAAGGATACCATGGAATATCTCTACCATGTATTTAGTTATCAGCAGCACCTAGTTATTAGGTCCAAACTATTTTAAACTAATTTCAAAAGATCTATACCCTATTCAGAGTTTAAAGTTTCCAGACCCATTCACAATCACTATCCTATTCCCACTTCCATCAATGCCCTCTCAATGACCCAACAGGTATGAATCTATACATTTATACATATATATAATATATATTACATATGTATTATATATAATACATATATATTATATATAATACATATATAATATATATAATACATATATAATATATAATACATATATATTATATATAATACATATATAATATATAATACATATATATTCAACTGTATTACTTTGTCAAAAATCTCATCAGATAAAACTGTTTTGTTGTCGTTGTTTGTATGAAATTGACATTTTCTGTAATAATATGCACTGGAAAATAATTTTTAAAAAATACAACAAATGTTGTTACTGTTTCTTATAAAACTGAGATTTCTGCAGGGTCCTCAATACTTCCCAGCAATCCTGTTTATCATTATTTAGTAAAAACATTTCTAAGTCTTCTCATCTAATATTTTTAATTCTTTAACTTAATTTTTTGAACAAGTAATACATTATCATGTGTTGGAAAACCAAAATAAAGAATAAAAATGTGAACAAGTGAAAACTGTTCCTCTTAACCCTCTCTCCACTTATCCAGTTCCCCGGACTCCCCAGTCAGATAACCGTTGTTGTTTTGATATATTCGTTCATTGTGTCTTTACGTATGTATAAGAAATAGAATCAACCACTATAGCCCTTCCTGAAATATCTGTTTGTGGCTCTGTCCCTCACTGTCACCTTTGTCTCACATTTCATTGTCACCACAATGCTCTCATTCCTTACTCATCCACTGACCTACTCTATGTATCTCCTTCTTCTCCTATTTCCTCCTCTAACATCAGAAAAGCTGCATTTTATCCTAGTGAAGTCCAATTCTTCCACGTGGGGTAAGGCCTTATTATTTCCACTTTCTAAAAAACTTTACTCCTTCAGTTCTTCCTCCTTCCTCCTACATCTCCACTGTCTGCTTCTATATGTTCTGGAGTTGGCTATTTAAATTTGAATGCATTAAAATTAGGTAAAATTCAAAATTTAGTTCCTCAGGTGCACTAGCTATATTTCAAGTGCTTAATAGTCATATGTGGCCAGTTGCTATAGAATTAAACTGCTCAGGTAGAAAACATTCCTACCGCTGCAGAAAATTCTATGGGACAGTGTTGTTCTAGAGCATGTTTGAAAAATGATAGAATTTCGTCACTCATTAAGTGTGACCTTGGCCAAGTTTTCTTTACTATGCTTCAATTTCTTATGTAGTAAACTGAAAAAAAGAATAGTATCAGTTTTGTAGGTTATTGTATATAAAGAACATATTAAATTGGCATGAAAAAATTGAACATGAATATAAAGTTGAAGATACAGGTATGGATTCAGAAATAGATATATAAAGATAAAGATATATAAAGATAAAATTATTTCAAAACAATTAGTATTCTTTTTTCCGTAATAAATATCTTAGTCCCACCGAAGCTACCTTTGTGTGTGTGTGTGTGTGCACGCACGCACACACGCACGCATTGGGCAGTTCTAACACATTGTATTTACATTCCCGAATTCTCATAAGCATAGACCCCCATTTATGTTTCCATTTCACTTTATACATACTTTTATAATTAAGTGTTATTGTATAACTTTGTTATACAATATTAAATTAAAGATCATAACTTTGTGTTTTTAGCACCATATAAAGGTCCAGAACACATAATCAATATTCAGTAAATTTTGTTGAATTGAATTAAATTTAGTTTACAGACACTCAATTAATGTTTTCCGTGTGTGAAAATTTCTCTCACTTCATTTAAGCTATGTTCCCATTTGTAAGTTCAAATATCATGTTTTCTTTTCATCATCTGTTCTAGACTTGGTAATCATATGGGTTTTATTGTCTCCTATGTGTTCAAATCTTCATTAGCCCATTTGAAATGCCCTACACTCTTCCAATTTAAAGATTACTGTGAAAGAGTGTACTTACGGTCAGAAACTTGTACTTGCCTATCGCTAGTAACCAAGATAATTTTATTTTAAAAAAATGTTTGATAGTATTTTGACTTTATTCTGAGAGAGAGAATAATTAAAAAGGGAAGAAGAAAAGAAAAATAGATGGTAATATAACCATCACTCCTTGCTGTTTGTATAAAGATGTATTTTCCTACTAGATGACTACAGTGAGCTATTTTAAATATGTATTTTTTAAAGTTGTTAATTTTCTCTTTGAATACATATATATATTCAGTACAAATATTTTTAAAATACTAATTATTACATTTTTCAAACTAGAGGGGCCTCTTAATTAATTTAACTATACTCAGAAGTGAATGTTCCATGATTCCCTCATGACACCCTTAGAGCTTTACATATTTATTAAACACACGACAGATACTTGTTAACATTAGTAAGTATTAATGTTAAATGATGTATTATTTTATGAAAACCCATTTTGCAGAAACATGAATTTACCCAAAAATAAAATATGTGAATATTCAGTTAAAATTTATTTTTAATCAGCATTTACAATTGAAATTAAGTATTTTTATATATATCTCATTAGCCCTCCAAGATAGTTTATGCCTTTTGGGGTATTGGTATTTTATTCTATGCAAAATTAATTTGTACACAAATTACATATAGGCTGACTACATAAGGAATTGTACGTTTTAAGAGGAGGGTGGGCCGGGTGCGGTGGCTCACGCCTGTAATCCCAGCACTTTGGGAGGCCCAGGCGGGCGGATCACGAGGTCAGGAAGTCGAGACCATCCTGGCTAACACGGTGAAACCCCGTCTCTACTAAAAATACAAAAAATTAGCCTGGCGTGGTGGCAGGCGCCTGTAATCCCAGCTACTCAGGAGGCTGAGGCAGGAGAATAACGTGAACCCGGGAGGCGGAGCTTGCAGGGAGCCGAGATCGCGCCACTGCACTTCAGCCTGGGCAACAGAGCGAGACTCCGTCTCAAAAAAAAAAAAAAAAAAAAAAAAAAAAGAGAAGGGCTTCGGCCCGGTGCAGTGGCTCACGCCTGTAATCCCAGCACTTTGGGAGGCCCAGGCGGGTGGATCATCTGAGGTCCAGAGTTCAAGACCAGCCTGACCAACATGGAGAAACCCCCGTCTCTACTAAAAATACAAAATTAGCCTGACATGGTGGCGCATGCCTGTAATCCCAGCTACTCGGGAGGCTGAGGCAGGAGAATCTCTTGGACCTGGGAGGCGGAGGTTGCCGTGAGCCAACATCCCGCCATTACACTCCAGCTGGGCAACAAGAGCAAAACACCATCTCAAAAAAATAAATAAATAAAAATAAAAATAAGAGGAGGGCTTCTACCATCAAATAAATCACAGTTTATTCATAAAATGGAATACTGAGCAGACTGTAAAGAGAAAGTAGATCACTATAGATAGAAAGGAGATAGAAAACAATCTATAAAATATATTGATAAATATTTTTAAAATTTTGGAAGACAGTGAACAGTTTACTACTACCCATGTAAGAAAAATAGAGATATATCCATACATTTATATGTTTGAGATTATTTAGACTATTCGTGGAATAGAAATTTTGTTCTGTTTGAATTTTTACCGATTTTTTTAAATGCTTTTTTTGTCTCATCATCAATGCATTCAGTTTTGCAAGTCCTTTTTTTGTTCTTTTTTTTTTTTTTTTTTTTTGACGGAGTCTTGCTCTTGTCACCCAGGCTGGAGTGCAGTGGTGCAGTCTCGGCTCACTGCAACCTCTGCCTCCCAGGCTCAAGCGATTTCCTGCCTCCGCCTCCCGAGTAGCTGGGATTACAGGCTCCCGCCAGTATGCTTGGCTAATTTTTGTAGTTTTAGTAGAGACAAGGTTTCACCATGTTGGCCAGGCTGGTCTCGACCTCCTGACCTCAGGTGATTCGCCTGCCTCGGTCCCCCAAAATGCTGGGATTACAGGCCTAAGCCACTGTGCCTGGCCTGGCACAGTCTTAAAACAATATCAAGAAAAAGACTTCTACTTTCCATATCTCCTAACCTACTAAATTCTTTTTTCCAAGAACAACGACTTCCTTTACACATCTATTTGCTTCCATGTTTCTAAATATATGCCTTAGACTTACATTTCATGATCTATCAATTTTATAATTTGTGTATTGACTGTGTTATGGCATCATCTTATATAAACACCTTCTATATCCCCTCTTTTGTAATTACATACTTCTTAAGATTTACATGTTGTGAGTTATATACATATTGTTCCTTGCTGAGTCCAATGATAGTCAAACAAGCTATTCTTTTTTCTTACTTGCTTTACGTGTTATGTTTCATAAAGTCAATAGTTGCCTGTTTAAAATTATTTTTCTTTTTGTAATGTTTACCTATAGTTAATTCTTCCTAAAATTTCAAACACAATTATTATACACATCTCAATACCATTTTCTACATGTCAAAGTTAATCAAATTGAGTCAAAATTATTTTCTCCCAGAAATCCTCCTCTTTGGGTCCTCTGATTTCTTGTGAAACCTTATCTGATTGCTCTCCAGGCCTATTGCAGAGCTGTTATTTTGGAACTTTCCTTTGTCTCTCTCCCATGAGGGAGCCCATGTCTTTCTCTTCCTTGATTAACTCCCTCTCTTCTAGTGAACAGCAGTACTTGATTGAGAATAAGTGTCTGGAAGATAATTTGCTGAAGTCTTATATGTGCGAAAAAGTCTTTATTCTAACTTGGCCAGAATTTGGCTGCAGATAGATTTTTAGGTTGAAATTGTTTTCATCACATTTTACGTGCTAAGTTCTTGGTAGAACTTTCCAATCTGTTGACCCATGTCCTTCAGTTCTAGGGTATTTTCTTGTATCATATCTCTGTTTTCTCTTTCCTTTTTTTTTTTGTACTCTTTGTCTTATGGACTTATAAGTTTTACATGTCTGCCATTGCAGTTAAGGATAGAATGGTGATTAAATATATGTTTCTAGTCTGCCATGTTTAATTGAATGTACCTATATTATATTTCTATTCTTCTTGATGTTGGACTTTTTGGAAAGTCTAATTTTCTTTTACTTCCTAGTGTTAATTTTTTTTTTCTGTTTATACTACTTTTCCAAATATTTTCCCCATTTAACCTTTCAACGCTTCTATTTATATATTTACTTTTTATTCTGAATAGCCCTTTTTCATTCCATGATTTTTTTTAAATAACATCCTGTTCTTGTTTCATTAAAGTAATAATTTTGTGTCTCTAATCATATCAATTAGTTTTTGTTTTCTTCTGTTTCCTGAATTGCCTCTCATTGTAGTTTACTTTTTATTTGTTTATTTTGGTCTCTGTGTGTTACATTTTCAGCCTCTTCTAACATGTCTGGAGATTCTTACCACTTCTTTCATATTCAAGAGTAAGTCACCAACAAGTTGGTTAGAGGCTCTGCTTTAGTGAAAAGAGCTTAAAGATATGAGTGAAACCACCTTTTCGTTGTAGGAAGGAAGCACAAGCATCTTTAACTAGATGCACGCTTGAGTGGAGTGTCTCTGTTGTAGTCAGTCTCTTTGATGGTGAATATCAACCCAGCTGTTAAGAATCTGGTAGCCCCAAGTGAGGTAATTCGTCTGGAGATGTCACCATTTCACTTATCTTTCTTACTCCCATGCTGCCTGTGCCTGGCATCCCAAGTCTCATCTCCTTTTTTGTTGTATCTGGAGCCTCCAAATTCTAATCCTTACCAAGGTTCTGCAGGGCAGGCTGCTGTGCTTCTCATCATTATCATCCTCTGCAAACATGTAGGTTTCCAATCCTTCTACTTTGCTGAGTCAGTTATTGTCATTTCATCTGTTTTTCACCTCCTATAAACCTACTGGTATCCTCTGTTATATTTTCTTTTACACTCTTTGTCTTATGGACTTATTTATAAGTTTTACATGTCTGCCATTGCAGTTAAGGATAGAATGATGATAAAATATATGTTTCTAATCTGACATGTTTAATTGAATGTACCTATATCATATTTTAATAAAAATATGCAAGAAGGCCCCACAAGTTTTTGGAGTGTTCATAATAATGTTCATCACCAAAAAATATTGGGGTAAAGAAATCTTCACAATCAGTGAATATATTAAATTATTTATCACCAGGAAAATTTGGCGTACAATTAATGTCATAACTAATAGTATAATAACTCCATACCGACTTTCCCCAAAAGGATGTTTTCAGTATGGACAAATGGTTGTTGTCCTATACCTTCTTACAGAAGTAAAAATTAGTTCAACATTTCCAAAGGACAATTTGAAAATACATCCGAAGAGCATTAAAAGAAGCATACTTTCTGATCTAAAGATTATCTTACAGTAATTTATCTAGGAAAATCTCAGTGTATGTATCTAGTTAGAAATTATTTGTTTGCAAATCAAATGAAAGTTGATCACAGAAAATCTCCTAGGCCACAGTTACTGGAAAGATGTCAAAGATTCACTGAGCCACAATGTGACTGAATTGTCTTTCTCTAAACCACTGATTCTGGTTTCTCATGAATAACTCTCCCCAAAATGACAGCATCAGCCTTGCATCTACAGGATCATCTACTTTGGTTCCAGACAACTAAATGACTTAGTCTCCATGTCTCAATTTCGATTTCTCAGAGAATAAATCTGATTGGCCTAGTCAAGTCAGCCTTTGTGGTCAGTGCTCAAGAGAGAGTTAGTTGGAAAATCAGAACTAATTCTTCTCAGACTGCTAGGGTTGGAGAGTTGTTTTTAGAAAGAAGCATGGAGATCTGGAGAAATGTATCTGCACCTCTAACACTCAAGATAGTATCTACAACACTAGCCAACTAGGTGAGTTGGACCATTATACAATGGCTGGTCTATGTCCAAAGATTGACTTGAACCATGACTCAAATACCACAAAGGTTGTTTTCATTTTAGTTTGCTATTGATCCAACAAACAAGGGATGCAAAGAATAATAATCAGATTCAGGACATAATTCAGTGGACACAATTCCTAATGCCTTTCTGGATCCTCAGAGTTTTGTCCAAATTTCAAAAGGGTTGGCAGCACTGATAGAGTGAAAAAAACAGACAGGTAAGAAAATCCTAGAGCCTCAAATGCATCCGTTTTTAGTGGCTGTGGCTGGCTGGGGAAGATGAGAGAGAAAAGCAGATAAGCACTCGGGGGCTTACCTTATTGCTAGATAAGAAAAATGTAATGAAGAGTCTATGTAGAACAAAGTGTGTAACAGGACAAGAATACTAATAAATAGTAACTGACACCAGGCTTAGGATAGACAAGAAAGCTAAGAAAGGGAAGACTATAATATATGGAGAAAGAAATTGCTATTTGGTTCTAGGTGACTATATTTTTGCAGAAAAAAAAAGTATTTCTTTATTTTTTGTTTCTAAAGACAAGTCAGAAATCCAGATTTCTATGTGACACTTCTGGATTTTGAAATGTTGGAAACAATCAAGATTTTGTAAAACAATATGTAGCCAGGAAAAAGACATCTGCTGATAGAATCAGGCCTGCATACAGCTAATTTGTGAGACTGTCTATGCATATTCTAACATGTATACACAAACACACACACACCCTTTGTAAATGAATACGAATCTTAATTATTCTCCTACGCTAAAACCCAATATAATCAAGAATGAGAAGTTTAGCTTTATATACAAATTTCCTCAAAATCACAGTATGTTAGCATAAGAAAGAATATGGGATTTCAGTGATCATAACTCCATTATTTTATAGATGAGATAACATGTATAGAAAGTCTTAACAATTTGTTTAAGACTTAAAGACAGTTATCTATCACATTTAATTATTTTGGAATTTTCTTTAAGACGTAATAAGATTTCTTACATTCTAAGATATAATTCATGTCTAGGTATCATATCTCCACAAGCATTCTAGCTGATTACTATTTCAGTTCAAACTATAATTCATCAGGAAGCTTTATGTTTGTTTCATAAAGCCATCAAAATTATTTCAATGTGCCGTCTAGAAGGTTTAATGTAACTATGGCACATAATGGTACCGCGATTATTCTGGATTAAATAACATCAACATTAGCCTTTATTAACTATTGGCAAGGGACCCACCTTTAACCACCCACTTCACTTTACACTTGGAATTCGTAAAATGCTATATTTATTTCAGGGTACATTTGTCCAGGTGATTTTCAAATTCCAACCTTGGTTCTTGTGCCCAGATTTTTTTTAGATCTTTTACTTCACACATTGAAATTTATGGGGCATTTCCCAGTACTCCCTGCTGCGTCCCTCATCAGGTCCTGGCTGTCAGGCCACTAGGAAACAAGAAATGAATGCTGGAAAACCCTGTGGCTGTTCTTAACTAAAGAACTACAAACATGACCAAAGTTCTCTGCAAATCCTCCTAGATTGTCAGAAGAAAAATGGCAACAAGCTGCAGCCATTCAATGAAGCAATATTTTCCTTATTACTTGCAAAGTCTTTTACTTAGCCTCAACAGTATCATATTTGAAATGATTTTATGACTGGGGGCAATACTTGGGTAGCCATCTGTTCTCTCAGATTAGCTGTCAAATGAGTAGAGTGTTTTTAGTCAATGTTTTCAAATTGCTTTAAAATATCAACAAATTCAATATTTGTTCATGGCATTGGTAAGGAATATTTTCATATTTTATTCCCTCAAAAAGTTGGACTTTACAATAATTTAATATTATCTCCATAGTAACTGGTACAAACGAATAGATTCTAACTGACATTAAAAGAAAAAGAAGAAAAAAAGAAAAGAAAAGTGGTCAAAATGTCAAGATGGATTGGGTATACCAGAGCTATTTTTACACTTGCAATTTTAAAAGCAAATCTTTAATTTGGAGATTTCTGCCTATCCACCATTACAAGTCCCTTCAGGGCAATGATCTATCAAGTTCTGACTCTCTTAAACTGTTTGTGCTGGATTCCACATCGATCACACTCACACTTGCTGCACTTTTAACCAGAGAGCCAAGAAGCAATAATTTTCAATTAAGAAACTAGAAGACTTGGGGTTTGATTTATGGTGCATGACTAATTAACAAATAGCTGGCCTTATGAAAATTAAGCTGCTGGTTACTACAAAGATTTAACTTCATTTTCTTGAAAAGAAACTGATATAATACAGAATGTAATTTATTTATGGAAGTAGTATGATGCATTTTAAAAGTCATAGACATGTAAATGAGATAATTATCATTTTTAAGTGACAGGGCTAATTATTGATATTATGATGAATTTTGTATTCAGAGTACATATACACCTGAAATAAAAGATTATCTTTCCTTGGAATAATGATTTATACTTCCTTCTTATGGTATTGGAAGATCTAAAAATATTGCACATAGTATAAGTATTGGAGAATCTTTTTCAAAAAGAAGAGAAGTAAAATTAGGTTTAAATTTTTTTTGAAAATTACTTGATGTAAATTATTCAGAATGAGTAAATGAATTTATAAACATGAAAAATATTATCAAGTGAATGTGACAGTCCATATGTATGTTTTGTATTAATTCCACTTTTTTCTTTGTTTGTTAAATACAGATTTATGAAAGGCAAATGCCTAAAATCATAAAAAAACAAGGATGAAGTTTACCTTTGTTCCATAAATAAAACAATTTAATGCTATGTCATGTGTGATGTTCTTTACCCTATTAACTTGGGCTCTTAAAATATTAAAAACCTTGAAAATATTCAGCTTTCTACCCTAGCTTTGCTCTACTCCACCTCTCACATTCTCCTGTGCAAGTAACCTGAACTACCCCATGTTCCCCAAACATCACATTCATTTCCCACCAATCTTTCATCACTTATATAAATCTAACTACTTGTAAACTTCTCAAAAACTACATCTCCAAATTCTGCCATCTTTCAACTCCAACCTTAGATGTCACATCCTCCATAGAAAAGCAAAAGTTTTCTCTTCATCTTTCCACTACTCTGAAAGGATGTCTCCTTTCTTTTAGGTCCTACAGTATTATAGAATCATCCATAACATCAGGGGCTGTCAATACTGGCTGCTATGATGGGGACTTGAAATATTATTGTTTTTTATTTGAGTGTTCTTTAATGGATATTTTAATTAATTATAATTTACCTAACTGCATGCTTATGTGCACTTTCTAAATGTACATTATACTTCACTAAAATTACTTTAAAATTTTCAGTGCTGTGGCTCCATCCCAAACTAATTAAATCAGAGTCTCTGGGAGATAGAGCTTTGGACATTGGTGTGTTTTTTAAATGTTCCCCCTTATAAGTCCAACATTCAACCAGCTGTTCAGAACCACTGACCTATCTGATGTCTTAAGAAGGTTATCTACCTTTCTAGAGAGATAGTTGCCATGAATAACTATCCAACCAAGTGTGAATGGATTACCAAAACTGCACAACTCCTAACTATACACATTCTTCCACAGAGTTTTATGTCTGACCCTTTTCTAGGTGATACACTTGCAATTTGTAATCACTGCATGTTTGTTTCAGAGTTAACCAGATGCTCTTAGGGATGCTGATTCCTAAAATGTGATCATGTCTATGAAGTTGACATTATTATAGTATTTGTAATTTTATGGTTCTACTATAGCCTTAAAAGAGGAGAATTTTTTAAAGCTGTAGTAAGAACTATAAAATTACAAATACTATAATAATATCAACTTCATAGGAATGATCACATTTTAGGAATTTCTTGAGAAATACCTAATGTAGATGACAGATTGATTGGTGCAGCAAACCACCATGGCACGTGTATACCTATGTAATAAACCTGCACGTTCTGTACAGGTATCCCAGAACTTAAAGTACAATAATTTAAAAAAATTCTCCTCTTACTGTTTACTTCTTGATATTAGGAGCTGGCTCACTTTTTTCAAATACATGTTCACATAGCACTATTTTGATGTTGCTTGGCCAACTCTGAGGCTACCATTAAAAAGAATAGTGAGGTGGCTGGGTGCGGTGGCTCAGGCCTGTAATCCTAGCACTTTGGGAGGCTAGGGTGAGAGGATTGCCTGAGCTTAAGAGATCAAGACCAGCCTGGGCAACATGGTGAAACCCCATCTCTACTAAAATACAAAAAATTAGCCGGCTGTGGCAGCGTGTGCCTGCCCAGCTACTCAGGAGGCTGGGTAGGAGAATTGCTTAAATCTGGAAGGAGGAGGTTGCAGTGAGCTGAGATCGTGCTGTTGCACTCCAGCCTGGGTGACAGAGAGTCAGAGTAGAGTAAGAAAGATAATAATTTTGTGCCTCTCTATTTTTAACTATGTCTTTGAGATGTCAAAAATATTAGAAACAAACTTCTAATTGTTTAAATTATGATATATTAATGATCAGAAATCATTTGTTGAAATAGTTTGTCTTTGTGAAATTTATTTTTGCTATTCTCTATATTGCTACCAAATTTCTTCATGCAGATATTAATAAATAAGCTTCCATTGGAATAAAGCATCTCAGTGACAGCTCTCAAATCTATTTGCATTCTACCCTACATCTAATGAACTGTCTCTCTAAAGTACAAACCTAATTGAGTTTCTACCTTATTTCAGAATCTTTACTACATACACATCTCCTAAGTCTTGGCTACTCAAATTGAGGTTTGGGGGCCAGTGGCATGTGTAGAAGCCTATTAGAAAGGTTGAATTTCAGGCCTCACTCCAGAAAGAAATCAATCAAAATATACGTTTAAATAAGTTGTCCAAGTGAATCATATGCACACAACTTTCAGAAACTCTGACCAACAGAATAGTAAAAGGCCAAGCTCATCATTACCTACATCCCATCTATATCATCCAGCCTTATTTTTACCTCATATTCAACGTGTTGTCCTAGTCATGCTAGCTCATATAGAGTTTCTGAAGCAAACAAACCTTTTCTTTTATTTGCACATCCTATTAGCTCTATCTTTTCTTCCTTACCACACGTTCAATTGGTAATTCACCTGCTGAACTTCTCAATTCAGCTTATTCTCCTCCTTTTTGAGACAAGAGTATCTCTGACTCCTCAGGTAAAGTTAGGATTTTTTTCTTGTTTGCAAGGCTCTATTTGAAAAGTTATCAAATGGTATTGTAAGGAATATTTGCATTCCTATTTTTCTTTAGTCTGTGGGTTCCTTGAGAGCAAGAATTACATCTTGTTAAATCCCACATTCCTGGCTGGGCGTGGGGGCTCACGCCTGTAATCCCAGAACTCTGGGAGGCCAAAGCAGATGAATCACGAGGTCAGGATGGCCAACATGGTGAACATGGTAAAACCCCGTCTCTACTAAAAATACAAAAATTAACTGGGCATGGTGGTGCGTGCTTGTAATCCCAGCTACGTGGGTGGCTGAGGCAGGAAAATCACTTGAACCCAGGAGGTGGATGTTGCAGTGAGCCAAGATCGTGCCACTGCACTCCAGCCTGGTGACAGAGCGAGACTCAGTCTCAAAAATAATAATCATCATCATCATCCCACATTCTTATCTAACAATATTTTGAACATCAAGAAATGAGTCCTCAAGTACTTTATGAGTGCTGGACAAAAGGCCTAGATTAGACCATTTCTGAAGAAAGACTGTTGCAGAATGTTCCTTTTACACCTTTAAAAGCACTTTGGAGGGAGGTTCCAAGATGGCCAAATAGAAACAGCTTCAGTCTGCAGCTCCCAGCATGAGCGATGCAGAAGATGGGTGATTTCTGCATTCCAACTGAGGTACCGGGTTCATCTCACTGGGGCTTGTCAGACAGTGGGTGCAGCCCATGGGGCAGGGCGTGGCATCACCTCACCCAGGAAGTGCAAGGGGTCAGGGAATTCTCTTTCCTAGCAAAGGGAAGCTGTGACAGATAGTACCTAGAAAATCAGGACACTCCCACCCTAATACTGTGCTTTTCCAACAGTCTTAGCAAAAGGCACACCAGGAGATTATATCCCATGTCTGGCTCAGAGAGTCCCACAACCAAGGTGCCTTGCTTACTGCTAGCACAGCAGTCTGAGGTCAAACTGCAAGATGGCAG
This sequence comes from Homo sapiens, assembly GCF_000001405.40. NCBI lineage: Eukaryota > Metazoa > Chordata > Mammalia > Primates > Hominidae > Homo > Homo sapiens. The sequence goes on along the minus strand of NC_000003.12, from coordinate 147,599,564 downwards.
CGAGGCACGGGGAGGGGCGTCCACCATTGCTGAGGCTTGAGTAGGTAAACAAAGCAGCCAGGAAGCTTGAACTGGGTGGAGCCCACCACATCTCAAGAAGGCCAGCCTGTCTCTGTAGACTCCACCTCTGAGGGGCAGGGCATAGCTGAACAAAAGGCAGCCGAAACTTCTGCAGACTTAAATGTCCCTGTCTGACAGCTTTGAAGAGAGTAGTGGTTCTCCCAGCACGGAGTTTGAGATCTGAGAACGGACAGACTGCCTCCTCAGGTGGGCCCCTGACCCCTGAGTAGCCTAACTGGGAAACACCTCCCAGTAGAGGCCAACTGACAACTTATATAGCCGGGTGCCCCTCTGAGTCGAAGCTTCCAGAGGAAGGATCAGGCAGCAACCTTTGCCGTTCTGCAATATTTGCTGTTCTGCAGCCTCCACTGGTGATGCCCAGGAAAACAGGGTCTGCAGTGGACCTCCAACAAACTCCAACAGACGTGCAGCTGAGGGTTCTGATTGTTAGAAGGAAAACTAACAAACAGAAAGGACATCCATACCAAAACCCCATCTGTACGTCACCATCATCAAAGACCAAAGGTAGATAAAACCACAAAGATGGGGAGAAACCTGAGCAGAAAAGCTGAAAATTCTAAAAATCAGAGTGTCTCTTCTCCTCCAAAGGAATGTAGCCCCTCGCCAGCAGTGGAACAAAGCTTGATGGAGAATGACTTTGACGAGTTGAGAGAAGAAGGCTTCAGACAATTGGTAATAACAAACTTCTCTGAGCTACAGGAGGAAGTTCAAACCCATTGCAAAGAAACCTAAAAACCTTGAAAAAAGATTAGAAGAATGGCTAACTAGAATAACCAATGTAGAAAAGTCCTTAAATGACCTGATGGAGCTGAAAACCATGGCACGAGAACTACGTGACATATGCACAAGCTTCAGTAGCCGATTCAATCAACTGGAAAAAAGGTTATCAGTGATGGAAGATCAAATGAATGAAATGAAGCGAGAAGAGAAGTTTAGAGAAAAAAGAATAAAAAGAAATGAACAAAGCCTCCAAGAAATATGGGACTATGTGAAAAGACCGAATGTACATCTGATTGGTGTACCTGAAAGTGATGGGGAGAATGCAACCAAGTTGGAAAATGCCTTCACAATACTATCCAGGAGAACTTCCCCAACCTAGTGAGGCAGGCCAACATTCAAATTCAGGAAATACAGAGAACGCCACAAAGATGCTCCTCATGAAGAGCAACTCCAAGACACATAATTGTCATATTCACCAACACTGAAATGAAGGAAAAAATGTTAAGAGAAAACAGAGAGAAAGGTTGGGTTACTCACAAAGGGAAGCCCATCAGATTAACAGTGGATCTCTCAGCAGAAAGTCTACAATCCAGAAGAGAGTGGGGGCCAATATTCAACATTCTTAAAGAAAAGAATTTTCCACCCAGAATTTTATATCCTGCCAAACTAAGCTTCATAAGTGAAGGAGAAATAAAATCCTTTACAGACAAGCAAATGCTGAGAGATTTTGTCACCACCAGGCCTGCCCTAAAAGAGCTCCTGAAGGAAGCACTAAACATGGAAAGGAACAACCAGTACCAGCCACTGCAAAAACATGCCAAATTGTAAAGACCATCAATGCTAGGAAGAAACTGTATCAACTAACTAGCAAAATAACCAGCTAACATCATAAGGACAGGGTCAAATTCACACTTAACAATATTAACCTTAAATGTAAATGGGCTAAATGCTCCAATTAAGAGACACAGACTGGCAAATTGGATAAAGAGTCAAGATCCATAAGTGTGCTGTATTCAGGAGACCCATCTCATGTACAGAGACACACATACACTCAAAATAAAGAGCTGGAGGAAGATCTACCAAGAAAATGAAAAACAAAAAAAAGCAGGGGTTGCAATCCTAGTCTCTGATAAGACAGACTTTAAACCAACAAAGATCAAAAGAGACAAGGAAGGCCATTACATAATGGTAAAGGGATCAATTCAGAAAGAAGAGCTAACTACCCTAAATATATATGCACCCAATACAGGAGCACCCAGATTCATAAAGCAAGTCCCTAGGGACCTACAAAGAGACTTGGACTCCCACAGAAAAATAATGGGAGACTTTAACACCCCACTGTCAACATTAGACAGATCAACAAGATACAAAGTTAACAAGGATATCCAGGAATTGAACTCAGCTCTGCACCAAGCCAACCTAATAGACATCTACAGAACTCTCCACCCCAAATCAACAGAATATACATTCTTCTCAGCACCACATCACACTTATTCCAAAATTGACCACAAAGTTGGAAGTAAAGCACTCCTCAGCAAATGTAAAAGAACAGAAATTATAACAAACTGTCTCTCAGACCACAGTGCAATCAAACTAAAACTCAAGATTAAGAAACTCACTTAAAACCTGTCAACTACATGGAAACTGAACAACCTGCTCCTGAATGACTACTGGGGATATAATGAAATGAAGGCAGAAATAAAGATGTTCTTTGAAACCAATGACAACAAAGACACAACATACCAGATTCTCTGGGACACATTTAAAGCATTGTGCAGAGGGAAATTTATAGCACTAAATGCCCACAAGAGAAAGCAGGAAAGATCTAAAATTGACACCCTAACTTCACAATTAAAAGGACTAGAGAATCCAGAGCAAACACATTCAAAAGCTAGCAGAAGGCAATAAATAACTGAGATCAGAGCAGAACTGAAGGAGATAGAGACACCAAAAACCTTTCAAAAAATCAATGAATCCAGGAGATGGTTTTTTGAAAAGATCAACAAAATTGATAGACCGCTAGCATGACTAATAAAGAAGAAAAGAGAGAAGAATCAAATAGACGCAATAAAAAATGATAAAGGGGATATCACCACCGATCCCACAGAAATACAAACTACCATCAGAGAATACTATGAACACCTCTGCACAAACAAACTAGAAAATCTAGAAGAAATGGATACGTTCCTGGACACATACACCCTCCCAAGACTAAACCAGGAAGAAGCTGAATCCCTGAATAGACCAAAAACAGGTTCTGAAATTGAGGCAATAATTAATTGCCTACCAACAAAAAAAAGTCCAGGACAAGATGGATTCACAGCTGAATTCTATCAGATGTACAATGAGGAGCTGGTACCATTCCTTCTGAAACTATTCCAATCAATAGAAAAAGAGGGAACCCTCCCTAATTCATTTTATGAGGCCAACATCATCCGGATACCAAAGCCTGGCAGAGACACAACAAAAAAAGAGAATTTTAGACCAATATCCCTGATGAACATCAATGCAAAAATCCTCAATAAAATACTGGCAAACCAAATCCAGCAGCACATCAAAAAGCTTATCCACCACGATCAAGTTGGCTTCATCCCTGGGATGCAAGGCTGGTTCAACATAGGCAAATCAATAAACGTAATCCATGATATAAACAGACCAAAGACAAAAACCACATGATTATCTCAATAGATGCAGAAAAGGCCTTTGACAAAATTCAACAGCCCTTCATGCTAAAACCTCTCAATAAATTAGGTATTGATGGGACGTATCTCAAAATAATAAGAGCTATTTATGACAAACCCACAGCCAATATCATACTGAATGGGCAAAAACTGGAAGCATTCCCTTTGAAAACTGGCACAAAACAGGGATGCCCTCTCTCACCACTCCTATTCAACATAGTGTTGGAAGTTCTGGCCAGGGCAATCAGGCAAGAGAAAGAAATAAAAGGTACTCAATTAGGAAAAGAGGAAGTCAAATTGTCCCTGTTTCCAGATGACATGACTGTATATTTAGAAAACCCCATCGTCTCAACCCCAAATCTCCTTAAGCTGATAAGCAACTTCAGCAAAGTCTCAGGATACAAAATCAATGTACAAAAACCACAAGCATTCCTATACACCAATAAAAGACAAACAGACAGCCAAATCATGAGTGAACTCCCATTCACAATTGCTTCAAAGAGAATAAAATGCCTAGGAATCCAACTTACAAGGGATGTGAAGGAACTCTTCCAGGAGAACTACAAACCACTGCTCAATGAAATAAAAGAGGACACAAACAAATGGAAGAACATTCCATGCTCATGGATAGGAAGAATCAATATTGTGAAAATGGCCATACTGCCCAAGGTAATTTATAGATTCAATGCCATTCCCATCAAGCTACCAATGACTTTCTTCACAGAATTGGAAAAAACTACTTTAAAGTTCTTATGGAACCAAAAAAGAGCCTGCATTGCCAAGACAATCCTAAGCCAAAAGAACAAAGTTGGAGGCATCACACTACCTGATTCAAACTATACTACAAGGCTACAGTAACCAAAACAGCATGGTACTGGTACCAAAACAGAAATGTAGACCAATGGAACAGAATAGAGCCCTCAGAAATAATACTACACATCAACAAACATCTGATCTTTGACAAACCTGACAAAAACAAGAAATGGGGAAAGGATTCCCTATTTAATAAATGGTGCTGGGAAAACTGGCTAGCCATATGTAGAAAGCTGAAACTGGATCCCTTCCTTACACCTTATACAAAAATTAATTCAAGATGGAATAAAGACTTAAATGTTGGACCAAAAACCATAAAAACCCTAGAAGAAAACCTAGGCAATATCATTTAGGACATAGGCATGGACAAGGACTTCATGACTAAAACACCAAAAGCAATGGCAACAAAAGCCAAAACTGACAAATGGGATCTAATTAAACTAAAGAGCTTCCGCACAGCAAAAGAAACTACCATCAGAGTGAACAGGCAACCTACAGAATGGGAGAAAATTTTTACAATCTACCCATCTGACAAAGGGCTAATATCCAGAATCTTCAAAGAACTTAAACAAATTTGCAAGAAAAAATCCAACAATCCCATCAACAAGTGGGTGAAGGCTATGAACAGACACTTCTCAAAAGAAGACATTTATGCAGCCAACAGACACATAAAAAAATGCTCATTATCACTGGCCATCAGAGAAATGCAAACCAAAACCACAATGAGATACCATCTCACACCAGTTAGAATGGCGATCATTAAAGAGTCAGGAAACAACAGGTGCTGGAGAGGATGCAGAGAAACAGGAATGCTTTTACACTGTTGGTGGGAGTGTAAATTAGTTCAACCATTGTCGAAGACAGTGTGGTGATTCCTCAGGGATCTAGAACTAGAAATACCATTTGACCCAGCCATCCCATTACTGGGTATATACCCAAAGGAATATAAATCATGCTGCTGTAAAGACATATGCACACACATGTTTAATGAGGCACTATTCACAATAGCAGACTCAGAACCAACCCAAATGTCCATCAATGATAGACCGGATTAAGAAAATATGGCACATATACACCATGGAATACTATGCAGCCATAAAAAAGGATGAGTTAACGTCTTTTGTAGGGACATGGATGAAGCTGGAAACCATCATTCTCAGCAAACTATCACAAGGACAGAAAACCAAACACTGCATTTTCTCATTCATAGGTGGGAACTGAACAATGAGAACACTTGGACACAGGAAGGGGAACATCACACACCAGGGCCTGTTAATGGGTGGGGGGGTGGGGGAGGGATAGCATTAGGAGATATACCTAATATAAATGATGAGTTAACGGGTACAGCACACCAACATGGCACATGTATGTAACAAACTTGCACATTGTGCACATGTACCCTAGAACTTAAAGTATAATAATAATTTTTAAAAAATCACAACAAAAAATAAAATAAAATAAGCACTTACATAGAAATTATAGAATCAGAAGTGAATTGGAACATAAATCAAATCATTCTCTTTCAAAAAAAGATGATCCATGTTAACCTATGTATATGTTTATTCACAATAATCAATAAATGATTTCTAAATAATATGATTTATTTTCCAATGCAGCCCTCACTGACTTGTATGAGTTACATAAGGCATTTAGCCCAGTGTTGGTTTAAAGTGATCAATAATAGATATATTCTTTATTTAGCCTTCTCTTTAGCTTAAATCTTTCATGTGGCAATTAAACTCCCATTGTCTTTGTTCAATGCTTAAGTAAAATGGTAAAAATCTAAAATTAATTTCAAAACTTCATTTTAGTTAAAAGGTAACAGAGTACCCAACAAATTAAAAACTTACTGACTTCTTTTATTTCCTTTGCCAAACCACTTTGGATTGTTTCAAGGCAGAGGTTTTTGTTGTTGTTGTTGTTGTTTTGTTTTGTTTTGAAGAACATAGATAACTTTTATACTACAATATTAAGTACTATAGAAGATGCACACATACTACACACATACTAAAGTTCTTACTCTGTAAGTCAGTTTGCTTGATGTAGCAGCAGCTACATCTACCATTCACTAGATATCTCTTCTTTTTGTCAGTCACCAGAACAAGTGGATTACCTGCATTAGACCACTACAATCAAATCAGCCTCACAAGAGAGGGGGCAACACATCCATTTTGTGGACTGAGAAAAGAAGACTTCAAATGATATTTACTCATACTCTATTACCAATCAGTTTTGCTCTTACAAATATATCTGTCCCAGAGAATCTTTCATCCAGGTCCGCAAGCTTCATAATACATAGTACTAGCATATGATCTACCATGGTTCCTGCATGATCCTATACATCTTTGGGAGTATGCCAAGAATTAAAAGCCCTGGGCACTCTGAACTTGGCCATTATTTAGGATTGAGCTTACAGTGAGAAACTCTGAAGGATGAGGTAATATCTTGGTATGAGACAAAGAGCAGGCTTGCTTATTATTTGCTATACTTGAAATTCCTCAATGTGATGTGAACCCACTATATATGAGCATCCATCTAGGCTCCTCTGTCTTGCCATCATGAAACTTAGGGCATGAGACCCAAGAGCCTCATATCTTTTTCCAGAATCCATAAACAGGACAACTTATTGGCTCCTAAGTAAAATAAAATTGAATCTCACACCTGACCCTTAACTGCAAAGGAAGCTGGAAAATGTAGTTTTTATTTTGGGCACATATATGCCCAGCTGAAATTTCTATTAGTTTGAAAAAAGCTACTTGCCATAATTATCAATATCAGCATCATTTAATTTAGGTTATGTATGTGGTTGTTGATTCTACACTCCAAGCAATGCAACTAGGGCATTAGACACTGCTAAATTCCACAAAAATAAAAGAAGAAAATTAAAAGCTACTAATAGATTATGTGAAAGATGTATACATTGCACAGACTGTCACTGAGGTATTAATCATTTATTTGTATGAACTTGCTACTGATTTGAAAAGAAACTGCTTAGTGTTCAATGACATGTAATTCAGTTCAGGAAAAATGAATTTATGAGTTTTACCAAATAAGAAACTGTTGACATGAAAAAATGGGTGTTATTAGCTTGAAGCAAAATCTTAGAGATAATAGTGGAGCACACTTCCAAGAAAGGCCATATCACAAATGATCTTCATGGCACAAAGAACAATATTGTGCGAGTTAACATGGACATCAACAATTCTGAACCAAATAGTGATTCACTAATCTGAATTCAGATGTAAATAAGGTTTAATAATATCTTAATTAATTTATTGCTTTTTTATTTTTCTGTTTATAAGTGCCCAAAGTGATATATGGTATCTTTAAAACTATGTTCCTTCTTGTGATTCTATCCTGTGCGGTTGTTTTCTGGAGCAGTAGTCTTTTATCTCTGTCTGCCTTCTCTCCCACCTATGTGTGTGCCACCACCCATGGAAGATTCGATGGACATAGACATGAGCCCCTTGAGACCCTAAACTATCTTTTCAATTCTGAACTAAAGGTCAAAAAAGATGATCACTTTGAAGTAGATAATGATGAAAATGAGCGCCAGATATCCTTAAGAATGGTGAGTTTAGGGGCTCGTGCAAAGGATGAATTACACATTGTTGAGGCAGAGGCGATGAATTATGAAGGCAGTCCAATTAAAGTAGCACCGGTGACTTTGAAAATGTCTGTATACCAACGGTTTCCGTTGGGGCTTTGAAATAACACCACCTGTGGTCTTAGAGTTGAAGCATGGTTCAGAGCCAGTGCATACTAGTAGACAGCACTTTGTAGCTGGGGAGAAAGACACACAGTCGGAAGATGAAAAAGAGGAGGATGTGAAACTCTTAGGCATGTCTGGAAGGCAATCTGCCCCTGGAGGTGGTAGCAAGATTCCACAGGATAAAGTAAAACTTACTGCTGATGAAAATGATGATGATTTTGATGATGAGGAAACTGAAGAAAAAGCTCCAGTGAAGAAATCTACATGAGATGTGCCAGCCAAAGATGCAAAACAATCAAAGCAGAATAGAAAAGATTCGAAACTGTCAACACACCAAGATCAAAACGTCAAGAATCCTTCAAAAAACAGGAAAAAAAAAAAAAACTCCTAAAACGCCCAAAGGACTTACGTCTACAAAAGATATGAAGACAAAAATGTATGCAAGTATAGAGAAAGATGGTTCTTTTCCCAAAGTGGAAGTCAAGTTCATTAATTATGTGAATAATTGCTTTTGGATGACTGACTAGTAGGCTATTCAAGATCTCTGGCAGTGGAGGAAGTCGCTTTAAGAATATAATTTAAACAGTTTTGCAAAATTTTTCATCTTATTTCATTTCTTTAACAGTTGATATCTGGCTGTCCTTTATATTCCCCTACTGTGTTTGATAAATGTTCTTCAGGTTCCATTGCCAAGAATATGTTGTCAAAAATGCCTGTTTAGTTTTGTAAAGATGGAACTCTGCCCTTTGCTTTGTTTTAAATATGTATAGAATGTTATGACAGGACATAGTAGTAGTGGCGGTCAAACATGGATATTGTGGGGAGACAAAAATATACATGTGAAATAAACTCAATATTTTAATTAAAAAAATGAGTAGATCTAAGAGCTCTTTATACAAATAAAAATAAAATATACAAGGACTAATAAATCATTGAGTCATAGTTTAACTGTAATAAAAATATAAAATAATGTTTTTGTCTTACAATGGATGACATATTAGGCTTAACAAAATAAGATAAATTCTCAACTATGAATATGAATATTGTGTTTGACTTTGGAGTCCCATCCACAAAAAGAAAGCTGACAATCCTCCACTCTTACTTCATTCTTCTATACCCTTTCCATGGTACTGGCAAGCTCTGACCAGGCAGACTAGGACAAAATCCCTTGAAATAGCAGGTTAATAATATAGAAGAAACATGGATTCCTAGATGATTCCACAGGGCAAAGCCACCAGCCTATTTCAGGCACCCTTCTAAGTCTAGACTGTTATATATGAGGGAAACAAACTTCTATTGTATCAAGTCTGGTATTTCTATTGTATTAAGTTGGTCTATTTGAAATTTGTATTTCTATTGAATTAGGTAAATTTGTACTTGTCATGATTAACTTGTCACAGAAATGCTAAGGAAAGGTACTATTATTACTCCCATTTTTAGAGATAAGAAAATGGACACTAATAGGGGTTAGGTAATTGCCCAAAGTCAAACATTAGTGGAGAAAATGAGATTTTTTTTCACCCGTATAGGCTGATTCCAGAACTACCTTCATCATGGTGCTATTATTGTTTCCAGTGAATACACAGCCACGTGAAGCATGTTATACAAGTGCAAAGTATTGACATGGTGCATTTATACATCAGTAACTCTCTACAGCAATACAATTATCTTATATCCAAAAAATACACAAGTCATTATAATTTTTACCATTTGTAAGCATAATATTGGATATTTAATCTTAAGAAATAGCTCAAAATAACTCCACTAATGTGATATTGTCTATTATTGACAAAACCTGAAAAAACAGTATCTACAGTAGAAAAGTGGTTGAAGAAAATACAAGCTCACTGAAATGTTTTGAAGCAAACAAAGGTATAATGATAAACATTATACCAGCCTTTCGAATGTTTACAATATAACACTATGTGAAAAACTCAGGCTGCAAAGAAAAATGAAAAGAAATGAAAACATAAAATATCGTTGTTCTCAGCTTCTTTGAGGCCGAACACATAAAGTCAAGGTACATTCTGCATCAAAATTATAATACATCAATGAAATTTGCCTTTCCATCTACTTGTTTCCCTCCCTTCTCTCCAATTGTATCTTCTGCCCTTCACATAATCAGTCTCTTCTTTTATAATGAAGCCCTTACAAGATTTTTATTTGGTTAACAAATATGGTAAGTCCCTGCTACACTCAAGGCATTATGCTAGACATTTCCTCAGGAGAGAAGAATGACATCATAATTGGGAGTAACTACTACATACTTATTGTGTTACCAGCATTGGTCTTCATGATATACGCATAAAGCTAAGACCAGATGTGAAGTATAACACTTGCTGGTGAGGCGAGCAGGAAATTAAAGGCCAAACCCTCAGCAACCACAATATCTTGGACTTCTCACTTCCTCCATTGCCTACTGGTAACTTCATTTGAGGGTGATCCAATACAGAAAAAGACACAATAGAAAGGAATGTGTTAAAAGTCATCTGTAGCTCAGGCCACACTCCTTGCCCTGCCAAGACATCTGCTTGGAAGGAGACCACAGAGGAGTCATTCTGAAGGACATTTAAGAAATACATTTAATGTAACTCATTGAATTTCATTTTTTTTGAGAACTATAGATTCCCATGTAATCTATAAGTGTCATACCTCAAACCGACACTGTAGTGTAAGACTAAAGCAAGTACTGGAATAAGTCAAATTTTGAAGGCTCCTGTATCTCATTTTGCAGACTCATGCCTTTGTAGTGCCTTGATCAACCTGAGCTGTGACTGTAGAATCGCAGCAAAACCAGGGTCTCTAGGAAGACAGCCTCTTCCTAGTACTACAGATTGTCTCCAAAGCTTGCTACAACTCTGAGAGGTGGGTAGTATTTTCTCCATTATACATGAGGAAACTGAGTTTCATAGGTCATCCAACAAACATGAGATAATACTAACTTTGTTCTTTCAGTCTTGAAAGCCCACGTTCTTGTCAGTGTACTGTGTGATTTTATAGCAGGAAGCAGTAAGGAACACTTACATCTACAGGTCCAGGCTGTAGATTTTAGTAGAGGAGGAAGAGTTCTTCTGACAGTGTCATTGAGGAGGACAGCAAGGAGCATTGTAGGAAGAGTATTTATGAGAAAAGATACCAATGTCAGAAACAGCAAAGTGCCCAGTTTGATTGAACTAATTGCTGTGTGCTAGAGAGAGGAGCTGAAAAGTTATACTGGAAATATATAAGACTCTAGAAACTGGAACCATGGTTAACATTTTGGCCTTACACTTCCTCTGTTGAAATTCAGGTGGGGCTTAGCTAATTAATAATCCATGGGCTACTTGTACTCTGAATCATGGATATTTTATCTTATTCCTTACCACCATTAACTCCCTTTCTGTGTGCAGGTCAATCAACTTTTTCCATTATATTTTGAAAATTAATTACAGCATAATAAGGAGTTATGAGCAAATTTCCTAAATGTTAGTCTTCACTGGCAGGACGGTTAATATAAATGTATGAAAGGTACAAAGGCAACTAACAAAGAGTTGTAGAGACTAAGCAAACTAGACAATACTTTTTCCATCTAAGGAATTCAAATTCAAACTTTTGGTAAATGTGGTAGTTGCCATGTAATAAGAGTATATTATACATTATTTTAACTGTTTTAAACATATTAATTCATTTAATCCTCACAACAGCCCTGTGAAGAAAATGAGAAGCATTCTCATTTTACAGGTTAAAAAAAAATGGGATACAGAGAAGTTGATTAACTTATTCAAGGCCATTCAGTGGTAGAGCCAAAATTTGAACCTAGAACTTCTGGCTCCAGTCAAATTTTGAAGGCTCCTGTGTCTCATGAGCACCTCAGTGTATGCCTGTATCTCATAGAGTGCTATTCATGCTAAATGTTTTTCTTCTTACAACCACAACAAATTTAGAAGCAAATGCTGGTAAAATCTGTATTTCAGGAAATTTTATCACCAAAAGCTACAATTTGTTCAACAAATACTTATTGTGCACCTATATTTTCAAAGTACTGGGTACCACCCATACAGCCTTCCTGACCAAAGCCAGGAACACATACCCATATGCTTGCACCTATCCATGGCTGTCCTTTGACTAATCTACTGGGTGTCACTCAATACTATTCAGCCAAAAACGAAACAGAATCACACATCCCACTGAATCAAATTACCAGTCAACAAAACAGAAATTTCATTTATTAGCTAGTACTGTAAGATAAATAATTGGTTGTTGGCAGGAAATAAGAGAACAGTCTTATAGAAATGATTTCTGTTACATATCAATTCATAAAAGTTACCACCACTCTGTCCCTGGTTACCCAGTCAAATTAGTCTAGACTCTGGAGCAGTGTTTTTTTCAAGGTGATCTGTGTTATATTCACCTGGAGTAATTAGTTGAAATGTAAACTTATTTACAACCCTGCTATATCAGAAAATTTTGCAATGGGATTTAGGGATTTGAAGGTATAACAAGCTTTTAATATTTTCCATACTTTCTTAAGTTTGAGAATCACTAGTAAGGGAAAACATGAGAAAAGAGACTTAAACGACTTCCCAGAAAATGTTGAGGTCTATAAAAAAGTAATTCATACTAAAGGATAAATTCACTATTTCTAAAATTAGACATTGTAGGTTCAAATGTGCTCTGAATGTAGATAATTATATTTTTTAATACGAAAATGGCATTATTCAAAATTACGGTAAATAATTTAGCCCTTTAAGATTATGCACTTATATTTAAATTTCTGGAGAAATATATCAGAATTATCTTATTTGGCAACTTACAGCAATAAAACTGAAGTGTTGGCCAGGCACGGTGGCTTACGCTTGTAATCCCCAGCACTTTGAGAGGCTGAAGTGGGTGGATCACTTGAGGTCAGGAGTTTAAGACCAGCCTGGCCAACATGGTGAAACACCATCTCTACTAAAAATACAAAAAAATTAGCAGGGCATGGTGGTACGTGCCTGTAATCTCAGTCATTTGGGAGGCTGAGGAAGGAGAATTGCTTAAACCCAGAAGGCAGAAGTTGCAGTGAGCCAAGATCACACCACTGCACTCCAGCCTGCGCAACAGAGTGAGACTCCATCTCAAAAAATAAACAAACAAAAAATACAAAATGTTTTAGGCAACATAGCTTATTTTTCTCTTAAAATAATAGGTCCAGAAATAGGCAGTTGCAGGCAATGGTCCAGCTGCTCAACTCTGCAGACATGGGGTAAATTGAGTTCCCTGTTTTTTTGTTCTTCCATCTTCCATTCTGTTCTTACCACACCACTTTGTTGCTTCATGGTCACAAAATGACAGCTTTTCCTCCAGCAAAGCATTTAAAGCAGAAAATAAGAAAACGGAGACAGGCAATGCCATAGGTCCAAACACCTTCCCAGCAGATGTCTAGTTAAGTTGCATTCATCTGAGTAGTATCTCAAGATCACACCACAAGAGGCTGAAAAATTGAGAAACAGGATGGCCATGATTGCTTTAGACCAGGAGTTAGCAAATTACATCCCATGGGCAAAATGCTGCCTGTTCTCTGTTTTTTGTAAATAAAGTTTTATTTGAACACAACCACACATATTGTTTTAAAAAATTTTTTATCTATGAATTTTTTGATGCTAAATCAGCAAAAGTGAGTAACTCCATGATAAACCTCCTGGCCTACAAAACCTAAAATATTTACTATCTTATCTATTATAGAAAGTTTTGTGACCATAGTTTAGACCAATAATGATCCATCACATGCAGCTGTGTACATCACTGCACTAGGGGTTCTGGTGGCAGAAATAAATATTGGGTAGGCAAAAAAAAATCTCAGTGTCTGCCACACTGTGTGTTTTGGAGAATCTTCTTTGTTTATTGCCCCATCTCTAAAAAAATGAGGTGCTCCTCTTAAAGTTTTAGCTATCACAAAGTCGATGTTAGGATTCCTTGTGAAAATAAATACAAAATATTTACCACAGTGCCTACCATATAACAAAGGTTCAATAATGTTAGCTATTAGTAAAATTATTTATATAAAAACCCTACTGCTTTAGCCTTTCATTTTCCTGAACTGACACCTGAACTGCTTTTGCCTTTCAAAATTATTGAAAGTCAGTTTCATTTTAAAAATTATAATTACAGGTATCATACTTGTCTAATAGTCTTTCTATTGGTAGATTTTGGTAATGTGGACTTGAAAGCACCTTCTAGATACATAACAACTGATTAAATGTTCTAGCACCAACAAACTGACATAAATATATTTATTGAATATAATCTACCATCAAATGCAAAAAGATAAAAACCTTTTAATTTGTTATATATAAAATACAATGATTTGTGTTTTACTGGAAATTTTCTTTAAAGAAAATTGGTATCTTTATGAGACTTCGTCCTGGCATGCCACTGTTTCCAATAGGGTTCCTATCAGGCCCTGTATAAATATTTTCGTAAGCCACACTTAGCCTTTAGAGTTGTCTGGAAAGACTTTTTTGCAAAAAGTTATTTAGTTTCATGAGACCAAAAAGGCTGTTATATAATTTCTCCTATGTGCATATATTCTTCCTGCATAGTCAATGAGAAAAATTTGCTTAAATGTTGCTTTCTTTATAAAATAAATGCAAAAGGTATTACTAATAGAACTCCGATTTTTTAAATATTAAAACATAATAACAGAAGGTTGAACTCTTCTACTGTATGATCTTTTTCAATGTACAACACTAATTTTCTGTATTAAAAAGACATGGAGATCTACTTTCACAATATAATTTGAAACACAGAGGAAAATGTTGCATGCTGAGCGATAAAACTGAATTTCATTTTTGACTCTTGAAAGAGACCTATCCATTTCATTTAGGTCTTCCATATTTTTAACTTAAAAAAATAGAAATCTACAAAAATATTTTGGTAAAAATCTCTGGAACTCTGCAGGAGTCCAGGGAGTCGAGTGAAATTGCTTCCCTGCATTAGATGAATAACTCATTGACTGGCCCTATCCTCATTTAGCTCCAATGAAATAATAATGAGGAAACTTGTATAAAAGTGATTTTTTAAAAACTCACCACAATCTCTCATGCATGTTTTAGAATTATTCACCAAAATCCAGAGATATTGAATATAAAAGATGAGAAACCGTTTCCTAGTGCCTTCAGGCTTGCAGCTCGGTATTTAGAGATCACTGTCTTTCTGCTGCGAGCAAATAGTCTATTACAAAACAGGTAGCCATGAGAAGGTAACTTCATCAGTAAAAAATTGGCCTAAGCTGAAATTTTGGCAAAACAAAAACAAAACAAAACAAAGCAAAAATACAATAAGCACTGCCAGATAGGATCAGAAACACTATTATTTGGAACATAATTCATTACACAGTTACAATAATTACTTTTTTGGAGTATTAATCCCATCCCCAATCAAAGGAAAGCCTTAGGAATTCAGGCATGCAGCATAAAACTTTAAAATGAACCAAGATGTTCTTTCATTGAGACATTCCATACCCTCTTTTTCTAAGATTACCCAAGAGCTAGCTTTCACCACAATGCTACTCTAAGCAGTTTGCATCTCTTTGGTGCTGACCATCCACCACTAGGCTGACAACACCAAGTGCTTCATTGTGAGACTTTTATATTTTTAATAAGCACCTATATATGTAAGCACTGTAATACCTGTATATAAGCACTTTGGTAAATACTTGTATATTAAGCTATCACCATCATTCTTGAATCTTTTCTCCACAAGCTTAATGCACCCTTCCCAGGGCTTCTACTGTCTTTCTGCTTTCTCAGGACCTCCTCAGTGACAGGCAATCTACATCTTCTCTTTCTGAGAAATCCCCCCAGCAGCACTTTATTTCATCTTATGTTTAATTCCAATCAACACCCTGCAAAGGTATTTCCTGAACTACACGCAACTATATATTTTTAATTCATTGACAAATCATTAATTTGTGCCTCCCACAACAAAGTGATCAGCCTTCATATGTTATTCCTCCCAGTGGCATTTTAAGTACGGTCAAGTTCATAACCCAAATAATAAGTCTCTGGTGGTGAAATGTCAGATACTGATAAAGCTAAATGAGCAAGATACACTGTTCTGGGGGCAAGAGAGCCTTCTTAACATCCCGTAAGTTCTCAGCTAGAGCTGTATAATTTAGCTATAGTTAAAACTGGACATTTTTTGAAAAGCTTCATTGATCTTTTATTTACATGCCATTAAATTTATCCATTTTAAGTGTGCAATCCAATGATACTTAGTCAATGTACAGAGTTCTACAACCATCATCACAATCTAATATTAAAAGTAACATTATTCATAATAGGGAAAAATGGGAACAAGTCAAATGTGAATGGATAAACAAGAAAATAACCAAAACCTGGCCTTTTAAGTGAGATTCCTGCAAATTTCATTGATAGCTTAAATAGATATGATATATTTATTTACCTATATATTTGGAGGGAAAAAAATAAACAATTTGAATTTCTCCTAATTCAGAGTGAAAAGTTTGTACTGTAAGAAAAAGCCAAAGTTCATTATTTTGAATGTCACTGAAAAATAGCAGAAGATAGTTTTACCATTGACATTTCTACTAGTTCCCTTTGCATAATGAATATATTGTTATATTATGTAAATATCATGGTTTGTTCTTTCAGTGAGCATTAGTCCAGTTACCCAGAGTAAGGCAAGAAAATTGTCTTCCAAAGTCATGTCACAATGATTCTAAAAATACAGAACCATTTGATGTAGCCATCCAACTATTTCTAGGCAGAATTCTATTTATGTTTTGTAAACTTAAATGATTCATAATTGGCAAATAACAAGATGATGGAAATAAATGTAGCATTGGGAAACAGTCATATGTGTCTCATAGAATCAAATTCTAATAAATTACTATAATTTGAGTGCTAATAGTCCCACTCCAGGAAAATCTTGTCCACCAAAATCTGACCAAATTTTGGCTAAGCAGAAAGCTTTTGTTGAATGTGATGTGGACCTTTCCCTTGAAAAGAAACAAAGATTACAAAGACTACAATTATTATCTATGTACTCCGCTTCTCCCATATCCAAAAATATGTGTTGGATAGCTTATATTAAATAGAAAAATAGCACACTGGAAAACACTTTCACCTAACATGGAACGGCTTACACCTCTACTATCTCTGGACTGAAAACCAGATTAGTAAAAAAGTTTAATGTTATTTATATTCTTCATTTCTGATTTTAAATCTTCTCAAAACTATTTGTACATCAAATGTAATTTTATTGCATTTTTCAAGAATAACCAAAAGAAAGTCTATGCTAGTCAGAGAATAACTTTACTCTTATCCGTTTTAAATCATAACATCTGGTTTCTCTCGCTAAGAAATTTGTTTAATTAAATATTTTATTATGGATACTCATTCAGATTTTCAAAAATTGTCCTGCCCCTAGATAATGACAAATGGTTGCTTTCAGTAGGACTTATGTTACTACAGCTGTGGTTTAAGAATAACTGTTTCTGTATTTTGATAATATACTCTATCTTCACATGGGTATACCAAAAGCAAAAATATTAACACTGTGGATATATGAGGAAATAAAAAACATAAGGCTCCTCTCAGAATTTAATGCCTGATAGCTAATCAATTCCTTTTGTCATCTGTATCAAGAATTTCCAACAAATTTGTAACAATTCACCAATCAGATTTGAAAACTAATCTGGCTAATCTCAGTCGCCAGTCTCTTCCGGGACCATAATTCTATAAAAGTCACAGAGTAAAAAGACCAGTGAGGTTCCTCGAAATCCCACCTTTTCTGCATCATCCATTTCTAGAGAAGTCTGTAGATGCACCAAGATGGTACACTACAGGCATAATTCCCCTTAACATTTTCCCAGTAACTGACTACACAGATTTGTCTGACAGTCAGCACTCCTGCCCTTGCCCCCCTCTCTGACAGGCATCCTGGTATATAAATTTTTACTATTAAAAATTATCCCTGTTTAATTTATCAAAGAACATGAGGAATAACAGCAAATGTGGACCTAGACTAAGTCACACCCAACAAGCAAATTACAATCAGACTGTGTCTGCTATTGAAAGAGTAGTAGTCCTTATTTGGAATGTTTTTAAATCACATTATTATATTTTTTAAACATCACAAGATTTCTTTAATCAATTATTTCCTTGGGGCCTGTCAAAATAATATTTACCTCACTTTGGAGGCAAGTAGAAGAGAACACTTTACCTTTAAGACCTTTGAATAGTATCCTACAAAATGCTGCAATATCTTCAAAACCCTTTCAAAGTACAGCTGTCTTGAATTAGCCCAATAATTCTTAGTAGTAACATACCATAAGAGGAGAAACAATGTGTTACAATAAATGTTCATTGAATGCTATTCCTGTCTCTACATTCCTACTGTATTCTGCTAATACTGATGCTACTATTTTACTTTTGGTGGCACCTGTTAGATAATGTAAGGGGCGGTCTCTATGTTATATCATCCCCCTGTGCTAATGCTTTCATTCAGCTTCAAAGTACACTATGTTCCTTCTTTAGAGAATAGTGGCTTAAAAATTTTTCCTACATTGTCACTTATTGAAAATATTTTGGCAGCCAGGCATGGTGGCTGATGCCTGTAATTCCAGCACTTTGGGAGGCTGAGGCAGAAAGATTGCTTGAGGCCAGGAGTTGGAGGTTGCAGTGAGCTATGATCATGCCACTGCACTCCAGCCCAGGCAACAGAGCAAGACCCTGTCTCTAAAAAATAAAAAAAAAATTTGGTAAATATCAAAAATTCACATTACAAAGTATAGTCTAATAGAACTACAGAATTTTGACCATAACATTCTATAACAAATATATATTACGTATATAGAATCAATAGTATTTCAGAAGATTGTTTTTAATGTTCTTTGTGATTTTACATCAATTTCTCTTCTCACACTAAAAATTATTTTCATAGAAAGATATTGCCTTTCCTGTTCAGATTCCTTGTCATTCAGGCCATTCCTTAAACTACATTTCTCATAGCAGCGTGAGGTTTTCTGAACGACTTTGTGCTCAGTAGTAAACATGCCTTTTATATACTCATTATTCGTTGGAATATTTATTGAACATTGTTTGTGCATAAGAAACTGTGCTGAATGTTGGACAAGACACAAGACACAAAAATAAACAAAACATTCTCCCTACCACCAAGAAACCTAAAATGTCTTATGGGAAATGAAACAGTGACCAAATACATTCCAGACAAGGCGATTTGTGTTAAACGTCGTGTGTGGGGGACAAACCAGAGTCAAAGGAGTTCAGAGGATTACTATCCATGGTTTTGGAAGAGAATAACAAGTCATATTTTTATTTGTAAACTCCTATAGGAGTGAGATTTATGTTCAAGATTAGCACAGTTATTTAACCAATTACGCAATGGTAATACAAATGGAAAAAAACCTGAAGGTTCTCTTCCTAGCATTAATTATGAAGGATTTTCAATAAAAAAATGTAGGAAATGCAGATGTGTACTCAATTTTCAATCTCCCAGGATCAGAGGTTGTATAACTTCCATTTATACTTAATCCTAGTGTATAAGGAAATGTATAACTATGAGGTCTTCACAATATGTGTTTTGGCTGAATTCAGTTGCTAGAATGTAAAGTTACAACAGAATCTCTGCAAAAGTGAATAACAACTGGGCAGCACCCTGAACAGCCTTCTCTTCTGTGGCTACACTGCCCTTACTCCCAATTTATCCCAAGAAATCGTATTCTGTATTTATTTAATTACTGATGTCATCTTCCCTTAACCACTTTCTTAAATGTCCTTATATCTCTCTTAAAATCCAATGGCTGAATACAGCATATTAAAATTCTAATCAGAGCCTCTGAGCCCACTATAAATATAAGAATCATTATAAAACTACATTACTTGCTATTTTTTAAAACTGCACTTGCATTTCAACTCCTAAGAAAGTTTGCTACAAAAAATCTTCATATATGGACAAAAATATGGCATTTTTATAATATTATTTTTAAATGTATAGTTTTTTAAAACAAGTGTTTAACATTAAAAATAGTTACATTATTGTGTTGTATGCATGTTAAAAAGAATGAGATCAGTCTATGTACTGACATGGGAAGATCTCCAAGACATAGAAAAATATGCATCTTTTACAGAACTATTTGTTTGTGTACATATGCACAGAAAAGGCCTGTAGGACACTTACCAATCTGTTATCACATTGCTTTTCTGTGGGGAGGAGATTAGGATTGAGACAGATGGTAAAACGTGACTTATTTTTACTTTAATATTTGTGTATTGTTTGACAATTTTACAACAAGCCTATATTCATTGTGTCATATTTTATAAACACACTTAAAATATTTAATTTGGAAGAAGTCTTTTAATTTGCAAACTAAGTTGCAGTCTACTGTTGGCAGACTAAGACCATTTATGTTCTCAACAGCTTAAAATAGAATTGGTGAGAAAATATTTAAAATAATTCATAAAAACCTTGAAAGAATTTTAAAGTAAATTTTCCGTCTTGTCACTTGAAAATTTTCGAATTCTCTGTTTCTAAGGGAAAATTTTCAATATGAATTGAATTCAGAAATGTAGAGTAGTGATTAATATGGGCTCAGGTTAACGGAAAAAATCTGTATACATTTTAAAAAGGTAAGTATATGCTGGAAAGTCACTTCTTAAAACAGTTAACCAACTCTTCTAAATATACAAAACTTTTTTTCAAAACTGGACTCTTGAGAATCCAGGACATAAGTGTTGGAAGAAGGATGTGAAGAGGGGAAGGAGAAATAGTGCGAAAGGTATGCATGAAATTTGGGAGAGGGGGATGAAAACTGCCTGGTAGTCAATCTAGGTCCAATCCTCATTGCATATTAATTGACTTAAGCTGTTGAGTTAATAAAGGTAGAGAGGAGCAGATATAATTTTTAATAAAGGAAAAAGTCCTGACTGTAGAGATGCTGGTGGCATGAGCAGTCTTCTTTTTCGTTTGTAGTTTAGGAGTAGCAGCGTTGGCCTCAAACCAAGAAAGACAAGCAATGACTGCCTCATCACAGTAAGTATAGGGCAAAACAAAAGATGAGGCAGGTTTTTAATGAGATCATTGAGAGTTAACAAGTCCTTTTACCTATCACAGAGAAAATCCTGGAGAACCACCATAAAGAGTAGTGACATGAGCTGGCTCTAGCTTTGAGTACATTTGCCATCCCAGGTGGGATTCAAAAGAAAAAAAAGTTAATGGTGTCTGGGTTTCTTATTTCTTCATCTCGTATTTTCTTACAATCAACCACTCATTATTAAGTAGTTATTTAATTAATGATTTTTATACCGAAAAGAGCAAGCATGGCCTTTTTATCAGTCCATTTCTGCGTTTTCTCCATCTGTTTAAGGAAGAACTAAATTACAAAGATATGCACCAAAACATAGCACCACCATTATGTTGGAGTCATTATCTTAACCTCTAGGCAAAGCATTTAGAAAAAAAAAACTGTCAAGAACAAGCAGTCTTGAAGATCCATACGCTTAGTCTTTCACGTGACTACCATGTGGCTGCTATGGCACCGCCATCCACTCTTGGTCTGAGGAACTTCCAGCAGTGAAGTAGTAAGCTCAGCATCAGATCA
Source organism: Homo sapiens (assembly GCF_000001405.40). Taxonomy (NCBI): domain Eukaryota; kingdom Metazoa; phylum Chordata; class Mammalia; order Primates; family Hominidae; genus Homo; species Homo sapiens. Next base: position 147,577,954 of record NC_000003.12, on the reverse strand, counting down.
GGGTCATTTCCCCCTTTTGTTTGGTACCCTTGCAACCAGCACACACCTTGACATCATTCATTAGCTTTGCTGTTAACATGCGTGCACATACACAGACACAGACACAGACACACACAGATACACACACACACAGTTTTTCTCTCAGAGAGAGGGAGAAGAGAGAGCAAGAAAAAATAATTGTGACCAAGGCTTTGAGAAAATTAAGATTAGACTTTTAAAACCTGAGAATCCCCAAACCAGCTTGTCTGGCTAATTCAATAAAATTTTTATCAACGTTGTGTATGCCACATGGTGAGGGAGAAAAGGCTTGTGCACAGTTCTTGTTATTTTATCGCTTTTTGAAATGGAAATTATACATAAGATCTATCACAGATATTCAAAGCTGCCTGATCAATTCAACCCAATTTTGATCAACTTGATGGCATGATGTGTGAGGGAAGAGTGAGCTTGTGCAAATTTCTTACTATTTTATCACTATTTCAAGTGAAAATCATACCCAAGGTTTATTACAAATAGCCAAAGCTATTTAATAAAAAATAAAGGAAGAGGATTTAAACATGAATGTATTGTGTTAATTTGTTTTTTCTTTAAGGTGGGTAGAAGAAAGTAGATTCTTACAACAATCAAGCAATCTCTAAGCCAAGAGGTCAGGTACCGATACTACCAAATAAAACAAGTCCCTTTTTGGTACTAGGGAAGAAGATAGTTATGATATGGGTGTTACTACTCCAGAAAGCAAGTTATCTGTTGTGCATCTTTGTTGGTGCAGAACTGGAAACAATCTTGTAAACTAAAGTTTTACAGTTTAGGGTTATGTGTCAACAAGCACACAAATGAAATTCAACAGATATTTTATAGCCACCCAAGCTTTTTTATTTTTGAATTTTTTGAATTTTTTCCAATTTCTTGAGACACTTTCCACTAAAAAATAGCACGCATGGCCAGGTGTGGTGGCTCACGCCTGTAACCCCAGCACTTTGAGAGGCTGAGGCAGGCAGATCACGAGGTCAAGAGATCAAGACCATCCTGGCCAACCTGATGAAACCCCATCTCTACTAAAAATACAAAAATTAGCTGGGTGTGGTGGCACGTGCCTGTAATCCCAGCTACTCGGGAGGCTGAGGCAGGAGAATCACTTGAACCCGGGAGGTGGAGGTTGCAGTGAGCCAAGATCGTGCCATTGCACTGCACTCCAGCCTGGCAATAGAGCGAGACTCCGTCAAAAAAAAAAAGCCCTTATTTCAAGTTGCAGGCATTGCCTTCCCCCAAGAAGCCTTCTGTGTCTCCAACAAGTCCAGTTCGAATCTCCATTGAGTAAAATATTACTGTATTTTTTAAAGCTTGGAAGAGAGAAGAACCAAACCAAACACTTCTCTCAGCCTCTCCTCAGTGACCTTCAGTTTTAAAACCACGATCTTAAACCATGTGAATCTAGAATTCACAAAGTAAAGACATGAAAAGAAAAAGGGTTTTGAAGCTACTTCCACACTAGTGCAGTGAGCCTGTTATCTAGCAAAAACTTCCATAGAGCTCAACCTATTTCACAAAAGTAGCAGTTTGCAGAAAATGATTTGGGGAAAATTACTCTTAACCCTTCTACCCCTGCAGATGCAGACTCCAAAATGCTTAAGAACTGATACTGTGAAACATACTATTAGCATATAGTTATACAGAAAACTCCATGACATGCTTTTGCCTCATACAGGATTTAGGCGAGACCTTAGAATGAACAAATTACTAGGTGTTTGTGTGTGTGTTTTTAAACCAATATAGAAAGATATAACTTTTTAAATCATCTGCATCAAAAATAAAATTTCACCATCTGTTTTTCATTCATTTACACTCAATTAATTTTAAAAAATTAAAGCAAAGAGGATGGAAGTCTTCGAAAATAAACATTTAAGACTTTATTTGCAGCCTAGTGGAAGAGGGCTAAAGTGTTTCAATCAGCAGGCATGACCTGCCCCAACATAGTGTTGTGGTTTTTTTTTTCTCTTCAAAACAACACGGCCCATTATGTTTTCATATACATTTTTTAAATAGCCAACTCATTTTAAAAATAGGCAATTGCCATATTTTAACTTTCAACCTAAGTTGGCAGATGACATTTTATGTACCCCTATGTAGGCACTTGCATTCAGAAAACAGAAAAACTTCTGTAGGCAAATTTGAACATTCAGTGGGTAAAAGTAACCTTTAATGAATAAACATTGGATATCTGCCTAGCAACAGAAAAAAGTATTCTGACTCCTACATAGTATAAAGTAGAAAAATTAATATGACACTTGGAAAACATGCATTTTGTAAAATATACTTTCTATCTCTTAGAGCCCATGTGATGTTGCAGTTGCTATAGTAACCGTATGTTTGTTCAGCAGGAAAATACGTAGGTACAGAATGCTTACATTTATTCACAAATTCTCAGTGAATTTGTGAATAGAAGTGATTTTATCTGCCAAATAGAAGTGATAAATAAAAAATTCTCAGTGGATAAGCAATTCTTGTCCCTTAATATTAAAACTACAATAATGTAATTCTATCAAGCATTTTTTCAAAGAAATATCATTGTTGTTCATAAACTTCAATATCTCATAAACAAAAATGGCTGATCTAGAAAGAATTTTTAACTTCTCATTATTTGTTCATTTGCATGGAATACAATATGCTAAAATGATTAATTACAATTGTGAACCATTAAATTAAATTCATATGCATATTTTTAAATTTCAGTTTTAAATATAGGCTGGTTCTACTATCTCCTATAACAGGTCTTATAAAACCTCGTCAATGGCACATATGTTGAATAAATACCTCAATATACTACATTTGCCAACAAAGTTCTAAAATGAACTTTGTAAATGTCATGATCCTTAATGCTTTTGTGGCATAAATGGAGAGCATTCCTTGCGTCCATTTGGCTATGATCGTGAGCGTACTTTGTTTCCCCAAGAGAAGAAAGAAGAGTAGTAAACCATTTTTGCAGAATGCCATTCTCCTACAACAGTTTTATGAAAGAAACATCTGTGACAAGAATCTTTAATGCTTTTCTGAAAGCCACAGCTGACAGTAAAAGAGCATTGCTAAAAGTGGCAAATCAATCCCATTCTGCCCTTCTCAGAGCATGACACTTAATTTGCTATGTATCACATGTATTTTCCTCACATGTGCTGAGAGACTGTGACATTGATGTGGTGGCTTTCATCCAAGCCTCAGCTGAATAAACACTTGGGCCATACAGTGGGCAAACTGGCATCCTAAAAAACGTCTTGTGTCCTGGGCAAGTTAACTTCACCTCAGGGAAGCATTTTTCTAAGTTTCAGTTTGCAATTTGAGTGCATAAATGGAATCCCTGAACACGGTTTGGAAAACCTTAAATCATTTCACACACAAAGAGCACATTCTGTATTTTTAAGCAAGTTTTCTCAATGTAATGCAATTTTTATGTGACTACCTGAAAACATATGCAAATAGAACAGATAAAAATGAATAATAGTATATAGTATTTCTAATAAAATTATTCCATTGCATAATCTGTTATTTTAAAAAGTATAAAAAATAAGCATATTAGATATGTTTGAAATGGGTAAGTTTTTTAATTAAACAATTTATTGACATAAAATACATACCAAAACACTCAGAAACCTATTTATATACCTTGGCAAATTTTGTAAACTGAGTGAATATACTTGTAATCAAGTACCACAACATTATTAGCACACAGAATCCTTCATTACACCTTTCTAAAACATATACAATTGCTTTTAAATTTGACACAAAATCTTTAACAAATGAGAAAACTTCATTTAAATAATATCAAGCAAATAAGTTCTGGTAAAGAGTATGAATACATCAAGGTCCCTGTAGTTAATGAGAATATCTCTTTTTGTGTGTCTTCTGCGCATCTGCAAGTGATTATTTTTTATTTTTCAACAATCAGGGAAATCACCATTACTTTTACCCCCAAATCACCCCAGTGTTTTTTTTTAACTCCATTGACGTTTTATAAAAATATAGAGGTAGAAAAAAATCCAGGTGTGCATATCATCTCTGCCATAAGTTGTTTTAATTACTCCTATTTTTCTTCCTTCTTACTAAAGAACTTCAATGTAAATCCCTCTTTTTTTTCAAATTTAAATTATACTTAACAGGGGAGAATACATATACTATGTTTTTCTCTGTCTCTCAGATTTCTCCTTCATATGATCATTCCCAAAACAAAATAAAATTGTTTTTAAAAACCTAAAATTAAAGTACAGTAAATGTGTTCTGTGTTGCTTCTTGACCCCCCCAGAGTATGCTTAGATGTTCTGTCTATGACGCCAGGTACCAGGGTTTGTACCCTAGCCACCTGAAGCATTAGTCCCAAGCCACCAATCTCCATTAGTCCCACCCATATTCCTGAAACTGACAGGAATTTAAGCAGTCCAGCCAATACCTTCAGGTACGTTTCAAATACTCACCACAAGAGCTCAGCGTGTTCAGAACTAAATATGTCCAAACTTGATTAACTTGGAATCTCAAACCTCAAGGTCATCTCTGGTAATATCCTTCTGGCAACCCTTACATTCACATGAACAACAAGTTTTACCAAATATACCTCCAAACTCTTTTTTAAATCCATTGCCTACTGTCCTTTCCCACTCCACTGAAGTCCTTACTCTTTCCTGCCATTTCATCTTTACACATGCCATTTCATCTTTCTAGAAGAACTTTACCCTCTTTTGCCTTGTAAATGCCTTCTCAGCCTTCAAAACCCATCCTGAAATGGCTCCTCCTCCAGCTGCCTTCTCTGACCTAGTCCATACCCTGGAGTAAAATCCCCTTTTGATGTGTCATAGCATGTGTCATTCTGTATCTGTGTCCTCAACTGGAACAGGAACACACTGGGCTGGAACAAAGTATTTCATCTTTATATTTTCAATATCTAATATATCACCTGGGATATCACATATGCCAAACAAACAATGAAAGAATAAAACAAAATAAAATATTCTTTGCCTAAAAGGCCTAAAACATCCAGAAGATAACTTTGAACCAATTGCAATTTGCCTGGGTCTACCTCCCTTATCTCAAAAGGGATTGAATGTAATGCTGGTGTAAAAAGTCATTGTGAAAGTGAGCCCCAGTCTTGCCAGCAGCACCCAAGAAACACCACGAGTGCAGAGTCATCAGGAGCTGGGAGCTATGTGGGACAGGTCATGGAAGACGAGGTAATAACTAAAGGACAACCAAAGCTTAGAATAAGTCTACTGCTCAGAAGACCCGGTGTAGTGTGCTCTCTCAAAAGGTGAAACGGGACCAGGGGCAGTGGCTCATGCCTGTGTTCCCGGCAGTTTGGAAGGCTGAGGTGGGAGGATGGCTTGAGCCCAGGAGTTTGAGACCAGCCTGGGCAACGTGGTGAAACTGCCATCTCTAAAATTTAAAAAATAAACCGGACCTAGTGGGCCACACCTGTAGTCTCAGCTACACAAGGGTGAGGTGGGAGGATCACTTGAGCCCGGGATGTGGAGGATGCAGTGAACTGTGATTGTGCCACTGCACTCCAGCCTGGGTGACAGAGTGAGACCTTGCCTCAAAACAAAACAAACAAAACAAAACAAAACAAAAAGTGAAAGGGTTTACTGCATTGTAGGAATGATGAACTCATAGCAGTTTTTTAAATGAGAATATTATTTTAAAAAGGAAAGAAATGAATAGGTTGGATTAAATCGTGTCTCATATTTAATGTATTACTGCCATTAAAAAAAAAAACTTAGAAAATACCTATCCCTCACATCTGCCTTGCTGTTTGTTTTATCGTTGTCCTGGAGTGGTTTCTTTTGATAAGTGTATCGTAAGTGCCCCTAGACATAAATGTGGATCATGCATTTCCAGTGAAATTTTAAGTTACTGTTGCAAATGTGTGCCTTAGAATGTCCTATATTAAAGTGGTATGTCTAAAGGTACATATTTGACAAGATATTTCAATTGTATTTGAAAGATCTAGTACAAATACATTTGAAAAATGTTTGTCACCCATACAAGTAGAAGAAAAACTTCAGATAGATGGTCAGAGAATTTTTTGAAAATAGAATCTGGAGCTCTTGTTCACCTATGATATTTGAAAGTTAGTGAAGACAATAGGCTTCTTACCCAAACCACTAGCCCTGATCAGTAACAAGATCAAGTTTCCAGGCATTTCACATCTAATGTTGATTGTGAAAAAGCTCTTCCTGCTCCTTCCACAGTCTCTAAATTTTGGAATCCTAGAAGTCCAGTTTGAAGAGTACATTTTTCCCCAAAAGAGAAGAGTGAGGGAAGAGCAAAGATACAGAATGCACAAAGAACTTCATCTGGATAACATTTTTCCCATAAATGGGCCTCTGTTTTCTGATCCTCAGGGTGAAGTGTATTGATTTGATATAAATTTTTTTTTTTTTTTTTTTTTTTGAGACGGAGTCTCGCTCTGTCGCCCAGGCTGGAGTGCAGTGGCGGGATCTCGGCTCACTGCAAGCTCCGCCTCCCGGGTTCACGCCATTCTCCTGCCTCAGCCTCCCAAGTAGCTGGGACTACAGGCGCCCGCCACTACGCCCGGCTAATTTTTTGTATTTTTAGTAGAGACGGGGTTTCACCGTTTTAGCCGGGATGGTCTCGATCTCATGACCTCGTGATCCGCCCGCCTCGGCCTCCCAAAGTGCTGGGATTACAGGCGTGAGCCACCGCGCCCGGCCTATAAATTTTTAAAAAATAGGCCGAGCACAGTGGCACACCTGTAATCCTAGAGCTTTGGGAGGTTGAATTGGGAGGATCACTTGAGCCCAAGAGTTCAAGATCCACCAGGACAACATAATGAAACCCCCATCTCTATAAAAAATAAAGCATAAGCCAGGTGTGACGGCACACATCTGTAGTCCCAACTATCTGGGAGGCTGAGCTAGGAGTATCACTATATCCCAGGAGGTGGAGGCTGCAGTAAGCCGTGATTGTGTGATTGTGCCACTGCACTTCGTCTGGGTGACAGAACAAGGATCTGCCTCGAAAAAAGAAAAAAAGATGTCTGAAGTGTGGAACAAAGAAGATAAGCAATAAATAGCATAATAAGTAAAATATATTATTTGTGTGATAGTAATAACTATTAAAAAAATTAAGGATGGAAGGGGAACATGAAATTGATAAGGGTTGAAAATGCAGATAGAGTGGCTGATGACTTTTCAGAAAATACCTGAAGTACAGGAATATATAATTTCAGTAAACGTAGATGAAATAACTCAGGCCAAGCTTCTTGCTGGGGACAACTAAAAAAAAGGAGGAATAGAATTTTTTGAAATGCCCTTAAAAGTATCAATAAAAGAATGAGGAAATACCAGGCCAAAATATAGAAGACCCCAAAAACCTAGAGAAGTAAGTCAAAAAAATGAAAGTTCTCTCTTCAGGAAAACTCTAAAATCTGAGGCCAAGGAATATTTCTATGAATAACTGAAATGATTGTAGAAAGATATTACAAGTAGCTTAATGTCAATAAATTTGAGAATGCCAATGAAATGAACTAATTCAGAAATTAAGTAATTATGAAAATTTGGGAAGAAGCCAATTTAAGATATGAAATCTGTGATCACTGATTTTCCCACCAAGCAAAACTCATTAACAAATTATATCATGCACTCAAGGCAGTAATTCAAACTATAAAACTTCTCCAGAGAATAGAAAAACACTTACACACCTCAATTCATTTTATGAGACCAGCTAACCTTGACAAGGACAGGACATGAAAGAAAAAGTAAAGGCTAATCTCACTTACATACGTAATTGGCAAAAAACATCTAAATAAAATATTAACAAACCGAATCTATAATTATATAAAAATGACAATTCATCATGACCAAATAGGTTTTATATCAAGAATGCACAATTGATTTAACATTAGATATTCAATGTAATTTACCACATAAACAGAGTAAAGAATAAAATTGTACAATCATTTTAATAGATACAGAAAATGCCTTGGTAAAATTCACCATGTGTTTATGGTTTAAAAAAAATTTTTTTAAACTTATAGCAGGCCAAAATAGAAAAGACCTTCAAAATACTAGTGGGGGGGAATACGTAAAAAAAACCTACAGCAAACATCATAATAAGTGGTGAAACAATGCAAATTTTCTTTAAGATTAGAAGTAAAACAAACACATTCTCCATTCTCACTTCTATTCAACACTTTGATTATATCACAACCAGTGCAGTAAGAGAAGACAAATAAATAATTGGCATAAGAATTGAGAGAAACAAACAAGATTGTCATCATTCTCAGCTAACATGATTATATTTTATTTTTTCAGAGACAGGGTTTTGTTCTGTTGCTCAGGCTTGAATGCAGTGGTGCAGTCATAACCCACTGCAGCCTGGAACTGCTGGGCTCAAAGTATTCTCCTGTCTCAGGCTCCCAAGGAGCTAGGATTATAGGTGCACAGCACCTGCCCAGCTAATTTTTATTTTTTATAGAGACTCATTTTATAGTTTATTTTTATAGAAACAGTTCTATTTTTAGTTCTTATTTTTTACGTAGGAAATCCAACAAAGTCTGTACATAGGCTACTAAAATTAATAAGAGATTTAAGAAATTTGCCAAACAAAAAGGTAATAAATAGACATGATGCTTTTTATATGCTAGCCACAAACAGAAAATGGAATTTTAAGAGAAAATGGACATATATCTATTGTTTATAGGCCATTTATATACATGATTAACTCAATGTTGAAAACTATGTTAATTCTTCACATGTGGTTTTACAGATTCAATACAAGCCCAGTTAAATAACAAGGAGTTTTGTGTAATGTGACGAGCTAATTCTAAAATTTTTATGGAAATGCGGCCAGGCGCGGTGGCTCACGCCTATAATCCCAGCACTTTTGGAGGCCGAGGTGGGCGGATCACTTGAGGTCAGGAGTTCCAGACCATCTTGGCTAACATAGTGGAAGCCTGTCTCTACTAAAAATACAAAAAGTAGCCAGGCCTAGTGACAGGCACCTGTAATCCTAGCTATTCAAGAGGCTGAGGCGGAGAATCGCTTGAACCCGGGAGGCGGAGCTTGCAGTGAGCCGAGAACCCACCACTGCACTTCAGCCTGGGCGACAGAGTCAGACTCGGTCTCAAATAACATAACATAACATAACATAACATAACATAACATAACATAACATAACATAACATAACATAACATAACATAACATAACATAATATAACATAACATAACATAACAAACATAAATAAAATAAAATAAAATAATGTACATGGAAATGGAAAAGACCATGCATAGCCAATACACTTCTTTTTGTGCACATGCTTTATTTTATTTGTGTAAATTTAAGGGGTACAAGTGCAATTTTGTTACTGGATATATTGCCTAGTGGGGAAGTCAGCTTTCAGTGTATCCATCACCCAAATAATGTACATTGTTACATTAAGTACATTAATGTAATAATGTACTAAAATTACATTAATGTAATAATGTAATAAAATCATTAAGTATTTTCTTATCATCCTCCCTATTTCCATTCTCCATTTCCACTCTTTTGAGTCTCAGTGTCTAGCATTCCATATTCTGTGTCCACGTGTACACATTATTTAGCTCCCACTTATAAGTAAGAACATGCGGTATTTCTGTTTCTGAGATGTTTCACGTAAGGTAATGGTCTTCAGTGCCACCAATGTTGCTGCAAAATACATGATTTTTTTATGGCTGAATAGTATTTCATGGTGTATATTTACAACATTTTTTTATCGAATCATTGGATGATGGATACTTAGGTTGGTTCCATATCTTTTCTATTGTGAAGAGTGCTGTGATAAATATATGGATGCAGATATCTTTTTAATGTAAGGATTTTTTTGGGGGGGGTGGGGTAGATACCCGGTAGTGGGGTTGCTAGATCAAATGGTAGTTCTGTTCTTTGTTATTTAAGAAATCTCAACATCGTTTTCCATAGAGGTTGTACTAATTTATATTCCTACCAACAGTGGAAAAGCATTCCCATTTCTCTGAATCTGCTCCAACATGTGTTTTCTCTTTTTAGTAATAGCGATTTTGACTGGTGTAACAAGATATTTTGTTGTGTTTTTAATTTGCATTTTTCATGTGCTTGTTGGCCATTCATATGTCTTCCTTTGAAAAATATCCATTCATGTCCTTTGAGCACTTTTTAATGGGAGCATTTGGCAGGCGGGGGCAAGTATTTGTTGTGAAGTTCCTTGTAAATTCTGGATATTAGTCTACTGTTGGATGCATAGTTTGCAAATATTTTCCCCCATTCTGCATATTGTCTGTTAAGTCTACTGATTGGGATTTTTGTTTTGTTTTGTTTGTTTGTTTGCTCTGAAGAAGCTTTTTAGCTTAAGTCCCATTTGTCTATTTTTTTTTTTTTTTTTTTGCTTATGCTTTTGAGGTCTTAGTCATGAATTATTTGCCTAGACTAGTGTCAAGAAGAATTTTCCCTATGTTTTTTTTCAGTATTTTATAGTTTCAGGACTTACATTTTAGTCTGTAGTCCATGTTAGTTGATTTTTGTATGTGGTGGGAGATAGGGGTCTAATTTCCTTCTTCTCCAGATGTCAATCCAATTTTTCCAAAACTATTTATTGAAAAGGGTGTCCTTTCTCCAGTGTGTTTTTGTTGACATCATAAAAGATCAGTTGGCTATAAGTATGTGGCTTCATTTTTGGGTTCCCTTTTCTGTTCTATTGATCTGTGTGTCTATTTTTACACCAGCACCATGCAGTTTTGGTTATTGTAGCCTTCTTGTATAATTTAAAGTCAGATAATGTGATGCCTCTGCCTTTGTTCTTTTTGCTTAAGATTACTTTGGTAGTTAAGGCTCTTTGTTGGTTCCATATTAATTTTAGAATTTCTTTTCTAATTCTGTGAAAAAGGACATTGGTATTTTGATAGGGATTGCATTAAATATGTAGATTGCTTTGGGCAGTATGGTCATTTTAATATTAATTCTTCTGATCTATGAGTGTGAGATGAGTTTCTATTTGTGTCATCTACAATTTCATCAGTGTTTCATAGTTTTTATTACAGCAATCTTTCACCATTTTGGCTAAATATATTTGAAGATATTTTTTTCTTTTTAGCTATTGTTAATGGAATTGCCTTCCTAATCTGGTTCTCAGCTTGATCATTATTGATGTGTAGAAAGACTACTTGTTTTTGTGTGTTGATTTTGTATTCTGGAAACTTTGCTGAATTCATTTGTCAACCTGTGGAAGCATTAGCATTTTCTATATACAACATCTCAGCAAATGAGGATAATTTGACTTCCTCTTTTCCAATTTGGATGGTTTTTTGCTTTGTTTCTTTCTCTTGCCTTGTTTCTTTGGCTAGGACTCCCAGTACTATGTTGAAAAGGAGTGGTGAAAGTGAACATCTTTAGAAGAAGTTCTAAAACGTCTTCCAGTTTTTAGAGGGAAAGCTTTCAACTTTTCCCCACTCAGTATGATGTTGGCAGTGGGTTTTTCATAGATGGCCTTTATTATTTTGAGGTATATTCCTTCTGTGCTTAGTTGGTTGAGGGTTTTTATAATAGAGGGATGCTGAATTTTAATAAATGCTTTTCCTGCATCTATTAGGATAATCAAATGGGTTTTAGCCTTAATTCTGTTTTTTGTAATGTATCACATTTATTGATTTGAAAATGTTGAACCATCCTTGCATCCCTGGTGTAAAACCCACATGGTTTATTTTCTTTTTGATGTGCTGTTTGATTTGGTTTGCAAGTATTTTGTTGAGGATTTTTGCATCTATGTCCATCAGAAATATTAGTCTGTAGTTTTCTTTTTTGTGGTGTCCTTGTCTGGTTTGGGTATCAGGTAAAACTGCCCTTGTAGATGGAGTTAGGAAGAATTTCCTCTTTGTTAATTTTTTAGAACAGGAAGGTTGGTATTAGTTTTTCTTTGTATATTAGGTAGAATTTAGCTGTGAATGCATCTGGTCTTAGGCTTTTTTATCATTGGGAGATTTTTTTATTAGTAATTTAATCTCGCTACTGGTTATTGCACTGTTCAAGATTTGTATCTCTTTCTGGTTCAATCATGGAAGGTTTTATGTATCCATACATTGATCAATTTCCTCTAGGTTTGCTAGGTATTGTGCATAGAGATGCTCATAGTAGTCTCTGATGTTCTTTTGTATTCTATAGTATCAGTTGTAATGTCTTTTTTTATTTCTAATTTTTTAAATTTGCATCTTCTTTCCTCTTTTCTTGGTTAGTCTAGCTAGCAATTTATCAATTTTGTTTATCTTTTCAAAAAACCAACATTTTGTTTCAGTGATTCTTTGTATTTTTTCCCTCAATTTTATTTGGTTCTGCTCTAATCACTGTTATTTATTTTCTTCTGCTAACTTGGGATTTGGTTTGTTCTTGTTTTTCTAGTTTCTTCAGATGTGATGTTAGGTTGTTAATTTGTAATCTTTCCACTTTTTTGATGTAGCCATTTTAATGCTTTAAAATTACCTTTTAGCACTGATTTTGCTGTATCTCAGAAGTTTGAGTATGTTGTGTTTGCATTTTCATGAGTTTAAAAAAATTTTAATTTCTGTCTTAATGTTATCATTGACCCAAAAATTGTTCAAGAGCTTGACGTCTAATTTCTATGTATTTGAATGTTTTCCAAAAGTCCTCTTGGTACTGATTTCTAGTTTGATTATACCTAGTATGAAAAGATACTTGGTATGATTTTGATTTTTTAAACTGTATTAAGACTTGTCTTATGACCTAACATATGGTCTATCTTGAAGAATGTTCTATGTGTGGATGAGAAGAATATATAATATGAAGTTGTTGGAAAGAATGTTCTGTGTCTGGTTGGGTCCATTTGATCTAAAGTCAAATTTAAGTCCAATGTTTCTTTGTTGATTTTATGTCTCAATATTATGTCTAGTGCTGTGAATGGGGTGTTAAAGCCTCCCAGTATTTGTTTATTGCTGTCTATCTCTTTGTTTGGGTCTAGTAATATTTGTCTTATGTATTTGGGTGTTCCAGTTTGGAGTATAAATATATTTAGGATTGCTATGTTCTCTTAGTGAATTGATTTCTTTATCATTACACAATGACCTTGTCTTTTTGCTGTTTTTGATTTAAAGTCTTTTATCTGCTATAAGTATAGCTACTCTTACTTGCTTTTGATTTCCATTTGCAAGGAATATCTTTTTCTGCCTTTTTATTTTCAGTCCATGGGTGTTTTCCAGGTCTGGTGAGTTTCTTATAAGCAGAATAAAGTTGGACGATGCTTCTTAAATTTATTCTGCCATTCCATTTCTTTTAAGTAGAGCATTTACTGCATTTATATTCAAGGTTAATGTTGATATGTGAGGATTTGTTCCTGTCATATTGTTAATTTTTATCTGATTGTTTCATAAATTCTTTGTTTCTTTCTTTTCCTCTTTGTTGTTTGGGTCTGGTGGAATTCTGTTATGTTCCCATTTGATTCCTTTCACTTTCTCTTTTGTGTGATTGTTTTATAAGACCTGTGAGATTTATACTTTTATGGGTTTTTATGATGGCTAATATTGACCTTTCATTTCCATGTTTAAGACTGTTTTAAGCATTTCTTGTAGCACAAGTCCAGTAGTGACAAATGCTGTCATCATTTGCCTACCTAGGAAAGACTTTTTATGTCTCCTTCATTTATGGAGCTTTTTCTAGCTTAACTGAGACACAAAGAAGAAGAAGAAGATGGAAGAACTTGCTCAAACAACTCTCAATTTAATGAGTGTGTAATCATCACAAACTAGATAAATATAATAATAGAAGAGAACAGAATTCCTGTGACAAAGATAGTATGCAGAGCAGTAGAAAAAGAATTGTCTTTAATAAATTATATTATGAAAATTTGATATCTATATGCAACAAAAAGAATTTGATTCCAACATTAAATTATACACCAGATAAAAATCAACTTAGCTTGTAGATATTTTTATTCCTTTTTTTCAGAAATCTTCTACTTCATGGTCATAAAAATATTCCTTTTTAATTATCTCCTGGAAACTTTATGGTTCCCCTTTTCTAGCTATATACCTGTCTTCAACCTTCTGTGCTGCTATAACAAAATATTTTAGACTGGGTAATGTATAAATAACAGACATTTGTTTCTCATAGTTTTGGATGGTGGGAAGTCCAAGATCAAAGTGCCAGCAAATGTATTGTCTGGTAAGGGTTAACTCTCTTCTTCTAAGATGGAGCCTTGTTTCTGCATCTTTCAGAGGGCTCAAACACTGTGTCCTTGTATGATGATAGTATAAAATGGCAAAAGGACCTAGCTAGTTTATAAGAGCACTAATACTATTCATGAGGACAGGAACCTTGCCACCTAATCATCTCTCAAAGGCCCCACTTTCTAATATCATCATCATGATGATTAAATTTCAACATAGGGATTTTGGACAGACACATACATTCAAACCATAGCAAATGCCAATATACCAATAGTGAAAGGTACCTTCTTGACCTTAGGATAGGGAAAGATTTTTTAAAAACACACTCACCCATGTGTGTACACGAACTAACCCAAAATAAAAATAACCAAAAAATAAATTTGATAAATTATAATTTATTAAAATAAATAAATCCTGTTTTCAAAAACATTTTTAAGAGAGTAAAGTGAAGAAAACATTTGCAACAAATGCAAATGCAAAAGACTTGTATCCATAATATATAAATAATTGCAAACCAAAAGAAGAAAACAGAAAATGAGATAGATGGGCAAAATACTTCAATGTTGCATTTCATAAAATAATTTATACAATTGGCCCATAAACAAAAGAAAAGCTGCTCAATTTAATTTGAAATCAGTGAAATGTTAATTAAAATTATAATGAAACATGTTATACACCCACCAGATAAAAACAATCGAAAGCCCAAGCATATCAAATGTTGGCAAAGACGTAGAGCAACAGGAACTGTCATGTGTACCTGGTAAGAGTGTATTTGACACAAACACCTTGGAAAACAGTGTGGCACTATGAAGTCAAGTGAAAGAACCCCTTCCTATATGTTGTAACACAGCTATTCCAGTTCTTGTGTTCACTCTGAAGAAATGTATGTAAACAGAGTAACTCAAGTCCATTAACAGTAGCATGAATAAACAAATTTTGGTATATTCATGCAATTGGACACTATAGAGCAATGAAAAGTAACAAGTTAAATTTACTCACAGCACATCTTACATAATGCTAGATAAAAATGTAAAACACAAAGAATACTTACATCATGATTCCACTTACACAGAGTTTGAAAACAGGAGAAAAACTAGAATATATTAATATTCATATATAAATCTTGAATCTTTCAAAAAGAAGGTTTAGAGTGGTGATTACAATAGACATCAAAATAACGATTACTTCTAGTGCAGAGTATGATCAAGAAAGGAACACCAAAGAAGCTTTGGATGCCTAAAATTTCAATTTTGTATGTTAGTGACAGTTACATTAATGCATCTTTTTAATTTATTCATTCATCTGTTATGTACTTTTAGTATATGTTGTACTTTACAGTTATGCAGACCTATATGGGAAAAGCATTCTAGACAAAACTTCCTTACTAACCTGCCTTCTAGGACTTAGAAATGTCTTATTCACTGCAATTGTCCTGCATTATCTGAACTATTCATCTCCTCCCTTTTATTCAATCATCACCACTTCCATAGTTGTCTTTTCTTAGAGAAAACTGTCTATTTATCTATCTATCACTGTCCATCTATCTGTGTATCTATCCATCTATCTATCTTTCTATCTACCTTCCACCCTTTTATTGAATATCACCTTTTAGATGATCTCCAAAAGCAAAAGTTCAAAACAATTCAATCACTTCTCCCTAAACCTACTTTCCTTACTAGATTCTCCCCAATCTTATTTTACCTTTATATGCTCTTAGTTAATAAAGAACCTGATCTAAGCAGAGCCAATCAGATTCTTTCCCTGGGATATTTATGAATTAGGACTAAGACAAGAAGATTAGATCTTTTAGATGGGTGGGTGTCAAAGGTGGTAAAATTTAGGTATGCTCAGTAACTATGTGTCCTATCCTAGAGGAAGCCAGTCTGCAGGACAAGCGAGCTAAGCTAACATAAAGAGAAAAGAAGGCAGGGCACGGTGGCTCACACTTGTAATCCCAGCACTTTGGGAAGCCGAGGCGGGCAGATCACCTGAGGTCAGGTGTTCCAGACCCGCCTGGCCAACATGGTGAAACCCCATCTCTACTAAATACAAAAATTAGCCAGGCATGGTGGTGCACACCTGTAGCCCCAGCTGTTTGGAAAGCTGAGGCAGGAGAATCGCTTGAACCCAGCAAGCAGAGGTTGCAGTGAGCTGAGATAGCCCCCCTGCACTCCAGACTGGATGACAGAGTGAGACTCCATCTCAAAAAAAGGAGAGAGAAAAGAAGCCATAACAGGTAGCAAAATAAAATCCCACAACAGTCAAGTCCTATAGTCTAGCTGTCTGTAAGATCCAGCTTCTTCCTTTCCCTTTACAGAGATCTTTGAGTGATCTTTCTACTCAAGCTAATTTAACTTGCATTTTTAAATAACAAATAAAACTCGACTTAGAGGATCTAATTAACCTTGTCTAATGTACACTCTTCAAGGTATATGGCAATGACCAAGAGATATCTGCAGTGACAATAAATTACTATAATGTACCTATAAAACAATGATTGTTTTATAATTTATACACAGTTCACATCTGATACATCCATCAAATTAACATTGAATGTTTTAGATTGAAAAACTACATATAATGCTTGGACCTATTCAATTAAGTATGTAATATTTAAAATACATGTTTCAGTTTGATTACAGGACCTAAATAATGTTAATTCACTTAAGATAATCTATCTAAAAATTGCCTAAGGTTGTTTGCCTTTATATTAATTTCAACCATTTTATCAAAAGCAGGAAATCGAGTTTTCCTTTCTTAGTACATATATTTGAATGTGTAAATAAAATATATACATCATTGCAACATTTTAAAAGTTCAATAAAGCAAAATATGAATATTAAATATGAATAAAGTAAAATATGAATAGTAATAGGTCAGATTTAAAAAGAAATAAAAAGAAAATAACATGTCTTTAAGAAATAAAAAATAAACTTCAGAATGCATGCCCATTCACATCATGTCATCTTATGCAGATCTATATGCTATCTAATATTTACTTAAAATGAACAATCTCCATGGCAGCCAGTGGATCAAATGACACATGAGCTGACTGTGAAGTGTGGATATTTGTATTTCTTACACTAAAATTGATTATATAATAACTACAATCAATAATGGAATTATATTGTTTTATCCTAAATATATGTGGAATGATAGAGTATTAAACATGCATTTTCCAGACTATAGTTGATAATGTCAATGTTATTTTTCCATATATTTCTTTTCCTCTTCTAGCCTGACATTTTAGTTTGGTAATTTTAAAATGAAGATTAACAAAAATAAAGCCAATGAGATTTTCTCAAGTTGGGTGTGTGAGGCAGAATAATGGCTCCAAAAGAAGCCCACATATTACTCTCTGGAATCTGTAAAGATGTTTTATCTTACCTGGCCAAAGAGACCTTGCAGATGTGACAAAGTCTGTACATCTTAATGTACAGACATTAAGATAGAGAAATTATCCTGGATTATTTGGGTGGGCCCAATGGAATTACAATCGTGTGTTTCTCAGCAATTGGAGTACATGCTGAGAAATGTGTCATTACACAATTTCATCATTGTGCTAACATCACAGCATGTACTTAAACAAACTTAGATGGCATAGCCCACTATACAACTAGGCCATTTGGTAAAGCCTATTGCTCCTAGGTTACAAATCTGAACAGCATGTTGCTGTACTGAATTCTGTAGGCAGTTGTAACACAGTGGTAAGTATTTGTGTATCTAAACATATCTCAACATAGAAAAGGTGCAGTAAAAGTATGGTATTATAATCTTATGGGACCACTGGCATATATGTGGTCTGTCATTAGCTGTAATGTTATGTGGCAATAACTGTACATGAGTCCTTAAAAGCAGAAATCCTTTCCCAGCTGAGGTCAGAAGAAGAGATGATGATAAAAGTCTCTAAGATGCTACATTGCTGGATTTGAAGGTGGAGGAAGGGGACATAAGCAAAGGAATTCAGGTGGCCTTTAGAAGCCAGATGATATAAGAAAATTGATTCTCCCTTAGATTCTCCATAAAGAAACGAAGTCCTACTAGCACCTTGATTTTAGCCCAGTGAGTCCTGAGTCAGACTTCTGATCAACGGAACTGAAATATAACAAAGTAGTATTGGTTAAGTCACTAAGTTTGTGGTGCATTGTATAAATCTGTTCTCACATTGCTATGAAGAACTATCTGAGACAGGATAATTTATAAAAAATAGAGGTTTAATTGACTCACAGTTCCACAGGCTATACAGGAAGCATGGCTGGGAGGCTTCAGGAGACTTAAAATCATGGTGGAAGGTGACAGGGAAGCAGGCACCTCTTACATGGCCAGAGAAGGAGGAAGAGGAGAGAGAAGCGGGGGCTGCACATTTTTAAACAACCAGGATCTCATAAGAACTCATTCACGATCACAAGAACAGCAGGAGGAATGTCTGCCCCCATGATCTAATCACCTCCCAGCAGGCCCCTCCTCCAACATTGGGGATCACGATTCTACATGAGATTTGGATGGAGAAACCGAGCCAAACCATATCATAGGTTTTATAGCAGCAATAGGAAACGTATAACCTAGGTAAGACATTGGTGTGGCTTCGTAAAGAGTGACAGGAACCAATTAAAGGAAAGGAAAAGAAGAGCCCCACACTCCCTCATCCCTACTGCAAAAAACGTAATTTGACATATCTGAGTAACAGACACATCCCTTCAAAACAGTGGTGGGCCCAGTCAAAGTATTAGCAAGTTACCATCAGCACTCAAAACTCTAGGAGTACTCCAAGAGATTCCTGAGACTTTATGTCCCCTGCCAAACTCTGTTAATACCACATTAGTCTTCCTTCAACTCATAAGCTACACTGAATTATAATTCAGTGTGAAAACAAGCCCAAGCATGCATATATTCCTCAAAAAGCCTACTCAGTCAGTTAAACAGAACATTTATTTTTCCTAAGATGGTTTTTGGGTGTGTATATATTTACATATATTTTTAATAATAGAAAAAACTTTTCCTCAAAATAACAATTTTTTTTCTTTTCTGAAGGATCTTTCTTCTCGAGTAGCTGTTAGGAAAGGGAGAGGAGGGAAGATTAAACACTTTCACATCCATTATTACGTTTAAACATAAAACAGCTTTTAAGTAAAGACATTTTATTTTCCAAAATTAAGCAGGCAATGGGTGTTTAACAGATTTTATGAATAATATCTGACAGAACTCTCTGCTTTCTCAGAACAGTATAAGCAAAATTTGCATTCTGGAACGTCACTTTAAAAAGAAGAAAACAGGTGCCAGTATAACAAACCATGCTCTAAAAACTGATGAAATTGAATCTTCTAAACAAATAATAACATTTATTGATTCAAATTTTTTTACATTTACAACAAAGGAAATCCAATTGGTTTTCTTTATTGATTTTTAACACTTTGTAGCTACATATTAACTTATCTCAACAATTCTCAAAATGTAGACCCGTAAGCGTCCCTGAGATCCTTTCAATAGGTCCATGAGGTCCTCTCGTTTCAATAACATTTCTATGTGAGGCAAGATTTTCTTCATATATTTCAATCCAACAAAATGTCCCAAAAGATTGAATGCAGAAGCAGATATGTTACCTGGTTCTTCAGTTTTGACAGACATTAAAAAAATTACAAAAATGTAAAATGATGCCACTCTTCTCATTAATTATTTTAACCTTAGAAATATAGTTACTTTCTTAAAGATGGTATTTATTTCAATATTCAGTATTTTATTAATTTTAAGTGAATTAACACATATGTACTTTTCAAACTTTTCAGTGTTGATTTCTAATGTCTATTGATATGATCCACGTACATGAAAAAACTGAAGTCCTCAAATTTTTGAAGAGTTCAAAGGGTTCCTGAGCACAAGAAGCTTGAAAACCACTGTTTAACCTCAGTAGTCCTCCCAAATCTCTGAGGAGATATGGAATGAGGTCAAAGGTCAGGGGAGGTGGCCATGAGTGTTGAATAACGTTTATTCTATGATACATCAGCATGTAAAGGTGTGCAAGATGATCCATTGCATGGTAAGATGAAAATAATAAAATTTCAGTAATGTATATTTTATATCATCCTTTAATTTCTATATTAATGTAGTTTTATAACATACATAATAAATTTAGAAATAAGAATTAAATGTATTGAAGGAAGTCAAAAATATTTTACTCCTAGGGCTCATAATTTTGAAACTTGGAGACTACTGATTTTAGAAACTAGATTACTTTGTCTACAATGGATAAAGTGCTGACCAAAAAGCTTTTGAAAAGCTTTTTTAGTGTGAGGACTCTGATATTACACACACACACACACACACACACACACCCCAGACAAACATGAACTATTTAATGAAGCAAACAAAAATCCAAACAGGTCTCTATCAAAGAAGAGAGATTTTGTATAAAATGTCAAATGTGTTGTTCTCTATTTTATATTATTGAAGGAAATGTCCCATGTGGAAGGGCCATTTCTTCGTGAAGACTTCCTGATAACCAGAGTTCCATCATCTAACTTTCCTTATTTTCCATATTAGCCTGGGATAATTCAGTGTTATATCTACTTACTCCTTTTTGGGAAAAGTGAGACTGTTAGTTGTTACTGTATTAACATACAAATTTCAAAGGAAATTGAGAAGTAATTTCTAAATAGGTAACGTCTTTCATAGAAATTGAAGTAAATGCTTATAAGTTTTAACAATGGTATATTTACTTATTCTTTACTTTTATAATCTGGCCTTAATCTACATTATCTTTGTATCTCCCAGTACCCCACAGCACACATCCTCTGATCCCATCTAGTTCTCTATCCTTATATACTTAATACCCTTTAAACATTTATAGACTTTGGCCATTCTCTCAAGAAATTAGAAACTGGTATGAAGAAAAAACATTGTCACAAGTAACCAGTATGAAAAGAAGATAATGATAAAAGTCCCAAGAAACATGCAAAGAATGCACCTGTGATGTAGACTGACACTTACTCACACAATATCCATGCTTCTCTTCCTTTTAATACCAGAACCCAGTTGTATGATAGCCTGCAAAGTTCTCAACCATCTTTGCAGCCAGGTAAGGCTTTGTTATTTGTTATCAAGTTCACTTGCTGCTGATGTTGCCATGTGATGCTCTGGTTAAGGAAATAAAAGCCAAAGTTGTTGGGCTGAATTCCTTGGAAAGCTCTTTATAGAAGTGCATCCCTTTTGTTCTTTCCTTCCTATCTCCTGCTGTCTGAAACTTGAACAAGGTGGTTAGAGCGCCAGCAAACCACCTTGGATAGTGAAATAATCTAAAATGAAATCCAGGAAGGAGCAGAAAAATAAAAGGGGCCTAAGTCCTTTATGATTGTGGAGTCCATATACATATCTTAGAATATTAGGAAGGGGAGGCAAGGAGAAGCAATTCTGTCATAAAAAGTTGAACCTGATCCTAAACAATATGATACTCTTGGAAATTTATTTAAAAAGAGGAGAAAAAAGGAATACTTCCATTAGGTGTTTTTAGTAGCATTTGAGCTAAACCTAGAAGATTAAACAGGACTTTATCATCTAGTCATACTACAGAAATTCATTAAGGAGAAGATTCCAAAAAGGAAATTATATACACAGTATATGAAATTTATCGGAAAAGAGCATGGCACCTCCTTCCTGAGCCTCTGTACACACCCACTTAATTAAAAGATTATGACCCTTCATATATAAATCTCCCCTATCTAAGGCCTGGTTCAAATCCAGCTTTGGAGTCTGCCCACTTTAGTATGCTTGCTAGTAACTACTGCAGGACAAAAGGCCCACTCACTCATAGGCAATCCTACATCATTTGTTATTCCAATATTTTTATGTCTTGTCTCACGATATAGATGATAGGATTTCTGATGTCAGAGAGTGATCTTTAAATTCCTAATTATGTTTATAGTTTTTACACATCTTACAGACTTAATCATAAAAATGTGTAATTTTTAATTCTCTCCCAAGTGTCTTTAGAGTGGTCTGGCCTGATTTGCTGAGCATTTAGGTAGAAAATGTATAAATATATAAATATCAATTCTATAGTGTCTGATAGCTTACAAAGAGTTTTATGTCCATTATTTTACATAGTTTTACAACAAGTTTGTGAATTAGACATCACTCATGCAATTTTTATTCAATAAAATATGAGCTAGGCTTAAGGCTCACTAGGGGAGTAGCACTAAGCCTCTAAATTATTACAATACCATGGAGAAGTACTAATATAGAAGCCAGGATAAGGCTCCAGAAGGCTTAACTGACTGAGAACATTGAGCACCTTTCTGATGGGGAGGGCCTAAGAGCTCCAAAGAGGGAGTGATAAGTGAATGGAGTTGTAAAGAAAAAAAAGTATCTGGAAGTCAGAAAGAAAGGGCATTGCAGACAGACCAAACAGCATGTGTACAGCACATAGACCTAAGACAGCATGGCCCATTTGAGGAATAACAAATAATTTGGTGCAACTGAAGGAGTTACACCAAACTCTGGAGTTAGCTAGAGGCCAGAAAACAAAAGACATTGTACACTAGCTACAGCATTTCTCTTTTACCTTGCAAGCAAAGAAGAGTGCTTAAAAAGAATTTTAAGCAAGAGACCTCAGATGTACAATCTGGAAAGATAATTCTAAATGCAGTGTCACAAATTATCAAGAAAAAATTATAAGAATGTGTAAGATACATAGCAGAGCAAAGTACTGCTGAGTTTCCAACCACAGAGACACATAATTCTGAACCTGATTTTGTATTTTTAAAAATGCACTTAGGTGTTAGCAATACAATTAAATGCAGAAACATAAATAAAATTTTTCAGGATTTTGAAACGACTGTCTTCTTACCCCTCAGAAAAGAAAGAAGAGACTACAATTCACAAAATGCCAGGATCTGTTGACAAGTCACATATATTTCCTAATTTTTATTTTTGTTACTATTGTCCTATTTATTTGTCCTTATGCTCCTCCATTAAAACTGAGAGTTAGCTGTTTACTCTTTACACATTGACCAAAAAATGTTTATATTTTTCTTTCTCAATTGCTCTTTTCTTATTTCTTCCATAAAGAATGTAAAAATTGCACTTGTATCCATTTTAAATGCCATGAGCAATACTTCAGGCAGAAGCAATATTAATCAAATGTGAAAAAGTATTTCACTATTTTTTAATCCAGAAGAATTTTAATGTATTTTATTATCTTCACTCATAAAAACAGCTTAATATACTGTGAGAATTTATTCAAGACTGGATAAAATGAATTAACTGTCTAAATAAGACAGAAGACAAGGTAGAGCTTAGGTATTTTCTTTGCCAACAACTGTTTCTAAGCTAACATGCTAATGTACTTTTTGGAAAAATGCCAAAGATGATACTATGGATCTTTGTTTTTTCTTTCTCTCTGCTCATATGTTTCTAAAAATATTATACTATGAATATATAGACTAAGTCTCTTTTTGCCTCATAAAAAAAGGGATAGATCAGTCATACAGTGTGATACTGTAGGTATGTTAGGAACCTGAGGATGAATTTCAGCTCTACTCTTAGCTGGTTGTGACCTTGGGCAAGATGCTTTACCGCAAAGGATCTGTTTCTTCAACAGCAAAATGAGAATAATAGTAAATACCACACAGGATTATATTAAGGATGAAAGAATATATTGTGTTTACCAGTGCCTGGTATAGAGTAAGTGTTCAATACATAGAATTTTACTGTTATTAATATTTCTATTAATACGTTTAGAAATTATTTGCCTGGTGGGGTATGAGGCCATCCCTGTTGGGGAGAAATTTCTGTCAATTAATTATTTAATTTGTCGGAATTATTTTTTAAGGAGGCACGATGTCATAGTAGTTAAGATATCTGCTTTTCTAAAATCTCATCCCTGGTTTTTATACAGATTTGTAACTTTAAGCTTCAAATTTAGTTTAAGGTGATCTTAGATTGCAACTACCCACAGATGTATAAGCAAATTGTCTCACAAAAAGAGATGCCTAGACTTTAAACTTTGGGTAATATCCAAAAATGATTTTTCAAGGGCAATGAAAATCAAAGATAATCAAACATGAGAAAAGAAAAAGAAAAAAATTATGAATAAAAAAGACAACTTCATATATTGACATTATCACAGATTACAAAATAGCTATGTTACTGTAAAGAAACAGATACAAGCTCAAAAATACCAGCAGGATATGGAAAGCTAGAAAAAGTGACATAAATTTAAAAAACAAATATAGTTTGAAGAAATAAAAATTACAATAAAATACAATTAAATAAAATGAATCAAATACAAAATAATTATAAGATTCAATACAATAAAGTATACAAAATAAAATTAAAAAATTCTCGGTGGACATATTTGGCAGCAAACCAGGCATAGTATTAAAGTAGCAAAAAGTAGTAAACTGGAAGACAGATCTGAAGAAAATATCCACACTGCTACAGATTGAGATAAAAACCATGATAAACACAGAAGAGAAGGTAAGAGACAAGAAGGGTGTAGGAAAAAGTCCCAGGAGGATGTGACAGTGTTTCTCCTATTTTACATATCTAATCACAAGGCCTCAAAAAAAAAGCAAATATTGACAGTACCAAAAGGAGGGGCAAATTAATAGTTAGAGTGGAAGATTGTAGCATATCTCTCTTAGTTGGCAAAATAAATAGAAAAAAATAAGTAACAGTACAGAAGATTTAAAAATATGATTAACAAACTTGATGTATGGACATTACACTGCAATTGCAGAATAATATTTTTTCAAACACACAAGGGACACTTAGAAAATTTACTGTATATTGTGCCATAAATTACATGTCAACAAATATGAAGGGATTGAAATCACACAGAAAATAGGAAAGGGGCACAAGGAAGCTTCTGGAGTTTAAGCATTGTTTTGTAGCTTACTCTAGATGGTAGTAACATGAAATTTTTATGATAATTTGTTGTTATATAGCTACATTTTATGCACATTTTTGTATATAATTTGTGTCTCATAATATTTTTAAAATAAATATGAACCACACAACTAAGCCCTCTGATTACAATGAATTAATGTAAAAATTCAAACCTAGAAAATTTCCCATATCTTCAGAACTTATGCAACATATTTTTAAATATCACGTGGGTGAAAGAAATATTATAAAAGTAATTACAAAATATTTTCAATGGTATAATAACAAATGCTATAAAGCAAAATATATATAATAAATTTAAAGAAGCATGTAAAATAATATTAGCACGAAATACATGTATTAGAAAAGAGAAATGTTGTAAGTATACTAAACACCTATCTAAAGTAGTTAGAAAAATAATCACGAAATAAAGCCAAAGAAATGTGGAGTAAGAAAATGGAGACAAATGCAGAGATTAATAAAATGTTTAAGACTGTAAAATAGAGAAGACCAACAGAGCCAAGGTTGTGTGTTTGAAATGACAAATCCTGTGGTAAGATTGATCAAGGAGACAGAAAGTGATGGAAACAGGAAGGGAGGGAAAGAGAATTTGGGGGATGAACAGGAAAAATCACTGCAGATGCTGCAGACGTAAAACAGACCAAAAGAGATATTACAAATAAATTTATAAATAAAGTCCTAGAAAAGTATGTCTCTAACAAAATTTGACTCAAAAAGAAGTGGAAAACCCAAATAATCCTTTAAAAAATTGAATCAAGTGTTAAAAATTCTCCTGCAAGGAAAACTACAGGCCCAGATAGCTTTATGAATGTTTACCAAGCAATCAATATAGAAAAACTCTATATTGCTTTGGAGTGAATTTTGCACCAATACTACAAATTCCTCTGTTGAAGCCCTAGCCCCAAGTGTGATGGTATTTGGAGACTGGATCTTTGAGAAGTACAGTATTAGGCTTAGATGAAGTCATGAGAGTAGGGTCCTCATGGTGGGATTATATACTAAAGATTATGATGAGTTTGCTCACCAGAGTCTGTGCTCCCTCTCTCACTGTCTTGCTCTTATGCTTGTGCCTACTTTCTCTCTACCCCCCACCCACCCCTCTTCTCTCCGCATATGTGAGGACACAGAGAGAAAGTGGCTCCCATCTGCCAGTTTGGAAGAGAACCTTCACCAGAAGCCAACCATACGGGCACCCTAATTTAGGATTTCCAGCTTTGAGAACTCCAAGAAAATAAATTTCTGTTGCTTAAACCACCCAGTCTGTGGTATTTTGTTACGGAAGCTAAAACAGATGAAGACAGATTTATATACATTCTTTCAGAAAATAAACATGTTATACTTCTCAAGTCATTTTAAAATAAACTTGATACTAACTATGAAAGACAGCATGGGGAAGGAAAATTAAAAGCTAGTTTCACAGTCTCACTCAGAATATAAAAGTCTGAAAAAGTTAACAAATCATATATAAAGAACATAATATATTATGACCCCCTTGATTTTGTCACAAAACTAAATGTAGGCTTAACATTAAAAAAAATCAATGTAATTCACTGCAACATCAACAGAAAAAAGGAAATAAACATATTATCAACTTACTGTAAATAGAGAAAGCACTGATAAAATTTAAAATTCATTGGTGATAAACATTTGCACCATGCTAGAAACAGAAATGAGCTTTTTTAACCTGACGAGGGTTATCTTACAAAAAACATCTATAGCAAACACTGTATTAAATGGTAAAACTTTGAAAGCTTTCCCTTTGAAATGAGGAAAAAGGTAAAAATACCTATGGTCCAAACATCTATTCAATAAGAGAAAACAGTGAAGAAATGAGGAAATCAGTTACTATAATTATATAAACGTTTTAGGGTGCGTAGGAAAATATTTCAGTATCCTTATAAAGGTAAGACATAGTTCAAAATGCAGCTTTAGGAGTTGGATACACTATTCACAGAAAAATATTTAGTTTTCTTTTGCCATTCAAGCTGAAGTAAAATCTGAAAAGTATGTGACGAATCTCTGAAAGAACCAAATATAAATATTTATTGATCCAAATGGTTGTTGAGTACTATATTGTGTGAGGCTGCTAGATTCTAGGAATACAGACAGGCAAAGAATAGACTCTGTCCTTGAGAACTTTACAGTCTATTGCACAAAACAGGCAAGTAAAATAATAACAACAATAATAATACTAAATTTTTACAGGGGGAAGTTATTGGATCATTGATAATAACTCAAGGGGTCATGGAGGGAAAACATGCCTATTAAGGACCTGTTTCTTAAAGATCTATCTCTTTAATTTTGCCAGATTAAATATGAGAGATAGAGATAGGAAATTTCTCATACTCTTATCATGTGAAGATATTGTTTTATACATGGAACATTCAAGATATCATTAACTGTGAGGCAATTCTATGTTATATATAAGAACACCTAAGCTCAGAGAATTTATTATGCTGTGAAGCACAAGTCAAAAGCTAATAAATGCTTAACAAGAGTTAAGTGCAAGTCTAACACCGAAGTTTATGCACATACGCACATTCATGTAAATGAGACTGTGTAGCTAGCAGCTCAAAAATTTTTATCCTACTAAGGCTAGATAACAATTGGCAAAAAGTTATATATGTACATATATACATATATGTATATATATGAGATAATGTAATAATTATTAACAATAATTTCACAAGCAAGAACACTTGAGGAAAAATTACATGAGGGAATATTTACAATGAAAACGCATATGCAACTTCCATTTCTGTTAGTGGCAGCGTAATTTAGACATATTTTTCCACTGAAGATAACTAAAAAAAAAATCAGATGAAATATTTTTAAATCTCCTTTTAAAGTTTTAAATATAAGAAGTAATTACCATTCCAAAATTCAGAGAGGTTACTATGGCCCTTGGATTGTCTTCACCCTATATTTGCCAAACCTGAAGAGGTAGGTAATAAATTGAGCAGTTCTTTTTGTGAACACTCAGGACTACAGACAAAAGTTAAAGTCCAGAGCTAATGAAGGATGGTGTATTAGGACATTTTTTTTGTATTGCTTTAAAGAAATATCTGAGACTGCATAACTTATAAAGAAAGAGGTTTAATTAGCTCATTGTTCTGCAGGGAGTACAGGAAGCGTGATCCTGGCATCTGCTTCTCGTGAGGCCTCAGGACACTTACAATTATGGTGGAAGGTGAAGAGGGAGCAGGCACATCACATGGCAAGAGCAGAGGCAGAGAGAAAGCGGGGAGATGCCACACATTTTTAAACAACTGGGTCTCACAAGAACTCACTCACCATGATGAGGACAGTACCAAGCTATTCATGAGGGACCCACGCTCATGATCCAAACTTCTCCCACAAGGCCCCACCTACAAAATTGGGAATTACATTTCAACGTGAGATTTGAAAGGGACAAATATCCTAACCATATCATCAGGACACTTGGATAAACTAATGCCCACTAAGCTTCTACTCAAGAGTTGCATTCTAGGAGTTACTTTGCACCTGAAGTGAGCCACTTTTGCAATCAACTGATGCCTGGCTTCAAGTCATTTCTGCATCTCAGAATATATGTAGCTCTGAATTTGGATTAAGATGGTCATGGATTTCCAGCATTCCCATGTGCCAGGAAAAAGTAAAGAAAATCCTTTTCAAAAGAACATATTAACCACAAACTTTTTCTACAAATAGTTTTTCAAATGCAATGACCAACATAAAATAGAAGATTGCAAGACACAGGTAAAGACATAAAACTGGCATAACTACTACTCTTGTCATTTCTAAAACCAGAAGGAAGACTCAATGGAAAAAAAAAAAAGACCACAAAAGTAAATCATAAATTTTACTGGTAATTGGATTTACACTGAAAAATTTAATTACCATTGGCAAAAAAAAAAAATGCACAAAGCATATTATCCCAGGCCTCCAGACAGAATACCTCATAGCTTTAAATAGTAAGCATAATAATCTAAGTTTCTTGGTTATATATCACCACTAAAGAGTCCTGAAATATGTTATTATCATTATATTTCTATCAGAAAAACAGTCTCTGTCTCCAAGTAAAATAACGTTTCAGTTAAAAATGTACAGTTTTCCAAATGAAGTATGAAGATTTCCCTTACATTCCAAAGAAACTACAAAGAAATCAAAGTTTACATAAGCATTCCATATATGGATGTAATCAGTGGATACATGATAAAAGTTTTAGAGAACTCTATTCTTCCACTCACTTTATGAGATAAAATAGATACTTAGCATGGAATTTCTTTGTGATGAAGATTTTGTGATTAATATTATACCCAACTTTTGCTAAATAATAATGGAAACTTATTTTGTTTTCTATTATAAGTAACTTCACTTATCTTTGATCTATAGAAATAGCATATTGAAGCCAATATAATATGAAGTGAAATCATTCATAAGTTTCCATGGTAAACTATTTTTTAAACAAAAAGAAAAAGCAAGAGGAAAATCCTGGATAGTTTATTTTCTAAGTGACTAAGAAATAAAAGCTACCCATTAGTCAGACAAGAGAATGACCCAAACAATTTCGTCTTCTGTTAATTCAGGTTAATTAACCTTGTGTTATTTCAGCTCATTCAAATTACATGTCAATTAATCAACTGAGTTTTTACAAATCATTGATTTTTTTGCTAGTTAACTAACAAATGCCAATCAGAAGAATCACTGATTTATAGAGTCCTTAAGTCCTTAAATTTCTATATCATTCCAACCACATTACAATTAACTTTCTTTTTTATTTTTATTATTATTTTTGAGATGCAGTCTCACTCTGTCACCAGGCTGGAGTGCAATGGTGTGATCTCAGCTCACTGCAACCTCTGCCTCCCGGGTTCAAGCGATTCTCTTGCATCTGCCTCCCACGTAGTTGGGAATACCATCGCATGCCACCATGCCCAGCTAATTTTTGTATTACTAGTGGAGACGGGGTTTCGCCATGTTGGCCAAGCTGGTCTCAAACTCCTGACTTCAAGTGATCCTCCCTCCTTGGCCTCCCAAAGTGCTGGGATTACAGGTGTGAGCCACCACGACCAGCCGACGATTAACTTTCTTTCAACTCAAAGATCTATTTATAAACACCTGTTGTTTCAATCCCAATATCAAAGCCTTTATGTTGTCCTATTTTCATTCAAATCACATTGTCAATCTTTTCATCAAGGACACACTATAAATAGTAAACCTATTTAGAAGGACGTGACTATGGTATAAATGGAAAAAGGTACATTATCAAAACAGAAATAATTAGTAAAAACTCTTAGTGAAAAGAATTTGGAGAAGTTTCATCAACAAAACATGAGAAATTTTTGTACAGCACAGAAATACTAAAGCATAAATTACTCAATACTGTTATTACTTCATGAGTAACAATTTACCTAAAATTGGTTATTTTCATGCTGAAGTAGAATTTCTCTCCAAAGAAGTTGACATAAAACAAGATAAAATTTAAATTTAGAGAATACTAAGTGTTTTTATTTTTCCTGAACAATTATACAGTACTTATTTTGCCTAGCAAAGTTAGGGACAGAATTCAAGACATTTTTTATTACTTTTTCATCTTTTAGATTTGGGGGTGAATGTGTGAGTTTGTTACCTGGGTGTATTGCGTGACGCTGAGGTTTGGGATACAAGTGATCCTGTCACTCGGGTACTGAGAATAGAACCCAACAGTTTTTCAACCCTTGCCTCCCTCCCTCCTTTCCCCTTATAGAAGTCCCCAGTGTCTATTATTGCCCTCTTTGTGTTCATGAGTACCCGACGTTTAGCTCCTATTTACAGGTGAGAACATACAGTATTTGGTTTTATGTTCCTGTGTCAATTTGCTTAGGATAATGGCCTCTAGCGGCATTCACGTTGCTGCTTTAAAGGACATGATTTTCACAATACTTTCATTTATTTATTTATTTATTTATTTATTTATTTATTTATTTATTTTGAGACGGAGTTTCACTCTTGTCTCACAGGCTAGAGTGCAATGGCGCGATCTCGGCTCGCTGCAACCTCTGCCTCCTGGATTCAAATGATTCTCCTGCCTCAGCCTCCCAAGTAGCTGGGATTACAGGTGCTCACCACTATGCCTGGTTAATTTTTTTGTATTTTTTAGTAGAGAAGGAATTTCACCATGTTGGTCAGGCTGGTCTCGAACTCCTGACCTCAGGTGATCCACCCGCCTCGGCCTTCCAAAGTGCTGGGATTACAGGCGTGAGCCACCGCACCCGGCATTCACAATACTTTCATAATTTGCATTACAGAAGTGAATTCCATTCATGTTGAATGATACTGTTGTGTTGCATTGTAGGTTTCATTTATTCATAATGTAAAATTCTTTAAGAATGCTTTTTAAAATTATCATTCTACTTTCTACTGTTTTATGCATTCCAGTTTTTTTTCTACAAGATAATAAGTGTTTAATCTTGAAGCCTGTAGAACTATGATAGCTGAAAGATTCTGAGCTCAAAAATAGAGAAATCCACTACAACTTCCATTTGCTGCAAGTTGTAAATATATTGTTACTAGCACCTCTGTTATTAAAACCAGACTTTTATCAGGACCAACTGGTGGAAAACCAGCTCTATTTCTAACTTTATTAGCACATTCTAGCTTCCTTCAGAAGCAGGAATTTAATATATTAAAAACTTAAAATATTTACCATTTTGCTTATCAAAAATAAATTCCCAAGAGTTAACAAATTTGAAAATGAAATATAGGACTTTGCTTTGGATAGGACTTTCACTGGGGACATTGCAGCAATTAAAAGAATAATGTATCAATGTTACTTTAGGAAATGGTATAAAACAGTAAAATAAATTTTTCAGAACTAAAGCAAAACAAAACAAAAAACATGGTTGTAGTCTTACTTCTGTAAAATACTACCTATGTTTAAATGGTTACCTGAACAAATATCAAAGCATCAATCTTTGCAATTCAGTTTGCCTTTTGTATAATTATGGGGGAGATTTAGTTTTTTAAACCCTACAGAAGTTGCACAAATAAAATATCATGCCTAATCAACATTCCCATGGAAATACGGATTGAGCACAGCAAATGAACAACAGTACCTTAATTATGGTGAAATTTCCTTTTCTTTAATAATGAAAACAAAGTATGTATTGTTACAACATTTAAGAAGAGTTTGTTTTACAAAATTAAAATAGATATAGTTTTTCAGAGTTTTTGTACATATACTCATTGTACAAAATTCAAACAAAAGAATGTAGCAAAAAATATTAACATTAAACATTACTTGTAATTACTTGTAAACCATTACTTGTAATTACTTGTAAACCAAGGAAGATTTACTCAACATGTTGGGAAACATAATTCCTAACATCTTGCAATACATACATATGTAATTTTTAATGGGTTTAATCTAAATGCTATATTTTAATATACACAGTTCATTCAAAAACATTTCATAGCAAACTTTTCTTGTCAATAAATATAAAAATACAATATTTTTGATAATCAGAGTTTTCTATTATATGAATATACCGTAATTTATTTGACTAATTCACAGATATGTTGGTTGACTGGTATTATGATGTTGCTATTCCAGTATTTAAGTCATCTTTGAACACATTTCCAGTCATTTCCTAAGAATAAATTTCAACAATTAAATTTGCTGAATCAGAGTGTGTATGAAAGTTACATTTTGACATATAGTATCAAAAATATTGTACCAATTTATATAATCACAGCATCTCAGGAGAATACACACTTTACTTCATCTTTGCTAATTACCATATTTTTAAAATATCATGTTTTTACTGAACTAAACTAACAACATATTTTTTGCTAATTTGTGCTTTTGTAGAAAGGCTGAATATCTTCTCATATTGTGTGTGTGTACATATATATATATATAATATATATATATACATAAAATACAGCCCATCTGCATTCTTCTTATGAAATTTTAAAATAAATTTTTGATGAATGTTTTACCAAGGCAATTTTGGAATCTACTAAAAAAAATTTCTACATAAGTGGTACACAAATCTGGCCTAAGTAGAAACACAGAAACCTGTGCAACTGAAACATGTGGCTAGACCATCATTATATCTCATTGCCCTACAACTCTGTTTTAAATCAGTTACTTATAAATTAGCTTGTTTCATTCATATTTCTTCACCACCTAACTTGACAGGCAATTTTTATGGAGAAGAAATGAATGACTGTATTTTCAACTTTTAAAATTATTTTACAATTGAATGCATCCCCCTCAGTATTTCTAAAGAAGTTTTGACTACATTTTTTTCTCTTAGATGCCATATACCTGTCTCTTGTGTATGATTACCACTCCATGAGTAACACTAATGACCAAATTGACACAGCATCCTCAAAGACAGAGTGACATCTTTTCATTCATCTCAATCTGGAGTCAAAAACATCAGGAATAGATATATTATTTCCATGTCATTTGAGTGATCTGTAGCACTGCTAACCCTCACCCATCAATGTGTACCTCTAGGGACTGCTAGTGAACCTGCCTGTTTCCTCCACATTACAGATGTTCTTTCTGGCTTCAAGCCTTGAAATACCCACTGTACCAGCCACACTCCAGACAAGGTTCTAATATTTCCTAGATGTCTCTTGCTTAACTAAGACCTAGCATTTTTACAGCTCTTAGTGGGTAGCAACTGTTCATGGTTTAGATTTTTGAACTACTAACTTGATCTGTTTTCATTTCAACCACTTAAAAATAATTCCACCTTGTCTGAGGAAGGAAACAAAACTAGAGCCTCCTCATGGGGCCAGAGCATGGCACAATTTCTGTTATTAGGCTCCTTCTCACAGCAGACAGAAGAAACAACAAGGCTTCTTCTCCAGGCTTCCAAAAATATTGCTTCTGGAAAGCTCTGAAAACATAAGAATTCACAGAGGAAAATCCCATTTGCCCACCGTTTAGTTTGAGTCATTACCTTAAAGCTCTAGCAGGAGTCCAGGAGGGGTGTAGGGATGGCCTTAATCACCTCCTGGGGCTTCTCTGTTATAGAAAAAAGAACCTGTGGAATAGTCTTCTCCCTTTCCAAAATCCCATTTCAACTGAAATATGTCAGTTTTCGCAGACATCTCTTTCTGAAACAAATACCTATTCTAACATTTACCTCCCATTCACATCTCCCATGAAAAAAGAGGTAAAAAGATCACTATATAGTATATATTTTTTAAAAAACTCGGTATTTAAAACACACTTTCTACTCTGTATGCTTCCCCCTCACCTTTTCTCTATTTCTTTATATTGAGGTAAATATTTTTCAGAGCTGAATTAATTTTACTTTTAACCTGGAAAGTTTCAGTCTAATTAAAGAATGTATATATTAAACATTTATTCTGCTTTTTTTCACTTCCAGAGACTGAAAAATTTACATTTCAAAAAATACATTGGATAATAAAATTCTGAATAACTAATTTCTGTT
Organism: Homo sapiens; assembly: GCF_000001405.40. Classification (NCBI taxonomy): domain Eukaryota; kingdom Metazoa; phylum Chordata; class Mammalia; order Primates; family Hominidae; genus Homo; species Homo sapiens. The sequence continues at coordinate 147,543,432 of NC_000003.12, read as the reverse complement.
AAAACAGAAATAAATGTAAAAAATTTGATTATTTAACTGAAATATAAAACTCCATTAACTCAGATGCACCATTAAATTGTCTGGCTGCTTCATGGGAAATGATAGCCTAAAGAAGAAGAATAGTTTTCATTATAGTATGAAGAAAAGCCTGATTTCTGAGTTCTTATTCCCAAGAACATGAAGGTTCACTTTGACTTCCTGGAATGTTTTACTGTGTCTGTTTATTCATGTGACTTGGTTTAATTGCTAATTCAGTGTTGTTTCTGAAGTACTTAAAATTCAGTAATGAAGACTCAGATAATGAAGTATTATGTAGACTAATTAATGAATATATAATGCCACATAAAGTTTTTGCAAATGCCAACTGTTATCATCATACATGTCAGACTTAATTTTGTCTCTGATTCCACTGAGCTGGGTACCTAATTCTAAATTCACTACTTCATTTAGTATGGCAGTGGCCCTTAGTTCTTCCCTAGCTCCTCAGTATGAGAATCTTCTATTTAGTAGAAAATCAGAGACATCACCTGGATTTTCAATAAGAAAAACCATATATTCAATTTAAATGATAAGCCAAGCACAATGGCTCATGCCTATAATCCCAGCATTTTGGGAAGCTAAGGCAGGCAGATCATTTGAAGTCAGGAGTTGGAGACCAGCCTGGCCATCATGGTGAAACCCCATCTCTACTAAAAATACAAAAATTAGCCAGGTGCAGTGGTATGAACCTGTAGTCCCAGCTACATGGGAGGCTGTGGCAGACAATTGCTTGTACCTGGCAGGCAGAGGTTTCAGTGAGCTGAGATGGCACTACTGCAGTCCAGCTTGGGTGACAGAATGAGACTCCATCTCAATAAATAAATACATAAATAAAAATTAACTAATTAAATGATAGCTCTGCCATTTACTAGCTGTCTGATCTTGCCTAACACTTTTGAAACTCAGTGTGATGAGTTTTAAAATGAAGATAATAATATCCATCAACTCAACAAATATTGCTGAGTATACATCATGTTTCAACCTCTGCTCTGGCACTGAGGATACAACATAGGCCCTGCCTCAAGGAACCAACAGGAAGGTACAGTATGTTAAGTGCCATGATGAAGACAAGAACCAGTTACTATGGAAGTATATTAAAGGATTAACTCCTAGCATTCTGGAGAGGGTTAAAATAAGAATATTTATAGAGCAACTGACACATTGCCTAACACATTGTAGATACTGAGAAGTATTAGCCAACCCCCCTTTTTGTTTACAAACCAGATGGCATGTTTATTCCACATTAGAAAATGAGGAATGTTAGCAACACTGTGTGATGTGGGATGAACAAATATGATTTCTTTTTTTTAAACTTTTATTTTAGGTTTGTGGGTGCATGTGAACATTTGCTACACAGGTAAACACATATCAAGGGGATTCATTGTACAGATTATTTCATCACCCAGGTATTGAGCCCAGTACCCAACAGTTATATTTTCTTCTCCTCTCCCTCCTCCCACCCTCTCATCTCAAGTAGACCCCCTGTTGTTTCCTTTTTGTGTTCATAAAGTTCCTATCATTTTGCTCCCACATGTAAGTGAGAACATGAAGTATTTAGTTTTCTGTTCCTGCATTAGCTTGCTAAGGATAATAGCCTCCAGCTTCATCCATGTTCCCACAAATTACATGATAGAATGACATGGTATGATTCTTTTTTATGATTAAATAGTATTCTGTGGTTGATAGAGAGGCCAACAGTCAAATTCAGGAAATACAGCAAACTCCTACAAGATACTATACAAGACGATCATCCCCAAAACACATATCATCAAGGTTGAAATGAAAACAAGAAGGCTAAAGGCAGCTAGAGAGAAGGGTCATGTAACCTGCAAAGGGAATCCCATCAGGCTAACAGTGTACCTCTCAGCTGAAACCTTATAAGCCAGAAGAGATTGTGGGCCTATATTCAACATTTTTAAAGAAAAAAATCTTCAACCATAATTTCATATCCAGCCAAACCAAGCTAAGTGAAGGAGAAATAAGATCCTTTTCAGATAAGCAAATATTGAGGGAATTCATTACCACCAGACCTGCCTTACAAGAGATCTTGAAAGGATCACTAAATATAGAAAGGAAAGACCAACATCAGCTAATACAAAAACACACTTAAACATATGGATCAGGGTCACTGTAAAGCAACAACACAAACAAGCCAATGTAATAGCCAGCTGACAGCACAATGACAGGATCAAATCTATGCATATAAATACTTGAACATAAACAGGCTAAATGCTCCACTTAAAAGGCACAAAGTGGCAAGCTGAAAAAAAAAGCAAGACCTAATGATATGCTGTCTTCAAGAGACCAATCTCACTCATAGACTCAAAGAGATGAAGGAAAATCTACCAAGCAAATGGGAAACAGAAAAAAGCAGGAGTTGCAATTCTACTTTCAAGCAAAACAGATTTCAAAACAACAAAGATCAAAAAAGACAAAGATGGCATTACATAATGGTAAAGTCTTCAATTCAACAAGAAGAACTACCTATCCTAAATATATATGCACCCAACACAGGAGCACCCAGATTCATAATGCAAGTTCTTAGAGACCTACAAAGAGACATAGGCTCCTACATAATAATAGTGGGAGACTTCAACCCTCCACTGACAGTGTTAGACAGAACATTGAGGTAGAAAATTAATAAAGATATTCAGGACCTAAACTCAACATTGAACCAAATGAATCTGATAGACCTTAACAAAACTCTCCACCAAAAAACAACAGAATATATATTCTTATCATTGCCACATGGCATATACTCTGAAATTGACCACATAATTGGATATAAAGCAATCCTCAACAAATGTAAAAGAACCAAAATCATACCAAGCACAATTTTGGAACAAGCACAATAAAAATAGAAGTCAAGACAATAGAAATGGCTCAAAACCATGCAATTACATGAAAATTAAACAACACACTCCTGAATGATTTCTGGGTATGTAGTAAAATTAAAGCAAAAATCAAGAAATTCTTTGAAAATGAGAACAAAGATACAACATACCAGAATCTCTGGGACACAGCTAAGGCAGTGTTAAGAGGAAAATTCATAGCATGAACTGTCCACATCAAAAAGTTACGAAGATCTCAAATTAACCTAACTTCACAACTGAAAGAATTAAAGAAGCAAGAACAAATCAGCCCCAAAGCTAGCAGAAGATGAGAAATAACAAAAATTAGAGCTGAGCTGAAGGAAACCGAGACATGAAAAACCATTTAAAAGATCCATGAATTCAGAAGTTGGTGTTTTATATATAAAAAAAAGATAGGCTGCTAGCTAGACTTATAAAAGAGAAAAGAGGGAAGAGCCAAATAAACACAATTAGAAATGATGAAGGGAATGTTACTACTGACACCACAGAGATAAAAACAATCATCAGAAACTACTATGAACACCTCTATGCACACAAACTAGAAAACCTAGAAGAGAGGAATAAATTCCTGGCCACATACACCTTCCCAAGACTGAGTCGGGAATAAATTGATTCCCTGAATAGACCAATAATGAGCTCCAAAATTGAATCATTAATAAATAGCTACCAACCAAAAGAAGCCTGAGACCTAATGGATTCACAGCCAAATCTACCAGATGTGCAAAGAAGACATAATACTATTCCTACTGAAACTATTTCAAAAAATTGAGAAGGGGGGTCTCCTTCCCAACTCACTCTATGAGGCCAGCATCCTCTTGATACCAAAACCTGGCAGAGACACAACAAAAAAAGAAAACTTCAGGCCAATATCCTTGATGAACATCAATGCAAAAATCCTCAACAAAATACTTGCAAACTGAATCCAGAAGCACATCATAAAGCTAATCCACCATGATCAAGAAGGCTTCCCCCTGGGATGCAAGGTTGGTTCAGCATATGCAAATCAATAAATGTAATTCATCACATAAACAGAACTAAACACAAATGCTACATGATTATCTCAATAGACTCAGAAAAGGCTTGCAATAAAGTCCAATACCCCTTCATGTTAAAAACTCTCAATAAACTAGGTATTGACGGATCACACCTCAAAATAGTAAGAGCCATCTATGAAAAACCCACAGCCAACATTATACTGAATGGGCAAAAGCTGGAAGCATTCCCCTTGAAAACCAGCACAAGACAAGAATGTCCTCTCTCACCACCTCTATTCAACACAGATTGGAAGTCCTAGCCAGAGCAATCAGTGCAGCCTTCAGTCTGTGATCAAAGGCCCACGAGCCCCTGGCAAATCACTGGTGTAAGTCCAAGAGTCCAAAAGCTGAAGAACTTGGAGTTTGATGTTTGGGGGCAGGAAGCATCCAGCATGGGAGAAAGATGGAGGCCTGAAGACTCAACAAGTAAAATCCTTTCAACGTCTGTCTGCTTCATTCTAGCCTCTCTGGCAGCTGATTAGATGGTGCCCACCCAGATTGAGGGTGGGTCTGCCTCTCTGTCCACTGACTCAAATGTTAATCTCCTTTGGCAACACCCTCACAGACACACTCAGGAACAATACTTTGCATCCTTTAATCCAATCAAGTTGACACTCAATATTAACCATTACACTGCCCAAAACAATTTACAGATTCAATGCTATGCCTATCAAATTACCAACAACATTCTTCACAGAGCTAGAAAAACCTATTTTAAAATTTATATGGAACCAAAAAAGGGCCCAAAGAGCCAAGGCAATCCTAAGCAAAAAGAACAAACCTGGAGGCATCACGCTACCCAATTTAAGACCCCTCACCTTTTTTTTTTTTTTACATATATAGCATTGCCCAGAAAAAATGACACTACATATCATATATTGATTGTGAACAGATGGTTATACAAGTGTGTCTGGCTTTCTTTATGAATATCTTAGAGAAACCTTTTGTACCTCATTCATTTGGCATGAGAGAAACAATTTTCAAACAGTTTAATCTGGATACCTCTCAAGAGTAGGACCAGAGAAGAGTTTAACTTAATACTTTATACACTTCAGTATGATTGCCCTTTTTTAAAACAACAAATATGTCACTATTATGCTTTTGTGAATTTTGGTATTCTATTTTTAATGGTAATTCTATTTTTAATATTTTGATTAATCTTCATACTGTTTTTCATAGCAGCTCCACCATTTTACGTTTCCACCAATAGTGCACAAATATTGTAACTTCACAGCCTCACCAACACTTCCTGTTTTCTGGCTTTCACTTTTGATTTTGTTCTTTATAGTAACCATACAAATGAGTGTGAACTGATATCTCATTGTAGTTTTTTTTTAACCTTTGTTTGAGTTTCAGGGGTACATGTGCAGGTTCGTTATATAGGTAAATTTTGTGTCGTGGGGGTTTGATATGCAGATTATTTCATTACCCGGGTAATAAGCATAGTACCCTATAGGTAGATTTTTAGTTTTCACCCTCCTCTCAATCTCCACCCTCAAGTAGTACCTAGTGTCTATTGTTCCCTTCTTTGTGTCCATGTGTACACAATGTTTAGCTTTCACTTTTAAGTGAGATCATCCATTTGGTATTTGGTTTCCTATTCCTGCATGAGTTAGCTTAGGATAATGGCCTCCAGCTCCATCCATGTTACTGCAAAGACGTTATGTCATTGTACTTCGATTTGTATTTTCCTAATGATTAGGAATGTTGATCATCTTTTCTTATGCTTATTGGCCATTTGCACATCTTTTTTGGAAAAGTGTCCAGTCAAGCCCTTAGCCCATTTTTTAATCAGGTTATTTTATTTGTTTGTTTGCATGTTTTGAGTTGAGTGCTTTAAATATTCTGGATATTAAACTTTTACAATATTTATGATTTGCAAATATTTTCTCCCATTATGTAGATTGCCCTTTCACTTGCTGATTGTGTCCCTTGAAGTAAAGAAGTTTTTAATTTTTATGTAACCCAATTTACCTAATTTTACTTTTGTTGCCTGTGCTTTTGGTATTATATCCAATAAATTACTGCCAAATCATTATTATACTTTTTAAATCAATAAGAAAAAAGAGAGTAAGCTACAATGTCAGATGATATTTTCATAATCAATGAGATAAGTTTGTTGATACGCAAGAGACTTTTGAATCCCATATCTAAAAGCCACTTCTGCCTCTGCCACACTTGCATAAAATCTCCTGTTGAAGTAATATAGGAAGAGAGCAGATGCAAGCTTAACTTTGTGATATTTTGGGGGCAAACACCTGATACAGAAAGTAAAGACACTAAAGCAATAAAATTTTTGCCACTATTTTGGTACTCCAGATGAAGACCTCTGCCTGGAGAAAAAATACTCGGGAACTACATTATTCAACAAACAGGATGAAACAGTCTCTTGGCAGATGAGTTCAAAAACGTCTGTCACTGACTTTCTGAAGTGAGTTTTTAAGAGATACAGATCTAGCTACTGCATGTGTGCTTCACTAAGGCATGAATATAAAACAAAAAAAGGAGTCCCCAAAATTGGGGACCTTTGTGTCACTTTCTTGAACATCAGAAGCCATGTAAAGAACTCCAAATTTTAGTGGGGGCCAACAAGAAAGTCATGACTAATCAGAGGGGTGGCAGAGCTCTTATTACTAATAAGGCAGTAAAACTAGGTTTAACCACCAGAGAATAATTTTCTTACCACCTATTACTAAACATTAAAATGTGCATATGTGCGGCTCAACTAAGTTTAAAGAAAGTTAAATCAATAGAATCTTATTTGAATTACTATTGAGAAGGATATAACCATCACCACAAATAACCTCCTAGATTTTGTACCTTTGATCTACATGTGGAAACTGGATATTTGAAAGACCACACTAAGGTTTATTTAGCACCACTGATAGACTAAGAAGCACTTAAGACATCCACTACTGTTTTTCTTCCTAGAAAGAAAGAATCTAAATTATCTAAGACTAATCTTATCAAAAGACCATGGTATCTATTAATCAACTATCAATATACAATCATTTAAATACTACTTGGTAATTATCAATATGCTTTACTTTCAGATGGTTTTGCTTAATAAAAGTATAGTTATATACTAGTTATTTCAGTCATTCAATTATAGCATAAAGCATATTAATTCATCAAACAACTTCTTGTTATATGGACGGCGTTCTTCTAGATCCCTTATTGGTAACTTTCAAGGGTTGTTTTTCTTTCAAAAGTTGATAATGTATCAATATCTCCAGAGCAACTACATCCTTCTGGAGTGCTCTTTTAGTACTCAAGAAAGGTTCAAGATGTAGACATTTTATTTTCTGTTATAAATGTTAGTCAACTCAAATAAATATTTTTAATAATAACTTTAGAAAAGAGGACTATATAGTTTATAACTACAATAGGTTGGAAATCTTCAATAGATAATTTATAATAAGCCTAGGTGTTATTGAATATGAAAATTCAATAATCCACCACTAATTGTCCACCAAATGAATTGTAATATCTAAAAAGGCAAGAAGGTCGTACTTTATAAAGTCAAACAATTTACATATGAGAGGTGGCTTTAAAAGAATAAGATTGATTTTGACAGATATCCCAGAATATATGTATTCACGTGCATTTTTTCCCTAAAATCTGAGGTCTAAGGAGAGTTACTTAATAAAACTCAGTTGCATTGACTTGGAGATATTTTATTTCCAGATCTCTTCCTCATTTCACCAGGTCAGGTCAACAAATGATTTCTGACATTTCTAAAAATTGAATCCAGACTCAAAGTACAAAACTGCATCAATAGTCATTCATATACATGTCAGAGGTTCGGAAGGAATTTCAAAGCAGAATTTTAAAACTGTCTAGACCCAGTTGGTACTATATCCAATGTGTTAAGCATCATGTCAGTTGCTCAATAAGCCATATTTAATTTAACTCTCCCCACAATGCCATGAGTTGATCTTTCAATGTGCTTCCATAGTAACTGGTTCTTGCCCTTATCATGGCACTTAACACACTGTACCTTCCTTTAGGTTTCTTTAGGCAGGGCCTATGTTGTATCCACTATTGTATCCACAGTGCCAGAGCAGGGGTTGGAACATGACATATACTCAGCAAAATTTGTTGAGTCAATGGATATTATTATCTTCATTACAAAACTCATGACACTGAGTTTCAGAAGCATTAGGTGAGATCAGACAGCTAGTAAATGGCAGAGCCATTGTTTAATTTAAATATATGGTTTTTATTATTGAAAATCCAGGTGGCATCTGATTTTCTGCTAAATAGAAAATACCTATACTGTGAAGCTCGGGAAGAATTGAGGGTTACTGCCATACTAAACGAAGCAGTGAACATACAATTAACTATTAGGTATTATGATTAATTCAATAATTAAAAGTCCAGTTGGGGAGCAACTGGAACTCTGCTGTATTGCTATGGGAATAACAAATGGCACACTCACTTTGGAAAAGAGTTTGGCAACTTCTTATAAAGTTAAGCGTATGCTTACCTCACAACCTAGCAATCTCACTCCTAAGTATTTACCGAAGTGAAATGAAAATTTATGTTTACATAAAAACCTATACATGAATGTTAATAATAACTGCATTCAAAATCATCAAAAGCTGGAAACAACAAAAGCTGGAAACAACTCAAATGTCCCTCAACTGATGGATGTATAAACTATGCTATATTTCTATAGAAGAATACTTCCCAGGAATGAAAAGGAATAAACTGATAATACATACAACAATGTGGATGAATCTCAAAGGCATTACGCATTGTGAAAGAAGTCAAAATCAAACAGTTATATACATATCATATAACTGTATTTATATGACGTTATGGAAAAGACAGTATAATGGGAACAGAAACCAGAAAAGAAGTTGCCAGGAGCTGGAGTTGGGGAAAAGGTTGACGGCAATTTGGCATAAGAAAATATGGGTGGGGGGGTGGTGATGAAACAATATCTGATTGTGATGAGGGTTACATGACCATATACTTTTATTAATGCCCACAGAAATGTACACTAACAAAAGCCAATTTTGCCATAGTCTTTAGTTTTAAAAATTTAAATAAAGCAAAAAATAATAAAAGTAATAGGCATATGCTTTCCATAAGATCCAGCAATTCTACTCTTTGGTTTTGCCCAAAATATATAAAAATGTATGTCTCAAAACACTATTATAAGAATATTCATAGAAGTTTTATCCAAAATAGCAAAAAGTACAAACAACCTAGGTGTCCATCAAAAGGAGAATATAAACAAAGTGGTATAGTCACACAATGAATACCATCAGAAAAATTAATAAACTACCCATACATGAATCAATATGAATGAATCTCACAGATATCATGCTGAGAGGAAGAATCAGGATACAAAAAAAATTCCATATATATGAATGGAATTCCTCTAGGTAATTACTCTATGATCCCACTTATATAAAGTTCTAGAACAAGCACAATTAAACCACAGTTAAGAAGATCAGAAAAGTTGTTGCCTCTGCAGGTGAGTGAGGACTTGCTGATAAGGTGTATGTGGGAACTTTCTGGAGTGTTGAAAATATTCTTGATTTGATAGAGTTATGCATTCCCCAGGTATATGCACTTGTCCAAACTTTACATTGTACATTTCAAGTGTGTATATTTTAAGTAAATTTTACCTCAAAAATCTCTAAATAAATTTTTTCTACATAACAAAATTAAGCAATGAAGAGAATTCATTTTTTACATCAATAGCATTCTCTTATTAGCACAAATATGTAATCTTAGCACAAAATGTAGCTATAGTAAATTCTATTTACATAATGACAATGGAAGTTTTATTTATTGGGCTTTCAACTTTTAGGATGAGCTTATAGTCAAAGCACAGAATATTAACTCATAATTACAGAGAGTAAATGTGAACAACTTTGGCAAAACAGAATGTAAATGTTAATAAACGTTAAAAAAAAAGCAAATGTTAATAGCTTTGACTAAGAGAATGTGAAAGATAAAATTAAGGAGGGATAATGGACTCAAAAACAAAAGAGAAGGGTTACTGGTGTTATTTTACATACAGGGTATTTGAGATACCAAAGTTGATGGAATAATCAATAACTGGAGCTATCAATATATTATCTTAGGTCTAAAACGTATCCAATAGGAGAATTAAAAATAAAATGTTTGATAAAATTGGATCAGAGAGAGAACGAAGATAGGATTAGTGTCAGCTAATTCTTATCTCTCATGTAAAAATTGATATTGTCCTAATAAATTGAGAAATTTGAAGTATCTGCATATTATCTGGTGTTAATGGAGTTAAATGAGAGAGGGACTTAAACAGAAGCAATTTAAAGTTTGCCTCTAGGGACTGAGACCAAAGGAAGGAAAGTATGGGAGAGAGAACATATTGTGTGTGTGTGTGTGTGTGTGTGTGTGTGTGTGTGTGTGTTCTTTACTATTTGGTGTTTTCACTGGGCCAACATATTACTTTAACAGTTAAAATCAAGAAAATTCAATATGTTTCACAAATGTTATATTAAACTTAATAATATTTTTTCCAAATGGAATCTCATTAGTAAACCGTATCTGAGGATATATTTTCAAATGATAAATAAAATTACCCACATTAAGTTATCAGCCATATTTGAGATGTCAATTGGAAACCATCATTATTTATGAGTGTCTCTGGGTACTTAGACTTGTACTAAGCACCATACAGTAGAATGATTATAGCATCAGAGGCAATCCCTTCAAGGAGCTCACTTTCTGGAAAACATTTTAGGCAAAGTTTTGCTGAGCATCATTCTCAACCAAGGTGATTGATGTCAAGGAAGGACAAACTTCCTCTTAACCTGGAAGGATGAGTGAAGTAAGTTTCTTTCTCCATCAAAACAAGCCAAGACCAGGAGAGAAGGAAAATGGGTTCCAGGTGAGAATGCTCTTAGGGAGTTTTATATGACACAAAGGAAAGCAGAACACATTCATTTTCCTCTCCTCCCAGCTGCTCTAATGGCATAAAGTGCTGCTGTCCTACCCATATACATCTGCTTGCAGATTGGCATCTGCAGATGATTGCCTCCAGGTGTTTACCTGAAAGAAAATCCTGAAAGTCAGTGCAAGCTGGAAGCCTCACCTCCAGGAGCAGATGCTGGCCTGCAGAAACCTGCAGACCTCTGCAGATATATTTTTTAAAATAAAGTTGAAATCAAGATTCTAAAAACAAAGGAGGCATAAATTAAGAACTTACTTACAGGACATTTTATGTTTACATCCTTTGAACATTTTTAAATAAAGCCTCTGTGTAGGCATGAACAAAGCTGTGGGTTCTATTCCTTCTCAAAGAAGAAATAGCCTGCTAGATATTTTCTATGTACTATGACAACTGGTTTAGATGCTGAAAACATAGAGATTCCCAAAGGACAAATTCATTTAGGATAAAGCAGCTATGAAAAACTGAAAAACTGAATGATGATAGAAATCCATTACAACATATTTTTCATTAAGGACTTCCTCCTTTACTTTAAAAGTTACTGTCCAAAAAAACAGAAGTAAATATCAAAATGTCATACCTACAAACACCTGAGTCAGCTTAGTTCTTGAAAAACATTTCTCCAAACATTTCTTGAAATGGGCTGGATTAAGCTGGAGAGAATAAAACTGAATAGATGATTAAGTTTTCTGTTAAATGGACATTTTTGCCATTTATTTGTGCATCCTGGTTGTCCTCATGAGAGTTCTCTTGTACTGTTTTTCTATTCTGTCACAAGTTCTAGTACAGTTAATTAATCAAAAATCACAGTGGTAGTCAATTTTGTTGCAGAAGGTTAATTTTATATATATGTATACTCATGGCCAAGCACAATTTTAGGAATAATAACAAGCTATCACAAAGTAATAAGAATATATTTCTTTTATATGCTTCTTGTCTAATAGACTTTTTTTTGAGATGGAGTCTCCTCTGTCACCCAGACTCCCAGACTGGAGTGCAATGGCACGATTGTGGCTCACTGCAACCTCTGCCTCCCGGGTTCAAGCGATACCCATGCCTCAGCCTCCCAAGTAGCTGGGATTACAGGCACCCGCCATCGTGCCAGGCTAATTTTTGTATTTTTAGTAGAGACAAGGTTTCACCATGTTGACTAAGCTAGTCTCAAACTCCTGACCTCAGGTGATCCACCTGCCTCAGCCTCCCAAAGTGCTGGGATGACAGGTGTGAGCCACCACACCTGGCTTCCTAATAAACTTTAGATCTTTTTGACATTTAGTTCCAGATATGATTTATTCTTTTATTTATTTATTTATTATTTGTTGACAAATTTGCTAGTAGCCGAGAGCAAGAAAGGAAATTCTAAATAAAACAGATGCCAATCCTTATCTCGAGAATCTTAGGATCTGAGTGGGGATGACAAAACATGTATAAAATGCATACTGTAATTTGGAGTATAAATAGGAGAAATTCTGATGAAGTGTAAAGGGATAAAGACTGCAGATTTTACTTCCAGCTAAAAGAAGCCACAAGTTTCATGGAAAAGGTTGCATTTAAACTGGCTTCAAAAAGTAGGTAGGAATTGAAGAGGTAAATGTGACAGAAGGATAACATTGAAGGAAGGAGGAGGAAAAACTTAGTAATATATGAGTCCCTTTTTTGGCAAAATATCTAAAATAAGCAAAAAGAACACATTACAACTTTTACAGTAATTAACCATTGGCAAAGGACAAACTGTCAACAATGTTCTCTGAAATTCTAGCTTGTTTAAATAAAGATGTAGTAATGTACTTAAATGCAACATTAGAAGTCTTAGCAAACACAATAAGCCAAGAAAAAAAAATAACCTGAATAGGAATTTAAAAAGAAAAAGGAAGCCATCATTCTTCATGTATGTTATGATTTTTATCATAAAAATCAAAAGTATCTAAATACCAGCATATAAAAATAAATAATATCCTTTATAACAGCAAAAACTAAAGCATAGGAGTAATAGGAGTTGGAGAAGTGCTAATAGCTCAAATATTCTAAGTGCTATATTGTAGGCATTTATTACCTCAATTACTCTTTACAACAACCCCATTGAATGACTGCTATTATTGTTCCCAACATAGGGTTAAATCAACTGAGACTCATCTAGAAAGTGGTGGAGACAAAATTTGAACTCAGGCACTGGATCCAGAACCCAGACTTTTTTTATTGATACATAATAATTGGATGTTTATGGGGTACATGTGATATTTTGATATATTTGCACAATGGTGATAACGTAAGCAGGGTAATTAGGATATCCATCATCTCAAACATTTATTATTTCTTTGTGTTAGAAATATCTAAATCTCCTCTTCTAGCTATTTTGAAATATGCAATAAGTTATTGTTTATTACAGTCACCTCACTGTGCTACCAAACACTAGAATTTATTTCATCTTTCTAACTGTATTTTTGTACCCATTAACCAACCTCTCTTCATCTCCTCCTCCTTATCCTTCCCAGCCTCTGGTAACCATCATTCTACCTTTTACATCCATGGGATCAACTTTTTTAGCTCTCACATATGAGTGAGAATATGTGATATTTGTCTCTATGTGCCTGGCTTACTTCACTTAACATAATAACTTCTAGTTCCATCCATATTGCTGCAAATGACAGGATTTCCTTCTTTTTTGTGGCTAAATAATATCCCAGAATCTCTGTGTGTATGTGTATGTGCCTGTGAACACTTAGGTTTATTTTACAACTTAGCTATTGTGAATACTGCTGCAATAAGCGTGGGAGTGCAGATATCTCTTTGACATACTAATTTTCTTTCTTTAGGATACATACCCTGCAGAGGGGTAGCTGGGTCATGTGGTAAATCTATTTTTAGTTTTTTTGAGGAACCTCCGTACTGTTCTCTTTAGTGACTGTACAAATTTGCAGTGTACAAACACAGAACCCAGACTTCTTAAGACTTGTCTATTCTAGATCATGGAAAAAATGTCACTTTGTCATGCATAACAATCCAGAAGAATCAATAAGGTTGTTAGAAATAAAGTTAAGAATGAGGTCTTTATAGAGAAAATCAATAAATTTTAATGAAGGACATTAAAAAGTCTTTAAAACCTGGAGACATACACAGTGTTCAGGTTGGAAACACTTAATAGCATAAAGATGCCATTTTTCTCTATAATTTGTGTATGTTTTCAATGCGAGTCCAGTCAAAATATTAACAAGTTTTACTTTAATAGGTTCATTCAAAAATTCATATGAAAGAGCCAAGAATGGCCAATACAAAAAGGTAGGACTTGTTCTAGCACATATTGAGGCATAATATAATAATACAATAATTAAAATGACGTGGCATTTGTGCACAAATAATTTAATAAATCAATGAAACAGAACTGAGAGGCCACAAACAAACTCATATGTATGTGAGAATTTTACATGTGACATTACAATGCAATGAATAGAGAACGTTATACTCAAGGGAAAGGACCAGGAAAATTGGTTATCCTTATGGGACAAAATAAAATAAGATCTCTAACACACTCCATATACCAAAGTATATTCCAGATAAATTAAAGACTTAAATGAGAAAAGAAGAAAATATGGTGAAAATGTTTGTGACTTCATGGTATTCAAAGGTTATTTTAATAAAACAATAATATCTCCTATCAGAGACAAATCTAAATTTATCTTCTTAAAAACTGAGTCCCCCACACCACTGGTGTGAGCACCCACAGAAACATCACAGCCCCATTCCCACTATTACATTCCCCCAGCCAACACACGCGCATCCTGCCATGCTGCTGCAGCTGCTGGCACATGCAAGTAAGCATGGATCCCACTACCACCACCCCAACAAAATGCTTTAGCCAGCACCACCCATCTGAATGTTGTGGCCAGCAGACCAGGAACATCTTGGCCCCTCCAGTGCAGCAGATTCCTAACCTCAAGAGGCCAGAAAACAAAGCTGAGAGACGAGTACCAGGCCTCCAGAGATACAGCATACAGCCTGGAAATGCTGAGCTGATCCTTGCCCCTCCTAAAATCTTTCAGAAATGAAGTCAGTTGACAGAATTCACTTTATACCATACTCAAACCCCCAAGGGCCTCAGCGAAAATGAAAGTACAAAAACCCATTTAAAGGATAGCAGTTTCAAAGATTGAAGGACCTTCAGCCTACACAGAAGAGAAATAACCGACACAAGAACTCTGGCAACTCAAAAAACAAGAGTGTCTTTTCACCTTCAAACTACCACACTAGCTCCCCAGCAATAGTTCTTAACCAAGCTGGAACTGCTGAAGTGACAGAAATATAACTCAGAATATGGATAGGGATGAAGATCATCGACATTCAGGAGAAAGTTGAAACCCAACCCAAGGAACTTCAGAAACACAATAAAACGATACATGAGATGAAAGATAAAGTGACCATTTTAAGAAAGAACCAAACTGATATGATAATAGAGCTGAAAAACTCACTTCAAGATTTTCATAACAAAATAGCCAGTATTAACATAGAATCAACCAAGCTGAGGATAGAATCTCAGAGCTCAAAGACCAGTTCTCCAAAATAACTCAGTCAAATAAGCATAAAGAAAAAAGAATAAAGGAGAATGAACAAAGTCTCCAAGAAATGTGGGATTATGTGAAGAGACCAAATTTAGGATTCACTGGCATTCCTGAAAGGAGATAAAGCAATCTTGGAAGGAGAGAAAGCAACTGAAGGAGGGAAAGCAAGCAATTTAAAAAACATATTTGAGAATGTCATCCATGAAAATTTCCCCAACCTCACTAGAGAGGCCAACATTTAAATTCAGGAAATGCAGAGAACCCCTGAAAGATACTATAAAAGATGACCATCCACAAGGCACATAGTCATCAGATACTCCAAAGTTAAAATAGAATGAAAGATGTTAAAGGTAGCTAGAGAAAAGGGGAAGCTCACCTACAAAGGGAATCCCATCAGGCTAACAGCAAACCTTTCAGCAGAAGCTCTACAAGCCAAAAGAGATTGGGGGCCTACATTCAGCATTCTTAAAGAAACAAAATTCCAAGCTGAGCATGGTGACTCTTGCCTATAATCCCAGCACTTTGGGAGGCTGAGGCAGGAAGATCACTTGAGGCCACAAGTTCAAAACTAATCTGACCAACATAGTGAAACCCCGTCTCTACTCAAAATGCGAAACATTAGCTGGGAATGGTGGTGCACATCTGCAATCCCAGCTCTCAGGAAGCTGAGGCATGAGAATTGCTTCAACCCAGGAGGTGGAGGTTGCAGTGAGCCAAGATTGTGCCACTGCACTGTAGCGCCTGGGAAACAAAGCAAGACACTGTCTCAAAAGAAAAAAAGAAAAGAAAAGAAATGCCAACCAAGAATTTCATATCCAACCAAACTAAGCTTCGTAAGTGAAGGAAAAATAAGACCCTTTTTAGACAAGCAAATGGTAAGGGAAGTTGTTACCACCAGACCTGCCTTATAAGAGGTCCTTAAGAAAGTGCTAAATATGGAAAGGAAGGACCATTACCAGCCACCACAAAGTCTCACGTAAGTACACAGACCAGTGACACCACATATCAACCACAGTATCTTGTCTGTATATTAACCAGCTAACAACAAAATGACAGGATCAAATCTGCATATGCCAATATTAATCTTGAATGTAAACAGGTTAAATGGCTCAATTAAAAGGCACAGAGTGGTAAATTGGATAAAGAAGCAAGACACTACTTTATCCTGTCTTTTAGAGACCCATCTTATATGCAATGATACCCATAGGCTCAAAATAAAGGGATGGAAAAAAACATACTAAGCAAACAGAAAACAGAAAAAAGCAGGAGTTGCTATCCTAATTTCAGGCAAAACAGACTTTAAACAGACAATGATTTTTTAAAAAGGACAAAGAAGGGTATTACATAATGATAAAAGATGCAATACAACAAGAAAACCCAACTACCCTAAATATTTATGCACCCAACACAGGAGAACTCAGATTCATATAGCAAGTCCTTAAAGATCTATGAAAGAAACTTAGATAATCACACAATAATAGTGGGAAACTTCAATACTTCACTGACAGTATTAGATCATTAAGGCAGGAAATAAGAAAGATATTCAAGACCAGAACTCAATACTTGACCAAATGGATCTAACAAACATTCTTGAAAATCTCCACCACAAAACAGCAGAATAGACATTCTCATCTGCATATAACATGTACTCTAAAATTGATCACACAATTGAACATAAAACAATCCTCAGCAAATTAAAAAAAAAAATACCAAACACACTCTGAGACCACAGTGCAATAAAAAAAGAAATCAATACTACAAATATCACTCAAAACCATACAATTACAAGGAAATCAAACAACCTGCTCCTGATTAACTTTAGGATAAACAATAGAATTAAAGCAGAAATCAAGAAATTCTTTCAAACTAATGAGAACAACGATATAACATATTAGAATCTCAGGGACACAGCTAAAGGAGTATTAAGAAGTAAGTTTATAGTGTTAAATGTCCACATCAAAAAGTTAGAAAGATCTCAAATTAACAACCTAACATCACACATAGAGGAACTAGAGCAAGCTTACCCAACCCACAGGCTGCAGGATGCATGCAGCCTAGGAAGGCTTTGAATGCAGCCCAACACAAATTCATAAACTTTCTTAAAACATTCTGAGATTTTTTTGGAAATTTTCTTAGCTCATCAGCTACTGTTAGTGTTCATGTATTTTGTGTGTGGCCCAAGACAATTCTTCTTCCAATATGGCCCAGGGAAGCCAAAAGATTGGACACCCCCGAGCTAGAGGAACAAGAGCAAACCAAACCCAAAGCTAACAGAAAACAAAAAATAACCAAAATCAGAGCTGAAATGAAGGAAATTGAAATGTGAAAAACCATAAAAAAGACAGATGAATTGAGGAGCTTTTGTTTTGAAAGAATAAATAAGATTGATAGACTGCTAGCTAGACTAATAAAAAAGAGAAGATCTAAATAAACACAATCAGAAATGACAAAGGAGACATTACCACCGACTGCACAGAAATACACACACAAAAAAACAGAGACTACTACAAACATCTCTATGCATACAAACTAGAAAACCTAGAAGAAATGGATAAATTCCTGGAAACATACAGCCTCCCGAGATTGAACCAGGAAGAAATTAAATCTCTAAACAGAAAAATAATGTGTTCCAAAATTGAATCAGTAATAAAAAGACTACCAACCAGAAAAAGCCCAGGACCAGAAAAATTCAGTCAAATTCTACCAGTTGTATAAAGAAGAGTTGGTACCATTCCTACTGAAACTATTCCAAAAAATAGAGGAGGAGGGCCTCCTCCCTAAGTCATCCTATGAGGCCAGCATCATCCTGATACCAAAACCTCACAGAGACACAACAAAAAAATAAAACTTCAGGCCAATATCCTTGATAAACATTGATGCAAAAATGCTCAACAAAATACTATCAAACCGAATCCAGCAGCATATCAAAAAGTTAATCCACCACAATCAAGGAGGCTTTATCCCTGGGATGCAAGGTTGGTTTAACACATGCAAATAAATAAATGTGTTTCACCACATCAACAGATGTAAAGATGAAAACCATATGATCATCTCAATAAATGCGGAAGATACTTTCAATAAAATTAAACATCCCCTCATGTTAAAAACCCTCAACTAGGCATCAAAGGAACATACCTCAAAATAATTAGAGCCTTTTATTAACAGCCAACATCATACTGAATGGGCAAAGCTGGAAGCATTGCCCTTGAGAACTGCAACAAGACAAGGATGCCCACTCTCACCGCTCGTCTTCAAAATGGTACTGGAAGTCCTACCCAGAGTAATCAGACAAGAGAAAGAAATAGAAGGCATTCAAATAGGAAGAGAGGGAGTCAAACTATCCCTCTTCGCAGACATATTGTTGATTTATTGACATATTGATTCTATACATAGAAAATCCCATGGTCTCTACCCAAAAGCTCCTACATTGATAACCAACTTCAGTAAAGTTTCAGGATACAAAATCAATGCACAAAAATCAGTAGCATTTCTATACATCAATGTCTAAACTGAAAGCCAAATCAAGAATGCAATCCCATTCTCAATAGCTGCAAGAAGAATAAAATACCTAGTAATACAGCTAACTACAAAGGTAAAACATGTCTACAATGATAATTACAAAACACTGCTCAAAGAAATCAGAGATGACACAAATAAGTGGAAAAACATTCAATGCTCTTTGATAGGAAGAATGAATATTGTTAAAATGGCCATACTACCCAAAGTAATTTATAAATGCAATGCTATTTTTATCAAACTACCAATGACATTCTTTGCAGAATTGGAAAAAAAATTTAAATTCATTTGGAATCAAAAAGAGCCTGAATAGCCAAGGCAATCCTAAGCAAAAACAATAAAGCTGGAGGCATCACATTACCTGGCTTCAAACTATATTACAAGGCTACAGTAACAAAAACAGCATAGTACTGGTACAAAAACAGACACATAGACCAATGAAAAGGAATAGGGAACCCAGAAATTATGCTGCACATTTACATCTTGAAAAGGGAATGCTCATACACTGCTGGTGGGAATGTAAATTAGTTTAGCCATTGTGGAAAGAAGTTAGGTGATTTCTCAAAGAATTTAAAACAGAATTACCATTTGACCTAGTAATCCCATTATTGGGTATGTACCCAAAGGAATATAAATTGTTCTACCACAAAGACACATGCACATGTACGTTCATTGCAACACGATTCACAATACCAAGGACACAGAATCATCCTAAATGCCTAACAATGATAAACTAGGTAAAGAAAATGTGGTACATATACACCCTAGAATACTACTCAGTCATAAAAGAATGAGATGATGTCCTTTGCAGGAACATGGATGAAGCTGGAGGCCATTAACTTAATTGAATTAACATAGGAACAGAAAATCAAAGACCACATGTTCTTACTTGTAAGTGGGAGGTAAACATTGACTGTACATGGACACCAAGGAGGGAACAACAGACTTGGGCCTACTTGAGAGTCGGGGGTGAGAAGAAGATGAGGATCAAAAAACTGTCTATCAGGTACTATGCATATTACTTTAGTGATGAAATAATCTGTAAACCAAATCCTCATGACATGCAATTTGCCTATATAACAAATCTTCATGTTTCCTTGAATCTAAAAGTTAAAAAAAAAAATTAAAGTGCCTGTACAATAAAGGCATTATGGATATTTACAGACAAATCATATCGGAAGTGATTATTGGCAATGCATATAACTCATTGTCTTGTTTTGGTTATTTTTTTGTACAGAATTGGACAACAGATATGAATAAGCAATTAAGAATAAAACATACAAACAAACAAACCTCACAGGGAAAATAAATCTTTATTAGTTTGCTCACTCTCACTAGAAATCAGGGAAATGAAAATGTAAGGAGAATTAATACTGAGATACTATTATACATACTTTAAATTCACCAAACGTGGAAGGACACAAAAAGTCAATGCCTTTTATTTTATTTTATTTTATTTTATTTTATTTTATTTTATTTTGTTTTGTTTTATTTTATTTTATTTTATTTATTTTATTTTATTTTTTGAGACAAGGTCTTACTTTGTTGTCCAGGCTGAAGTGTAGTGGCATTATTATGACTCACTGCAGCCTGAACCTATCTGGGCTCAGGTGATCTTCCCACCTGAGCCTCCCAAGTAGCTGGGACTACAGGAGTGCACCACCATGCCCAGCTAATTTTTGTATTTTTTCGTAGAGACAATGTTTCACCATGTTGCCCAAGCTGGTTGCAAACTCCTGAGCTCAAGCAATCTGCTTGCCCTGGCCTTCCGAAGTTTTGGGATTACAGGTGTGAGACATGGTGCCCGGTGTGAGCCATTGGACTCTTTGTGTCTAATGCCATTTATGTACATTTTTAAGCATGGAAAACAATATACTCTTTTGTTTATAGATTACATCCTAAAATGTAAAAAAAAAAAAAAGAAAGAAAGAAGCAAGTAAACACACCAATATGAGAACAGTGATTGCCTTTGGAGAGGAAGAGAGGTGAAGAGGATGAAAATAAAGTTTAAAAAAAAAAAGGAATTTTAACTACTTTTTAAAATGATTTATAGCAAATATGGCCAAATGTCAACATCTGTTACATCTATGTGTTTGCTACATACATATTTGTTATTTTAATTACATACTGCTCTGTATCTTTGAAAAACTTTTAAATTTTATTTAAAGTTCACTGATGAATATCCAAAACTACTATATTTCCACAGATTTTTCTTGTATTCTGATTATTAAAATGAATGTACTTATAGGTCTTTCATTCCAGGGACATAAATAATGAAATTCAATGCCTACCCTTAGGAGTTAATAATGAAATTCAATGCCTACCCTTAGAAGTTTATAATGTGGCTGGAGAGCTATATATGTTAAAAAAAATCATTTAGGCAGTGGGAACTTCCTACTGGTAATAAAAACAGTAAGAAATTTAACTTAGCAGTTAGCTTCATGTTGATTACTTATATCTTTTCTCTACTTGCTTGTCTAAATTTCTTAAAGGAGTTGTGTTTATTGCATCTATAGCAGGTCTACTACCATTGGATATTAAAGATATCCACATTATTTTTCTGCACTCGCATTTTTGTTTGACTAGGCCAAACCAGATTTACTAGGAGTAAGACAGACGATTTGCAAAATAGTGAGTCATTTCCATGTGTATGAGTAATAAGGGATTGCTTTTTATAATTTAACAGAAAGCTGCATTTTCCAACTATAATAATAAGTGATAGCTACCATACTTCAAAGCACCCCTACAGTTATTCATTGATCATTCCTTTTTGGAGTAAGCTCAAAGTGAAGACAAATGTTTTTAAAGGCAACCGAATGTGCATTTATAGCACACATATAATTATAACTGGAGAGGAGAGAAATAAATCATTTGAAAGAATTTTTTAAATATTTTATTTTTCTAAGTAAGTATGAATGGGTGTTTTGTAAAAATAAAGAATTCCTGAAAAAAAGTTGGAAGAAAAAGAAGGATTAACAAGACAGATGATGAAGTTCATCTAAGAATAGCAAACAATTTTGGATATAGATGTGACATTTGTTATAAAAGTTTAGGGTCTGAATAAATGCACCTCTTGTATGGTGGCTCATAAAATTGCTTCTCAGAGAAACAAATTTATTTTTTGAAAACATGCTATTATGGAACAAGATACATAAAAATTCATCTTGTTGCTGTTGTTCTTCACAATATCTTAATAACCAGTAGCTATCTCAATATAGATTAAGTCTATTAGATTGAAATTTAAAGCATGTTTATTACAGAGTTTGGTTTTCAATTTAAAAACACTTGTGTACCCCATAAATATATATAGTTACTATGTACCCACAAAAATAAGAATAAAATAAAATGAAAACATATTCATATTTACAAACTATTCATCTGATAAGGGATTAATAACCAGAATATATAAGGAGCTCAAAGATCTCAATAGGAAAATATCTAGTAATCCAATTTTAAAATAGGCAAAACATCCGAAGAGACATTTCTCAAAAGAAGACAAACTAATGGCCAAAAGGTATATGAAAAAATGCTCAAATGATGATTAACCATCAGAGAAATGCAAATTGAAATTGCAATGAGTTATCATAACACCCCAGTTACAGTGCTTTGCATCAAAAAGACACGCAGTAGCAAATGCTGACAAGGATGTAGAGAAAGGGGAACCCTTGCATACTGTTGATGAGAATGTAAATTAGTACAGCCACCATGGAGAACGATGTGGTGGTTCCTCAAAAATACCAAAAATAGAACTACCATAGGATTCAGCAATCCTACTGCTAGGTATATATCCAAAAGAAAGGAAATCAGTATATCAAAGAGGTATCTGCACTCCCATGTTTATTGCAGCACTGTTCACAATAGCCAAGATTTGGAATCAACCTAAGTGTTCATCAACAGATGAATGGATAAAGAAAATGTGATACATGTACACAGTAGAGCACTAGTCAGCCATAAAAAAGAATGAGATCCTCTCATATGCAACAACATGGATGGAGCTGGAGGTCATTATGGTAAGTGAAATAAGCCAGCACAAAAAGACAAATTTCAAATGCTTTCAGCATTTGTGGGAGCTAAAAATTAAAACAATTGAACTCATGGCAATAGAGGGTAGAATGATGGTTGATACCCATCCCAGAGGCTAGGAAGTGTAGTTTGGAGGGAGGGATGGTTAACGGGTACAAAAACATAGTTAGATAGAATAAATATCGTCTAGTATTTCATAGCACAACAGGGTGATTATACTCAACAATAATCTATTGCATATTTTTAAATAACTGAAGGAGTGGAATTGGAATGTTCTTACATGAAGAAATGATAACTGTTTGAGGCAATAGATACCCCATTTACCCTGAAGTGGGTATTACATATTGCATGCTTGTATCAAAATTCACATGTATTCCATAAATATATTTACTATGTACCCATGAAAAATAGAAATTAAAAAAATTAAAACATATTAATATTTCTAGAGAGCAAGAGAATATTTGTAAATATGTAAACAGCAGCATAGAATTCATACCTGGCTTTTGGTAAGAAATTACCATTACTAAAATTTCTCTGTAACTGTATTTATTGTGGTATAAAAGATATTTCAAAAACTAAGGTAGAAAGGTATTTAAAAATGAACTTAGAAGTTGATTCCAAATGTTTCAAATTCTCAAATTAAAAGAAAACTTAAAATATTGAAAATATATAGTACACCAAATATTCGCAAAGATGTCAATATTATTACAACCCTTTATCCCATTTTATGTTGTACTGTGTTACAAAAACAACAAATGGGACTTTCTTATGCTGGAAAGACAAAGGTTTGTGACAGGTCCTTTCCCCAAGACTCTGGCACAAGTTTCAGAGTGCAGGGAAGAGGTGACAGGATGACTGGGCCTGAGAACCAAATGAGTAAAAAGTATATGCTATCTTCAAAACTACACTTTGAAATCTCAACCAACCACTGTCCTTAGATGGACCTCACACTCCCTTCCCATGATACGTTGTAATTCTTTAGAAAAAAAAATAGTGAACTTGCCTTTCTGAAAGTTATAGCTGGCAAAATGCAATTGAATTTAATGGAATTTTTGCTATGTATTTGTAAAGGAGATAAGATATTGTAGAGAGAGGTATAGAACTCAGGCTGGAGTAAAAGTGGATAAAATATTTGAATATAAAATGTTAAAATCACGTTTCTGAGATATGCAAAATTAAGGAATTGCATCAATTTCAGGGGTTTGTTTTCTAGTGAAAACATATATAATTTCTGTGAGTTTTCTATTGTGTTTTTCTTCCTACCTGTCTGTTTTCAAACCTGAAAAGACACTACTTGGCAAAATAGTTAAAAATCTGCATAATAAGTATGCTCATTAAATAAATATTTAAGGAAAAAAGGTAATAGAATTTTTATAAGGAAAAAGTGCCTACAATTTACATTCAGTGAGAAATTAAGTAGAATTTTGGACAAAAATTGTATTATTAAGATTTTTATAAAGATGTTCTGTTTTCCCATCAAAACTTCTTTTGGGATTTTTATTGTTTAACTGGGTGATGATGGACTTTGATGTAATGCAGGGCTTCTTAAATGTGGCATTATTAAAACTTTTGCCTGTATAATTGTTTCTTGTCTTAGAATCTACTCTTTTTCATGATTCTTTTTTTGTCAAAAAAAACCCCCTAAAATCTCAGTAGCAAAAAATAGATGGAAAAGTTAATGCCTAATTATAGTGAATTCTTACAGTTTTATGTTGTCTCGACACCCACTTTCACTATAACTTGGACTTTCTCATAACAGAAGCAGGGCTCAGTCACCCTTGACACAGTTTTCAATTCCATACCTCCTCCCAGTTTCTCAATGTGTTTGATGCAGATATCTGCCTTATGCAACTTCCTCTTGGTGATCACCTCGCTTTGAAACAACTATATGCAGCCTACATGAGTGGTCCCGCTGATTCTCACACCCCGCATGGACTACGCAGAAATGCCATAGAGACTGCTTTTCAGTCACGGCAGAACCTCCTGAAACTTGTACCTCCTTGTTTCAAACCTATCAATTAAAACTCCCTGTGGAAAACCTGTTTGGATAATGCCCCGGACCCAATAAAGGTGTAGGCCCACAGGTTTCTCTGTCTCTCCACACACTCCCTAATCTCTCTCTCTCTCTTTCTCTCTCTCTCTCTCTCTCGTGTGTGTGTGTGTGTGTGTGTGTGTGTGTGTGTGTGTGTGTGTGTCTTCCAAGTGTGCTGTGTGCCGCCCAGGACCTGTAAGTAACGAAATCTAAATTTCCATCTTGTGTCTCTCCTAATCATTGAAGGTGCACTATCCATTGTAAAGATTCAAAATTAAAACACTAGTGAGGTCGCATAAGAGTACAGCAAGGAAACAAGTGTCCTGTGCATTGTAGAATGTTTAGTAGCAACCCTGGCCTCTTCCCCCGATGCCAGTAACACCACCCTCAATGCCCCCACTCCATCCAGTATTGTGTAAACCAAAAATGTTTCCAAACATTGCCAAATGTCCATCAAGAGGAAAAATCACTGATGCAATGTTTCATCAAGGATATAGAGCCAGGCGCGGTGGCTCACACCTGTAATCCCAGCACTTTGGGAGGCGAGATGGGCGGATCACCTGAGGCCGGGAGTTTGAGACCAGTCTGACCAACATGGAGAAATCCCGTCTCTACTAAAAATACAAAATTAGCCGGGCGTGGTGGCACATGCCTATAATCCCAGCTACTCGGGAGGCTGAGGCAGGAGAATCGCTTGAACCCGGGAGGCGGAGGCTGCAGTGAGACGAGATCTTGCCATTGCACTCCAGCCTGGGCAACAACAGCGAAACTCTGTCTCAAAAAAACAAAACAAAACAAAACAAAAGGATATAGAATCAACAGATATTTGTTGTCTGCCCATCATGTACAAAGTTATGAGTTATGAGCTATCGAATTGTTAAAATATAGTGCTTGGTTTTAAGAAAGGTATAATGTACTTAGAGATGCCAATTATACTTGTATGGATTATCTAAGGAGTAGAAGACCATAAATACAAATATAAAACTACACATATGTCACATATATGTATGTATGTATGTATATATATACATATATGAATGATTACTCAGTGAATTTCTAAGGTAATCCCAGTTCTCCAAGTCCAAAGATGAGAGGATTTGTAGGGGAAGAATTAGTAAATGGTATTATTTATGGAATAGTACAATATTAGCTGCATCTTCAAGGTTGGTTTAGAGAGAAAAGACTGAGTATGAAACATTTGGCCCACCTCTGCAGAGGCTTAGGTAATAAAATTCTGGAAAGTAAAATTTTAAAAAACAAGAAAACAAATGGGGAAGGAATTTTTCTCTTTCCATTTTTAAAAAGAATTTATTCGTAATTATATTTGAAAACCAAGAATATTTTTCTACTGATATTCATTCATCCCTCATATTTTAATCATACAATTTTAAGGAGTCTGATATCCAATTTTGTATTCTACAAATTTTAAGCTGTAAAGCTTTCTGTTTAGCAAAAAGCTGAAAATCAACCTAACAAATCAGTGTTTTGAATAGTTATCAAAATAAAACATAGTATAAAGTCTCTGGTAGTTTGTTTTTTTATCCTTACATAGATAGAATTCATAATACACATTACACATCCCAATTATTAATCTAGTTTGGGTTTTTTAAAATTTCTTTAACTTTCTGAACATTGTTGTTCTTATAATAATTAACAATAAACATCCTAAACAAAATTATACTACAAAAGAAAGATTCTTCATTATTCGGTCTTAATTGCTACTACTTATTGAGCCTTTATAGACTACGCACTATACTAAAGACTTTTCATCGGCCGGGCGCGGTGGCTTACGCCTGTAATCCCAGCACTTTGGAAGGCGGAGGCGGACGGATCAAGAGGTCAAGAAATCGAGACCAGCCTGGCAAACATGGTGAAACCCCGTCTCTACTAAAAATACAAAAATTAGCAGGGTGCAGTGGCAGGCGCCTGTACTCCCAGCTACTCGGGAGGCTGAGGCAGGAGAATTACTTCAACCAGGGAGGTGAAGGTTGTAGTGAACTGAGATCTCACCACTGCACTCCAACCTGGTGACAGAGCGAGACTCCGTCTCAAAATAAATAAATTAATTAAATTAATAGATAAATAGAGGTACTTTTTATCTTCTCCACCCTCAACTCATTCTGATAGACAACAAGTGCGAAAACATGAAATATTTGAATAAGGTAATCATAATGTGGAATTTTCACATGAAGAAAAATTACTTTAAAACATAATAACAATTCAATATCTGAGCTTCCTTGCTGACAGATAAATTTAGAAATAAGTGTTTAAGAAAAAAACGAAAGTTTAGAAAAAAATTATCTAATAAATGGTGTCATTATAATAAATTTTAATAGATTTATACTTTTTATTTTGCCTCTATCCTTTCTTACTTTATTTCATTTTCACTGTACCTCAAAATATACTACAAAGAATTTTTTTATTTGCAGATATACTAAAGCTGGCTTTGTTTTATCTGTAATTATTTAGTAACTCAAAATTAAAGTTTTTTAAAAAAGAAAAGAACTAAGACCAGTAACTTAAAATCTTTGTCTGTTTTAAATAACACACCAATGTGCATAAACCTAAACAATAGCTTTTTTGAGTTTAAATCTTTAAAACTTGGATCAACCTTTATCAAGTGATGCAATGTCCATTACAGCCTATAAATACTGTCAACCTTCTTATTACCTGCTCAACCTCTCAATTTTAATATGGCCAGAATTGCAAAAGGGGGGCAAATTATGTCTTCTCTTGCTAAATGCAAAACATATACTAAAAAAGTTGGCACTACACAATAATTTTCACCAATTTACATAATACATTCAGGGAGAGATTGAAATATGTTGAAAAGCGTTATCTAAATCTTCTAAAATTAGATTTACAGATATATGTTTATTTCGTATTTGAGTATATGCCTCCCTGTAAGCAGGGTGATAGTAAAATAACCTCAGAAGGACTAGTTCATATGTAACTTCATTCATTACATGTGAAATATTTGTTATATGGGAGGCGTGATAAAGAATACAAAGAAAAAATTAATATTTTGTAATATGCTGCATAATGACAAAGTGTATTGCACATGTTAGCATATGTCTTTCAGTAAATAATTTATCACCATTACCAATGGAATGTTTAACTTGAGAATAAGTAACTATGAGTAACTATGTCTGTAATTGTATAATTACTACTCAGTGCTAATTATTTATTAATAAAATTTAAAAATAATTTTGTGTTGCCTAGCTGGTTTTCAATGCACAAAATAAGTACCCACACTAGGATTAAGAACACTTTGGGTATTTAATATTAAACACACTGACCCTCAATTATTATTTTCCTTTTAGAACCAGAAAGTACCAATGATTGGGCTAGACATGTATAAAATGTTTCATGTAAAATGCTGTCTTACTGTTGCATCTTTACTCAACATCAACTTCCAGATGGGAACTATTTTTCATGGTTCATAAAGCCAAATCCAGCTGCTACATTTGGACCTACATAAGGAATCCACATTTTATTGCCTTCACAATGCTTATAAAACAATTGCTGTTGTTTTCGTTAGCCGTGGTGCAACTCACTCTTCTCCATGCAAATGAGATATCCAAAAAGAACTTCTAATGTCTTTATAGTTGATTACTTAGCAGTCCTATGCGTAATACGATCCTGATTTTACAACACTTTTTAGATATTTAAACTAGCTTAAACAAAAACAGTCTTCAAGGGTAACTATAGATTGAGTGAATTACCAAAAGTGTTCTTACAATTTCCTATTAAAACCCACAATGGTTATTAAATACTTCTGTAATCTTAGCTTTATTAAGAGACAGGAAGTGCACAGTTTCCTTTCGCTCCTCGTTCAGCTAATCTGGCTCTTTGATGGTCATGCGCTTGGAATAACCATGGGGTTTCCACCACAGCATAGTCTTCCCACAGCTAAATGGAATTAACCCTGTCAAGCCTCAAGAAAGAAAAGAAAAGAAAAGAAAAGAAAAAGCATCGCATTGTTAGAATAGAAATATATTTGGAACTTTGAGTGAATAGCAGTTATATTAAAATACAGCAATTTGTGCTTAGGACATTTTCGGTAGGGCCACCGATAAAAAGGAAACATCAATTTCAGAAAATGGGAATAACTCGGCTTGCAAAATTACCCATCGTTATTCTTTTTTGCTATCTATAGATGTCAAACGTTTGGTGTCTTCTCAATTATGTTTATTAACTTACTTTTTAGATTCTGAATTAACATCTGCTACTCTATTTTTGCCAAAAGGTCTAAATTCCTAGAAAAAAAATATATAGATAGATAGATGGAAAAGTTAGTACCTAGTGAGTTAATGTAAGAGTATGACAAGGAGGCAAGTTTACTATGAATTGGGAAGCACAGACTATAGTAAACCACCGGTTAATCCCTGTCCTGCTGAGCGGTTGCCCTAGAGGTCTGATAGAGCGCCAAAGCCTCTTACGCATACTGAGACAAAGCTTATTTCAAGCAGAATTCAGCTCCTAAAGCCACCATACTGCTCCCTGACAACCTCCAGTTGCACTGACTCCATATTTGTGTTTCCCGCTGTTTTTATTTATTTGTTCCCAAAGCCACAATAGCTACAAAAACAAATACTTGTTATGCAGTCCTTTGTATCAATACAGGTAAAGTGCTCTGCTCCCTTTTTCACTTGTACATAGTTTGTGCAAATAGGTTTTTAATATATTCCAAGATTAATTTGGTAATTATAAGCCAGTTTAGAAACACACTTTAAACAACAGGTCATATAGTCACCATTTCTATTCCAGAATAATTCTCAGTTTTTGACCCTTGAGCAAAGATGAGCAAATGTGTATTCAAAAAGAAATTCATTTGAATCGTCTACTTCTTTTGCTTTGTCAGGTCCCAATTGATATTCTGTTTGGATTTTTACGGCAATCTTTTTGACCTTTGGCAAGGGATTGTGCTTATTTATCTGATTTAAATTTTTGAATCAAGCTTTTAGGATATTTTTTAAAAATTGGACAAAATGGAATAGAATAGGTGATTTCAGGAAGGTATTTTTATTTTAAGTCAATTATGTTTGTTCTTCATAAAAATAGGATTATGCCTATTGTGGCTATATAAATACATAGCCTGTAGAAGTGTTTGTAGTTTCCCTGGTACAAGAATGTCACCTAAATCCTCTAATGTAATCTGACAGAAGTAGCAGAGTACCTTTTTATAAAACGAAAACAAATAAAGAAGATTAACTTAAATGTAATCATATGTAAAATTTTAAAATGGACTTTAAGCTTTTTATTATTCAATACTATTATAAGCACTAAGAACACTGGGTGGTGAATGTATTTCATATTAAACTCTGTACACAAAAAAAAACTTTGGAAAACAAAAAGAAAATAATATTCTGGCTATTAAACTAAGATATAGATTTCTTTAGGGCTCACACTTCTACCTATTCTGTAATTAGAGTATTTTAAATTAGAAAACATGTATTTGGACATTTCTTGTAGAGAAGATATTATGTCAGAATGTTAAATTATTCCAAGTACATCATGGATTATGCTTTGACAATCTAATTGGTTATCAGAATAAACAAGCTTTATCTTTTTATTTATTTATTTATTTTCCCCTTTAAGGAGTTACTCAAATCTAGTAGAAGTTGATACAAATTTTAAATTTTTACCATGTTCCTTTCTAGAAGTGAATATTCAGTCCTGGAGACTAAAAATGGAAAAAAAATTAAAATAACAATCTTGTAATTCACATTTTTACTCTTGATTGCACCAGTAAACAAGCAGCTTATTTTCAGACAATGTTTTCTAACCTATCAGAAACTGCCTCATTCCTAGTTTTGTAACAGTCTCAAATATTTTTTAAATAAAAAGAAACTATTGAGAGAGAGAGAGAGAAAGAGACAGAGAGAGAGAGATAAGTGTAAAATGTATAGCCCAACAGAATGTCAAAATATAAATAGATGGGGGATTGTATGCCATCCCCTTCAATTTAGCTTATAGTTTTAAACAACGTATTTGGCAACTACTTGTTTTATTTAAAAAAATAGTGTTTGTTGATACCTGAAAGATTATACCAACCAGGAGAAATTCTAAATCACGGTTTTAATAATTTTCTTCTTAAACATTTTAAGGCAAAAGTGAAAGTTTTGCTAATATCCTTTTAAATAGAAATGACAATCAGTCAGGGCACAAGGATAAAAAAGTAAGTCAGCTAGGTCAGCTAATAGGAGATTAGAAAGTGATCCCATACTTCTAGACTGAGACTCAGAAAAATGATTTTAAAAACCCACTACACAATTGTTATTCTTCCTGAAATTATTTGTAGTTTTATTGTATAATCACATGAACATACATAATACAATGCCCTTGAATTTTCTATACTCATCTTTGAGTGCCAAAGGGAGAAAATATTATAGGAAAGGATTAGATCAATAATTCTCAATGCAGGGTGGTTTTGCCCCCATACTGGTGAGGGTACAGGCTAGGGATGTGGCTAAACACTACAGTGCACAGGACAGTCCTTCACAACAAAGAATTATCTGGTCCAAAATGACAGTAGCATCAATGTTGAAAAACAAAAACAACAAAGAACAAAAACATAATTCTCAACTGAGATTTTCTTTTTCTATTGTTTCCCTACTTCCTGGGACACGATGAATAGAACACATGATAATAATTATCACTTACTACAGACTCAATTTTATTGATGTCTCTAAAATTCTGTCTCTAAAATTGTATTTCAAAGTTCCAAGATAGTTCTTGTGGAAATTGACTCATTTAGAGTGTCTTCTCTTTGTCTTCATGCTTTAAATCTCAGATGCCCATAAAAAAAGATGATTTTATGTCCTTTGCAGGGACATGGGTAAAGTTGGAAACCATCATTCTCGGCAAACTAACACAAGAACAGAAAACCAAACACTGCATGTTCTCACTCATAAGTGGAAGTTGAACAATGAGAACACATGGACACAGGGAGGGGAACATCACACACCAGGGCCTGTCCAGGGGTGGGAGACAGGGGGAGGGATAGCATTAGGAGAAATACCTAATATAGATGACAGGTTAATGAGTGCAGCAAATCACCATGGCACGTGTATACCTATGTAACAAACCTGCATGTTCTGCACATGTACCCCAGAGCTTAAAGTATAATAAAGTTTTTTTAAAAATCCCAGATGCCACTTTGGTCTAGTTCTCCATTATCAAGATCAGATATTCTCAGAGGAAAACACAACATTTTTCTGGACCTAACATATGGGATAACCACACTTTTAAAATGCTAGAAGGAAGAAAGAGAAAAGCCAGGAGCCACAATCTCTTATCATTAGAAATTGCATTGTAAGGTAGCTATACAAGAATGCCCCCAATAGAATTGATCAAACAAGGTGAATATGTGGTGGAAAATTCTAAACTCATATGCCATCTTAGAATTTGTATGAATTTTGTTTTCCCTAATTTAAAAAATGAAGACAAGAAAACATAGTGATCTTCCAACCCAGTACTTTCCAAAATATATTCCTAACAATAACGTCTTAAGAAAATGATTTGATGATCAAATATTAGAAAACACAGCGAACATATTGCCAACATCCTTAAAGATTCTCAATACACCTTGGTATAGTAAAGATTCTGAGAAATGCTGCAATGAAAGCATCATTTTAGAGTTTTGATTAATCTTGTGTTTCTCCAACTTGACCCAAGAAATACTTTATTGTGCTTGATTTTGTTATCTTCATTGCAGCTGCTAACATCTGGGAAGTACTATATCAGAAAACCCAGTTATTCTAATGTACAATAGAACTATTCTTTTTCATCCCATCTTAAAGAGTATATGAGCTTGCATATTTTACATATATCATCAAACACAATTTTTTTACTTAAGATAATAAAGAATGTCCCTGAATTCTCAGATTCCAACTAGCTAGTGCTACATGCACAAGTTATTGAAGATCTTAGGGAAATTAACTCCATCAGCTAATGCAAAATACTCTCCAATTAAAAACATTTCCAGTCAAAGTCAAATTCTCTAAAGCCATCACGTTTTGTTTTCATTTAAGACTGTCCAAGGAACACATAAATCTAAATGATCAGAATTACTTCACTCAGTTAATACTCCTGTAATTTAAATGATTTTATTATGCATACATGCAGAACTTATAAATTATACATTCAGAACTTATAAATCATACATTTATAAACAATTATTCTCCTTTTCATTTTATTTTTAAAATTAATCTCATTTATCATTTTTCAGTCTATAATAAATATGTCCATTTTATCTGCTTCTGAGTGAAAACAAGAGTTGGTGGATTAGTAGTAACAAAAAACACGAAAATGTATCAAGAATTGCCCCACCTGTTCTATCTAGTAGCTCCCACCCCACCACCCTGAACCAGTGGAAATAACTGTGTCACCCTGAATGGCAGACACAATTACTATTTCCGTTCTTGAGTCAGGATTCAAGCCAATAACATGTTTTAACTGACATGAAAACTTTAAAGGAATAAGCATTTTACACATAGCAAATATTTAACAATTTTATTTTTTATTTTTTATTTTTATTTTTTTTGCTTCTCACAGAAAAGTTTGTAAGGTAGGTACTACTCCTCTCATTATATATGTGAATAAATGGAGGAAGATAAGTAACTTGCCCAAAATCACAAAGCCAGAAGATGAATCCCAAAAGAACATTAATCCAGGGCTGTTTCTTTCTGCTAAATGATGCTATTGCGTCCTTTCAGGGCTTCTGGGAAACTCTTCAGACTTGCTGACAGCACTTTTCTAGGACAGCTGAGACGCATTCGCTAATCTCTGAGCTGCTTGTCCTTTGTGGTTTACTTTGGCCAAGACATAGAAAAGACAGTTGAGAATAACAGTTATTTGCATGCCTGGAAATACTTAGCAAGTAAAAATGATTTCTACAAATAATGTATTTACTATGTAGAAAAGGATCTTTCTGCTTTTCTAGCTCATTTTCCTGCATAAATTAATTTTGTCTTACCTTTGTTCAGTGTTCACTGCCATTTAGCAATGTGTCATTTCTATGAATTACAGCGATAATACCATAATAATAATAAAGAAAAAGAGGAAGATGAGGAAATAGATATAAAAATGATAAATATTTTTCATTGAAAAGTTATCTCAGATTTTATATTAAAACAGTATAGCAATAATTGCCTCTTTATTTGCTGGAAGTTGTATTTTTAATAATTTGCTTCCTACATCTGGCATAGAATTTACCAGAGAAAGTATGTGCAATAAAAAGAGATAAGTAAAATTTTTGTTTGTTTTTAACCTTTTGTGTAAGCAGGGTTACAAAATGCCAAGTGAAATCTGAAATTTTATTTTTCTCATCTAATCTAATTTCCTACAGAAAATTATCCTAGGAAAATATAATATATATTGGCTTACTTCTTAAGCCGCCTCCTCCTTTAAGTAATATTTTTGTGCCCTTGAATATTTTATCTAATTATAAAACCAAGAAAATGAGATGTTTTTGCACAAAACTTAATAAAAATTGACTCAAGACACAACATTTTCCTGTCTCCATACAAACTGGTGATGAATATTTTAAATTCTAGCAACCACATGTATTTTAAAATAATTTTCTTAACTTCTTACTCTGTTTTTTTTTAGAGACAGGATCTCGCTCTGTCTTCTGGACTGGAGTGCAGTGGCATAATCATGGCTCACTGTAGCTGCAAACTCCTGGGCTAAAGTGATCCTCTCTGGTAGCAAGGACTGCAGGTGTGTGCCACAATACCCAGCTAATTTTTAAATTTTTTGTAGAGACAAAGTCTCTCTGTGTTGCCCTGGCTGGTCTTGAAATCCTGGCCTCAAGCAATCCTCCTCCTTCAGCCGCCCAAAGTACCAGGATTACAGGCTTGAGCCACTATGCCCAGCCTCCTTAGGTATATATTTATCACAACTGTTCCATAAATTATTTGTATAATTGATAATACAAGAAAATCCCTAGTAGTTACTCAGTTGTGGCCAAATTATCTGCTGAGGCTTAGAATAACAGTATAATAGCAATAACAACAATACTAACAGATAACATTTAGTTAATGTTTATTTTGTGCTAGGCTGTGTTAATTTAATTTAATCTTCATGGTAATTCCATTGAATGTAAGTATTATTATTATTTTCATCATTATATTCTTATTACCGTAAATGAGAAAATTGATGCCCTGATTGTGCAGCCAGCAGTGGTGGAATGAGGAATTGTACCCAAACAATCTCAACCTCAGAACTACAGCTTTTAACCAGTATGTTATACTACACCCAGGAAGGCCTTAACTTTGATATTTCCCTTATTTTTATTTCTCTGTTTGTGCTGTCAGAGTAGATGGGTTTGCCAGGAAAGTTTCAGAACTCACCAGACCTGCTGGAAGAACTTCAGACTTAGCGATGCCTTGAGATTGTGCCATATCAAACCTAGCTCCTGAGAGTCTTTCCAGCTTAAAGTCACATCCTAGAGCTTCCCAGGAGCTGTCATACAGAGGGAGGAAACCATCAGTCAGTCACCTGAACATCTGTAACACCAAACAGCCATTTCAAGAGGTAGAGCTTTGCCCAGTGCATTTTAGGCCCTCTCTTGGGAACATAAGGTCACCCCGCTGGTTCAGAAAGTTGAAAACAAGCTCTTATTAAGTGATGGATGTGGCATCATTGCACAAGATGTTCCCTGAGTAATGTTTTCCTGTTCCTGGAACTGAAAAGGAAATTAACTAAGAGAAAAGAAGTAAATTCTGGGACTAAGGCTAGCCAGTGGTCTGTATATTTACTATATTCATGCAGAATAGCAAAAATTTCAGGTGAATTGAAGATATCCTAGAGCCATAAACTGAAAACCTCTTACAGTGACTGTAATAAGTGAGCGTAAGAAAAAACGGAAGGGTAAAGAAGAGTGAGAATTGGGGGGAGGGAGGGAAGAAGGGAGGGAAGGAAAGAAGGGAGGGAGGGAAGGAAGGAAGGAAGGAAGGAAGGAGGGAAGGAAGGAAGAAAGGAAGGGAGGGAGGGAGGGAGGGAGGGAGGGAAGGAAATAGCCAACTGAACATTTTTGAAAATTAAAATTCCATAACACCATTATGGGCTCAATTTGTATTTTGCTAATTCTCACATGAGTTGAAAATTTTGTCCAGTTCTGAAATACTCCTGGGAGGCATAGTATGTAAAGGTGACCAATGTGATGTGGTACACTATCAGATAATATATATGATCAGTTTTTTTGAGATATTTTAATGATTGATATGAATCTATTTTAATGCATTTATAGAAGCTTTGTAAATCTAATTTAGACATATGTTAACTAAATTTTTACTTTTATATGTTCCCACTTTTAGAAAACTGTATTTTTCTTAGAATTGAATAAATTTTTTGTGGGTGTGTGTGTTTTCTATATTCAGTCTCTCTCCCATTATAAATTGTACTTGCTATATATTTGTGCATTGACTCACATTCAATACACAAGAAGTTGTATTGCATATTTCTGAAATATATGTACAATCACGTGTCACTTAACTACAGATATATATTCTAAAAAATGTGTCATTAGGCAATTTCCTCCTGGTACAAACATAGTATAGCATATACTCATATAAATGTAGCTGGTGTAGCTTACACACCTAGGCTATTTAGTATAGCCTATTGCTCCTAGGCAACAAACCTGTACAGCATGTTACTGTACTGGATACCACAGGTAATTGCAACCCAAAGGTAAGTATCTGTGTATCTAAACATAGAAAAGATACAGTAAAAATACAGCACTAAAATCTTATGGGACCACTGTCATACATGCAGTCCATAGTTGGCCAAAACATATCTTGAAGCACATGACTGTGATGGCTTATATGTTAAATTATATTTGTAAATAAAATAGAAGAGCGTATTACTTAATAAAATTCAATCCTTGTATATTTATAAAGTGAAAATGCCCCCTTTATGTGTCCTGTTACATAATAGATATAAAAAATCATTTGTGTAATTAATTAATATAGTATAAGTTCATCCTATATTATGTTCAACTGACAGAAAATAACTAGCTGTTGTCTAAGTTGAACAACCCCTCTGATATTTAAAATTACTGAATCTTCTCTTCGCTTTCCATGAACAAAAAATCAAGATGCCTATTATGACAGATATAGACAGTTTGTAGATAAGAATTTTAATTTTTAAGAGAAAATATAGGTATCATTTCAAGGAATTATTGATATATAATTTCACATTTTAAATCCTCAACAAATATTAAATGTTACTTTTGAATGCTAATTATTGTTTCGAAAGTTAAATATCAAACATCTAAGAAAACTTACTAAATGATCTAGAACAATGAGAGGTAGTGGGAGAAAACAGGTGAAGGGCAGGCAGACGCAAGTTCACAAGGGGCCTCCTAGACCACAGTTAGGGCTATGGAGCTTCAGTCTAAGTACAGGAAGGCCATTGAATGCTTTTTGATGCTTAAGTCACATTTATTGGGGTATAATGTACCTCATGTACATAATTTGGGGCAGAAGCTCCTCACAGCCTACAATACATGTGCAAAATTCTTGGAGTTAAAGGGAGGCACTTTATGAAAATGTGTTTACTTTCCTATTTTTATTTCTAGGGGGATACAACGCATTCTATAGGATTGGAACTCTCTTTATACATATATGTGTGTTTGTGTTTGTGTGTGTGTGAGAGAGAGAGAGTGTGTGTGTGTATATGTGTGTGACAGAGACAGATACATACAAATATGTCACATCATATATGAATGTATTAAAATTCACTCTTTGCATGTAAAACTGATGATTATAGATAAATGTATAAAGATGTGCAACTGTCACAATCAAGAAATAGATCATTTACCTCACACCAAAAAGTTCTCTTGCATCCACCACCCCCTAGCAACTACTGGTCTGATTTTGTCCCTATAGTTTTTCCAAAATGTCATGTAAATGGAATAAATGGAATCTTGTAGGTTTTGTGTCTTGCTTCTCTTAATTAGCATAATGCCTTTCAGACTCACCGATGTTCTGGTATGTAACAGCTCATGATTGCTGAAAGAATTCTATTGTACGAATTATTATAATTTGTTTATTCATTCACTAGTTGATGAACATTTGTATTATTTTCAGTTTGGGCAATTATAAATAAAGCCTTGAAAGCCTTTTAAAGAAGGAGAGACATAATTTGGCTTACACTATAAAAAAATACTGGCTCCTGTACGGAGAATGAATGTCAGGGCATTTAAAGTGGGAGGCTAGAGGCAGGGAAGTCAGCATGCAGTCCAAGTGACAGAAGATGGTAGCTGGTACAAGCAGAGATGTAGAGAAATCAATAGAATTAAAACGGTTATTTTAAAAGCAAAATGTAGAGCACCTGAAATAATATAGAAGTAGGAAAAATCACAGATGCCTGGAGCAACTAGATTATTGTTCACCTCTTCACTGCCGGTTATCTCTCCCCATATCAATTCAGTATGAACACTCCATGGGTATCAGTTAGTGAAATTAAATTTGGGACATCAAAAATTTGAAAACATAGAGTTTTCTATGAAATCTACAATATATCATTCAGTCCCATAAAAACAAATCTTTCATGACAGACAGGTAACTTCTAGAGCCTTATAGTAAGTCTCTACAATACTATCTTTCAACAAAATACGATTTAATTTCCCTTCAGATTTACACTTGGAACACTAAGATTAGATCAGATAATTTGGGGAATTTAAAATAATGTCACATTCACATTTTGGTCTATATATGAATTTATCAAAAATATTAGAACTGTGAGAGACCTCTTTCACTGGGATACCTGAAGCAGCACATAATTCTGAGAGAGATTACTTCAGGGGTGGCCTTAATTCCATAGAATGAACTAAGCGTTCTCCCAGAAAAAATAAGAGAAACAGAATAAGCACATGTTCATAAAGCTCCTCTCTTTAACTCTGAGAATTTTAGACTTGTACCATACAATATATAAGGAGCTTCTACTAAAAATCATCTTCTACTCTTAATTAATAGAAATTGTGGACTAAATACTTTTTTACTCTGTACTCAGTAAATTGCTGTGTAACTACTGAAGTTGAACCTATTACATAAATAATCACATTCTTGTTTTTTCTAATATCTGATATACAAAATTATATAATAGCAATATTTTATATTCAAGTCACCTACATTTATATCTAGACCACTTCTTCACTTTGAGCTGCAAGAATCAAATATGTGTAAACTTTACAAAGCATTTTGAGTATGTTCTACTTCTTATGTACCTGTAGACACATAACCATAAAATAAATTACCAACAGTAGGGACTGACCTTCACTTTCATCATTCCATAGGAAGATACAAATACACTTTTACTTAATTTTGAAGATCAAGTCTTGTAATCAAAATAAAACTCTACTGATCTTTTAAAATAAAAATAACAAGAGCTATTTATTTGTTGTTTTCCCCTGTTATTGATGCTGCTTTTTAAATTTGAAGAAAGTAAAACTCTTAGAGGCTCCTATGCTATGTATTGCCTTAGTGATGAAATTGCCTTGTTAATTTTTTTTTTAACAAGCATTTAGTAGGTGTCTACATTGTATCATTGAGGCCACAGAGATAACAAGAAATGGCCCTTGTCCTCCAAAGTTCCTTTTGTAGAGTGGAATAATAGTGAGTGCTACTCAGCTCAAAGCTAATAGTATCAAATAACTATGCAAATATTTACACATATGACATATATACACATACACCCATCCCAAACTTTAGCAAAATACATATCCCTGACACTTCACACCCATTCTCCACTAAACATTCAAAAGAATATCCCATTGCCATGTAACAACACACATATTAGATATATAAAGTAGCCATTTTATAAATTTTTAATTTGAAATTTTATAGTATTTTTCTTATATATAACAAACTTCATATAACTCAGCACACATAATATTATGACAAGGCCGGTGACCAGGCAGTTTTTTATCCTCTCTGAGTTTCAATTACACATTTATAAAGTGGGTCAATAAATACCTATCTGATAGGGTAGTTGTCAGGATTTGATAGAACAATGTAAGTAGTGGCCAATAGCTAACACTGGAAAAGGCTGAAAAAATGGTAGATATTTCCAGCAGCAGCAGTAGTGTTGTCATTGCTAATCAACTTAGCTACAATGTTTTCTATGAGCAATAAGCACAAGTCAGCTAGCTGGTTTGCTGGAATTTGGTAAGCTCTGCCACTTAAAGACAATATTTTTCTCTCAGAACATCAACATATAAGTGAAAAATTCCCATGTAATCAGGTCAGAACATTGTAACTGAAATAAAGTAAAATCCCCACTATCACACACTTCTATCAAAACAAATTTGATTTGCTTAGAAACACAAAGATGTTAAAGGACAAACACTGTCAAGGAGAAAAATCTAGAAAGAAATATATATTTGTATATAACTAATGGCAATGCAATGTGGGACGCACTATAACAGAAATATGTACAAATTATAATGAAAGAAGAAGTAACAATTTTTGAAGACAGTGATTAAAAAGGACTCTGGAGGGCTTTATATCCAAACCTTTGTAATAGACAATTTTATAATATTAGGCTGTTACGTTGTCTATGTTATATTTGGCAAAACAATAATATCAACAGTCTTTTACATATATGCCCCTACATCTGTGCACAGACTTTTCAAGATGCTAGCTGCCTTCCATCTCCAATTACAAAGAGCATTTTTCTTTCATTTTATGCTAAACATTGTGCAAGGTATTGCAAATACAAATGCATATTAAGAAATAAACGTTATATAAATGCAGGTAGCATGTGTGTTTATTGATACACGATAACTTTCTCAGAGAAGCCCTTCTGTCTAAACAATCTAGTTGTACCTTTCCTCCATACTCTAGCTCACACTATGTTCTTCATAGAATATAACACTCACTGAAATTATATTCTTCCTTTTTCTTTGTTTCCTTTCTTTTTTCTTTCTTTCTTTCTCTCTGTCTGTCTTTCTTTCTACTTTATTTTTTGTCTGTCTCTCCAGTTAAAATGTAAACGTCAGGAAGGCAGGAATTTCCTATGCTTCCCAGCTGTGCCCTCAGTGCTAAGAATTCTGCCTGGCACTCACTTGGTGCCTATGATTTTTGTATTAGGTGCATAAGTAATTAATGCACAAAGAAGTATATATGGGTATTAGTCTCCTATGCCCATATACACCAGTTCCATTCTTAACAGCTACTAAAATTTAAAATTTACTGGATTTCCAGAAAGCTTGTATATTTAATTGCCAAGGATAAATGACTGAAAACATGCATAACCAAATAAGATGACAAGCTCTACTGACAAACATAAATGAATCTTGTCTTCAGCTGATCAGGACCCTTACGTGCATCTTTTCTGCCTGTAAAAATAGTTATGTCATTAAGTCCACAGCAAATATGACAATGGCTAACGAAACTTAAATACAGATATGAGAATATTTCTTCAGCTCTAACTCACAACTAAATATCTGAATTTATGTTTTATTTAGCAAGGGGAATAATCCAGCTTAACTGAAATTATGATCACATATTTATCTGTATCTTAATTATACTGCAATAATATCAAAGCCTATAACATGAGCAGAATTTTCATCACATCTCTAGTTTAAAAACATTTTTTCTCAACCAACCCTCAGGAAAATATTCATGAGGTAAACCTGGCAATACAAAAATAATTATTTGGAAAACATTATATGAGGTGAGTTGTTGCTTCTCTACTGGATGCCAGTTTAAATTGAGCTAATTTGTTTTACCAGTAGCTTAAGAAAACCCCAGCACAGCGTTACAACAATTATATCCAGGTGCAAGGACTTAATTCAACAAATTCTAGGTGGATGCTTCCAGTCAGCACGGTGGGCCCCATTCTCAGCTGTGGCTAAGAACAGACGCCTTGAAAAGCCTCTGTAAACATGATCCAGTCAGTCCTTGAATAGAGATGTTGAAATATTTCCAAAACAAAATAATGAACGTGATATTCTGATGACCACAATTCCAATATACAGATCAATGATGAAAAAGACATAGTAGGAATTATTTTAAATTTGTGAGCAAAATAAGGAAAGTAATTTATTCCTTTGAATTTTTTAGTGTACCAGGTATATGTACATAAGTTTTAAATTTTTCAGTTGTAAATATGAGCATTTCAATTGTAAATGCTCGTATACGTTTTAAGAGAATTTATAAAGATATGGATATAAATCAAAACTATTAACACAAGTATACATGTAGCAAATGATTTTTGAAAAACTTCACTAATGCTCCAAACAAGAAAAATATAAAACATCAGATTTTTAAAAATATGAGCCTCTAACTGATGAATCCACTTGCTTAAATTCATGATGCACAGTTTAGTAGAAAAGATGATGGTGGAGTAAGTGCCCACAACCTCACTTTTAGAAAGTCATACTTTTTAAAATTAAATAAATTTCAGGTTCTTGCTTTATTTGCTTCTTAAATAACTTTCCTTAAATGGTCTTGAGAAAAATGAAGAAAAACACTCCATTATTACAGAGGTAGACACACATAAACATGTATTTTTCCAGCATACTTCTAGATAATATTTTTATAATCTGTTGTGTTTTTCACTCACTGCTGAGGAAGTAAGAACTGGAAACCATTTATAACTTAATATTATTGCAAACAGCTTTTTTAGTTGCTAAAATACGTACTGATGTGCAGGCATATACTGAATTTGGACATAATTGAAATTTGCTAATCATTGGTATAGCAAAACTAGCTTCTAAGTATTCTCCATATACATCTTTATAACTTTCAGTTTGCCAATGATGCTAAGTCTAAATATATTAAAGGATTACTGCCAAAATTTCAGTTTGGGAATTATATCATAAGAGATAGTTATTTTGGTTACTTGTCATTTCTTGTTGTACTCCAACCACGAATTTTCTATTAAAATCAATTTTTAAAAGCTTAAATTTTTCGTTTAAGCTTCTAAACATTTCTCCAGTAAACTCCAGGTGCAACACTTTATTTTATTAATAATAATCTGTAAGCATTAACAATACTAATTAGAAGTATGCCAGACAATTTGAATTAAACCAGTGGGTAGTGCTTATTCAGATGTGGTGTGAATAGTCTGGACACTTTGAAAAACATCCAAAAGGGACGCAAATAAAAAACTGTCAAAAATCTAAACCAAGTTCAGCCAGGCGTACACGACCCGTTCCCATGAATTTAAAGGAAAAATTAAAATCAGCCAGAAGTCCTGAAATAACTTAAAGTTGGATAACAACTCTCATCTTTTGCTAGGGGGTCCTAAAGAAGATAATGATAAACTTTAGTAGACAGACTAAAATCTCTAGGGCAGAAATTTTGGCTAATAATAATCTGGCAATTTGTATCCTCGTTAAGCCCAATTTCCTCAAAAAAAGTAATTTGGATGTGATATTCTGCTCATAACAGTGAGATCAAAATTCCAGTGTGATATCCATATCCAAATAATAAACCTTAACTCAAAGAATCAAGCTTTAATTGCTTCATTGTAAAACATTTGATTTATCTTATAAAAAGTCCATTTCTAATTTAAAGAAAAGAAGATATTTGAAACTTAAAACAATTGAAAACAACATAGCAACATACAGTCCAAAATTGTTTTAACATTTTTTTTTATTTAAACAAATCTTTATTGCAGTCTTATGTGTAATAAGTCAGGGTACAAAACTATGTAAAAATTGAATTCTGATCCCATAGAAACTCAAATTCTCATAAGAAACAAAACACTGTAATAAATGAAATCATTACATTTTATTAACAATTTTACATAATAATATTTATCTGAATTTTATTTTTAAAGTTTATTTTAAAATATTGTATATATTTAAGCTAGTTATCCAGGTTTAGATGCTAGGGTTAGTTTTCCCATTCAGTAAACAAAAACATATAAGTCTATTCCATACCTTAATTATCTGATGAGGCCTAAAACTTACAGACAAGAAAATTTGACGCTACAAACTGAACTCTTAAGTAATTAAAATTACCTAAAGTTCTTAATAAGATGTTTTCAAACAATGATCTAACCAGAAAAAAGAAAAATAATTCCCAGTCTCCTGTGATCCTTATTACAACACTTACTATGGAACATTAAAGCTATGAGTGACATTGGAGATAATCTAGTAGAAAGCTCCCATTTCTCAGGTCAGAAAACCAAGGCCCAGAACCAATGAGTCCAGCTAATTAGTGACACAGATTTATGTCCCAGAACTCCTACATTCCAGTCCAAAGAATGCCAATAGTACACTATGCTAATTCTCAGCTAAAATTTATCATTTTTTTTCCACATGTGAAATATATGTGCTGAAGTTGCTGGTAGAATTTTTAAAAAGAGGAGTTTCAAGCTGCTCAACTTTACCAGTCAAATTGTATACTACAGAAACTTTGGGAACATCTATCATCACCCTCTACCCCAAGTTATAGTAGGCAGTGTTATAGGAAGATTATGATTTATTTTGATAAACCCATGAGATAAAGTTTGAGCAATAAAAAGTATTAAAGTTGTTTAAAGTGGTAAGTATCCCAGCATTTCTTATGCATAGATAAATAACAAGAAGGAGTTGGGGGGAAAATATCCTGTTAAAAAGGAAAAAAGAGGAAATACTGTTTTCTGGTCTAGAAAATTACTTCTTGAAATCACTGAAAAATTATGTTGTCAATCTTAAAGTAAAAGTGCTACAAATACCTAAAAGCCGTACCTGAAAGTGAATATAAACTGTGTCCTATTTTGTCCACTTTTACTTTTGTATCCCATTGG
The DNA here is from genome assembly GCF_000001405.40 of Homo sapiens. Lineage (NCBI taxonomy): Eukaryota > Metazoa > Chordata > Mammalia > Primates > Hominidae > Homo > Homo sapiens. Next base: position 147,498,658 of record NC_000003.12, on the reverse strand, counting down.
GTAAAAATGTAAAACATTGGAAAAATTAATTTTCTTGTAAATTAATATGAAAATGGTGGAAGTGATGATAAAGTTGTGGTATATCGTTTCTTTGTTGAGTTGTTAAAATGATTTTAGCATAGTTTAACAAAACAGTTAAATGTTAGCTTCAAATAACTTTATTTTTAATTTCAATTTTTTCTGATATTTCACAGTAGAAAATTACAAGTGTAATCATTATTGGTCATTGGCCATTAATTTGTTTCAGCGTATGTACCTCAGTGGGCAGTAATTACTGCTCAGCCTTCAATAAGATATCATTAACAAAATGAGAAGACCAGACAAAATATGTTAATTACCGTAAGTGCTCCATTGGCTCCTCCCTGGAATAAACAAGTCTAACAATTAAGATCACACTTATTTTTTGCCAGACTATATTATGCAGTGAAAAAAAAAGGAGGCAGATGCTACATAATTTGAAGAAAGGTTGTTTTGGGGGATTAATATTATTTTCCTTTTAAATTCATATCAGCAACTATAATAACCCAAAGACTGACAGCAGCTCTTGCACCAAGCAGCAATCTCATAAAAGCTCATTGTTAATAGTGAAAGAAAAAATTAATTGACTACTACTGTACCCTATATAATTAAGATAAGAAATATCTCAAACTTATGTAAATGTTTTAATATTTTAAAACTATTTGTAGAGCAAGTTAAATGAATTTCCTATCAATCCATGTATAAATAGACTAGGGAATATTTTAAATGCCCCAGTTAAGAAGTTACAATATGCCAAACTCAGAACATAATTGGTTTGTGTAGCCAGTGTAGTTCTAAGCATTTCTTAGCTTGGTATTTACAGTATGTTGCTATCCTAAAAGCATAATCAAAATACCTGTCACTACAATACTCTCCAGCTTTTAATCTTTATTGCTGCCACTTCATTCCTAAGAACTTTACTTTCTAAGCATATTAATTCTATCTAAGTATTTGTCTTCTACATATATATATACACATATATATACACACATATATATACACGCACACACACACACACGCGCACACACACACACATATATATATATATATGCATTTCACATTGCCGTTCATTCAGGCCTTCCCTGCAACTGGGTTTGCCATGCATCTCAGATCCAAACCTTGCAGCTGTTCCTGCCTTTCTCTTATTGTTCTGAGCAAGGCACATCTCATTTTACCCTCATTCTTTTGCATTTTCAGGCCTTTCCACTTTCTCTTCCAACTGCTCCAGCTGTACCTTTTACAACCCAGCTGTTGGGAATCTTTTACAGACACTCTCCCTCTTCCTAAAGAGGTCTTCCTGACCTCTGGCAAGTCTGACGGCAGGTTGCTTCCAGATTTTCTGGTTCTTTCTAACATTCTCTCAGGTTAATTTAATTCCTTCAAATCCACCTTGACCTAAGCAACTTCAAGTCTATTTGGGCTTCATTGTGATCACTTATAAGCTAAAGGATTGGATATAAGCAACCAAAACTTCTTGCACATTCTCATACTCATGAATATTTATATGGTATAATTTTTCTTAAGTTTTAGGATGTGTATATTTTAGTAATATTTGCAAAAGAGTATTGTCTAGAATAGAAACATCAATAATAATTGAAGTCAAAAGATAACAAGCTAAAAGGACCACTATGGTTCGATATAGACCATATTTCACTGCTTTACATAACACTTATTCAGAAACTTGAAGAACTGCATGTATTCCTTTTTGGATTGTCAGAAGAGGCTTTATCAATGGTGATAGCTCAGAAATGTTCAAAACTAGCAAATTATCAAACACTTCAAAATACGACTATTACCAATGCAAATATAAAATAATCTCTGACCTCTGGTCTTCAAGAATCCTTCTTTGGTATTGTAGGTTAAATTCTCCTTTTTATGTTCCCAGGATACTCAGAACTTCCCCAAGACCATTTATCATTTTGAGCCATAGTTTTCTGTTTGCTTGTCTATCTTCCGTAGTGGACTATGAAACCTTAAGGAAAGTGGGCTTTGTATCTCACACACAATGTCTGCTTGATGAATTCATTGAATAAATGGCCTTAGGTAAGTATACATTTTTGAAAACTCTTTGAAGTTAACCAGTAATTGTACGACAAATTTAGACATTGAAAATTTTGTTTTAGATTCTTTAAAAGAAACATGAATTCATTTTTCACGTGATTTTTTTAGATGCTGGTGTTTATAATTATCTTAACTTTTAGCTTGAATGCCTATTAGTGTTGAAAACAATTATGACTTTAGCTTGAACAAGGTCATTATAAGTATTTAGAGACTAGAGTAGGTTTCTGAAAAGTTTCAGATTTCTGCAAATGTATTAATTTATTTGTTTATAGAAGTACATATAAAATAGAAGTGCCTACATGCATACCTATAACTCATGTATCTAATTACAGATTTTATTTATTTCTATTTTATGGAAATAATTTTTCTGCAGGTGCTACATCTCAGCAAGTCTCAAGGTCTTATTTTTCTCTAAAAATTAATATCTCTCATAATGGAAAAATAAATGAGAATAAAATTAATGAATTTTACAAAAATTATTTCCATTTAAGGCATAAATATGGCAACAAATCTAAATCTGGGAAATCCATAATTTCACAAGAAAAGATAAACTTCAATATAATTTTTAACAATAGAAGGAAAAATGTATTATCAGTGAAATACAATCAATCTATGTGGTTTTAAAGTATACCCAAACATTATGTTTCTTTTTTTTTTTTTTTTTTTGAGGCTTTGTCTTGCTCTGTCGCCAGGCTGGACAGCAGTGGCGCGATCTCGGCGCTTACTGCAACTTCTGCCTGCTGGGTTCAAGCGATTCTCCTGCCTCAACCTCCCAAGTAGCTGGGACTACAGGCGCCCGCCACCATGCCAGGCTAATTTTTGTCTTTTTAGTAGCTGCGGGGTTGCACCATGTTGGTCAGGATGGTCTCCATCTCTTGACCTTGTGATCTGCCTGCCCCGGCCTCCCTAAGTGCTGGGATTATAGGTATGAGCCACCACGCCCGGCCTCAAACGTTACGTTCCTAAAGGAACATATAATGATCAGTAGCTATTTGAAAATGATTATCAAAATTATAAGCAAAAGTTAGAAAGTTCATATGATGCCTCCAATTTTACATCTCTTTAAAAGTATTCTTGATGTTTAAAATCAAACAAAATTTAACATTTTCTTTGGCTACTACTGGCCAGAGGAATTCGTAGCTTATAGTGACAACAATGATCTTATTATGTATCTTGTTTCTCCAAGAAATGCATGAAACCCAAGCTAGTGCATGATTACGAGGTCATCTCTCACCATGTTCTTAAAACTAGTGTTTATTATTCTCCAGATTTTATGTTGTCTTTACCTAATCTTACGATGTATTTACCTTTGCCTGGAAATCTTGTTGAAGTCATTTTCACAATAATTTTTAAGAATAAATTTAAATACCTTATTTTTTCATTTGTATTTGTTATAAAGTACCCCTAATCTTTTATAATTTTAAGAAACACCCTAACCCCTCCTTATTTCCTTCTATAACCAGAATAAAAACCAATGCATCACTTACCGAATTAGGAAAAGGCAGGAAACTGAAACTGTCTTTTAATGTTAAATATATGGAAGAGAATACGATTTTTTAATTATTATTATACTTTAAGCTCTGGGATACATGTGTAGAATGTGCAGGTTTTTTACATAGGTATACATGTGCCATGGTGGTTTGCTGCACCCATCAACCTTTTATCTACATTAAGTATTTCTCCTAATGCTATCCCCTCCCCTAGCTTCCCACCCACCGATAGGCCCTGGTGTATGATGTTCTTCTCCCTGTGTCCATGTGTTCTCATTGTTCAACTCCCACTTATGAGTGAGAACGTGCAGTGTTCGGTTTTCTGTTCTTGGGTTAGTTTGCTGAGAATTATGGTTTCCAGCTTCATCCACGTCCCTCCAAAGGACATGAACTCATCCTTTTATATGGCTGCATAGTATTCCATGGTATATATGGGCCACATTTTCTTTATCCAGTCTATCATTGATGGACATTTGGGTTGGTTCCAAGTCTTTGCTGTTGTGAACAGTGCTGCAATAAACACATGTGTGCATGTCTCTTTAAAGTGGAATGATTTATAATCCTTTGGGTATATACCCAGTAATGGGATTGCTGGGTCAAATGGGAGAATACCATTTTCTAATGAAAACAACCTTAGTTACTTTTGTTGAATTCATAGCACAAGCAACTCACTGAGTAGATGTTCAGCAAGTACTTGATGTTTAATGCTTTAATTCACACTAAAATAAAAAGGATAGTAATGGTAACTTTCAGCTTCCACCCACAGATCCCATTAATAGAAAGAAAAATGCCTTAAAAACAGACAAACAAACAAAAAACCAGTACAACAGTACATATCCTACGACTTAGCAATTCCACTTTTGGAAAATTTTTAAGGAAGCAATGATGTTGGTATGTAAAGGTATGAGAAGTCATCGGACTGTTGCATATATTCATGAAAACTGGTAATAACCAAAACGCTTAGCAAGAAACTGATTTAAGTTAAAATTGTGACACAAACAAATAACAATGATATAAATAAGAAGGAAAAACTGAGATATATTGCTGAGTAAATAAACAATATTACAAAATATGTATAGTACATAAGCCTATTCACCTACATATTCCCTATACCAAATAAAATAATGTGAACATTAAACCTGTTTCCTCTCCAGGCTGGGCACATAGCCAAATTACATTTTCTAGTATAAAGGGCAATTATATTCACTATCTTGTGGTCTGAAACACATAAACATCTCACTTGTCATCCCTCTCTCTCTTCCTCCTGGCTGGAGGTCAATGGCAAAGAAACTCCAGTGAGAGGCGTTAATGGCACTGCACTGAATGACTGCATGGAGCAGAGTGTCACCGCACTGCCCCACCTAAATGCCATCTCACCACTAGCAATACCCTCCTGAGACAGAAATAAGATTCTATCATGTTAAGCCACTGATATTTTAGAGGAAATCTGTTTTAGTAGTTATGATATCCTAATATTATTCAGAGAAAAGGGTAAATATATACACATATCTCAAAATATTAAAGCAAATGGTAATTTTTTGTATTGTATATTTTTCTGGCATAAACATCTATTAATTTTGTGATAAAAATGTTTTAAGAAAGTCTGTTAGTAAAAACCTCACAAATGAGATTTTTGACCCCTAAAGATATTATTTTCCGAATATAGAAAAAATTAATACCTGTCTTTCAGTAACATAATATGTTTATGCAATACAAGGGAAGTATAGCATTTCATTAATATTTCCTGAATTATGCAATGTTCTGGTTGATCGTATTCCTCAGAAAATAACTTAAGCGTAATATGTAATTAATTGCTTTATAGGGGCACTTTTGCCTTGGTTAATATCCTTAACAAAAGCCATAAATTATCCTCTTAACTATTGCTAATATGGAGCAAAATCTCTACTGCAAGTCTATTTCCGCTCCTTAAATCCTGAACAAATTAAATACCATCTCGCACCATCTCTCCAACATCTCCACACTTGACTGGATCATCTTGACTAAACATGTCAGACCTGACAAATTCTTTAGCTCTTAGAAAGACTTTAACTCAGTTTTTAAGCCCTCTGACATACCAGTCAAAACTCTGTTAATGTGATTTACAGTTAAATTAAACATAAAAACATAATTAAAATAATGATAAAAGGTTAAGGCCTCAAGCTACAAATGCAGAAAAGAGAAGGCATGGCTGTGTTGGAAAGTTCAGTGCAGCCTTGCACAGCCATCTCTGCCTGTTCTGGGTAGCTCAGAGGGTCTTCTGTCAGGGACACCTCAGCTAGAGCCAAATATTACCCATTTGAGCATTTCAGAGCATTTATACTCTGTGCACAGAAGCATGCTAAAATGAATGACTGAGGTTTCATTAATAAGATTAGTGTCTTTAGCAAGTTTAGTCAGCATGTAAAAAGGAAGCAGCATTTTGCCTGATCTTTGCTTTGCCTTTGCATACAGATTTTACCCTTTACTCATCCTCACATCATTCTCACTTTACAGATGAGGACACTGAGGCTTAGTTCATCTCAGTATCACAAACCTGTAGGGAACAAAAGTGTGACCCTCCCACCTTCGCCACCATAATCAATCTCAGGCAGCTCTTTTCACTGCTTTCATTCTCTTCCTTCCATGAAAGTTCTTTCCAGGGAAATAAATGACACGAATCTGAGCTCTTGCCTATGCCTCCCAGCATCAAACTTCTGCATCACCACTTTCTCCCATCCTGCCTCCCTTATCCACTCCAGTCCAGTCTGCAAATTTAAGTTGTCTATTTCTCTTTGAAGATTTTTCTATATTGCTAAGCTGCATTCTCATCACTCAAATGCTTTCATCCCAGTAGGACTGTCTGCAAGCCATAAAATTACTTTTGACCAGACTGTGAGCCCTCAGAGACAAAATATGTGCTATATCCAGTCTTTTTTTCCCAGAGCTTAACATAGTGCTTAGCTCATTAAAAGTTCTCAAAAATAAATACATGAATGGATAAATGAATGACAGAAGCTACAACATTTTTAAGAGGTACTGAATGAATTGAAATTCACAATTTCTGAATGATTTGTTGCGTTATGTCCCAACTTTTCTTCTTCTGTTAGAATAGTTTTTTCAATGTCTCCCTGTCTACTAAGAAAATCTTTCTTACCCTAGTTTGCCTAGCCAGCAATTAAAGGCTTTTCATTGAAGCTCACAATTATTGCAAAACTGGGAAACAAAACATTTTCCTTTATAAAATGGTCCAAGTTAATCTTTTTGAGAAATAGATGTACAACTTATTAACACAATTCAGTTATTCATTCTGTCCAAAATTATTTACTGAATATGCAGAAAAATGTGTTTTAATGATGCATTCAATCCAGTTTCTGTAGTCAAGCAAGTCAGAGACTAGTTAAATAGAAAGACAAAGAAAAATAAATTTTCCTAAAATCAAGAAGTGAAGGGTGCAAAGAAACTTGCTCACTGGAGGTGAGAAGACCAAGGAAGGCTTCCTAGGGTAAGGGACTCTTCATCTGAGTCTTCATAATGAGTTTTGTTAAGCAGACAAAAAGGGGTGAAAGATCTAGATACAGAAGAGGTGATGTACAAAGCCATAGAGATTAGAAAGAAAACAAAACAAAACAGGGTACGTGTGGAGAATAATGTGGCCTCTAGTGCTAATGGAACATAAAAATGTGAGAGCTGGAATAATTAGAAGAATTAGAAGACTGGTAAGGGAGAAAAGGAAGCAGCAGCAAGGCATCACTGTACACCATTTTAGAGCTTAGTCTTTGACTTAAAGGAATTATTATGTGCACAAAAATCTGTTTTGACACAGATTCATATTTAAAACAACTATTCATTGCCTAGTCTACCAGGATTTTATACCAAATATTAAAATATTTTTCTTAAATAATCTTGGATGAGGATACGGATCCCATCATTGAGATCTTTTCTTACGTTTTTGTCTTTCTTTCTAGAGAGAATTAAGACACTTTTTGACTCCTTTTTGAAGGTAGTTATTATATGTAAGGAATTGTGTCCTCAATCCTGTTGATCCTGTTGGCATTTCTCTCACTCACATTGTTACTGTTTCTCTTTTTCTCTTTCTCAACCATTTGTCTTAGATGTCATTTTCACAAAGGACCTTAGTAACTATCTGTTTCTCCTGAAATAGTTTCCTAAGTCAACAACATAGAATGATAGGTCACAATACAGTTCTCTACTTACTGTCTTTATGCGTCAGGCCAGATTTTTTTTCAGTTGTCATGTTAGCATGCATAAAACACATCTGGGACTTCAGCCTGCCTTGCATCTTGAAAGAGTAGGGCATAAACCAAATTTTGGAATCCTCTGTTGATAATAATCCATCCAATATAGCACCTGGAGTGTTTTTTTTATTAGAGAGAGTAAGTGCTGTGCTAAGTGATGGTGATGCAGTTTGATGGAGCTGCCCCTGGAATGCAATAAAGAGCAGAGGACAAGCTCCTTGGAGTGTGTTCCTGAATTAAAAGCCAATGATTTAAAAGTTCACTGGAGAACCCAGGCAGGGAGAGGAGCTTACTCCATGGCTGTTGGCGACACCAACCATATCATTAGTCTATTCTAGCTAGCTATTTACATCCAGGTGCAACTCAAAGTATAAGGAAAAAAATTATACAAAACTTTATATTACATTTGATCCTGGCTTAGAAAGCACATGCAAGCCTAAGTATCCCTCCAGTAGTAAAAATGAAGTTTTACTGCTAACGTTCAAAATTTAAGACCTATGCAACTAGAAGCTGTATGCTTTATCCTTTTTACTTTCCTTTTCTCCTTAGTTTACCCTTTGGGGATACAGTACAAGATTCTGTCTTTCCTACTTGAAAACATATAGTATTATTAGTGGAAAGATCTTAAATACTTATTTTTATTACTTTATCTGCAATTAGTATTAAAAATACGTATTTAAATAGAGTCATTTTTACATGAAATTATTAGCCCTACTACTAACTTTTGTAGAGTAAGAGAAAACCCAAGATGATTTAGTATAAACAATCAAGGAAAATTGTTTGATTACTATACTAAATCCTAGGCTCAGATGATTTAATTCAGTCATGCTTTACTTGTAAAGAAGTATTCAAATAGTCACCTCTTGTATAGTCAGTTTAGCAACTTAAGTCTGAAACTTAAATTTAAATATACATGTGGTTTTAATTATTTCTTGCACATTTGTACAAGAGCTAATTTTATTAAAATGAGGATAAGTAATGATTGGTTGGTCTGGGTATTGCTGAATAATTCAAATGGCTTTTTTACAGAAAGAATGAACATGTACATAGTCACTTATCACATAAAATGAAATTCTGTGTCTTCACATCACTTATTACATCAAATGCAATTCTACGTTTTCACAAATATATTGACATATTTCCCTATCATACTCAAGATCCTATTTGGAAAGGTTTTTTTTTAATTACATGCACTACTACTAACTGTTCAGTGGAAAGCATCAAAATAACTAAGTTTTTAAATAATAATATTATCAACTATTAGTATGAACTATCATATATTCATGATAAAAGGAAATCCAAAGAGCATATGTTTGCAAACATAAACAAATGGTTAGACACTTTCTTAAGGGCAAAAACCTCAACTAATAATTTTTTAAATAATTAGATGCTTTAGGTAACTGTATCACCTATGCAACACAATTCAAGTTCTCCTGATGCAGTCTGACATGACACAACTCCTAAAACTGAATCCAAGCCAAATACTATTCTTGTATTATTTTTAGTCATGTTTTTAATATGAACTTAGTGTCAATTTGTAAATTGTATTTAGTATTTTATCCCTTAGAAAAGTCAAAAGCTTTTTGAAAAATCACAAAAAGTCAGTCTTTTGTGGCTCACTTTCAGGTTTTTTTAAAAATATAGTTTATGTTATTTATGAAAGTGGATTTTTTATTATTACAAAAGATTGAATAAAGAAAGCATATGCACCTCACATAAACATTAGTATAGAATATATCATTAACATGTTTGTTATTTTCCTTGGTGTTGACTTCTGTGTGCTCAGAGTTAGGTAGCTCCAGGACCAGAATGTATGCTCCACATCTAAGAATCTCATAGTGAGACTTCATCTTGGCTGCTGAAAAAAATTAATGCAAAACAAGGAAGAGACCACAACCAAACTGGCCATCTCAAAACAGATAATTATTTCTCTCTTTAGCTTTGGGCTGCACCAAATGTTTATAATCGCTTGTTTAGCAAACTGGGTTTTCTCATATTTTTCATAGTTCAGGAGTCAAAACCATAAGCAATCTATAATAATGGACTTTTCCAGAGCACAAAACTATCAATTTTCGTGTCACAGGAAATGTTTATATGGGAGCAAAATGCTATAGCATCAAAATAAATCAGTAACATCTCAAAGTGCAGATTTCTATATGCTTCCTTGACATAAAGAAGAAAAATTCTATGTTGTATAATACACTTTAATTAAAAACAAAGCTTTTACAAATCATAAAACTTCACAAAGAGACAAATGAACTCTTTTGCTATATCATAAACGAGAAACTATAATACAGATATTGTACATGTTATCTCTGAAAATATTCATTTATTTTAATCGATTAAAATAGTATTTCAGGCCAGATGATTCCTTGTCGGTTAAGGGAGCTGTCCTTTGCATTGTGGTATGTTTTGGCAGATCACCTATCTCCACCCACAAGATTCTAGCAGTAATCCCAACACCTCAGACATAAAAATAAAAAATGTCTCCAGATGCAACCAAATTTCACCTGGAAGGAAATATTTACCCCAGTTAAGAACCACTGGGCTAAGACTATACTGGAGTAAGGAGCATCACGAAATTACAGATTAAATCTGGCCTTCATACAGAAAAGTTTATAGTCAAAGTTGTGAGAGTAATAATGAGGATGAAGAGTAAAGAATAGAATTCATTTGTTAAATCATCTAAGGGGTAGGAAACAAACATTTGTTCCAGGAATTTTTACAGACTTTTTACATCTAAAACCTAATATGTACCTCACAGCAAATATTTGAAATATGACTTATTATCCCTGTTTTGCATATTTATGAGCTGTAAAACATTTAGAAGCTATAGTTGATGAAGACTTTGTAACTTTCAGCATTCAAAATCACTAGCAATAGTAAACAATGAATATGCCCAATGATGAGGTATGTTTAAGTAAATTATGGCATATCCATTAAATATGATTTAATGCAACCACTGGAAATTGTGATCATAAAGACTATCTAGCCTTATAGAGATAGTCTTTTTGTTATAACATTAAGTTACAAAAACAAGTCATAAAATTGTAAAATCACTATACTAAATAATAATAATACATAGAAAAAAGTTTTTTTAAAATACATCTAAATGCTATATTTTTTCTTTTTTCTCTAATGATATATTAATAAACTTATGAGAATATTTTAAAATATATATAAATTATTTAAACATAGCTTTCTATCTTTCTTCAAAATCTCCACACAAAGATGCCATAGTCAATCTCAATAAGTACGATAGACCTTACTTGTACTCTTCCCCTTCTTGTCTTGCAGGATTAAGCTCCCTGAAGTTTTTCATAACCATGTGACTTGATTCAGCAAATGAAATGTGAGAAGTAACATGCCACTTCCAGGTAGCTCCACATAAAAGCCAATGATGGTTTCCCACTATTACAATGGCAAACCTTGAAACCTCATGTAGAAATACAAGCATCATAAGCTGATAGAGACTCTGCCAGCCTAGGCCTCTGAGTGATTTGAGCAGACCCACCTCCCACCCACAACAATCTGCGTCAGTATGTAAAGACACAAACCTATGTTGTCTTAAACTGGCGAGATTTAGAGGTTGTTACTGTAGCATAACCTAATCTATCCTGCTTAAGGCAGTAGCTAATTCTTGTGTTTTATTGTTATTGTGGTAAAATTTTTCCAAAAGCCCAACCAAAATCACATACCTATTTGCCTTGTCAAATATGTATAACTATAACATTTTATATTAGTCATATTCTTTAAGACATTTCAGAAAGACCCATACCAGAAATTCTAAGCAGCACAGGAAGGTTAAAGATCTAGTCAAATTAACAAAGTAATACGTTCAAGAATCACAATCTTTTATTGATTTTCACTTTATTGATTTTCTTACTATCAATAAAGTCAAGTGAAACAAGACCTGGCCTCCTACATGAACTGATTGTGCATGCAATCGCTGTGGCTAATATATTTATAGAATGAACACTTATAAGTCCATAGATCCTAGTAGGTTCTTGTCTTCCATTGGTTACTAACACATAGCTAGGCATTGAGTTGTTTAGCAATAAAAATAAGACATAAGTAATGGTTAAAAGATATTGAAACAATTAAGTTTAAGGAAGCAAAAACTCTGTAAGAGAGATGGTGATCAGGTATTTTTCATATCAGTAAAGCATTAAGAATTTGAAGCTGGACCAAAATTAAAACCTATTAATTTTTATCCTGTTTTGGTGTAGCAAAGCAATTTTGTTGACATACTATTGTCACAGTTAGGTTGTAGTCTGAACATAACTGAATTTTTATATAAATGAGAGCATATTCAAGATTATCCCTAAAATAATATCATAATCACTTGCATTCCCATCTGCTTTCTAAAATGGAGAAGAGGAAGGTGGGTTGGTCGGCCAAAAATGGCACATAACCCACAGGCTGCAACATTAATGCAGTTGCCTATGCTTAGCTTGTTGTTCATGGAACAGCATTATGATCTGTGTTGTTGTGGATAAAAAACTGAACATAAGAATCTAATTAAACTAAACAACTTCTGCACAGCAAAAGAAACTATCATCTGAGCAAACAGACAACCTAGAGAATGGGAGAAAATTTTTGCAATCTATCCATCTGACAATGGTCTAATATCCAGAGTCTACAAGGAACTTAAAGAAATTTCCAAGAAAAAGCATAAACAACCCCATTAAAAAGTGGGTGAAGGACATGAACAGAGACATGTATGCGGCCAAGAAACATAAAAAAACTCACCATGACTGATCATTAGAGAAATGCAAATCAAAACCACAATGAGATTCCATCTCACTCCAGTCAAAACAGTGATTATTAAAAAGCCAAGAAACAACAGATATTGGTGAGGTTGCAGAGATAGGAATGCTTTTACACTGTTGGTGGAAACGTAAATTAGTTCAACCATTGGGAAGACAGTGTGGTGATTTCTCAAAGATATGCAATCAAAACCAGCAATTTTTGACCAGTATACAATCAAAAATACCAGCAATTGACACAGCAATCCCATTACTGGGTATATACCCAAAGGAATATAAATCATTCAATTATAAAAAAAATACATGTGCCCAAGGATATGAACAGACATTTCTCAAAAGAAGACATTTATGCAGCCAACAGACACATGAAAAAATGCTCGTCATCACTGGCCATCAGAGAAATGCAAATCAAAACCACAATGAGATACCATCTCACACCAGTTAGAATGGCGATCTTTAAAAAGTCAGGAAACAACAGGTGCTGGAGAGGATGTGGAGAAATAGGAACACTTTTACACTGTTGGTGGGACTGTAAACTAGTTCAACCATTGTGGAAGACAGTGTGGCGAGTCCTCAAGGATCTAGAACTAGAAATATCATTTGACCCAGCCATCCCATTACTGGGTACATACCCAAAGGATTATAAATCATGCTGCTATAAAGACACATGCACACGCATGTTTATTGTGGCACTATTCAAAATAGCAAAGACTTGGAACCAACCCAAATGTCCAACAATGACAGACTGGATTAAGAAAATGTGGTACATATACACCATGGAATACTATGCAGCCATAAAAAAGGATGAGTTCATGTCCTTTGTAGGGACATGGATGAAGCTGGAAACCATCATTCTCAGCAAACTATCGCAAGGACAGAAAAACCAAACATGGCATGTTCTCACTCATAGGTGGGAATTGAACAATGAGAACACTTGGACACAGGAAAGGGAACATCACACACCGGGTCCTGTTGTGGGGTAGGGGCAGGGGGTAGGGATAGCATTAGGATATATACCTAATGTAAATGATGAGTTAATGGGTGCAGCACACCAACATGGCAGATGTATACTGTATGTAACAAACCTGCATGTTGTGCACATGTACCCTAGAACTTAAAGTATAATAAATATATATAATTAAAAAATAAATAAATAAATAAGTATAAAAATAAAAAATAAACAGCATTGTTGAGATATAATTGATGTTCAGTAAACTATACATATTTAAATTGAAAAAAAAATACATGTGCCCATATGTTCACTGCAGCACTATTCAAAATAGCAAAGACATGGAATCAGCCAAAATGCCCATCAATGATAGACTGGATAAAGAAAATGTGGTACATATACACCATGGAATACTATGTATCCACAAAAATGAATGAGATCATGTCCTTTGCAGGGACATGGATGGAGCTGGAATCTATTATCCTCAGCAAACTAACACAGTAACAGAAAACCAAATACCGCAGGTTTTCACTTATAAGTGGGAGCTGATCAATGAGAACACATGGACACAGGCAGGGGAATAGCACACACTGGGGCCTGTTGGAGAGGGGTGGGGGTACAAGAGGAGGGAGAGCATCAGGAAAAATAGCTAGTGCACGCTGGGCTTAATACCTAGGTAATGGGTTGATAGGTGAGCAAACCACCATGGCACACATTTACCTATGTAATAAACCCGCACATCCTGCACATGTACCACAGAACTAAAAAAAAAAAAAAGCTGAGCATAAAGAACATCAGAACACAAGGTGAAGCGCATATTAGAATGAGTTGATAAGATATTCCTGTACAGTTTCAAGAATAAAAGCTTTAAGTTATCTTAGATGGCTTCAAAGTTTTTAAATGTCACTGTCATAATAAAACGTTCAAAACATTCTTCACTTTCTTTAAGGTTTTTAATCTTTCTCTAAACTTACTCATATACTATGCCATTCTTTGTTGTTTTCTAACATGTATACCAGAACATTCAGAGGCTATGTTTATGTTTATACTAATTCTGATAATACCCCCACAGTGCCCACCCAATACAGAGCCTGTGCTAAAAAAAAAAGCACTGGATGAGTTTAATTGCATTCTTTGTCTTCAACGTGGTTATTCTCCCTAATGTCTTTATCTAGACTTCAGATTCTCTTGTATCAAAGGACACATTGTACAGCATATAATGTCTCTTCAACGTAGTATAAGAAGACAAAAGGCAGAAGGAGGATTAAGTTCTGTTCTCTTCATAAAGGTACTTACTCATTTATTTACAGGAATTGAGATGGTTCAAATGAGTAAGATGCAAAATACACTTAATAAATTAGAAAAACAACACCAAAAAGAGGATCTGAAATGAATATTGTAGGTAACAGCATTATATGACTCATATTACAAAATATCCAATTTATCTTTGAGGTTCATAACAGCCAGTGCAAAAAAGACATGTGTAAAGGAGCATAGTTCTCTTTAACTGAAAGTAGAAACTTATCAATTCCTCACAAAAATTTCTGATACTTAGACTCCAAATTCTAAAGGAAATTCTCCTGTGGGATTTAATCCAAGACCTCAGAGAAAGAAATAGGCTGAATGTTGCTGCTTTTTGTGATTTTTTTTTTTTTCAGTAAAAGCTAAAGGCAGGGAGAGTAATTTCATCATGTGTAAGTTAATGTAGATGGATCTTATTGCTATTCTGTCTTCAAACTGGAATCCAGCAATAAAGCATAAGAATTAGCCACAAAATTTGATGGAGGACAGGCCCTTGGACTAATGGCCCTCAAAAATTACTTCTCACAGTCAGATTTTAGATAAGGGTAGCATATGGAAAGAATCACAGGGTTTGGAATAAAAGAGATCTGAATTTGACTATGTTTGGTCAAACAACTTATTTCACTTCCCTGAGCCTTAGTTTCTTGAGTAGAATTATGCAAGTAACGAATAGAGGCAGAACATAAAAATCATCTAACACATGCCATGCAAATGGCATTATCTGCTGCAGAAAAATAAGGACAGACTGGATAACAGGATAACACCTACTGATGTTTGAAGAAACATCTACATCTCTTGGCTTCCAGATGAACAGGTAGAACTGCTACAATTTTAATGTTACCTGAAGAGCCTATGCAAGATTCTCCTTCTATGAAAGGCCCACATATCTCCTTATGGAAGAGAAGCAAAGCTGGTACTCTCCCCAGAAAACAGCTGTGGTTCACCATCAGTAATTAGACAACTATTCAATTCGTATCCAGATTTCCACGTGATGGAATTAGTCTAACATCAACCTGGAAACTGTACAAAACAGACTCTTCCAGTTTTTAGTTGCCACAGAAAAATCTCAGTAACACCTCCAAGGGATAATGACTGTGAGCCACTTACTTTGCCACTAGCATTCCAGAGACGGTTAGCTGTAAATATAAGCCCAGATTATTGTGCACATGAACTAGGTATATAGAGATATTTTAGTAGTCACTGTTCTAACTTTACGAGTATATTCTTTTCAGGTGATATTTCACTTTTCCTAGTTAACATTGTGTCAGTCTTCCTGATGGTAAATTCTAGGACCATTTGCATCATGGAGCCATCCAACCATGTCATCAAGAAGTAGATAGGTAACTTTTCCACTACAGCTGAAGTTTAAAGTTAGTTCATATAAAAATGCCAGAACACCGACATATGCATTAAACAGAAGTAGAACAAAGGTGATCTCCATTTTCCATTACTAAATATTATTGTCTGATCTGTTAAGTGGTAGAATTACATCTCTTCCAGACATGGGAACTGTGAATCATAACAAATCAAGTGATATCACTGATTTCATACAAAACTATTTGAATAAAATGTTTCTTATAATCTACTCTCAATTCTATCATTTCTCTATTGATGCAGAAGTTTCTCCCAAAAGACGTCATAATCTTTCTTTTTAGTCCAACCAAACTCAATGTATTTGATAATACTGTGTTTCAGAATAAACCTAACATCACAAGAAACAAAAGGACAAACAAGACTAGATTTTTCACATATTCTTATTATTTTGTATTTATTTCTTTATACTAATTTTCCTGTTTGGCTGTCTATGCATGTTTTAATCTGAAATGAA
The DNA here is from genome assembly GCF_000001405.40 of Homo sapiens. Taxonomy (NCBI): domain Eukaryota; kingdom Metazoa; phylum Chordata; class Mammalia; order Primates; family Hominidae; genus Homo; species Homo sapiens. The sequence goes on along the minus strand of NC_000003.12, from coordinate 147,482,006 downwards.
TATCACTTCTAACAATCTCCCTTTAACACGAACACCACCCCCACCTCCCTACTCCCCAGCTAAAGAAAACACTTAAGTGGGGTAAATGATCCAAATATCCCAAGGGAAATCTTTTCTACTTTAATTCATGTAGAGAAAAAATATATATATCATCTGCTGGTGGCTCAGCTGCCTGTGCACTATGTGTTGGTAAACCTAGTCTTGTTGCTGGTGGCAGAAATAATCATGCTTTGTATTTATGTAATATCTTTCTGCTATGAAGCTTACAGGATATTATGTGTCTTGCATCACTAATCTTCATAACATCCCTATAGTTATGGGAATAAATTGAAGTGAAGACAGTACTTTAACCTGAAAGATCATGAAATGGGAAAAACTGATAAAGATGCTGCACATAGCTGATCTTGTTAAGGTTGTATGGAAATGTCATGGGGCCAGACTCTCATTCCCCGTCACACTACATGCACCATTTTCCATAAGCGAATCTTTCTTTCAATGTAGAGGGAGAGCCATGACTGAAAGCTGAAAAGAAGATTCAGTGACTAAGCAGCAGAGTGGAACCTCAGGGCCTCTGCATTTTCTTTTTAATTCTGTTCCTAATTTGTGATGTGACCCTAAGAAACCTTTTGCCCTCTTTAAGCCTTAATTGTTTTACTTACAAAATAGTATTGTGCAAAGCATGTTGCTCTGCATCCTGGCTCTGGCTTCCAACACTCTATCTTTTGTACTGTCCCGTAATTAATTTGTTCATCTATTCAACAAATATATATTGAGCACATTCTATGTTTAAGGCACTGGGCCAGACTCTTGAGACTCTAAAAGAAATTAAGACATTATCTCAAGCTTACAAAATAAAAGCAGGCATTCTTACAGGTATAAAAATAGCTACATTATAAACCAATATCCATTGTGTCATTGAACAATGCAAATGATGTACTAAATGAATTCTGAGGCTTTGCTTCTGGCACACTGAGGTAGCAGAAAGAGCACTGAATAAGGAATAAAACTTTACTCATACACCCAGCTCTGCCATTTACTAACTTTCTATAAAATAGATGAAATATAATTCACAAGGTTGTTGTGATAAAATAAAATATTACAGGGAAAAACACCTAATAGATGTAAAGTTGTATTTTTTAATTGTAACTGATGAGATCAGAGAATGCTTCAGGTAAATGATGTTCACAATGATCTGTGGGTGCTGAAGGATATTTCAATAGGTGGAGAACATTCTGCACAGACAGAATGGTAAGGCATAGAACAGGAAATATATTAAGAGACAACTAAGGATTCAAAGGATCAAAAGTCACAATGAGAGGAACAAATACTTTCAGAAGCTATAAGATGGTAGAAGAAGTGAAGGAGTCAAAGGAATGAAACCAAGGAGATTGTGATGAGGGAAGTTGCTAGTTTAAGATATTCAGATGTGCACATGTACCCTAAAACTTAGAGTATAATAAAAAAAAAAAAAAAAAAAAAAAAAAAGATATTCAGATGTTCCAAATGTTGACATGATCTAAGGGATTATGGTGGTCAATCCATGGCTGAAATGAACTGAAGATACAACTTAGGCAAATTTAAGTGATCTAGAAAATTTAAGTCTATTTTTGTATGAGTTAAGCACAGAGATAATGATGAGAGTGCAAAATAAAGAAGAAAATTCTGAACAATATGCAAAAATCATCAAAGAAATGAAAGACATGGATGAAAGTCAATAGATGGTAGAAATAAGGTAAATGAAAGACTGAGAAAAGTCTTGTAAAAATAATTGGAAGAAATAATAGAAAAGATTGAAACTATACAGGATTTCATAGTTTAATTACGGTGATTCCTTGTTTAGGATCTTCCAAAACAACATTATTCAGCAAGTAGCATCAATCTACCAATTAATCTGGAAACCTTAAGCTGAACATCCAAGTCATGTGTACACATCATTCTCCATAGCTCAAACTCGAGACAGCACAGCTGGTAGCCACATTCATCTCCATGAGCGTTGACTTCCCTGTCAGCACACCTTCCTGATTTCTCTTTTCTTTCTTCTCCTCCTGTAACACACATTGACTCACATACACTTTGAAAAAGTCAAAGGTAACTCAAACTCAGGAAATATTTAGAGTTTCTGGCCCTCAAGGACAAAATTATGTGCTATTTGCTTGAACACTGTCTACCATGGAATTGGGTGTATATGCCTAACTTTAAAATTAGTGTTCAATTATTTTATTCATGTTGCATGAACATATAATAGTAATGAGAAAATAAGTTATAAAATCTGGGTAGATTCTGAGTGGCAAGAATTACATCAAGTTCACTGTTATAAGTTCAAATTGATGGAAAACTAGTATAATCGATGGCATCTTGCAATAAATAAAAACATTTAAGATATGATTTAGAAGACAGCACAGGATTAACTAATGAGCTAAGAAAGAGAGATACTTTCAGTTTGTTCCCCATTTTGTTTTTCACCTTTTGACCTAGTTTTTCTTTCTTCTCTTGATAACTAGTTTGCCTTTGATCAACAAGAGTGAATGTTCAAGAATCAGAATGCAAGTTTTACTTCAAAGATCAGAACAATTTATTGATCACCATTCTGATGAGTAATTCAGTATTAACTCATTCATTGAGCTACAGTATGTGGCTTTATATTTTTTCTATATACATTTTTCCTTATAAGAAAAAGAAAAAACTACTTAATATGCAGTCTAGCTACCAGTAGAACTCTTACAGACTGCCAAAATATAAGTACACGATGATGATTGTGTTCAATATATGTCATTTATAATAACCAGATTTCCTATTTTAGGTTTTCATATGACCTAATTTCTAACCTAAGGCATTGACTTATTCTCAAAAGCATTCTAACATATAATGATACATTTATGAATATAACTTACTTTTTTCAAATTTTCACCATTTTGCTGAAACCCCAAACTGTTATGATTTTCTCATTATTTATATTAATTTCTCATGCTAAATTTTTTTATAGCTGGCTCTGAACTGATCACTGAGTAAAAATAGTTCTTACATAGGCTAATGATTATTTGTAAACTTATTTAGGGATAACATAGCTTCCTTAAAATAACCCCAAGGAAACATATGTAATAGCTCCTCCATAATAAGTATATAATTTAATTCCTGCATGTCATATCATAGTTTAAAACTTGTTTTCTCATATTTTATTTCATTTGATCTTCACAACATCCTAATAGTGGGCTAGCAAATATTTTTATTATCCCTATTCTCAGATGAGGAAATTGAGGCTCAGTTAAATAAATTACATGCTCAAGATTATGCAGATAATAAGCAGCTTAAATTAGAATTCATGTCTTGGAAGGGCATCATACTACATGGCTATTTGATCCAAAATGAATGCTAATAAGATAACCTTAATAATTTTTCCCTTAGCAAAAGCATTTAATTTCAATGCAATGTAAAATAAGAAGAAATAAGAGATATAAGATTAGGAAAAAGAAAAAATTATCATTTTTAGGGTTGCCTATCATGTAGGCAAAATGATTGCCTACATGAAAAATGCAAGTGAATCTATAGATAAGCCATTGAAAAAAATGAGTTATCAAAGAGACCAGATAAGATAGTGTTATTGTACATAATAACATTTTAAAAATATAAAACATAAAATATATTTATAGCAAAAAACATACAAAATACCTAAAATTAGACTAACAAAATTATATAAGAAAATTATAAAACTGTATTAAGCCATGAAAAGAAAACTGATAAATAATACTTTTTCTGACTTAGTAAGATTTTAATTGTCATTTTAGTTGGAAATCCTTGAAAGATAAATGTTCATGCCATTATAAAATATAATGACAATATTATATAATTGTCAGTCACAGTATTATATAACTGTGAGTCAAGGAAAGCTTTATTCTTTAGAATTTTTTTTTTTTTTTTTTTTTTTTTTTTTTTTGCTCTTGTTGCCCAGGCTGGAGCAATGGTGTGATCTTGGCTCACCACAACCTCCACCCCCCGGGTTCAAGTGATCCTCCTGCCTCAGCCTGCCAAGCAGCTGGGATTACAGGCATGTGTCACCATGCCTGGCTAATTTTATATTTTTAGTAGAAACGGGGTTTCTCCATGTTGGTCAGGATGGTCTTGAACTCTCAGCCTTCCAAATTGCTAGGATTGCAGACCTGAGCCATCGCACCCAGCCTATTCTTTAGACGTTTTTTACCTAACATTACCCTACTCTGAATATTGACATCACACAAAAAGTAAGATTGTTTAATTTGTTAATATTATTTTTAAATGACAAGTAGATCAGAATGGCTAAAATTGAAAAGGCTGATCTTTTCACATGTAGAGGAGTATACAGAAAAACTGGTAAACTCTCATGTATTACTGGTAGGAGTATAAAACTATACAACTGCATAAAACAGGTTGGTAATTTCTTAGAAAGTTAAATATACACCTACAACATGATCCAGCTATTCCATTCCTAGGTGCTTACCCAAAAGAAAAGAAAGTTTATGTCCACACAGCAACTTATACATGGATGTTCATAGCAGTTTTATTTATAATAGCCAAACACTAGAGATCACCTAAATGTCTATCAACCAAGTGAATGGATAAACAAATTGTGGTAAATACATAACAGTGGAATACTACTTCAACAATATAAAGGAATAAACTATTCACTCAATCAGTTTATCAGAATAAACGGATCCAAAACATAAAATGAATCTCAAATAATTATACTGAAAGTATCCAAACAAAAAAGAATACATACTATAAATTTCCATTTATATAAAATTCTAAAAAATACAAATTAATCTCATCTGCAGCAGCAAAAAACAGATCAGTGATTGCCTAAAGGGGAGAGAGGAAAGAGAAAAAGGTAAGAGGAAGGGACTACATAAGGGCATGAAAAGCTGCTGGAAGATAAGTATGCGGTGATCTCAAGTGAATACACATATATCAAACTTAACAAATTATATACTTTTAAAATGTGCAATTTAAGGCCAGGAGCAGTGGCTCATGCCTGTAATCCCAGTGCTTTGGGAGGCCAAGACAGTCAGATCACTTGATTTCAGGAGTTCAAGACCAGCCTGGCCAAAATGATGAAACCTTGTCTCTACCAAAAACACAAAAATTAGCCAAGCCTAGTAACGGGCGCCTGTAATCCCAGCTACTAAAGAGGCTGAGGCAGGAGAATTGCTTGAACCCGGAAGGTGGAGGTTGCAGTGAGCTGAGATCATACCACTTCACTCCAGCCTGGACAACAGAGCAAGACTCTGTCTCAAAAAAAAAAAAAAAAAAAAAGGTGTGCATGGCACGGTGGCTCACGCCTGTAATCCCAGCACTTTGGGAAGCCAAGGCGGGCGGATCATGAGGTCAAGAAATCAGAAATCGAGACCACCCTGGCCAACATGGTAAAACCCCGTCTCTACTAAAAATACAAAAATTTGCCGGGCCTGCTGGCACGAGCCTGTAATCCCAGCTACTCAGGAGGCTGAGGCAGGAGGATTGCTTGAACCCGGGAAGCAGAGGTTGCAGTGAGCCAAGATCGCACCACTGCACTCCAGCCTGGGCAACAGAGACTCCCTCTCAAAATTTAAAAAAAAAGAAAAAAAGAATAAATAATAAATAAAAATTTTTTTAAAAAAATTAAAAACTGAAAAAAAGTGCAATTTATTGTATTTCAAGCATATCTAAAATGAAATCACTTTGCTTCCACTGATAGAAAGTGGAAAGCTTTGGAATCAAATAGAGTTTGTTAAAATTCAACAACTTACTACCTGTGAGGATTTGCACAAGTCATAAACTTGCTAAACTTCCATTTATTCATCTGTTAAATGAAGATGATTATGGACACCTGTCTTGGTTATTGTATGAACAGAAAAATCTGTTTTTTAAAGTGATATGTAGACCAGAGTGGTTTAGCAGAGGGTATATTTTCAACCTAAAAAAAATTCAGAAAATTCTACCCTTATTTTATTGACAATTTACAAAACAATTCCTTCTATAAAAGGTATCTCTGTGTCATGAATTTATGAAAGAATAAATCTTCAGATGTTATTATGAATAGGTCCCTGCGTTTGGCTAGTAAGAGAATTTAATTTCACTCATGATATGTGGTTTGCTTTTTTGTTTTTTTGAGACAGGGTCTCACTCTGTCACCCAGGCTGGAGTTCAGTGGCGCAGTCACAGCTCACTGCAGCCTTGACTTCCCCAGGCTCAGGTGATCTTCCCACCTCAGCCTCCCAAGTAGCTGGGATTGCAGGCACACACCACCATGCCCAGCTAATATCTGTATTTTTTGTAGAGATAGGGTTTCACCATGTTGCCTAGGCTGGGCTTGAACTCCTGGGCTCAAGTGGTCCACCCACCTTGGCTTCCCAAAGTGCTAGTTACAGGTGTGAGCCATCTCACCCAGCCCATTATAGGTTTTTAATATAATAGTATCTAATCTCTTGTTAAACTATCAAGATTCAGAAATCAAAGTTTGTTATCACTCCTTACAACTGTTGGATGCAGCCACAAAGTAATAACTTCAAGAACTGGTCAATTCCATAAAGATCAGTTTGTTTTCATCTTTGTAAATGTGTGAAAGGTCAAAAAGAGCAACCTAAATTTCATTTAAGAAATGTTATAAGAAAGATTAAAGGGAAAATATTATCTTACACTACTCTCCTATTTGGAAGATTAATTATTTCAACTAATTTTTCTTATAGCAGGGGCATCAATGCAAAGCAGAATGTTTTGGAATCAAATAGAACTTGTTTCAAATTCAGCTGCTTACTACCTGCATGAATTTCTGCAAGTTTGCAAGTCACTTAAATTATCTTTTCTTTTTGAGACAGAGTCTCGCTCTGTCACCCAGGCTGGAGTGCAGTGGTGCCATCTCAGCTCACTGCAACCTCCGCCTCCCAGGTTCAAGCAATTCTCTGCCTCAGCCTCCCAAGTAGCTGAGATTATAGGCTCCCACCACCATGCCTGGCTAATTTTTTTGTATTTTTAGTAGAGACAGGGTTTCTCCATGTTGGTCAGGCTGCTCTTGAACTCCTGATCTCGTGATCCACCCGCTTCGGCCACCCAAAATGCTGGGATTATAGGCGTGGGAAACCGCGCCTGGCCTTAAATTTTCTAAGCCTTCCTTTCATCATCTGTAAAGTAGAGATAATCATGCATATTTTTCTTAGTTGTCGAATAAATAGAATTTATATCTGTATGGTACTGTGTACAGAAATCAGTACCTACAAATGGTTACTATTATTATGTAACAGTATGAGATTAGGGAATCCCATAGAAGACTTTGGTATATTTCTGGGTCTCTTTCCAGCCAGTTAAGCCAAGTATAGTTATTTATACACATAGAGATTAAATATTATCTACATACATATATAGATCTTAGCATATCTATATATAATCTACACATATCCATACATATATATATACACACACATATGTTCACTTGTTCAAGAAATCCTTATTAAATTTAAATTTCTTTTTCTTTCTTTCTTTTTTTTTTTTTTTTTTTTTTTGAGATATGGTCTCACTCTGTTGCTCAGACTAGAGTGCAGTGATGCAAACATGGCTCACGGTAGCCTTAACCTCCTAGGCTCAACTGATCCTCCTGCCTCAGCCTCCTGAGTAGCTGGGACTACAGACACACACCACCATGCCTTGCTAATTTTTTTTTAATTCTTTGTAAGGACAGGGTCTTTCTATATTGAGTAGGCTGGTCTGAAACTCCTGGCCTCAAGCGATCTTCCCTGCCTTGGCCTCCCAAGGTGCTGAGATTATAGAACACTTTGCCTGGTCCCCTATATGGCAAGCTAGGAATTTATATCATATTTTCTATGTTCACTTTCAGAATTGTGTGCAATCTTTTAGAATTTTAACCATTGAATTTGAGCTTCACAATAATTATTAAATATTATTCTGTAATTACTTTTTAAAATTTCAAAGCATTGTTTAAAGATTGGTAGAATACACATAATAAAAGCTGTCTGTGGGTTCAAAGAAAAAAATTGATAAAATGTTGAATTTATTATTGGAATAACTAAACAATTTTTTTAAATTATTCTTGTTTCTTCCTTTACTATAGTGCCAAATTGCCAAATTGCCAAATTGCCAAATTTTTCTTTTGAAAGCGTATATCCTCTTTAAGACAAAAAATAAATCTGAAGTAAAGTAATAAGTTTTTACCATCTAAATTTGGCAATATTCACAAAAACTAAATTTAGAAATATTACTTGGGATTCTTGCTTGTGTTCGTTCCCTATCACACTATATGCACCAACTTTTATATGTAAATTTGTCTTTTAATCTGAAGGGAAAACCATGACTGAGGCTGAATAGAGGAAAGATTCAGTGACTAAGCAGCAGACTGGAAACTTGGTGCTTATGAATTTTCATTCTAATTCTGTTCCTAATTTGTAGTGTACCCTAAGGAATTTCTCAGCCAGTTTCTGCTTCTCTTACTTGGCTTATAAAATAGTGGCATTTACAGTTACTCTTTTTTTTTTTTTTAGACGGAGTCTCGCTCTGTCACCAGGCTGGAGTGCAGTGGCACGATCTCAGCTCACTGCAACCTCCACCTCCCAGGTTCAAGCGATTTTCCTGCCTCAGACTCCCAAATAGCTGGGGCTACAGGGGTATGCCACCATGCCCGGCTAATTTTTGTATTGTTAGTAGAGACAGGGTTTCACCATGTTGGCCAGGATGGTCTTGATCTCTTGACCTCTTGATCCGCCCACCTCGGCCTCCCAAAATGCACGGTTACTCTTTACCCCGACTCCGACTAGGTTCTGAGCAAGCATTGTGTGTAATTAAGCCCATTACTGGTTGTTCACAATGATGACAAGAAGAGATCATATTCTCCCATTCAGAGCTTGGCATGCAAATATGTAAATAACTATCAAATAGTCACCCAGTCAGGCTGTCTAGTAAACTGATCAGGATCACATTTCTTTTTGGTTTTCACTGGGAAAGAGTTCAAGATTGATTGGCTCATCTTCACACCACCCACTACATCCCACAGGGATCTAGAAATAGTTATGATCCCCAAGAGAATTCTCATCAACAATCAGTACTAGCTAGTCATGCCTTCTTATCCCTTCAGCATGTTAATATTTGAGAAAAATGAGGAGCAATTCTTCATCTAAGAAAATGAGATGTTCTATTTTGCAAGTGTGGAGGTTTATTTCACATGTTCAATCACCACTCACCACAATATGTCTGAGAAAATTCTATTCGAGGGTTAAACAAATTAATATAGCCAAAACTGAGAGATTCTATATTAAAATTTTAGGGGGATTCAACTTGCCATATCATCTCGTCAATTCTCATGTCAGGTTAAGATGCATATATTCATTTTGCTACAATAGTAAGAAATTGCTTCCAAACTTTGCACTCTAATGTTAAGGAACAAATCTGTAAAGTTTCAATAATATCATATAGAAAAACCACAGCTTCTGCCTGCCTAGGAGTGAATAGGATACCAGTGGTTAGAAATCAAGGACCATCCTATGAGTATCAGGCATAACAACTGAGTGCCCACTGAGGGCATGGTAGACAGTGACCATTGCACAGCCCAGGCATGACAGAGCCCTGGCAGAGAAATATTTCTTTTAATATCTTGACCAAACTTAACCTAACTTAGGGGGATGTGTCTCACGTGGTTGCAATAAAGCCACTGATGGAAAGATAATAGGTTTAAATATATGCATATTTCAAAAAGCCTACTCTTTTTAATTTTTATTTTAAGTTCAGGGTTACAAGTGCAGGTTTGTTACACAGGTAAACTTGTGTCATGGGCGTTTTTTTGTATAGATTATTTCATCACCCAGGTATTAAGCCTAGTACCCATTAGTTATTTTTCCTGATCTTCTCCCTCCTCCCACCCTCTACCCTCCGAAAGGCCCCGGAGTGTGTCATTCCCCCCTATGTGCTCATGTGTTCTCATCAGTTAGCTCCCACTTGTAAGTGAGAACATGCAATATTTGGTTTTCTGTTCCTACGTTAGTTTGCTAAGGATAATGGCCTCCAGTTGAATCCATGTCCCTGCAAAGGACATAATCTTGTTCTTTTTCATGGCTGCATAGTATTCCATGGTGTATATGTACCACATTTTTTTATCCAGTCTATTATTGATGAGCAGTTAGGTTGATTCCATGTCCTTGAAAAAGCCAAGTTTTAACATCGGTGTAATTCGCTTTCATTAGGAAAGTGAGATATACTAATCCATTATTAGCCAGGGATATCTCTACAGAAATGGTGTCATGTTGACAGTTAGCCAGTCTCCCAGCATGGTGTATGTTTATAAATTTTTACTCATATCTTGGTTCATGGTTCCATGTTTTAATTCTTGAGAAACTTCAGATTTCTCTCTGATAATCATCTGGTGATAGCACCACATTTAGCTTGCAAATAGGATTTGAAGGACTCTGTGAATTTACTATTCTTTGAGATGGTACCTAGCCATCTGAAAAGAGAATTCAGAAATTTACAATTTAGAATGACATATAGAAAGAAGTCACAAATGCAAGTTTCCTTACTTTCCATTAAAATATATAGGAAAAAGAGTCCAAAATTCACATGATAACTGAAAATAGATGCCGAATAAAGAAACAGTTACTATCAAAATTAAAGTGAAAAATTTAGAAATATACTGCATTAATTTTTTTAGCAATCTAGACTTCACCTCAATAAATAATAGACCACCTGAAAAAGGGTAAAATATGAACCGTTCTCCAATGTAGACACACACAATTTGTAGCAAAATGAGAACCAAGTGTTAATTTCTTTATTGTATAGTTTCAAGATGTTACAACTTTAACTAGCCAGGATACTATTTTATAAACAGAGAGAGTGAAAAAGAGAGAGAGAAAATCTCCTCCCCACCCCTAGCTCTCCAAATGTGCTCACTACATCCACTGGGAGACTACTTGGAAGGATGGGCAAAGGCAAGCTACATCCTGTAATGTGTACTCTAAAAATGTTAAGTATTGCAAGACAATTCCAGGCTGTAATGCATGACGGAATATGTAAGGGGGGTGGGGGAGTTGTTTGCTTGTTTGTTGGTTTGTTTTGAGACAGGGTCTCCCTCTGTTGCCCAGACTAGAGTGCAGTGGCACAATCTCTGCTCACTGCAGCATCTGCCTCCCAGGCTCAAGCAATCATCCCATCTCAGCCTCCCAAGTAGCCGGGACTGCAGGCACACAACACCATGCCTGGCTAATTTTTGTATTTTTTTGTACAGATGGGGTTTCACCATGTTGCCCAAGCTGGTCTCGAACTCCTGGGCTCAAGAAATCCTCCTGCCTCAGCCTCCCAAAGTGCTGGAATTACAGGCATGAGTCACTGCATCTGGCCTGTAGTTTTCTATATATTCCATTAGTTCAGCGTGTTAAGGATCCAAAGGGAGAGAGATAGGAAGGCACCCCAAGGAAAGCAGAACTATATAAGGTGAATTCCAGATAGAAACTGGAATTGAATGCCAATTGCCTTTTGACATCAGTTGAAAAACACACACAAACAAAAATCCAACTACCACTCAAATAGACAAGAGTATGGCTAGGGATATTCATGTTTAAAAATCTTAAGTGAGGCCAGATCTCACCTTGTTAATAAATTAATAAATGTAACAGCTCAACCTGTTGTATATGTAAAAAATATATAATATACAATAAGGTAAAGATGGAAATTACTCTAAGAACCATTAATTTGTTCATTTTTACACTGAATATATTTTAACTTGTTTTATGTAATCAGCACTGTTCCAGGCACTAGATATAGAAAGGAAAGTAATCCAGACATTCTTTCTCTCTGCATTAAGTTACGGTCATGTATGTATGACAGATATTAATCAAAAATTCAACACATATGTTTACTAAATACTGTAAATATAAACTGAGGTATAGAAGGACATAGAAAGGAGACCTATTGCCATATCCAAGGTAAAGTTTTATAAAATTCACTGGTATTCTCATGCATGTTAATGTATGTAAATACATTTTGTATTGTATTTGTGTATTTGTAAGGTAATGCAAATGTAAAATATAATATAAAGAGATGCCAGTCTCTAGGAAAAGACAGAAAATCATAGTAAGAGAACAAGCAAGAAAAAAAAAGAAATATGTACAATGTGGAGTGGATCACAGGAAATTAAATATGCAATGCCAAAATAAAAACCCATACGGAAGAGACAGCAGAACTAAACTCAAACTGAGAAAATAGAATCAGCAATATATAAAGCAAAATTTAAAAAGACTTCCTAAAATCAAGAAGAAATGAGCAGAGGGATGAAAACAATAGAAAAGAAGATTATAATTTTGGAGAGCATAAAACAGGAAACTAACACATGAATAGCTTATACTTCCAAAAAATACACCACAGCAAATAGAACTAAAAAATAAGAATAGAAGGAGGGGTGAGAGTGCATATAATATTCTAAACTGCAAAAAAAAAAAAAATTGTAGCTAATATACTCAATGGCAAAAAACTAAAAGCTTTTTCTCTAAGATCAGTTCTACTCAACAAGATACTGGAAGTTTTAGCAAGAGCATGTAGACAAGAAAAAGAAATAAAAGCATCTAAATAGGAAAGGAAGAAGTAAAACTATCTCTGTTCACAGATGACAGGTTCTTATACGTAGTAACACATATGGAGTCTGCACATGTGTGCAAACACACACTCATACACACACACAAACATTTAAAACCAATAAATTCAGCAAAGTTGCAGGATACAAAATCGACACATGAACAAATCAGTTGTATTTCCACATTGCAATAAACAGTGCACAAAGGAAAATAAGAAAATTCCATCTTCAATAACATCAAAAATAATAAAATAGGAATAAATGTAACCAAGAAACACAAGACTTATACACTTTATAAACATTGCTGAAAGAAATTAAAGAAGATCAAAATCAATGGGAGGACACACTGTGTTCACAGATTGTAATACTTAATATGGTCAAGAAGACAATACTACCCAAAGTGATTTACCCAGTCAATGCAATCTCTATCAAAATCCCGAAAGTGTTTTTGCAGAAATGGGAAAACCCATCCTAAAATTTTTGTGGAATTTCAACGGAGCTAGAAGAACCAAAATAATCTTGAAAAAGAACAAAGTTAAAAGACTCACTCATACTTTTTGATTTCAAAACTTAACACAAAGCTACAATAATTAAAACAGTATAGTAATGACATAACTATAGACATATATACCAATAGAATAAAATGGACAGCCCAGAAATAAATCCTCACATTTATGGTCAATTGGTTTTGACAAGGGTGCCAAGAACATTCAGTGAGGAACAAACAGTCTCTTCAAATAATGCCTTAAAAAACTAGACAATATCCTCATGGGAAAGAATGAAGTTGGACCTTTACCTTACATTATATAAAAAAATGAATTCAAAATGGCTCAAAAGAGAAAAAAAACCTAAAGCGCTTTTAGAAGAATACATAGGAGTAAATCTTCATGACCTTAGATTTGGCAATGGTTTTATGAGTCTGACATAAAAAGTACAGGCAACAAAAGAACAAATAGATCAAATGGACTTCATTAAAATTAAAAATTTTGTGCATCAAAAGATGCTATCAAGAGAGACCAGGCATGGTGGCTGATGCCTGTAATCCAAACATTTTGAGAGGTGGAGGTAGGAAGTTTGTTTGAGGCCAGGAATTTGAGATCTGTCTTGGCAACACAGGGGGACCCCATCTTTACCAAAAAAAATTTTAAAAACTAGCCGGGTGTGGTGGCATGTGTTTGTAGTCTGAGCTACTTGGAAGACTGAGGAGAGAGAATTGCTTGAGCCCAGGGGTTCGAGGTTACAGAGAGCTATGATCATGCCACTGCATTCCAGTTTGGGTGAGCATGAGATCCCACCTCCAAAAAAAGAGAGATAGTGGAAAGACAAGCCACATAGTGGGATAAAATATTTAAAAATCTCATGTATTTAATATCCAAAATATAAAGAACTTCTACAACTCAAAAGCAAAAAGACAAACAGCCCAATTAAAAAATTGACAAAGTACCTAAATGGACATTTTGCCAAAGAAGATACACAAATGGCCGCCAATAAGCAGATGAGAAGATATTCAACATGATTACTTATTGGGGAAATATGCATCAAAACCAAGATGAGATACCATTCCATACCCATTAGGATGGCCGTTTCATTATTAATAAATCAAAAAATAACAAATGTCATCAAAGATGTAGAGAAATTGAAACCCTCCTGCATTGCTGGTGCAAATGTAAAACAGCGCAGCCACTATGGAAAACAGTTTGGCCCTTCCTCAAAAATTAAACATAGAATTACCATGTAACTATCCATTCCATTCCTAGGTATATACCTAAATGAATTGAAAATAAGCATTCAAACAGATAATTTTTGGCAAAATTCATAGCAGTATTATTTACAATAGTCAAAAGGTGGAAACACTCCAAATGCCCACCAACAGATGAAGAGATAAACAAAATGTGCTATATATAATATAATGACATATTATTTAGCCATGAAAAGCAATGGAGCTCTGACGTACACTACAACATGGATGAACCTTGAAAACCTTATGCTAAATAAAATAAGCCAGGCACAAATATTGTATAATTCCACTTTTATGAAATACCTAGAATAAGCAAATACACAGAGGCAGAAAGTAGATTAGAAGTAACCAGAGGCTGGAGGGAGAGGAGAAGAAGTTATTGCTCAATTTGTTGAAAATTTCTGTTTGGGTTGATGAAAACTTTTTATATAGTGGTGATGGTTGCACAACATTGTAAACGTAATTAATGCCATTGAATTATACATTTTAAAATGGTAAAAATGGCAAGTTTTATATTACATACCTTTTTTTACAATTTAAAAATTGCTTTAACAAGTATTGAGTATGAATTCCAAGCAAAATTATAAGAGAAACATCTGGGTGAAATTTTTAAATGAAAACGCCGAAAAAAATAGAAAAACACTTTACACGTTCTCAGAAACAAAGGAGCAAACATCCAGCTGAACCAAAATTCTCTCTAGAATCTCAAAATACCAGAAGTTAATGGAGAAATGTCTGCAGAGTTTTGAGATGAGACAGTTGTAATCACAGGTAACTGAAATACAGTCTTATTTAAAAGGTCAAAAATATGTCATCCATGTCCATGCCTAGAAAGAAAATGCAAACATTAACTCTGTATCAGAAGAAACAAAAAGAAAAGATGTAAAAAATGAACCACATTATGAAAGAACCAACGGTACAAATAAAATCAGAGAACTGCCTATGTACTTATAAATCTAATGATACAACTGACTTCAACTGTCTAAAATTATTCTTGAAAGAGAATCTTTACATGTGAAACTATGATTTAGTAATAATAATCTAGATATAAAAGCTGAGATTATATTAATAAAGAAAGGGATGTGAAGAATTGAGGGAAAGTAAATATATGCATAATTCATCATCTTAAATTGGGGAATGAGTGGCTCCAATAAAATGTGTGTGTGTGCGTGTGCATGTGCGCATATGTATAATTTCACTGTTGATTTTTGAAATAAGACTAAGACACACTAAAATGCTTTTGGAAGGGTAAGCATAAAAGTAAGTACTGGTACAGTTAAAAACAAGACGTCTATACTCCTTTCCCCAGCACTAGGAAAGAAACAAGGAAAACAGAGTTTATCTCTTCTATGACTTTTACCCTATTTAAGTCAGTCACCACCAGAAGCCCAAGATTCTTCAACACTTGAACCTTATCTCCATATTGCTTTGCCTGTCCCAGTTAACTCTCCCGACTGTCTACTTTTTCCCAACTACTGAAAACTTTTCCCAGCGTGGTGTATGCCGCCACTCTTTTTTGTTTGTTTGTTTGTTTGTTTTTTGAGACAGAGTCTCGTTCTGTCACCCAGGCTGGAGTGCAGTGGCATGATCTTGGCTCATTGCAACCTCCACCTACCGGGTTCAAGAGATTCTCCTGCCTCAGCCTTCCAAGTAGCTGGGATTACAGGCACACATCACCATGTCTGGATAATTTTGGTATTTTTAGTAGAGACAGTATTTTGCCATGTTGGCCAGGCTGGTCTCAAACTCCTGACGTCAAGTGATCCTCTCGCCTAGGCCTCCCAAAGTGCTGGGATTACAGACGTGGAGCACCATGCTTAGCCTATTCTGCCACTCTTGATATGCCACAGCAAAATCTTTTTTAAGTCGACTTGATTCCTGCAAGTTCCCCTCATCTGCTTGCCTAGCTTTTCCCTGAAGGTATGTCTTTACTGTAGCTCTCCCAAGAAGTGGCTGTTTTTAATTCCATCCTCCTCACTTGTCTAGGAATTCGAGTGCATGTCTCTTTTTTTTTTCTTTGCTCCTCATTCTGATTTCCAAATCATTTTTCTTTACCCACATATCCCTGAAATCCTACAGTTTGTTAGCTTGTTGTAAGTCATCTGTCAAATCCACACTATCCCTTATTTTTCTATTATGATTCCTGAGTAATTCCACTCTCTCCAACACAACCCATCATACATCTTAGATGTGCCTTCTCATACCTTGGCCTCCCTTTTTCTTGATCTTATCTCTTCCAATGATTTTGCCATCTACCTTTCCTCAGCAACTTACTCCAATCGTCACACCCCAGACCAGCACTGTCCAATATACTGGGCATTAGCCACATGTACTAATGAACCCTTGAAATGTGGCTAGTGTGACTGACCAGGGACTAACTTTTAAATTGTATTTTATTTTATTTAAGTGTAACTTTTTAAATAATAAGAAATTTCGTTGTTGAAAAACTTTAAGAATGCTTGGATTGGCTTGGGTTTGTAAATTTACTTTTATACTTGTAAAAGTTTTAAAATCTAAATACGAATCAAGTATTTCCAACACAAATTTAACTTCCTAATTGAGATGCACTGTATGTATGAAACTCACCAAATTTCAAAGGTTTAGAATGTAAAAAGAAAGTAATATATTTAATAATTTTAAATCAATTATATGTTTATATTATAATTTTGGATACATTTGGTTAAACAAAATGTTATTAAAATTAATCTTATCTCTTTTTACTTTTTATGTAACTACTAGATCACAATATTACATATGTAGCTTGCATTATATTTCTATTGGATACTTTCTTGTCATTACCAACTATGTCCTTGTCGTTACTAGACCTTGTAATTACCAAGAATTATACCTCAATACCAATTTCAAAGACTTCACTCCTTGACCACAAACTATCTTTCCAACTGGCCTAATAATTTTCTGATAATTATTTAACCCTACCAAGATTATCAATCCATTGATCTTACCACCTTAGATGGTCTCTCCTCCAAGCCATCAGTTACACTCAGTTTAGACTCCATGCTCCATCATTAAAATTAACAAATAAATGAATTAAAATATAGCAAAAGACATGTAGCAAGAAAACATTTATAGCAAGCTTTTGTGGTGTTCTCTGATAAGTGTTTTCTATTATTTGAATTTCTCAAAAATACCATGAGGTAGTTACTAAATTTATTGTCATTTTACTGATGAGGAAACAGAGACTTTGGGAGTTTAACTTGCCCAGTATCCTAGAGCAAGAAGTGGCAAAGCTGGAACTCTAGCCAGGGTCTATCAGACTATAAAGGAGATGTTCTTAATCTCCTTGTTCCTATGCTATGCTACAATACCACGATGGAAAGGGGAAATAAATGATAAGCTTGCTCCTTAAGGCAGTTGTTGCCTCTGGCCCCTCTAGGTCTTTTGTATTTTGCCTGAATGTGGCCCACTCTTTTGACTCCTATCTCTTGTCTCTGATTCTGGCAGCAGATCTTACATATGACTCAAAGCTATGTGCACTTGACTCAGGTTCCCCCAATCAGAAACTCTACTACACACTTGGGAATTCAAATCTTGAACAAGTGATATAACAATATGGAGATTGGTGGTTTTTAGATTTCCCTGATGCATAGTGAAAGCATGAGAACTCGAGTTTAATATTTGCTGTTATATAAGCTGCCTAACCTTTGTTATAATTCACTATCTAGCCTGGTGTTCAACCTTTCAATGATTCTGTGGATCCCTGATATTCATCCAGATAAACTGGGTCAATTTCAATTGCTGGTAACCAAGAAGTCTAATGCTAATACAGGAGGTAACATGTGGCATACAGAGAACTAATACTATCACAAGTTCAATTAAGAAACTATCATTGTGAAATGTATGCTTAAGAGGGCTCCATTGAAGGAATAATACTTTGTGTTGATCCTTGGGAGTGGATAGGAATTAAAGCAGTCCAGAAAAGTAAGTAGGGAGAGCATTCTAAAGAGACGATTACCAGTAAGTATGGAAGCATAGCTGTACATAGTACAAGTAGGGGAGTGAAGCAAAGGAGTGGTGTTGAGAAGTCAGAGGGTTAAGATACTGAAATGGTTATGGAAATGTCAGATTTTGGAAACGGTCAAAAAAAGGATTGGGAACTGAAATTTCTAGGCAAGAACTAAGGGTGTTGTGAAAAAGAATCAATATTCTGAATATGCAATAAAACCAATAAACTACATCTGCCATCATTTAAGATTTTAATAGTTATTTAACCTGTGCATTCCTATGTGTTATTGTTCTTTTCTGTGGCATATGGTATAAACTGATTTGATTAATATGTTTTCCAATCTCCTTCTAATGTGCCTTTGTATACTACAAAGTCCAGAAAGTTAAAAGCTGAACTTCTCTACTCTCTTGTAATCAGCTTTCTAGATATCAGCCTCTGCCATCAGATGTACTCAAGCAAGACCAGAATTTAGATCTGAAGCAAATGGGAGAGAATGGCACGAGACATCTAGTTTGCTAACTAGAAATTGTGGCAGAGACAACAAGGATCCTGAAACTGGGGTCCTTCATAGCAGCTTCCCAGTTAAACAGACAGCTTCCTGGTCATGGCAACAACAGCTGCTCCCTTGGCAGCTCACTTCAGGAGTGTAGCTTTTGTACTGGTCCTTGAAAGTTCAACCTAGCATCTGTTTCTTGAGCAATCCCAAAGATTCAGCAAGCCATTTAACATCCTGTGATAAATCTTGTTCTGCTTAAACTTGGTTCTATTCTCTGTAACTAACTTCAACAAATATTTGTTCTAACTGTTCCAGTTTGGGCAAAAAAAATGACCATGTTGTAAAGAGCTGGTTGATGAATAGCATGTGTAGGTACAAAAATACAGTAAAACGTACTTCCTTGTTAAATTGTGAAATATTAAACTTCACAGCATTCTTATCATATCCAATGTCTCCCTATCCTTTTTATAAAAGAGAAATTCTATTCATCAAAATATTATTCAGTAGGGAATATCATTGTTAAAAGAATAAATACTATGTATACACAGTTTTTTGATGTTTCTAAAACATTTGCTTGATTAATTTAAAAAGTATAGAGTAATTAATTCTGCTCAGGAAATATTCATTTGGCAGAAGTGGGTCTCAATTTTATTCAAGATGCTCTTTGATATATTATATTAATTTAGCTGTTGTATTGATGATAAAATTCACTGAGAAAATGCTATGATGCTATTGATATGATGAAGGTTTTCTTTATGGAGCCTATTTTCAGAGTTTGTTCAACAACTTAAATAAAGTTATTTTTCCCATAGGAAAAGTACAACAACCCCCTTACATCATTCATGGTAGCAAAAATATACCATTATTTTATTTAAAAAAAAAAAAAGCAGTTTGTTTCTCATTAAAGAAACATTTAAGTGGTTGACAGGTGAAAAATATGAAGCTGCTTGGAGGTGGACCTTTTTTAAAAAAGGAGAAGGATTTTTCTAAATGTTTATCTTTGTTCATTATCTGAAGACTACTGGCTTACCCTTCAACATATAATAAATATTGGGTATGTGGGTGTGCTGTCTTACATCTCATTGGAAAAGCATAGAAAGCTGATTTTAATATGTGTTTTGTTCTTAGCAGCAGGATATAGTAATTTTGAAAAGAAATTATCAAATTGAGCATTAGCATACTATGTACATTTAAGATTTACAGGACTAGATTGTGTATATATATATATATATCATATGTACATATATTGCTTGAGGATACACTAGAAATTCTTTACTATTACACGTTTCTGTTTTATATTTGTTTAAAGTAGTAAATAAACACATTCCAAAAAGGTCACACTAATATTTCTCCATGCATTTGTCATGCCGATCATTGGATATTTAACACACATTTACATTAGTTTAAATATTAAGTATCTTATTTATTTTGAAATATTGTACTTTTTATCCTTGTTTTCCACATATATGTCAATGGATACTGAAGAGATGAAACCTTAAAAATAGAAACTTCTAAGCAAAAATAAGTCAAACAAAAAGCCAATTTAATAAAGTATTTATGAGGCACCTACTACTACCATTGCATTGACTTAGATTTTGTGGCTATAGAAAGCTTCACCTAAACATCACAAAGAACAATAGAGGAAGAGAAAAAAACACTTCCAAATCTGAGACATGCTCCATGCTCATCTGATCATAGTTCAGTTTCTCACACAATAAGCTATGCACAGGGCCTTGGGGCTACTTCCACATATCCTTAGGGAGGAGGAACAAAACGCAGTCATTCCAAGCCTGGACGCCTAACTGCATGACCCCCTTCTTATAAAATTCTTTTTTATTCTGAAGGTGAATCTGCTTCCTGGAATTTATGTTCAAATGCAATTTAGAGATCTTAAAAACATAAACTCCTTAACTTAAACATTTTGCATGTGCATGAGGCACCAGGGAATATGAAATGATGCCCTAATTGAAACATGACTTAATAAGCAGTCCCTGAAACCAGTAGAGCCCCTGAACTGTAATCCCAGCTTTAATACCACTTGCTGTGTTTCGTTGGTGTAATTGAATAATACACCAGAATTTTAGTCACCCCATTTGAGGAAAGAAATGAACAGTGAAGGTAATAGTCACTGAAAAATGGAATAATTAAATAATTAATAGTCCCCCACTTTATAGAGACAAATTATATTTGTAAAGAAATATTTATCAAAAATGGGGCTTGCTGTCTGAAAAGGCTCTTTCTACAGTGGAAATTTTTACCAAAATCTATAGATTAATATCTTAGTCCTTGGTTATTGATTTTTCAACCTGTTGGTATATTTATTTGAGTAATATGATAATTAGTAATTCAACAAATTAAAATGGCATGAACTACTAAGAAGAACAAAGCAGATCTGTATGAGCTGATAGGAAAAAATCACCACAAAATGTTAAATGAAAATATCCAGGTACAGTTTGCAGTGTACTCTACGAGTTGTGCTTAAAAAGAGATGTGAGAGGGAGAGATTCTGACCCAGACACATGGTGACAAATTTCTCTGAGTGCCGAAGGTAGTGTTTATTTTCCTTTCATAAACATAGCACCTCTCTCAATGCCTGGTTTAAGTTAGATAGTAAATGAGTGCATATGTGTGCTATGAATGTCTTCTTTAGAATGTCATTTGAGCATTCCACAAATAAAATAAAAATAGTTATATCCAAAATTACTAAAGATTTTGTAAACTCTCTTTTAAGGGTTTCTGAAATTGTAAACCAGCAAAATACTGAAACAGTAAGAAAGGAATTAGGTAAACTGTATTATAACCACTTGATGAAATATTACATAACTTAAAATTAGTTTAATGATTATGTAGCAATAAATAAATATGGCAGCACATTAAATGAAAAACAAAGTATCTACTAAAACTGAACATGTATATACCCTAGGATCCCACCATCTCCTTCCAGCATAGCCAACAAAAATAGTGTACATATATATTCAACAAAAGACAAGAACAGAAATTTTCATAGCAACTCTTTTTAATTCTCCTATTGATGGCAAAAGAAGTATCCTTTTGTACCATCACATTTATTTTATTATTGTAATAATTTTCGTAATAAATATATCACTGCCAACCTTCTGAGCACAAAATAAAAATTAGGAATCAATTCATCTGAGACTCAGAATAATAGTAGATCACAGTTTTTAAAGTCACTTAAAAGTATCATGGTCTTTTCTAACCTTGGGCGGTCACTTTAGGATCTGGGCGACATCCTTAAACCCTGTCTCTGAAGAATGCTTTACAGCTGGACACTACAGTTCATTGAGGGCCCATTTGATCAGCAGTAATGGTCAATTGGACCAACTGCACCCCTGTTGTCTGCAAGTGGAAGAGGGAACATGCCAGTACATAAGGCTGGGTGTGTCTTTTCTCAGTAACTTCACACACAGCTCTATGCAACACTCTGGGAAACAACACTTCAATGAGAGATCTGCCTTTAGCTTCAGACATTAGTTGAACCCCAGGAGCCTGGAGCTATCAGTAATAGAGGTGGAAAGCTCTGGCTAGAGATGGTCCTGGCAGGAGAAAGAGAAAGATGACTGCAAGAACAGCAGGAACCAAAGATGGCACTAAGAGCCACAGGAAGAGACATTGTGAACTGCTCACTTGGTATAATGACTGTCCCAAGGTGAATACATAAAAGTAACAAATCATGACATCTCATTATATACTGGCTTTAGTGTCAGCCCTCAGTCAGCGTGGCTGACTGACACAAGCTAAAAATAAAACCAATAATAAAAATCCCAATTCCCTTGGTCTGTGACACCTCAGAGTGGTAGCTGTTTATGGATGAGACAGCTTCAGCCTTTGACAGCATAAATTACTTCAAATAATAAAGTGTCACCTAACAACTAGTTTAATAGTTTGAAGGTTCTGCAGTAACTACTTCAAAATAAAAATCCTACCTCTTG
Organism: Homo sapiens; assembly: GCF_000001405.40. NCBI lineage: Eukaryota > Metazoa > Chordata > Mammalia > Primates > Hominidae > Homo > Homo sapiens. The sequence goes on along the minus strand of NC_000003.12, from coordinate 147,459,290 downwards.
TGTTTTATCTTATCTGAATACAGCAACCAGTAGAGAGCAAAGTAGCTAAAATGCTAAGCCAGCAAATACCATCAGAGAATATTTGGAAGCTCCCAAGTGTTCAGGCAGATAGCCAAGCAATCTATTTCCCCATCAGAAGGGAAGGGCTTGCTTCTAAGTTCTCCATGGAAGGCACTTTGTGAAAAGCAACTAATATTCCTGTTGTTTACAAAGCAGCTAATACTCCTGTTGTTTACAAAGCAGCATCTGTTCTTTCTATATGAAAATCATAATTCTTCAGTTGATTCACAAAAAACTCCCCATGACCTCTCACTACACAAACAGTAAAGCCCAGTTCAAGAACCCGAATCAGATCCAGGATACAGGTTGTTCTACTTCATACTCACATATTCAGTGAGTGAAAAAAAAAAAATGCACATTTAAATTCAACTGATGGCAAAAGGATTTGCTTGTCCAAGTATTTTAAATATTATAGAGTTAAATTGTCATTACCCCCAAAAAATAATCTCTCTGGAAAATAAACCCAAGGCCGAAAATTTAGGTTGGAAATTATCTAACAAGGAAGAACTCTATAAAATACTACATTCCTTTAAAAACAGGGTTTTAGAATTATATACCAGTAGCCTGAAACTTAACTATTTTTCAGTGTCTTTTTATTGTTTCATTCAACAAATATAGCTCAGGACCTACTACCTACCAGAAAATTTGCTACTACTAAAGAGAATTAAAAACAACTGGAAAAAAGTCTCCATGAATTTGCTATCTAGTAAGAAATTGACACAAATGATAACAATTCAAAGGCATCTGTGATTTTATTATGAATGACTTCTATGGGCCTGACACTACACCAGATGCCGAAGATACCTCAATATTCTATATTCTAGGAGTTTGCGGTAGAATAGAAAGGGTAAAGATACAAGCAAACAAGTTACAAAACAACATAAGTGTTGAAACAGGGGTATATAAAATGTGTGTCATGAAAACAAAGATGAGGAAATGGCTAACTAAGCTGCCCTGGGAAATCAGAGGGAATTGATTACCTTTGGCACTTGGCAGTTGAGTTGGATTTTAAAAGATGGGTAGGATTTCACCAAGGAGAGAATGGGGTTGATGACAGAGAGGATATTTCAAGGAAAATGAACAGTAGATTATATGACACAAATGTGAAAAGTCAGGAGGGTCACAGATGGTGGGATCCAGTTTTTGCCTGTTGACTTGATAGAATTGTTTAATAGTACTCCAATTCACTCTCAAAAGTGTTATGTTTTGGACAATATGGTATATGGTCAACCTAATGAAATTGCATCTGATAGTTCAGAATTACTGAAACCTTAGACATATTGAAGAAGATGAGTTAGAATAAAGGAACATTCTAAGGAATCTTTTCTTTTTTTCTTTTTGAGGGCAACATGCAGACACTAGAAATTCACTGGGAAAGTATCAGAATATGTATATGTTAAATATAAAACTGATTGGCTATTTAGAGACTGAACTGGGAGGTAGGGTATGAATAGAAAGTATGATATTATAGGACTGAACTAAAGTATTAATAGAGAAGAAAATCTAGGTTCCAGTAAAATCAACAGAACTTTAAAGACTGACAACAAAAGAAGAAACCCAGGATAGCCTATTTTCTCATTCCCCTCTGAAGCTGTTTCTAAGCCTTTATCATGTCATTCAAGCACCCAACCAGGTGAGGGTCCAGAAATATGTCCACTTACCCCTAGCTTCAAATTTTTCCCATCTCTCTTGTATCTTCAATCTCCCTCTTGATTTATATAACCTTATAAATATACTTATTTCTCCATCTCATTTTTTAAAGGCTTTCCGAGACCAGACTACGACACGGCAAAACCCAGTCTTTACCAAAAATGCAAAAAAAATAGCAGGGTGTGGCTGCACGTGCCTGTAGTCCCAGCTACTCAGGAGGCTGAGGTGGGAGGATCCCCTTGAGCCTGGGAGACAGATTGCAATGAGCTGAGATTGCACCACTGCACTCCAACCTGGGTGACAGAGTGAGACCCCATCTCAAGAAAAAAAAAAAAGGCTTTCTCTTAAGGTTTGGTCCATGTCTCTTGTGTCTTTCATGTCTATATGCCTTGGAGGAGTGGTTTATATTCACCATCAACAGTCCTCTCTGCTCTTAAGCAAATAAGAACAATAACAATAGCAACACCAACCACAATAGTAATAACTAACGTAGATCTCGCTACATGTCTTACTAGATGTCAGACACTATTCTGTATATGCTCTGGCTTATCAATCTTCCCACCAGCAATCCATAGTATAAGTACTATTGCTATTCCTTTTTTTACTGATGAGGAACATAGTAACCAAACTTGAGTAACTGAGTCTCAGAAAATGAGGCTTAGACAGGTAATCAAAAAGAGCTACTCCCTAAGGAACATCAGCCAAAAATGCCTCTGCCATCACACTGGTGGCTACACACTGAGGGCCTCCAATGTAAATAATTGCAGAACTGGCTCTTCTAAACTCCAAGCCCATCTGTGAACTTTCTACAGAGCACTTCCACTAGAATAATATGCTGGAAATCCCACTTTGCTATTCACAAAACTAGACCTGTAATCACTACCCCCTGCAGTCTCCCCAAACAAACAATTAAAAAAAAAAAACCTTCTAGTAATCTACACTAAGTACTTGAAAGTAAATTGTGACCCTTCCTTAGCTTTCTTTCTTCCTTCCTCAAACTCTGTTACCACCTGTCCTTCATGGCTCATGAGATTACCTCCAAAATCTCGGTCTTAGCCATGCTTTCCTTTCTCTTCACTGCCCAAATTCAGCCCCACATCACCTCTGGACTCTATCATTACTTTGTAGCATTACATCACTTCAATATTTAATTTCTCCATTTCCTCCTCAATACACCAATTACAGCCATCTTTCCTATATAGCTCTGATCTGTTCGTCCCCGTGCTTAAAAACCTTTAAAGCTTAGCTCAAATGTTGTATCTGAAATTTTCTAATTGTTCTCCCTGACAGAAGAATCAGTTATTACTACCATCAGAGTATTCCCATCTTCATTCATATGCTAAGAAACCATTTAACACATTTATGTTGTGTAGTTATGTATGTTGTGTTTCTCCCCTCTTAGCCCAGATTGTGCCTGTTTTGATGGTAAGGATATGACCATATTCATTGTTGTATATTCAACATCAAGCATAATGCTTAGCATCCATGTTAAATACATGTTTGTCTAATACATCGATTTAGAAATTACTAGATGATAATCATATAGTATCATTCCGTGTGCTGAAACAAGCTCTAATCACATTTTCTTTTTCAAATGTAAAGACATTCATAAGGCATTTTACTACAAGTATCTCACTGGAAGGAAAATTATAGTGAGAAAGTGCCTGGGATTTCTAGCCTCAAGAACAAGATAGAAGATGCCAGTTCTCATAGAAACTTTTCTACAAAGAGATTTTTTTCAGACCATGCTTATATTCTGCAACTGGGAAGAGGTTAGATAACTAGCAGATAACTGCTCTATGCATTCTCATTCTGAAGACTTATCTGAATATTTCTCAGGTTTCTTCATCTATCTCTTCTTGCTTTATCCTACACACACACACACACACACACACACATCATTGAGAATGTTAATAGCCTTTAAAGAAGTCAATATCCTGCCATCAGGCTCTCACACGGAGTGCAGCACAGGTCTAGCAGGTGAGTCATTATAGTGCTGGTTATGG